>NT_187607.1:0-1329850 GCF_000001405.40 Homo sapiens
CAGCTCTGCCACTGACCCTGACCTCCAGTGCAGGTTACTGAACCCGCCTGAGCCTCAGTTTATCTTCAAATGGGGATAATCGTGCCTAAACGTCGAGTACAAAATGCTTCCCATAGACTGAGCTCCAATACACAGTCCCTACTGCTATCAGAAAAAAACACACAGTGGCGTGGAGAAGAAAACTCACTTTCAGAAAGCAAGGATGACACACCAGAGGGCAAGTTTGTTTTAAAATGGAAAGTTCTTGAGAGCAGGGGGTGTGTGTTTTCCAGGAGGAGGCTGTGGGTGCTTCCCAGTGTAAGTAAACAATGGCAGGAATCTGGGGAAATGCCTCGGTGAGCACTTACTACCCGTGGGTGCTTTCTATTCTCCCCCTGGTTTAGTCCCGTCTAGTCCCACAGGTGAGGAAACTGAGGCTGGGAGCCGGGACAGCATCCTCGGGCTCACACATCTGGTGAGCAGCACAGCAAGCTCTGAGCTCAGATCTGAGCAATCACCCAGCCCACATGCTGATCAGTGTAGTCCCGCTGCCTCTAATGGGTGGTTTCCTCAACACTGTTACTAATGAAAACTCTTTCAGGGTGCCACTGGCCAAAGTAGGAATGAGCAAATGGAAAAGGGAGACAATGAGGGCTCTGAGGCTCTGCGAGGTGGGTGCTCCCATCACACCACCCAATCAGGATGCGAACCACTTGCTGATTCACACACACGCAGACAATGGGGAATTATGAAGCCTTGTAAAAACAGCAGAAACACCCAACAGACCCTCCATTTTTTCTCTAGTTAGCCCCAGCCTCCAAAACTAGGGCAAAAGCCTAAGCTTTGCTGAGTCACAATCATTTATCAAGGTAATTTGTAGGCACAGCACTCGAGATGCTATGCAATTTTTACCCCATTCAACAAATGCAGGACAACCTGCCGGGGAAGATTAGTCCTTCCTAAGTAACAAGAAGGACTCTAAATTCTCAGATTCTGGGTTATTAAGAATAAGAAGAGGCTGTGCAAACTAGACCACAGCGTGCAGAGAGGAGATGTGTGAAGAGACTTAACTTTCCTCCCTACCCACAGCCACAACTAGGGAACCACATTCAATCTAATTGGGTGTTTTTGGCAGTCTGGCTGTTGCCTGCCCTCCAAGGCCTGCCAGGAACCAAGAATCCACCACCCAGGCTTAGACACCTGCAAGGGCACTTGGGTGGAAGAATCCTGTCCCCCTACCCTTCCTCCTGCAGGAAGAGGACAGCATCAAAAGGCGGGTAGCTGGTTCTCTGGTTGTTATTGGAAATATAGGAAGACGTGTCCATGGAAAAGTTGCATGGGCCTGGCACAGGTGCCTAAGGCTTCCCTTTGCTCAAGTCCACACTTGCACACACAGGTAAGGCTCCCTGGCTTCAAGTTTCTGATTTACCATTTTCCTATGTTTTCAAGCTTAAAAAAAATCACCGTGAGGATTCACTCTTTACTTATGAAACATACTTAAGTTCCCCACCTCACCCTCTAAAACAGAAAAAAAAGGGTGCTTATTTGTTGTCCTTTTTTGACAAGAATTATCTGTCTAAAACTTTTTTTTTTTAACTTTTTTTTTTTTTTTTTTGGTCAGCCAGGCTGGAATGCAGTGGTATGATCTTGGCTCACTGCAACCTCCGCCTCCTGGGTTCAAGTGATTCTCCTGCCTCAGCCTCCCAAGTAGCTGGGATTACAAGCATGCGCCACCACGCCTGGCTAATTTTTGTGTTTTTAGTAGAGACAGGGATTTGCTATGTTGGTTGGCCAGGCTGGTCTCGAACTCCTGACCTTAAGTGATCTGCCCGCCTCGGCCTCCCAAAGTGCTGAGATTACAGGCGTGAGCCAGTCTAAAAAGATTTCCATTTAAAAAGACCCTCAACTTGAACATGTAGCGTTCTCACCAGGCCCAGTCAGCATCAAGCTTTCTCAAGTTCAAGTTCACAGCATGACTAGAAAAAGCAGGCAACTGAAGACAAACGGAACTGCTGTTTGCAGGATCAGGCAACTTGGAGGAGAGGATGGCGCACAACCAGGGGAAACATGATCTGGCCTTCAGGTGTCCTATTTCCCCTCCTCGGCAAAAATCAGACACATTGATTTACTCCATGAATCATTTGGGGGAAAAAGATTTCAGCTGAACTCATGAGATTTTTTAAAAAGTAGCGAAAAAGATTGAACTATTTTTAATACTCACTGGTTTCCCAGGTCTGGAGAGGGTGGTTTGGCCTCGCCTCAGCAGTAACCAAGTGTCATAGCATTTTCTTTTCAACGTCAAGAGGAGTGTTGCAAAATAGTCCAAGTGGGAACACACAGGAACCGTGAGACTCTCTTGGTGTTGCTGTTCAGTAATAATGATGCACACTTTAAAAACACACGCACTCGGCCGGGCACTGTGGCTCAGGCCTGTAATCCCAGCACTTTGGGAGGCCAAGGCTGGTGGATCACGAGGTCAGGAGTTCGAGACCAGCCTGGCCAATATGGTGAAACCCTGTCTCTACTGAAAATACAAAAATTAGCCGGGCGTGGTGGCACATGCCTGTAATCCCAGCTACTCGGGAGGCTAAGGCAGGAGATCGCTTGAACCTGGGAGATGGAGGTTGCAGTGAGCTGAGATTGTGCCACTGCACTCCAGCCTGGGTGATAGAGCGAGACTCCATCTCAAAAACAAACAAACAAAAAACAACAAAACAAAACCACACACACACTCGGGCTGGGCGCGGTGGCTCACGCCTGTAATCCCACTACTTTGGGAGGCCAAGGTGGGTGGATCACTTGAGGGCGGGAGTTCGAGACCAGCCTGGCCAACACAGCCAAACCGCGTCTTTACTAAAAAGTACAAAAATTAGCTGGGCATGGTGGCGGACACCTGTAATCCCAGCTACTTGGGAGGTTGAGGCAGGAGAATTGCTTGGACCCAGGAAGTGGAGGTTGCAGTGAGCTGAGATCATGCCACTGCACTCCAGCCTAGGCAACAGAGTGAGACTGCATCTCAAAAAACAAAACAAAACAAAAATTAGCTGGGTGTAGTGGCATGTGACTGTAACTCCAGCTACTTGGGAGGGTGAAGTGGGAAGATCACTTGAGCACGGGAGGTGGAGGCTGCAGTGAGCTGAGACTGTGCCACTACACTCCAGCCTGGGTGAACCACGGATGTAATGTTTCCACACATATAATGTATAATGATTACATAAGGGTAATTAGCATATCCATCACCTCGTTACATTACATATGTAATTACAATATAACTCTGTCTCAAAATAAATAAATAAATAAATAAATAAATAACACACATTCACGAATGTAAACTAGTATAGCCGCTATGGAGAACAGCATGGAGGCTCCTCAAAACACTACAAATAGCACATCATATGATCCAGGCCAGTCGTGGTAGCTCACGCCTGTAATCCCAGCACTTCTGGAGGCAGGCTGAGGCGGGCAGATCACTTGAGCCCAGGAGTTTGAGACCAGCCTGGGCAACAATGGTGAAACCCCACCTCTACAAAAACAAAACACAAAAAACTAGCCAGGTGTGGTGGCATATGCCTGTGGTCCCATCTACTCAGGAAGCTGAGGTTGGAAGGTTGCTTTAGCCTTGGAGGTCAAGGCTGCAGTGAACTTAGATCATGCCACTGCACTCCAGCCTGGGCAACAAAGCGAGACCCTGTCTCAAAAAACAAACAAACAAAAAATTACTATTACTATTGGCTAGGGGCAGTGGTTCACTCCTGTAATCCCAGCACTCTGGGAGGTTGAGGCAGGCAGATCACTTGAGCCCAGCAGTTCGAGACCAGCCCGGTCAACATGGCGAAACCCTGTCTCTACTAAAAATACAAAAAAATAGCTGGGCATGGTGATGCATGCCTGAAATCCCAGCTACTCAAGAGGCTGAGGCAGGAGAATTGCTTGAACCCGGGAGCTAGAGGTTGCAGTGAGCTAAGATTGGGGCACGGCACGCCAGCCTGGGTGACACAGCAAAACTCTGTCCAAAAAAAAAAAAAGAAACATTACTATGTACTCTATGAGCATGTACAATTATTATTTGTCAATGAAAATAAATAAAATGAAACACACACACCCCCTCAAGATCCATGCTTATAATTAGGTAAACAGAATTTTGACCAAATCACCACAACAATTAAACAAAAAGGTCTTCTCCACAGATGGTTCTGGAATAACTAGACATCCATATGGAATGAAGGAATCTCAACTCTAGTCTCGTACCATCCATAAAAAGTTAATTCAAGATGGATCATAGATTTAAACATAAATGCTAATACTAGAAAGCTCGAAGGAAACACGGATGAATATAACTTGGGGGTTTCTTAGGCAGGACATAGAAAAAGTCTATAAAACAGACTTCATCCTAATTAAAAACTTCTGCCCAGTAAAAGATACTGTTAAGAAAATAAGCAAGCCCGCTGGGCGCGGTGGCTCAAGCCTGTAATCCCAGCACTTTGGGAGGCCAAGGCGGGTGGATCACGAGGTCAGGAGATCAAGACCATCCTGGCTAACACAGTGAAACCCTGTCTCTACTAAAAATACAAAAAATTAGCCAGGCGTGATGGCGGGTGCCTGTAGTCCCAGCTATTCATGAGGCTGAGGCAGGAGAATGGCATGAACCCAGGAGGGAGAGCTTGCAGTGAGCCAAGAGCGCGTCACTGCACTCCAGCTTGGGGCGACAGTGCGACACTCTGTCTAAAAAAAGAAAAAAAGAAAGAAAATAAGCAAGCCATACATTGGGACTAAATATTTGCAAAACAACTATCCGACAGAGGACTGATGTCCAAAGTATGTAATGAACTGCTACGACTTTTTTTTTTTTGAGACAGTCTTGCTCTGTCACCTAGGCTGGAGTGCAGTGGCGTGATCTCAGCTCACTGCAACCTCCGCCTCCCAGGTTCAAGTGATTTTCCTGCCTCAGCCTCCCAAGTAGCTGGGATTACAGGCACAGGTGCCTGCCACCATGCCCAGCTAATTTTTGTATTTTTAGTAGAAACAGGGTTTCACCGTGTTGCCCAGGCTAGTCTCGAACTCCTGACCTCAAGTGATCCTCCCACCTCAGCCTCCCAAAGTGCTGGGATTACAGGCATGACCCACCATGCCTGGCCAACTTCTACAACTTAATGAAGAGACAAACAATCTGATGAAATATGGGCAAGATAATTGAACAGCTAACTCACAAAGGAGGATATACCTGTGGCAAGTACATCATTAGGAGTCATCAGATAAAGGACAATGAAAACTGCAAAGAGATATACTATACGCCCATCAAAATGGCTCAGTTAAAGTCTGACACCACCAAATGTTGCTAAGGAAGGGAGATACTAGAACTCTCATACATTGTTGGTGGCAGTATAAATTATATGATCACTTCGGAAAAAGATCTGGCAGTTTCTAAATAGACCACCTATCCCATGACCCAACAGTTCCACTCCTTGGCATTTACTCCCCCAAATTGAAGATTTTGTTCTCAAAGACTTGTACAAGACTGTTCACAGCAGCCTTATTCATAATGGCCCCAAACTGGAAATAGCCTAGGTGTTCATTAATTGAATAAATAAGCAGTGGTCAAGCCATACTCAGAAATAGAGAGAAAGGAACTACTGATACCTACAAAACATTGACGAATCTCAAAAACATTACGTAGGTTGGGCTCCGTGGCTCACATCTGTCATCCCAGCACTTCGGGAGGCTGAGGTGGGAGGATTGCTCAAGACCAGGAGTTCGAGGCTGCAGTGAGCTATGATCGCGCCACTGTACTCCAGCCTGGGCAACAGAGTGAGACTGTCTCTAAAAAAAAAAAAAAAAAAGAAAGAAAAGATAAATTGATGAATGGAAGGATACGTAATAAAGCAAATAGTCACGTGTCACTTAATGATGGGGATACATTCTGAGAAATGCATCATTAGGTGATTTAAAAAAATTTAATATTCCCAAACGTGGATAGAAGGATTTTTATTTTATTATTTTTAGAGACAGGATCTCGCTCTGTCCCCGGGCTGGAGTGCAGTGGTGTGATCATAGCTCACTGCAGACTTGAACTCAGTCCTCCTGCACTGGCCTCCCAAAACACTGGGATTACAGGTGTGAGCCACCATGCCCAGCCTGCAATGTTATCATTGTATGAACATCATAGTGTTCTTACCCAAACCTAGAGAGTATAGCCTATTGCTCCTGGGCTACAAACCTTTACAACATGTTACTGTACGGAATACTGTAGGCAACTGTAACCCAATGGTATTTGTGTATCTAAACACAGAAAAACTACAATAAAAATACAGTATAAAAATAAAAATGATACACTTGTGTAGAGCACTTACCATGAATGGAGCTTGCAGGGCTGGAAGGCATTCTGGTGAGTGATAGAGAGTGAATGTGAAGGCCTAGGACTCACAGTTACCCTGAATTTAGAAAAAATTTTCCTTTCAAGAATAAAATGACCTTAGCTTACTGTAACTTCTTTACTTAATAAACTTCTAAATTTTTTTCAACTATTTGACCCCTTTGTAACAACACTTAGCTTAAAACACGTATACACTGGAGCTGATAGGAATTTCCCAGCTCTAAGATCATCTAATGGGACCTCCATTGTTGATGGCAAGGCATGACTGTATAACAAAATGGTAATGATGACCTAGGTGGTGTATGCTTGAAAATCTTCATAATAAAATCTCAAGGGGAAAACTGGACAAATACAAAGTTATGAAAATAGACAGAGCCACAGCGCTTGATCTCCATCCCAGCTCCAAAATCAAAGGACTACAGAACTATTTGCAGGGAAACACGGAAGTTCCCACTCTGATGCCTGCCTCCAGATCTGGCTACCATGCTCAAGAAGCCCCCAGACAATAGCCTTGTTGTCATAATATGCCCCTGGGCCTCGGTATCAAAAGGCCAGAAGTACCATCCTAGGATTTTATGCCTAAAAGATATGTCAAGAAAGCCTGGTGTGTGTGTGTGGAGGAGGAAGTGGGTTAGCCCAGCTCACCTGTTTTGTTTTTGACAGGGTCTTGCTCTGACACCCAGGCTGGAAGCACAGTGGTGCAATCACAGCTCACTGCAGCTTCAACCTCCTAGGCTCAAGCAATCCTCCTGCTTCAGCCTCCCGAGTAGCTGAGACAACAGACGAACACCACCACACCCGGCCAATTTTTAAATTTTCTGTAGAGACAGCGTTTCATCATGTTGCCCAGGCTGCTCTTGAACTTCTGGCTCAAGCGATCCACCTGCCTCCACCTCCCAAAGTGGCAGGATTGCAGGCATGAGCCACAGCTCACCTGTTTTAAGTCATTTGATGCAGCAGAGAAAATAAAGGTCTGGGCATGTATGAAAGCTCCTCTGGGTGTTTAATTCTAAGTCAAATTCCAGTGACTATGTCTGCTCCCACTGATAGAAGCGAATGCAGTAAGCATTTCAGATCAAAAGCATAATCTTTAAATATAACTACAGTTTACTGTGTACTTGCGCGTGCTGGGCATTGTACGTAATTTCATTTAATCCTCACAACTACCCTGTGAAGTTGTTTATTTTCCTTTTGTTTTTGAGACAGATTCTTGCTCTGTTGCCCAGGCTGGAGTACAGCAGCACAATCTCAGCTCACTGCAACCTCCACCTCCTGGGTTCAAGCGATTCTCCTGCGGTCCCGGGTAGCTGGGACCACAGGCATGCGCCACCACGCCTGGCTAATTTTTGTATTTTTTGTAGAGATGGGGTCTCCCTGTGTTGCCCAGGCTGGTCTCGAACTCCTGGGTTCATGTGATCCTCCTGTCTTGGCCTCCCGATGTGTTGGGATTATAGACGTGAGACACTGCGCTGGGCCCCCTCTTTTTCTTTCAAAATCAAGGGTCAGACTCTCCTCATTTCTCCGTGAGTGCTGCTGACTCGGCAGTCCGGCAGCCCTCTCTACACATTCCTGCATACACCCTCCTTTACTGTCTGTCTCCATCCTACCTTCACACTTTCCACTGAGCCGTGTGTGCTGACTACTCTAGGAGGGGTGGGCAGTCCTTCCTGCCAAGCCTGGGTTTCTAACTTTGTGGCTACAAAACTCCAGGGAGTTTTGTAGGAAGGGAGAGGAGCAGGAAGGGGGAAGAGAAGTTAACATGCTTTAAAAAAAAAAAAAAAAAAAATTTTTTTTTTTTTTTTTTTAAAGACAGGGTCTCACTGCGTTGTCCATGCTGGTCTTGAACTCCTGGGCTCAAGTGATCCTCCCGTCTCAGCTTACAGGTGTGACAGAGGCTCTTGATTAGGGAAACTGTCTTACAAATCGGAATCTGCATAACACCCTGGGATTCCAGTGTGAGTGCTAAGGGTCCTCATTCCTCCCACCCTCCTACAAGGCCACTTACCACCAGGGCTCAGCTCGGTACTGAGGAGCCGATCCATCGTGGCAGGTATAGCAGTTAGGGGTAAAAAGAAGAAGAAAAAAATCCATGAACATCAGCCTTAGTGGCTTAGCAGATTTTTTTAGGAGTGTGAAATTTATCTGTGTATTACTAGAGAGCGAAAACATCATTCACTTATTAAAAAAAAAGAGAGGAGAAAACCAGAGTCCTATGAAAATGTTTTTAATTTTCATCTTTTGGAAATACATTTTTCATTTTTATTTCCACCATACAAAAATGTGAAATATCTAACAATGATCTATCTGAAGCGGGTGGAGCAAAGCAGCGCCATGAGCGTTTGTCGTTGCTGTGATCTGTTTCAACGGAGAATGGGCTGGGACATGTTGTAGATTTGCACGATTTCACACACACACACACACACACACACACACACACACACACACACACACAGACACGTACGCACACACGCTGCCGTACCCCGAGACCGCCATCCAAACAAACGAACAGAGACTCTGGAAAGTGAACACAGCGCCACGCATAAGAACAGAAGTTAACCTTTTTACTCGTACATCCCCCATGAGAAACTCACGTCTTAGGAGAAAGGAACTCTACATAAATATGCCCAAAGGCCAGGGCATACGGCAAGCCCTCTCATGGGTGGGCATGAGTGGACATCTTCCTGAAGGAAGGACAAGCTTGAGAGCGTCATGTTTTCAGGCAGCTATGGTGGGAAGCAGGGAGGCACAACCGATTTTTCCACTGGGAGACTAACCGAGGGCTGCAACTGCCTCAAAATCTCAGTGCGAGAAGATGCACAGGCAGGACAGTACACCCCCAAATTCATGATCACAGCAGCTGGAATGTCAGCTCTTTTTGCAGATTTCACAGCCGACACTCCCCATCAGGCAGGTTCTTAAGCACACTGGGTCATGACAGGAAAGGCCTCACAAGAGCAACACGGAATTCACTGGTTAAGCACGTACACATTCATGACAGCCTACAACCGTGATGAGTGTCAATGTCAACAGGCAGTTAGATTAAAAAGGGGAAAAAACCACAGCCACAAAAATAAAACCTGTTTTCTCCCCCCCAGGAGACAACTTGGTTTCCAACCCCTCCCATACCACATTTGATTAAGTTAAATACAGTGCGGCTTCCAAATGTGCCAGCCGGCTCTTGCTCACAGCGACAGCACCAGCGGTTTGCTGCCCTCAGGTCTTGGTTACCATGTGTCAGGAACTTCAAAGAGTGTGGCAGGGCTGTTCTTCGAGATGCTTCCTGGTGGGAAAGAACAAAACAATATGAACAGCAGGACCAGGACGGCACCTTGAGGAGAGCATGACATGACCAGCAGACAGACAGAGGGCCTGTGACGGCTGCAGACGGGGCCAGCGTCTGGCTAAACAGCTGCGCTGGAAAGAGTCCACAGACAGGTCTTGTCTAGGGAGGGCAGTGCCCAGCATGGGAAAGTGAAACCACAGAAACATCATGGGGGCGCGGAGGAAGCACCTCCCTGCCTCCAGCATCTATCTATTTATTTCACAGGAGTTAAACTGTAGCCATGCACAGTATTCCTCACTGAACACCATGCTGGATTCTTTGTTGGCAATACAGCGGGCATTTAATTCATATAATCTTCATTAAAAGCCCACCAAGGTGGTAACACTACCCCATTTTACAGATGCAAGAACAGATTGAGAGAAGTGGGGTAATATGACCAGATGTACAGAGCTAGCAAGTGGCTGAGATGGGGTCTGAATCCTCCCACAGCACCAACATCCCTGCCAAAGTCCCTGGAAACTGAGTTTCTCTGTGCTGTGCTGTGGCTCTGCCTAGGTGAGAAATCTCAGGTGGGCAGCTGAAGGGCAGAGGGAAGCCAACCAGTGGGGGTTCCAATATCTCAACAGGGGCAAAAGAAGGTTGCAGCTTTTTCCAGCTTCGGTGAAGCTGGCTGGGGTCCTCTTCTTGGATTGAAAAGATCTCTTCAGTGACAAAGTTTCACCCCAATGTCAGAAGCCCTTCTTTTTTATTCATGCCACTTTCTACAATACGAGCAGCTGCGGCCAGCAACTGAGCTGGGACTGGACTTCAACGAATGTGAGGGAAGTCAGGAAAGAGCATGTTCATAATGGAAAGTGTGGCCCGACCAGGCGTCAGCTGCACAAGTGGTGCCATGCATTAAGTCATAAAGTAGGGCTGACGGGGGAAACTGGCAGTCTCTCTTCTAGCTGCTAACACCAAGATTTTAGAAAGGGAGAGAAGTCTTTGATGATACCTCCAATGGGAAATAACTTTTAAATACAGAGGGGGTGCAGTGTCTTACAAACTAGGGAATCATATCACTGAGTTCACAGTGGTTATCATCAGTAACAGGGATGCTTAAAAATAACGAGGTCTGAACACAAGAAAAAACATGAAGAGAATTTCAGCTAACATGAGAATTTCTACTTCTGATCATTTACTGTGATAAGATCCAGGGAGTTAGGGTGAGGAGACCGGGAAAGGGTAACCGGACTCTTTCTGCCCTGGGTCTCATCGCTCTGAACAGGCACGTTCTGGGACACCCAGTAAAGATGGCGAGACCACTCTGGAGAAGTGAAGATGGGCAGGAGATGATCCACTGAAAAGGACTCATGGGGTCCAGTGAAGTACTGCAAGGGGCCTGTGATAACCTGCAGCTAGCCTGGCCTTCCCAGTCCCACAATGATACAATAAACACCTAACTGTATGAAAAGAAACATCCATTAAGGGCACTTTTATAATTCACATATGAAAGAAATATTGCAGTAGCCAATTAGCCATTCTAAAGGTAAAAGCTACAATGCCAAATGTGGGGAACTGAAGTAAATTAAATCCAGCTCAGAGGAAAAAGGAAGATAAATTGCTAAAAGCAACTGCACTGCAATACTTGTAATCTGCACCTGCCAATCTGCACCTGCCATTAGTTGGGGGGGGGGGTGTGTGAGTGCACAGTGAGCCACCAGACACACAGGAAGTGGTTCCATGAAGAGCTAACAGGAAATAATGGAATAAGCAAAAAGTTCTGGAGTAAGGCAAGTCAAGTTGGACCATTTTACTAGCTGGATGACCTTGAACAGGTCTCACTGCTTCGTCTAAGATGGACCCAGTACTATTTTATGCTGTATAGGACTTCTGTGATACAGCAAAGTTGCTGGGTAAGTTTTTAATGAACGCTAGGTCTCTTCCCCTAATCAATAAGCTGATCCAACATGGAACATGGCTGTTCCCCAGAAAGCCAACAGTCTATAATCAAAAAGATGCTAGTTTTCACTGTCTACCTGTACAGCTGCTGAGCGAGAATGATGTGTACAAAGGGGCCAGAACTGTAGGAGCCATCTACAGGAGACCCGGACCAGAGGGGAAATGAAGGCCACTAACAGCGTTCTTTCCAGCACCTTCCAGAAAGGGAGAGCTGTAGATCAACAAACGGCCAGTCTCAAAACTGGCAGATAAGAAGGTATGGTTTTTAAAAAGCAGCAGCTATGGTCAGTTTTCCACAGAACTCATTTTCACAGCCCTGTTTTACTGGAGTGTAAGGAATCATTTAGGAACAACTTTTCTTTTTAAACAGATACTTGGCTGTGTGTGGTGGCTCATGCCTGTAATCCCAGTACTTTAGGAGGCTGATGAGGGAAGGCTTGAGCCCAGGAGTTTGGGACCAGCCTGGGCAACACAGGGAGACCCTGCCTCTACAAAAAATTTACAAATTTGCCAGGTGTGGTGGCACACACCTGTGGTCCCAGCTACCTAGGAGGCTGAGGTGGGAGGATCACTTGAGCCCAGGATATCAAGGCTGCAGTGAGCTGTGATAGTGCTACTGCATTCCAGCCTGGGTGGGTGACAGAGTGAAACTGTCGCACAAAAAAAAAAAAAAAAATAGAGGGAGGGAGGGAAGGAAAGAAGACAGGGAGGGAGGGAGGGAGGAAGGGAGGGAGGGAGATACTTAAAAACACCTGCCTTTTGCTACAGTGGACCTTAATCCATAGCTTGCATTATATACAAAGATTAACTTGAATTGTACATTTTAATTGTAAAACCTAAAACTGTAAAACTTCTGGAAGAAAACATAGAAGAAAATATTTGCAACTTAGAGTTATGCAAAGATTTTTTAGATATGACACCAAAGGCAAAATCCAAGGGGAAAAATCTGATAAACTGGACTTCATCAAAATTTAAAACTACTACTCTTGAAAAGACACTGTTAAAATAATGAAAAGAGGCTGGCTGTGGTGGCTCACGCCTGTAATCCCAGCACTTTGGGAGGCTGAGGCCGGTGGATCACGAGGTCAGGGGTTCGAGACCACCCTGGCCAACATGGTAAAACCCATCTCTACTAAAAAAGTACAAAAATTAGCTGGGCGTGGTGGCAGGCGCCTGTAATCCCAGCTACTCAGGAGGCTGAGGCAGGAGAATAGCCTGAACCCGAGAGGCGGAGGTTGCAGTGAGCCGAAATCGTGCCACTGCACTCCAGTCTGGGCGACAAAGCAAGACTGTCTCGAAAACAACAACAACAACAACAACAACAAACCACCACCACCAACAACAACAAAATGAAAAGAAAAACCAACCTAGAAGAATATATTTGTAAAATGCTTAAAAGGACTTGTATCCAGAATCTATAAAGAACTCTCAAAATGCAGTCAGAAAATAAACAACCCTAGAACAAAGGGAAAAAATGAAAAGATATTTCACCAAATAAGAAATCTGGATGGCAAAAAATCACAGGAAAAGATGCTTATTAGTCATTAGGGAAATAAAAACCAAAGCCACAATGAGATACCACTACATACCCATTAGAACTGCTGAACAAACAAGCAAAAGGGGTGTGTATCAATATCAAGTACTGGTGAGGGCGCAGAGTGAGCTGAAGCCTTGTATACTGCTGGGGGAAATCCAAAATGGTGACGCCACTTTGGAAAAGAGTGTATCAATTTCTTATGAAGTTAAATATACAGTTACCATATGACCCAGCAACCCCACTCCTAGATATTTACCCAAAGAAAATGAAAACTTAATTCATACAAAAAACCTGTACACAAATATTTATAGCAGCTTGATTCTTGATTGACAAAAACTGGCAACAACCTAAATGTCCTTCCCCTGGGTGATGGATAAATAGTGATACCTGTATACAGTGGAATACCACTTAGCAGTAAAACGGAGTGTACTGAGGATACACGCACCACCACAAATCACAAATGCATCATGCTAAATGAAAGAAGTTAAATGAAAGGCTCAAAAGGCTAACTATCGCATGATTCCAGGTATATGACATTCTGGAAAAGACAAAATCGCAGGGACAGAAAGAAGACCAATGGCTGCTGGGATCTGTGTGGGGGTTGGGGGAAGGATCAACTCCAAACGGGCATGAGGGAAATTTCTGGAGTGATGGAGTTGTATATCGTGATCATAGTGGTGGTTATATGACTGTACACAGATGTCAAAGCTCATCAAATTGTATACCTGAAAGTGATGACTTTCATTGGGTACAATTATATCTTATTGAAGCTGACCTGGCGCAAGATATTAAAAACAATGTTTTAAAAGAAAACCAACAAAATTTTAATATGAAATACTATGCTTATAGTTAAGATTATTTGGCCAAGAGTTTCTAAAAGGGGAAAAGGCAGGATACAAGCTGCATACAGGGTATGAGGTTGGCCGCAGAGCAACAATGCTTGTTACCACAGCATCAAGTTGGGGGCTGGGGGCTTAATTGTCTTCTATTTTTCTGCATTTTCCAAATTCTCATGCTGAGTACATTATTTTTATTAACCAAAAAAACAAAAAATTAAAAGACGGGGAACACAAAAGGTGAATATTTCTGCTTTTCTCCCCTTTACCTAACTGGAGTTGAAATGGAGAAACTTGAAGGGGTAAGGCATTGCTTTTTCCAGGTGAATCCCAAACGGATTCTAAGAAGCTGCACAGGACACTGGAAGCTTCCCATTGTATCCTCTTCCACAGAGTGGACATCCGTACACAGGAAGGTCCTTTGGGAAGCTGCACTCAAGTTTCTAACTAGGAAACGCTGAAGGGGGTACGCCCTGGGGCCGGTTTCCCACACTAAGAAGGTGAGCCCCCTCCCTGCAAGGCTGATGACATCTTGGAGTTGCCAGGAGGAACAGGGAGGGCACAAATGCGCACTGAGTGCCCTGCCTCTGCCTCACTGCACAGCAGCCCACACCTCCTTCGCCACGTTCACTGCAAACCACACTTGAACATAGTAATTAAAAGGCTCCTTGGGAGGCCGCTCGGCTGCCTCAGCCTGGTCTCTCAGGTGACCGACAGCAGCAGCTGTAGATCTTGTTTCTGACTTTAAGGAGACCAGTAACAGCATGAGGAGACTGCTGCTCTAATTAGGTTCTAAATTTTTATACTGTAACCCTTAGGGTTTCAGCTTGAAAAGTTCAGCAGGTTAGTCAAGACTCCAATAAAACTCCAGGTTCTTTGGCAAACACTTAAAAGGCCTAACATGTTGTTTTAAATGTTAGGGGAAAAAAGACTTTGAACAATGTCTCTATTTACAGGACAAAAAATAACCGGGAATAGTCAATGTATCTCCTTTGGGCATGCCTCTGTAAACACCATCTAACTAAGGTGCTGATGGAACCTGCTGCTAGGGACCAGCCAGCAGTATTTTCACAATGGTCAGCCCAGGCAGCATCAGACCATCCATGCGGCCCTGAGATTCTCCAGAGAAGTGAGGGGGTGGGCAATTTCTCCAGGTCCCAGGAACACATCAACAAGAACAAGTATGTGACAGAAATCCTTCAATTAAACATGACCTGGGAAAACAGCCACACTTCCTGAAGACATTTTATTCCAGCATTAATGGCATGCAGAGTAGTTTTCCTTTGCGTACCGAGTATGTACCTAGAACTGCTTGGATGGAAAGTGGCTGGCACTACCAATCAACAGTCATATCAACAAAAAAGGAGGGGACTTATGCTGTACATTCACCTCCTGAAAATAGGATTGAAACAACCATACTTACAAGAAAAATATTTGCTGAGTACATAGTATACACATAAACTAGAAGCCCTGAAGGAGACTGGTTACTTGGCTTTCCCTCCCTCCCTCCCTCCTCTCTCTTTCTTTGTTTCTTTCTTGAGACGGAGTCTTGGAGTCTTGCTCTGTCACCCAAGCTGGAGTGCAGTGGCACCATCTGGGCTCACTGCAACCTCAGCCTCCTGGGCTTAAGCGAGTCTCCTGCCTCAGCCTCCCAAGTAGCTGGGAGCACCACCATTCCCAGCTAATTTTTGTATTTTTAGTAGAGACAGGGTTTCGCCATGTTGGCCAGGCTGGTCTCGAACTCCTGACCCAAGGTGGTGGACTAACAGGCGTGAGCCACCATGCCCAGCCCGCTTGGATTTCTATCCAGTGACTTTATCACATGAAAGTCTAGATTGGTAATTGTTTCTGATCTAGAACAGCTGCAAGAAACATTCACCTTTGTAATGAATCCTTCATTTCCTCTAAAGTCTGGATGAGTTTCCCCAGCCTCCCACATGTCAGTTAGATACTTTTAAGTCTGCAACTCTAAGCCTCAGTTTCCTCTGTACAACTGGGAAAGAGTATCTGCACCTTACTGCATGTTTAAAAGGTCTAGACAAGACAATAAAGGATGTTCCTAGCACTCTGTCTAATAGTATAAACCCAATAAATAGTCCTTTCTTCCACTATTTTTGTCATTTTGTTATCTGGGATTGGGTCTAGTACTTAATTCTTAGTGTATCTTCGATATCAAAATGTATACTATGAGTTCATGTGCTTGGGTAAAGAGAAAAAATTAAAAGAAAAAGAACAGATATAAAGAGATTACTTTTTTTTTTTTTTTTTGAGACAGAGTTTCGCTCTTGTAACTCAGGCTGGAGTGCAATGGCATGATCTCAGCTCACTGCAACCTCTGCCTCCCTGGTTCAAGCGATTCTCCTGCCTCAGCCTCCCAAGTAGCTGGGATTACAGGTGTGCACCACCATGCCAGGCTAATTTTTGTATTTTTAGTAGACGGGGTTTCGCCATGTTGGCCAGGCTGGTCTTGAACTCTTGACCTCAGGTGATCTGCCCACCTCGCCCTCCAGAAGTGCTGGGATTATAGGCATGAGCCACTGTACCCGGTAAGATTAAATTTTAAAAAATTTGTTTTGTGTGGTATTTGTTGAGCATCAGTTGTTCTGGGATTGCTACAACATAGGATATTCCAGCGTCCTAATTTTTGCTACTTCCTCCTTGGAGAACAGAAAATACCCACAGGTAGTGCCCTTTTATGTCTTTCATGCCCTCACTGCCAGTGCTGGGCCCCCAAGCCCCTGAGGATCTGTTGAGTACCTGCTGAGATGCTTTTCTGAGTACTGGAGCTCACACCCAACGCCTCAGCACCGTTTTGGGTTGGACAGACTTTGTCGCGCCGTGCCTAGCACTCTAATACAGTTCCCGCCACCACCCGAACCAGACCTTCGCGGCTCCTGGCACACTCTAAATACTTCTGAGAGTTTAATGCAGACCCTCAACAGGGCTTGAACTTTGTACTCTCACTCATTATGGGACCTTATTAAAGTAAATGAGCAAGCCAAATTGGCTGATTCCACAGGTTCTGCACCTGATATCCTGACCTATATCCTGCTGATACTAATAGGATTAAACACTGAAAACAAACCAGGTGGAAAGGATCCATTAAGTTTCCACCTGGCACCGTCAGGGGTCTTGCTCGATGAATGGTGCTCCAGAAGAAAGCTCGATTCACTCAAGTTCTCTGATTCAATTAAAAGTTGTCAAGATGTCTCTTTCTCTTTTTTTTTTGGCAGCACTGACAAAGAAGTACAAAATCTACAATTTTTTTTTTAGCTCAAATCTTGTGGCAGTGACAGCTTTACTGTCAATGGGAGGAAAAAAACCCTTATTTTAATTACAGTATTATAAATTCAAAACCCTAAATAACTTATAGAAAGTTTTCACTTAAAATGATGAAAGCTATAAAAGGAACTAATCTATTAATGCAGTCTATTATTAGTTATTTTAATTTTAATATTTTTCAGATTATGCTGATATAGAGGGGAAAAACGAAAAGCTTGTCCCTGAGGAGTAATAAACTAAAAAAATCCAGAAGAGACAGCTATGAAGGACAGGAATACAAGTGGGGAAACCCCCCTGCCCCTCTAAATCCTGCTCAGTACGATCTCTAGAAATCATGCTGACATTCATTATTTTAACATTTGTTGAGCACACGAAACATGACAGTGGTAATAAAGGTATGAAATTTGAAGACTAAGGATGCTACAGATTTAAAACTTCTCCAATACTTTTTCTTCTTTCTTTTCTTGAGACAAGGTCTCACTGTGTCCCCCAGGTTGGAGTGCACTGATGCGATCATAGCTCACTGCAGTCAAAACTCCTGGGCTCAAGCGATCCTCCCGATTCAGCCTCCTGAGTACCTGGGACTACATGCCCGTGCAGCTAATATTTAAATTTTTTTTTTTTTTTTTTTTTTTTTGTAGAGAAAAGGTGTCACTATATTGCCCAGGCTGGTCTCAAACTCCCGGGCTCAGGTCATCCTCCTGCTTCAGCTTCCCAGAGTGGTGGGATTATAGTTGTGAGCTACCATGCCTGGCCCCCTCCAATAGTTAAGTCAGGGAAAGGACAGGAGGTAAGTAAAGAGAGACACCCAGAGTCAAGAGACAGCTAAAACATCCAATCCAGGCTTCAAACACAAGTTTAAGTTTTCTGTTGAAATTCAGCTTCAGCATAATGTACAAAAAGCATATGTGACATTTTTGCTACTTGTCTGATTTCATTAATATCCATGAGATTCAGAAAACTCCCCACAGTCAGATCGGGCCACATGCAAAAGGGGATTAATTAAAACAGTGCATTCATAGCTTGGGTATGAATCAAGTTCCACCACTTGACTACTACTTTCCTTTGATTTGATTGTTAGTTCTGCTAACCGTGACAACTGTCACGATGTGAGACAAAGGAGAATGATTATAATTGTGTCTGGGTCAGTGTCTCTCAACACATAACCTTGGTTAAAAGCACTCACTTTCTTTTGTGTGTGTGTATGTAAGACAGGGTGTCACTCTGTTGCCCAGGATGGAGTGCAGTGGCGCAATCTTGGCTCACTGTAGCCTTGACCTCCCTGGGCTGAGGCAGTCCCCCTACTTCAGTCTCCTTAGTAGCTGGGACTACCGGCATGCGCCACCACACCTGGCTAATTTTTTGTATTTTTAGTAGAGACGTGGTTTTGCCATGTTGGCCATGCTGGTCTTGAACTCCTGACCTCAAGTGATCCACCCGTCTTGGCCTCCCAAAGTGCTCGGATTACAGGCGTGAGCCACCGAGCCTGGCCTCACCAGCTTTCTTGTAGGACAGACTTAATGGCTCTGGGACTTTGGGCAACTCACATAACCCTTTGGGCCTCCGTTTTCTTAACTGTAAAATGGATAATGATGACTGTCTCAAGGATTTAAATGAAAGAATTTCAGTTACACATTAAGCACTGTCCTGGCTCCAGTAATAAGCACTCAATAAGCAGTGGCTATGATTACTGTCACTGTGACTGCTGCCTTGCTGGACCGCCCCCTGCAGCAGGGAATGGCCTTTTCCATGTGCTGACTGACAAGATGCCCTTCTGGCCTCTTGCTGTGGCCCTGTGTGGCATGTGTGCATGAAGGGCTGAGTGAGGCACATCTGCGGGGTGGAGAGGACATGGGATTCAGCTCAGGCAGACCTGGGTCTGCCTTTCGGCTGTGCTTCTTAAGCGCAGCATGGCCCCGCACACTTAGCCTCGCTGAGCCCAGGCATCTGCTTCATCAAATAAGGATGATGATTCCCACCTCAGGGCTACGGTGAAAATTAAATGAAATAAGGAGAGAAATGGCTCCTACTACAGCGTCTAGCATGTAGTAGGCTCTCAACAGGTGCTAATTTCCTGTTTCCTTTGCTTCTTATATAATTCTGCTTCGGAGAGAAATCCAGGTTGCCTGGGGGTTTTGCTGGAAACAGTGAAAACGCTGCTACTGAAAATAACATGTAGGAGGGGCCTCTGCGCACATTTAAATGCACATTTTAAATATTGAGGCTGCTTTAAACACATCAGCAAAACCTCTACACCATGGAGGAGAGAGAGATTACCAAAATAGACTAGCCATCTTTAACAAGGAGACCCCCCAGGCCTTATGCTACCCGAGCCAGAGCTTTTTAGGATTCCTCAAATTAAATTAAATTGATCCTAAAAATATCTGCTTTGGTGGAAGACTACATGGGCTTTGCCACCAAGTGAAGCCTTGCTATAATTTCTCCCCCAAAATAGGAGTTTCTAGAGCATTTAAATAGTCCACGGCCCCAGAACTTCGGCAAGATCCAATACAAACCTGCTGGAGAAAGCTCCTTCTTCATTCTTTTTAATTTCTTGGCCTTTTTCCTTCCCTCTGAGAGGGGCTCTGCACAGGAATCGGTCTGCTCAAGCTCAGTGTCGGAAATCTCCCCTGACACTCCGTCCTCCAGGCCAGCTTCCTCTTGACTAGGACTCAAATTTCTCTTTCCTACTGTGCTGGGAGCTGTAAAACTGAAATGCAAAAAGTGGAACAACATAAAAGGTGCTGAGAGTTACAGGAAGACTAGTCTATAAAAATATTTTAATACTCTTAATTCTATTAACACTCAGCCAGCCATCAACAACATGGGCAGCTGCTGCCTGTGTGTAAAAATTAAAGACCTTATTATGAACTGAAGTCTGAAAGTTTACCTATAACAAGCTTATTCAGAAAAAAGTCCTAAATTATGCTTGTAAATAGATATACACAAATTTAAGCTGATCCGAGTGCTCAAGAACAAATCCGTAAAGTAGCCTCTATTTTGATAAAACTATTGTAACAGAATAGTAGAATAGAATAGTAGAGATAATATAATGAAATAATAGTTTTGGTTACATTAAATCAGAAGATAGCATTATTCTCTTCATGACTGCCTAATGCATAAAGAGCAGAACTGAAGAATTCTTCAATCAGTCTGCTATCCCACTGCTTAAAACTTGGACATAGCTACAGAGCATACCCCACCTTCATGTAATCTTCTTCCTTTCCAAAAAGATGACTTGTTAAATGTATAATTAAATGTTTCATTTTGAAAGCTTTATAGGCTTTGACATATTGAATTAAATCAGATTATGTGTCCTGATTTTTCCTTACGAAAATGTTCCCTTAAATATAACTAGATAAAAACAGCGTCCACATAGCCAGTGAGTCCTTTCTCCTCTAAATGGGTCTTAGAGATTTTTTTATTATAGCCCCCAAGTTATGAAAGCCTCAAATAAATTCAAGGCATTCTATTTAGGAGAGGCCATTCAAGCACATGGGGAGGGTGGGAAGTGAGAGATAAAATGATCTTACCAGCTTTTCCTAGGAGGTGGGTACTTTTAAATTTTATCTATCTATCTATCTATCTATCTATCTATCTATCTATCTATCTATCTAATCTAATTATTTTTGAGACACAGTCTTGCTCTGTCACCTAGGCTGGAGTGCAGTGGAGTGATCTCGGCTCACTGTAGCCTCCGCCTCCCGGATTCAAGTGACTCTCCTGCTTCAGCCTCCCAACTAGCTGGGATTACAGGCACCCGCCACCATGTCTGGCTAATTTTTTTTTTTCCCTGAGACAGAGTCTCGCTCTGTCCCCCAGGCTGGAGTGCAGTGGCACAATCTCAGCTCACTGCAACCTCCGCCTCCCGGGTTCAAGCGATTCTCCTGCCTCAGCCTCCTGAGTAGCTAGGATTACAGGCATGCACCACGAAGTCTGGCTGATTTTTGTATTTTTAGTAGAGATGGGGTTTCACCATGTTGGCCAGGCTGGTCTCGAACTCCTGACCTCGTGATCCGCCCAACTTGGCCTCCCAAAGTGCTGGGATTACAGGCTTGAGTTACCACGCCCGGCCTCTGCTAATTTTTGTATTTTTAGTAGAGGTGAGGTTTCACCATGTTGGCCAAGCTGGTCTGGAACAATGGACCTCAAGTGATCTGCCCACCTCGGCCTCCCAAAGTGCTGGGATTACAGGCGTGAGCCACCATGCCCAGCCAGGAAGTGAATAGTTTAAAATGTTCCACATAAAAAACTCTGGCTACCTAAATATTCAAGTTCCTCCACATTACTCCTGCACTCAACATCTTCCCTGAATCTGCCAAGTGCACTTGATAGGACACTCAGGGGACAGAGGAGAAGAACACACTGCCTTCCTGGTGGTTCTCTAAGGCATGGGAAGCAGAAGAGGCTGGAGCACTCTTCCTCCTATGACTGGCTGGCTAGCCTTTCATTTGTCCTCTTTTTCATTTCTATTATAGACAGCTTTCTGAAACATCTAATTGAGGGACTATAAGGGAGGATATTAATGGTAATGTTTCGGCAGTGGGGGGTGGCTGTTAAAAATGTATGCTGAAGTTTCCTGTTTAAAAACTGGTAATACCTTTAAGAAGATTTTTTAAAGACTAGAAAAAGTTCGGCTGATTTCAGAAAATTTAGAAAATTCAGGAAGTACAAGAAGATAATAAGGGTTCTTCTATCACGAAAGGGGAAGAGGCCTAAAAATTCCTTCGCATTGTAAATTCAGGAACCTGGTAGCCTCTGAGACATACATAAATGTTTAATGAAAACTCAGCTAGAACCACGGGCATTAAAAATACTCTGTGAAATACAAAGTCTAGAAATAGCCCCAACTGTACCTAGAAATCTACTGTATGATAACAGTGGTATCTCTAAATACTGAGGCATATATGGACTTTAAAATAATGGTGTTGGGACAAGCAGAAAAGGATAAAATTAGAACCATTCCTCACACCATATAAAAGAATAAATGCCTAATGGATTAGATATCTAAATGCAAAAAAGGCAACTTTACAGGTACTAAAACAAAACGCGGGTGAATGCCTCCAAAATCCAGGTGTAGAAAAAGGTTTTCTTGCCATGTCTCACAATCCAGACATAATAAAGGATTTATGAATGTGACCTCATAGATGTAAACATCTTTTGCAGGGCAATAAATAACGTGAGCCAAGACAAATGACAAACCACGAGGAAATATCTGCAACATGTATCACAGATAAAGGGTTAATGTCTCTAATAAATTATAACTCAAACTTGAAGAGAAAAAGAAAGACCAAAAGTCCTATAGAAAACTAAAAAAGGTATGAATAAACAGCTCATTACACACACTCCTTAAACACATGAAAAAATGTTCAACTCCATTCATAATGCAAAATAAAACAACACTGAAATATCACTTCTCACCCACTAGGTTTTTAGACTGGCAAAAACCTTCAAAAGCTTGATAATATACTCCATTAGTAGACTGGGGAAATGGGTCCTTTCTCACATTACTGGTATGAATGCAAAATCGCATGACTTATTCTTATGGAGGGAATGTGGCAATATCTAACAAAACTGCATACACTTCCAGGAATTTAGAAGATATACCTCCTACAATGCAAAAATATGCATGTACAAGTTATTCATTACAGCATTATTTGGAATTGCAAAATACTGCAAAGTACCTAAATGTCTAAGCATAAAAAACTGGTTGAATACGCAACAGTACATACAATCAATGAACTACTAAGCAGTTACCAAAAAGAATGAAGATCTCAAAGAACCGAAAATGATTATGGAAAGATTTCCAGTAAAATATGTGCAAAAAGCAAAGTGCAAAAGAACAACTTATGAAGCTGGTATGCCCAATCTTGAGTAGGGTGTGGGAGAGAATTGCAAACAAATCCTGAACCCCTTAGTAGGCTTGCTTCTGTAGTAGAATGAGTGAAGCAATTCTGAAAACACTTAGCTGCATGATAGCACTGGGTAAATCAGTAAATGTGCTGATGTTTCTGGCAGACAGACATAAAAATATTAGAATAAGGGAAGATAAGGAAGAACCCTCTGAGGATAGACTGAAATTGGAGATACGGGTTTAGGCTTGTGATTTCTAAAATAAGTATGAGTATATGTGTTCATATTTATGTATACACACACACACACACATATATATATACGTATATTTATGCAGGGATAGATAATTGTATCTATCCAGGCACAAAATTCCCAGCTCTGTCTACAGAAAGGACGTAGAAGCAGAGACACCAGAGTAGCAATGAGCATATCTATTGTCCAGATCTTAGTTTCTAATACCCTACTAAAAGGAACCAGGGTTCCTCAAATAAGTGGATGATTCCAGGCTCAAGGGAGATAAATTATAAAATGAGTCTAAAATATTTTGCAATACCAAGAAGTAAAAAACTTTTAGGCATGTCACAGGGAAATAGGAACTAGCTTGAAAGGACTCCCACTGGGAAAATCTGGGACAATGTGTGCCCTCTAATTTATTAGGGGGCAGTAATAAATTCTGAATCATTGAAAAAAAAAATAGCAATCCATGAGTCTACATCAATACGTAAGACAAGGAAAGGAAAGGAAAGAAAAACTCCGACTCTCCACTATAAACCTAAATTTAAACTGCTTGGCACAGCATCCAGGATCCTCTATCATCTGGGTCCCAATCTGCTTTCCTGGCCTATCTTTCACTAGGCAGCCAAGCTGCAGAGACTATATAGGTTTACCTAATGAAGTTCATCGTCCGTACTCTCCCACATGCCCGTCATCCCACCAGAAGTTTACTGGCCCAAATACATCCCACACTGCCCATTTCAATGTTACCGTTCATGCTAAGACCCTACTGCCCATCTCCTCCTGCTCAACATCACTCTCCTCCGGGAATGTTCCCAATCCCTGTTTACTGTTCTTTCCTTTCCATGCTTCCCATAAACTCTGCTTTTCTGTCTCATGAGGACTTTAACTCGTTCATCTTATTTTTTATAATAAACTGAAACTAGGAGCAGTGCATCAACAGGAGAATGGATAAACTGGGCTATATTCATACAACGAAATATAATTCAGCAATTAAAAAATGAATTACTGTTACCTCCAACAACACGGATGAATCTCAAACATTCTAAGTGAATGAAGCCTTCACAGGAAAGGGTGGGTATTTTATAAACCCATTTACATGAAATTCCAGAAAAGGCTAAACTAATCTTCAGAGAAAAAAATTCAGAAGAATGGTGGGTATGGGAGGGTAGGTAGGGATTGACTGGTAGAAAATGAGGGAATTTTCTGGGGTAACGTTAATTCCCTGTGTCTTTATAGGAGTATAGTTTTGTCAAAACTTCTATCTTGGCCAGGTGTGGTGGTTCACACTTGTAATCTCAACACTTAGGGAGGCCAAGGCAGGAGGATTGCTTGAGCCCAGGAGTTCAAGAACAGCCTGGGCAATGTGGAGAAACCCCGTCTCTAAAAAAAAAAAAAAAAAAAAAAATACAAAAAAAAAAAAAAAAAAAAAAATACAAAAAATTAGCCAGGCACAGTGGTGGCATGCCTGTAGTCCCAGCTATTTGGGAGGCTGAGGTGGGAGGATTGCTTGAGTCTGGGAGTTTGAGGTTTCAGTGAGCCATGACCAGCCCACTGCACTCCAGCCTGGGTGACAGAGTGAGACCCTGTCTCAAACAACAACAACAATAACAACAACCACTTCATATCTCAACATCATGTGGCTATTCTACGGACATGGAGATTGACTAATTTTAGCATTAACTTCAAGCAATGATTTTGAAGGCACTTACTAGAATACATTGGTTGTATCCTAACCACAGATTATGGTATTTTTGGCCAACAAGACCCATGCATTTGTAATGCTCCTCTCCATAAACAACTGACTGCTATGCAACAGGGACTCTGCCAGATGTGCTTCTGCAGGGTTCTTGTTTCTATGGAACATTTAAGTTTACAAAGCATTTTCCTGAACAGTTTCTCAATTAATTTACAACTTTATTTATTTATTTAGAGACGGAGTCTTGCTCCGTTGCTCAGGCTGGAGTGTAGTGATGTGATCTTGGTACACTGTAACCTCCATCTCCATGGTTCAAGTGATTCTCATGCCTCAGCCTCCCAGCTAATTTTTGTATCTTTAGTAGAAACAGGGTTTCACCATGTTGGCCAGGCTGGTCTTGAAATCCTGACCTCAGGAGATCTGCCTGCCTCGGCCTCCCAAAGTGCTGGGATTACAGGCGTGAGCCACCGCACCCACCCTACAGCATATTTCTTAATTGCTAATCTGTATTTCTGCTCTCAAGTAAGTCTTTTGCTTCCTAGGAGAGGCTAATGGTTATTGGGCATCCTGCCTGAGAAAGCTCTCAGATATATGTGGAATTAGTTTATTTCATATAATGTTTCTGTATCTATATGTATGTAAGACCTGCCATCCTCTAATAAAAATAAAAGCTGTGATTATATCCCATATAACTTAACTACGGCAGTTTTAAATAAAAGTTTTAATTATACATTAAAAACCAGATATATGTAACACTGCCTTTACAAATGTGATTCTTTATATATTTGGAAGGTACTGCTGTGCATGTGTGTGTATGTGCATGCGTGTGTGTAGCACTCTCAATACCTGCATGTTGATGAGGCATTCTTTTATTAACTGATTTTAAAAGTCAAAAGGTAAAATGAGAGGCAAAACAATCTCCCATTTGTATGACCTCATTTTGCATACAGATTTATAATGTACAAAGTGAGCTAGTTTATAATGAATAAGAAGTGGACATTTAAATCCACTGTAAGAAGTGGTGATTAATTAAAAAATAAAATGTCACAGACACAACTTGGTATGTTAAAATTGAACATTAAACTTTGATTAGTGTTTTGTTAAAAGCTAAGTCGCTGTCAACTATCCATCAAATTCCACAAGGGTGAACATCTCCAGTACTTTTTCCTTTTAGTAGAAAGAAATGTTTGCTTATAGAAAGGCCGTATTTTCAAACCCCTACAAATACCTTTTTCCATGAAGCAATAACAAAAATCTAGCTGCTACATGAACATATTCCCCATTTTAAATTAGGGTATTATTTACATGCAATGGAATTCACTTATTTTAAATGTACAGTTTGGTTAACTTTGGGAATTGCTTATAACCATGTAACTATTACTACAATTGAGATATAGAACAATACCCTCTCCCTAAAAAGATTCCTCGTGTCACTCTGCACTCAATCCACATTGTCACAGCAACTATTAATCTGCTTATAGTCCTATTTATATAGTTTTGCCTTTTCCAGAAGTTCATGTGAATGAAATCATACAATATTTAGTCTTTTGTTTGACTCTTTTCACTTAGCATAATACTTTGAGAGTCAGTCACATGGCTGTTAGTATTAGTACTTTATTTCATAGTATGGCTGGATCACAATTTATTCATTTACCAGTTGATGGACATTTGGGCTGCTTCCAACTATTTGTCATTACAAATAATGCTGGTATAAACATCTGGGTAAAAGCTAGCTTTTATTATTAAAAACATAAGTTTTTATTTTTCAAATATAAATACCTAGAAGGATTTCTGGGTGATATATAAAAATACATTTGCAATTTATGTTTAACTTTACAGGAAACTGCCAAACTATTTATTGGCCATTTGTATATCTTTTTTGAAGAATCTGTTGAAATGTTTTGACCTCATCCCCCTTTTCAAAAAACTGGGTTGTTTTCTGAATTGCCGAGTATATATTATAAGAGTACATATGATCATGATACAACTATTTTGTATGTAGATACAACTACATTATTAGATACGCAGTTTGAAAATTTTTGGCCCGGCATGATGGCTCATGCCTGTAATCCTAGCACTTTGGGAGGCCAAGGTGGGCGGATCGCTTGAGCTCAGGAGTTCAAGACCAGCCTGGGCAACATGGTGAATCCCCACCTCTAAAAGAAAAAAAGGAAAAGAAATTTTTTTCCACAGTGTGTGCCTTCTCTTCACAGTTTCTTAATAGTATCTTTTGAAGAAAAGAATATTTAATTTTGACTAAGTCCAATTTATCAACATTTTTCTTTTATGGCTCATGCTTTTGTTGTCATATCTAAGAAATCTCTGCCTAATGCAAGATACTAAGATCTCCTTTCATTTTTTTCTTCTACCAGTGGTTATCATTTTAGTTCTTCCATTTAGTTCTATGAGTCGCTTCAAGTTCATTTTAAATGTGGTGTAACATAAGAACAGAAATGTGGTTTCTGGCATAGTTACCCAGTTGTTTCAGTACTGTATGTAGACAAAGCCTTCCTTCGCCTACTGGATTACCAGCACCTGTGTCAGGAATTTTTGTTTTTTCCAAATTCTCAACAGTCATTAGCTTCAAGATTCAGAAATGAGAAATTCAGAATTCCCAAATCATAAAATATTCTGCATTTTTCATAGCATTGTGTTACATGTTGTTGAATAATGAGTTATAAATAGCAAATCACTTTTATGTGATACACTTATACTGAAAGCTTCAGGGGTCAGTTCTATAAAGTAAGATATAATAATATATGCACAGGTTATTATTATGAATGAATACACTGTGAGAAAAGCACGTATTTCAATAACACATAAAAATAACCTCTACCTGATATAGACGTTTGTTAACAGAAAACATTAAAAACACAGTAGCACCAAATGAATGCCAAATATCATTTAAAAATTGAAAGATGCCACAAATATTTAAAAGTTATTCTTAAATGATACTTTAAAACACACAAGTATTAACTAATATTTGTTTTGTGAAAAATATTCCAAATGTAGAAAAGCTTCTTTCATTTTATGCTGAACATTGGTCAAGAGTTGGTCAAACTCTTCAGAGTGGTGTCCAAAGCCAACTGCAGTTAGGATTTAGACTATATACGGCTTCATATAAGCCCAATTCCTTTCCTAGTGTTGAAAATATTTTGTCTGCTTGCCTTGATTTTGCTCTTAAAATTGATACTGCTTTTCCTAATTCAAATTTTATATCAGCTGATTTCACATTAAGAGTATTCCACAATCATATTCACACATCTTCTCTTTACATTTCTCCTGTAAAAGTATTTACAAAGAACCGTAGCCTACATTAAATATTCAAACACTGGAAAACACCAGTGAACATTATTGGATTCTATGAAGATAATGTAACATTTGGCTATCCTAGCAAGGTTAACAGCACTACACAGGAATCACGCTTCAAAGCTACCAACTTAAGGGCTGCTGCCAAAACTTACATCTTCCAACAAGACTTGGAGGATTTTGTAAAGTATACTCATGTGCAAAACTCAATAGATTTTTATTGAGAAGAATGACTCACTATTAATAGCAGGCAGGGCCATAAACATACACTTGCAATATGGTGACAGTGACAAGCAAGAATGACGTGATTGGAATGTGACCCCTTCTCTCCTACATGTTGCTGTCCTGGTTCTGAAATGACGACCTTAATCTCTGACTCCATGTGTCGCTGACTGTGCTCTTGCCTTTGACCTGATGCTGGATAATTCCTTTAAACTAGTAATGCCCATGTTGGCTGTTAAAATTTTAGTTCTCGCAGAATATTTCCTTTTCCTGATTTCTTGACTCATTTTTCTCACAATTTGGAATAAGAGACAAATGTCTCTAAATGCCAAGAAGGAATTCCTGCATGGAAAAACTATGGGAAATCAACTGATCACACATATGTGGTTGTATTCTTGGACTCTCTATTCTATTTTGTTTCACTATCTGTCTTTCCTTACCCAGCCCCACACTGTACTACTACAGTTTTACAGTAAGTTTTCTTTTTTTTTTTTTTAAACTGATGGGGTCTGGCTCTCTCACCTGGGCTAGAGAGCAGTGGTGCAATCACAGCTCACCGCAGCCTCAACCTCCCAGGTTCAAGCGATCCTCCTACCTCTACCTCCTGAGTAGCTGGGACTACAGGCATGCACTACCACACCTGACTAATTTTTAATTTTTTTGTAAGGATGGGGGTGTCTTGCTATGTTGCCTCAGGCTGGTTTTGAACTTCTGGGCTCAACTGATCCTCCCTCCTTGGTCCCCCAAAGTGCCGGTATTATAGGCGTGAACCATCATGCCTGGCCTACAGTAAGTCTTAAAGACAGGTAGAGCAAGTCCTTTAGTTGGCTGGAACGTTCATGCGCTGTATAAAATAACAGTACCCTTTCATTTTAAAGAGCTGCTGTTTGCAACATTCTCATATTTGGTAACTGTATATGACCCTTTTAAGCTGGACACATGTACACTCCCATTTTGCAGACAAGAAACCTCATCTTCAGGGTAAATGACCTCCCCCAGGTACTGCAGCTGGGCAGGTGGCTCTGAGATTGCACTCCAAGTTCAATGTTCTTGGCACTGCTTTATAAACTCCCATCTTCCTAGGGCCAGCTCTCCTCACTGTGCCGGTCTCAACAGAAAAGAGACCCCCGCACCATCCCCACGGAGGAGCCGAAACAGCCACTTACCTTGTCACATTCATTCCTCTGCCCTGTTTTATTTTCCTCCTCCTACTCGCCTCTGCCTTGCCTCTTATTTATGTCCTTACTTATCTATTCTCTCTCTCTGTCACTAGAATGTACGTTCCATGAGAGCAGGCTCTTACACTGCTTGTGCTCTCCGTACCTGGCACAGGGCCTGGCATAGAGTAAGTCCTTGGCCAAGGTTTGCTGAATGGATAAAATAAATGAAATAAGTGAAAGCTACCTCCCTAAAAGCAATAATGCAAGTGACAAACAACAAATTGCTTATTTTATCCTGAATTAGAAATAATATGAACATAGTTTACATTCCAGTGTATGGGCAGCTTCTCCTGCTAGGCTGAATGAAAGCACATTCCCTACTAGATGTAGCTAAGGGATTGAGGGAAGGTCCCACTGTGCAAACTACCTCACACAGCAAAATGAACTGGAGAGATCCGGTAAGTGGGAGCTAGAAATGCCTTTTTATTGTGTTCACAAACTTTCATGGTGAATTCGAATTCCATGAGCATGACTGTTTCTGTGTTTGGGGCTCAATTTAGGTGGGAGAGGGGAGGATGTTGGACAACCTATGCTCAGTTCAGAAGCCAAACCCTCGGAGATCACTGATAAACCAGGATTCTTATTTCTAATAAAGAATTTGAGTCTTGGGGCCAGGCGCAGTGGCTCACACCTGTAATCCCTGCACTTTGGGAGGCCGAGGTGGGCAGATCACTTGAGGTGGAGTTCGAGACCAGCCTGGCCAACATGGTGAAACCTCGTCTCTACTAAACATACAAAAAACAGCCGGGCATCATGGTGTATGCCTGTAATCCCAGCTACTCGGAAGGCTGAGGCAGGAGAACTGCTCGAACCTGGGAGGCGGAGGTTGCAGTGAGCCAATATCGCACCATTGTACTCCAGCCTGGGGGACACAGTGAGACTCTGTCTCAAAAAAAAAAAAAAAAAAAAAAAAAAAAGAGTCTGTAAACAAACTTAACATTAAATAAGGTCTGAATGGTAGCTGTCTGGTAATAAGGACATCTCTTGTGGAATAGGGGTGTGTGTGTGGGGGTGTGTGTGTGGGTGTGTGTGTGTGTGTGAGAGAGAGAGACAGAGAAAACATGAATGCATTGTGTATCTGCTCCATCCTAGACATAAAGCTTACTTGTGAATACGAGGCTTAAGAAAAAAATTAGTTCAACATTACAAAGAATCAATAGCATTCAATAAGAAATACTTTTCACAAGAAACTATTTTGAATATTTCAAACAATCCCCTATTGTCAACTCACTTTAACACAGAAAAGATTGATGCAAACATGAAAGATACTACATTAATAATAATTTCTAAATGTAAAATATATTATCAATATACAATTAGTTGGACCTGAATTTAGAACATCTGAAATTTTCAGAGGCTAGGATCAAATTTACTTTTGTACTAAAATTTACCTTTTGACTTCAATCAAAGGACTTACTAATCAAATTAGTAACATAATCAAGGCTATAAGAAAAACAAAACATCATCCCTGCAAACCAAAAGGCCAACTATTTCAGAAAATAAACTACTTTTTAAAAATTTCCAGGAAGTTAAACATGAGCGATTGAACACACTATTTATCTGCAGAGAGAAGATAACACCTATGGAGGAAAAGAGAACAGGAGAGGCAGCATCAGAGAATGGGGTATCAGCTCACCTTGCAGGCACTCTCTTTGTAGAGGAAAAGCAGGGAGAAGAGTGGCAAAGAGCTCTGCATAGAGGCAGAAACAGAAATCTGAGTGCTCTACAAAAGGCAGATTCACCCAATTAAGCCATGCAAAATCTCAGCACAACCAGGCCCTAGATTCCTAAAACGAGCAGGTGATGAGGACTGGAGCCATGTCAGGAGGGAGCAAGGCTGTAATAGGATCCCCTACCCCAGGGAAGCCAGGGCACTGGTATCACCCCAGGCCAGTAGGAGCTAGATAGGAGGTTTATACTCTGGAGAAAGCGATCTCCGCAGGCTCAGCGGCACCAGGTACAATGGTGAAGAGTGACAGTGAGGCGAAATGAGCTGACGAAATGGGGTAGCCATCCCCCACATACCGAGGAGTGAGGCTGTCCAGCTCCCTTCTGCCAATCTGTACCCAGAGCACAGCAGTTAGGTTTGTATCCCCCAAGCTGAAAATCAGAGCATCAATCTCTAAAAAAAACTGAAACCTTACAGCTAATTCATATTTAACGTTGAAAGATTGAAAGCTTTCCTCCTAAGATCAGGAATAAGATAAAGATGTCAGCTCTCACAACTTCTATTCAACAATGTACTAGAGGTCCTAGCCAGAGAAATAAAGGCAAGAGAAAGAAAATGTGTATGGGAAAATTTGTACTGGGGAGATAAATGCAAATGTCTTTATTTGTAGATAGAATTTCTCAAACGAAAAATATCCAATACTCTACAATAAATTATTAGAACTGATAAGTGAGTAAGTAAGGTTGGTTTAAGAATACAAGGTCAAAATTAAAAAGCTATTATATTTCTTTATATTAGCAATAAATGACTGGAAGTGGAACTTTAAAAATATATGACTTACAATAGATCAAAAGGTAAAATACTAAGGGACAACTCCAGTATAGCATATGCAAAATTTGCATGCTGAAAACTATAATACACTGATGAGAGAAATCAAAGAAAGCCCAAGTAAGTGAAAAGATACACTACATTCATGGGTTGGAAGACTCAATGTAGTTAAGATGTTAATTCTCCTCAAAATGGTTTACAGGTTCAACACAATTCCAATCAAAGAGCTAGCAGACTTTTTGTAGAAACTGACAAACTGACTAAAACTTTTGTGGAAAAGTGAATAGAATAAACTTTTATATAGAAAAGACAAGATTAAAGGTACAATATTTGATTTCAAGGCTCACTACAAAGCTACAGTAATCAAGACAGTATGGTATTGGTGAAAGAACAGACATATAGATCAATGGAATAGAATAGTGTCCAGAAATAGACCCATACGTATATGACCAAATGATTTTTGACTAAGGAGTTGTAATTCAGTAATTTACTTTTCATAAAATAGTGCTGGAATAATTGCATATCTATATGCAAAAAATAAACTCATACCCATGCCTCATAACCGTATATAAAAATTAACTTGAAATAGATCATATATCTAATATAAAACTGAGAATAATTAAAAACTGCTAAAAAACATGAGAAAATCTCTGTGACCTTATCTAGGCAGAGTTCTCATGTAGATATAAGAAGCGTAAGCCATAAAGGAACTGAATCAGCCTCAGAGAAAAGACATATTAATTATAAAGCCAATTTTTCACCTCAACATCCTACACAGAAAGACCATCAATAAGATTTGCCTCCACACCCAGAGCTTCTTATCAATTTTTAGTTCATTCTTAAAAAATAATGGATGGCCAAGAACAGCCAAATATTTAAAGAAAGCTTCCAACATGACAGACAAAAACCAAAACAGACCAATATACAGACAGAAATAAAGGAACTCTGAGGAAACAAGCACAGAGTAGGGAGCTGAAGGAAACTTTACAAACTACAGCCAGTCCTTGCTTTGCACGTAGTACAGGATCATAAAAACATCTGGACAACGGAAGGGTGAGTATTCTACACTCGTACTCCTTTGTAAGTTTGAATCATCTTCCAAAGGGTTGTCCTTTGCACTCTAAAGGTGTTCTACACTCACCTTGAAATCAAAGAAAAATGGATTTTTCTGTGACCTTTAGAAACTTTCGTCAAAACATTATTAAGTCTCTGACTCTGGGTTAAAAATAGAGAAACAAACAAACATACAAAAGGTAAAGCCACAACATTTAGTACACTGCAATTTAAAGCATCAGAAACCACTGAGAATTAAAGTGTTTTATTTCTTTGTATAAAACTTATGTCTATATAATGATATAGATCAATGACTAAATAACAAATAAGAGACAAATCTCTTGTTCAGAATAATTACAGACACTCCTCCCCCAAGGAGGTGGAACATAACTCCCCACCACTTAGACTTGGGCTGTGTACAGTGACTTCCTTTCAAACAGCAGAGTGTGGAAAGAGAGAGAACAGTAACTTCATGTGGAGAGATCTGGCAAACACCACCTCAACCCAGGTGATGAAGGTTAACATCCCAAGTGAGAAATCACATTGACAGCATGTTCCCTTGATATGAAGTGATGAGGATGGCACTTCATCACGGGTCTTCCATCCAAAACCCATAACCTTAGTCTAACCACTAGAAAAATATCAGACAAACTCAAGTTGGAGGACATTCCATAGATTAGCTGGCCAATTTCATCCTGAAACTGTCAAGGTAATCAAAAACAAGGAGAGTCAGAGAAACCATCGTGGTCTAAAGAAGCCTATGGAGATATGATGGCCAAATATAATATGGTATCCTAGATGAGATCCTGAAACTGAAACAGAAAAAGGACATTAGGTAAAAACCGAGGAAATGTGAATAAAGTATGAGCTTTTGTTAAAAACAAAAAAACTTATTCAGGGTAGTTTAAACAGTGTGTGCCTTCTTCTTGCCATGTAACTTATGATATGCAGTGAGTGTTTCTTCTATGCCTGGGTGAACTGTTGTACTCCTTTGTAAGTGTGAATCAGCTTCCAGTGGGTTATCCTTTGCGCTTTCAATGTAGTGAAATATCTCTGAGAGCTCCTTTAATGTGAAAGTTTGTGCTGGCGTTACTTCTTCTGGGACATCTTCATCCTTTTTGTCACAACCACTTTCCTCATTTATGCTGATAAGTTGCCTTCGTTAAGTTCCTCTGGCTGCAGATTTACAGTAACTCAAATGGCAGCAGTGTCAACATTCCCGTGGTCAGCTAATTCTTCTTTATAATTCTACTTGTTTTGATTTGAATTTCACTTCCAACATTATCACTTATTGGTTCCTTATGACACTTTCATCTTGGTTGATCAATTCTCTCTTTTGATTATCCATTTGAAAAGAATGTTGCCTGGGTTTATCACTGAGAAACAAGGAGACAACATAATGACATGTTTTGCTGTCTGAGTGAATAGAATAATGAATGTGCAGACACACAGACTCTGAAAGAAGTGACCTGATTGGTGACAGATTAGGATGTGCATCTGTTTTCTACACAGGGATGAGTGGACTGAAGAGCTAGTAGTGAAGTTTATACTTTATTCAATTACTCACAGTTAACACATCGTAGTCACTGAAATTGGAATCATATTATTGGGGGACTGGTGTTATTTAACTAACCTGGTGACTGAAATCCATGCATATCAGAACCATGCACAGAGAATTACTTGAAAAATTAATGTCCTTATAGACATAAAAGATAATTCTACATCCAACAAGGAAGAGCTGTATGCATTCTTTCAAAGGAATATTGTGAAGACAAGAATTCTTAGAAATTAAAATAGGAGTTGAAAGAAAAAAAAATCCAATGAAAGTATTGAAGGGGGAAAGTCAGAGAAATGTCCAAGAAATGAACAAATAGATGAAAGACAATAGAAGGGAACAAACAAAGACAAAAACATTAGAGGATAAATCCAGGAAACCGACATTTAACCACGGGAGTTCCAGAAAGAAAGAAGAGAGAAATGAAAGAAAAAAACTGTCAAGGAAATAAAACAATATATTTCCCACAAAATAAAAGACACAAGTCACAAATCACAAGTCTTCAGTCTGTAACAGCCCACAGGGAGTACCCAGCATAACACTTCCAAGGCCCATTACTGTGGAATTTCAAAACACTGGGAGAGAAAAAAGAATATTCTCGAAAATTCCAGAAAGGCCCAGATTGAGAGACAGAGAGAGAAGAAGAAGAAGAAGAAGAAAAGAAAAAAGAGGCTCTATAAAAAGGATCTTGAATAAAACTGACATTAGATTTCTGGATAGCATGTTTGAATGCAAAGACACAAAAGACACTGGAGCAACTTCCATTCCAGCCAAGATGGAATAACATAGACTGATTTACCTACCCAGCCAAAACAACCAAAAGAATCAGACAAAATACATGAAACAATGGTTCTGAAGGCACTGGACATTGGGCAAGGAAGCACAGTGATCCCTGAGAGACAGGAAACTAACGAGGTGAACCCAGTGACTGCCCCAGTTTACTGGTTAGAGAACCCTGGGTATCTGCACAGGAATTCCTCGATGATTCAGCAGAGGACTGATCAGCACATAATGGGTGAGCAATTCCCCAGGGCTGGGGAAAGAACCATCCAAAAGGATTCAAGGGAACAATATATGGTGCTCACACAGGGCTGAGAACAACGCCTGTTCCCACCAGCTAACTTGGGAAAACACATACATCACAGCACTGGGGAGACTAGTTTGGAAGGTCTTAGGCAATGAACACTGCTCCAGACCCAGCAAACTACAAAAGTAAGACCTGAAAAAATCAAACTGATTCCAAATATCTCAACGACATACTGGAAACAAAGCTCAAGAACATTTATAGGAATACAAAAATATCTAGTACACCACAAGGTAAAATTTATAATATATGGTAAAATTTATAATATAAAGACTACCAGGTTTCCTTCCTGTAGGAGATAGCTTAAAAAAGAAAAAAGTAAAATAACAAAGACTATCAGGTATGCAAAAAGGCAGAAAAACACAACCCACAATAACAGTAATCAATGAACTGAAAGTGATGTGGAACTGATACACATGTTAGAATTAACAGAGTAGGACACTGAAGGGTATTTATAACTGCACTCCATATGTTGAAAATGATAAGCTACAAACCAAACAGAACTTCTAGAAATGAAAATTACAATGTCTGAGATAAAGACCCAGCAATAGTAACTATCCAAAATAAAACACAGAGAAAAAGAATTTTAAAAATTAAAGAGAGCATCTGTGACCTAGAGGACAACTTCAAGCACCTCAATATACATGAGTAATTGGAGTCCCTAAAAGACAAAATGAGAGCGGGAAAAAGAAAAAAAATCTTTCAAAATAATGGTTGAAAAAAGTCCAAACTTTTTTTTTTGGGGGGGGGGGGACGACAAGGTCTCACTCTGTCACCCAGGCTGGAGTGCTGTGACACAATCACAGCTCACTGCAGCCTTGACCTCCCTAGGCTCAAGTGATCCTCCCACTTCAGCCACCCTAGTAACTGGGACTACTGGCATGTGCCACCACGTCCAGCTAATTTTTTTGTGTGTGTATTTTTTTGAAGAGACAGGGTTTTGCCATATTGCCCAGGCAGGTCGTGAACTCTTAGGTTCAAGAGATCCACCTGCCCCGGCCTCCCAAAGTGCTAGGATTACAGGCATGAGCCACTGCACCCAGCCCAACATGTCCAAACTTGATGAAAGCTATAAATCCAGAAATCCAAGAAGCTCAGTAAATCCCAAGCTGATTAGAAACTTGAAGAAAACATTACCAGGGCACATCATAACCAAATTACTCAAAACTCATGATAAAGAAGAACTTGTAAAAAGTAGCCACAGAGAAAGTTGTATTACATACAGAGAAAAAATATGGGGATGACAACAGATTTCTGTCGAGAAATAATGCAAGTGAGAAGAAAGTGGAGCAGTATCTTAAAATGAATGAAAGAAAAAAACTCTGTCCATTTAGAATTCTATACCCAGCAAAAATATCTTTCAAAAATGAAGGTGAGGCCAGGTGTGGTGGCTCACGCCTGTAATCCCAGCATTTTGGGAGGCTGAAGCAGGCAGATCACCTGAGGTAAGGAGTTCAAGACCAGACTGGCCAACATGGCAAAACCCCATCTCTACTAAAATATACAAAAATTAGCCAGGCGTGGTGGCGCACACCTGTAATCCCAGCTACTGAGAGGCTGAGGCAAGGGAATTGCTTGAACCCAGGAGGCAGAGGTTGCAGTGAGCTGAGGTTGCGCCACTGCACTCCAGCCTGGGCAACAGAGGAAGATTCTGTTTGGAAAAATAAAAGTAAAAAAAAAAAGGTGAAATAAAGACATTTTTATACATACAAAAGAACTTGGGAGGCTGAGGCAGGACCACTTGAGCCCAGGAATTGGAGACCAGTCTGGGCAACATAGTGATACCTCATCTCTAAAGAAATGAAACAAACAAAAAAGCTGAAAGAGTTCATCACCAGCAGGTCTTTGCCATAAGACATGGTTGACTCCTTCAGGCAAAAGGGAAATGATAACAGATGGAAATATGTATAGAACTACACAAAGGAATGAGGAAATACTTACATGGGTAAATAGATAAGATTTCTTTTCCTTTTCTTTTTTTTAAATGAGATAGGATCTTGCTCTCTGTTACGTAGGCTGGAGTGCAGTGGTGTGAACACAGCTCACTGCAGCTTCAACCTCCTGGGCTCAAGGGATCCTCCTGCCTCAGCTTCCCGAGTAGCTGGGACTACAGGCATGTGACACTAAGCTCGGGTGCCACCAAGCTCGGCTAATTTTTTGGCTTTTTGTAGAGACAGAGTCTTTCCACATTGCCCAGGCTGGTCTCGAACTCTGGGCTCAAGTGATCCTCCCAATGTGGTCTCCCAAAGTGCTGGGATTACAGGCGTGAGCCAATGCACCCAGCGTAAGATTTCTTATTACTTAATTCTTTTAGAAAATCACCGACTAAATAAGAAATATAACAATGTTGCATGCTGTTAATAACATATAAATGTTATTAACACTAATAGCACAAAGGTTGGGAGCTGGGAAATTTAAGTATATTACTGTAAGATTCTTATGCTATATGTGAATTGGTATAACTTGAAGGAAGACTATGATAGGTTAAAAGAAAATATTATATATCCTAATTCAATCCCAACCAAAATTTTACCAGATGCTTTTATGTAAATTTATAAGCTGATACTGAAGTTCATAGGGAAATACAAAGGATCTAGAATAGCCAAAACAATTATGAAAAAGAAGACCAAAGAGAACAAAGTTGGAGGAAGGCTGAGGGTGGGGAAAGGAAGCAACCTGGAGTGGGTGAGAGCAACAGAGCTGAATCCTTACCTATCCTATTTGTAAGTCAAAAGATAAACAGAAAAATCAAGAAGTATGGATGGAGCTAAAGGCCATTATCCTTAGCAAACTCACACAGAAACAGAAAATCAAATACTGCATGTTCTCACTTATAAGTAGGCACTTTGTTCCTCCAAAATGGACACAAAGCGGAGAATGACAGGCACTAGGGCCTACTTAAGGGTGGAGGGTGGGAGGAGGATCAGAAAAAAGTAACTATTGCGTACCAGGCTTAGTACCTGGGTGACGAAATAATCTGTACAACAAACTTCTGTGATACAAATTTACCTATATAACAAATCTGCACATGTACTCCAGAACCTAAAATAAAAGTTAAAAAAAATGAAGAAGTAGCAGTAAGTACATTATTTGAGAAAATAAATATCAAAAGAAAGAATTGAAAGTGGTTGTCTCTGAGGGACAGGATGAGGGTAGCAGAGGACTGCCATTTTTTATTATAAACTTTTTTTGTACTATTTGGCTTTTAAAGACAATGTTCATAGCTTTCATTGAAAATATTTTTTTTTAAATGTCAAGGGCTTCACAAAGATTCACTCAATATGTGAAAAATCACTACTGCGATGTTAAGTCATGACTTGTCTTTAAAGGGTATACAGAACTCAGCTCTGTTACGATTTGGCTTTATGACCTTGAATATGACAGCTTCTCTGAGCCTCCAGTCCTCTTTTGTAAATTTGTAACGTGACAGAGGATGGACCAGATCACTTCCAAGTTCCTTCTGGCTCCACAAGTCCATGTTTATCAGGTAACATTTTTGCTTACACAGTTACAGATACCACCCACCCATTCCTTAAAAGAATACATTACATTTCTTCAAAAATGTCCTCCCATCTATCCTCACCTCCATCCATCTGAGTTACTGTGGTATTACTACATTCCACAATCATTAACATTTGCAGATAGAAATGACACAAAAGAAAACATTCAAAGCCAGTTACCTAAACAACAAACTTTATATCTTAACCCTGTATGTTTCTGAAGATGTTCCATCTCTTTGGAAACTGTCATTTTTGGTTCCTTCCGGCTTTCCTATAAACCCACTAACACTAATTTGAGAAGAAAAGAAAATCCCCTAATGGCATCTGGGCAGGGTCAAATTTGGAAGTATACTACTCCTTCACAAACAGTGACCAAAAAAAAGAGGTAGGTGCCTGGAAGGATCCACCTACTCCTCTCTCCTCTCCGCTTGTGCACCCCGCTTTTCCTGATGCCCCTGCAGGCAAATGACCAGAAATAAGAGGAAGCCATCAACCATGTGGAGAAGTCTATTCTAAATTCTCACAGTTTCATTATGTCATTAACTTAGCAATCCTAAATGGACATTCATGTCAGATTTTTAGGCAAATTCCAAATGAAGGCATCATTAGCACTAACAATTTAATGTGATGAAGGAACAGGGTATGATGGCATTACCAGAAGGAGAAGAAATGGGGGGCCCACCTGATAGGCTGCTCATCACATGGAGAATGTCATTTCAGCCCCCCTCAGAACAAGGAATCACCTACCAAAAGCTGTAACATCAAGAAACACAATGCTTCTTGCCCCTTGATTTAGTTTGTGAAGACTCTTCCGGGGTTAATTTGCAATTATAGCAAACTAGAAACTAATCTGCCAAGAATTCGGAGTCATTAATTTACGAAGATGAACCAATGTACCACATGGTCATTCACAAGAATTCCCCAATTCTCTTTATCAAATAGATGACACCTAATGTAATACTCAGAAAACAGTGGTGTGAATACTGATTTCTGCAGCATTGCATGATATTGATTACCTTTTAAATTATTTTCCCTTAAAAAATGGCATGAAAAGTCTTCAGACCTAATATTCCAAGGCATGTACATACTCCTACCTTCAGGTGGCTCTTTCAGTCTGAACAAAAGGTAAGGCAATACAAATAAGGTAGATTATGGTGCAATTATCAAAAGAATGTCATTCCTCTCTGCCTTACTGTAAGCAAAGCAATTGAAAACATTCCTAACACGACTTTATACTGTTAAAAGAAAGAAAACAGTCTGCATGGCCTTCTGAGCAGGACAGTGAGTGGGAAGACATGTTCCAAGTGTGGTACAGGATCTCCTGCTCATTCATTTATTTAAACGTTTTTCCAAGTGGCCACAAGGTATTACTTGCTAGGTGCGGGAACACTAAGAAGAATACGTGACAATCCCTGACTTTTTCTTTTCACTTCTTACAAGAGTCCCAAAGGCAAAGAATTCCCAAGGACTCTGGGTGGCACAGAAGGCATCTCACAAGGCACTTCTAGTCGAAGGGAAGGATCATAAATGGATATCTTAGGAGGGAGCAGGCATTTTGTAAAGAGCATGAATGGGATTTGGGAAGAGAGAGAGGAGGGCTTGAATTTATTGATTGGTTTTGTGACTCTGAGCAAGTTCCTCAATTAAAAAATGGGTTACTGTGAAGATTAAGAAACAAAACAAAATAGAAAAGTGTGTGTTATGGTGCCTGGCACATGAGAGACTCTGTAAATGCCAGTGCCTTCTCTGTCACCTCCCTTTCCTATGGTGGGAAAGGTGGACAGTCGGTCCATGTTTTTAGAGAAGACACTGATGTGGGTCTTCAGAGAGAAGACCAATGAAAAACATCAGAAAAAGAGGAGGGAAAGAGAAGGAAGAGCAGTAAGGAGGCACAAGGAGCAAGAATAGCTTGTATAGGATGGTCCCCAGTGTTGGGCAGCAAGGAGGAAAGTGTTCCAGCAGCCTTGCTGATGGGCAGGTAAGCCATCAGCCACATGGGCATTAGCTAATTATTCTGTTCGGAACCTGTGGATCACTGAGAACCACCTCAACTGCCCTACTCTATTGGAAATGTACACAAGTTTCTAGTTTCACAGTTCTACTCCTCCCCAACATTTTATTATGAAAACTTCAAATATATAGAAAGTTTAAAGAACTATACAGTACAGGCACAGTGATGTGTGACTGCAATCCTAGCTGCTTGGGAGGCTGAGGTGGGAGGATCGCTTGAGCCCAGGAATAGGAGACCAGCTGGGGCAACACAGCAAGATCCCATTACTAAATAGATAGATAGATAGATAGATAGATAGATAGATAGATAGATAGATAAAATAAAATAAAGATAAAACATTTGAAACACTAAAACAAACAAACAAAGAAATAAAAAAAACACACATAAAAAAACGACCTAAAAAAACGGGTCTGGTACAGTGGCTCACACCTGTAATCCCAGCACTTTGGGAGGTCGAGGTGGGTGGGTCATCTGAGGTTAGGAATTCAAGACCAGCCTGGCCAACATGGTGAAACTCGGTCTCTACTAAAAATACAAAATTAGCCAGGTGTGGTGGCACATGCCTATAATCCTAGCTACTTGGGAGGCTGAGGCAGGAGAATCGCTTGAACCCGGGAGGCGGAGGTTGCCATGAGCCAAGATCGCACCAGGAGGCAGAGGTTGCAGCGAGCCAAGATCGCACCACTGCACTCCAGCCTGGGCAACAAAAGCAAAACTCCATCAAAACAAACAAAACTATAGTAAACACCCATATACCCATCACAGATTTGAGTCCTTTTGCATTTGGGAAAAAGAGGCACAAAAGGGAGATTCTAGAAAATTCTCATTTTGCAAACCTTTGGCTTCTGCACTATCAGCAAGCTGAATGAAATGAAAAATCTTTGCTTCAGAGATTCTTGAATGGCCAAAAAGGAGGCCCCTCAGATCTGGAGATCGTATTTAAACATGGAACCACCTATCAGTACAAGGACAAACTTGGCTTTGGGCCACAGCAGTCATTTTTCATTCATCCACCAACCTCCCCTAAATAAACACAAACATGCTGCAGTTTCTGCTGGCTTATGATGTACTAGCAGAATTTTTAAAAAGCATAAAGTGTCAAAAAAAAAAAAAAGAACTACGAGGAAAATGTTAAGGATTTCTACATCTGGCAATTAAAATACAGGATTTATACATTTTATGCTTTATTTCCGCTAACACCACTATAAATTATACAGGACTAATCCTAAATGCACATGATATGGGCAACTCAAACAGAAAATCTGTTTTGCATTTAGGTAACAGACATGGAAAAAATAGTATTTCACTTTCCTAACATCTAAGTATGCTGAGGGCAATTTGTTTCAATTATTAGCACCTTATACTATCACAAAAAATTATACTATTACATGAAGATAAGTACTCAATAATATAACACATTGTTAGAAACATAGATGATAATGAGACTTTTAATTATGGTTATAACATGAAGGTATAGAAAGAAAACAATTTTCAAATATTACTGCTATTATGAAACATGAAAGCGTTCTAACACAACAAAGGTCATATAAGTATAAGGTGATGTTAAACTTAGCTTCATGTTATTTAAAATAAAATCCTGAGATGACACAGTGCTTTAATGTGTGAGGTGAAAGCAGGCTTTCAGTGCTGAGTTCCAAATTTCTGCATACAGGAGCCTTTAAATGGAAATACTGAATTTTATTGGAGACACTGAGAAACCTTTCTATGTTTTCAAATTTAAAGAAAGCTAAGTCATTGCTAAAATCTCCTAAACTTTAATGAAATAATTACAAATTTAAAAAAACTATAGAAATCTTAGAGTTTGGATGATTATTATTATTATTATTATTATTATTATTATTATTTGAGACAGGGTCTCACTCAGTCACCCTCGGCCAGAGTGCAGTGGTACAATCTCAGCTCACTGCAGCCTCGACTTCCTCAGCTCAAGTAATCCTCCCACCTCAGCCTCCCGCCACAGCTGGGACTACAGGGGCACACCAACACACCCGGCTAACTTTTGTAATTTTTGTAGAGACAGGGTTTCGCCATGTTGTCCAGGCTGCTCTTGAACTCCTGAGCCCAAGTGATCTGCCCATCTCAGCATTCCAAAGGGCTGGGATTATAGGCATGAGGCATCTGGCCTGGCTGAGTTTGAATTATTTTTAAAAAATACATATAGATATTTTCTTTGCTCTGTTGCCCAGGGTCTTGCTCTGTTGCCATGGCATAATCACGGCTCATCACTGCCTCAAACTCCTTAGCACAAGCAATCCTCCCACCTCAGCCTCCTGAGTAGCTAGGTTTACAGGCATGAGCCACCATGCCTAATTTTTTGATTTTTGTTGTTGTTGTTGTTAGAGATGGGATCTTGCTATGTTGCCCAGGCTGGTCTTTAAGCTGTCCTTAAGCAATCCTCCCATCTCATCCTCCCAAAGGGCTAGGATTACAGGTATGAGCTACCATGCCCAGCTGATACAGGTAATTTTTAATAAACACAATTGTTCTGCTTCCCCAGCTGTGCTTTTGTCAAAGTCTGTAGAGTTGACACTTCACACTCTCACTCGATTAAAGCAGACCTTCATCTAAAAATCAATCCATCCATTTGCCAGATGTGTTACAGCCCATACAACAGGTGAGACGAGAAAGGCCAGATCTAAAAGGCATTTTAATAAATAAAGCATAAAATAGAAAAGCAGTAACTGAAAATTATGAACTCAAATGTGATAACTCATATTATATGATAATTCACTCATGAATTATCAATAATTCATAATTCTCTATTTACATTTTTTAAGTATTCTAGGTTTCACATCAGCATTCTCTCCATTCTCAACCATCAAAAGAAAGGTTTCATGTAAAATTCTACTATTAAAATAGTATTCCAAGTTGTCTGAATCCCTTTAAAATTTTTTTAAATTGCGGTAAAGTACACATAAAATTTAGTGTCTTAACCATTTTAAACGTACAGTTCTGCAGCATTAAGTCCACTCACACTGCTGGGCAACCAATCTCCTGTAGTACTGAATCACATTAAACAACTCCCCATTCCCACCTCTCCTCAGGTGGGGGCAATCACCGCTCTACTTTCTGTCTCTATGAATCTGACTTACTCTAAGAACCTCATATAAGTGAAATCATCTGGTGTTTTGTCTTTTTGTGATGGGCTTATTTCATTTTGCATAATGTCCTCAAGGTGCTTTTATAGCTAAGGAGCAGAATTTACACCTATATCTTTATCTTAACCAAATTACATTTTTACAATTTGCTTGAAGCAAATTGAAGCATGTATTAGAATCTCCTTCCTTTTTAAGGCTGATTAATATTCCACTGTAAGCATATGCCACATTTTGCTTATCCAAATTGTCCACATCTCTTTATGTGATGCTACTCTCAGGAATCTTGTTGAACTATCCCCTCTCAAAGAAAGCAACCGTGTCCTGACCTACTGGTCCAAGAGATGTCAAAGGAAGGAGACAAACTACATTCATTCGTCTTTCCTGGATACCCAACCAGACAGATATGCCAGAGGGGACATCTGTTAGAGGTGTACCACATCTTTATTAAAAACCAAGTTTTATGTCTTTGTGTACATTACATGGTAAAATCAATTTTCCTGGTTAATCATTCTATTTTATTAGTAACTGCACACTTTAAAATTCTGCATTTTACATTAACGAGACTCTAGTTTTATGCTGAATATTTACTTGAATATTTTAAAATACTCTTTTGAGAACAGGCTGATCCTTTCTTACAAGTGTGCAGCTGGTAAGGTGCAAAGTAGCTGAATTCAGAGGGAGGAATGAGTGGGGGTGGTGGAAATTCTTCCTTACTTATTAAAGTAAATAATTTAGAACAGGTGTTAAAGGTCTCTACCACTTTTCCAGTCTGAAATTAGCATAGCCCTTTAAAAGCCAACTAGACCTAGCCAAAACTGGCAAAGAGGAGGGAAAGGTGGTGGCGGGTTAGCAGGAAAAGCTCTCGATTTGCTGCTAGAACATGAAGGCACAAAAAACATGGCACCTGCCAAAAGCAAATCAATGATTCTAGTAATAAGAGCAATGTATTTAAAGTTCTGAGAGAAAACAGTTTTGGGATCTAGAATTCTACATCCAGCAACATTATACATGCAAAACAATATAACATTTAAGAAAATTACTTCCCTCAAAAAAGTCCACACAAAAACCGCTGGGATGGCTGAAAGTTTCTTCTGGGCAGCAAAGTTTTAATGACATAGGAATACACTTTCTTCTCAATGTCCCATTTATGCAACTTTTTTTCTCTACAGAGGATAACATTTATACAACCATAATATTATACACGCTGCATCCTGATTGTCATCTCTTGGGATCAACTTATAAAGAGGGCACAAAAGTATAGATACAAAAAGTAGTAAATATTATAAATAATAACTAATCAAAGTGAGAAGAGGGCAGAAAGAGACGGAAGGCAGAATATACATACTAAATTCCAAATCTTTTATAGTAGTAATCAGGATACATTGTTCAAAGTTGGTAAGTCAAGAAATGGAGGTATTTAAAGGAATAACAGAAACCACCAAAAGAATATAACAGGAGCTGCCACTGGGAAGAGAAGCTGCGAGTGAGGAATGAAGATTTTCCTCCTTCATTTTACACTCTAGTGTACTACACGAATTTTTAAAAATTATGTGCATTTATCATTTCAGTGGTTTCAAAGGTGTCATGGGAAACATTTTCTCTGCTAAAATATACTTAACTTATAAGATCTACATTGAATTTGCCAACATTTACTCTGCCCAAATATAAGAGAGATTTTGCTGTGGCGGCTAGACTAGGTAAATCTACAGTCCTTTCCAAAAGCTAAGGCTCTATCCCAAGGGATAAGCAAATTGTAAAAATATAATTTGGTTAAGATAAAGATAGAGATGTAAATTCTGCTCCTTAGCTATAGAACCTAGAGCAAACAAGAGCTAAACAACAGGAAATTTCCCCAGAAAAAGCAAGACTAGGGACAGAAGAGGCAGTTAGAGCAGAACGGAGGTGTCCCAAGAGGCCCAGGGCAAGAGAGAAGCACCAAGGAAGAGTCAACACAGAGCTTCCTGGACTGCGTGAGACAGCCAGCTGCCATAAGGGTCAAAGGGGCCACTGCTTGCGCTGTAGACACACATTTTGAAATAGCAGTGGACAGTTGTGGGTCTCAAGGTGAGAGGCACCCACTCAAAGTGATGAATGTCTAAGCACAGGGCCAAGACAAAGACGGCAAAACGGGCTGAGTACACATTCTTCTGCCACAGTGCTAGTAGTTTCCAACCATTTTGTTGAAACCATGAGAAGGACCTTCTAAAAACTTCTAGTATATAGCTGGTAGGTGGAAATTTAGAGGGCGGCCTCCACTAAAAGGGCCAATGATTCTTTTTTTTCTTTTCTGAGTCTCATTTTGTCACCCAGGCTGGAGTGCAGTGGTGGGATCATGGCTCACTGGAGCCTCGACTTTCTGAGCTCAAGCCATTGTACCACCTCAACCTCCTGAGTATCTGGGACTATAGGCATGGGCCACCATGCCTGGCTAATTTTTGTTTGTTTGTTTGTTTGTTTTTTGGAGATGGGGTCTTGTCATGTTGCCCAGGCTGGTCTCGAGCTTCTGAACTCAAGCAATCCTCCAGCCTTGACCTCCCAAAGTGCTGGGGTTACAGGCATGCGCCACTGTGCTCAGCCAATGATCTTTTTATTTGACATGTCTTTATTATTGTAGCGTCATAAAGAGCTTTCATAGGTTCACCTGTGACACTGATTTACTGTATGTTCCTAAACTAAAAATTCCACTATAAGGATTTTCAAAACTCTAATCTTCAGGTTTAGAAGAGACTGCCATTTGCTATTTGAGAGAATCAAAGGGTCTCACGAGTTTTTATCAATTTCCATGTCATGCCCTACACACTGTGCACAATATAAAAGCATTTGGAATTTAAGAGCCAGAAGGGACGTCAGCATTCTTTCCACCAAAATGCCTCATTTAAGATGAGAAAACAGAGGCACACGCTGGGCTCTTGATGGGTATTTACTGAAGGGAAGAGAGAATGAAGAGTCTTTTCCGAGGTGCTAGGTGGTGGCAGAGCCTAAGCTGGAACCCTTGGCTTCTGGCTGCCTGATAAGTCAGTTCTCTGTCCACTCTGCCCTATGGCTTCTGTTGTCTCTAAGGATTTTTCAGTAGGAAGACAGAAAACACTTGCTCCACAAGCCCATTTATGAATAAATGTGTAAGCACTTTGACAAGGCAATGGGTCCTGGAATATGATCTGGTGAATTAGAATTCTCCTTCCTAAAGGGCTTTTTCCTCACCTTCTAATGTAATACATATATTCAGTTACTTTCAGAAACCACTAGCTGCAGGTGAAAACCATGTGGAATCCAAAAACCACAGCTTTGATATATGCATTAGCATTTCCTACCTAGCAGGAATTCGGAGAGCTACTCAATTTTCAAGGAAGGCTGAAATTTAGTCTCATAGAAAGGAAAGGCTAGAGGGAAGAGACTGGCCAATGGGATTTTCCCATCAGTTGAGATAAACCAAAGAGCAAGTAACCAAAGGGCATGACTGATTAAAATCTCTATCAGCACAAAGTGGCTTTAGAAAATCATTCCCTTTAATTAGAGAACATTACAGTATTAATAAAATGGGAATAGTAATAGCACCTATCTTTCAGGAAAGTTGCGAGTGTTGGTGTTGGCTTATGGGGACTGAGTACCTATTAGTGAGATCTTACATGTTTCAGCATCCACTGTAGAGGAGTATTCTCCAAACACTATGCTACCCTGTATTTCTTCAGATCCCACACCACCAAACCAAATCTTCCTCCCTCTCAAAGCAAACTATGTTCAGTCCAGTTTCTCCAGAACCCAAGCCCTCTCTTTTTTCCGGTTAACTATAAAATGCTTGAATATTCTGGACACTGAATCTATTACAGGAAAGAAAAGAAGCACACTGCTACAATACCAGTGTAAACAGCAAAAGAAATGGATGCTCATCTCTAGCAGCACTGCTAATAGCCACGTGTAGAAGCTCGACTGCTCTGACCAGCTCTGCCAAGGGCTCAGAGTCAATTCTCTAAAGCAAATAGAAGTGAGTCACAGAGCAGTGCCTGTCTTCCTCTCGACCATAGTGCCGCCCTCCAAATCTTAATCGTACCTTTCTAATTATGGATGCCTGAATTTTTACATTTATATCTATGCCATTTCCCCCATACTTTAATCCCTTATTTTATTTAAGAGACTAATAACAGTTTAAAGAAAAAGAAAGAAAATGAATAAAAGCACTAATGTATCCATGGGGTTTACACAATATGTAGAAGTAAAATATAAGACAAAAGATCGCAAAGGATTGGGGAAGGGAGTAATTGGAAATATACTGTTAAGAGTCTCACAATGTTCATGAAGTAGTACATTTTTTACTTGAAGACAGTCAAAAACAAAAAGAAAATAAAAATAAAAGACAGACTGATACTTGAAAGATGCATATTATAATCTTAGAGTAGTGCTTGGCCAATAGAAATATAATGTGAACCAGATATATAATTAAAAATGTTCAAATATCTACCATTTAAAAAGGAAAAAGAAGTCAAATTAATTTAATATTTTTAACCTCATATATCAAAAATATTATCAACATATAATCTGCAGGTAAACAATGACTAATGTAGTTTACATTCTTCAAAATCTGGTGTGTAGTTATATTCACAACCCATCTCATTTTGGACTAGCAACATTTCAAGCACTCAATAGCCATGTGGTTAATGGCTACCATCTTGGACAGTATAATTCCAGAGCAAGGGTCAACTTTTCTCTAAAGGGCCACAGAGTAAACATTTTGAGTTCTGGGGGCCATAAGGTCTCTGTCATAACTACCCACCTTTGCCATGGTAACTCAAAAGTAGCCACAGGCAATATGTAAATGAATGGGGGGCTGGGCACAGTGGCTCGTGCCTGTAAGCCCAGCACTTTGAGAGGCGGAGGTGGGAGGATCACTTGAAGCAAAGAGTTCAAGACCAGCCTGGGTAACATAGCGAGACCCCATCTCTATTAAAAAATTATTTAAATAAAACAAAATTAAAAAATAAATGAATGGGCAAGGCTGTGTTCCAACAGAACTTCATAAAAACATGTGAGCCACGTGGGCCGGATTTGGTTTGAGAGCTGTAGTTTACCAACCACCAATCTGGAACAACGACTTTAAAAAACAACACAAAGAGGTATAAGCAAAAAGTCAATAGAGAAGATAAAACAGGATGATAAAATATCAGCAAATACTAAATAATACATAATTCAACCAAAAGGCAGTAGAATAAGAGGAACAGAGGGACACAGAACAAACAGGACAAACAGGAAACAAACCACAAGATGGGAGGCAGACCTGTCCTCAACATTAATTCAATATAAATGGCAGAGATTGCCAGAAGCAAGAGCCAGCTATATGCTATTTATAAGAAACATACTTTCATTGTAAAGACAAACCAGTTACCAGTAAAAGACTGAACAAAAATATACGATGCAAACGCTAAGTATAAGAAAATAGGCAAGGTGTGGTGGCTCATACCTGTAATCCCAGCACTTTGGGAGGTCAAGGCAGGTGGATCATTTGAGGTCAGGAGTTCGAGACCAGCCTGGCCAACAGAGCGAAACCTGGTCTCTACTAAAAATGCAAAAATTTAGCTGAGTGTGATGGCACATGCCTATAATCCCAGCTACTCGGGAGCCTGAGGCAGGAGAATCTCCTGAACCAGGGAGTTGGAGGTTACAGTGAGCCAAGATTGCACCACTGCACTCCAGCCTGGCAACAGAGCGAGAGTTCGTCTCAAAAAAAAAAAAAACATAACCCTGATACCAAAACTCGACAAAGACTGAAAATTACAGGCTGGGCGCGATGGCTCACAGCTGTAATCCCAGCACTTTGGGAGGCCAAGGCGGGTGGATCACGAGGTCAGGAGTTCGAGACCATCCTGGCCAACATGGTGAAACCTCATCTCTACTAAAAATCGAAAAAAAATTAGCTGGGTATGGTGGTGCATGCCTGTAATCCCAGCTACTCGGGAGGCTGAGGCAGGAAAATTGCTTGAACCAGGGAGTTGGAGGTTGCAGTGAGCCGAGATTGCGCCACTGCACTCCAGCCTGGCAACACAGCGAGACTCCGTCGGAAAGGGAAAAGGGAAAAGGGAAAAGGGGGAAGGGAAGGGAAGAGAAGGGAAAGGAAGGGAAGGGAAGGGAAGAAAATTACAGTCTAATATTCCTCATGAACAGAGATGCAAAAAATATTTAACACAATATCAGCAACCAAATCCAACAACATATTAAAAGGATAATACTTCATAGCCAAGTGGGATTTCTTTTAGGCATACAAATCTGATTAAACATTCAAGTATCAATTAGTATAAATCAAAATATTAACAAAATAAAGGATGGCCAGGTGCACAGCTCCCACGTGTAATCCCAGCACTTTGGGAGGTGGGAGGATCTCTTGAGGTCAAAGGTTCAAGACCAGCCTGAGTAACATAGTGAGACTCTTGTCTCTACAAAAATAAAAAAATTAGCCAAGTGTGGTGGTGCACACCTATAGTCCCAGCTACTCAGGAGGCTGAGGTGGGATGATCCCTTGAGCCCAGGAGTTCAAGGCTGCCGTGAGCTATGATTATGCCACAGCACTCTAGCCTGGGCAACAGACCCTGTCTCAGAAATATTAAAAATAAATAAATAAAAGACAAAACCCATAAGACAAGTTTTAAAGACACAGAAAGAGCACCTGAAAAGACTTAATATCCATTTGTGATGTTGAATGATTTCTTAACGTACTAGAAATGGAAAGGAACTTCCTAAACCTGAAAAATAATGTATATGAACAACCTAAAATCTTACTTAATGGGGAAACATTGAACTTCTCCTCCCTAATACTGGAAACAAGGCAGGGATATCCACTCTCTCTATTTCTACTTAACCACTGACTAGCTAAAGGTGCTAGTCAGTGCAATAAGGCAAGAAAAATAAATAAAAGACATAAAGACTGGAAAAGATGTAAAACTTGTTAACAGCATACAACATAATTGTGCACATAGAAAACCTTATGGAATATTTTAAAAAATCCTATCAGAACAAATAAGTGAATTTAAAAAGGTTGCAAAATATGAAGTCAATATATAACAATGAATTATATTTCTTTTTTTTGAGATGAAGTCTCGCTCTTGTCCCCCAGGCTGAAGTGCAATGGCGTGATCTCGGCTCACTGCAACCTCCGCCTCCCGGGTTCAAGTGATTCTCCTGCCCTCAGCCTCCTGAGTAGGCTTATAGGCACCTGCCACCACGGCCAGCTAATTCTCATATTTTAAGTAGAGACAGTGTTTGGCCAGGCTGGTCTTGAACTCCTGACCTCAGGTCATCTGCCCGCCTTGGCCTCCTAAAGTGCTGGGATTATAGGCGGGAGCCACTATGCCCGGCAACAATGAATTGTATTTCTATACAAAAGGAGCAAACGGTTTGAAAATGACATTTAAGAAACAATTCCAGGCCAGGCCTGGTGGCTCATACCTATAATACTAACACTTTAGGAGGCCAAGGTAGGAGGTTGACTTGAACCCAGGAGTTCGAGACCAGCTTGGGCAACACAGTAAAACCTTGTCTCTACAAAAAAATTTTTAAAAATTAGCCGGGAGTGATTGCAAGTGGCTGTAGTCCCAGCTATTTGGGTGGCTGAGGCAGGAGACTCCTAGGGCCCAAGAGGTCAAGGCTGCAGTGAGCTGTGATCATGCTACTGTACTCTACCCTGGATGACAGAGTGAGACCCCCATCTCTATTAAAAAAAAAAAACTTAGGAAGAAAACTAACATAAAATATACAAGATCGCCACAGTAAAAACTAAAAAATAGGCTTACTGAAGAAACTGGCAAGATTATTCTAAAATTTATATAGAATGCAAAAGATCTAGAATGGCCAAAGAAATCTGAAAAAGAACAATGTTAGAGGGTATATGCTTTCTGGTTTTAAGACACTATAAACCAACAGTAATAAGATAGTGTGGTACTGGCATAAGGAAAAACATAACTGACTGGAAGTGAAGAGAGCAGAAACAGACCTAGACATACACGATCAGTTGATTCTTGACAAAGGTAGTGAGTCAAACCAATGAAGGAAGAAAACTCTTTTAAACAAATTGTTAAAATGTTGTTGGAAGAATCAGATAGTCATATGGAAAAAAATAAACCCTGATTTCCATATCTTACTCCACATACACAATTAATTTGAAATGGGTCATGACCTAAATGTAAAAGTTAAAATTACAAACCTTCTACCAAAAAAAAAAAAAAAAGAGACAATCACTGCAACCTTAGGGTAGACAAAGATTTTGGGGGAGGAGGGGATTCACTAACAATAAACGGGAAAAAACTTAATAAACAAGACTTTATGAAAATTAAAAGTATTTGGCTGGGTCTGGTGGCTCACATCTGTAATCCAAGCACTTTGGGAGGCCGAGGCTGCCGGATCACTTGAGGCCAGGAGTTCGAGGCCAGCCTGGGCAACATGGCGAAACCCTGTCTCTACTAAAAAAACAAAAATTACGCGGGCGTGGTGGCGCACATCTGTAATCTACTCAGGAAGTTGAGGCACGAGAATCACTTGAACCTGAGAGGCAGAGGTTGCAGTGAGCTGAGATTGCACCACTGTACTCCAGCCTAGACAACAAAGCAAGACTCTGTCTCAAAAGAAAAGAAGAACAAATCAAAAATATATGCTCATTTACAAACATCACAAAGAAATGAATAGGTAAACCACAGAATTGAAAAAATACACGTGCAGCAAAAATATCTGACAAAGGCTATGTATCCAGACTACATACAAGAACTATAAGTGAATAGCGAAAAGACAAACAACCCAATTTTAAAAGGGGCAAGAGACTTAAAAAGCCACCTCATTGGTCAACAAGAACATTAAATGGTCGTCAATATCATTAGTCATGAGAGAAATGCAAATTAAAACCACAATGCAATACTGTCTCATTCCATCTAAGATGACTAAAGTTAAAAGATTGACAGTCAGGTGCAGTGGCTCACGCCTGTAATCCCAACACTTTGGGAGGCCGAGGCAGGCGGATCACTTGAGGTCAGGAGTTCAAGACCAGCCTGGCCAAAGTGGCAAAACATCGTCTCTACTAAAAATACAAAAATTAACCGGGTGTGGTGGTGCACATCTGTAGTCGCAGCTTCTCGGGAAGCGGAGGCCCGTGAATCACTTAATCCCAGGAGAGAGGCTGCAGTGAGCCAAGATCGCACCACTGCACTCCAGCCTGGGAAAAAGAGCAAGACCTGCCTCAAAAAATAAATAAATAAATAAATAAATAAATAAATAACATAAAAGATTGACGGCATGAAATGCTGACAAGGATGTGGAGCAACTGAAACTCACACAATAAAATGGCATATCAAACTTGTACTATAAAATGCTATATCCACTTTGAAGAGCTGTTGCTTTGTTCTTATAAAGTTTAACACAAACTTATCCTAAAAATCAATAATTCTACTCCTACATATGCAGACAAAAAAATTATCTTACTGAAACATTCACAGCAGCCTTACTGATAATAGCTCCAAACTAGAAACAATTCAAATGTCCAACATCAAGAGAATGGGGGTAAAATAAATGCTGCATATTTACATAATTAAATACTCAACGATTAAAAAACTGCTGAGATGCAATAGCAAGGATGAATTTTAAAAATATATTAAGCAAAAAAGTTAAACACAATGCCAAACAACTCTATTTTTTATAAATTCCAAGAATAGGTGAAACTAATCTTAGAGTGGTAAAAATTTAAAAATGGTTGCTTAGGGTCATGGGAATTGTAGTGGGAATTTGGGATTGTTTGAAAACAGACACAAGGAAATTCAAGGGAAATAGAAATGTTCTATATCTTGCTTTGGTTGGAGATTATATGAGTGTATCCAACTGTTAAAACTCTTTGAACTAAACATTTATGATCTCTGCATTTTATTTTATTTTAATCATACCTCAATTTTTTTAATCTCTAAAAAACCATTTTTAAAGTACAGAGGGCAATCTGAAATATTAACAGTGATTGCTTCTGGGTGTTGGGATTATGGCTAATTTTTTTCTCTTGTTAATTCACATTGTTCTAAACTTCACAATTTTCTATAATGAACATATGTATGTACACATTTTTCCCATTTTCTATACCTGTGTTTTGTAGTTTCACAAAGATACCAAATGTTGCCAGCATTTATCTTCTGCAGGGAGGATTATGGGTGATAAAAGGAAGTGTGAGTCAAGCATTCTTTCTACAGTAGGCACCTGGTTCAGTATCTACAGGACCTGAAAGCTCAGGAGATCAGGCAGAGGCAGCAGTACTGAGAAGAGCAAGGGATCAGACACACACAAGTTCACTTCTAATCCTGGTTCTTGCACAGAACTGGTGAACAAGACACAAAGCCTCCATCTCCTCAACCCTAAAATGGGAGTAAGACATATCCTGGGCCAGGCACAGTGGTTCACACCTGTAATTCCAGCACTTTGGGAGGCCAAGGCAAGAGCATCACTTGCATCCAGGAATTTGAGACCAGCATGGGCAATAGAGCGAGACCTCATCTCTACAAAAAATCAAAATTAGCCAGGTGTGGTGGTGCGTACCTGTAGTGCCAGCTACTCAGGTTGAGGTTGGAGGATCACTTGAGCCCAGGAGGTCGAAGCTGCAGCAAGCTGTGATTGTGCCACTGCACTCCAGCCTGGGCAACAGAATGAGACCCTGTCTCAAAAAAAAAAAAAATTCCTGTCTACCTCAAAGAGGTTTTGTGAGGGTTAACCAAAATGGCTATGGTCTATAAAGCAGTCTCTAAAATACAGGAAATTCAGGTCATAGTCACTTCTGATATGATGTGAAAAGTTGAAAGGCCATCTTTCCCAAAAGTCAGATTTAGTACTTACAAACCTATGAGAAGCAACAAGAAAAGCCATTGCTAGAACTCTGGCCTTTTAAATTAACAGCTGAGAGCTCTTACCTATTGTTGCGGTAATAGTGATTCTGCAGGGTGTAGGGTATGCACTGGGGGTTTAACCGTTTGCTGTCAGCCTCCTTCCAGCTATCTTCAGTCCACTTTCTTTTGATCTGCTTCTCTTCCTGTTTTCTCCCCATATATTCAGCATAGGTTTGGATCCGATAGCTTTCTGCATATTTGCTGGTATTGACAGCTACAAGGAAAAGAAAAAAAAATAAAATGCTTACAAAAGTCTGGCCTAGCCCCAAAGATGACACTTTTGAAATGTGGCCTAAGGTGGTCAAAGGAGCCCCATCAGGCCTGAGGTCTGACCCTTGGCTCTGCCACCTGGAAGACAAATGACCTTGGGTACACCTGCAAACTCTCCAAGTCTGAGTTTTCTCACCTGGAAAAAAAAGCCATTGCTCCCCAATCTCATTTTCAGTGTGAAAGTACTTTGTAAACTGTAAAGAACCGGTAATGATATAAGTAAAATATTAATTTTCAAAATATTTGCAGCCAACATTACTATTTGGATATTATTCATTTTCAGAGTAACAAAATGAAAATAAACAAAACCACTAAGGGAAAACTATAAACCCTCACTATTTTCCTAAAATAAAATGACAACAAAAAGCAATATTGCCAGTGGTGGCGATTACTGTGTCACACACTGAAGATCTCCGGTATGTCTGTGTGCAGTGTTTTACATGCATTATATCTAATCTTCATAGTACGCTTGCAAGAGAGGAAATGTTTTTACTGGTGAGAAAGCAGGATCACAGAGGTCAGGGTTTTGCTGCAGACCATCCCTGGGTGAATGGCAGGGATAAGATGCAAAACCAGGTTCCTCAAACCCTAATACCAGGGTCCTTCTTATTACTCTGCATCTATTGGAGGTGCTTTATTATTTTCATTTTATTAATTTTTTTAAATGATCAGGCTTTATTACCTGTTCTGTTACAATGAGTTTTAAACAAATTTGTACACCCACATGTCATCCATCACGCAAATTAAGATAAAGAACATCCCCCTCACCCTCATGCCTGTTTTTAGACAGACTCCCACCCCTCCTTCACTGGACGAAGGCGCCTCAGATGTGTAGTACAATTATGGCATTATCTTCCTCAACTTGAAAACTTTGCTGTCACCACTGCTATCATCAGGGCTTAATTTTGCCTTCTCTTGAGCTACCTATAACTGGAATTACACTACATATGCATTTTTTTGTATTTATCTTATTTCAATAGTTTTGGGGGAACAGGTGGTGTTTGGTTGCATGGAAAAGTTCTTCAGTGACGATTTCTGAGTTTTGGTGCATCCATCAGCTGAGCAGTGTACACTGCACCCAGTGTGCAGTCTTTTATCCCTCACCCCCTCCTGTCCTTCCCCTGGAGTCCCAAAGTCCATTACATCATTCTTATGCCTTTGCTTCCTCATAACTTAGCTCCTATGCACTCTGCAAATTTAAGACAGCTGCACAATACTTAGGACATGCCTCTGCTCCTTCTGCCTTAAAGACTGCTAATTCTCCGTAATGCGCCTCTGGCTGGCAGCAGTACTTGAACACTGGGGCTTAATCCCCCCTTGGTGTTAATGCTTCAGACTAAGGCCAGGTCAGTTGTGTTCTGATCCCATGCTGCCCCCTCTTCTGAGGCTGCTGTGGATGGATCACGATGGCGGCATGGGAGTGAGGATCAATGGTGGCCTCTTGGTGCCCATTTGCTACTTCTGGCTTCCAGTTTAGGCATATGCGTTCCTAGCCCACTATCACTGCCAACAACTATTACCCACACTGGCAGTGAGACCATCAGAGCCTGGCCACGCTGTTCAGGGCAGTCTTTGTACCTGGTAGCTGCAAAGCGCCATGATGTCAGAAACAGAATCTGTCTACTTGCACCTAGAAAACCCCTGGATATGGAATAGTTCTCAATAAAAATGATGTGACTGAATGCAGAGCAGAATGCAGTGCTGGTGACGAGCATGCAGGCTGTGGGCACGTCGGCACTGGACAAGGGACTCCAGTTTACCAGGGACCTTAAAACAGAGGGAAAGACAACTGTATGAGAGGCAGATGTCCCACATCCGGCACCTGACACATTTTAATCTTCAACTAGGCCAGACTTCACTAAAACTTAGTGCAACAAAGGTTTCCGGAATGTCATGCCCTAAATATTTAGTCATCTAAAAAACAGAACAAAACAGGAAAAAACTCTACTTCTTCAGAAAACACAAATTTTTACTAAGAAGTTTGTGTACTTTTAAAATATTCACTCAAGAGTTAAAGAGAAAAAGAAAAAAAAAACCCTCAAAGTATTAGGGAGGCAGGGCACAGTGGCTCACACTTGTAATCCCAGCACTTTGGGAGGCCAAGGCGGGAGGATAACTTGAGCCTATGTAGTTGAAGACCAACCTGGGCAACACTGTGAGACCCCCGTCTCTAAAAAGAAAGTGCTAGAGAATGTTCATATTATACAATGTCTCCCAAAGAAGTGGAGTGGGTTACTGAAATGTGAGCTGAAAACAGCACACTCTGCCTCACTCAGGAGATAAGCGGTGAAAGCAGGCAGTTCTGGAGATGTGCTATTGAGTAAAGTTACTCATATCAGAGAGCCACAGAAATAGGATCCTTTCCTGAAAATCTTATTCCTTGGAACAGTTATTTTTCTTACTTTGAATGTGTCATATTTCTGTTATTTTTCACTCATTTACCCAGCCTCCCAACAATTCATATCCAATAACCATTGTCCACCCATTCTTCCATGTGGTAACTGCTTACTGAGTGTTTTTGTCCCAGGAACTATGTCAGGTATTTGGTAAATCAAGACACAATCTCCACCCTCTCTTAAAGGTCACCCTGTCACATACCAGATTTATGTAGTGGTGATTTCGCTGTAAGCTTGTCACTCCCTAAGCTTGTGACAGATTAAAATATGTTCATCTATCAATGTGGACATATGAGAACCCATTGGTTCTACCATCATTATTCTGTACCAATTGTTAACCAATGAGCATTCTCCTGGATTTTCTTCTATTTCAATTCTTTTTTTTTTTTAAGAAAGTTCTTTATTTTTATTAATATATTTATTTATTTGAGACAGTCTTGCTCTGCCGCCTACGCTGGAGTATAGTGGCGCCATCTAGGCTCATTGCAACCTCCGCCTCCCGGGTTCAAGTGATTCTCGTGCCTCAGCCTCCTGAATAGCTTAAACTATAGGCGTGCGCCACGACGCCTGGCTAATTTTTGTAATTTTCACAGAGACAGGGTTTCACCGTGTTGGCCAGGCTGGTCTCGAACTCCTGAGCTCAAGTGATTCGCCTGCCTCGGCCTCTCAAAGTGCTGGGATTATGGGCGTGAGCCACCGTGCCTGGCCTGGCTATTGCGTTCTTTAATCTAAAAGGTTTATTTTGATTTGCAAGCACACCCAAAAGGGATGACATCTGCAATAATCCCTCTGTTGCCAGGTGTGGTCGCTCATGCCTACAGTCCCAGCACTCTGGGAGGCCAAGGCAGGAGGACTGCTTGAGCCCAGGGGTTCGAGACCAGCCTGGACAATGGGGCAAAACCCCATTCTCCACACACACACAAAAAAAACCACAAAAATTAGCCAGATGTGGTGGCTTCAGACTATAGTCTCAGTTATTAGGGAGGCTGAGGTGAGAGGATTGACTGAGCCCAGGAAGTCAAGTCTGCAGTGAGCCACGATTGCACCATTGTACTCACTCCAGCTTGGGCAACACAGCAAGACCCTATCTCGAAAAAAATCCTTCTCTCAAGTTTAATTTGGATTACCAAGTAGGAGAGGAGGCTTGGGTCAATATTCCCCATGAAAGCAAAGGTGATGACAGGGTCACAGGCGAGCTGAGTTAATCTATTTAATGATATCTGATAGTTTTCAATAATTCAGCTCCCAGCTGATAGACAAATGTTACAAACAACTCCCTAACCATGGCGAGGGGATTTATCTGAGCACATTTGGAATTTAGGATCACTTAAAAGGGGAAATAAATAACAGTCCGCTTTTCACTGCTGGCCTCCACGTGGCAATAATTTACCAGCATTCCTTGAGTCCCAGCAGCTTTGCAGCTCTCGGCCTTTAATCTAGAAGCCAAGCTCTGGCTCAAAGCCACGCCTCTAATGGATGAATCAGCAAAATGAATTGGCTGTCAACTGTGTCCTCCAGCTATTCCAGCTCGCCTGTCAGAAGCAGCATGTAGCAGGCTGCTGGGTAAAACTAACCTTTTCCAAATTTGTCAGGGAAATGATTCAAGGCAATCTATCGGTCTTGCCACTTTGTGAAAGCCACTGGGGAACCAAATGTGCTAAGAGTCCTCCCTGTTTCCCTGGAGGTGAGTGGGAGCAGTTCCCTCACATAAGAGTCTCAAACACTCCGGCTTCACTGTGCCCAAGAACAGCACGGTCCGGGGTGGTCCAGTCTGATCCCAACCGGCCCACCCGGGGCATCCGGTGGAAGTCTTCGCCGGAGGATCCGAAGGCAGCATCAACGCGGTTGTCTCTTGACACTGCACACAGCATAGCATTTAATCTTCGGATGTTCTAGTCACCACACAAATAAAGAGACTGAGCATCGGAGAAACTAAACAGCTTGCCTGAGGTCTTGTAGGTAAGCAACAAAGCTGGCTTGAAACCAGGATGTGGCATTTATATATACATTTTAACAATGTTAATACTGCCACATGCCTGCTGTGTATTTATATGCATTTTGTTTATGTAGGTTGACAATTAGCTTATAAAATGCTTCCTGTATTAAGGAATTACTTAAAATGTTTAGACTTTATTGTTTTTTAAAGAACTTTCCACTACTGTCAAGCAAAGACTTTCCAACTAAGTTGATGCATTATGTTTATGAAGAGGAAGACAACATAAGATGTAGATTCCTTCCTAAATTGACTTATAGATTTACTGCAACTCCAGCAAAAATATTCCAACATTTTATTTTATTTTTTAAACAACTTCTGTGGAACAGGGCTAACTCATAGGCAGTGTGCCCAGAGTTGGCCTCCAACATTTTAATTAAATATTGAAAAAAATTAAAAGTAAGAAAAAAAAATCTCGGTAGAAAACAACAGTGGTTGTGAGAGCCTGGGGCTGGTGCTGGGGCTGGAACGGGAGAGGAAGTTGACTACAAAGAAGGGGAGGGCATTTTGAAGGTGACAGAACTATTTTATATCCTGATTGCAGTGCTGATTACATTACTGCATGCATTTGCTGAGGCACAGAACTGTACACCAAAGACGGTCACTTTATTATACATCAATTAAACCTCAGTTATTCTGGGAAACCTGAAAGATGAATTCTAAAATTAGAATAAAAGGGCCAACAATAGCTGGGACATTTCTAAAAAAGAATGGGAAGGGGGACTTGCTTTACTAGGTAAAAAAGCTTATTGTAAAGCTATAGGAATTGAGACAGTGGAGTAATGGTGCTGAGATAAACTGACCAATGGTACAGAATTCTAAGAGCCTAGAAAAACACGTATATATCTGTGAAACTTTGATTTTTGACAGAACTGCCTGGAAAAGGAAAAGCTGGAAAAATTGTTTATCCATGGGGGGGAAAAAAAAAGAAATTGGATTCTTAGTCACACCATGCCGAAAAATTCACTCCAGATGGATGAAGAGCTGAAATGTCAAAAGCAAACTCTGAGAATTTGAAAAGGAAATATAAGTGAGTATCTTTCTGAGCTTGAAGTAGGGAAGAATTTACAAAGATAGAAAAAAGGACAGGCATAAAAGAAAAGATCAATAAGTTTGGCTACATTAATATTAAAGCCTTTGTCCATCAGAAGACACTTTAAAGAGAAGAAAGACAATCTATAAACTGGAAGAAGATATCTGTAAGACATTCAACTGACAGGATTAGCACTAGAATATATAAAAATAGCCACAAACTAGTGAGGAAACAACTGCAGAAAAGTGGGCACAAGGCATGAGAAGCACGGTCACCGCACAGAAGGGAGGTGTGTGAGGCCAGTGGACATATGCAGAGATGCTCGGCCACAGACAAAGGCAAATCATGACTATGATGAGACATGATTCTATACCTACTGCGTTGGCAAAAATTATAAAAAACATTGATAATACAACTATTGGGAAGGTGTGGAGCAACAGGATCCCCAGTGGTTGTACGACCATTTTGGAAAACAAGTTAGTGTTCTCACTTAAAGATGATCATTCTCACTTCCTATGACCCTGCAATTTCACTCACGAATAATAAGAGATCAATACAATAGTTTCCAAAAAAAAAAAACTGTTCATAATAGCTAAAAAGAAAGAGAAAGAGGGCTCCAAATCCTTATCCTTGGGTAAATGGACAAATCTGCAGTATATTCACAAAATGGAATATTGTCTAAGAGAAAATATGAGTGAACTACAGCTACGCAGAATAAAATGGATGAATCTCAGTGATGTAACGGTGAATGATAAATGCAATCCCCCTCACGCCCCGCAACACACATACATACACACATGGCGGGGGTGTGTATGAGAGGGAGAACAAAAAATAGCAAGAAGATGATCAGCACAAACTTCAGTAGAATAGCTGGTACTGGAAGGGAATCAGGAGAACTAGAGAGGAGAAGAGCAATAGGTAGATGTAATTTATTAGTAATGTTTTAATTCTTTGGTTGAGTGGTGGTTTCACAGATGTGCATTACATTTTAAACAAACAAAATTTCTAGCACGCCTGTAATCCCAGCTACTCGGGAGGCTGAGGCAGGAGAATCGCTTGAACATGTGAGGCAGAGGTTGCAGTGAGCCGAGATCGTGCCACTGCACTCCAGCCTGGCGACAGAGAGAGACTCAAAAAAAAAAAAAAAAAAAAAAAAATTCTAGCTTTTCCATTGTTTTACCCTGTCCAACTACTAAAGGCCATTTCCAATACAATCTGCTTAAGTGAGAAGGTCTCTTTAAGATTAGCTCAAACTTACTCCTGTTTCAATGTCTTCGGTCACATGGAAGTGGAGCCCCTGAGTGGGACACATGTGGTGTAAATGCGTACTGCAACTCAGATGCCAGACTTCAGCCTTGCTCGGTGGCTAAGGGCATTTTTGCAGTCTGCTTCTTAGAGGGTTGAAACCAGTTTATTGTAGCAACTGTTTGTGGGTGGGGAGAGTGTACTAGGAAACTGCTGAAGCAGTTACACACCATTAGTCCTGCATTTTTTGCCATGGCCACTCTCAGCAAACATCAAGTTCTCAATGTCTAAGGGAATTGCCTATATTCGTATTAACCCAATGGTTACAACAAAGAGGGCTGGACATGGTGGCTCATGCCTATAATCCCAGCACTTTGGGAGGCCAAGGCTGGCGGATCACTTGAGTCCAGCAGTTCAAGACCAGCCTGGGTAACATGGTGAAACCCTGTCTCTACTTAAATACGAAGATTAGCCAGGCATGCCTGTAGTCCCAGATACTTGGAGGGGTGAGGCTGGAGGATTGTTTGAGCCCGGGATGTGGAGGTTGCAGTGAACTGAGATCGTGCCATTGCACTCCAGCCAAGTTGACAAAGTGAGACCCTGTCTCAAATAAATAAATAAATAAATAAAAATAAAACAAAGAAAGAGAACTATTTATTGGCTATTTCCTCTGTTAGCACAGAAAATCCTGTCAGCATTATCCTGGCTTTATAGATAAGGACACTGAGACTCATAAAAAGGGACTGGCCCAAGGTCCCAAAGATTACATGTGTAGGCTGGGACCCCAACCAAAGCCTACATTCTTTCCACGACACCACATGCACTGGAAGGCACCCGGTTTGTGTCATGCAGAGTTAACACAGGCATACATCTGTCTGCAAGGAAGCAGTGTGTCCATCTCTCCACCCAACAGCCTTGTGCAAACGCTGGAAGGAGTCCCTGTGTGATAACCTGGTGTGTTACTCCACAATCAGAAGTGATGTGTGCCAAGAGTGGCCTCTGCCTACTTCACAGGCCCAAATCCTACTCCTCTAATGCCAGTGTGTGCCTTAATGTCAAAGACGCCCTCTCTGACACCCTTTAAGATGGCCTCTCCTTATTCCCCTCAGAGCACCCACCAGCGTGAGGCCCTAAATCACCACATTGTCATTCAGGATTGTCACCCCAAGCCTGGATGACACTAAAGGTTGCTTTGTGTTTGTTTGCTTATTTAAATATGAATATATTAAATACAAAAGTTTTTTCATATTCCATAAAGTTTGATCAAGTTTAAATTTACAACAGATGGACAGCCTCTCCAATTTACCAGATAAGAGAATGGAGGGTTTTATCAGATTTTGCAAAAGGGCAAGCTTTAAAAATCTTTAAAGAAAGATATTAAAAATCAAGGAAAACAGAAACACCCAACCCTAATGGTCATTATGAACATTTTCCTGTGTTCAGAAAAATGATCTCAGATGTATTTCCCCTTAACCCATCTAAGGAACTAGGCAGATACTAAGTTGGAAACAGGAATCAGTGATCTAACAGAAACATGGTAAAATGAAGGTATTTCCAACATGCCCAAAGAAGTAAAAATGGGGAGGCAAGCCCAGAAAATGACAGCCTTCCTTTCCACCCTCTCTAGTCCATCCTTACCCTGCTGACATGATCCATTCTATTCTGTTAAACCCTTCGGCATCCAAGATAAAGTGCAAACTTGCTGGTACACCCAACTGGTGTACCAGCAAGTTTGCCTCAATAATAACCCAGCTCTGTCCAGCCCTCTCATCTCAATTCTGTTTTCCCACATTTAGCTGTTGTCTTCTGAACAGGACCAGGTGCTCTCTGAGGGAAGGGATTATACATTATTCATTTCTGTAGCACCTAGGGTTTATCATAGTAGTTTTCCAGGAATTCAACATATGATCATAGGAAGAAACAAAACTTCAGGCCAGGCATAGTGGCTCATGCCTGTAAGCCCTGCACCTTGAGAGGCCCAGGTGGGAGGATCGCTTAAGCCCAGGAATTTGAGACCAGCCTGGACAACATAGTGTGACCCCCATCTCTACAACATAAAACATAAAAATAAATTAGCTGGGTGTGGTGGTGCACACCTATAGTCCCAGCTACTCAGAAGGCTGAAGTGGGAGGATCACTTGAGCCAGCAAGGTTGAGGCTGCAGTAAGCCAAGACTGCACCACTATATTCCAGCCTGCGCAAGAGAGTAAGACCCTATCTCAAAAAAAAAGGAAAATAAATAAGTAAACAAATAAATGAATGAATGAATAAAAAACAGCTTTTATGTCTGCTGGCAGCCTGTCTCCACTCAAGAGAAAAAACAAGCCAGAATGAGGATACAAACTTATACATTTTTCAGTTAAAAATCCCATGTTGAAGCCTGGTATGTGAAAAAAGTGCCTGGACTGGAAACTGGAGGCCCTGGCTCTGGCTCGAACGGGTAGTTTTGCCTGGGCAGGAAACAGGCCACCGTCACTGATAGCAGAGGCTAACCCACCTGCCTGCTCACACCCTTGGGAGCCAGAGCTTGGGATTCCTTGTCCTTCATGCTTCCTTTCATATCGTGGGTGTTTCTCCAACAAAGGCTAATTATGTTTTTTAAAAAGTCCTGAGGCTGAAAGAGTAGAAACTAGGGCAGTGAAAGAGATCTGAGCCCCGTAAAGGGGACAGACAAAACTAGGGAAGATAGTGGAGGACGGCATTCCTTCCTCTCTGCTTTCTCAGGGCCTCCATGGCAGCGCCTGACCCATGAGATGCACTCAGGAAAGGAAAGGAAATGAATCAAGGAAAGGAAGCAGGCTCAGAGGGCTATGCTTACAGAGACACAGAGTGCAGAGGAACCTGGGAGAGCCGTGAGGTGTTTACAGACAGCTTCCACAGATCCCACCGCCTGGACCCTCACCATGGTGAGGGCAGGTGCTGTTATCAGTGCTTCACTGACGAGGCAGAGAGAAAGTTCCATCGGCACCCAACTAGGATGTAGCAGAACAGGGCAGAGTGTGATCTTGGTTCTGTTACCTAGAGCAAGTCAGGCCCTCTACTCTGCTACCTCCCCATCCTTCCCCTCAATTAAATATGGACAGGCATGCACACTGGCCACTGTTCCCATGTGTCACTTCACTTTACAGTTCTCCAATTGAGGCCACGGAAGCAGCAAAGAAAACAGTCTTTACAAACTAGACATGAAAATAATGGTGATGTTTAATTATTTAAAACCTACCCAAACGGAAGCCACAAAGTCAAATGGGAAAACCACAGGCTCTGAGGCCACACAGGCCTGGGTTAGAATCCTGCCCAAACCTTAAGTTGTGTGGGGTGAGTTACCTGCCTCCCTGGACTTCTCTTTCCTTATCCATAAAACAGACATCTCCACCTACCTTACAAAGCTTTTATCACAGGGCCTGAGACACAGTGGGTGCTTAATTAACAAGGTTACTGCTGTTAAATCACAAATATATAATTCAGACAAAAAGAACTTTGCCAAAGCCAATATAAGACATTCCATTGCTCTGCATATTCTCAAACAACAATAAAAAAAAAGAAACCATTATTTAAAAGTCTGAACTATAAATTTCAAAATTTTCCGAGACCAAAATTAGTTAATTGATTTTCTCCCAACTCTCCTGAAACCACCTGTTAAAACATTCATCTCATTCATTCATTTATTATTTATTTATTTTTGAGACAGGGTCTCTCGCTCTGTTCCCCAGGCTGGAGTGCAGTGGTGCAATCACGGCTCACTGTAGCCTCGAGTTTCTGGGCTCAAGCAATCCTCCCACCTCAGCCTCCTGAGTAGCTGGGACTACAGGTGCATGCTACAACACCTGGCTGATTTTTGTATTTTCTGTAAAGACAAGGTTTTGCCATGTTGTCCAGGCTGTTCTCAAACTCCTGGGCACAAGCGATCCACCCATGTTGGCCTCTCAAAGGGCTGAAATTACAGGCATGAACCACTGTGCCCAGCCATCTCATTCAATAAACACTGGCACTGGGTACTGGGATGCAGCAGTGGGAAGCAGAGATTCCCTGATCCTAAGAAGCCTGCAATCTGAAGGAAGAGTAAAGGAGGCGAAAAGACTGGTAGAGCAACACCAAGTAGGCAGGTATCTAGGTGGGAAATGATAATCTCAACATGAGCAGGGGCAGCAGCAAAGGCGACAATAAATACAAGCTATTAACAGGCTGACTGAGAGGTGGAAGAGCTACTGCTTAGGCTGTAAGTTCCTATGGCCCAAGCCAATTGCCTCAGCATTGAATGAATGATGTCACTAAGGAACCCTGCTTTGATTAGCCAGCCTGGTGTTTTTCTTTTTCTTCTTCATGGTTTCAGGCTGAAAAGTCAGTCAAAAATTATTAAAGCCACCATTTACTAAGTACTTACTATAATGCTTGTAAAGAACTATGCTAACTACTTTCCAAACAAATACAGTTGACCCTCGAACAATCTGTGTTTGAACTGCATGGGTCCGCCTATATGCAGATTATTTTTCAACCCAACACATCTTGAAAACACAGTCTCTGAGGGATTTGAAACCTGCCTACACGGAGGGCCTCTCATACCCACACGTTCTGCAGGACTGACTGGGGGACCTGAGTACGTGAGAATTTTGGTATACTCAGGGGTCCTGGAACCAGTCTCTCATGGACATTAATGAACGCCTGTATATTTCAATCTCACTTGTTCATTTATTCATCTATCCATTCATTCATGAACAAACTATCTTCTAAAACTAGGCAACTGAGGCTGAGAGTGAAATCAGAGAGACAAAGCCCAGTACTCAAGGAGAGAAAGAGAGCACAGACCATCACCCACGGGCTGAGGGTTAGAAAAGGAGCTTGCTCTGGAGTTTCCCATGGGGAAATGACCACACCTGGGGCTCAGAAAAATTTCCCTAAGGAAAAGACACTCAGGTCTTTCTTGAGACTTGAGGGTTGGGAGAGCAGGTAGTGTAGAAATTCTGGAGGTGGGGAACTGTGATCCAGGCAGAAGGAATATGATGAGGTGACTCATCTGAGAGAGGAACACAGTCTAGACTAAGGATGAATGACCGTAATAGTGAATCCTAAGGAGGAAGCAGGAGAAGGGCCGGCGGTGCAGCCGGAACGATGCGCAGAGGAGCGCCACACTGAGGAGTTCAGTCAGGAGGGCCTTGTGGTCAGATCTCCTCCTCCTGACAAAGATTCCGGGAGATCAGCAGGACGCCAGGGTAATAAATATGGAGAGAAAGGGCGGTGGCTTGTTAGGATGGAAGAGGTGGGGACACAGAGAAACTACACAGTTCTCCGAGTCCTAGCCTGGGCAGTGCAGGGTTGTGCCATCTGGGACCAGGGAACAAGATAGTGGGAACACAGGAATGGGGTAGATGGTGGCTTTGAAGTACCTGGGAAACATCGGTGGAAATGTGGGATGGGCAGAGAGAATACATTTGGGAATCACTGGCATGAAGGTGGTGTGAGCCCTGAGAAAGAATGGAATTGCTGAGGAGAAGGTGCAGAGTAAACACAGAAGCCTCCAGACTGAACTTAGGAGCACCGGCCTTTAATCCTCGTATGGATGGGGAGGGCAGTCATGAAAGCCTGGGAAGCTGTGGCCTGAAAAGGAGAAGGGCAAACCTAGGGATTTAAGAAAACATTGCTTCAAGGAGGAAGAAGAGGCCAGGCATGGTGGCTCATGCCCGTAGTCGCCAGCACTTTGGGAGGACAAGGCGAGAGGATCACTCGAGTTCACGGGTTTGAGGCCAGCCTAGGCAACACATACCCCTCAATGTCCACTAAAAAAAAAAATTAGCTAGGCATGGTGGTGCGCACCTGTAGTCCCAGCTACTCAGGAGGATCGTGAGCCCAGGAGTTTGAGGCTGTAGTGAGCTATGACCACACCACTGCATTCCACATTCCAGCCTGGACCACAGAACAAGACTCTGTCTCCAAAAAACAGAGGTCAGAGTACTGAGCACTCAGGCAAGGTGAGAAGACTGCCTGGTGGGTGTGGCAAAGGGGTCAGAGGGTCTTCAGTAAGAACAGGCTCTGTGGTGTGGGGACCACAGCGAGAGGAGAGTGAGCGAGGAACCACGGTAAGGGTGGTGACTGCAGACGCCTCGAATTCCGAAAAGGAAGGAAAGATTTGGGAGAAGAGGCGAGCTGGGGTTGTGGGAGTTCTTTTGAACAGGTGGAAGGAATTCTGCCCATGGGTGGGCATGGATAAAATGTAGCACAAGGCCCCTGAGAAGGGACTTGGAGCACATGGTGGGGACACATGTCTGACAGAGGCACAGAAGGAGGGAGGTGTGTGCGCGGACAGCTTTGTGAATCTGGGGGCAGGAAGTCGCACCTGGAAGTTCACTGTTTCCTCTGAAGAGGGGTCGAGGTCAGGGGAGGGGAGGGATCTTCCCAAAAGCACCAGGGCTGGAACCTGGGAAGACAGGAAGAGCAGAAGAGGCCATGGAGCTGGTACCTGATAAGGTCCCTGCCAGAGATGTGACCTTCCAACTAGTGCTAACAATCTGCCCAATGCTCTTTTCCTCCTCAAAACCACCCCACAAAGTGGGTAACAATTCTCCTTCCATGGCCAGGCAAACAGGGGCCGAGAGAGGTTGAGTGGCCTGCTGAAGATGGCGATTCTGACAGCAGGGCTGGGGTGTGAAGCCCGAGCTCCCTGACCCTGACGCATGCTTCTGATGACAACTTTAACCTGCCCCTCAAAGCAGTCAACAAAGCCTCTGCGCTCACACCCAGCCCAACACAAAAAAGGGCTTTCCCAAGTGCTGACACAGCAGCTTAAAAAGTGGGTAGTGAAGTGCAGAAGGTAAGAAGGAATTTATGATGGCATCAAGTAGAAGCAGATGGGAGTTTGGCAAAAAGTTTAGAACTATTACTTAAAGAAAAAAAAAGAAGAAACCCTTCTTTTTTTAAAAGATGAAACACAACTTAAAATAGACTTGGGAAGCAATTCCATACTTAACAGTCTTGAGGAAGTTGACAGACAGCTGAAAGACCTAAGCAATTTACAACATTCTTCACACTTCATGGCAGAAAATTAAGATTGATGTCTCAACTACACAAGAATAATTTAAGGTAAAATCAAAGATCTGCTAGATCATGTGAAATGGCAGATCCTAAACGTCAAGAACTCTGAATAAATTCCACTCCAGGGAAGACTAAATAGTACACGGCTTAGTTAATACTATATCTTTAAGGTCTGCTTATTACATATTACAAAGAAGTACAAACAGATACCAATCATGGTTTATAGGGAGGTTACTAAGCACCAGGTTCTCTACTATCTCTAATCCTAATACATTATTCTATATCCTAAAACATTAATCTATTTTCTTCCATCTTTAATCCTACCCCTGTAAAGCAGTCTTATTTTGAATACGACAGAACAGTGCCTGAGACATGTTAAAATAACTTGCCTGATGTCACCGTGCTGGACTGCCGTGCACAGCCAGTATTTAACCCGTTGTTGACGCCCCTTCCCCTGCCTGAGGGATTCCCAATTTAATGCCAGCATACAGCCTGCAATAGGTTTTAAATTGCAACAGTATCACTAAACAATACCTACTTTTACTACATGAAACCCACTCTCATACGTCCTTTTCTTCGACTTTCTCCCCTCTTTTTTTTAAATGCTGGTATCTACCAGCATTGATTTCCTGACCCACTAAACAAGCCCTGCCTGACCTGAACTCTATAACACAACACAGCTCATTGACACCCACCATTCAAAACAGCATTTCTATGTGACAATGTGCTTTGTGTTCTAAAAGGTTAATCAACAAAAGAACGTTTAGGACACAATCTCTTCACAGCCTGCGTGTAACTGAAGCACTGGCTGGAGGTAGTGGCTGCATCTACAGATTCAAGTTGGGTCCTTTCACCTGGACTAGTTCTCAGGAACTTCAGATGCCAGGTACAAATATATACCTAATAGGCACACACACCACCTGCATCAAGACAACACTTTTGGACCTAGCTAACTTTGGCAACTTGTTGGGCTGTTTATGAAGTATTAAATCTGCCACAACATTAGTGATACGGTGATAAAGCACAGTGCTCCATGTTTCTTCTACTTCCCATAGCCACATACGCAAACAGCCTGACAGAGCAGCACATATTTTAAGGCTTACAGGTTTCAGTGGTTGAAAAGCTTAGTCTGTTTGTGTATAAGCTAATATAGGAGCTGCTGGGCTGCACTATTTACACTTTCATTAAGGGCTGCACTATTTACACTTTCATTAACTGTGTCTCTGTGGATGTTTTGAAGTGGTTTTCATCTGATAAAAGAATTTACTGGCCGGGTGCGGTGGCTCACACCTGTAACCCCAGTACTTTGGGAGGCCAAGGCAGGTGGATCACAAGGACATGAGAGCAAGAGACCATCCTGGCCAACATGATGAAACCCTGTTTCTACTAAAAATACAGAAATGAGCTGGGTGTGGTGGCATGTGCCTGTAATCCCAGCTACTCAGAAGGCTGAGGCAGGAGAATGGCTTGAACCAGGGAGTCGGAGGTTGCAGTGAGCCAAGATGGTGCCACTGCACTCCAGCCTGGCAATAGAGAGAGACTCCATCTCAAAAAAAAAAAAAAAAAAAAAGAATTTACTTATACCTCATGACTCAGCTTATTCATTAACCCAGTGAAACCCCGGAGGAGAGGAGGGGAACTGGAGAGAGAAAGAGAATGATGGGCAGCCAGGCAGAGCTGAGCTAGCTCACCTGCGAGGTGAGTCATGGCCCCTGGGAGGGAGGGTGTCTGTCACCAAAAGCAGCCTCTCCCAACCTATTAGAGAGTCACAGAAATTCCGTATCAATAGTAAATGGGACAATTTTGTCTCTGGTTCCCTTTAACCGTCCCTTGCCATGCTCCTAGCATTGGAAGCACTCAGCACTTTCCTGATGGTGCCAGGATGCTGCGCTATGAACATGAGTCCTCTTCCTAGGCCTGCCTCTCACCTCTTCCCACCTGCTAGCCCTGCAATCCACCTACAGATGCAGAGCAGCTCCAGGACACATCATACACGATCTGTCACCACCAAGAAGGTTTGAAAAAATGCCAACACCACCTCCTTGAACACCAGGCCAGCTCCTCCGTGCCTTCATGGAGCCCTGTGCCTGTGCTTCCCATCCTCTGTGGAGAGAGAACAGTTTATTTTAAAGGAAGGGAATGAAATCCTCTCTCCAGACTATGGGTTGCCTTGGGACGATGAAATTTACTTGTTGTAACTGGCAATATTTGACTTCGAAAAAGAGTTACACTTCTCCAAAAGGGAAATGGATAAAGAATGAGGATGTTATTTTTATTTTCCACATCAATTTTACGCTTTGCCTTGATGAGATGATGTGCTCAATGACTAATTTATTTCATTGGTGAGTTCTGTCTAGACCCTACACGCTGAAACCCTGAAGGTCACCAAATGTCCCCAAATGGTGGCGCAAATCTGAGTAAGAATTGTTTTGATTTTGAAGTCCCATCCTGCCTGGGCATTTAACACAATGATTCTACACTTGTATTGTTGTTTCTGCTTTTAAATGACCACATCACTTCCTTGTGGATTTGGGATCTTAGGAGGACTATTCCAGCTCTTTATTTTCTTTTTCCTTAAGTAAGCTGCTTCCCTGTTACGGGGGCTGTTGCTGCTGACACCAGACCTAAAGACAGCATTCAGGTCTGAACTGGAGCAGGTTAGGCTGCTAGGAGAGGAAGCATGCTGAGTGACATTACTCTTGAGTCTAACACAGGTAATACAGGGGGATGGGAGAAGGAGAAAGTAGGGAGAGGGAGAGAGCGGGACAGAGAGAGGAAGTGGAAGGAGACAGTGAGCCTGCAGGGGAATCAGGGAGAGCGAACTTTTCCCATTTGCTGAGGAACTGCTTTTATTAATAGAAGGTGGCAACTCCCAAAATTCAAAGAAGTAACAAGTTCTTCACCACTCCTGGACATTAAAAGGATCTGTGAAATTCTTTGCCAGCAGGAGAATACGATTTTTAAAAAAGTGATATTGACATTGTTCAGCTTTCCAGACTCAAGTCATTAAATCTCTAAATTGTTCTAAATATTCATTTTGCTTTCTACATTCTAAAAGTGTAGAGCTTTTTTGTCTATTTAAACATTCATTGTAAAAACCAACTGGTTAGATAAAAAAGTCAAGCCAAAAGAGAGAAATGTAAAAAACTAAAACAAGCCAGGTGCAGTGGCACGTGCCTGTAATCCCAGCTACTCAGGAGGAGGAGGCAGGAGGATCACTTGAGCCCAGGAGTTCAAGTCCAGCCTGGGAAACAAAGGGAACCCTGTCTCCAAAAAATGTTTTAAATAAAAACAATATTAATACAATGGCAAGTGTGATATTATCACATGCCAAAGTATTTTTGAATATTTTATAACATTGTATTTTAAAATTCTCAATGACCTGAGAGTTTCCTACAATGTCAAAATACTCAACACAAATTAGGAAACTGAAAAACAACTTCTGAAAGTCAGGTATACAGAGAGAAGAACACAGAATGCTTTTTTTCATTCTTTGTTTTTTGAGACAGTCTCACTCTGTCACTCAGGCTGGAGTGTAGTAGCACAACCACGGTTCACTGCAGCCTCAACTTCCCAGGCTCAAGCAATCCTCCCACCTCAGCCTCTCAAGGAACTGGGACTACAGGAGCTTGCCACCATGTCCGGGTAATTTAAAAATTTTTTTTGTAGAGGTGGGATCTTGCTACATTGCCAGGGCTGGTCTTGAACTCCTGGGCTTAAGGAATTCTCCTGCCTCAGCCTCCCAAAGTGCTGGGATTACAGGCATGAGCTGCTGTGCCCAGGCTAGAATGGTTTCTGTAAACTTTATCTTTTACTTTTTTTGTTTTGTTTTGTTTTTTTAAGACAGGGTCTCACTATGTTACCCAGGCTGGAGTGCAGTGGCTATTCACAGGTGTGACCATAGCTCACTGGAGCCTCAAACTCCTGGACTCAAGCAACCCTCCCGAGCAGCCAGGGCTATAGGCACGTGCCACCAAGCCTGCCTACACTTGTGGATTTTATAAAGTACTCTCTACATTTCTTTCCCTAGAAAAAAATATTACCACCCTTTAGATTCTAATTCTAAAGTGCTACATCTAATACCTCTAACATAAGTAAAGTCTCATTTTAAAGCATGTCCAATGAATAAATTTGCTTCTACTGCCTTTGCATATGCTAAGATTTTGATGGAGGAAAAAAAAAGTACCTGAAAGCAGCTTTCATGGAACCCAGCTATAAAGCTCCACAAACCCCATTTTTCCAGTGAGCTCACAGATAGTACCCTGTGCCCTATGTCAGCTTAGGGCAGCAGTTAGAGGCCTTTACCAACAGAAAAGAAAAAGCCTAGCTTGCTTCTAAGGCTACATACATCCAGATCTGTTCCACCAAAATCAAATCTGTGGCAAGGAGGTCCATGGCTACAGATTCTTCTGCTATGAGGCACCCAGGGAAATAGTCCAGAGGTCTGAATTGCAAACAAAATAATTTTAACTAATATAAAAAAGACCATCTGTTCAGTAACTAATTCCCTTGAGGACATGATATGGAAGTCAACTATCCAGCTTCCACCTTTACATAGTATATAAATGAGAAGAGAAAAGCGAGCAGGTTGGGTGCAGTGGCTCACGTCTGTATCTTAACACTTTTGGATTATTTGAGCCTGCCCAGGAGTTAGAGACCAGCCTGGGCAAAACAGTAAAACCCCATCTTTACAAAAAAAAACAAAAAACAAACAAAAAAACAATAATAATAATAATAATAATAATAATAATTAGTCTGGAGTGGTGGTGTGCGCCTATAGTCCCAGCTACTTGGGACGCTGAGGTGGGAGGATCACTTGATTGCGCCACTGCACTCCAGCCTGGGACAAAGCAAGACTGTCCAAAAAAAAAAAAAAAAAAAAAAAAACAGAAAGAAAAAGAGAATGAATGTTAAAATGTAGGCAGAGGCATGAAAAATAGAAAAGAAAGTCAGCTTGCAGAGCCAAGTTTATATCTTACCCCACCCTGATGTGGTTGGCCAACAGCTGATAGAGGGCTTTTCGGTAAAGTAGGTAGAAACAAACCCCACCAACCCTCAGGTTACCAGGCAATGTGCCACCATGTTATTAAAGCCATCATGGTGAGAGTTCCTGGGCAGGCAGCCCGCTGGAATGCTGAGTCATCTGTTCCCCCGCTCACAGCTGGCCCTCCTCCCCAGCACATGCTCTGCCCACAAGCACACTCTTTGGGGAATGCATTAGGAAGCAGCTACCTGAATGTATCCTGAAAATCACAGACAAGGCACTAAACACACACCCATTGGAGCCTGTTCTGTCACAACTCAAGCCAGAGTGCAGGCATAAATCACTGCCGTTTCTGGAAAGAGCACAGGCACACCTTGCACTCAGCTCTCTAGAGGCCTTAGCTAAATGCTGTTTAGATTATTTTTAAAAAATGTGGTTTTGACTGGTTCAGGATTTAAAAGAGTTAACAAACATCATATGAGCAGAAGGCACAATGGAATGAGTGTGTACACTCTGGGGTAGACAGCTCTACTACTGGAAGGCCACATGCCTCTCTGGGCAACTGTTTTCTTATCTTTGAACTGAGATGCTTTCCACAGTTGGCTTCAGGGAAAGCATCTAAGACTGGAGTCACAACAGAGTATTCACGCATGGGGCAAGGGGTGGGGACGCTAAAGCTGAACTTTGCCTTTAGTTAAAATTACCCTTGAAACTTCTTTCTTCACACTGGAGAACATGCGTCTCTCAGTGAAGCCAACACAGCTGGTTTTTCCTCCAGGGTCAGAACACACTACTGTTTCTCCTCTAGGACATCAGAGGAAGACGATGGCTTGCATGTGAGCACCATGTTATTAAACACACATGTACACACATGTGTGAACACACATGGTTTATAACCAGCAGGAAGCTTGCTACAAGAAGAGTGTGAAAGTTGATATTCACAAGGAAGGGGCAGAATCTACATCTCCCATTTCATCTCCAACTCACTGGGATAAGGATAAATACTTTTGCTGAGTGAAGTGACAAGCAAAACCAGTCTCACACCCTAAAAAATAATTAGCCACATCAAGTACATTTGAATTCACACAAGTTTCAAAATGTTATGATGTAACTCTACTTGGTACCTAGCAAATATACGATCTAAGCCTCTGTGCCTGTCCTCTGGTCACATGTACCCAAGCTAGTTCTCTGAAGACAAGGAAGGTGTTTTAGCTATTCTATACCTCCAGTGATATTTCTTCAGGAGAGAACAGCTAATACAGCTACTTCTCTCTGCTTCCGAACAGCCCTGGGCTTGCAATTACTACAAGCCACTGAAGAACCACGGCTTAACTTCTTAGGGCATGGATTTTACCAGAGATCAGGGAGGAAAAATTAAATAATTAATCTGGCAATTTAAAACAAATTAATATTAAAGTAAAATGGACATATTGCAGAATAGCATTTTTTTAAATTGTGAGAATGGTTTAAATAAAACATAAGACGGTAGAGATATTTCACCTTCTGCCCCCCTCACCCCGCTGCGCCCCTGAGTGCTCCTATCCACGCTGCTTTGGTGTTGTTTGAGAAGAACCTCCCCCCACAGAGGCACTGATACTAGCTGAATGGATTCTCCTTTCTGGGGAATGAGAACACCAGAAAGGAAAAGAGACTTCCACCTTCTCTTCTTGGCAGCAAGGAGGTGAATGTAATGTCCACATGAGGGTAGTTTATACATGTCAATTTGTATTCTAGGTGCACAAACAACACTCAGAGAGCTGTAAGGAGTTCTCTGTGGTTAGAAGCAATTCTGAAAAGAGCTGACTCATATGAGAAAAGCGTAATGCAGTATCTATTTCTTTTAGCAAAGGTGATAGAAACGCACGTATCATGAATATGTCATGCAAGGAAAGATGAGGGCAGCCTAAGCTGAGAAGGTGTTCAAATAAATTTCCTGTTTGAAAGGGATTATGATACTGCTCTTTTCCCTACCTACCTGTGGACACAACAGAAAGGTGGGAATCCTGTCCTATAAATTCAGGTTCTGGCCCTCATTTGCCCTACAAGTATTTCTTAGCCAAGGTGAAGTGGTCACCCGTGCATCTACCAAAATGGTCTGGACCACTGACTGGGCAGGTTTTGAGAAGCACGGTCACCTGCCTCAGGGTGGTAGCTATCATTTCCTGAGATTATATCACAGGTAGTACACGCTGCCAATGCTGTAGGCTCTGTTACCCTCACTTTATACAGAAAACTGAAGACCCTGTTGAATGGCTTGTCCATAGTCTTGCAGCTGGTATAAGGAGAACTGGAATACAAATTCAAGATGTTTCAATCATACAATGCTGCAAGGAGCTGATGTCAAGGAAGATACAAAGTAATGACCACCTACTCTGCTAGCAGATGGTGGTAAATTGTTCTTAGAAGCAGTGAACCAAGGGCATGATATCAACAGTCCTTGTGTGTGCCTTCTTCAGCAGAGAGGTCTACTGACTGTCAGTGAGTGTTCTGTCTAAACGAGAAGGGGCTTAGAGAGGATCATATCCTTTGACCTAGTAATTCCTCTTTTAGGAAATCATCCTATGAAAACAATCTGAAATGAGGACTAATTTTTAATGCACAAGGATACGTAAATTTTTAAATTAAAAATGTCTTCAAAACACAAACAAATGTTTAATAGTAGGAGAATAGTTAAATAATTATGCTATTCATATTCATTAAAAATTATGTGAGGTTGAGGGAGGCCGGCACGGTGGCTCACACCTGTAATCCCAGCACTTTTGGCGACCGAGGTGGGTGAATCACGAGGTCAGGAGTTGGAGATCAGCCTGGCCAACATGGTGAAACCCTGTCTCTAATAAAAATACAAAAAATTATCCGGGCATGGTGGCATGAGCCTGTAATCCCAGCTACTCGGGAGGCTGAGGCAGGAAAATAGCTTGAACCCAGGAGGCGGAGGTTGCAGTGAGCAGAGATTGCGCCATTGCACTCCAGCCTGGGTGACAGAGCAAGACTCCGTCTCAAAAAATAAATAAATAAAATAAATAAAAATTACGTGAGGGAGAAAGTAGGGAGAGGGGAGAAAAAATACGCTTTCAAAGCAATAATAACCAAACAAAATATAATCAATAAATTCTCTGGCTAGCTATTTGGGAAAAAGTAACATGAATGCCTCTCTCATAGGTTATACCATTGACTCAATCAACAAATATTTGCTGATCACCTATTTTAAGCATTGAGAAAAACTTAGAATAAAAAAATCTTTGCCCTCCTAAGACAATTCGTTAAGCAGTACAGTTTCATATGGGTATTTTCCTATATGTATGTTAAGCCTCCATTTAAAAGTTAAAATAAAAAGCCTGACTTCATGGATCTTACATTCTAGTGGTGAGATATAGACACTAAACAAAAAAGTAAAATATACAGTGTACGTGCAGTGCTATGGAGAAAACAAAAAGCAGGCAGTACTGAGATGTGGGTTGTGATTTTAAATTAAGTGGTCAGGGAAAGTCTTACTGATAAAGTTACCACATAACAATGCAAGATGCCAAATTTCAGATAAATTACATATCACTGTTTAGTATATCATACAATATTTGGCACACAGCTATTTTAAGTGAAATCTGGCAATCTTACTTACTGAAAGGCAAGTGAACAAACCTCATTCCTAATAAATTAAATGTTAATGCTTCTGAATAGGACACTAAAGCCAGAAACTATAAAAGAATAAACTGACAGATATACTATGGAAAATGTAAAGCTTTGGTTCGGCAACATAGGCTAGATTAAGAATAGCTGGGCACAGTGGCGCACGCCTGTAGTCCCAGCTCCTCCAGAGGCTGAGGTGGGAGGACCTCGAGCCCAGGAGTTAAAGGCTGAAGCTGGAGGGTGCTATAATCACACCTGTGAATACTGGGTAACAAAGCAAGATCTCGTCTCTTAAAACACACACACACACACACACACATACACACACAAAACTGTACAACAAATTGGGACAAGTATTTGCAAAATACAAAACTCAGGATTAATCTAAGCATCATTTTCTCCTATAAAATGAGGGGAGGGGGAAGATACCTGTGGTTCATACAATTATAAGGATTTCAGAACCATGTCTTGTACCTAATAACCAATGGTTCATTAAATGTAATAAATAATAATCATGATGTAGGTGTACTTATAAATCAGCAAGAAAAGCACACAATTCACAAAATAATATCAACCAATTAAACTTCTGAAAATAATTCTAGTGTCAGCTTTGGCAACATGTGAACTAAAATTTGAATGACATCCTTGCACAAAGAGGTCACAAAATTTTAAAAGCAATCCATTTTTTAAAAAAATCATCAATGGACATTAATGCTGCTGGATGAAAGATTACTGAGGAACAGGGTTTCACAGTCTCAAAGTATTACTCACAGAGTACTTATTTATTACAAAGCAGGAAGGCTACAATGGAAAAATCTGTGACCACTATTTACCTAAATGATGTCAAACCAGACATCAGCAATAAGGGAACAAACTGATACCATGTGCCTCTCAGTGTGATGCACTGAAAAGAGCACATCAACTACGTGGTACTCCCGCCAGAAACATTTAATCTGAATCTTATCATGAGACAATCAGAAACATACACATTGAAGGACACTGTAAAACAACTGATCTGAACTCCTCAGAAAAATGTCAATCTTGTGAAAATAAGAAACAGGCTGGGGAACTATTCCAGATTAAAGGAGACTAAAGACTAAAGAGCCATGATGACTAAAAGTAACACAAGACTTTGACTGGAGCTTGGATCCAAAAATAAAAATAGAAAAACTGTAAGGGACATTATTAGGACATTTGGGGAAATTTGATTACAGCATGGACATTAGATCATATCAAAATCATATCAGTGTTAAATTTCCTGAGTGTGATAAATATATTAGGGCAATATTTTTAAAAAGCCTGTGTTCTTAAGAGAAATACACTAAAATACTTCTAAGCAAACTGTTATGTCTCTGACTCTCAAGTAGTTTAGCAATAAAAAACAAATACATGTATACATGTTCACATATGTACATATTATGCTTGTGTATATATGTGTGTGTCTGCAGAGAGGGAGACAGAGCAAATATGATAGAATGTTGCCAACTTGTCTATAGGTTTGAAATTTTTCAGAATCAAAAGTGAAGCTGAATGCAGTGGCACGAGCCTTTAGTTCCAGCTACTTGAGAGGCTGAGGCAGGAGGACTGCCTGAGCCCAGGAGTTCAAGTCCAGCTTGGCCAATATAGTGAGATCTCACTGCCTTTAAAAAAAGAAAAAGAGTGGGAGAAAATATTAATAAAAAATAAAATGCATGAGGTCTAACTCCAAAAACAAACAAAAAAGGAAAGAAAATGCATTCTCTCTCAGTAGTAATCAAAGAAATGCCAGTAAGAATGGTTTTGAAAAAGACTTAATGTTGGAGAAGCGTAACTAATATAACCTTTTTTAGAGGGTGATCTGACAATCTATAAGAAATTCTGGGCCAGGCGTGGTGGCTCATGCCTATAATCCCAGCACTTTGGGAGGCCGAGGCAGGCGGATCACCTAAGGTCAGGAGTTCGAGACCAGCCTGACCAACATGGAGAAACCCCATCTCTACTAAAAATACAAAATTAGCTGGGCGTGGTGGTGCATGCCTGTAATCCCAGCTACTCGGGAGGCTGAGGCAGGAGAATCACTTGAACCTGGGAGGTGGAGGTTGCGGTGAGCTGAGATGGTGCCACTGCACTCCAGCATGGGCAACAAGAGGGAAATTCGGTCTCAAAAAAAAAAAAGAAGAAATTCTGATTCTGAAACTTTGTTGAAACCAGCTCTCTGACTCTATCATGTAATCAACAGAGGCCAAGTGAAGGCCAGGCGTGGTGGCTCACACCTGTAATCCCAGCATTTTGGGAGGCCAAGGTGGGTGCATAGCTTGGGCCCAGGAGTATGAGACCGACCTGGCCAACATGGCAAAACCGTCTCTATTAAAAATACAAAAAAGGCATGGTGGTGTGTGTCTGTAGTCCCAGCTACTCGGGAGGCTGAGGCGCAAGAATCACTTGAACCTGGGAGGCAGAGATTGCAGTGAGCCAAGATTGCACCACTGCACTCCAGCCTGGGTGACAGGGGGAAAAAAAAAAGAGGCCAAGTGAAATTCTAGAGACTTTTAATTTCCCATTTGCAGCTCTTTCTTTCATACGAAATTCCTACGCCCAAAGAGGTTTGAGAGTAATAAAAATTGTAGTAAAAATACAAAATAAATGAAAGATCCTATAATAAGAATACTATTGAGTAAATAAATTATGGCATATCAACTTGATGGCTTATCTAATGCAGTCAGTTAAAATTTAAAATGATTTCACAGAGTTTAAACAACCTGAGAACATTTCTCAACTGTTAATGAGAAAAGCAAATCTTCAAGTCCATCTATAGTATGATTACACCTACATAAAATAATGAAAATGATACTGTAAGAAAATATGCCAGAATGTTATCATAATTATTTCTGGGTGATTATGTTTCATTATTGTGTGTTTTCCAAATTTTCTGTCATAAATATGTACCTGTTTTATTTTTATAAATACTTTTTATCCTAAAGTGGCAGGTCAATAGACAAATAACATAGGCAGGCAGGCAGGCAGGCAGATAGATAGATAGATAGATACATGGATAGATACATAGATAAGACAGACAAATAGGCAGGCTGGGCATGGTGCCTCACATCTGTAATCCCAGCACTTTGAGATGCCAAGGTAGGGGGATTGCTTGAGGCCAGGAATTGAAGACCAGCCTGGGCAGTAGAGTGAGACCCCCTCATCTCTACACCATAAAAAATAATAGTAGCAAAATAAATTTTTTAAAAAATAAATAAAAATAAAAGATAAAACGTGTAGCATTCCTGGACTCAGAACATAATATAAGATTTTTGTTATTATAGTGACCTGATTTAGAGGATCTAAAAAGTGAGTGTGGGGAAATGCAGGCTCACATTCCCATAGTGAGACACTCTGTAATAACCAGAGAGAATTTATAAAAACGAAACTTTAAAATAACTATAGGCTTAAGGCTAACAGATATATCAAAAATATAGAAATCCCTATAATTTCTGAATGTATGCAAATCAACATTGTAGGCTGACAATTTCCAACATTTGATAGAATTTTAAAATTATTCAATGTTGTATGTGGAAACTTGAAAAAAAAAAAAGATAATTTAAAAATTATTCTCAGGGGGCGGGGCATGGTGGCTAACGCCTATAATCCCAGCACTTTGAGAGGCTGATGTGGGAGGATCACTTGAGGCCAGGAGTTCAAGACTAGCCTGGGCAACACAGCAAGACCCAGTCTCTTAATTTAAAATATATATATATATATAATTCAAAGTAAGTGGTTCTGAGAATAATAAAATTATCCTGAGAATCCAGAAGGTAAAAAAATTTTTTAAAAGGTAAAATTTCCAAAGAAGCAATTAAATTATAAATAAATAAAATTATTCTGAAATAATTAAAATAACTCAGGTGACGTCACCCACTGAGACTGACTCTTAAGAAAGACGCCCCTTTGCAATGAGAAAGGTATCTCTCTCCTACAAGGTTACAGTAGGTAAGATGTTTTTGGCTTATGGTAAACAGCTTGTTTGAGAAGTTGCCTAAGAAAAGTATAAACCCCGTGTCAGCTGTTTGTTAGACTTACTCATCAGCCCCTGATGTGGCATCCAGACACCACCTACCCACCCATAGATAATCTCTTGGCAACATCACCACTAAGCTGGCCCTGCTGGCTCACAGAAAGAACAAACAGCGCACTTAGGAGCTACTGAGCTGGAGGTGAAGAGAAGGGAAAGAAATGGGGCTTTATTTAACAAGTGTGACTTACTGCATGATTATTTAGTGATTTTTTCTTTGGCTAACAGTTTATTTTAAATTTTTATTGAAATGGTAAAGCAGTTTAATAACTAATCCTTTTTCATGTGAAAGGACCTTTGGAAGATGCAAATTTTAAGCCCTAAACCCCATCCATCACATAAGATAGATAACAAATTATGAAGATCAATTCTCATCAACATTCAAAGTCTACCCACCAATATTAAACTCTAACAGTTGGTCAAATCCACCAATTTCTAAGAGCACTTGAAAGATACTTTTATTTACATATTAACTGCACTAAACAAGTACTGGGGCAAAGTGTAAAACTTGCTTCATATAATCAGTACATCCTCAACCCCTGGAAAGCTTTCCATGTTTTTCTATTCTTCAAGGAATACATCTTTGGCACTGAATTTCTTTTAGTAGAAAAGGAAGATAATGGGTAAGTGTCCTTGTTATTGCTTTGGATCCCTCAGAAATGGGTTTCGCAACTCACCAGAGTTGGAAAACAAAAATGTGAGGGCCTGGTTGATTCTAACATACTCCTAACAATTATCTTTCGGTGGAGAGGACTAAATCCTCACCCAGAGCAAACAAACAAAAACACCCCAACAGAACAATGGCAAAAACAACTGGTAGGATGTTCCCGTTGAGAAGGATTCCCGGATCACCTAAAGATTCCTCCTGTCCTCTACTGGGTGTTGCTGCCAGGGCATTTCAGGCATCTTTGCAGCCCGAGACTCTCCTCAAAGGAAAGAACAGCAAAGGCTGGGGGAATATGTTCATTTGTGAAGAAAAGGAAAATGTCAGGGTCGTTTTCAAAGCATGGGGTGATTAGTTTTGCCAAAAAATAAGTCAACAAAAACTGCAGAAAAACTGAGTAAAGCTACATATTCTCCTAACTGTAAACTGCCATCAAGGTGGCTCTTTTAATCATTACATATAAAATATCCAATGTACCCAGTACTGTTATTTTTCTATCATTTTGGCGAATTCTAGTGGGAAAAAAATGAAGAATGGGGAAGCTATAAACTTAGGAATAATTAAGTGCCTACACTGAACCACAAATTATATAGGACTTTGTAAAAATTTGTTTAATCCACAAGTATGGAAGAAAAATTAATCTTTATGATTTAAAAAAGAAAAAAACTCAGAGACTCAAAGAGAAAGAAAATAATTACTTAGTTAAAACAACAAATAAGGAAACCCAAACTTTTAGCTGGACTTAGTTTCTTAATCTACCCTTCTGCTTTTTTGAAGTCCATGCCAGAGAAGTGTGTTTTGAGCCTAGATCTCCATGCTCCAGTCCTCGGCTGCCAACAGCATGAGGCCCAGGACAGAAGTCCTGCCACCCCCATCTATGTGACATGGTGTTTTGACTTTGCCATGCAGGCAATGCTTATCACCTAGCCAAACTTACTCTTCTGTTACGCTAAACCAGGAGGGGGAAAGACAAGGCAAAGGAAGAAAAGACATCTATAAAAACAGCAGAAAATGTTTCTGAGGCAATTTTTCTTTTCAGAAAAAAACTGAGCCACAGAGGAAAAAATATTCACCAATGTCAAAAGTTCTGAATGCCACCCAACTATAGGATTGCTCAATCAAGGTAGTTTCTGGATCATTTCTCCTTTTAAAGAGCCCCATGAATACACAAAATCAGATCAAAAGTTCTTATTCTTCCACTATCACATCTATGAAATTATTTCCTTTAAATTATACATTAGTCTTCCCTTGTTAAAAAAATGTAAGAAATAAAAATTAAAAACTCACTGCTAGCTTAAAGCCTTAAGCACTAGCTTGTTTACCTCCATGAGTTGACACAGGGTGATGAGTCCAAGGTCTCATTATCTTTTAAAGGTCAAGGATGAGATAGCTTGGCTTGTTCGATGAACACAAGGCTATACCCTCAACACCCTGCTCAGAAATGAATGCCACTGTTTGTTCACAAAGGACAGGGAAAGAGCGTCTAGACAGATTAACACAAATCCATTCCCACTGCTGAGAAACCCCAAACCACATCCTATTTGATGGCTCATTAAAAAAAAAAAATTACTTGGGAAGTGTTCAGGCAGCAGATAAATTCCTACACTAGTCAGAAAGAACAGCTAATCAACAATACATCACACATAATATAAGCTTGACTCAATGAGCTCAAATCATGACAAAAATATGAGACTGAGACATACGGTTCTTCTCTGCCTCCTAAATTATTGGGTGTAGCAGTTTCAAGCAGAGATCCATGTATACCCGAAAGGTTAAATGCATCCACTATGTTATGGTATGTTATGTTATGTTATGTTATATTTTAGACACAGGGTCTCACCATCTCACCCAGTCTGGAGTAGAGTGGCACGATCTTCACTTACTGCAGCCTCGAACTCCTGGCCTCAAGCAATCCTCCTGCCTCAGCCTCCCAAGTAGCTGGGACTATGGGTGTGTGCCACCATGCTCAGCTAATTTTTAAAATTTCTTTGTAGAGATGAAGGTCTTTCTGTGTTACCTACGCTGGTCTTGAACTGTCCTCAGTCTCAGCCTCCCAAAGCACTGGGATTATAGGTGTGAGTCACCAGGCCTGGACATTAAATACATCTATAACCTACTTCACAAGTAATTCTGAAAAGTCTCTAGGGTCTAAAAATAAAGTGATTTTTTTCCTTCCTTCTGGAAGACATAAGTTAAAAAGGCATTGTGTACAAAAGTCAGTATGACAAAGAATTTAATCTTCCACTGTGTAGCTAAGAATTACCATTTAGTTGAGAACTCCTTGACTTGTCATGACTGTGCTAAGTGTTGTATTAATAATCGTCCTGGCCGGGCGTGGTAGTTCACGCCTGTAATCCCAACATTTTGGGAGGCTGAGGCAGGCAGATTGCTTGAGGTCAGGAGTTTGAGACCAGCCTAGTGAACATGCTGAAACCCTGTCTCTACTAAAAATACAAAAAATTAGCTGGGTGTGGTGGTGCACGCCTGTAGTCCCGAGGCTGAGGCACGAGAATTGTTTGAGCCTGGGACGTGGAGGTTGCAGTGAGCCAAGATCACACCACTGCACTTCAGCCTGGGCAACAGAGTGAGACTCTCTCAAAAAAAGAAAAAAATCATCTCACCCAACCTGATCCATCCTGTGAGGTCTGCTCTAAAGACACCTGGGGGAATGGTGTGTCTATGAGGAGGAGGCTCACTGTCTTGCTCCAGATGTGCATGCAAAGTATTACTTCAGCTTCGTTTTACTCAGGAGGACACCTGGGCTCAGAAACCTTTGATAAGAAATCAAGGGTGGGACCCCAGAAATCCAAGTGGGACCTTATGGGACTCCAAAAATGGAGTTCTTTCCACTCTGCCTTATTGCCTCTGATATGTTTATCCATACGTTTCTACAGAATTTGACCGTTCAGGTAAAATCAGCAATAAAAGCAAGCACTCTTCTTGCACATTTTTAAGCGGTTTTTGTTGTGGTTTTTATTTTTTAATCTTACAGCTCAAATAAATGTTTCTCTACCAGAAGCACTTAAGAAATATTATCATTATTTTTGAGATGGAGTCTCGCTCTGTCACCCAAACTGGAGTGCAGTGGCGTGATCTTGGCTCACTGTTGCAACCTTTACCTCCAGGATTCAAGCGATTCTCGTACCTCAGCCTCCTGAGTAGCTGGGATTACAGGTGCGTGCCACCACACCTGACTAGTTTTTGTATTTTTAGTAGAGACGGGGTTTCACCATGTTGGCCAGGCTGGTCTCCAACTCCTGACCTCAAGTGATCTGCCCGCCTCGGCCTCCCAAAGTGCTGGGATTACAGGCATGAGCCACTGCGCCTGGCCAAAAATATTTTCAAAACTTCAGCAAATAAAGTATAATTATCAAAAACAAAATCATTAACGTAATATAAACTGCTCATATATAATACAAACATGAACTATTTACTATATATATTCATTTTACCTGAGCTATGCTTTGTTCTCTCAAACCATTTTGAAGCCATGGCCCATGGATTCTACCAGTAATGATTAGCGTTTCGTGCTGGGAGTCCTATAAAATCCTGTCTTCATTACACATAATGTACCATACTTTATGAGTTCTGGCCCAACAGGTTACCTTATGGCTAAGAACTGGAGCTACTTTTTAGATAGTTCACTAAGAGCAAAATCTGTAACTGGGCCAGAAGGCTCTGCACATGGCCTACCTGTCTTCCAGCTTCCTGCTCCCTCCCCTGCCCGCACAATACTGCTTGGCACTGGCCTTCTGCCACTCCTGGAACCTGTCGGCCCTTCTCCCTGTTGTGGCTGAGCCTTTAGAAAAGGCGCTTCATCATCGTGGAGCATTCCTGCCACTGTCACAAAGCTCTCACTGACCATTCTTTCACTTCTTGGAGCAAAACTCTCTTTCTTAGAGAAGCCTCCCTGACTGCCGCAGACGAGGTCCGTTTACCCTGTTCTGCCCTCTCAAAGCACTTTCTACCCTTTACTGGACTAATTTCTGTCTCTCCCACTAGACTGCAAACTCCATGAGGGCAGGGCATCTGTTTTGTTCACCACAGTATCCTCAGTACCAGGTCAGTGCCCGGCACACATGCATTAATTCAACAAACATTTGAGCACTAGTGCACATAAGGGATTGTTGTAGGCACAGGGGACATATCATGAACCTCAGATTCTAGTCAAGGAAACAAGACAATGGTGGGGGTATGGACAAAAGGAAACAATCAGTGCTTCAGAAAACCAGATAGCAAGGAAGGGGGGATATAAGAGTCACTTTATTTATTTAATTTAATGTAATGTCATTAATTAATTTATTTTTTTGAGATGGAGTTTTGCTCTGTCACCCAGGCTGGAGTGCAGAGGCACAATCTCGGCTCACTGCAACCTCTGCCTCCCAGGTTCACACCATTCTCCTGCCTCAGCCTCCTGAGTAGCTGGGACTACAGGTGCCCACCACCATGCCTGGCTAGTTTTTTTTGTATTTTTAGTAGAGACAGGGTTTCACCGTGTTAGCCAGGATGATCTCGATCTCCTGACCTCATGATCCACCCGCCTCAGCCTCCCAAAGTGCTGGGATTACAGGCATGAGCCACCACGCCTGGCCAAGAGTCACTTTAAATGCAGTTGAAGGCACAACATCATTAAGAAATTCTGAACAATCATTTGATGGAGGTGAGGTGAGGGAGACTGAATCACTAAATATCTGAGGAAAGATATTTCCTCAGAAATATGCCATACTTGTAATATAAAATACCATACTTAAAATATGCCATATTTTATGAGTTCTGGCCCAAAAGGTTACCTTATGGCTATGAACTGGAGTAACTTTTTAGATAGTTCACTAAGAGCAAAATCTGTAATTCGGCCAGAAGGCCCTGTAGCACGTGGCCAGCTTGTCTTCCAGCTTCCCAAGGGAGAAGGGAGGAAGCAGTGAGTGAAAAGGCCACCTGAGGACCTGTGGAGTATGGTCTGGAATAAGCAAGCATATAGCAGACACTCCATGGCATAAATAAGGCTGCACGGGGAAGCTACGTTAAATCAAGCTGTTAATTATCACAGATGCCAAGGTGAAGCTAAGTTTCCATCATGTAACTTCTCTGTGGGGAGTAACACAGTATGTGGCCCAAAGAACAAACATCTTTACGAATCAACACTTGCCTGTTCCTTATTGTTCCCTCAACCAAACTTGCCGTTGTCACTGTGTCACTGTGCTGGTTACTCATTTCTTCACCAAATTCCAGAACATATACTTGTTTTTGTCTCTTACTGATCAGCCTTTGAGATGGGATCTTGCTATATTGCCCAGGCTGGACTTGAACTCCTGGGCTCCACAATCCTCCTGCCTCAATCTCCTGAGTAGCTGGGACTATAAGCTTGTGCCACCACTCCTGGCTGCTAACTTTTTTTAAACAGATGTCCCGAATATAAACATGAATTCCACCTCAGGTAGCAAATTCTACAGTATATTTTGTTGCAGTTTTACTGGTTTCACTGGCCTAACAACTGACCTTAAACATATGTAGATGGAAATATTTTATTGTCAATTTAATGTTTCCTCAGAGATTTTAGCAGTAAAAAGAAAGGAAAACAGCCACTAGAGGTAAGTGAAGAGGACTGCATTTAAATCCCATAAAGCAGTGGCAGAAAAAATTCTCCCTACGGCCAATGAATGCATGACAGAAGGACACGCCTAAAAAAGAGATGAAAAGCTGTACCTAATATTTTGAAATCAACTAAAAGATTTAAGATAATAATATATGAAAGAACATTAAGGCTAGGCATGGTGGCTTGTACCCATAATCCTAGCTACTCGAGAGGCTGAGGCAGGGGGATTATTTGAGCCCAGGGATTCAAGGCCAGCCTGGGCAATACAGCAAGACCCTGTGTCTTAATTTTTTTTTTTTTTAAATTAGCCAGGCATACTGGCGCACATCTGTAGTCCTAGCTACTCAGGAGGCTGAAGCAGGAGGATTGCTTGAGGCCAGGAGATTGAGGCTGCAGTGAGCTATGATAGCACCAATGCACTCCAGCCTAGGTTAACAGATAGATACTCGACTAAAAATAAATAAGTAAATTGATAGATAGACAGACAAACAGAATGAACATTAAATCAGAATTAGGAAATCTCAGAAATGAGGTCACAGTACTCAAGAAAACATTAACACTCAAAAAAAATTAGATATAAAAAGGAAAATTGTTTTATGAGGGCCAAATTAGAAAAAATACAAGAATAAAAAAACACAACTTGCCTTAAGAGAAACAGATAATTAAAAGATAAAAAATTTTAAAACCAAAAAAGAATTAAATTAGATAATTAGAAATTAAATAAATTAAAAATGACTTGAAAGAAAGTGACACAGATGATGGGCAAAGATCCAAATAGCTATAATAGAAGTTTTCATAGACAAAAACAAAAGCAAGGGAACAGAACAACGCTGAAAATTACAACTCAAGAAAACTTTGCTCAGATAACCAAAAAAGGCTCAATATTGCATGCTGAAAGGCTATACCGCATACATCTGCGAAAACGGATCCAAAACAACTAGTCAAAATATACATTTCAGTAAAACTAGGAGACTTAAAAAAAAATTCAGCGCATCTGGTCAAAAAGAGTAAGTCAAGAAAAAAAAGTCAGATTGCCATCACACTTTGAGAGAAGCATTTCAAGCCAAAATAAAATGGAACATATTTAAGATTCTCAAAGAAAGAACATTTGAATCAAGGGTTCTTTCATATATAATTTTACACCTAGCTGAGCCTACTTTCAAGTACAAAGGCTTCTGACAAACTAACATTCAAGAACTCAGGGAGCACTTTTCCCATGACTCTTCCAAAAAAATGTAGTAGATGACCAAACTCATGGAACAAACATCATCGTAGGAACTGAGAGTGAGAATTAAATGTACACTTACCTGTAAAACAGAGACTAAATGATGGTTATAAGCGTTAGCATAGAGTATACAATGGCTATTTGCTCTGACAATGTAAATATGGTATAATTATTTTAAAAAGAAAAGGACAGAATGAAGAGGGCACACAAGAAGGTAGAATAAGAGTGCTGACTTCCTTACAGCTAATAAAGGGTATTTTTCTAAATCAGACACAGAAGAGGGAAGGCAGGGAAAATAAGAGATTATAGCTAATTTCAATATTGGTCATAGTAGGGTACCAATAGACAATGACTAAAAAGAGACAAGACTGAAGTACTGTATAACGTTATTTGTGGCAGACTGTAAAATGGCAAAAAAAATCCTTCCTTTTTATGCATGCCCCTTGCAATGTGACTTTTCTGCTCCTGCCATCAAGAGGTGCGGTGTATTTACTGCTCCCCTTGAATTTAAGATTGGCATGAGACCTGCTTTGGCTGAAGGTATATTAACAAGCATAATGCAAACTGAGGCTTGCAGGGTAGCTTGTGCTGTCTTGCTGCTGGGAACCCTTTGGTCACCATGTGGACAAGCTGGACTAGCCATCTACAGGATGAGGGGCCACATGGGGAGAGGCTCCCACTGTCCCAGTAATCCCAGCTGAGACACCAGAAGTGTGACTGACGTCATCCAATCCCAGCCAGTCTGGCCTAGACCAGAACTGCCTAGGCAACCTATGGAATTATGGGAAACAGGTAAGTATTGTTTTAAACCATTATGTGTTCAAAAAATGAGGTTTAGAACGAGGAGGACATCTGAAAAATAGAATATGCTTGACGACTGCCTTATAAGTGAAGAGCCCATATGCTTATATGCTAAAAAACAGAATATGCCTGAAGATTGCCTTATAAGTCAACAGAAAATAAAAGGTTATTTTTTCTTTTTTTGAGACAGAGTTTTGCTCTTGTTGCCCAGGCTAGAGTGCAGTGGCAAAATCTTGGCTCATTGCAACCTCTACCTCCCAGGTTCAAGTGACTCTCGTACCTTGGCTTCCTGAGTAGCTGGGATTACAGGTGTGCGCCACCACACCCAGCTAATTTTTTTGTATTTTTCATAGTGATGGGGTTGGCCAGGCTGGTCTCAAACTCCTGGCCTCAAGTGATCCACTTCGGCCTCCCAAAGTGCTGAGATTACAGGCATGAGCCACCATGCCTGGCCAAAAGGATATATTTTCAAACCAGATGTTGAGGGGGTGTTATCTAATTTCAATATTCCTATTAGAAAAATAATCGATAATGAAAAACATGGGGAGTGGCTATGGTATTACATAATGGCATATGTAGCCCTTAGAACAAAAATTTAATTTGCTCTTTTTTAAAAAACCCTCAAAAATAATAAAAATAATACAAATTAAAAGAGATAGAGAATAAATAAAACAGACCACAGAGAAAGACTACTTCATATACCCAGGAGGTCGAGGCTGCAGTGAGCTGAGATCACACCACTACACTCCAGCCTAGGCAACAGAGTAAGACCCTGTCTCAAAAAAAAAAAAAAAAAAAAAAAAAGACTACTCATATTAAAGAATTGCATACATACATATGTAATATGAAACAATGACAGAGCCAAGGCCAAACATATTGGCTATACCAATACATTTAAATGGGCTTAATTTATGTGTTAAAATTTAAAAAAAAAAATTCAGATTGGCTAGCAAAGCAAAATCCCACACTATGCCATATTACTACTGTCGTACTACTATGCAGTAATCTCCTGAATGGCTTGTAAAATAAAAAAAGCAAAGTAGAAAAAAGTAAATATAGCAGATTACAATTTACCTAAGAAACAGAAGAATATAAATATGTATACTTATGTTTTTATGTTAAGAAAAACAATGGAAGGATGAAGCAAAACAAAAATTACTTTTAAATAGTTACTCATTAAGGTGGGGAGAGAACAGGATGGAGGAGACAGGAATTAAAATCTAGACTTTTTTCAATATAGTACACCTTGTCTTTTAAATTTGACTTTGGAACTACGACAATATTTTAAATAATTACAGAACAGTTATATTTTTAAAAGTGATCTCTAAGAAATGAAAATAAAAGAAAACAAATGAACCCAATGTCTCCAACTGGGGGCATAAGCTCACAGACAGGGAATGTTCCAGAAGCTATCAGACTGTGCACCCCTAGAGATACACTAAGGTGGAAAGAACTGCAAAAGACAAATCTTAAGCCATCCTCGATTATTAAATCGGTGGCGAATGCACTGGTTTTGTTATTCTGAGGCTGTGGGGTGTGTACCATGGGATAAAGCAACTGAATGATTATATGATATTCTATTTCTACCATCTCCAGTGTCATTGAGAACCAGGATTCTTGCTATGAGAGAAAGAACGTATATATTTAGGACAAAAAAGATTAAGTAGAAAACCTATAGTCCTGATGTTGTATCAGAAATATCAGTTTGAACTCATGATGTATTTTCATCTGAAAGAAAAGAGAGGGGCATGGAGGGGAGGGGAGAGGAGAGAGGAAGGGAGGGGAGGGGAGGGAAGGGAAGGGGAGGGGAGGGGACGTGAGTGGAGGGTGGAGGGGAGGGGAGGGGAGGGGAGGAAGAACATTTTCTGAGCTCTGTCTGTTGTAAAGCTCAGAAACAATAACCAACCCAGTACAATGAGCACTCTAGCACCCAGAATGAGGTCTCGAAATGCCATTTTCCTTGAAAGGAACCAGAGCTCTTTGTAGAAGTGCTGATTCCAGGTCTGGGGAAGTGAATGTACAAGATGAGCCTGGAACATCTTGTCATCTCAGAGGGCCAGTCAAAAGAATTCATCGGCCAACCTCAAGAGGTTCTGATTTGCAACACTGGGAGAACTGGAGCATTAGTAAGGGTCAAAACTGTGACTGACTAAATCATATTATAGATTTCTCTATGTCATTATGTCCATAAGTCCATGATGATACTAAAACAAACTAACTGGCCACTACTGTCCATTTTTAGGCAAGAATCAAACATAAATTCTGCTTTTCCTATACCAATTGCCAACCACATAGCAGACAAGTAAAAGTTTCTCTTTATAGATATATTCCAACTAATAAAAGAAAAAGGCATGCTAGAATTACAGTATCACCATATTGCAGTCTCTAATGAAATAATGGATCTAGGTTAAGCATTAACACAGCCAATAAATCACACACAAAAAGAGAGATACTAGATACTAGATGTGCTTCCTGATGGAAGAACACATCACCACCTGTGAAGCAGTCTTGCAGCCTCAAAACATCAGTTCTTATTCTGATCAAGCTTCTAGCTTTAACAACAAGCTTATATGAAAAAGGAGGACAAAAGAATATATAAAACAACATGAGAGGTGGGGAGTGGATACAATCAGTAAAGTTCAGACTGTAAGAAATGCTACAGGACGAATAACCTTGCTTCTTCAACAAACGAGGGGGTGAGGGCAGAAGAGAGACACACTGATAGATTAAGAGACACCACAGACATTTCAACAACCACCATGTGTGGCCCTTATATGAATCTTGACTTCAGTGGAAAAAGATAAACTCATGACATTTGTGAGATAACTTGAAATTTTAACAGTCTATCAATAGTTTATCATTTTAAGATATTAATGATTTATTTTTTAGGAGCAATACTAATATTGTACCTATGTTTAAAAAAATAATCTGTGGGCCAGGCATGGTGGCTCATGCCTGTAATCTCAGCACTTTGGGAGGCCAAGGTGGACTGTTTGAGCTTAGGAGTAACATATCGAAACCCCGTCTCTACCAAAAATTAGCCAGGTACAGGGACATGCACCTGTAGTCCCAACTACTAGGGAGGCTGAGGCAGGAGAACAGCTTGAGCCTGGGAGGTGGAGGTTGCAGCGAGTGGAGATCGCACCACTGCACTCCAGACTGGGTGATGGGAGTGAAACCCTGTCTCAAAAAAAAAAAAATCTGTTTTTAAGAGACACACTGGAATATTTCCCAGTGAATACAATATGGATCTAAAATATGCTTCAAAATAAAAAGTGAGAGAGCAGGTGTTCGTAGAGATGAAACAGGACTGGCCACGATTAAGTGGCTGAAGGGGTTGGGGGTGAGTACAGACTTGTCACTATATTCTTCTTTATAGTGTGTGTGTCTTGGACATTTTTTTCCACAATAAAAAGTTCAACCAAACAAACAACATGAGTGCAACAGGTTCTCCCTCAGAGCATGGAGGAGACTGGCCACTGCCACAATCATGGTGTTGGCCTCTCTGGTTACACAATGCTTTATCCTTTAATTCTCTAGTCTAGTTTCTCCAAATAGCTTCAGTAAGGTAAAAGATTTTTATCAGAACATCATTTTCACTTTCACTGCTTTTCAGCTCTATCAAGGGCTTCTGTAATGTACACTTTGGCAAACCTAAACATTCCCTTTTCTTTTTCATAAGAAAAACAAAGCAAAATAGAGTACTTGACAGACAACAGAGAATTTCCCCTTCTTTTCCCTTTAGAATAATGAAGATGAGGCTCCAAACTCAACCTCTTGCAGCCGTTCTCTGAAAGTAAACCAGGGTTGCCAAAAAGTTCTATGGCCTGCAGGTCCCTGCGTCACCCCATCCTCCAGCCCGGCAAATCTCTGACATGTGGTAAAGCCTGTGCAAAGTCACATGTCAGGAAATAAACACACAGAGCCACTCCACTGAACATCAGTTCACAGCCACAGGAACGCTTTTGCTTTCCATTTGGAATATTTGTTAAATATATGTAACGGGCCGGGCACGGTGGCTCACGCCTGTAATCCCAGCACTTTGGGAGGCTGCGGCGGGCGGATCACCTGAGGTTGGGAGTTTGAGACCAGCCTGACCAACATGAAGAAATCCCATCTCTACTAAAAATACAGAATTAGCAGGGTGTAGTGGTACATGCCTGTAATCCCAGCTACACGGGAGGGAGGCTGAGGCAGGAGAATTGCTTGAACCCGAGAAGTGGTGGTTGTGGTAAACCAAGATTGCGCCATTGCACTCCAGCCTGGGCAACAAGAGCCAAACTCCATCTCAAAAAAAAAAAAATACACGTAACCACCACCTATTGACGTTTCAGTCAACAGTGGACCCCCTTATACATGGTGGTCCCATAAGATTATGATACTGTATCTTTTCTATGTTTAGATATACAAATACCATTGTATTACAACTGCCTACTGTATTCAGTACAGTAACATGCTGTACAGGTGTGCAGCCTAGAAGCAACAGGCTACTCCTTGTAGTCTAGGACTGCAGTAGGCTGTACCATATAGGTTTAAGTACACAACGATGTTCACACAACGAAAATGCCTAACAACACATTTCTCAGAAGGTGGCCCCTGTTACTAAGCTTATGACTGTATTACTAAGGAGCTAAGTCAAAGGTAAAAATAGTCCAGCAGGTAAAAACAAGAAAAGCTCAAACACCAATACTACAGAGAGATCTTTAGCCACAAACATCATTTGCACATCAAGAACCAAACAGAATTGGGGTGCAGGTGAGGAGGTGGGCTGAGCTAAGGTAGAGCCTCTTCCCACTAGGAATGTAAAGGAGTATTAAAGGATAATTAGAACTTTTTTTCCTAAATGCACAAATCTCAGGTGTCAGAAATAAGAGAGAAAAGAGCTGGGCATGGTGGTATACACCTGAAATCTAGCTACCTGGGAGGTTGACGCAGGAGAATGGCTTGAGTCCTGGAGTTTAAGGTCAGCATGGGCAGCACAGTGAGACTTGGTCTCTTAATAAGAGGGAAGCAGGAAGGGGAGAAATAAGAGAAAATGTAAAGCCAGGGCTTAAGAGAAAGAGTGGGCTGGGGCAGCCCTGGTGGAAAAAAGGGGAAAACAAGACCAGGTACAGGGGACAATATCCAGAAGTCACAAAGACCCAGACATGGCCTCAGACCTGTGTGGCACAGGAAGCTGGAACAAGGTCCCTGCATCAAGATGGGCACACAGAAAGGCTGCCCCCTCCAAGTGAAGAAGGCAAGAACAACAACCAGCCCAGAGAAATGGCAACCAAAGCTCCCTGTCCATGGCCTGGGGTGGGGAGAGAAAGGTCTGTAAAGAGAAATCTCATCTCAAGCCTGCTCCACAAGTGGGTGCTAAGAAAAAGGAACAAAGAAAACACCTGGTAATACTAAAGATAAGTGGACCCAATTCACCATTTAAAAGACAGATTCTCAGACTAAAGAAAAGCAAATTTACATATAGATGCTCTTCACAAAAGACACATAAAAACCTACTCACAAAGCAACTCAGAAAGAAATTCAGAAGTAAAAGGATGAAAAAGATGTATCAGGCAAATACTTAACAAAAAAGGAAAACCTTGACATAAAGTTATCGGACAAAAATGAGTTCAGGACAAAAAAACCCCAAACAACAAACCACTAATTAGAAAAACAGCATTAAACTATGCAAAGAAAAACTGACAGAATTATAAAGAAAAACTAACAAGTACACACACACACACACACACACACACACACACAAACTATACATATACATATATATATCCCCCAATTATAAACTCGTGTCAAGCAAACAAAAATAATTAGTAAATATACAGAAGATTGGGACGTTTCTGACAAACCCTACACTTAACAGTTAGAAAATGTACTTTCAAACAAACGTGGCACATTTACAAAACCTGACTAGGCCATAAAGCAAGACTCAACAGATAGCACACACTGTCTTAACCACATTCTCTAACACAATGCAATACAATCAGAAAATACAGTCAGGACAGGATGCAAATTAGAGCAATCTCTGCTTTCTGCCCCATTTCTCCGAACACAGTCAGAGAAGTCTATCCTCCTGCTGACCTAAAATTAATACTGTACATACGTAGAGATCAGATACAGAAAAGTCTAAAGACTTATACAGAATATGAAATGATTATTACATTTAATGTCAAAGACAGAACAGCTAACCAAAGGAAAACAAAACCTGCCTGCCTCTTTGAGCCTCCCAGAAATGACAGAAGGATTAGGGACATAAAGGGCTCAGTCATTCAGAGGACAGGGAGGTCCTTAAACAACCTAAGTATAGTCACTTGTTGCCTAATGAAGGGGTATGTTCTGAGGAATGCATTGCTGTGTGAACACCATAGGGAGCACTTATACTAGATGGTGTAGCCTACTACACGCCTGGGCTATACAGTATAGCCTATTGATCCTAGGCTACAAACCTGCACAGCATGGTACTGAATACGGTAGGCAACTGTAACACAATGGTTAAGTATTTGTTTACCTAAACACAGAAAAGGTATAGTAAAAATATGGTATTACAATCTTATGGGGCCACTGTAGTATACGCAGTCCATAGTTGACTGAAATGTCATTATGTAGCATATGACTGTAGTTGATTCTAACCTGTGATGTATTAAAATTCTCACTTTTCTTACCCTAAGACACTTAAAATATTTCATGGAGTGTTGTTTCCCCAAGACAGCTACCTGGTTATGACTTCTTTATTTTGTTTGTTTTTTCTTATTAGTAAGCTCTCGAAGAACAGCCAAAGTGTGAAGGCAAACCAGTATGCCATCATACCCTTGGTCCATCACGGCGGTTTAGATCATCAAGATTCATTACCAGGTACACCTTCCTGTCCAAACATGAATTATGAAAAAGATCTTTACTCCTAGGGGCAGCTGTTCACTGCTGCTGCTAAACTGCAGCATTAAGAGTGTTCGATTTATCAAGATAAGAAGACAAAGATCAAGCTTGAACATAATCACTTTTCAAACTGCTTGCAAGCATTCGAAGTGGGGAAAGACAAGGAGGGGAAAAGCTCCTTTAACTAAAATTAGAAACCTACTGATAATTTAAAGGAAACTCTTTACATTTACTTAAAATATGTTACTGAAGATATTTTATCTCCACTAGAATATAATTTCCCAAACATTATTCAATTAAAATATCTCAGAAACAATATGAAAACTGAGTAATCAACTGCCTGTAAAAATTTCTCCAAGTAGTTAACATCAGCAAAATACAGCCATCAGTGCCACTCGGATCCTGCTTCATGGTTTCTATGTGTCTTTCCTTGTTCAGATCCACTAAATCTTTCTATTACCAGGCAACACAGAATATCATACATATAAAATGAAACTCTTATTTCCTTTGTATATCAAGATGAATCTCTCTTTTAAATATTATAGTCCAACCCAGCATATCTAATAGGGAGGAATGGGGATATAATTTCATGAGAAAAGAGAAGGATTTAAACAATGACAGATTTTAAAACAGTCTATAACAGAAACAACTACTACTACTACGAAATATGAGGAGTGTTAAATTTCCTTGTTTCAGTTTGTCTGAAGTTATCCAGAATACTTACAGATAATCTTGCAATGGAATTTCAGTATGAAGATCTCTAAGAAAAAGATCCGGATTAAGTTCTTAAGCTAGTAAATGCGCCTCTCTACAGATGAGGAAGTAAATGCATCAAAGGATAAAGGCTGTTCCCCAAGAAATGAAACAGATGACTCCCTCCCACCTGAAAGATAAGGATGTCTCTGGAAAACTCAGGATGCCTAGTTTGAAGTTGTCCAAGACTCATCAGTTTCCAGCACTTAATACTGATGTGGTATTTTGTAACCCTCAATGCAGCGGTCACAGAAGGGACAACCCTTCTATGATGGCAAGGCAGGGAACCCAATTATTCCCAGACCAAGGTGGGGTGCACAAACATTCCATTCAAATGAAGGTCAGCACAGCAAGCAAACAGGGACCATGAATCAAGCTTCCAGGAGATGAGGGAAGGCAATGGCATGGAGGCTGTGTGCTCTGCTGGGACACAGGACCCTTCCCTCAGCCTGTCCCTCCTGTTCATGGCACCCTCTCTTCATTATCACCTACCTGCAAAGGGGCCCTGCAAGCCTATGACAGAGCCGCTCAGTGAATCCAGAGATTCAGTTCACTCAACAGACCTAAAAAGCAACACTCTCCTTAATTGTAGGCTCCACCAGGAAAAGACTATACTGTTATTTGCACAGAGGTGAAAAGAAAGATTGCCTAATAGGAAGGACACTGAGTGTTCTCACCATGATTTCAACCAAATTTTCTTTTTCTTTTCTTTGAGATGGAGCCCAAACTGTAGTGTACAGTGGTGCGATCCTGGCTCACTGCAACCTCCACCTCCCGGGTTCAAGCAATCCTCCAACCTCAGCCTCCCGAGTAGCTAGGATTACAGGTGTGCACCACCAGGCCCGGCTAATTTTTTTTGTATTTTAGAGGCGGGGTTTCACCATGTTGGCCAGGCTGGTCTCAAACTCCTGACCTTAAGTGATTCGCCCACCTCAGCCTCCCAAAGTGCTGGGATTACAGGCATGAGCCACCACCTATAACCAAATTTTCTACATGTTACTTTTCCCAAGAACTTGCCAAAAGAATTAAATAAATCATCCACTGTTTTTTTTTTTTTTTGAGACGGAGTCTTGCTCTGTCACCCAGGCTGTAGGGCAGTGGTGCGATCTCGGCTCACTGCAAGCTCCGCCTCCCGGGTTCACGCCATTCTCCTGCCTCAGCTTCCCAAGTAGCTGGGACTACAGGTGCCTGCCACCACGCCTGGCTAATTTTTTTGTATTTTTAGTACAGATGGGGTTTCACCATGTTAGCCAGGATGGTCTCAACCTCCTGACCTCGTGATCCACCCACCTCAGCCTCCCAAAGTGCTGGGATTACAGGCATGAGCCACCGTGCCCGGCCTCATCCACTGTTTTTACTCAGCTCCCATCTCAGGCCGCTTCCTTCTAAAGGGGCCAAGATGCAAGTTAATAAGCAGCTGAAATGAACAGGCTGGCAAAGTAAACCATACATCCCTGGTTTTCCCAAACCTCATCACACAAAGGAAAAGTCAAGGGTGTAATCCACAATAAGGAGATTCATCTGCAGAAAATAAACTATCAAGAAAAGAAAAAAGCAACATCATCTTCAATTAAAGTCAAATTCAACAGTTGTAGCCATCCTATGTCTCCATTTGCCTAACTATCCAGTACTTGGAGCCGTCCACGGTCACTGTGCCAGGGTTAAAGTTGGGCCAGGAGTGGCCGGGCCTCCCTGCAGCCAGCCCATTTTTGTGGCATTTCTCTTGTCAGGCAAGAACCAGAATGACTCTCCTGAAGCTCTGAGGTGAGTACCTCTCCTTTAAAAGCAAATAAAAAGTAGACAGCCCAGAAATCCTCTTCCTAATGGCTTTGGGTCAAACACCCTGGTGAAGAAAGGAAGGCAGAGAACAACAAACACTCCAGTCTTGCAGCTATATTCTATAAAGTCTCCATTGTTAAATAAAATGTATAGAGGTCAATGGTTTGGACTGAGCTCCTGCACTAGGCCCAACAGACCTAACTGAAATGGAGTCACTCTTAAAGTTCCATGTCACCAAGCTGAAACTAATTTCTCTATATGACCTTGTGGGGAATCCAAATGAGAGTAAACAGCTGAATCTCCAAACAAGCCAGTTTTACCTGACGACATGATAAATTGAGTTCCCTCTGCTTTAACCTTTACAAGGAAAGCAACTATGAAATGACCAATCTGCTTTTTGTTTTCTGTTTCTGCTTTCTTCAACCCTTCTCTATCTATAAAACCAACCTCCTCTGCCCAGCTCATTGGAACGCTCATTCTATTTTATGGAATGAGTTGTTGTCCCATTCCAGAACTGCAAATAAAGCCAATCAAGATTTTTAAACAAAATCTGTCATAATTTTTTTCTTTTTGACGTCATGAAAGCTGAATTAGCAAATGCTGAGTCATTGTTTCTAGGGAAATACAAGATTAGGGTCCTACAAACCTCTGATCACATGTTCATCAACCGATCAATATATTATCTTGTTTTATGTGTGTTTCTGTTTAAAGACATCTTAGTTAATATACTGTTGATTCATTAACACTGAACTCATGGCCAAGAGCACTTTAACTCATGTGTGAACAAAGCTCATCTAACACGTGTTTTCTCTGTAAGGCACCTCACATCCTTCTTGCATTCAGGAACACTGGGTATCCCTCTAACACTATGCTTTGGGGTCATTTTCAACAGCAAAATCACTAATAAAAAGGACAAAAATTCAAAACAAAAAACTGGCACTAAAAGCCTGTGAAAAGGAGCCGTGTTTACAGCCCAAGAGCAGAAACTGGAAGGCAGAGTGCAGTCTCCTTCAGCTTTGGCTGGAAGCACATGTTGGGCAATACAAAATTTTCCCAACCTGCATATCCCTGGGGATGACCACAAAAGCACGTGAAAACTGAATTGTGGGTTACAAAAAATTGAATATCTGAATTCACAAATACAGAATCTGTGAATAATGAGGACTGACTGTATTTTTAAAACCATGCCCAAACCAGCTGCTCAAACTGAGTGTCAGAATAAATCCATAGCCCTAATGAGTACAACTTCACCTTACAGCAAACTTCTCCTGTGCCTGTGGAATTCTCACATTCCTTATGAACCTACTCAAAAGTTAACCTCTGTAACAGAAAGCTGCTCTAGTAACTACTGAAGTGGGACCCCCACAAGAGGCTCCAAAGGAGACCCCTGACTGCACTGATAAGAGATTAATTAGAACGGCAACCCAACTGTAGGAAGCCATGGGAAAGAAAAGGAAAGACAACTAAAAATCATTCTGGCAGCAGGTTTTGTCTCTTGTTTAAAAGGTACAGACAGGTGAAGACCTGCAAGTCACTTAGGGCAACAAACATGGCCCTACCTGAGGGACATGCTGTCATTTTGCAAGCCGATCATACAAACACCAAGAGCTTCACACTCACACAGTCTCCATGATGCAGCAATACATCTTTTTTACAAACTTGACTCTGTGATATTTTATTGTCTGGATTTCTGAATAGACTGATGTGGGGGGGAAAGTGGACATTTACCGAGCAGCTAATGCCAGGCACTATGTCGAGAACTTTACCTTCATAACCTCACTGAATTCTCCCCAGCCTGGTAAAATGAATTTTCTCTTCTCCACTTTAACCTCTGGAGCTAAGGACTCAGGTTACATCAAACACCACCGATTTTATTTCCTTCAAGCGGCTAAAATAACTCGAGAGATTGTTTGGATATTTCAACTAGTTGAGTATTCAATTAATCACTTTAATTACTAATGATTACTTTATAAGTATTTCTTATAAACTGGATTCATGAGTTTTCCTCTAGGTAGAGATCTTTCCCTGCAAGAAACGAGAGAAAAAACATTTTCTCTTTACAGAAACTTCTCTCATCTCTAGTCATAATTCTTTAACTGTTTCATGGAAGACTGGACACAGATCAAGCAGCACTCAGCAGACATCTTCGCCCTGACTCCTATAAAAGTGTCACTTCACCGTGAGTGCAAAGGTGGCCCTGAGCGAGTGCCTAACCAAGGCCCCTCTGCCAGGCTTCTCCAGCTCCGGACTCTAAAGGCTTCCCCACAACTACAGGAGAGGTACGCTGTCGAATCCGAATGCTAAGTCTGTCCACATTACTTAGCATGAATAAGCATTTCAATGTTTTACTTGGCGTTGGAAAGGTAGATTGGTTGCCAGCACGACAGCACCACCTTCTGGTTGGTGAAAAGGAATTAAGATACAAAGTCACATCTGGAGCATTTCAAGTTTTGTAAGCCAGATGGATGGCAAAGTTGAAAATCTAGTTTCCATAAAATCCGAACAATGTCAGTAGCAATTAAACACCCTCACAGATCAGTAATGGAATAGTAACTGTAGGTCACTACTGGCTACTGCTCCACTTCTGGGCACACTGCAGCCACTTCCAGCCTCTCAGCCCTGACATTGAAGCCCACTGCGCCCTATGAAAGAAATTCCTTATCATGTCATCAGAGTCACATCCATCCCCCTGGCTGTGCAAAAAGGTTCTCTGCTGTTCACAAAGTCCAAATTTGATGGCCAGCAATAAAGTATCAGACACTGGCCCAACAACCACTCCCACTGGTACTCGTTGGCAGGTAGGGAGTATCGTCCTCTGATGGTTCTAACGAGGACTATCATCCTCTTATGGAGCCCATGAGGACTCGGCATCCCCTTCCTGTTCCCCTCAAGCATGGGACTCCTTGGTAGACTGTGCTGGAGAAGGATCTTGAGTGTGAGGTCCAAATGGGGCTTCCTCCTATAGGTGATACCATCCCTACAGAAATCCAGAAATCCAGACCACGAGACCCCATCATGACAGCTGCAAGAGGCCTCTGAACTCTAAACGATTCCTTAATCTCAGCTTCCAAGAGACCCCAGCAGCTGGTTTCCAGGCCTGCCTTCTTCAATGCAGTGGCCCCATCCACTTGTCAAATGGCCCTTGGGTGTCAGACTCTTCCTGATTCTGCTCATCAGGTAAGCTATTCATCCTGCTCCCTCAAGGAGAGCCAAGCAAGGTGGACAGAGAGAGGACTGTGCTTTAATCACGACATCCTTCTCTTGGTGAGCAGCACAGAAGTCTCCTCCAGACCTGTGGAGACCACAGGGTGAAGGAATGAGCATTTCTTCCTGAAGCTGTCCACAGGAATCCCAAGCCCCAGGCTACTCTAGAGAGAGGCAGCACCTGAGGAGGGAGAGCTCTGCCAGTTACCTCTGCTTCCCCCCAGCCCACCAACACCCGCCACAGTGCTTTGCACACCTGGAAAAGAGTAATTCTTCTTTAAATGAGGACTTTAATCTGTGTTTCTCCTGAAGTGCCTGAGTTCAAACTCTGTTTACCATAACCCTCAACAAGAAATCCATGTGCATTATAACCCAGTACACACACATACATCTGTACGTACAGAACCCTGAAAAAAAGGTTACATTAAAAAAAAAAAACTATATTATATAAGACACACTGACATTTTCTAACTTCTTCCATTTTATTAAAAATGCTGGTCACCATTCATTCAAATGACTTCACAACCCAGTGAGGGAGTGCAACCCTCACTGGGTGAACACTGTCGTAAACTTCCGCCTTCGTTCATCACTCTGTTGGGTGCCATGCTCCTCTCTCTTCTCGGCTATCCCAGAATTGGCCCCTTCCCAAGGACTGTACCAGGGCATCTCCTCAAAGCCCTCTCCAGCTCTGTGCCAGCACCATTCCAAATGCCAAGGATGTAGAATAATGACTAAGATGTAGCCCCCATGCAGAGAAGCCAAGTCTACTGGGTGGGACAGACTGACATTGCCTCTTCCTCTGAAGACAAAAACACTTGTTATCTGTATTCATTCATTCATGCATGCATTCATTCATTCATCCATCCATCCATCCATCCATCCATCCATCCCCCACCTTGACTCACTCCCACATCATTGTGGAAACAACAGCTTACATTTGTCAAAAGGCAGGCCAGGCGTGGTGTCTCATGCCTGTAATCCCAGCACTTTGGGAGGCTGAAGCAGGCAGATCACTTGGAGTTTGAGAACAGCCTGTCCAACAGAGTGAAACCCCATCTATATCAAAAAATACAAAAATTAGCCAGGCGTTGTGGTTAGTGCCTGTAGTCCTAGCTACTCAGCAGGCTGAGGCAGGAGAATTGCTAGAACCCAGAACGCAGAGGTTGCAGGGAGGCAGAGGTTGCAGTGAGGTGAGATCACACCACCGCACTCCAGCCTGAGTGACAGCACAAGACTCCATCTCAAAAAAAAAAAACAGATGAATCCATCTAATAGGGTTTCCTTTTTCACAATCTGTTTGTCAAGGGATAATTTTCATGAACTCTAAATTAGGAACTAAAGTGCACTGTCACTGATTCTTGGAAGCCAATGGCCCATTTATTACCCTATGTAGCATTTATAGATGTGGCAGGTTCCCAGATAAATTCAATTTGGCCTCAGCCTCTTAGAAAAGGCTGTGAACTAGAGTACATGCAAAGACTAACCTTCTACCATGCTTAAAAATACATAGAAACTGTTTGGGTACGTCCGTCAATTTCATCTACTTTTGACTTTGTGCTACCATGCCATCCTACACACATGGGAAAGAGTGCCATGAGGGTGCCCCCCCAGACAACAACCATGCTTTCCAAGGGCAGCTCTATTTGGTTGACCAACTTCGTACTCAATACTTGGAAATTCTTTCAAAAGCCCCAGACTTCTCAATGAAAACTGGTTAGATGTAATATTTTATTTTAAAACTTGTATTCAACCTGGCCAAGATAGCAAGATCCCATTTCTTTAAAAAAAAAAAAAAAAAGGCAGGCATGGTTGCATGCACCTATAGTCCCAGCTACTTGGAAGGCTAAGGCAGGAGGATCGCTTCAGCCCAGGAGTTCGAGGCTGCAGTGAGCTATGATCGCACTGCTGTACTCCAGCTTGACCCTGTCAGAGTGAGATCCTGTCTTAAAAAATTAAATTAAATTAAAATATAAAACTTGCTTTAACCAAGAATAAATAAATCCCCCCAACCAACATGACAGCAAAGTTTATACAAGGCACAAGATTCAAACTCTGATTTTTTTTTTTTTTTTTTTTAATTGTTCATTCTTGGGTGTTTCTCGCAGAGGGGGATTTGGCAGGGTCATAGGACAATAGTGAAGGGAAGGTCAGCAGATAAACAAGTGAACGAAGTTCTCTGGTTTTCCTAGGCAGAGGACCCTGCGGCCTTCCGCAGTGTTTGTGTCCCTGGGTACTTGAGATTAGGGAGTGGTGATGACTCTTAAGGAGCATGCTGCCTTCAAGCATCTGTTTAACAAAGCACATCTTGCACCGCCCTTAATCCATTTAACCCTGAGTGGACACAGCACATGTTTCAGAGAGCACAGGGTTGGGGGCAAGGTCACAGATAAACAGGATAAGAATTTTTCTTAGTACAGAGCAAAACGAAAAGTCTCCCATGTCTACCTCTCTCCACACAGACACGGCAACCATCCGATTTCTCAATCCTTTCCCCACCTTTCCCCCCTTTCTACTCCACAAAACCGCCATTGTCATCATGGCCCGTTCTCAATGAGCTGCTGGGCACACCTCCCAGACGGGGGGGCGACCGGGCAGAGGCGCCCCTCACCTCCCGGGAGGGGCGGCTGGCCGGGTGGGGGGCTGACCCCCCCACCTCCCTCCTGGACGGGGCGGCTGGCCGGGCGGGGGGCTGACCCCCCCACCTCCCTCCCGGACGGGGTGGCTGGCCGGGCGGGGGGCTGACCCCCCCACCTCCCTCCCGGACAGGGCAGCTGGCCGGGAGAGGGGCTCCTCACTTTCCAGACTGGGCAGCCAGGCAGAGGGGCTCCTCACGTCCCAGACGATGGGCGGCCAGGCAGAGACGTTCCTCACTTCCCAGAAGGGGTGGCGGCTGGGCAGAGGCTGCAATCTCAGCACTTTGGGAGGCCAAGGCAGGCGGCTGGGAGGTGGAGGTTGTAGCGAGCCGAGATCACGCCACTGCACTCCAGCCTGGGCACCATTGAGCACTGAGTGAACCAGACTCCGTCTGCAACCCCGGCACCTCAGGAGGCCGAGGCTGGCGGATCACTCGCGGTTAGGAGCTGGAGACCAGCCCGGCCAACACAGCGAAACCCCGTCTCCACCAAAAAAATATGAAAACCAGTCAGGCGTGGCGGCGCGCGCCTGCAATCGCAAGTACTCGGCAGGCCGAGGCAGGAGAATCAGGCAGGGAGGTTGCAGTGAGCCGAGATGGCAGCAGTACAGTCCAGCTTCGGCTTGGCATCAGAGGGAGACCGTGGAAAGAGAGGGAGACCGTGGGGAGACGGAGAGGGAGAGGGAGAGGGAGAGGGAGAGGGAGAGGGAGAGGGAGAGGGAGAGGGAGAGGGAGAGGGAGAGGTTCCAAACTCTGATTTTTAACAAATCAAGTAAAATCCATGTTTCCACGTTCTAGCTCCCCGCTGCCCCACAGCTGCTCCACTCCACGTGCCCTCTGTTTCAGTCATGCCAAAGGATGTGCTGGTCCCACAATCCACCACAGGTTTCTCAGCCTTCCTCTACTAGGCAACTCCAACTTATGACCGGAGGGTGAGCACAGGCATCACCATCGCCTCCTCGGAAGCCTTCCCTGGTGACCCTCTTCTGCATCTTCCTGCCAGTTTGAGCCAGTTCACTCTCCCCAGGATCTTCCCTTTATCACAACACTCAGTAGCCACTGATGCACTGGTTGTCTACACACCTGCCTGCACCACAAGACACTGATTCCTTGAATGGAAAGCCAATTATTTCATCTTCCACATCTAAATTCAGTCCCTCAGTCCTTCAACAGTACAAAGGCAAATATTGGCCAAGCGTGGTGGCTCACGCCTGTAATCCCAGCACTTTGGGAGGCTGAGGCAGGCAAACTGCTTGTGTCCAGGTGTTTGAGACCAGCCTGGACAACATGGTGAAACCCCATCTCTCCTAAAAATACAAAAAATTAGGCATGGTGGCATGCTCCTGTAGTCCCAGCTACTCAGAAGGCTGAGGTGGGAGGGTAATCTGAGCCCGGGAGGTCAAGGCTGCTGTGAACCAAGATCGCGCCACTGCACTCCAGCCTGGGCAACTGGAGTAAGACCCTGTCTCAGAAAAAAAAAAAAAAAAAAGGCAATACTTAAAGAATAATACTGCAGGTTTCAAATGAAAGCCATTGTTTCAAAAATCTTGCAAAATACCTTCCTAATTATTCTGTTGTTACTATAAAGAACACAGGGCATATAAACATATGGTATCTAGACTATACAAAGATAAATCAGTAAGAAATAAGAGGCTTACCCTCCATCTTAAAATATAATCACAGAAGTGCATACCTAAATGTGAACTTCAATATGCACTAAAAGCGATTCAAACTTATTTGGGGCATTAATAGACAATTATTTAAATTAGTGATATTCTATAATGAGTTCATTTCCCCCCCTACATAATATGCTACGATCATTTGTTTCTCTTCCCTCTAAATTATTACATAATATTAAAAAAAGACTGATGGGAAAAATCTCATTTTCAGTTTATTTTATATGACAGTGTCTTTCTGTGTTCCTTTACATAGGAGGAGTAGCAGCTGCTCCTTGGCCTCTGATGCAATTTGAAAACAAGTTTCTGTGAAGTTCCCCACATCGCTCCACTTCACAAGCGGAAAGGATGAAAGGCATTCCTACTATTAATAGCTGGACTGCATAATGTAAAGTTTCATTTCTAAATTTTTTTTTTTTTTTTTGGAGACAGAATTTCACTCTTGTTGCCCAGGCTGGAGTGCAATGGCGCCATCTCGGCTCACCACAACCTCCACCTCCCGGGTCCAAGCGATTCTCCTGCCTCAGCCTCCCAAGTAGCTGGAATTACAGGCATGTGCCACCATGCCCGGCTAATTTTGTATTTTTAGTAGAGACAGGGTTTCTCCATGTTGGTCAGGCTGGTCTCGAACTCCCGACCTCAGGTGATCCGCTCGCCTCGGCCTCCCAAAGTGCTGGGATTCCAGGCGTGAGCCATCGCACCCTGGCTAAATAACTATTTTAAGTCATGTTTACTTTTTATAATCTTATCACCTGAAAGTACTCACTAACCTAGATGTTAGTGAGTACTAGATGAGATGTGGGTAAACCCCTGGTCTGAGGTGCTCAGGTCACCACTGCCATCAATTTTAAGTTACCTAACACTCCAGTGGTCTAGCATTTGCTAGTGTTTTTGCTAAACAAAATGAAGTAACATTCACTCTGGTATTAAAGTGATGTTTGGGCTTCTTTCCAGGATATATAAATTACATCTTTTCTAAGAAAAGACAAGTTGTACAAATACTCAACAGTGGAAATATTATCAATAAACATCACAAATCAAAAATGTTTAATAGATTCTTTTTCAGAATAGCAGATTTAAACCAAAAAGTTGATGGAAAATTCAGAGAAACTAATGCTATACATTTCATGATTAGAAAAAACAATGCCATAAAATAATTACAGTCAGCAACAAAAACAGGGCTACAGTTAGTTCCCCCTTATCTATGATTTTGCTTTCCAAAGTTTGTTTCCTACAGTAGAGTATGATAAGATATTTTGAGAAAAACAGAGCACATACACATAGCTTTTATTAAGAATATTGTTATAAATGTTCTGTTTCATTGTCGGTTATTATTGTTAATCTCTTCCTGTGCCTAATTTATAAATTTAACTTTATCATAGGTATGTATGTATAGGAAAAACAGAGTACATACAGGCTTTCATACCATCTCCAGCTTCAGGCATCTACTTGGAGTCTCGGAATGTATCCTCCATGGATAAGGAGGGACTACTGTACTCTGCTAGCCATATTAAGAGTTTTAAAAGCAAGATGTTTCCCTTTGCTGTGTTCCTTTACTTATTTAAAAAATAAAAAAGCATATAATGCTTTTTTAGTCTTAAATTTAAAAATTGTATTACACATTATTCACTATGGAAAAATCAGAAAATAGAAGAAAACATAAGAACATAAAATCCATCTATAGTTCCATCACCCTGAAAGATTTATTGGTAACATTTTTAGTTACAAAATAATATTATATTCTGGATTAGCCATTTATATAACAAAGTCCTCCAAATACATTTCACTTATATTTTAAATTTGCTAAAATCAGATTTCATTTTTTAAAACTGTGAGGTTGTAGGGAACAGGAATCATGTACGAGAAAACAATGTCAACATGTAAAGACTAGCACAGCTAATATTAATCAACTATTTCATTATATCTACTGACAAAAACAACGACAAAACATTAAAAGCCTCAGAAATAAGGATCCTTATATTTAGTTTCTCAGTGGCCGAAGAGCAAACTGGCAGATTAATTTCACTGCTTTGCGTTTCCTATTATCACCAGAGTCCTAAAGTATTTCCAGAGAGTGAATTATGACTATGGCACTAAATAAGGCACAGTGGTACCTGCTTTCTAAAGTGTGCTGTGCGATCTTGATCCTGCAGATGTATCGTACACTTAAATACTATATACACAATTGAAAGGTAAATCTCAAATATTAATCTGCAATTATCTTTGTTAATAAAGAGAGGGGTATTAAACAACTTTTTCCTTTTCTATGTAGTTTTAAATTTTTCTAATAAAAATAAGTGGTATGTGAAACGCTTGTGACATGATTAATTAAAAAAGCAGATCCAAAAATGCATTTCAAGTCTCAGCCCAATTAGTATTAAAAATGTTAAACATAAGACTCAAAACTATAAAACTACTAGAAGAAAACATTAGACAAATGCTAAAAGACATTGGTCCAGACAAAGATTTTACAGCTAAGACTTCGAAGCACAGGCAACAATAAAATAACAGAAAAATGAGACTATATTAAACTGAAATGCTTCTGCACAGCAAAAGAAACAATCAACAGAATGAAAAACAACCCGATGAATGGGAGAAAATATTTGCAAACTATCCAAAAAGGGACTAATATTCAGAATATACAAGAACTCAGACAATTCAATGGCAAAGAACCCACATGATCCAATTAAAAAGTAGGCAAAGAAACAGAAAAGGCATTTCTCAAAAGAAGACATACAAATGGCAACAAACATAAGAAAATGTTCAACATCACTAAATCAACAGGGAAATGTGAATCAAAACAACAGTAAGATACCATCTCAACCCAGTCAGAATGACTACTATAAAAAAGACAAAAAAATAACACAGACTGGCGATGATGTAGAGAAATGGGAACTCTTACACACTGTTGGTGGGATGGAAAATTAGGATGGCTACTATGAAAGACAGCGTGGAAGTTCCTCAAAAAATTAGAAACAGAACTACCATACAATTCAGCAATCCCACTAGTGGAAATTTATCTGAAGGAAACAAAGTCAAAGGCATACGCTGCACCCCCATGTTTACTGCAGCACTATTCACAATAGCTAAGATAAGGAATCAACCTAAATGTTCATCAAAAGATGAGTGGATAAAGAAAATGTGGTATATATCACAATGTAATACCATTTAGCCAAAAAAAAGAATGAAATTCTGTCATTTATGGCAACACAGATGAGCCTAGAAGACATTAGCTTAAGCAAAATACGGCAGGCATAGAAAGGCAAATGCATGTTCTGATTCGTATGTGGGAGCCGAAAAGCTTTGAGCTCAAGTAGAGAGTATAATTGGGAGTATTAAAGGCGCGGAAGGGTAGAGGGAAGAGGAGGATAGAGAGACGCTGGTTAATGCCTACAAAATTACAGTGAGATAAGAGGAATGTGTTCTGATGTTCTGGCAGCACTGGAAGGTGAATGTGGTAAATGTGGTTAAATAATAATTTATTATATATTTTCAAAAAGCTAGAAGAGAGAAGTTTGAATGTTCACAACACAAAACTATAATACATCTTTGACATGATGGATATGCTAATGATTTGATCATTACATACTGTATACATATATTGAAATGTGACTCTGAATCCCATAAATATGTACGTACAATGATCATGTGTCAACTAAAATTAAAGGGGAAATAATATGAAAATACTTATCTAGGCAGAGTAAAGAAACAGGAAATACCAAAATTTTACTTCATTACTAGGTTGTAAGATCATGGCTGAATTGTTTTCCTTGTATTTTCAAATATTTTTCACTTTTTTTTTTTTTTTTTTTGAGACAGTTTCATTCTGTCGTCCAGGCTGGAGTGCAGGGGCATGATCTTGGCTCACTACAACCTTTGCCCCACGGGTTCAAGCAACTCTCCTGCCTCAGCCTCCCAAGTAACTGGGACTACAGGTGCAACGCCACCATGCCCAGCTAATTTTTGTACTGTTAGTAGAGACAGGGTTTTGCCATGTTGACCAGGCTGGTCTCAAACTCCTGGCATCAAGTGATAACGCCTGCCTCAGCCTCCCAAAGTGCTGGGATTACAGGTGTCAGCCACCACGCCTGGCCTTTTTTTCACATTTTCAATGAGATTGATGTACTTCAAATTTTTGAAGGGGGTGAGAGAGCACAATGAAAGCAATTTTTCACAAATGACATTGCAATTAAATTAGAGAGATTTATTCAATACTCTGAAACCGCATCATAAAGCAAACATTCTTAGGTCCAGCTAACATAGGCCCTAAAACCGAAGTCGCCAATCTGTACTGATCTATGTTCCCTGGCATGTTAGGAACCAGGCTGCACAGCAGGAGATGAGCAGCAGGTGAGCTAGCAAAGCTTCATCTGTTTTTACAGCCACTCCCCATCGCTCGCATTACCACCTAAGCTCCACGTCCTGTCAGATCAGTGGCAGCATTAGATTCCCGTAAGAACATGAGCCCTATTGTAAATTGCACATATGAGGAATCTAGGTTGTGCACTCCCAGAATCTAATGTCTGATGATCTGTCACTGTCTCCCATCACCCCCAGATGGGACTGTCTAGTTGCAGGAAAACAAGGTCAGGGCTCCCAATGATTCTACATTATGGTGAGTTGTATAATTATTTCATTATTACAATGTAATAATAACCGAAATAAAACACACAATAAATGTAATGTGCTTGAATCATCCCAAAACCATTCCCTACCCCTGCTCCCACCTAGCTCTGTGGAAAAACTGTCTTTCACAAAACCAGTCCCTGGTGCCAAAGACTGCTGCCCTAAAACATAAAAATCAAGTGCCAGTAATATGGATAAGAAACAATGTAACAGAATATGAAACTTCGGTCTCCAGAGCACAAGTGCTCCCCTTCTCCTGGCTGCATTCTAACTGCCACAGGACACAACAGCCGCTTTAATGCTGTATCAAGGACTTGGGAATCCTTCTCTGGCACTCAGAAAGCTTTTTGCTCTATTCTCATACCAGTTAATGCCCTAAAGAATGCTAATTAGGGAGAGTCCAAGTTATTGTCACGCTCTTAAATCTGTCTGATGAACATTTCGTAGCAGAGATACATAAGACGGCTAATTCTCCAAATTGAACACATTAGGGATATCAGAAAACAATAAGATTCTCAGTCAGTATTATTAAACATTTCCATGGTGCTTTTGATGACTTAAGTGATTTAGAGAAAAACAAGTCAGTTGCTTTTACAAGTTTTCTAATCAGAAGGTATCCATCCATACAAAACATACATTCACATGTCTTACTAATAATGATTCTCCTATAGCAGACTGAGGTATTTTATAAGCCACTGTTGTAAAAATCTTGCCTGTTAAAAAGAAATACTGTCAGCCCTCCATATCTGTGGGTTTCCCATCTGTGGATTTAACCGACTCAGATGGAAAATATTTGGGGGAAAAAATTGCGTCTGTACTGAACACACAGACTTTTTTCTTGTCATTTTTCCTAAACAATATACAATATAACAACTACTTACATAGCATTTGCATTGTTAGGCATGTAAGTAATCTAGTGATGTTTTTAAGTATACAGGAGGATATGTACAGGTTATATGCAAAAATTATAGCATTTTATATCAAGGCCTTGAACATGCCTGGATTTTGAAGTCTGCATGGAGTCCTGGAACCAATCCCCCATGGATACCAAGGGACAACTGAACATGCTTTCCAGGATCCTGTACTTACAGCATAAAAATCATATATCCTCCTCCAAAATAAGCTTAACAGAAATCTTATTTTTAAAAGTCATGCCATAGTTTGACTCATTTATCTATTGCCACATTTAGAATTCAAGATCACTACTGTAAACGAATTCTACATACAGTTTAAGATTAGGAAAATTAACATTCATGTGAAAAATATTCATTTTTTGGTTTTTATTGAATATTTTGTGCATTTCCTCTGTGACAAGAATAAATAAACAGTAACACACTGGCCAACTACAAAAGGCACCAAAGGTAGAAGCAAAGACACTACTATGTCTGGACAGCGTATCAAATATATATCAATATATTGTATTTCAGATATAATACATATATATATCTGAAAGGAAATGAACTTGAGTCACTTTTAATCAGTTAAAGGCATGCTTTTTGATGCATTTACATTAGATTTTCTGAAAATGTTATTAAAGTAGTTTAAGCATGGTATGTGATATGGAAGGAAGGTCTGGATCACAAAATAGGTGCCAGCCAGGCACGGTGGCTCACAGCTGTAATACCAAGATTTTAGGAGGCTGAGGCAGGCAGATTGCTGGAGGCTGAGGCAGGCAGGTGGCTTGAGCCCAGGAATTGAAGACCAGCCTGGGCAACATGGCAAATCCTTATCTCTAAATGAAATAAAAAATTAGCTGGGCATGGTGGTGTACATCTGTAGTCCCAGCTACTCAGGAGGCTGAGGCAGGAGGACTGCTTGAGCCCAGGAGGTAGAGGCTGCAGTGAGCTGTGAACGCGCCACTGCACTCCAGCCCGGGCCACAGGACAAGACTCCGTCTTGAAAAAACAAACAAAAAAATAGATGCCATAAGGGTTACAACTAAAAAGCACAGATTTCGGCCAAACACAGTGGCTCATGCCTGTAATCCTAGCACTTTGGGAGGCTGCGGCAAGTGGATCGCTTGATCTCAGGGGTTTGAGACCAGCCTGGACATCATGGCGAAACATCTTTTTTTTTTTTTTTTTTTAAAGCACAGGTTTTGAATGCTACATGCAGGGTATGTCATGAAACTAAATAACTTTTTAAAAAATCAAAGGTAAGGAAGTCCTTATGGAAGAAGCTTAGGGGCAAACAGGGGCAATAGAGAGTGAGGAAGGAATTCTGGAAAACAGGAAGTTAGAGAAGAAGAAGAAACTCATATTGGTATATAGACCCAGCCCAAGTCTCTGGTTGACCCTAAACCATGCATGTGGCAAACTGGGAGCAATCTAAGCTAAGTTCTGAGCCACAACCCACCACAGCCATGAAAAAGTTTGTAGTTTGAGTCTAACAAAGTTAATTATCTGCTGAAATTATTTTTCATTTTTATTTATTTATTTTTTGAGATGGAGTCTCGCTCTGTCACCCAGGCTGGAGTGCAGTGGTGTGATCTCGGCTCACTGCAACCTCTGCCTCCTGGGTTCAAGTGATTCTCCTGCCTTAGCCACCTGAGTAGCTGGGATTACAGGTACATGCTACCATGTCCAGATAATTTTTCTATTTTTTAGTAGAGACGGGATTCTACCATGCTGGCCAGGCTGGTCTCAAACTCCTGACCTCAAGTGATCCACCCACCTCAGCCTCCCAAAGTGCTGGAATTACAGGCGTGAGCCACTGCACCAGGCCAATTACCTGCTGAAATTAAAATACAAATATCAACATTCTTCTAAGGAATGTAACTAAATCCAGAGTCTCCACAAGAGAACATTCACAATGTCCAGGAAACCAATGAAATTACTCAATCCCAAATTACTCAATATACAAAGAACCAGGAAAACATGACCCATTCTCAAGGGAAACCATCCCAACAACAGGTATCAACAACCCTCAGATGATGCAGATGTTGGAATTATTAGAGAATGATTTTTTTTTGAGACAGGGTCTTGCACTGTCACCCAGGCTGGAGTGCAGTGGCGTGATATTGGTTCAATGCAACCTTGACCTCCTGAGCTCAGGGGATCCTCTCACCTCAGCCTCCTAAGTAGCTGGGACTACAGGTACATGCCACCATGCCTGACTAATTTTGTTTATTTTTAGTAGAGACAGGGTCTCACTATGTTGCCCAGGCTGGTCTCAAACTCCTACGCTCCAGTAATCTTCCCTCCTTTGCCTCTACAAGTACTATGATTACAGTCATGAGCCAACACACCTGGGCTTTTTTTTTTTTCTTCTTTTTTTAACTTTTTTAAGAGACAGGGTCTCGCTGTATCTCTCAGGCTGGAGTGGAGTGGTACAGTTACAGCTCATTACAGCCTCAAACTGGGCTCAAGCAATCCTTCCACCATAGCCTCCCTAGTAGCTGGGAATAAAAATGTGCACCACCACAGCCAGTAGACAAGGACTTTAAACAACCTATTATAACTATGTTCAATGAGGTAAAGAAATAAAGACTAAGTGGCCAGGAACTCAAAAAAATTAAAAAAAAAAAGAAAAGAAAACAGAAACATAGGCTCCAAATGAAATAAAAGAAACTCTCTACAGAGAAACAGAAAAAATAAACTGAATGAAAATACATAACTAAAGTATACAATATATGCAATAAAAATTCACTGGATGGGCTTAATAGCAGAAAAATGATGTCAGAGGAAAGAGTCAGTGATCCTGTGGATAGACAGAAAATATATAACCTGAAGAAGACAAAGAAACGAACACAGAAAAAAGGAACAGAGCATTAGGAAATACCAAAACATCAAAAGATCTCCTACATGTGGGTACCTGGAGTCTCAGAGGAGAAGAAAGAGAATATGGAACACAAAGATTATTTGAATAATGTCTAAAAACTTCCCAAATCCTGTGAAAACTATGAATTTATAGACTCAATAAGTTCAGCCAACCCCAACAGGACAATTGCAAAGAAAGCTACGCCTACGTGCATTATATTCAAACTGCTAAAACCAATCGTAAATAGAAAATGTTGAAAATAACCAGAGAAAATTAACACATTATATACAGGAAAATGACAATTCAAATGACACAAACATCTCATCTTAAACCATGGAGGCCAGAAGACAGTGGAACTACAGCTTTAAAACACTGAAAGAAAAACCCAGAATTCTATATCCAGTGAAAATATCCTGTGTGAATAAAGGCAAAATAAAGACATTTTCAGATAAAGAAAAAATTAGAGAATCAGCTGCCAACCAAACCATCAATACAAGAAATACTAAAGTAAATTCACAAAGCTGAAGGAAAAGGATACCAAAAAAGAAACCTGGATCTTCAGGCATGAATGAGGAACACTGAAAATGGTAAATATCTGACTAAATATTTTCTTCTCCTTATTTCTTAAAATACATAGAGAGTTTAAAGTAAAATTGTAACACCACTTTCTGGGATTTATAATGAATGCAGATGTAATACATATGCCCAATTAAAGCCTAAAAGACTACAAGGAATGGTTGTAAATGAACCTATATGATTGTAAGGTCTCTACATTCTATGTGAAATGGTATAATATGAACTCTGAGAAGACTGTTAAAAGTTATGGATAGATATTTAAATTTGTAAAGCAACCACTAAAAATAATGCAAAAAGATAAAACAAAAAAGCCAGCAGAGAAATTAAAACAGAATTCTTTTTAAAAATTCAAATAATCCAAAAGAAGGCAGAAAAGGGGGTATACAAAAGAACAAAACACAGAGAAAGCAAACAAAAAGCAAATTTTAAAATGACAGACCTAACCATATCAATAAGGACATTAAATTGGACTAAATACTCCAATTAAATTTCAGAGTCAACAGAAGAAATAAAAAAGCAAAACCCGGCTGGGCACGGTGGCTCACGCCTGTAATCCCAGCACTTTGGGAGGCCAACGCGGGAAGATCACCTGAGGTCGGGAGTTCAAGACCAGCCTGACCAAGATGGAGAAACCGTCTCTACTAAAAATACAAAATTAGCCAGGCATGGGGGTGCATGCCTGTAATCCCAGCTACTTGGGAGGCAGAGGCAGGAGAATCGCTTGAACCCGGGAGGTGGAGGTTGCGGTGAGCCAAGATCATGCCATTGCACTCTAGCCTGGGTGACAGAGCAAGACTCCATCTCAAAAAAAAGAAAACCAAAACCAAGCTATACACTGTCTACAAGAGACTCACTTTGTGTATACACAGATAGGTCTAGAATAAATAGAAGGAAAAGACCAGTTTGGCTGGGTGTGGCGGCTCACATCTGTAATCTCAGCACTTTCGGAGGTCAATGCAGGTGGGTCACTTGAGGCAAGGAGATCGAGATCAGCCTGGGCAACATGGCAAAACCCTGTCTCTACTAAAAATACAAAAATTAGTTGGGCATGGTGGCACACACCTGTAATCTCAGCTACTCAGGAGGCTGAGGCAGGAGAATCACTTAAAGCCAGGAGGTGGAGGTTGCAGTAAGCTGAGACCGCACCACTGCACTCCTGCCTGGGCAACAGAATGAGACTCTGTATCAAAAAGAAAAATAATAATAAAAGAATATACCAGGCAAATATAAAAAACATAAGGAGGATGAAGTGATTATAATATCAGATAAGGTAGACTTAAAAATAATAGTATTACAAAAGATAAAGGAGAACATTTTATAAAGAGGCCAGTTTATCAGAAAGACAAAACAATCATAAATACGTATGCCCCTAATAATACAGCCACAAAATACATGACATGAAAATTGACAAGATTAAAAGGGTAAACAGACAATTCTACAATCACAGGCGATTTTAACCCTTCTCAAAAACTGATATAACAACTAAATCTAAAAAAGTCAGTGAAGATATAGAATAAGACTGGGCACAGTGGCTCATGCCTGTAATCCCGGCACTTTGGGAGGCTGAGGTGGGAGGATTGCTTGAGCTCAACAGTTCAAGGTCAGCCTGCGTAACATGGTGAAACTCCATCTCTACCAAAAAATACAAAAATTAGCCAGGCATCCTAGCGTGTGTCTGCAGTCCCAGCTACTCAGGAAGCTGAAGTGGGAGGATGGCTTGAGCCCAGGAGGTGGAGGTTACAGTGAGCCGAGATCATACTCTGGCCTGGGTGACAGAGCCAGACTCTGTCTCAAAGAAAAACATCAAAAAAAGGATGCAGGATATATGAATAAGACTAACCAATATTGATGTTCTTTTTAAGTGCACACAGTATGTTCAAAAACATAGACCTTATGCTTGACTATAAAGGAAATTCTGGTAAATTTAAGAGGACTGAAATCCTATTGAAATCTTTAGTCACAACAGAATGAAATTATAAATTAGTAACAAGAAATCTAACGAAATCCTAAGCATTTGGAAATGAAACAACACATTTCTAAATAATCCAGGATCAAAGAAGAAATCACAAAACTTTTCCAACTTAATGATATTTAAAACATACGTATAAATAAACAGTTAACATACAACTAACGCAGTACTTAGAGGATAATTTATAGCTTTAAATGCTTCTGTTAGAAAAGGAAAATGGTTCAAGTCAATGACTTGCAGAGTCTTAGCTATGTACACATAGCTAGCTGACCATAAGGCCTGTGCGCCCACAGAGGACAGAGGTCCAGACAAAAGTAAACATTGGGGCAGACTTGTAAGCTGCCGGAATGTTGAGTCTGTTCCCTAACTTAGCTGGCAAAGGGTTAAAGCTTTACCAGCTCAAGGTGTTTCAGCACCACCTCTTACCAATCACTGGCTAATCAGTAAGATATTAATATGTTGACCTACCAACAACCTCGAGGACGCCAGGCTTAAATTTTTTAAAAAGAATTTAGAAAAAAGAAGAAAAGAAGAACCAATCACATACGGTTCTAGCTCAAGAAACTGAGAAAAGAAGAGCAAAGTAAACCCAAGCAAGTAAAAGGAGAAAAAAAACAGAAACCAACAAAATAGACAATATCAAACAATACAGAGAAACGAACACAGCCAAAAGCGTTCTTGAGAGAGATCAACAAAATGGTAACAGCTGACTGGAATGAACAAGGAAAAATGAGACACAAATGAGTAATATCACGAATAAAAACCAGTTATCACTACAGATTCTGCAAACATCAAAAGGATAATAAAAAGCACAGGTAAAGTTCAAAGTTATAAGCAGCCTTTTAGCAAATTCAGGGCTGAACAATCATCCTGAAAGAGTTGTCTCTACAATTCTAATATTTATCTGTTCAGCATAATCAAAAGCTGTGCTTTTTAAAAACACAATTTAACATAAGCACACTCAATAATTTAGACTGAGGCAAAGCCAAGTGTCTTCCCTCATCCCAAAAATCATCCTGAAAAAGCTTCTAAGGCAGGGTATCAGGAATTCATACAACTATCTGAATTTGGGCTTTTATTTTATTTATAATTACTGGGTAACTTTTTATGACCCAAAATAACTGTTGAGTTCCTGCCTCTTCTAAAGTGTCTTTATCAATTTCTGCTTTTAAAAAGTTTCTTACAGTATCTACTGTGTGTGTTCCAATCTCCAGCTTTCAAAATATGTGAAAAAGCTCTTTTTCTAAAGCCATTTCTATAAAAATTATATTCAGAGACACAATGTCCTACGATGCATTTAAAGACACTCAAAACAATGTCTAAATATTGAGAGTATGGCTAGAAAGTTCTACTACATTTGAAATATTGTTGAGCTCTTCCCCATTTAATAAAACTACATTAGAAATATAAAAATCCAAAATATAAACAAGCTATTCAGATTTGCCCATTAAAGATGAATTCCTGGCCAGGGACAGTGGCTTACGCTGTAATGCCAGCACTTTGGGAGGTGAGCAGATCACGAGGTCAGGAGTTCGAGACCAGCCTGACCAACATGGTGAACCCTCGTCTCTACTAAAAATACAAAAATTAGCCAGGTGTGGTGGCGTGCACCTGTAATCCCAGCTACTCAGGAGGCTGAGGCAGGAGAATTGCTTGAACCTAGGAGGCAGAAGTTGCAGTGAGCCAAGATCGCACAACGGCACTTCAGCCTGGGCAACAGAGAGAGACCCTGTCTCAAAAAAAAAAAAAAGAAAAAAAAAGATTTCCTGCTTGACTACTTTGAGAAAAATTCTCAAATGGTGAAGGTAAGTGGTCTTTCCATGGCACCAAGTCCCACACTGGCCATGTACTGCTTCATCTGAAGAGCCAGAGGGGGAATAATGCTAAATGCACAGCTTGTATGGGTTACCACGTATCCAAACACCCCAAAGCCAGCAGGGAACCGCTTCCCAGCAGCAGCAAATGAAAAGCAACAGAAACCGAATGGCACTCAGTAGACGGGTTTTAGTAGTTAGTATAAAAAGGGTTCCTATAAAAGAGAACTTTCATATTCAAAATGTCGAAAATAGCCAGGCACAGTGGCTCACACTTGTAATCCCAGCACTTTGGGAACCCAAGGAGAGAGGACGGCTTGAGGCCAAGAGTTCAAGACCAGCCGAGCAACATGGCAAGGCCCCATCTCTACAAGAAAATTTTGAAAAAATTAGCAGGGTGTGGTGAGTGCACACCTATAGTCCTGGCTACTCAAGAGGCTGAGGCAAGAGGACTGCTTGAGCCCAGGAGTTCGAGGCTGCAGTGAGTTATAATCATGCCACCACACTCCAGCTTGGGCAACAGAGTGAAACCCAGTCTCCCAAAAAAAGTCAAAAATGGCTTTAAAAATCTTGATTAAAATTAGTAATACTCAAAGAAAAAAAAAAGTGTCAGTTAAAAAGCAACTCCTTAAATGTAAATCAGAAATAGTTTGTAACAGAGCCAAAGAAGCCATTATAAGCTGCTATATAAATAGGCATTTAATGATTTTCTCAATGTTACATTATTGACCTAAGAGGCGCTCTGTTTCCACTGAAATGAATAAGTAATTTGTTTAAGATAACATTAATAGGGGCCGGGCGCGGTGGCTCATGCTTGTAATCCCAGCACTTTGGAAGGCCGAAGAGTGCAGATCACAAGGTCAGGCATTCGAGACCATCCTGTCTAACACGGTGAAACCCTGTCCCTACTAAAAATACAAAACAAAAATTAGCCGGGAGTGGAGGCACGCACCTGTAGTCCCAGCTACTCGGGAGGCTGAGGCAGGAGACTCGCTTGAACCTGGGAGGTGGAGGTTGCAGTGAGCCGAGATCGCACCACTGCACTCCAGCCTGGGTGACAGAGCAAGACTCCGTCTCAAAAAAAAAAAAAAATTAATAGGATTTGCAGCACATCAGATACCCTGGGTCCTTCTTATCATTAGAATCACCATTATAAAGAACAAATTTCACACCGTCTTTCAGTGAAACATCTGCATAATTTTAGAAATCACAGCTAAAGAGCAGAGACATTAGTTACATCCATCACATGCAAAAAGGCATTTCCAAGTCACAATACTATGAATATCATTTATGCAATTCAATAAATATTCAACATTTACTTACTAATGTCAGACACTACCACTTTACGCACTAAAAACGCAATGGTGACTGAGACATGGTCCCTACTCTCAAAGAGTTTACAGTCTATCTGTGAAAACAATATAATAAGGTATACAAGATGCTATGAAAGCACAGAGAATGAGGTTCAATACCCTACAAAGAGAGCCAGAGAAAACATCAGAGGCCGGGTGCAGTGGCTCATGCCTATAATCCCAGAACTTTGGGAGGCTGAGATAGGCGGATCACTTGAGGCCAGGGGTTCGAAATCGGCCTGGCCAACATAGCAAAACCCTGTCTCTACAAAAAATACAAAAATTAGCCAGTGTGGTGGTGCATGCTTGTAATCTCAGCTATTTGGGAGGCTGAGTCACAAGAATTGCCTGAACCCAGGAGGTGGAGGCTGCAGTGAGTCGAGTTTGTGCCACCCCACTCTCGCCTGGGCAAAAGAAATGACCCTGTCTCAGAAAAGGAAGAGGGGAGGGAAGAAGAGGGGAAGGGAGAGGGGGGAAGGTGGGGAGGGGAGGGGAAGGAAACATTGGAGAAACTGATGTTGAAGCTGAGATAAGGCAGGAAGGAGGGCATAGTCAGGTTCTGGTGGGAGGTGATGACTGCATAAAAGATGGCTTCTTCTGGCAAAGGAAATGTTGTCAGAGGCACAGCATGCTCAAATTGCCAAGTATTTTGTTAAGAGTTGTCTTTTGCATAAGAAAAGAGACTATACCGGAAAATTAAACTTTACTAGCAAAGCTGCATATATCAAGAGAACAGTGATCTACTTAACCTAGGAGGAAAAAAGGTAAAATATCACAATTTCATCTTGGCCTATTCCCCATATTCCCTATTCAAACACACATTTATTTCCTCATGCTGCAGTGTGTGTCAGGTATGAGAGAGGACTCAGGGCCAAACAAGAGGGACCCAACACTGCCCTCAGGAAACCAATGCAATGAGCAATCAGACAATAGAGTGCTTCTATGGCTACACATGATTCTGAAATGTAGCTCCCTGATTAGAGTTACCACGGAATAAAATACTTAGCTTAAAAGCTACTGTTTTAAGAATTGTCCAGTAGTAAAGAAGAGAGCAACTGTTATTTGACATCAGATATGGTGGTATAACAGGAATTTTAAAAGAAACTTTGACATCCCATACACACAAGCAAGGAATCATGCTTGTATTTTCAAATAAATGCTACTAACTCATGTTTTACAGATTTCAAAGCACTCTTACACACTGTTCACAGCAAGGGAGGCCAAGCAGCTATTTTAATAATTACCTACCACGGGTCAAGCACTGATTGTGTAGTATGGGGCTCTTTGCTGGCAACTTAATATCCATGATCTCATTTCATCCTCACAACAATCATGCCAAGTAACTATTATCTCCCTCTTAAACAAACACGGAACCTGTGGCTCGGAAGGTTTACATAACCTGCCCAAAGACACATGGCTGACAAGTGGTGGAGCCAAAGTTAGTCCCCGTGTCAGTCTGTGAAAACTCCTTTTATCGGGCTGCACAGCTTCAATGTCACCGAGTGTGGCTAGCAAAGGAGCTGAAGAGTGTACAGTGAGCAGAGGAAGCTGAATTAGACTGCAGGTCAGGACTTTGAACTCAGTCTTCTTGCAGCCACACTGAAGCCTCACTGTAACTGTAACCTCAAGGTCCCCACCCCCACCTAAAGTTATCTTGAGCTTTCTAATAATTCAATCCCTCTGGATTCTCTCTAAACCATCTTTCTAAGGATAGTGGGGAAATGGATCACAGAAAAAATCTCTATGCAAAAATTAAAATATTTAACAAGCAACATCAATCACACCCTGCATCCACCACTATCCCTGGTGTCTGATGCTCCTGAGTACATTCCACCCTGAAATCTGCTATTAAAGAACCACAGTAAAAGCTCAAAGCCATGCCAAGGTTCATTTACTTAATCTCATGGAATCCTTACAATAACACTAAAGTCCATACTATTATGCGCAGTTTACAGAGATAAGCAGAAGTTCATCAAGGTTAAATAAGGCACCCAAAGTCACACAACTGTTAAGTGATGCTGCAGTATGATTCCAAAAGCCTAAGCTTTTCCCCTCTACAGCATGGCCTGGATTCCTGCAACAGTCAGATAATGAAAGAAAAATGCCAAAATACTGTGATCTGAATTTGTATATTTGCAGAAATTTTCATATATAATTACTCACCAGTTCTACTATCAGAATTATAGTTTTACTGTGCGGCATTTTGTTAAAGTAAAAAACAAACACATCACTTAAAAATTTCACATCTTTTACATTATCAAAGCAACATGGTGCTTGAAATTTACTTGAATATACAGCTTAACAATACATATTTTCACCAATATTTTATTCAAAAACTTCCCATCTTAAGAAAACAAAACGTTTAATTGATGGTTAATATCAAAATATCAAAATTATTTAGGATCCTACAAGAGACGGGGTGCTCCATCTTTTTAGAATCCCCTCCTTTTTTTTTCAAGACAGGGTCTCACTCTGTCGCCCAGGCCAGAGTGCAGTGGGTGCGGATGTTGGCTCACTGCAACCTCTGCCTCCCGGGTTCAAGCAATTCTCCTGCCTCAGCCATCACGCCCAGCTAAATTTTGCATATTTAGTAGAGATAGGGTTTCACCTTATTGGCCAGGCTCGTCTCGAACTCCTGACCTCAGATGATCCGCCTGCCTCGGCCTCCCTAAGTGCTGGGATTACAAGCGTGAGCCACCATGCCCAGCCTAGAACCATATTTTAAAAGCAAATAAAATATTCAGTTTATTTGTTTGTAAAACAAGGCTGGGCATTGTGGCTCATGCCTGTAATCCCAGCACTCTGAAAGGCCGAGGCAGGCAGATCACCTGAGGTCAGGAGTTTGAGACCAAACCGGCCAACATCGTGAAACCCCATCTCTACTAAAAATACAAAAATTAGCCGGGTATCATGTTGCGCGCCTGTAATCCCAGCTACTCAGGAGGCTGAGACAGGAGAAGTGCTTGAACCCGAGAACCAGAGGTTGCAGTGAGCCGACATTGCGCCACTGCACTCCAGCCTAGGCGACAGAGCGAGACTATGTCTCAAAACAACAACAACAATGACAACAACAAAAACAACAAGTATTTGATACAAGTTTAATGGAGTGAATAAATCTCAAATATGTATCAACAAATGGGGGGAAAGTACAGAGATGAACAGGTCAATGTAAGTATTAATTTATTACAGGTACTTCTCATTCTCAAAGTAAATCTGCAACTCACTTCAGAAAAAGTGCAATGAGAAAGGAACAGAATGGAGGTAAATGAAAAAATATACTATGTAGCATACCTAATGAATCAAAAGAGATTTGTCTTATTTTCTCATCTATACATGATACTTACTAATTATTTCATTTATTTCAGAGACAATCTCAAAAACAAACGAGGCAGCAATGAGTGTAAGCTGACTGAGCCCATAGCTTTTAAATTAAGGGGGCAGTGGGAGGGCAACCTCTCACTGTATTTAATACACAAAACAGAAATCCAAAACACTTACCAATCTTTACTTGCTCGGGCTGGCTAAGGGAAACAAATGCTGATGTGTCATCAATCCAGGATATCTGAATGTTACCTGCAATCGCAAATTAAAAGTAAAGTGAACATTTGACCATGTGGAGAGCTATTAGATTTAATGCGCGTATCTTACATATTTCAGTATAGTCTATCTTTAAAGAGAGAGAAGGTGCTTATTTAAAATGTGATCAAAATCTCAGCCCTACAGAGAGTTAGCCTGTTCAAAGGCTACCACAGCAGTTATTTACGTTAAAACTTCAAGAGAAGAGACAAACCAGGGGGAAAAGACGCTATTAGAAATTTAACACAATAGAAAGATCCTTCCAGATTAAACCCTGGGGCTTGTCATCATTCAGTGCAATACTAGGATTAGGGACTTATTTTCCTATCAAGACCACTAACAAAAATCAGAGACCACATAGGTTCAAAAACACAACTATTTCTTTTTTTTATTTTTGAGACAGAGTCTCACTCTGTTGCCCAAGCTGGAGTGCAGTGGCACAATCTCAGCTCACTGCAACCTCTGCCTCCTGGGTCAAGCAATCCTCCCACCTCAGTGTCCCAAGTAGCTGGGACTACAGGCACACACCACCATGCTTACACATAATCTTATTGAAAATAGTGTTAGAGGCCGGGCGCGGTGGCTCACGCCTATAATCCCAGCACTTTGGGAGGCCGAGGTGGGAGGATCACCTGAGGTCAGGAGTTTGAGACCAGCCTGACCAACATGGAGAAACCCCAACTCTGCTAAAAATACAAAATTAGCTGGGCATGGTGGCGCATGCCTGTAATCCCAGCTACTCGCGAGGCTGAGGCAGGAGAATGGCTTGAACCTGGGAGGCGGAGGTTGAGGTGAGCCGAGATCGCGCCATTGCACTCCAGCCTGGGCAACAAGAACGAAACTCTGTCTCAAAAAAATAATAATAATAATAATAGTGTTAGTACTTAAAGTAACTTTATATGCCTTAACGTTCGTTCTGACTTATTTTAAATATTTACATGCAGAAATGGTGTACTGTATTATCAGTGCAGGAGGCACTGCTGTGAAAGTCTACTATTCTAAAATATCAATTTAAAAAAAAAGATAAGAAAAAAATAGATCAGGCTCAGTGGCTCATGCCTGTAATCCCAGCACTTTGAGAGTCCGAGGCGGGAGGATCACTTGAGCCCAGGAGTTCGAGGCCAGCCTGGGCTACACAGGAAGACCCTATTTCTATTTAAAAAAAAAAAAAAAAAAAAAAGAAAGAAAATGAAAAATGGTGTTAAGTTACATGGAAAGCCTACTTCGTATCTGCTTTTTACTCTAAACGTTAAAATACAAGCACTTTAACTTCTTTTAATAAACTCCTCAAATATTTTTTAAATGGCTACATACTAGAAGATACATAAACATTTACTAAACTTTCTTACTACTGGACATTTAGGTTTTGTGGCCTTCACTTTATCCAAGAATTTCCAAAGAGAATAGCTTAAATGCTTCGTTTGTTAAAATAAGAGGCATTGCTGTGGGTTTACAATCAGAATGGTCTTCATAAACACTTATCAGGAGACTGCTCAAACGAACCTAATCACATGACCTGGTAAAAAAGGAAAGAGAAGGACTGCCCTACCTCATACACGTATCACAAATCCTGATCTACCCAAACATCTGTCACTTTGATTAATCTAAAGCAGAGAAGACCTCCCCTGCCATTATGAAACACACAAACCCTGTGAGTTTAATCTTAAAAATTATTTATGCTTAGCCACAGCTTATTTTCCCTGGTCAGTAGTAAGGACAGTCCTCATCACGGTGTTTTGCTTTCCATGAATTAATAGCTCTGTATTGTGAGGTGCTATTAAAAGTTTCTCAGATGATATTAGCACAAAGATAACAGTATCCTAAACCAGAAAATTCAAAGAGTGAAATTAAAACCTTGAATATTAACATTCTTTTATACGCAGGCCAAAACTATCTTTCTACTTCTGACCACCTATACCAAATGAATAGCAAAACCCTAAAAAGTACATCTGAACTTGCGACTTACCAAAGGCACTGAAAAGCTGGTAAAGGTCGCTGGTTTTCCATTCTTTGGGGAATGTCACATGGAGAACATGATCACGTTTAGGCTGCACTACAAGACAAATTTATGATGAAATATTGATGGGTGAAAAGTGATCAAGTAAACCAGTGACTCTTTGATGAAACTAAGTCTGAGCTAATTTGGAGAACTGTTATGAATTCCTCATGATTACCAAACAACTCCTAAAAGTATGCCTAGGATTGGTGGGATTCTGCCATGGTAATCTAGACCTCAGGTTCTGATACTTTACAGAACCCACAACAACTTGAACCCAATGCAAAGGCATCTTCTCTTCTCATGAAGTTCCTGTGCAAATTATTTGTTTATTTTTTAATTTTTTTTTTTTTTGAGACAGGGTTTTGCCTTGTCATCCAGGCTAGAGTACAGTGGCACAATAATAGCTCACTGCAGCCTCAAACTCCTGGGTTCAAGCGATCCTCCCACCTCAACCTCCTGAGCAGCTGAGGCTACAGGTGCATGCCACCGTGCCTGGCTAATTTTTTTATTTTTTAATTTTATTTTTGTAGAGATGGGGGTCTCGCTATGCTGCCCACGCTGGTCTTGAATTCCTGGCCTCAAGTGATCCTCCCACCTCGGTCTCCAAAAGTGCTGGAATTACAAGCATGAACCACCACACCCAACTGTGCAAATTATTTAGAAGAAAAAAAAAACGCTGCTCTGTTCATGAAGTTTCACTTCACTAAACATTTAACTTTCCCATTTTAATATACTTAGTTAAAAAAAAAAGCACTGTCCAAATTAAATGGACTAATTGTTAAGTAAGGCAATCCCGAGTCATAATCTTGCTTTCTAATCCCAAACCTAGAACTTATTTGTGCAGCTCTAAGCAAGAGATCTAACCACTCTAACCACTCTGGACTATAAACTGGGAATGGCAATATTTAGCATACAGAATTCTTGTGAGAATGACAGACCAAAATATCAGTCTAATGTGGAGGGCAACACAACAGTATGTCCTCAAACTATCATTGCAACAATTATTGTCACCAAGTATAGTTCACCCACTTCCACCTGCCAGTGACATGCATTAAGGTAAAAAAGAGCAGTGAAATAGCAGAAAAAAAGCAGAGGAGAAGAAAAAGCAACCACCTCCCATAGACCTTCCACGTTTTTTAAATAAAACAAAACAAAACAAAACAGAAATCAACCTACTAAATTCAAATATACACATACTCAAGTAACTGGAAAACAGAAATTTTACCAAGATAACTGACAGCTAGCATATCTTAAAAATCTATTATAAATACTTATAGAAAATGATGAAATCAGAATTCTGAGTGAAAATGAAATATATAGAGAAGATACATGCTTCTAAAATTCATTTCATGCATAAACTGGAAAACATAAATGAAGAAATGACTAATGAATGCCCAAGAGTCCCATTAACTTAAGCATACTATTCATATCAACCACAAAATCACAGCCCAATTTTGAGTGAAAAAAGCTTTTTCTTTAGTAATATTTTCCTGTTATCCCTTCCAGACCACACACTTAAATGCACAGATGCAATAAGAAAATAAAAATTTACTTACAGTCTGGTCCTTCCAAGTTTAGATAGGGGATATCCATGACCCTCATAAGAAATAACCTACAAGAAGAAAAGACAAACAAGTAATGGGCAATTTCCTTTAAAAGACAGGCATTTTGCATTTTTAAGGTTGAATTAGAAAAAAAAAATTTTAATAGGCATTTATTATATCTTTTGTAGAAGATCCTTGATATCACTCTATTTGTAAAATTATTTCTATTATTTATTTTTTTTTAGATGGAGTTTCACTCTGCCGCCCAGGCTGGCATGCAGTGGTGTGATCTTGGCTCACTGCAACCTCTACCTCCCCAGTTAAGTGGTTCTTCTGCCTCAGCCTCCTGAGTAGCTCTAATTTTTGTATTTTTAGTACAAACGGGGTTTCACCATGTTGGCCAGGCTGGTCTTGAACTCCTGGCCTCAAGTGATCTACCTGCCTCTGCCTCCCAAAGTGCTGGCATTACAGGCGTGAGCCACCACATCTGGCTTTATAATTATTATTATTACTATTATTATTATTATTATCATTTTGAGACGGAGTCTTATTCTGTCGCCAGGCTGGAGTGCAGCGGCACAATCTCGGCTCACTGCAACCTCTGCCTCCCAGGTTCCAGCGATTCACCCGCCTCAGCCTCCCGAGTTGCTGGGACTACAGGCGTATGCCACCAAGCCCAGCTAATTTTTTGTATTTTTAGTACAGATGGGGTTTCCCGATGTTGACCAGGCTAGTCTCTAACTCCTGACCTCAAGTGATCCACCTGCCTCAGCCTCCCAAAGTGTTGCAATTACAGGCGTGAGCCACTGCACCAGCCATGTAAAATCATTTCTAAAGCTCTGAAATTCATTTCAGAGATTTTTCTCCTGGGCCAAATATTTATCACAAATAGAAAAAACAAACAAGCAACAAACTGGCATCCTCAACAGTTCCTGGCACTCAGTAGCTGCTCAATAAATATTAGCTAAATGAACAAAATTAATCATCAAAGAGTCAAGGGAAAGTCCTCCACAGAGCTGTCGTGTTAGTCCAAGTAAACAGAAAGAAAATAAATATTACCCATCTTACCAATCTATGAACAAGTGTTCCTAAAAATTCTAAGTGTAACCCTTACAATGGGCATTTGTGAGCTGAGAATGACAACACAGGTTTCTTTTTTTTTAATGAAATGCAAAGTCACTGGATAAATGCTAATCTCTCTGGGAGTCTGAAATAAGTGACTGTCTCAAAAGCCCACATCATTATTATCATTTAAAACACACTAAAAGCACCAAACAAAACAATCCTTGGTAAAGAAAACTATCACACTAATATAAATCATAGCAGTCATTTTATGTTTATCTTCCAAAATGGGTACAAAGGCACTTATAAAAGAGTGCTTGTAAATTACAACTCTCTGTCATGCCATTCAATTTTCTTTTATTTGCAAGATTATGGACAAAATATCATGCATTCTGTTGTGTGTAAGATTATTTTAATGAGTTTTACTTAGATAACAATATATTATGCATTTCTGGTAGAGACAACATTATACAGCAAATTAAAAAGGCAATCTATCTGCCCAAGAAGCAATTAGTTTGGCTTCACGGACCCACAGTTAAGGAACATTATTACCAGGCATTCAAAAGCCAAGCAGGGCCAGGCGCGGTGGCTCACACCTGTAATCCCAGCACTTTGGGAGGCTGAGGGTGGATCACCTGAGGTCAGAAGTTCAAGACCAGCCTGGCCAACATGGTGAAATCCCGTCTCTACTAAAAATACAAAAATTCGCTGGGCATGGTAGCAGGCACCTGTAATCCCAGCTACTCGGGAGGCTAAGGCAGGAGAATCGCTTGAACCATGGAGGCGGAGGTTGCAGTGAACCGAGATAGCAACACTGCACTCTAGCCTGGGCGACAAGAGCAAAACTCTGCCTCAAAAAAAAAAAAAAAAAAAAGCCAAGCAGGGCAAAAGCTAGTTTACAAATGGAACCATCAGCATGAACAATACTGTTCTGTTAATGTCAGAAAAAACGAAGTCATAGTACTCTGTGGTTTGAGAATTTGTTGTCTGGCCTACAATTTAATAAACCAAATTCTATGGCTAAGAAACCAAATTTATTTTTAGTTCACTAATTTAGGCTCAAGTGTACTATTCTGGTTTTGTAAGCTGTTTTAACCAATTTAATCAATACTCCCTGCAATGCCAGAAGACAAGAAGATACATAAAGCACCTAGCATGGTGGGTTCTCAGTGAGGGCAGCTATCATGTTTTCTTAAATATTATTTTCCAGCATAAACGATACACACTGGAACTATCATTATTTTCGCCTACCAGAACCTAATAATAACAAAAGTTATTCCTAGGTTAGTGAGCTAGTTAGTTAGATAAGTTAACTAACCTAGGAATAACTCTTGTTATTGTTAGTCATGCTTCATATAATTTTCAGTTCTCCGTTTAGTAAATTTAGAAATAGTCTCCAATTCTAAACACCAAATTTTTTAAAAAATTAATTTTAAAAGTTAATGAAGGCTGGGCACACTGGCTCACGCCTGTAATCCCAGCACTTTACGAGACCAAGGCAGGCAGATCACCTGAGGTCAGGAGTTTGAGACCAGCCTGGCCAACACGGTGAAACCCTGTCTCTACTAAAAATACAAAAAATTAGTGAGTTTGAGACCAGCCTGGCCAACACGGTGAAACCCTGTCTCTACTAAAAATACAAAAAATTAGTGGGTATGGTGGCGAGCACCTGTAATCCCAGCTACTTGGGAGGCCGAGACAGGAGAATCACTTGAACCCAGGAGGCAGAAGTTGCAGTGAGTCGAGATTGCGCCATTGGACTCCAGCCTGGCAACAGAGCGAGACTCTGTCTCAAAAAAAAAAAAGTTAATGAAACGTATCAAGCACCATAAAAATAACTGAGAAGAACAAAAGTTGAATCAACAAAATGTTCACTGCTATACCATCAAATATGCCAATAATCAAAATCAACCTCAAGATTTGATAATACATGGAGGTCAGTAAATTATAGTTCAAAATTTCAATATAATATTAAGCAACCAAAATAACTACGAAAATGTCAAAACATGGATAACTTATAATTCTAAGTTTTAAAAAGGCACAAAATTTTATACTATGATTTTACCTTTATAAAATATTTATATCATTAAGCCAAGAATAAAAAATACCCTCCCCTCTCCCACCAACAGCTTTGGGAAACTTTGAGCTTTGTTTCTCAAAATTCCTTTTACGATCATTTTTTAAACTTTAAAGGCTACCAGAACTGAGAAGCCCAGGGAAAATAACTAGAGACTTTCTTAGAAAAAGCCAACCGAAAATGCCATCTGAATTAATCTTTCGTATACTGTGCACTACCTCACCTGGCTGGGAGGGAGAAAAATATAAATATAAAAATATAAATATAAAACCACAAACTCGAATTTGCAATTCTTGTATTTCTGTTTACAATTCTGTTATATTGCTAAAGTCATGGGACCTCAACAACAAATTTAGGAAACTCAGTGTTGTAAAAATACCAGGAAGGATTATACTAACAAAGAAAAAGAAGGCTCTCCCAATTTCTCTTACCATTTAGATGTTGTTGTTTTTTTTTTATTTCTTTATTTTATTTTTTTCCATTTAGATGTTTTGAAAAAATTTTTTTGAAAAATATTTTTTGTCAATATATAAGCTATGTGTTCTCTAATATTTCACCTGAATTTTCAATATTATCTCTGATTAAAGTAAGCAAAAATTTATTCTCAGCTAAAACACTCAAAAGATTTGTTTTTTTTTTTTAATTTTTATGAGTATACAGTAGATGTATATATTTGTAGGGTACGTGAGATGTTTGGATAGAGGCATGCAATGTGAAATAAGCACATCATGGAGAATGCAGTGTCCATCCCCTCAAGCATTTATCCTTTCAGTTACAAACAATCCAACGACACTCTATTTAAAAATGTGCAATTAAGTTATTACCAAATATAGTCACCCTGTTGTGCTATCAAATAGGTCTTATTCATTCTATTTTTTGTACCCATAAAAGCTATTTTTTAATGTAGTCAATCCTACACTATCTTGTTTGTTTACTCCACATTACCTTACACAGAAACCCCTTTCAAATGAATTATTAATAGCACTTCTCACTCTTTCCCTATACCTTCACCTTCACATCTGGGGTTTAGAGGGAACTGAATAGCTCCAAAACCCGGAAGAACACGAAAACCAACTCTGTGTGACTTGGCAGACTGCGGCTCTGGAGAGCGCCACGCAATTGTGAAACTGACTCTAAAACTGTGGCTGAGTGTCTGCGGAACTGAACCAAAGTAAACTCTCCCAACGGCCTCCCACCGTCCTTATGCCATGCTGTTTGGAAGCCACTGCTCTGGTAACATCTCTGCCCTTCTGAAGTAAAATTAAAACATTTCAATATAGGCATGCCTCATCCCAGCTGGCTGTCAAATGGCCTGCACTGACTCCCTGGAATGATTTGATAAAATACTTCACATATGCCTCATCCAACTTGACAGTTTTCATCCTAGCATATGAGGAAATGCACTAGGCAAGCAGAAATGCTGATAAAGACATGAAAGGATGTTCCATCACTGTGAACTGTATTGAAGAACAATCTCTCCCAGAAGGACTTTCATCTGCAGATATCAAAAAGACACTCAGACTAACACTTGCACGAAACGTTCTTTCTATTTTAGCAAAGATCCGAGAGGGTGTAACACGGTAAAGACCCTCAAGACTGCGTGCGGGTATCTTGCCACATTTCTGAAAGCTTTCTGATGAAATATTATTTCCCCACTTATTCTCTAAAGGACTGACATTAACTTTATCAAACACTAAAATTAAAATTCCCATTAAATACAATGGCTAATTTTACAAAAGAATTCTATCCTAAGAAACAGTGTAACTCAAGTTCACATTCTAGATGTCATAGAGCAAGTTTTAACCTTTGTGGAATCTGTCATTTTTTAAATGTTGTATGAGTATATCACTGGCAGTGCTTGTTATCCTGGCTTTCAAACAAGTCTGGAAAGACTCCAGGGTAAAGCACAGCATACCAGGATCTTTTGCTCAATACACTGGGTCACTTCCACTCAGTCTCTTCACAGGCTACACAGCATACGCTACACAATACCTTTAGCTCCAAAGAGCCACCACCTCATCTCCATTACCCATGTGCTGGGTGGCACTCACAAAAAGCCACCCTCCAAACTTTTTTGTGAAACAGGCGGTATAGGCCGGGCGCGGTGGCTCACGCCTATAATCCCAGCAATCTGGGAGGCCGAGGCAGGTAGATCACCTGAGGTCAAGAGTTCCAGACCAGCCTAGCCAATGTGGTGAAACCTCGTCTCTATTTAAAAATACAAAAATTAGCTGGGTATGGTGGCGGGTGCCTGTAATCCCAGCTACTTAGGAGGCTGAGGCAGGAGAATCGCTTGAACCCAGGAGGCGAAGGCTGCAGTGAGCCGAGATTGCACTGCTGCACTCCAGCCTAAGTGATAAGAGCAAAACTCCGTCTCAAAAAAAAAAAAAAAAAAGAAAAGGGCGGGATGACACTGTGTCCCAGGCTGCCTAAGAAGGCTCATTAGTTACTGAAGAATTTCATTTCAGATATATAACTCTAGAATATAGAACCTTGAACCGTTAGCAAAATGTGCTTCCCCGCCAACTGGATCAGCATCACCTGGGAACTTGTTAGAGATGCAAATTCCCAAGCGCCATCCAAGACTCCTGACTCAGAAACTCTGGACTGAGAATCACCGAGTTAACAGGAAAACAGTATATTCAATGTGGTGTTGTTAATTACCACTAAAGATGATGCAGCAATCAGCTGGATAATGACTTGTGCCAACTTCTCCAAAAGATATTAGTCTTAATGATTTGTTTATATTAAATCATTCTGTGGCTCATCCCTGTTAATCCCACTGCTTCGGGAGGCAGAAGTGGGAGAATTACTTGAGGCCTGGAGTTTGAGATCAGTCTGAGCAACATGGTGAGACTCCTGTCTTTACAAAAAGTAAATTAGCCGGGCAAGGTGGCTCGTGCCTGTAGTCCCAGCTACTCAGGAGGCTAAGGCAGCAGGATTGTTTGACTCCATGAATTTGAGGCTGCAATGAGCTATAACATGCCACTGCACTCCAGTCTGGGCAACAGAGAAAGACCCTGTCTACACAATAAATAAACAATTAAATGAACAAACCATAAATAAAATACGTAGAAAAACACAAAACTGGCCAGCCACAGTGGCTTACGCCTGTAATCCCAGCACTCTGGGAGGCTGAGGCAGGTGGATCACTGGAGGTCAAGAGTTCCAGACTGGCCTTGCCAATATGGCAAAACCCCATCTCTACTAAAAATACAAAAATTAGCCAGGGGTGGTGGCGCACGCCTGTAATCCCAGCTACTCGGGAGGCTGAGGCAGGAGAATCGCTTAAACCTGGGAGGCAGAGGTTGCACCATTACACTCCAGCCTGGGGAACAGAGTGAGACTCCATCGCAAAAAAAGAAAAGAAAAGTACAAAACTTTGACACATAAAATTTTAAAAAAGAAAAAAACTGCCAAGCATAGTGGCTCATGCCCGTAATCCCAGCACCTGGGGAGGCCAAGGCAGGCAGATCAGAGTTTGAAACCAGCCTGGGCAACATGACTGCTACAAAGAAATACAGAAAATTAGCCAGGTGTGGTGGCACATGCCTGTAGTCCGAGCTACTTGGGAGGCTAAGGCAGGAGGAGCCCCTGAGCCTGAGAGGTGGAGGTTGCAGTGAGCCTGGGGGTCAGAGCGGGACTCTGTCTCGAAAAAAAAAAAAAAAAAAACTATGAATAAAAAAAAGAAAAACATAAAACTATTAAATACCAAGGACTACCTCAAAATCCAGAAGGCAGTAACATAAGCCTTCTACCACTCCTTGAAACCAGGAGGCCAAACTGTAGCATGCAACTAGGTTCTCTGCAAGAGATAAATTGGGTGAAATTACTGCTGACAGCTACCACTCTTGTTTTTAAGTAGATTTAAAAAAAAAAAAAAAATTACTCAAACTACTCTCTTGGCAACTCATTAGCAAAAGTCTAACCTGTTTCTGTGAATTGGCCACAAATTAAGCTTTAGCCACTAATGCAGCACTAAAGATTAGCAAACACTTGAGGGAGTAACACACACAATACAAAAGAATCAGACACCTCTAACATTAGCAAAATCCTCCACCCTTACCACAAAGCTTCAGACACAGATTATGTTAAGTACAAGCACAGATCAAAGGTTATTCTATGATGACACAATGGCTTGCCTTGGACTGTGGCTTATCTAAGCCATTCCCTAGTAGTCCGGTGAATATTAAGTGGGTTGCAAAACAATGCTGCTATTAACCCATTTCACGCAGCTATGCTCAAGAAAACGAAGTATGATATTCAAAAATGCATGCAAGCAGTCCTAAAGGTGATTCAGGAATACTTTGGATGGAGACTCAAACCTCTGAGAACTGAAAAGATCATTATAGTTCTTTCAAATTCTACATTACCAAATCTATCTACAAAATCACAGATTTGATTCACAAAGGAAAGGAAATACTTAGTTTTGCTCCTGAGGCAGCAGGCTTTCCAGTCCTAAAACTGATGGCAGAGGAGGAGCGTGAATCAGACAGGCGGCCACTTTAAGAAGCAGTTAGCAAAAAATGGTCACGCCTAGTGTTGGAGCCAGTGCAGTGCAAGGCAAGCATGTACTGACAAGAGCTCCAGCCACGAAGGAAGGTTGTGAGTGTACCATGACAGATCTGGCTGGCAGGCCACTGAAGGCTGTCTACATGATGCTGACCACGAGTTTTAATGTGTTTGAAAATTCCTTTGTGTGTGTGTGTGTGTGTGTGTGTGTGTGTGTGTGTGTGTGTGTGTATATAATTCTTTTAAGTTCTGGGATACATGTGCAGGACACGCAGGTTAAATATGTATCTTTTAAATTGAGACAGGGTCTATGTTGCCCAAGCAAGACTCAAACTCAGTCTCAAGTGATCCTCCCACCTCAGCCTCATAAATGGCTGGAATGACAGGTGCACACCACCGCACCTGGCTTTTTTTTTTTTTTTAGTTATACAATTATATAACTAGTATAATCTCAATCAGCAAATGAGGAACACTGATCTCAATTAGTAAATGAAATAGACACAGAACACAAACTAGCAGGAAATTCTCTAAGAGGACAGCTTTTTTTCTTCTGGGCTGAGGAATTATGAGTGGGATTTTTGTGTTTTAAAAAGAAAAAAAAATTAAGGACAAAAATTCCTAACTAAAGTAACATTTATCATGGCCTGTTCAGCCTCAGTTGATCCTCTCCTGTCTGGAAGTTATCGGTCCCCCTGTACTGAGAATGGGAGGCAGATTCTTCCAAGTTTAGCCACTTGCCCTTGGCCACCATGGAGGCCGACCCTAAGCTTCCCACTACCCGCCCTACACACGCAGGCCCTGTTCTCTCTCTCCCACGTGGCTTTTAACCTGAGCTGTCTCCATAGCCTCCCTGTGAAATGGTAAGCCTAGAGTACCAGCGGGAGCAGCTAGGGACAAGGGTTTTCATCCTAAACCACTAGTCAAAGCCCTTGTGTATATAAGAGAAGCAAGTGTAAGCAAGTGCTCAGGATACAACATCCCAGAAACATTTTTTTATAATACTCAAAGGGCTGATTAACTTATAGCTTCACGTGATGGCGTGGAGCCCTGATACAAAAAATGAGGTTGCTGTCTGAGGAAGAGCTTTGGGTAGAGCGAATTTTCAAGGCAACAGGAACAACACGCAGTGAAGAGAGCCATGTGGCCGGAGATCAAAAGGACAACCTTCCCACGACTGTAGTGCAAAGCAAGCTGCTACCTGGGCATGGGGCTTGCCAGGCACACCTGCTCCCACACACCGTGATCACCATCAGGAAAACGAGTGAATCAGCATCTCAGGGTGAGGCGAGGCCTCAGAGGTGTAGGGACACAGAGGTTTAGTTTGCATAATGACACACACACAGGCCTGGATGATCTAGACAGACTTCTAATGTCATGACATGTGTTAATAAAGAAGAACAGAGTTTATTCTGGTCTCTCTTCCTAGCAAAAGGAAAAACCTCAAGCCCCCAAACTCTTTATCCTTCCTCCTAAGAACTCAGTATTTTCACTCCCCGAGTGAAAAATTTGCATTCGTGTCCATCTGCTTTCTGCTTCTCTCAAGACTACACTTCCGATTTCTCAAAAAAGAGATTTCCAAGTAAAATTGTACCCCTCTCCTACCACTACAGACTGGGATACAGAAATGTTGAATACAATCTCATCTCAACCCAATTTGAGCACAGAATTAATCTGCGGCTCACCCCAAGTCCCAAGCCTTCTAAAGAGAAATTGAAACCTTAACCGACCAGCAGCTCTACTGTACTTGCAAACGGTCTTGGTATTTCCTTCAGGGCAGAGCAGTAAAAGCACTTCATAAGAACCCTGTATGCAAGGCTCATCATTATACATATTTATGTGCTATAAAAAACTAATTTTATCATCCAGGGTAGGAAGCATGCAGACATCTCTCACAAAATAAGCTCATTTATTTTGCTCACTAAGGCTCCTGTGTAAAATAAGGGTAACCACTGGCTAGATGGGAGTGACTGTGGCATCAGTTATTTTAATTTCACTCAGGTGGGGGGAATACAGTTTTCAATCTAGCCACTTGCTGTTTTGACAAATAGAGCGTTACTCAACATTTGTCCTGAAGCCAACTCATATCCTTTCTTAAATACATACACTAGAAACAAAGGCAAAAAAAAAAAAACAAAGGAAGAAAAAAACAAAACCAGCAGCTCATTTCAACAGTCTCCAAATGAAGCATATCAAATTACATCAACTAAAAACATTAAATTAAACATTATACAAAGGCAATGCCTGCAGGGCCTGTAAAACAACATACTGTAAAGTGTCAGAGGAAACAAGCCCCACACAATCCAACAGTCTAAGTCAACATCTTTTACAGTCTGTGCTCAGGCCAAACATTGAGAGAAACGGAAATCTTCTTTCAAAGACACTAACACTGTCTCTTAAAAAGATATGCCACCAACTACAGCATTGTCCCTTATAGACACTGTGTGCTATGGAAGAAGAATCCCTTCTTAGTGGAGCACAGGCTTGATTATCCCTGACTCTGCCACTCCTGGGGCCCTAGGCAGATGTCTCGGCTTTAAAATGGGCACATTTTCCCCTATCTATGAGGGCTGCCTTTAGAAAAAACAGTCAATGCAGGTGACATACTGTGCATAGTGGAAGGTGTTCAATCGATAAGCTATTTGATAGGTAGCCCAAATTTCTTAGAGTATACTGCTAATCCTTGAACACTGCAAATTAAATGCTAAATAGTCTTGGAAATAACTATTACCCACTTGCTCCAAGCCAGGACCAATGCAAGGCTGGAAATAGCTAAGAATGCTGACTTTACTACTAACCTGCCTACAGTGGGCTGAATGGTGGCCTCCAAAAAGATATGTCCACTTTCTACTCCCTGGAACCTCTGAGTGCTACCTTAGTTGGAAAAGGAATCTTAGTAGATGTTATTATATTAACATCTACTAAAATGATAATATCTGGGATTGATGATATTATCTGGGATTATACAAGTGGGGCCTCACTGCCATCATATGTGTCCTCATAAGAGAGAGGCAGAGACAGAGAGGACACACACACAGAGGAGGAGGAGGCAATGTGACCATGGGGACAGAGACTGGAGTGATGTGGCCCTAAGCAGAGGGATGCCAAGGAACGCCTGCAGCCACTGGAAGCCAGAGGAGACAAGGACAGATTCTTCCCCAGAGCCTCTGGAGGGAGCTCAGCAATGCTGATGACTTGATTTGAAACTTCTGGCCTCCAGAACCATGAGAGATGTATTCACCTAAAACACTTGGTATTTTAAGCCACCAAGCTTGCAGTAACTTGTCACAGCAGCCACAGAACACTAATCCAATACCCTACAGAACACTAATCCAATACCCTACTACAGAGGAGGCAAGTTGCTTAAATATACATCCAAGGGTTGACTGATTTCCTTTTACCTCAACAAGTTATTTTAAATTATAATAATAAACAAGCTATTAAGCCAGAGAGAAATGTACTTTAAAGTAACTAGAGCAAACACAAGACTAGAACAGCTCAGCACGTGGACTGCCCCTGCAGTGCTGCAGGGCTAGCATACCAAGTACAGGTTGCTGGGTGGGTGGCCTGTAAGGTTTCTTTAAAAAGCAGTTTTTTGATGCTGCCACAGAAGTGGCAATCAAGATCACAAGGCAGAAATTAAATAAGGCAGTATCAACTTGAGGCAAGCAGTCCCTTCCCTGAAGTAGCACTTGTTTCCAGTCTTAAAAAACCAGACTCAAGGCTTCACAGTAATTTAATGTGCCCTGTCTTTTGACTTTGTGAAAATCAGTGAGTGCATTAAACTTTGAGGGTAATCAAACCAAGCCAATTCATGGAGATTCTTTTTATCATGGTAACTTGGGGAGCCAAAAACGAAATAAACAAGACTTTGAGGAAAAATAAATGGCTTTGGTTAAAGTATGTGAGGAAGAAAAAATGCATCTTGTATATTAGGGGAAAATATATTTTGTGAACTAGGGAAAAACTGGCTTCAAGCCTTCTGGAATCTGGGAGGCTGGCTTGAAGCATCTGCAGTGCTAAAATTTCACTCCTCCATGGCACCTGACTCCAAAATTTACACAATCCAGAAGAGGTTGAAAATGGAGACTATTTTTTAAAGACGTATTTCCTGGGCTCTTTATGATTAAAGGGTAATATCAACAATCATACCACTGTCCACATGCAGCCAGTTTATGATAAGCTGTGCTGCCTAGTCCAGGTTCATACCCATTTTTGGTAAAAGCTGCAGGGCACAGGATATCATCTTTTAAAAGATTTGTTACTCCCTCATGCAAGCACATTAATATAAAATTAAAGGATAACTACTACCAAGTTCTTGGGAAAGCCAGCCAATAAGAAAGAAGGGGCCCATGATCACCACTGCTATAAGTGGCCTCCTTCCTGCCTTCCCTGACCTCGGTTCTGGCATCACCAGGTGCTTCTGGGAAAGGGATGAGAAGGGATGTGCCCGGCACAGGCAGACAATGGAGGAGGCTGTGTTCTCGACCCTAATGCCTCACAAATCACACAGCCTCACCAGCGTCAGAAGGCTCAACACAAATTAGTGCAAATAACACACAGGGTAGGTATTTTCTTTTCACTTACAACCCAACTTTGCAGCAAGACCTTTAAAATTAAGATGCAAAGACAGTTATAAAGTGTTTTCTTAAGAAGATATCTAAATTGCCATTCTCAATTAAAAAGTTTTTGTTGGCATCACGTATGTGGGCCACTTTGCTTCTATCAACACAGAGAGACTGTCACCCAAGGGTCCTCAGCACAGAACACACCGCCTGCTGTGTTTCTTTCATAAAATGAAGACCTACCCAGCACTGTGGGAGGCCGAGACGGGAGAATCTTTTGGGTCCAGAAGTTCAAGACCAGTCTGGGTGACAGGGCGCGACCTCATCTCTATGAAAAACTTTATTTTTTTTATTTTTACCTTTTTTTTTTTTTTTTGAGACGGAGTCTCGCCCTGTTGCCCAGGCTGCGGTGCAGTGGCACGATCTCGGCTCACCGCAGCCTCTGCCTCCCGGGTTCAAGCGATTCTTCCGCTTCAGCCTCCCGAGTAGCTGGGACTACAGGTACCCGCCACCATGCCCAGCTAATTTTTTTGTATTTTTAGTAGAGACAGGGTTTCACCACATTGGCCAGGCTGGTATGAAAAACTTAAAAAAAAAAAAAAATAGCTGGGTGTGGTAGCATGCATCTGTACTCCCTGCTACTTGGAGGGTGGAGCAGGAGGATCCCTTGGGCCCAGAATGCAATGAGCCATGTCTGCTCCACTGCACTCCAGCCTGAGTGACAGAGCCAGACCCTGTCTCAAAAAAAATAATTTAAAAAAATGCCGGGCGCTGGCAGGGCACGGTGGCCCACGTCTGTAATCCCAGCACTTTGGGAGGCTGAGGCGGGCGGAGATCAAGACTATCCTGTCCAACATGGTGAAACCCTGTCTCTACTAAAAATACAAAAAGTTAGCAGGGCATGGTGGCACGCGCCTGTAGTCCCAGCTACTCAGGAGGCTGAGAAAGGGGAATCGCTTGAACCTGGGAGGCAGAGGTTGCAGTGAGCCGAGATCACGCCATTGCACTCTAGCCTGGCAACAGAGCAAGACTCCATCTCAAAAAAAATTAAATTAAATTAAATTTTTTAAAAAAAGTGCGGGGACAGTGGCTCATGTCTGAAAACCCAACACTTTGAGAGGCTGAGGTGGGCGGATCACTTGAGGCCAAGAGTTCGAGACCAGCCTGGCCAACATGGTTAAACCCCGTCTCTACTAAAAATACAAAAATTTGCCGGGTATGGTGGCTTGAGCCTGTAATCCCAGCTACTCAGGAGGCTGAGGCATGAGAATTGCTAGAGCCTCGGAGGTGAAGGTTGCAGTGAGACGAGATCACGCCACTGCACTCCAGCCTGGGCGATGGAGGAGACTTCTCAAAAAATATATACAAATTTAAAAAAAAAAAAGAATTTAAAAAAACGAAATGAAATGAGAAACAAGATTTCCATTATTTTCTTCAAGTTCACTACAGTGTAAGTCACAGTAACAACCACCCTTTCTGCACACCTTCTACATGCCACACCCAACACCAAACAGCCTTATCAGCGCTGCTGCCCAACCAGGTGGAGATTATGATCTACAGTTGAAAGACTAGAAACCTAGCTTTGGCAAGACAAATCTCCCGTCTGGTGGCATCAATCCAACCGACCCACCCTGAAGCCTCAGCTATTTCCCTTATGCTCCTGCTGCCTTATGCATAAGCCACCCTAGCTGAGATGTTGCACAGATACACATCTATGTATCTTAAAGTTTATGTGCCCAAGGTGTGATCTAAACATAAGGCAGTAATACAATTACAAAAGAAAAATGCTCCAGGTGATGCAAAATATCATTGTTTTAATAAATTAAAATGTCAGTGAAGCAATGAGTTGCTCAAAAAGAACAGTTCACAAAAGGATACATTCATAGACAGATTAGAGGTAACCAGGAGCTGAGGGGAGGCAGAAGATAGGGAGTTACTGGCTTGCTGGTTACAGAGTTTCTGTTTGGGGTGACGAAAAAGTTCTGGAAACAGTGGCTATGGTTGTATAATATTGTGAATGTAATTAATGCCATCAAACTGTACATTTTAAATGGTTAAATAGCAAAAGTTGTATATTTTACCAAATTAAAAAAAATTAATAACGTAATATGCCAAAAACCACTGAACTATACACTTTAAATGAGTGAACTATATGGTATGTGAATTTATATCTCAATAAAGTGGTTTTGAAATAGGAAAGAGGAGGCCGGGTGCGGTGGCTCACGCCTGTAATCCCAGCACTTTGACAGGCCAAGGCGAGCAGATCACGAGGTCAGGAGTTCAAGACCAGCCTGGCCAACATGGTGAAACCCTGACTCTACTAAAAATACAAAAATTAGCAGGGTGCAGTGGCACGTGCCTGTAATCCCAACTACTCAGGAGGCTGGGGCAGGAGAATTGCTTGAATCTGGGAGGTGGTATCACACCACTGCGCTCCAGCCTAGGTGGCAGAGCGAGACTCTGTCTCAAAAAAAAAAAAAAAAAAAAAAAAAAAGAAAAGAAAAAGGAAAGAGGGCCGGGCCCTGTGGCTCATGCCTGCTGTAATCCCACCACTTTGGGAGACCGAGGCGGCGGATCATGAGGTCAAGAGTTCGAGACCAGCCTGCCCAACACAGTGAAACCCTGTCTCTACTAAAAGTACAAAAATTAGCCAGACACGGTGGCGCATGCTTGTAGTCTCAGCTACTCAAGAGGCTGAGGTAGGAGGATCCCTTGAACCTGGGAGGCGGAGGTTGCAGTGAACAAAGATCATGCCACTGCACTCCAGCCTGGGCGACAGAGTGAGACTCCATCTCAAAAAAAAAAAAAGAGAAAAGAAAAAGAAAAAAGAAAAAGGAAAGAGGCTGGGCACCGTGGCTCATGCCTGTAATCCCAGAACTTTGGGAGGCTGAGGTTGGAGGATCGCTTGAGCCCAGGAGGTCAAGACCAGCGAGGGCAACGTAATGAGGCCCCCACCTCTACAAAAAAAAAAAAAAAAAAAAAAATTAGCCAGGCATGGTGGCATGCGCCTTTGGTAGCTACTTGGGAGGCTGAGGCAGAAGGATCATTTATGCCCAGAAGGTTGAGGGTGCAGTGAGCCATGATCGTGCCTCTGCACTCCAGCCTGGATGACAGAGCAAGACCCTGTCTCAAGGGAAAGAAAAAGAAAAGAATTAAAGTTAAAATTTAAAAAAGGAAAGAAACAGCTTCTAATAGTTCACTTAGAAGATATATTTCTTTACTTCCTTTTCCCAATAAAAGTCTAAAACTCCAGGCGCGGTGGCTCATGCCTGTAATTCCAACACTTTGGGAGGCTAGGGTGGGTGGTTCACTTGAGGTCAGGAGTTCAAGACCAGCCTAGCCAACTTGGTGAAAGCCCATCTCTACCAAAAATACAAAAATTAGCTAGGAGTGGTGGCGGGCACCTGTAATCCCAGCTATCAGGAGGCGGAGGCAGAGATTGCAGTGAGCCAAGATTGCACCACTGCACTCCAGCCTGGGCTAACAGAGCAAGATTCCAACTCAAAAAAAAAAAAAAAGTCTAAAACTGAAAACACAATACAGAACTAAGAGTAAGAACTAACCATATGATTCAAAGGGGAGAAACAAAAAACAGTAACATATTCAATCTTCTCCCTGCATATTATTTAGTTACATGTAGGTTTTTTGCGGGAGGTCTCCTCTGCTTTCTGGTCAAGGCTCAATAATTCAAAACAAAGTCCTGTTTACTGGATGTACACAGTGCATCATACAACATCTTCTATGCAAACCAACAGCCCTCCTTCTGTCCCCCACATCTAGTCAGAGAAGTGTCTCAAACTATGTCACCACAGCAGTGACAGCAGTGAGAAGTTAACTGAGGCCTATGATGTACCAGCCACTATGCATTTTACACACACTCTCTCATTTCATCCTCACAACAACCCTATCAAACAGGTTCTAATATTCTCAATTTAAAAACGAGGAAGCTGAGGTACAGGGAGGGTGAGTAACTTGCCCAAGATCACACAGGTAATAAGGAGCAGAGCCGGGATTCAACTGTACTATACTACGCTCCACAAGATCCTGAAGTAAAGCAATCCTACTGGAGAAATCAATCAAACGGCTTTTTAAATATTTAAATTCAAATGGAAATGAATCCTATGGAGTGTTGTGACACTGACAGCTATATGCTTACCAACAATAAAGCTATGTTAAAACTCATGTTTATGTTGGGAAGCTGGAAGTCCCATGGAGGAGGGAGGTGGAATTACTGTAAGACTCAATTTAATACACTGCTCCTCTGTATGAGGGAGGGACAGGCTGGACAGCAGAAGGTTAAGCGAGGGCTTCCCTGCAGGTGATCAGGCAGCACCCTCCAGGGAGACAAGCTTGACACACGGGGTCCCTTAACAACCCACTGCGACCCTGCACGCCATGCTGCTGGGCACGAACGGCAGTTGTGCTAGTAAGCAGCAAATAAAGCCTTGTTCTGTCCGTTACTGGCGAGAGGGCTGGGAAGAAATCTTTTCTTTTTTTTTTTGGTCACCCAAAATAAGTTGACACTGGGAAGAAATCTTTAATTCTTCAGTTTAAAATCTCTCTGATGTTAAATGTCAAGCACATGCATATTACAAGAAAAACCCAATTTGCTAACAGCATGCAATTGCTTTCTATGGAGAAAAAGGGAAAACACTGGTGTGCTTTTATTTCAGGCACCACAGGTTCCTTCCTCTCCCATCTGTACATACAGCTGTTATGTATACCTATTCAACCCTCCATACACTGCTGCGTTATATTCATTTCAAAAACAAAACTTTAAAAAATGCTCCAAACCAAAGCCATCATGCTTCTATTACGTACCAATGTGACACAATCATCATCTGATTTTTCATAAGCAAACACTAATGGGTAGGTACTAGCAGAAGTAGACACTTCACATTTGTTGCTACTGCACTCCAATTTTATGTCCACAAGCTAACATAGTTTCTTTTTCATTAAACTAAAACATAAAACACATTCTGCTACCACCTCTACCTTTACTGAATCTCCTAGCATGTTAGATCTTTTTGTATTTTTTCTTTTTTTTTTTTTGAGACAGGGTCTTACTCTGTCACCAAAGCTGGAGTGCAGTGCTGCAACCATGGCTCACTGCAGCCTCAACCTCCTGGGCTCAAGCAATCCTCCTGCCTCAGCCTCCTGAGTAGCTGGGACTACAGGCATGTGCCACCATTCCCAGCTAATTTTTTTTTAAGAGATGGAGTCTCGCTATGTTCCCCTGCCTGGTTTCAACTCCTGGCCTCAAGCAATCCACCTCCCTGGCCTCCCAAAGTGCTAGGATTATAGGCATGAGCCACCATGCCCAACCTTATTTATTTATTTTTAATTAACAACTAAAAATTGTATATATTGATATGTACAACATGTTTTGAAATATGTATACACTGTAAGATGGCTAAATTAGACTAACATATCCATTACCTAACATACTCACTTTTTGCAGTGAAAACACTTAAAACCTACTCTTCTGGTAATCTTCAAGTTTACAATACACTGTTAGTAACTACAGTCACCATGCTGTATAACATATCTCTTGAATTTATTCCTACTAACTGAAATTTTGTGTCCTTTGACCAATATCTCCCCAATCCTCCCCGCACCCCTTATATTTCAAGAAACGGAAAAGAATATATGCTGGGCACTTATTAAGTTCTAGGAACTATCAAAGTCCTTTCAAATCTCATACAATCCTTATAACCTCGACGGAAGATGATACGCTTTGGCTATGTCCCCATCCAAATCTTATCTTGAATTGTAACTCTCACAATTCCTACATGTTGTGGGAGGAACGTGATGGAAGGTGATTGAATTATGGGGGCGGATCTTTCCTGTACTGTTATTTTGATAGTGAGTGAGTCTCACGAGATCTGGTGTTTTAAAAACGGGAGGTTCCCTGCACAAGCTCTCTTGTCTGCTGCCATGTGAGATGTGCCTTTTACCTTCTATCATGATTGTGAGGCCTCCCCAGCCACATGGAACTGTAAGTCCAATAAACCTCTTTCTTTTGTAAATTGCCCAGTCTCAGGTATGTCTTTATCAGCAGCATGAAAATAGACTAATACAGTAAATTGGTACTGGGGCGGGAGAGGGGGCTGCTGAAAAGCTATCAAAAAATGTGAAAGTGACTTTGAAACTGGGTAACAGGCAGAGGCCGGAACAGTTTGGAGGGCTCAGAAGAAGACAGAAAAATGTGGGAAAGTTTGGAACTCCCTAGAGACTTGTTGAATGGTTTTGACCAAAATGCTGGTAATGATATGGATAATGAAATCAAGGCTGAGATGGTCTCAGATGGAGATGAGAAACTTTTTGGGAACTGGAGCAAAGGTGACCCTTGTTATGTTTTAGCAGACACTGGCAGCATTTTGCCCTTGCCATAGAGATTTGTAGAACTTTGAGCTTGAGAGAAATAATTTAGGGTATCTGGCAGAAGAAATTTCTAAGCAGCAAAGCATTCAAGAGGTGACCTGAGTGCTGTTAAAGGCATTCAGTTTTATGAGGGAAGTAGAGCACAAAAGTTTGGAAAATTTGAAACCTGACAATGTGATAGACAAGAAAATCCTGGCCGGGCATGGTGGCTCATGCCTGTAATCCCAGCACTTTGGGAAGCCAAGGTGGGCAGATCATGAGGTCAGGAGTTCGAGACAAGCCTGACCAACATGGTGAAATCCCACCTCTACTAAAAATACAAAAATTAGCTGGGCGTGGTGGCGCACACCTGTAATCCCAGCTACTCAGGAGGCTGAGGCAGGAGAATCACTTGAACCCATGAGGCAGAGGTTGCAGTGAGCCGAGATTGTGCCACTGCACTCCAGCCTGGGCAAGAGAGTGAGACCCCATCTCAAAAAAAAAGAAAAGAAAATCCCATTTTCTGAGGAGAAATTAAGCTGGCTGCAGAAATTTGCGTAAGTAATGAGGAGCCAAAGACAATGGGGAAAATGTCTCCAGGGCGTGTCAGAGGTCTTCAAGGCAGGCCCTCCCATCACAGGCCCAGAAGTTTAGGAGGAAAAAATGGTTTCACAGGCCAGGCCCAGGAGCCCTGCATCCCAGCTGCTCCAGCCATGACTAAAAGTGGCCAAGGTACAGATCAGGCTGTTGCTTCAGAGGGTGGAAGCCCTAGGCCTTGGCAACTTCCATGCAGCATTGAGCCTGTGGGCACACAGAAGTCAAGAATTGAGGTTTGGGGACCTCTACCTAGATTTCAGAAGATGTATGGACATGCCTGGATGCCCAGGAAGAAGTCTGCTGCAGGGGTGGGGCCCTCATGGAGAACTTCTGCTAGGGCAGTGCAGAAGGGAAATGTGGGGTCAGAACCCCCACACAGAGTCCCTACTGGGGCACCACCTAGTGGAGCTGTGAGAAGAGGGCCACTGTCCTTCAGACAGCAGAATGGCAGATCCACCAACAGCTTGCACCATGCATCTGGAAAAGCCACAGACACTCAATGCCAGCACATGAAAGGAGCCAGGAGGGAGGTTGTAACCCTGCAAAGCCACAGGAGCAGAGCTGCCCAAGACCATGGGAACTCGCCTCCTGCATCAGCGTAATCTGAACGTGAGACATGGAGTCAAAGGAGATCATTTTGGAGCTTTAAGATTTGACTGCCCTGCTGGATTTCAGACTTGCATAACTTGCCCAAAATCACACAGGTAATAAGAGCCTGTAGCCAATTACTCCCATTTGGAATGGCTGTATTTATCCATAGCCTGTACCCCCATTGTATCTAGGAAGTAACTAACTTGCTTGTGATTTTACAGGCTCATAGGCGGAAGGGAGACTTGCCTTGATTCAAATGAGAGTTTGGACTGTGGACTTTTAAGTTAATGCTGAAATAAGACTTTGGGGGACTGTTGGGAAGGCATGACTGGTTTTGAATTCTGAGGACATGAGATGTGGGAGGGGCCAAGGGTGGAATTATATGGTTTGGCTGTGTCCCCACCCAAATCTCATCTTGAATTTTAACTCCCACAATTCCCACATATCGTAGGAGGAACCCGGTGGGAGGTGATACAATTATGGGGCAGGTCTTTCCTGCACTGTTCTCGTGATAGTGAATGAATCTCACAAGATCTGATGGTTTTAAAAATGGGAGTGTCCCTGCACAAGCTCTCTTCTCATCTGCTGCCATGTGAGATGTGGCTTTCACCTTCTGCCATGACTGTGAGGCCTCCCCAGCCACGTGAAACTACAAGTCCAATAAACCTCTTTATTTTGTAAATTGCCCTGTCTTAGTTGTGTCTTTATTAGCAGCATGAAAATGGACCAATACAGAAGGTGAATCATTTTATCCCCATTTTACAGAGGAGAAAACATTTGTCCAAGAGCATATCATTCCTTGTCTCATCGGTAGCTCAGAAAGACCATAAAGCAGTGTCATTCCAGGAAGGCCTAGATTTCCAGCGGAACCCTGTTCAGATTCAAAACAAGGAAGCAGTCCTGTAGAGTAAACTGCAGGCATCTAGCTCATCTTTTCACATTCCAGTGCTTACTGAAGATAGCCAAAAAAGAGACCTGCTTATTCTTCCTCTTTCTAAGAACTGAGGTAAACAGAAAACAACCTTCCCGAAAACCTTCATAAAAGGGTCAAGGTGTCTTGACAATACCGAAGACAGTTAACAAAACATAAGGCAAACGTCTGATTTTGTGCTTTCTGTTGTACAATAAAAAGCAAAAGCAGAGAGCATTTTTAGCTCTTAGATTTTAGATCTGGATTTGACCAAAGGATCTTAACATTAAGTTTGGTTTTCAATGCATTGATTAAAACTGACCAAAGCTATAAAAGCAGGTAAATCATTTGCTGAGGAGACAGCCTCCAATATAAACAGAGTGCATTCCACACAGGCTGTCATTAGCAGTGGCGTGATCCTGATTTCCATGGCTCAATTCTCTCATGACTTTCCTCCTGATTCCAAAAAAGCAAGGAGGACTATGGGAGGTGCCCAGGCCATGAAAAAGACAAAATGGCACCATGCAAAACCCTTATGGGACATTCTTCTAGACCAGTATGGCTTAAAAAAACACCTCATATCACATTCAGTCTTTGCATACTGCTTAAACAACAGTGGTCTCAGGATTTCCTCAATAGTTGACTTGATAAAGCTTCCCAAAATGGCATAACTGATGCTACTAAATGCTAATTTAGAATAATGCAGACGTAAGTGAAGTTTATTTCCCTTCGAGGTTTACTTTTTAAATGTTAAGTCTGGTGAGAGCAAAATAAAATATTGTTTGCATATGTGGGCAGTTTAATGTCCACCCAAATTTATGTTAGGAGTATGCATGTTTGGTAAAGGTTACATTTAGAAAAGACTGGTGTCAAAATAAATTAATCTTCAGAAAATCTTGCATATTTTTCTAAAATCATCAGCTTGAGATAATGTTGGGGGCAACTACCAAATGTTTTTCTACAAGGGTAACCATGAAAAATGACAAAAATCAAGGTTTAATATCCTAAATCACCTGCAAGTAAGTAAAAACAAGGTCAGTATTAACATAGAAAGAGATGTCAAAAGAAGCAATTGTTTTTCCTTCTTTTTTCTTTTTGGTCTCCTCTTCCCAGACTCAAGTGATCCTCCTGCCTCAGCCTCCCGAGTAGCTGGGACTACAGGTGTCTGCCCCTACACCCACCTAATTTTTGTATTTTTTGTATAGACTGGGTTTTGCCACATTGTCCAGGCTGCTCTCAAACTCCTGGGCTCAAGCAACCCTCCTTCCTCACCTTCACAAAGTGGTGGGATTACAGGCATGAGCCACGGCACCTGGTCCAGAAAACCCACTTTACTTACTTACTTACTTACATTTATTTATTTATTTTTGAGATAGAGTCTCACTCTTGTTGCCCAGGCTGGAATGCAGTGGCGCAATCTCGGCTCACTGCAACCTCTGCCTCCTGGGTTCAAGCAATTCTCCTGCCTCAGCCCCCCCAGTAGCTGGGATTACAGGCACCCATCAACACGCTCAGCTACTTTTTGTATTTGTAGTAGAGACAGGGTTTCGCCATGTTGGCCAGGCTGGTCTTGAACTCCTGACCTCAGGTGATCCGCCCGCCTCAGCCTCCCAAAGTGCTGGGATTACAGACATAGGCCAACGCATCTGGCCATAAAACCCACTTTCTAAGGGGGTTAAGAATGAATGCCTATACTTAACCAAGTTATTCCAATAAATAATAATAAAAACAGGCCATGCATGGTGGCTCACGCCTGTAATCCCAACACTTTGGGAGGCCAAGGCAGGTGGATCACCTGAGGTCAGGAGTTTGAGACCAGCCTGGCCAACATGGTGAAACCCTGTCTCTACTAAAAATACAAAAATTAGCAGGGCGTGGTGGTACGAGCCTGTAGTCCCAGCTACTCAGGAGGCTGAGGCAGGAGAATCACTTGAACCTAGGAGGTGGAGGTTGCAGTGAGCTGAGATCACGCCACTGCACTCCAGCCTAAGTGACAGAGTGAGACTCTGTCTCACCAAAAAAAAAAAAAAAAAAAAAGAGGAATAAAAACAGTTCTTGGCTAGGCGCGGTGACTAACGTCTGTAACTCCAGCACTCTGGGAGGCCGAGGCGGGTGGATCACCTGAGGTCAGGAGTTCGAGACCAGCCTGACCAACATGGAGAAACCCCATCTCTACTAAAAATACAAAAAAATGGCCGGGCATGGTGGCACTTGCCTGTAATCCCAGCTACTTGGGAGGCTGAGACAGGAGAATCACTTGAACCCGAGAGGCAGAGGTTGCGGTGAGCCGAGATCACGCCATTGCACTCCAGCCTGGGCAACAAGAGTGAAACAACATCTCAAAAAAAAAAGAAAGAAAAAAAACACAGTTCTTATTTTGTATTTCAAATCTTGCAGGAATATTTTTCCTTTAATGATGAAGAAAATATTCTTCCTTTACAGATTGGAAAAAAATAGACCAAAAAAATAATCACAGAAGGATTCCCAAATCCCACCTCCTATTCAACTACTCTTGGTATGCATCTAGGTTTTACAAAAAAATTCTGAATGGACAGATGTCCCAATTCAAAATAAGCCTACACATTTACTGTCTAGTTCTTTTCAATAATAGTCCTGCACAGTATTAGCAATATTAGATTGATCTAGAAATACAGAAAGTCTCAGCTAGCTTTTTTTTCTTTTTTTTTTTGAGAGGGAGTCTCACTCTGTTGCCCAGGCTGGAGTGCAGTGGTGTGATCTTGGCTCACTGCAGCTTCCGCCTCCTGGTTTCAAGCGATTCTCCTGCCTTAGCCTCCCGAGTAGCTGGGAATACAGGCTAATTTTTGTACTTTTAGTACAGACCGGTTTTCACCATGCTGGCCAGGCTGGTCTCGAACTCCTGACCTCGAGTGATCTGCCCGCCTTGTTCTCCCAAAGTGCTGGGATTACAGGCGTAAGCCACTATACCCAGCCCAGCTAAGCTTTTTAATCAAAGTTTATTTTGATTGCTCTGCATGTTGGTCACATACATGACTGATAAACTAGATGCAGCCCACATCTAACCCAGTTTGCATCCAACATCTGATTTTATAAGGAGCTGACTTTAGTGGAGAAGCAGGATTACTGTTTTAATATTTACAGCGTGTAAATATTTACAAATGACTACTCAAGAGACTGAGGTGGAAGGGTCACTTGAGCTCAGGAGGTGGAGGCTGCAGTGAGCCAAGATCATGCCACTGCACTCCAGCATGGAAAAAAGAGCAAGACCGTGACTCAAAAAAATAATAATAATAATACAAATGAGTCAACATCTCTCAGTTGAAAAATACTGCAGAACAATGAATTTAACATCAAGTACATAAAAATGTAAGGGAACAATCATAATTGGACCTATATTTAGCTGGCCACGGTGGTTCACACCTGTAATCCCAGCACTTTGGGAGGCTGAGGTGGGCAGATAACCTGAGGTCAGGGAGTTCGAGAGAAGCCTATTCAGCATGGTGAAACACCATCTCTACTAAAAATATAAAGATTAGCCAGGTGTGGTGGTACATGCCTGTAGTTCCAGCTACTCCATAGGCTGCAGCAGGAGGACTGCTTGAACCCAGGAGGCAGACATTGCCGTGAGCTGAGATTGTGCCACTGCACTCCACATTGCAGCCTGGGTGACAGAGTGAGACACCATCTCAAAAAAAAAAAAAAAGAACTATATTTAACATCAATCACCTGTGGGTTCCATGGTCTACAGCAAAGGCTACATTTCCAAAGACAAACACTGCCCCAAAAAATAAAAGAGCTAAGAAAATCATGTTTTCTACAGGCGCCCGCCACCGTGCCGGCTAATTTTTTGTATTTTTAGTAGAGATGGGGTTTCACCGTGTTAGCCAGGATGGTCTCAATCTCCTGACTTCATGATCCGCCTGCCTCAGTCTCCCAAAGTTGGGGGATTACAGGCGTGAGCCACCGCGCCTGGCCAGGAAATTTTCTTTTGTTTTTTTTGTTTTTTTTTTTCAGACAGAGTTTTGCTGTGTTGCCCAGGCTGCAGTGCAGTGGTGCAATCTCAGCTCACTGCAACCTCTGCCACCTGGGTTGAAGCAATTCTCCCACTACAGCCTCCCGAGTAGCTGGGATTACAGGCACATGCCACCACGCCTGGCTAATTTTTGTATTTTTAATAGAGACGAGTTTCATCATGTTGGCCAGGCTGGCCTCGAACTCCTGACCTCAAGCACTCTGCCCACCTCAGCCTCCCAAAGTGCTGGGATTACAGGTGTGAGCCACCACACCCGGCCCCTCATAGGAAATTTAAATGCCAGAACTACCAGTTCTTTTTCTTGGAAGAGATCTACTATACTACGTCTAGCAATGTTTTCTTTTTTTTTTTTAAGCCTATATTTTTAATACATTTGTTCCCCAAAAGGTCACTTTCTACTTTCAAAAAACATGTGAGTCACTCGAGATGAAAAACAGCTTATCTAAAAATGTGTTATAGCTCCCAATAACTCCAAACTGACATCCCAAGATATGAGGCTGTTCCACAGTGAGAGAACTTGGAAACTGGAACTCTCTGATTACTTACTTGTTAAAAAAAGGTTCAATGAGTTTTGATCTGGCAGACACATGAATTTTTGGAGGGCTGAGAAAAGAACCTAATGAAGAAAAGAAGAGAGGTATTATTATTCATAGTCACATAGACCAAGCCTGAAAGTTCAGACCAAAACAGATTTAAATTAACAGCATGGTTCAACAAGTGTGAAAGGTATTCTTTTTTTTTTGAGTCAGAGTTTCACTCTTGTTGCCCAGGCTGGAGTGCAATGGCGCAATCTCGGTTCACTGAAACTTCCACCTCCCAGATTCAAGTGATTGTCCTGCCTCAGCCTCCCGAGGACCAGGGATTACAGACATGTGCCACCATGCCCAGCTAATTTTGTATTTTTAGTGGAGACAGGGTTTTTCCATGTTGGTCAGGCTGGTCTCAAACTCCTAACCTCAGGTGATCCACCCACCTCAGCCTCCTAAAGTGCTGGGATTACAGGAGTAAGCCACTGCGCCCGGCCTGTGAAAGGTATTCTTACGCACCAAGTACCATACCACAGCAAGTGTCAGTGGTTTTTCTTGCAGATTTCCTCCTCCCCTCATCTCCTCCCACTCCTACCTCAAAACCCTCCCACTTTTAATTGGGTGAGTGGATCCCAAGGAAATGGTAGTGCTATAGGTTCAATGTTTGTGTCCCCCTAAAATTCATATGTTGAAGCCTCCCCAGTACGATGGTATTTGGAAGTGAGACCTTTGGGAGGTAATTAAGTCACGAGGGAATTAGTGCCCTTATAAGAAGGGTCAGGAGGCTGGGTGCGGTGGCTCAAGCCTGTAATTCCAGCACTTTGGGAGGCTGAGGTAGGAGGATCACTTGAGCCCAGAAATTCTAGATCAGCCTGGTTAACACAGCAAGACCCTGTCTCTATAAAAAAATTAAAAAGTTAGCCAGGCACAGTGATGCACACCAGTAGTCCCAGCTACTTGGGAGGCTGAGCCCAGGAGTTCAGCGTTGCAGTAAGCTATGATTGAACCACTGTACTTCCAGCCTGGGTGACAGAGTGAGACCCTGACTCTTAAAAAAGAGGCGGCACAGCTTCTGCTCTCTCTGCTCTCCACCACGTAAGGACAGGAGAAGGCAGCCATCTGCAAACCAGGAAGTGGGCTCTCACCAGATACTAGGTCTGCTGGCAACTGGGTCTTGGACTTTCCAGCCTCCTGAACATGAGAAATAAATGTCTGTTGTTTAAGCCCCACACTCGACAGTAATTTATTACAGCAGCCTAAGCCAGGAGACAGGTAAGATCCACCCTAGATCACTGCGTGTTTGACTGAAAGACATGTAATGCGTACCTAGGTAATTGGCCATGGAGATGAAGCACAGCCCTGTGATGTAGGCATCGTAGCCTGCCTCGTGGAGTTGTTCAGAGGCTGTGTCATAACTTGGAAAACCTTCGGCACTTTCTAAGAAAAAAAAGGAAAAAGTTTTCCTCAAAACAAAGACTAGTAAGCACATTGCCCTACCAATCAAAATTGCATTAGCATATGCTAGAGAAATACCCTAAATAGGCAGAAAAAAGCTATCTATTCCTTAATTCTCTCTATATAAGACCTTAAAATACAAGATAACAGAGTCACTGAAAAGGAGGGCTTTGGTCTAGGATACAGAAATGCCTCAGTTAGATTACAAAGGACTCAGCCGTGGGCTTTCTCGTCCCACACTGGTGGGTGCTATTTATGATCATCCATAACTCACTCTAGGACAATGATTCCTCTTCTGCTTGCTTTCTAAGGCCATGAAAAGGATATTCTTCCCTTATACAAGATGGTCACATCAGGCCACAATAGATGATCCAGAGTAAAGATTAAGAGCATGGGCTCTGGAGTCACACTGAGTTCGAATCTCTGCTCCACCACTTATTTGCGGTATGACCTTGGGCAAGTCACTTCATCCCTAAGGTTCCAGTTTTGTAAAACAGAGATGATAATCAAACCTTCTTCAAAAGGTTATTGTTAGGATCAGATAAGATAATATAAGTTAAACTCTTACCTAGTGCTTGGTACATAGTAAGTGCTCAAAAACTGTTATCTATCAATACCTGAGGCAACCCTCCCCCAAAAAAAGAGAAGACTGCAATTCACTATCAACAGCTCCAACTCACTACTGTCCTCTACTATGTTCCCAAGCTTAGAGATCGAAAGGTGACAGCACAACCAACTCCAAAAATAAATCGAACTTGCTATAATGCTGGCCTTGGATCATGGAACCACTTTACAGCAAAGACCGCTTTATATACAATATGGTTCTTTTGTGACATTGATAAATACAGATGTGACCAGATAAACTATAAGAGGAATGACCTGCTTTAGACTGAATTCTCTACCAGATACCACTATTTTATATGGAAATAATAACATAAAACTATAACTCATAAATAATTATATCCTAGAACCATTCTGGAAATGAATGTCAGGAAGGTTACTATAACACAGAATCAAAAGCATAAATGGAAATTAACAATGAAAAGGCTGTAACTGTTTTTATGTCAATACAATGCTCTTTAAGCAAGAATTCTTTAACTCCATATTAAATATTAGACTTGATGCCTTTAAAAAAAAGCCTTTTAACATGGTAGCCACCTAAGTAATATCTTCCACTCCATCATCAACTGAGACACATTCTTTCCAAAATCAATTATTTCCATTATATTGTTATAGAAAAGGTCCACGTTTTCTCCCCCAATGGCCCCACCACCACTTTTCTTAATTCCTTTCTTGGACTATTACCCAGAAAGGGGCAAATAACTGTAATCTTGGCTGCTTTAATACTTTGCATTATCAATTTCTAAACCATTAGTCCTATTATCCATGTCTTTAGAAGTTTTCAGGCTACAACTAATGGCTCGCTAATCACCGTATCAGCAGCACAATCAGGTTAACAGGGACCAAGGAAGTAGCACCTGGTAGGCTCTCCACATACCTTGGTGGTGGCCCGAGGTGGCAAAACACCTCCATCTCATCTCCCTACTTCTGGTTTTCCTCAGTGCTGCTGTTTCTACTCTCTAAACCAGCTGAAAAGGAGGCAGGGTGGGGACTTGCCTTAATCTCACCTGTAAATCCAGTTCTCGGGCTTTTCTGAGATGGAAAATATATTTTTTACTCTACCCCTGGTGATTAATCACTAGCTCTTTGTCTCTGCTTCAATAATGTATGAAAGAATAAAAGGGCACATCAAGTTTTAGGAGAATTCCATATTATTAGAAAATAGAAGCCTTGAAGCTTTAATTGCTAAAATTCTCAATGAATGGCTACCCAACTCCATTAACATAAAATATATGTAGAATTAAAAGACCATCTTTATTCAAAAAACAATAATTCAACACACGGTACGTGCAAGTGAATTCAGCCAAAATCTATAAATGAACAATACGGTCTCCAGAGCCATTCTGCTTTTCTTCTACAATATACATCAATAATTATTACAAAGAGTTTGGAGGGTTTCCGGTTTAATATTCTTACCAACTTTAGGAGGGTTGAAAGGTGTCTCTTTTAACCGCTTTTCCAATTCCGCAAGGGATGTGTTGTTAATGATATCCTGCAAACCACGAAGCAAAGAATTATGAGATTTCATCATCTCAGAACAATATATTAAAGAGATTCACTGACCCCCCCAAAAAAAAGACAGCATCTAGTACTGTCTCCTTGTGTTCTTTAAAGAAACACAGAAGTCTTCGTTTTTTTCAATGTGAAAGAGAAGCAGCTAGTTTAATTTTTATAATATACAAAGTATAACCAAATGAATAAAGATCTTTACAGATGCATTAAATACCTCCAAACCTTTTGCCAGAAGGCTATATTGTTCTGGCATTCATTTCACTCAGTAATATGCAGTCGCTTTATAAAGTAGCAAATGAATAATACCTTAAAAGGTTGTGTGCTGGCCATCAATTTAGTATCCAAGAGTCTAAAAAGAATTTTTAACAAGGTAAACAAAATGTATATCAATGTTTAAAATGTCTTTTACTCAAATATGTAAGCTACTTAAAATACTTCATACATAAAAAACATAATTAAAACATAAAATGTTTAATACAGAAAATACTTAAACACAGACAAAGTAATTAAACACATTGGCCATTTTGAACCCAGCACCAGCATCCCTGCTACGTTGGAGTAGGTACTCAGTCCCATCATCAGCGACTTCATTGAGCAACTGCAGGAGAGTCCACACTTGGAGTACAAGTTCTAGATTCACCTGGATCCTCAGAGAGCCTGGGCTCCATCAATCTCAAGGGTGAGTCAAATACTCTCACATGGTTTTACGTGGTTCAAATACTGCTGCCGGTCTACCATTCCCAAACTGCTACCATCTACTCCTACTCCTCAGGTTTGTAAACTATAAATTCTTCTGCAGGGCCAAAATCTACAATCAGTACTTTCACGCTGTTGTTTTTATTTCTTATTATTCTATTTCAGAGATCAGAAACACCAAAAGGGGAGGGTGGGGAGAAACCCACATGAAAACTCTATTTCTCTGTTTTTTTTTTTTTTTTTTTTCATATAAATGTGAACAGAGTGGGTAACAGGACAGAAATAAGCCCAGCTGAAAGAGAAACTGCTCGAACACCACGCCTATCCCTCTTCAACAGGTCCTAAGACACAAACACTTGTTCGGTAGGCTCCACATGGCTGACCTATGATGTCTCAGAGATATGTGACATATGACCTATCAGAACAAGGGGGCAATAATAACTATGGAAAACACCAACAGGAAAAGGCACTGACTTGAAGTGGATGAAAAACAAAATCTCTAGCCAGATGGACAGTTCTTGACTGACTCTTGAACACTCTCAATTGGACACTTCAATAGTTACAAGGTACATCCTACATGCAAGACAGACAAGAGCCATCTCAAGGAGGCTTCAACAGTTCTTCAGACAGCAAGATGAGAGATAAGAAAAAAGGAGTCGTTGGTCTACTTTCACTCTCAGTTCAAACTGTGATTTTTTGATAACAAAACCAATCATAAATTATAAAAGCAAGCCATCACAACATTGGAGACATTAAATAAGTTCCAAGCTTATATGAACATGATCTAATGGTTTTAACAAATTACTATATACCTATTTGTATTGTGTATGTCACAATGACTCTTTTTTTTTTTTTTTTTTTTGAGACAGGATCTCACTCTGTCACCCAGGCTGGATAGTAGCACTATTATGGCTCACTGCAACCTGGACCTCCTGGGTTCAAGCAATTCGCCCACTTCAGCCTCCTGAGTAGCTGGACCACACGTATCCCACCACACCCAGCTAATTTTTTATTTTTTATAGATATGTGGTTTCACTATGTTGCCCAGGCTGGTTCTGAACTCCCTAGGCTCAAGTGATCCTCCCACCTCAGTCTCCCAAAGTGGTGGGATTATAGGTGTGAGCCACCGTGCCCAGCCAACTTTTTTAAAAGAAAGACAAATCCTCAAAGAAAGCTTACCTGGGGAAAACACATGTTGTCATCTCTTTAAACTCACTTAAGTCCTAAAGAACAAGAGAAGGACTTGTTACAATTTTCCTAATACACTCGCAGTATTAAAAAACATGTAAACAGCTCAAGTTCCATAGCTGTCTTCTCAAACAAGCTGTTGGGGCCCTTAAGCTAAACTACAAAACCCATTTCTAGTTAACAAGTACAAAAAAAACACAAAACCTTCCCAATTTCCTCACTCATTGGGAACCATATAACCTGATAACTAACTTCTGCATAACCAAAACAACAAATTTAAGGATTTAATAGTTGAAATTGGGAAGGGGCAGGGGGTCCAATAAAATGTTAAAACCTACCTATTTGAGAGGCCTGTAATAAAAGCAGAAAACTTCCAGTAATAGCTAACAGGCTGCGATCTACCACACAAATTTATCATAACAGTGAGACAAGCAGAGTCATTTAAATTAAATGGTTTACACAGGAAATGGGCATACTGTAAACTAGCTTAGACCTTTCCTGAGATCACCTTTGAAATGTTAGTAAAAATGGCCTTGGAAACACAGGCTTTTCAATACACATATGATTCCTGTTTCAACTCCAGAAAATTGCTCAAGTGGCACTAATAGCAAGTGCCTAGATTAGACAATTCATTTCTCAAGTTTATTTTGATCAGGAAGTCTAGAGCTGAAATGAGAGTCCTCTAATTTTGAATTAACTCATTTACATACATAATTGCCATGCTAGACTGAGTAGTCATACTCCTGACTCTTTGTAAACTACACTTCTCTTCAATGTTATTCATGCTTCATAGGAAACTGCTGTTTCCAATTAGCTTTTCAAGCCTGTAAATACAGACTGTATTTAGCTAGCCTGATATATTTACCAGCTTTTCACTGGCTATAAATTAATGGGCAAAGCATGAACAGGCGATTTCAATGCAACGTCAAAAAATGCAATAATGATGTTTGTAATCTCTCAATACCACTAGAAAGCTTTACAAGCAAGGAACAAGGAGAATTACGGCCACCTCCAGGGCCAACATATAGCACAGTTCTAGACCAATGTCTTCTAAAAGGTCATGCTCAAGTATCAAGATAGTTCATAAGAAAACACTCTCCTCTAAAAGGCAACTCCAAAATGTGGATTATTTAGTATCCTTTTAAATGCAAATTTTGATACCAGTGCATGTAAAAGCTCTACCTTTTTATCAAGTCAGGGTCTCACTATGTTGCCCAGACTAGCCTTGAACTCCTGCACTCAAGCAATTCTCCTGTAACAGCCTCTCAAGTAGCAGGCACTGCAGGTATGCACCACCACACCCAGCCTTCTAATTTATTAGGCTTTCTAATTTCTTCTCATCACTTCTTCTAAAGGTAGATGGAAAAAAACAAAACAAAACATTTTCTTTCTCTGACAATGCCAGAACATAAAGAAGTTAAGTTACTTACCAGGTAGCCTTAGTAATAAAGTGAAGGATAAAACTGCTTATCCTAACCCACTTACTACTCTACAACAAATCACTTGCTCTTTCTACCAGAATTTAATTCAAGACCACTTTCATTCCACTTAACGTTCATTAACTGCTTACATACAATGTGTTAAGTCAGGCCATTCATTAACTGCTTACACGCAATGTGTTATGTTACGCACTTACACAACAAAATGGCTACACCCCTTGTCCAAGGAGCTAACCACCTAGAAGGGGGTTATGCTGTATAATACAAGACAAAATTTATGTAACATAGAGATGTACAATGTTCTGTGGGAGTTGAGAGAAAGGAAAGATCACCTCTTGGGCAAGGTAGCAGGCAATAAAAACTTCATGGAGAAGGCAAAAGCTGCACCGCGGAAAGTTAAGGGAAAGCTGTGAACAACAAACATTGAGAACAACAAGAGAAAATTCAAGTTGGAAGAAATTAAACAAAGCACCTCTTAGGGAACAAATAAGTCAGTCTTGGAAAAAGGAGAGCAACAAGGGATTAGACTACACAGAAAGGTTGGGCTGGATCACAGAAAGCCTGTTATGCATGGGTAAAAATAGTCAACTGCCTAGAAAACAAAGAGTGTGGGATTAATTTAGAATTTTCAGCAGGGTCAGTGACAGGAACGGAGCCATACATCAGAAGATTACAAAACTGGCAGTCGGGAGATACTTCATTTGTTAAATCGATATTTAATGCCTTCTAGTGCCAAGCTCTATTCAGTATTCGAAACACCTAGAAGCACAGAATTAAATACATTTTCCTCTTGCCTTGCTGATAACTTCATTGCTTTAAAGATCAAAAAAGGCTGGGAGCGGGTGGCTCATTCCTGTAATCCCAGCACTTTGGAAAGCCGAGCGGGTGGATCACTTGAGGCCGGAAGTTCGAGACCAGCCTGGCAAGCATGGTGAAATCCCATCTCCACTAAAAAAAATTACAAAAATTAGCCAGATGTGGTGGCGTACACCTGTAATCCCAGCTACTTGAGAGACTGAGACATGAGAATCACTTGAACTTGGGAGAGGGAGGTTGCAGTGAGCCAAAATCACACCACTGCACTCCAGCCTGGCGACAGAGTGAGACTCTGTCTCAAAAAAACAAATGAACAGGCTGGGCGTGGTGGCTCACACCTGTAATCCCAGAGCATTGGGAGGCCAAAGCAGGTGGATTACCTGAAGTCAGGGGTTCAAGACCAGCCTGGCCAACATGGTGAAACTCCGTCTCTACTGAAAATATAAAAATTAGCTGGGCATGGTGGCAGGTGCCTGTAAACCCAGCTACTCGGGAGGCTAAGGCAGGAGAATCGCTTGGATCCGGTAGGCAGAGGTTGCAGTGAGTCAAGATCGCACCACTGCACTCCACCCTGGGCCACAGAGCAAGACTCTGTCTCAAAAATAAATAAATAAATAAATAAATAAATAATAAAGGTCAAAAAGTCAAGAGAGGAGCTGCTACTTTGATCTACTTGGCCAGTAAGAAGTGGGTGATCTGGCCAGGTGTGGTGGCTCACATCTATAATCTTAGCACTTTGGGAGACTGAGGTGGGCAGACTTCTCTTGAACGCAGGAGTTCGAGAGCAGCCTGGGCAAATGGTGAGATCCTGTCTCTACAAAACTTTCAAAACAATTAGTGAGGCATGGTGGCATGTGCCTGTGGTCCCAGCTACTCGAGAGGCTGAGGTAGGAGTATCACTTGAGCCCAGGGAGTTGAGGCTGCAGTGAGCCAAGATGGCGCCACTGCACTCCAGCCTGGGTGACAGAGTGAGACACTCTCTCAAAAAAGAAAAAAAAAAATGGCCGGGCATAATGGCTCATGCCTGTAATCGCAACACTTTGGGAGGCCCAGGCAGGCGGATCACCTAAGGTCAGGAATTCGAGACCGGCCTGGCCAACATGGCGAAATCCCGTCTCTACTAAAAATACAAAAATTAGCCAGGCATGGTGGCAAGCGCCTGTTAATTCTAGCTACTCAGGAGGCTGAGGCAGAAGAATCGCTTGAACCCAGGAGACAGAGGTTGCAGTGGGCCAAGACTGCACCACTGCACTCCAGCCTAGGTGACAGAGTAAGACTCCATCTCAAAAAAAAAGGTGCGAAAGTGAAGAAAAAAGAAAAGAAAAAAACAGAAGTGGGATGACATAAAATAAACATTAGCTCATTAGACTTAAGAAACGCAAATCCAGGCCAAGCCCGGTGGCTCACACCTGTAATCCCAGTACTTTGGGAGGCAGAGGCCGGTGGATCCCCTGAGGTCAGGAGTTCAAGACCAGCCTTGCCAACATGGTGAAACCCCATCTCTACTAAAAATACAAAAATTAGCTGGGCATGGTGGCGGGCGCCTGTAATCCCAGCTACTCGGGGGGCTGAGTCAAGAGAATCACTTGAACACAGGAGGCCGAGATCGCACCACTGCACTCCAGCCTAGGTGACAGAGTGAGACTCCATCTCAAAAAAAAAAAAAAAAAAAAAAAGGTAGGAAAGAGAAGAGAAAAAAAAAAAAAAACAGAAGTGTGGTGAGTGACATAAAATAAACATTAGCTCATTAGACTTAAGAAATGCCAATCCAGGCCAGACGTGGTGGCTCACGCCTGTAATCCCAGAACTTTGGGAGGCGGAGGCGGGTGGATCACCTGAGATGAGGCGTTCGAGACCAGCCAGGCCAACATGGTGAAATCCCGTCTCTACTAAACATACAAAAATTACCCGGGCATGGTAGCAGGCATCTGTAATCCCAGCTCCTCAGCAGTCTGAGGAAGGAGAGTCGCTTGAACCCAGGAAGCGGAGGGTGCACTGAGCAGAGATCACACCACTGCACTCCAGCCTGGGCCACAGAACAAGATTCAGTCTCAAAAAAAAAAAAAAAAAAAGAAATGCAATTCCATACCTTTTACACTTGTTTTGAGACCCACAACTATGAAGTCTTTGAGTCCTAAAAGGTGTTAAAAGGTGATAGAGCTGTCTTAAACAGTGATGACAACCTAAATTTTAAGAAATACAAGGGGAGCAACTGACCCACTCATGACGTCTGTATTGTACTTTTTTAAAGGAGGGTAATCAAAATGCTGACGGAACAATGGGACCTAAGAAATGTGAAGTAACTGAAGGTTTACAGATGTATAAGTGAGACTGAACTCTCAAGCAGGTGTCTTCCAATCTAGAAGTAACAAAATATTAATCTTTTAGCTGGGCGTGGTAGTGCACACCTGTGGTTTTACCTATTTGGGAGGCTGAGGCAGGAGGACCGCTTGAGCCCAGCACCCTGAGATCAGCTTGGACAAAAGAGTGAGACCTAGTCTCTATTTTATTAAAAAGATATGGGGAAGGCCGGGCACAGTGGCTCACACCTGTAATCCCAGCACTCTGGGAGGCCAAGGCAGGCAGATCATGAGGCCAGGAGATCGAGACCATCCTGGCCAACATGGTGAAACCCCATCTCCACTAAAAATACAAAAAAATTAGCAGGGCGTGGTGGTGCACGCCTGTAGTCCCAGCTACTCGGGAGGCTGAGGCCGGGGAAACACTTGAACCTCGGAGGCGGAGGTTGCAGTGAGCCGAGATTGCACCACTGCACTCCAGCCTGGCAACAGAGTAAGACTCCATCTCTAAAAAAAAAAAAAAAAATTATTTAAAATAAGAAAAAGATTAGTCCAGTGGCATACTATGGTCCATAGGCCAAATACAGCCAACCAATTATTTTGTAAATGAAGTTTTATTGCAACACGGCTATGCCAATTGGTTTACGTATTCTATGGCATTTCGGGGCTACAGTGGCAGAGCTAAGAGTTGTGACAGAAACTATGCAGCATGGAAAGCTGAAAATATTTTACTATCTGGCCCTTTATAGAAAACGTGCCAACGTTCATTTTAAAGGATGGGCTGAAGGTTGAAGGGGGACAGGAAATGCTGCCTGGAATTTGCTAAACTCAAAGATGAGAAATAAGGCCGCTTGCAACAAAAATAAAAACAATCAGCTGGGCATAGTGGCTCACACCTGTAATCCCAGCACTTTAGGAGGCTGAGGCGGGCAGATCAGGAGGTCAGGAGATTGAGACCATCATGGCCAACACAGTGAAACCCTGTCTCTACTAAAAATACAAAAAAACTAGCTGGGCATGGTGGCACGCACCTGTAGTCCCAGCTACTCGGGAGGCTGAGGCAGGAGAATCACTTGAACCCAGGAGGCGGATGTTGCAGGGAGCCGAGATCATGCCACTGCACTCCAGCCTGGTGAAAGAGTGAGACTCCATCTCAAAAAAAAAAAAAGAATCCAGATGTGAGAGAGGGCATGGAGATAAAATCGTCAGAATTTTGGAAATGACCAGATCTGGAGACAGAGCAAGAGTCAAAACTGATGCTAAAAACAGGGTTGGTAACTGGGAATCACTTATAGTAATGGGATGAGGAGAAAGAAGTGGTTTGGAGACAGTAAGAAAGAAAAGAAGTACAAGTTAAATATCTCATTTGAGCCACGTCAATTCAAAACAACACTTAGTCTGGGGGCTATCCAGGTAGGGATGTCTGGAGTCCAGCATGAAATGTATACCTGGATCTGAACAGAGACCACAGCTGGGGATAAAGATGTTGGTGTCTACAGCTGAAGCTGTAAAGTGAGTGAGATCACTAAAAGACAAAAAAGATGAAGAGGAAATAAAAGAGTGGAGCGCAGAGTGGCGAGGGACAAGTAACGTGAGGCCACGCAAACCGTATGGAGCAGAAGAGGGAGAGCCAGTAGAGGAACCAAAGCAGCTTGTGCTTTGGTCAACCAAGGCAACTTGGCTCAAGGACTGAAAAATGCACTACTGAGGTCAGCAGAGAATCTAAGGGAAGCAGCCTAGCAAGGGCGATCAAGAATTCTGTAGGACTGGACCCACTTCAGCTGCCACCACTTACCTTCAATGGCCCTGCTATGTCTAATTGTAGCAGGACCAAACTAGCAGCCCACACCTGTGGCCTGGGAATCCCTGCCCAGCACTAAATGAGCAAACCACTGGCATTAAGACAATGAAACAAATGTTTAATCTTCCTCTGGCAATGGCAGTGACTGAAGATCCCTTAATAAAAAAGTTTGTGGCCAGGCGTGGTAGCTCAGGCCTGTAATCCCAGCACTATGGGAGGCTAAGGCAGGCGGATCACGAGGTCAGGAGTTCGAGAACAACCTGGCCAATATGGTGAAACCCCATCTCTACTAAAAATACAAAAAGTAGCTGGGCGTGGTGACGGGTGCCTGTAATCCCAGCTACTCAGGAGGCTGAGGCAGGAGACTCGCTTGAACCCAAGAGGTGGAGGCTGCAGCAAGCCAAGATTGCACCACTGCACTCCTGGGCAACAGAGTGAGAATACATCTCAAGGAAAAAAAAATGTGCAACTGAGTGCATAAGATTCTCTCTGGGAACATGCTGCATACAAGGAAATGGCACCCAAGTAGAGGACAGTTCAGTTAAAAGCATCATAATAATATTTTTTCAGATAAAAAGAATCCTGCTAATATTAAACACAGACCAACAGGTCACTTACCGCAGGCAGAGGGCAGTAGAACTGATGAACTGTGTGCATGACGTCCAAGAGCATATTGTGTCCAATAACAAGTTTTCCCTAAAGAAAGTCAAGGTTAGAAAAAAGACTTCTACATTCGAAATTATACTGGGGTTTCAGAATGTATAGTTCAGATTCCAAGAGGACTTTGTACTAAACTCGCTTTCCAGACTTAAAAAAAAAAAAAAAAAAAAAAAAAAAAAAAGTACAAATAAGCTAATTTGGGCTGGCTTCATTCCTCCTCCATTTTGGAATGTTAAATCCAGAAAGCAAAGTGAAAGCACAAATGACTTTGATGTCACTGATCTTTTTCTTGAATTTTTATTAATTATGCCACCCTCATGAATCAGAAGTAGTAAAATTTTGATTGAAAAGTTTTTTTAAAAGTAAAATCTGGGCCAGGCACGGTGGCTCACAAATGTTATCCTACCACTTTGGGAGGTCAAGGCGGGTGGATCACCTGAGGTCAGTAGTTCGAGACCAGCCTGGCCAACATGGCGAAATCCCATCTCTACTAAAAATAGAAAAATTAGCCAGGTGCGGTGGTGCATGCCTATAACTCCAGCTACCCAGCAGGCTGAGGCAGGAGAATCGCTGGAACCCGGGAGGCAGAGGCTGCAGTGAGCCAAGATTGCACCACTGCACTCCAGCCTGGGCAACAGAGTGAGACCCCGTCTCAAAAAAAAAAAAGTAAAATCTGAAAGCGTTGACTCCCTTAAACTGTCAAATAATTTGGGAAAAAACTAAACACAAATTTTAGGGCTGCATCCTTTAAAACAACCCACTTATTTTAAAAGATACATTCATACCAATGCTAAAAGGTAAAAATAACTAATTTCTAACTATATTAAACAGAATTGCATTTCCTATATCATTATGTCAAAATTCATGGGGCATGTTCTTAAACACACATCCATTAAAAGTCACTGCCTTTCAGCCAACCGAAATACAATATATGTGCTGGCAGCCCTCTTCGTGCAATGGGCGGTGTGTCTGTCTCACACTATATGTGCAACAAATTAGTCCATTTTGATAAAAATTAAATTTCCAAAATGGAACATAAATTTAGATTTAGCCAGCCAGGTGACACCATTTTTAACATAAAACATCAGGGGCCGGGCGTGGTGGCTCACACCTGTTAATCCCAGCACTTTGAGAGGCCAAGGCAGGCGGATCACCTGAGGTCGGGAGTTTGAGAACAGCCTGCCCAGCATGGCAAAATCCTGTATCTACTAAAAACACAAAAAATTAGCTGGGTGTGGTGGCAGATGCCTGTAATCTCAGCAACTCGGGAGGCTGAGGCAAAAGAATGGCTTGAACCCAGGAGGCGGAGGTTGCAGTGAGCTGAGATCGCACCACTGCACTCCAGCCTGGGCGACAGTCAGACTCTGTCTTGGAAAAAAAAATCAGGTTACCACGATGGAGCTTTTACTATAACCCAAAGGACCTTCAGTGTAACACTGCTTGATTCATGGGACTACACATTAATTATCTGAAATAATCCTACACAAAATCTCCCAAATCTAACAGAGAAGCTGTCCTTTTGGCTCATTATTGGTGTACATTCTGAATACCTATGCTACGCTAAAATAATGAGCATTGATTGAAACCACAGAAAAGATGTGTAGGTAACCCCAAATGGAATGCAAACACTAAGAAATGAACCAAACTGTATTATAAATGACTACCATAACCACACTGAAGGTTAAGAAGAAACAAACTAACTTGGAAAAGAGCATCTTGACTAGATACTGTAAGGCTAAAAACAAAACGAATTGCACATAAATCATAAATGTTATCATTTCATCAATAAATGTACTTCTCGCGAGGTATGGGTTAGTAGCTCTGAAGCTACTTTATGTGTATACCGGGTTTAAACAAATAAACATAATGGAAGTAATAGAAACTGGATTTCTCACTGTTGAGAAAGAAGGCACAAATAAGAAAAGAGAGGAAGCTAAAAATAAGTCACGTGGTATTGTACTGGAATCTGAGGTATCAGTATAAAGGCATGCATACACCCATGCGCACACACACACAAACACACACACACTTATTTATTTAGAGACAGGGTCTCGCTCTGTTGCCCAGGCTGTAGTGCAATGGCACCATCATGGCTCAATGCAGCCTCAAACTCCCATGCTCAAGCAATCCTCCCACCTCAGCCTCCCCTACAGCTGGGACCACAGGCATGTGCCACCACTCCTGGCTAATTTTTTAATTTTTTTTTTTGAAATGCAGTCTTGCTCTGTTGCCCAGGCTGGAGTGCGGTGGCATAATCTCAGCTCACTGCAACCTCTGCCTTCCAGGTTCAAGAGATTCTCCTGCCTCAGCCTCCTGAGTAGCTGGGATTACAGGTGGCACCACCACACCAGCTAATTTTTGGATTTTCAGTAGAGACGGGGTTTTACCATGTTGGCTAGGCTGGTCTCAAACTCCTGACCTCACGTGATCTGCCCGCCTTGGCCTCTCAAAGTGCTGGGATTACAGGAGCGAGCCACCACACCCAGCCAATTTTTACATTTTTTGTAGAGAGGGGGTCTCCCATGTTGCCCAGGCTGGTCTTGAACTACTAGCCTGAAGCAGTCCTCCTGCCTTGACCTCCCTAAGTGTGGGATTACAGGGTTGAGCCACCATGCCCAGCTACATACACATTTATATAGATCCACACACACATACATATACAGAGAGACACAGAAATATAGCTGTGTGTGTACATGCCTAGGTCTACATACATATGGTTCTTAGTTCTGTCCAGTGAGAGGGCTTAGAAGCAATAATATCACCTAGGGCCAGAAGCAGTAACCTAGGGCCAGATCTTGGTTTCTAAACATCATTCCCCATTAAGAGGAACCAGAGCTCCGTGGAGAAGTCATTCATTCCATAGCTGAGCCAGAGAAACTACAAGAATACCAGAAAGCAAAGAAGTGCTCAGAAAAGGATGGGGGGCTTGTTCAGAGGGCACAGGAGCCAAGTCAAAGAAGCTCCAATGGCCAAAGGTGGTACAATTTAAGCAACAAAGTAAACAGTAAAAATCCTAGATAATAATCTAGTATTATTATTAATACTAATAATTAAAAAAAATCCCTGAGTCCATACATATACATAAAAACCATTAAATAAACAAGGGAAAGGGCTGGGTGTGGTGGCTCGTGCCTATAATCCAAATACTTTGGGAGGCTGAGGCGCGGGAGACTGCTTGAGCCTAAGAGTTCAAGACCAGCCTGGACAACATAGGAAGACCCCTTCTCCACAAAAAAAATATATATATAAAATTATCCACGTGTGGTACTGCATGCCTGTAGTCCCAGCTGCTCAGGAGGCTAAGGAGGAGGGAGGATCGCTTGAGCCCGGGAGGTAGAGGCTGCAGTGAGCCAGTGTACTCCCAGCTTGGGGAACAGACAGAGACTGTGTCTCAAAATTAAATAAATACATAAATAAACAGGGGAAAAGGACATTTTTTTCTTTCCTTTTTTTTTTTTTTTCGAGACAGGGTCTCAACTTTGTCACCAGGCTACAGTGCAATGGTGCAATCTCAGGTTACTGCAACCCCCGCCTCCTAGGTTCAAGCGATTCTCCTGCCTCAGCCTCCCAAGTAGCTGGGATTACAGGTGTGTGCCACCACGCTCAGCTAATTTTTGTATTTTCATTAGAGATGGTATTTCACCATGTTGGTTAGGCTGGTGTCGAACTCCCGACCTCCAGTGATCCGCCCCCCTTGGCCTCCCAAAGTACTGGGATTACAGGTGTGAGCCACCATGCCCAGCCCATTTTTTTCTTTATAGAAGAATTCCAAGAATAAATGTAGAAAGGACGAAGGAAATATAAACTTGCCATTAGAATACCACAGTAATAACTGCTACAGGCAAGATATGCTGATAGACGATAATATTAGTAGGCAAAGTTTGAGGGAAAACAGGATTTTCATGGTCTCAAAGTATCTCCCCCAAGATATTCATAAACTATAAAGTTAAACTATATAGTTAATTTAACTATAATTTAATGACATAGTTAACTTATTAACTATAAAATTAATTTCACAGAACACAAATCCAGCCAACACCACCTTAACCAAGCGATCAAGATCAACATCACGGGCAGAGAATGGTGGCTCACGCCTGTAATCCCAGCATTTTGGGAGGCCAAGGCAGGCGGATCACGAGGTCAGGAGACCGAGACCATCCTGGCTAACATGGTGAAACCCCGTCTCTACTAAAAATACAAAAAAATTAGCCTGGTGTGGTGGCAGGCGCCTGTAGTCCCAGCTACTCAGGAGGCTGAGGCAGGAGAATGGCGTGAACCCAGGAGGCAGAGCTTGCAGTACGCCAAGATCGCGCCACCGCGCTCCAGCGTGGGCGACAAAGCAAGACTCCATCTCAAAAAAAAAAAAAAAATTGATCGACATCATGAACCATCATTTCTGTGGTATTCTTGCCAAACCATATATCCTCAAATCAGTCATGAGAAAATGTGAGACAAATTCCAACTGGCGGACTTCTGACAAAACAGCAATCAATACCATTCAAAAGTATCCAAGTTATACAGCCGGGCATGGTGGCTCACACCTGTAAACCCAGTATCTTGGGAGGCTGAAGAAGGCAGATTACTTGAGGTCAGGAGTTCGAGGCCAGCCTGGCCAACATGGTGAAAGCCCGTCTCAACTAAAAATACAGAAATTAGCCAGGCGTGGTAGCAGGCACCTGTAATCCCAGCTACTTGGGAGGCTGAGGCAGGAGACTTGCTTGAACCCGAGAGGCGGAGGTTGTGGTGAGCCAGGATTGCGCCACTGCACTCCAGCAGGACAACAGAGCGAGACTCCGGCTCAAAAAATATATATATATATATATTTAAGGTATGGGATTTACGCATCTTATTTTACTTTAGTCAACTTTCATTCAAGACTCAAAAATTTTAAATGTCCGGATCGCTAATAAACAGGGCTTTTTGGTAGTATGCTTTGGGATGTTGACTACCAACGGTCAGCAACATGTTATGAATATTCTGTAGAAGAAAGATGTCAGAGAAAAGAAAACAGGTACAGCAAGCTAAGGTATCCGAATGTGTATAAGACAAACAAATGTCCAATCTTGGAAAAGCTGACTGAACTATCATGACGGCTACAAAAGAGCTCAAAACCAACTTATGTTCCGTATCTCTGAATTTTAGGGCCCGCCTCAATCAAAACCACCACTTATCTGAAGTCTGCTGGCTAGGTGTGCACAACATGAGCAAATGGAACCAGAAACTCAACTCTGCTTTTCTGGATACCTGTAATCTCAGCCACTGCTGAAGAGGCTCACAGCATTGTTTCTCTCCGGATCTTTCCAACTTTCTATTCGACTTTAATCGCCCCACTTACTTGAGCAAGAGAAGTCCTCGTGAGCCAACCCTCTTCTTTTACAAGGCTCTGTAAACCTCTGTTTATCCCGGAATGAGGACAGCAGGGGCCTTCCCTACAGCGCCCCTGTGTTTACAAGCCTGCAGCTGGCAGTGAGACAGCATGAAACCTTGAGAGGGTTTCTATGGCCTTAAAGCTTCCCTGATGCAAAGTTCAGCATCTAAGGTATAAGATGATTCCTTCTCCCAGGCCAACTGCTCAAATAAGAGAATGTCCTAGACTACAGGCAATTCAGCATCCAAGCAAGCTGTCTAGAACAACCAGCAGCATGACCTAGTTTACCTATGTAAAATGCGGATGCCTGTTTTCTTTCTCCTCTTCTTTTTTTTTTTTTTTTTTTTTTTTGGAGACAGGGTCTGTCTGTCACCCAGGCTGGGGTGCAATGGCGTGATCACAGCTCACTGCAGCCTTGACTTCCCGAGCTCCAGCGATCCTCCCACCTCAGCCTCCCAAGTAGCTGGAACCACAGGCATATACCACCACACCTGGCTAATTTTTGTATTTTTGGTAGAGATGGGGTTTCCCCATATTTCCCAGGCTGGTCTCGAACTCCTGAGCTCAAGCAATCCATCCTTATCGGCCTCCCGAAGTGCTGGGATTACAGACATGAGCCACTATGCCCGGCCGCCTGTTTTCAGAAAGGCCTCACAAAGCAAGGAAAAACACCCATCATATCTATCATAGAGTCCCCTAGCACATTTACACAAATGGCCAATATCTTTTTAAAACATATCAAATATTATTAAGAATAAGATTCAATTACACTTATGTAGCACTAAACAAAGACATCATTATTTTTACCCTCTAGATTCTTCTACTTAGGGAACAAAACACCTTCAGTCAAATATCTGATTGTTTCTCCCCTTATTCCTTACTTTCTTTTTCGACTTCTTACTGGTTTTGAAAATAACTCTTGGTTTCCATGTAGCCATATAAGGACAACATAGTGTAACCCTCCTATGCATTTTTCAAGCAAGGCTCCCTGAAAATTGATTTGAATATAATTTAGCAATTATGCCTCACCAAGTGCATTATAACAACAGTCTATCTTGATGAAGTTCTAACTTCTTAGAATGTTCTAGGTAAACATTCTAAAGGAGATGAAATGATTAATCTGCAATGATAATTAGATACTTCACCTGAAATAGTATGTTCTGCAATCTTGCTAAAAAGTCTGGCTCACTTACCGAATTAGCAATGGCGTGAATGACTCTAGAAAATCCCACAGCATCATTCAGCTCCTCCTAATTAAAAAAATATATACATATGTATTATTGATGTATAAATATTCCTTATGTGAATTAAAAAACTACCCCAAAAAAAAGACACTGAAATTTTGTATCAAGTTAGATAGCTTTAGTTTCCTGTGCTTTGCGCCTATCTTCCCAAACATTTGCATCTAAAATGATCTACGTACATACTTTTCTTCTATTTTAGAAAGTAGAATGAACAAATGGAAAATTATTCATTAGTTACTAAAAGAACAATGCTTAGGGTTTATCCATCACTTCACCGACTTCTTTAAAATTTCCAAGTCTTTCAAGGTGTCTTAAAAACAGTAACTTAAAAAGTTGCCACCTGCAGGCTAAACTCAGTAACACATTCAATTCTGAGGAAACCCATCTGGCAGTTAACTGATCAAATCAAGTATTTTCATAATTCCTGATTTTTTTTCCTCGAAAAATACATTTTTACAAAATTCTCCCACCCACCTTCTTCTCTCCTATATTCTTTCCAGCAGTGTTGAAAGAGGCTCAGTGTCTCTCTTATCTTGAAAACCCTCCCCTCCTCTAAGATCTCTCAGACTACTGCCCCTTCTACTTGTCTCATCAAAGCTAACTTGCTTTCTCCAGTTTAACTCCCAGGTGTTCCCAGCCCTCTGGCTTCATGCTCACTGAAATTGCTCACCTCCTTAAAACTAACCCCAACACTGGCTGGGTGAAGTGGCTCACGCCTGTAATCCGAGCACTTTGGGAGGCAGAGGCAGATGGATCACTTGAGGTCGGGAGTTCGAGACCAGCCTGACCAACATGGTGAAACCCTGTCTCTACTAAAAATAAAAAATTATCCGGACGTGGTGGTGCATGCCTGTAATCCCAGCTATTCCAGAGGCTGAGGCAGGAGAATCGCTTGAACCCGGGAGACGGAGGTTGCATGCTGTAAGCCAAGATCGCACCATTGCACTCCAGCCTGGGCAACAAGAGCGAAACTCCATCTCAAAAAACAAACAAACAAACAAAAAACTAACCCCAAGACTAACAAGTATTTGCAAGGATGTAGAGAAACTGGAACCTGTGTGCCGTTGATGAAAATGTTAAACAGTGCAGCAGCTAAGGAAAACAGTATGGAGGCTCATCCCAAAAAGAATTCCCATATTACCCAGCAATTCCATTTCTGGGTATATACCCCAAAGAATTGAAAGCAGGGACTCAAATAGGTATATGCATACCTAAATTCACAAGAGCATTATTCACAATAGTCAAAAGCAACCCAGGTGTCCACAAACAAATGGATAAACAAAATGTGGTCTAGCCACACAATGGAATATTATTCAGCCTTTAAAAAGGAAGGAAATTCTGACACATGCTATAACATGGGGAACCTTGAGGCTGCTATGCTAAGAGAAATAAGCCAGTCACAGGAGGACAAATACTGTACTTATATGAGGTACTCAGAGTGACCAAATTCATATGACAGTAAGTAGAATAGTGGTTGCCAGGGGCTGGGTGTCAGGGGTGGGAGATGGAGAGCTGCTTGATTAGTACAGTTTCGGTTTTGCAAGATGAAGAGAATTCTGGAGATGGATGGTGGTGATGATTGCACAGCAATGTTAAACTACTTGATGTCACTGAACTATACATTTAATAGTTAAGATGATAAATTTTGTTATGTGTATTTTACCACAATTAAAATTTTTTTGGGGGGGTCAGGCATGGTAGCTCACGCTGGTAATCCCAGCACTTTGGCAGGCTGAGGCAGGCAGATCACCTGAGGTCAAGAGTTCAAGACCTGCCTGGCCAACATGGCGAAACCCCGTCTCTACTAAAAATACAAAAATTAGCCGGACGCAGTGGCATGCACCTGTAATCCCAGCTACTCGGGAGGCTGAGGCAGGAGAATCGCTTGAACCCGGGAGGCGGAGGTTGCAGTGAGCCGAGATCATGTCACTGCAAGCAAGGCTCCATTTCAAACAAAAACAAAAATTGCTTTTTTGGTTTTGTTTTTTGTTTTTGAGACAGAGTCTCACTCTGTTGTCCAGGCTGGAGTGCAGTGGCGTGATCTCGGCTCACTGCAACCTCCGCCTCCCGGGTTCAAGCGATTCTCCTGCCTCAGCCTCCCGAGTAGCTGGGAATGCAGGCACATGCCACTGCGCCCGGCTAATTTTTTTGCACTTTTAGTAGAGATAGGGAAAAATTGCTTTAATTATAGTTTAAAAAACTACTGCCAGGGCTGAATCCAACAGCCATGTCTCAATACTAACCCCTACATGGGAGCTGACATTGCTGACTGCCCCTTTTTCTCTCCTCCCTTGGCTGTGTACCACAATAATCTCCCGGTACATTTTGTCGACTTCTGCCTATCATTTAAATGCTGTTGATCCTCAGGATTCAGCCCCAGGTCCTCTTCTCATTCCTCACGTACTCTGCAGTTGCTCTGATCCAGTCCCAGTCTCTCTGCCAATGACAATCATGCCTAGCCCTCACCCCTCTCCTGTGCTCAACACTGACAAACCTGCTAAGAGGACATCCACCCTTGCATGTCCTAAAAACACTCGAAACCTCATCAGGTCAAAACCAGAATGGAACATCTTTTTCCACTCTGGGGGAACATCTTTTTCCACTCTAGGGGATGCCATGGTGCCCTGGTGGCCTTGCATGTATCAAAACGGGCCATGCAGGTAAAGGCTAATCTGCGTCTTGGCCACAGACTCATCTGCGTCTTGGCACAACACATCAGGAGGGAAGGGTGGGAGGCAGAGGCTTCTAAGGAGCTGCTATGAGGCCAGCTCCCACCCCCTTCCCTGTCACTCCTGGGAGGCTGTCATGAAACAGTTCCTCATTGCCTCCTGGGTTCTGAGGAGGTGTGGGGCTCTCTGCCTCGCCCTCTCAGAAGAGAGCTGCAGAGTATCAAAGCCCTGAGCTGCAGCCTAGAACTCATCCTCAGTGAAGCCACATCACAAAACACATGCTGCAATCATCTCGTATCTTTTTTTTTTAAGACAAGGTCTCACTCTGTCACCCAAGCTAGAGTACAGTGGCATAATCTCAACTCACTGCAACTGCAACCTCCACCTCCCGGGGTCAAGCAATTCTCCAGCATCAGCCTCCCAAGTAGCTAGGACTACAGGCGCACGTCACCACACCTGGATAATTTTTTTTGTATTTTTTGTAGAGATGGGGTTTCGCTATGTTGCTCAGACTGGTCTCAAACTACTGAGCTCAAAGTGATCCTCCCACCTCAGCCTCCTAAAGTAGTGCTGCGATTACAGTCATGAGCCATCACACCTGGCCTCTAACTGGCACCTTTTGTTTCTGCGTTGTCCTTTTTAGTATGTGGGACAGGGACCACAGGCAGCACCTCTTGCTAATCTTTCCCTGTGTAGGTAATATGCTGTCTCCCAAAGTGGGTCATTGTGGTTAAGTCAATTAGGAGTGACCCTGCCTAATGTACATATGAGCATGACATTCATCCACATGCAAACCCACTCCTCTCTCCTCCACCTTTTCCCCCAACCGATGTCACTCCAGCCAACCCCTCCAAGTGAATGGAGTGCAGTCTACCCCGTTGTGCAAATGTCTGGCATGAGCATCTTCCTCCTTCCCCCTTCCTCCTCCACCACCCACATTCAGTCATAAATTCCACGGATTCTACCTTCCAAGTATCTCCAGATTCCATCTACACTGCTACTCACTATCCTACGCCAGGTCACCAACATCTCCTAGCTAGGTTACTCCACAGCTTAACTAGTCTCCTGCCTCCAGTCTTACTCACTCGAAACCATTCTTCACACAGCAAGCAGGGTGATGTTCCAACAGTACAACCTAAGCATGTCATCCTCATCTGTCAGATCATGTGCTCTGAACTTGGTTTAAGGAAAACTAGTAACTATACATGAAGTTAGACGTTGCAGTATTAAAGGATAGTGACACTCAGTGACACAAGCTAAATGAGAATCAAGAGTACTTTCTTCAGGACTGGTTTAAGTAGACACTGGTCATCAGTGACGTCAGACTCACTTTGCTAGCTACGTCTCATGCTTAAATCTAACTTCCCCTTATTCTAGTCCAGGTTTTTCTGCCAATTCCATTGTTCTATGAAAGAAAACTATTCATTAAATTGAATCCAACATATGATCTGAAATAGACAGGAATAAATCAATATTTATGTTGCCATTTCTCACCCCCCAAGAATTAACATAGCCCAATTACCTGTTCTTTGGCATGTTTCTGCTGCTCTCTTCTTTTGCGTTCTTCTTCATCTACTTTGCTGATAACTATATATCGCTCCTTCTAAAAGACATAAAGCAGATATACAATTTTCTTTTCTTTTTCTTTTTTTTTGAGACAGAGTTTCGCTCTTGTTGCTCAGGCTGGAGTGCAATTGCATGATCTCAGCTCACTGCAAACTCCGCCTCCTGGGTTCAAGCGATTATCTTACCTTAGCCTCCCGAGTAGCTGGGATTACAGGCTTGTGCCACCACACCCGGCTAATTTTTGTATTTTTAGTAGAGACGGAGTTTCTCCATGTTGGTCAGGCTGGTCTCAAACTCCCCACCTCAGGTGATCCACCCGCCTCAGTCTCCCAAAGTGCTGGGATTACAGGTGTGAGCCACGGTCCTGGCCACAGATATATACAATTTTCTAGAGACAACTTAATCCAAAAAATTCAGATTTCTGCTGCCATTAGAATTTTTTTTTTGAGACAGTCTCACTCTGTCACCCAAGCTGGAGTGCAGTGGCACAACCTCAGCTCACTGCAAACTCTGCCTCCCAGATTCAAGTGATTCTCCTGCCTCAGCCTCCAGAGTAGCCAAGATTACAGGTGCGCACCAATACGCCCAGCTAATTTTTGTATTTGTAGTAGAGACAGGGTTTCACCATGTTGCCCAGGCTGGTCTCAAACTCCTGACCTCAAGTGATCTGCCCACCTTGGCATCCCAAAGTGCTGGGATTACAGGCATGAGCCACCACACCCAGCCAGAAGTTGTAATTTTTGTAACCGCACACTTTTTTTGTATGTGTGACAGGTTATCACTCCCATTGCTCAGGCTGGAGTGCAGTGGCATGATCACAGCTCACTGCAGCCTCAAATTTCTGGGTTCAGATGATCCTCTCACCTCAGCCTCCTGAGTAGCTGGGACTACAGGCATGTACCACTATGCCTGGCTAATTTCTTTTTATATTTTTAGTAGAGACGGAGTTTCACCATGTTGTCCAGGCTGGTCTCAAACTCCTGGGCTCAAATGACCTGCTCATCTCAGCCTCCCAAAGTGCTGGGATTACAGGCCTGAGCCACCATGCCCAGCCACTGTAGTCTTTCATGAGCCAAATACAACAGAAAATACTTTGAAATGCCAACATAAGTTGAGCTAATGCATTACAAACCAAATTTTGTCTCTGTGTTTCCATGACATTTTCCTACGGTTTACTAATTCAACCCAACAGACATCAGTTAAAAATATCAACAGACTGTGAGAATAAGACATTTCCTATGACAAATACTAAAAAAGTTATATTGCATTTGAACATTGACTTCTGAAGAGTTTTAAAGTAAAATGTATATGTTGTATTAACATTAACAAAACTTACATATATATGTTGTATTACCATAAGAAAAAACTCTGGATTTTCTGCCAAAGTGTCAGATAACTAGTACTTTCTTTCTCATATATTTTGTGTCCACTAAAGATAAATTATCTACCAAGATTATTTTTCTACTTTATTTAATCTCTAATTTTATACCTGACTTAACAGCAACAACAAATTATAAAATTGAAAAACTGCAGAAGGAACCCACCACTAGCCACCCACTTCCCATCACAATTCTATCAGTGTACCCTGTGTACTCAGGACAATAGCTGTGCTTACGACCCAAATTCTAAAATTTAATTTTGTCTGCCCACGCAACATGAAGCCATTTCTTCACATGTACCATTATAGCTTTCTGCCATAGTAAGAATACAAACTAATATTTGTATACTTTCAAGTTTACAAGGCATCACTTCCACTTACCCACGGTATCACCATAAAAAGGCTATGAGAAAGTATAGATCACCGTTATCATGCTCAGTCCCAATGTACAGAAGAAAATTAGGCTTAAAGAGATCAAATGACTTACCCTAGGTTACCTAGCTCATAACAAGCACAGACAAGATACAAATTCTGACTTTCAGCACACTAAGGATTGAGCATGGTAGCTCAGGCCTGTAATCCAGCACTCTGCGAGGCCGAGGCGGGCAAATTGTTTGAGCCCAGGAGTTCAAGACTAGCCTGGGCAACAGGGCGAAACCCTGTCTCTACTAAAAATATAAAAAATTAGCCAAGCATGGTGGCACGAGCCTGTAGTCCCAGCTTGGGAGGCTGATGTAGGAGGATCACCTGAGCCCAGGAAGTCAAGGCTGCAGTGAGCCGTGACTAACCACTGCACTCCAGCCTGGGTAATCAGAGAAAGACCCTGAGGAAAAAAAAAAAAGAAAAAAAAAAGAAACCCCTAACAGTGTAACAATGGATGTGTTTAATGTTAGCCCTAGATAATTCTTGGGGTTACCTTTTCAGTTTCTAAAGTCTCAACATGAATGCCTTTCGGATACCTAAAGAAAAGAAAAACATAGTATCAGTAGATGAGTCAATGACAGCTAAATCCCAAAGTATTTTATAAGCAACTATCCAGCTACTAATTAAGTAAGTTTTATTAACTACAAAATAATTATCACTACAATGGAGACTTTACAGCACATTTATTTTATAACGTTTCAGCTGCTAAATGTTTCCTTACCCTTGCTCTTAAACACATAAACGTGGATTTGACTTCAAATTAATTTTTTTTAGGACTTAGGTATTTTCTATTTTTTTTTTTTTTTTTGAGACAAGAGTCTCTCTCTGTCGCCCAGGCTGGAGGGCAGTGGCGCGATCTCGGCTCACTGCAAGCTCCACCTCCCTGGTTCACGCCATTCTCCTGCCTCAGCTTCCCAAGTAGCTGGGACTATAGGCACCTGCCACCACACCCAGCTAATTTTTTGTATTTTTAGTAGAAACGGGGTTTCACCGTGTTAGCCAGGATGGTCTCGATGTCCTGACCTCGTGATCCTCCCGCCTGGGCCTCCCAAAGTATTGGGATTACAGGTGTGAGCCACTGCGCCTGACCAGGACTTAGGCACTTTCTAAAATGTCCTACATCTCAAAATACAGTCAACTCATTACCACAGAGTCAAATCTTGCTTCCAAATATAAAAATGTTTCCTAACTGAAATTGTGAAAGTCTTTTTATTTTATTTATTTATTTATTTTTTTGAGATGGAGTCTCACTCTGCCACTCAGGCTGGAGTGCCAAGCCGCAATCTTGGCTCACTGCACCTCTGCCTCCAGGGTTCAAGAGATGCTCCTGCCTTTGCCTCCCAAGTAGCTGGGATTACAGGCATGTGCCACCATGTCCGGCTAAATTTTGTATTTGTAGTAGAGACGGGGTTTCACCATGTTGGCCAGGCTGGTCTTGAACTCCTGACCTCAGGTGATCTGCCCACCTCGGCCTCCCAAAGTACCAGGATTACAGGAGTGAGCCACCGCGCCCGGCCTGAGTCTTTTTAGATTGCACAGGGCATATAAAGAGGAGGTTTTAGATGGCCAGCTCTGCTGTAGTTTTGCATGGTATTAACAGCTTGCATCAGCCAAGGAGGAGAGGGATCTGGAATGCAGGTGGAGTAGGCTGCAAGGACGACATGACAGGAAAGGAGTGTGGGCAAACTAAACAGCCCTTTCCTGTTGTGTTCAAAGTATATTCCCAGTATACATGTCACTGGTAGATTCCAACAGAAGAACAAGGTCCCCAAAGTCAAATGGAAATGTCCACCTGTCTATGTCAATGTTCAATTTCTGAGTTGAAGACCCACCTGCAAACACAAGGAAACCAAGGGAAACATCCTTGGAAAAATACACACACAAAAGTCTGGATGTTATTTCAGGGGATTCACAGACCTCCTGAAACCCATCCATAGTCTCACCCTAAGTTAAGAACTCTTGCTTTACCAAAAGCATTCATCTGAGTATTTCCTAGGTCTGAAAACCAAATATTTATTGTATACCCCAAAGGACAAAAACACTACCAATCCATAGCTTAACAGATGCACCAAAGTGATAATTATTTTAAGAAGCCTTAAAGCATCTGTTAAAAAACAATAACAAAAGAAAATTAAGTGAGTATTCAACTTAAGAAAGTAGGGGGAACTTCATGTAGTCAAATCACTGAGAACCGCAGAATTTCAAAAAGGAAATGAGAACTAAGAGATTATATTTAGTCTTTAAATCCTGGGTCCCCCACAGAGCTGCTGCATACAATATAAATACTTACTTCCAGCTCAAAGTCTGATAAATTAGTTTTCTTTGGAACCTATAAAAACAAAAGAAAAGGTATTGATTTTGGCTCATTAGAAGTAAATCCAAACTGATCAAGCATTTGTTGAGAAGGATTTCGCTTTAAAAAGAGACTTCATTAGAACTGATAGGTAATTTGCAAACAAAAATACGCAGGTTTTTTGAGGTGGGGGGATTTCCTCATCACTTGTCTTCTAAAATTTTCTTTAATATTATGCTGCTTTTACTGAAGAGGTAGAAGTTCTCGTCTAATCAAAATATTGCTTCCTGCAGCTGCATAAAGAGAGCTTAAAGTAGACAGATGCATTGAAATACTTTTGTGAAACTCCTCACAAAGTAAAAGGAAAAAAAGACAATCACGTTACTGACTCTTTGAAATGCTAATGTTCTCTGAATACAGAGAGAAATTAAAAGGGTGGAAGTAGCCTGAAAGTGAATTCTTTCTTCTGAAGCCTTCACGTATTAAGCGCGCCTCAAGGCCAAATTAATTATGCCACTCTTGGGCATAACTGAAAGTCAAGGTTGCACAACAGTTTTCTCCGCTCCAAGTACAGGACAAAGCATTCATTCAGTGTCTCAGTATACACAGTCATCCCCACTGTGTAACGCTAAAGTTAGTGTTTAATTCTTGAGAACATAGCAATAATAAAAAGACCCTTTATAAAGCTGTTTTTAAAAGACTAGATGCATCAAATGCCACAAACCATCTACCTTTCCAAAAAAAGGACATGCAGAAATGTTCAGGACAACTAACCCGGTACATGGCTCTAAATCCAAGTTCTTGTTTTCTTCACTTTGTAATAAATCCTCTATTTTCTCTCTGAGGAATAAGAATAGACCATAACCATCAGTACCTTTAAGGAATGAAGTCATCAACCAAGAAAATAATCACAACCAAAAACAGTCTAACTATAAGAACATGTGACAATGTAATTCTACCAAATTACCCTAGAAATTTTAGTTCAAAGACTTTTTTAAAAATGCTTTATTTTGACCTAGGCATAGAATCCCAGCACTTTGGGAGGTCGACGTTGGGTGGATCACTTGAGCCCAGGAGTTCGCGACCAGCCTGGGCAATATACTGAGAGCCCCTCACTACAAAAAATAAATCTTAAAAATTAGCTGGGAGTGGTGCAGTGTAACTGTGGTCCCAGCTACTCCAGAAGCGGAGGTGGGAGGATCACCTGAGCCCAGGAAGTTGAGGCTGCAGTGAGCTGTGATCGCATCACTGCACTCCAGCCTTGGCAACAGAACGAGACCCTGTCTCAAAAAATAAATAACATAAAATAAAAAAGCTTTATTTGGCGTATTTTGGGGGGAAGAGGGTTACTGCTGCTATTTATTAGTGACAACTTCTCAAGGACTCGTCAATACAAGTGATTTAATTTTTGACTTTCCCAGTAAAATGGTTACACCAACAACTAAGCTGAGCAAGACCAGACACTTGTCCAAAATCACATCTGCTTGTCGGCACCTTTACTGCAAGCAAAGAGAACATGGACATGCTACAGGCTGGATAAGCCTGATCCACTCCTCTGCCTTCAAGGACATTGGACAGTGGCTGTCAGGTATTCAGTCCATGCAAGTTTTAGAAGTCAGCTGATTAGCATTTAAAAAACAAGAAAAGGGGCTGGACAATGGCTCACGCCTGTAATCCCAGCGCTCTGGGAGGCTGAGGCAGGAAGATCCCTTGAGCTCAGGAGTTTGACACCAGCCTGGGAAACATAGTGAGATCCGTCTCTATTAAAAAAAATAAAATAAAATAAAAAATCCACGCAGGTCTGACCACGTACTGAAATCTCTTGCCTAGTGACATGTAGCAAGTCCAAGTACAATACATGGAACTCTATTTACAATTTGTTGCTGTTACACTAATTTGAATATGCCGGCTAGGCATGCTGGCTCATGCCTGTAATCTCAACACTTTGAGAGGCTGAGGCGGGCAGATCACTTGAGGCCAGGAGTTCGAGACCAGCGTGGCCAACATGGCAAAACCTCGTCTCTACTAAAAATATAAAAATTAGGCGGGTGTGGTGGTGCACGCCTATAATCCCAGCTACTCTGGAGGCTGAGGCACAAGAATTGCTTGAACCTAGGAGGCAGAGGTTGCAGTAAGCCAGGATTGCACCAATGCACTCCAGCCTGGGCAAAAGAGCAAGACTGTCTCAAAAAAAAAAAAAAAAAAATTTTTTTTTTAATATGCCACAATTATATCCTGCCATTCACAACATCACACCCGTGTGTGTACTATGTTTGTAAAGCACAGGTTTGAGATATAGATGCCTGTCATCCCCAATATATAGCACACAATGCACGCTTAGTTTTAATTTAGGAACTTACACCACTTGGTCAATAAACTTCTTTTGATCCTCAGGAATCGTGACAGGACATTTTGAAGTGTTAGGAGATACATAGGACAGAGCTCCTGCACCATTCGCCTGTGAACGTTTTTCATCATACTGCTCTCTTAACTGTCTTTCTTCTTCCTGATTTAAATATGGAATTCCTAAACACGATTTTAAAAAGAATGCATTAGCAGAAGTAACTGTCTAACATAAAATTTGTTTAACAAACCAAAGAGTCTAAATTACTCAGGAAAGATTTACCATATTTAACTACATCTCAAAAAATGAACAGAAAGGCAAATGATTTTGAAATGTGTTTATCATTCATCCATTCATTCAGTCTTCTTTCAAGAAATATTTATCTGGCACTTATGCTGTGCCAAAGCATTATATTAGGCACTGGGGAATGAACAGTGACAAGCTGATGCATCCTGCTCTGTAGTGAAGGGAACTACTTCTGACAAGAAAATCAGGAAAGTCAGGGAAAACCCAAAGGATGAGAATAAGTCGGATACGAAAGGAGCTAGGGGAAGAGTCCTTCGGGTAGGGGAAACAAGTATTAATACCCAGAACATGGAAATGGCTTGGACGGTTCCAGGAGCAGCAAGGAGCTGGTGTGGCCAGATGTCATGAGCAAAAATGGAATGGTACAGCATCACATTGGAGAGAGTATGGAGCAAGATTCTGCAGGCCCTCACAGGCCAGTGTAAGAAATGTACATTATTCTAACAGTGGCTGGACAACATTAGAAGATTTTAAGCAAGATAATTACCTTATCTGCATAATGTTTCAAAGGCCATGATGACTACTCTGAGAGTGAAGTTAGGAAACAAGTCAGGAGCAATTGTCCAGGCAAGAGACAAGAGCTCAGATCAGAGGTCAGCAAACTTTTTCTTTGTTTTGTTTTGTTGTGAGACAGTCTTACTCTGTCACCCAGGCTGGCATGCAATGGCACAATATGAGCTCACTGCAACCTCTGCCTCCCAGGTTCAAGCAATTCTTCTGTCTCAGCCTCCCGAGTAGCTGGAATTACAAGCGTGCACCATCACACCAGGCTAATTTTTGTATTTTCGGTAGAGACAGGGTTTCGCTATGTTGGCCAGGCTGGTTTCGAACTCCAGACCTCACCGCCTGCCTCAGCCTTCCAAAGTGCTGGGATTACAGGCGGGAGCCACGGCCACCGCGCACGGCCAGCAAACTCTTTCTTAAAGGGCTCGATGGCAAATGTTTTAGGCTTGTGGGCAATGGGGGTCTCTGTCGCAATACTCAACCCTGCTGTTGTGGCACAAAAGCAGCCATACACAAAATGTACATGTACGGGCATAGCTGTAGTCCAACAAATCTTATTTACAAAACAAGGAGCCAGCAGTGGGCTCTTGTTTGTAACCCTGGTGTAGAGATGGCAGGGTAGAAGGAGACAGTGATTTTCTAGACATAAGACGTAACACTTACTGATATCCTGGAGATGAAGGATAAAGGGAAAGGCAAAATCAAGAGTAACACCTTGCGGCCGGGCATGGTGGCTCACGCCTATAATCCAACCACTTTGAGAGGCCGAGGCGGGCGGATCACAAGTTCAAAAGATGGAGACCAGCCTGGCCAACATGGTGAAACCCCGTCTCTACTAAAAATACAAAAATTAGCTGGGCATGGTGGTGTGTGCCTGTAGTCCCAGCTACTTGGGAGGCTAAGGCAGGAGAATCACTTGAACACAGGAGGCAGAGGTTACAGTGAGCCGAGATCGTGCCACCGCACTTCAGCCTGGCGACGGTGTGACACTGTCTCAAAAAAAAATAAAAATAAAAATAAAAAAAACACCTTGCTATTTGGTTCAAGCGATTGGGAAGATGGTAGGGCCACTAACTGATGTGAAGACAATGAGGGGAAAAATAGGTATCGGGGTCCAAGGAGTGAAAATCAAAAGCTACCTTTTGGACATACTATTTTTTTTTCTTTTTTTTCTTTTTAGAACGAAGTCTTGCTCTGTCACCCAGGCTGGAGTGCAATGGCACGATCTCGGCTCACTGCAACCGCCACCTCTCGGGTTCAGGCAATTCTCCCGCCTCAGCCTCCCAAGTTGCTGGGATTACAGGCGCCCGCCACCATACCCAGCTAATTTTTGTATTTTAGTAGAGACAAGGTTTCAACATGTTGGCCAGGCTGATCTTGAACTCCTGACCTCAGGTCATCTGCCCATCTCAGCCTCTAAAAGTGCTGAGATTACAGGCGTGAGCCACCGCGCCCTACCACGGACATGTTAAATCATCTAAGGGAATACACAAATTAAAAGCTGCAGTTACAAGCCTATAGCTCAAGAGAAAGGTGTTGAGATATACATTTAGTTATCATTGGGACACGGGTGGTATTAAAATCCATGGGGACGGGGCGCGGTGGCTCACGCCTGTAATCCCAGAACTTTGGGAGGCCAAGGCGGGCAGATCACCTGAGGTCGTGAGTTCAAGACCAGCCTGACCAACATGGAGAAACCCTGTCTCTACTAAAAATACAAAATTAGCCGGGCGTGGTGGCACATGCCTGTAATCCCAGCTACTCTGGAGGCTGAGGCAGGAGAATCGCTTGAACCTGGGAGGCAGAGGTTGCGGTGAGTCAAGATTGCACCATTCCACTCCAGCCTGGGCAACAAGGGTGAAACTCCATCTCAAAAAAAAAAAAAAAACAAAACACCATGGGAGGCCGGGCGCCTGGCTCATGCCTATAATCCCAGCACTTTGGGAGGCTGAGGAGGGCGCATCACTTAAGATCAAGAGTTTAAGACCAGCCTGTCCAATATGGTAAAACCCTCTCTCTACCAAAAAGTACAAAAATTTGCCACGCGTGGTGCCACGCGCCTATAGTCCCAGGTACTCAGGAGGCTGAGGTGGGATAATCACGTGAATCTGGGAGGTAGAGGTTGCAGTGAGCCAAGATCACGCCACTGCACTCCAGCCTGGACGACAGGGTGAGACAGTCTCAAAACAACAATAACAACAAAGCCATGGGACACTAAGGAATTTGTAGAAAGAACAATGAACGTAGAAAACCACCATCAGTCAACGATAATTGCTTAAAGCAAGAACTATCAATAGATGCTAAAACTAACTGGCAAAAAAAGTGGTCCACGTTAACATCACCAGTATTGGGACAAATGACATCACGTGCCTCCTGGTATGATACACGGAGAAGAATACACATAGAGGAGAAGCGGGAAGGCAACAGATAGTGAAAAAGCAATGGAAGTCAACAGATTGCTGAAATAGGTACCAGAGCAAGTGAATCAGAAGCATGAGTAGTACTCTCAAAAAAAGAAACATTAAAAACACTAAAAACAATAAATGAGACCATGCGTAACAGGTCACTCCTATAATCCCAGAGCTTTAGGGGGTGGCGGCAGGAATACCAGGAGTTTGAGACCAGCCTGGACAATATAGTGAGACCCTGCCTCTATAAAAAACATAAAAATTAGCTGGACATGATGGTGTGCACCTATGGTTCCAGCTACACGGAAGGCTGAGGTGGGAGAATCACTTGGGCCCAGGAGGTCAAGGCTGCAGTGAGTCATGAATGTGCCAGTGCACTCCAGCCTGGTGACAAAGCAACATCTTGTCTCAAAAATGGGAAAAAAAAAAAAGAGTAAATGAGAGGTGCAGTTTTTGACCCTAAGACCCATGACGCTGCCATTGGTATAGAGGACTAAAGAGAGATAGAAAGATGCTGACCACCTGGTCAAGAAACAGACCAGAGCATTTGCTGGTTATCCTTGAGGATACTAAAGTCACCCAGAGAGGGGCAGGAGTGGAGAGAATTATAACACACCAAAGCCAAGGCTAAGATGCACGCTGTGCCTACAGGAGTCAGCACAGAGGGGCAGCAGAGCTGGTGACAGCCTGAAAATGGTGGCTCCCGTACAAAAGAAAATTCAGGGGCCAGGCACGGTGATCACACCTGTAATCCCAGCTCTTTGGGAGGCCAAGGCAGGTGGACCATCTGAGGTCGGGAGTTGGAGACCAGCCTGGCCGACATGGAGAAACTGTCTCTACTAAAAATACAAAATTAGCTGGGTGTGGTGGCACATGCCTGTAATCCCAGCTACTTGGGAGGGTGAGGCAGGAGAATCACTTGAACCCAGGAGGCAGAGGTGGTGGTGAGCTGAGATCGCACCATTGCACTCCAGCATGGGAAAGAAGAGCGAAACTGTCTCAAAAAAAAAAAAAAAAAAAAAAAAAAAAAAAGAAAAGAAAAGAAAATTCAGGTGTCTGAAGGTGGTGTGGGGAAACAAGGAGGACACCTAGCACAGCCTGGCCAGAGGAAGACAAGAGTGAGAGGGAAAACCACCGGGGATGGAGAAGGCTACAGGGGGAAACTAACAAGGAGTCACCTGGTTTCCCTCCAGACAAGGAAATCAAAAGGAACTTGAGAGAAGACTGCCGTAAAGAAAGGGCCTGACATTTACAGAGCCTGAATGGAAAGCCTTGAAAATGGAGAGAGATGAGGGTCTAAGTCAGATTTAGAGCATATCAACAACGGCATGGGATGAGGCTTGGTAGTATGGATGACCTGGGAGTCCTGACTATCGTGACTAAAATATTCCAGGGCATGACTATAAAACAGAAGAAGGAGGCACATTCCAATCTGGCTGTTTCTCTTCTTTTATGGGAAAAAAAAAAAAAAACAAGTTAGAACTATGCATCCATATGAGTACCAGATAAAGTGGTTCCTTCAAGAGATGCTGCCACTAGTCCAATATAGTGCTCTAAATGCATTTGGAACTTATATTTTATAATGGCTTTCAGAGTCAAGTATGAGACGAATAAAAAAAATTCTTTATAATACCCAAACTGTATTGCTCTGCTGGTTCAGTCACTATGTGAAGCAGTTTTGGCTCAAAACAAGTTTGTTTTTATTACCTCCGAAGATCAAAATCAGTAAAAATTAAGATGCAGCATCACTGAAACAATTAAAAAACAATATGGGCCAGGCCCGGTGGCTCATGCCTGTAATCCCAGCACTTTAAGAGGCAAAGGTAAGTGAATCACTTGAGGTCAGGAGTTCAAGACCAGCCCAGCCAACATAGTGAAACCCCATCGCTACTAAAAATACAAAAATTAGGTGTGCGTGGTGGCATGTGCCTGTGGTCTCAGCTACTCGGGAGGCTGAGGCACGAGTATCACTTGAACCTGTTAGGTGGAGGCTGCGGTGAGTCGAGATCATACCATTGCACTCCAGCCTGGGCGACACAGTGAGATTCTGTCTCAAAAAAAAAAAAAAAACACCACCAATATGGCATGGGTACTAAACACCTTGCAAAGAGGTTCTGCTGAGAATAGGAGAATTCATTTGAAGTCCATGTACTTTTTTTTGAGAAAAGTTCAGTTATTTTTGTTGGGATAAACCTCCTTCCCTCTTTCATTCATTAATTCTACATTCACCATGGGGGAAAAAAAACAAAATTTATGTAAATAATTAAATTAAAATATTGACCTTGTACATACTTAATACCACTGCAAAAAGCACAGTCTTTCCAAACACTTTTAGAGAAACAAATGGAGAGGAAGGAAAACCAATCTGAAATGTTCTAATGTCCAGTAGTCATGCACCCATTTATGCATCAAATATTTGGTGGTCACCTCCCTGATGTAGAAGAGAAATCATGCTATGCAAGGGGATGTGAAAAGAACAAGACACAATCCCTTCCTCAGGTGCTCCCCAGGCCATCACTCTAGCAAGTTAGCCATTATCAATCGTGCAGTCTCTGCACTTTTCTTCTCCCATAAGAAACTAAGAAACTGTCTCCAACTACTAAAAAAGCAACAGGTAGGCAGGGTGTGGTGTCTCATGCCTGTAATCCCAGCAGGCTGGGAGGCCAAGGCAGGTGGATTGTTCGAGGACAGGAGTTTGGGACCAGCCTGGGCAATGGCGAAATCCCATTTCTACAAAAAATTCGAAAATCAGCCAGGCATGCTGGTGCACAGCTGTAGTTCCAGCTACTTGGGAGGGTGAGGTGGGAGGATCATTTGAGCCCAGGAGGTCAAGGCTCCGGTGAGCTATGATTGCACCACTGCACTCACCCTGGGTGACAGAGTGGGACCCTGTCTCAAAAAAAAAATTAAAAATAATTCCTGCCAGCAGAGGGGTTATAAAAAATAAACATAAAAAATAAAATAAACATAAACATGCACTAGCTGGAAAAGAGGGTTTTCATTACAGCATCAGTGGAATACAGGACATTTCTAAACTACATACCTCTTGTTACACTGGAAGAAAACAAGGAAGCACTCCCCACAGGTGGTGAGTTAGGCCACTATATCACGCCAGTGGTAGAATAAACTGCACTCGATAAAAACAGGAGTTTGAAAGGCCTTATCAGAGTTAAATGAAGTAGTATCTATTCTGTTTAGCTCATGGCTGATTATGTTTTTTGTTTTTTTTTAAAAAAAAAAAAAAAAGATCACAGTAGGCCAGGCGTGGTGGCTCACACTTGTAATCCCAGCATTTTTGGAGGCCAAGGTGGGCAGATCACGAGGTCAGGAGATCGAGACCATCCTGGCTAACACGGTGAAACCCTGTCTCTACTAAAAATACAAAAAATTAGCCAGGCGTGGTGGCGGGCACCTGTAGTCCCAGCTACTCGGGAGGCTGAGGTAGGAGAATGGTGTGAAACTGGGAGGCAGAGCTTGCAGTGAGCCGAGATCACACCACTGCACTCCAGCCTGGGCAACAGAGCGAGACTCTTCTCAAAAAAAAAAAAAAAAAAAAAATCACAGTAAGCAAGTTTTTAAAAATTCTAAGGCTGCATATGTGTACTGGCTGCACATGTATGCTGGAACTCTAAGACTGTGTCTCAGCAGGCACAAAATAATAATTCTCAACCAAGTTCAGACTTACTTCCCAAGGATATTTTGAAGGTTTATAAGCTCTAAAGATAGGTTACCCATAATCTTACCATTTCGAAAAACTTTATTAAAATCAAATCCCTGGCTTGCTAGAAAGTCAATGCTGGAGCTCTGAAACAGAGTAAACAGAACACATGTTTTGGGGATGTTAGCGGCAGGAATATAAAGAGATGCAGAGAAGTAACTCAAACAAGAAAACAAAGACAATATGGGAAGGAAGCGATGTGCCAGAGGTCACAATACAAGGAATTTCTACTCCACAAACAATCCATTAACTTGCTTAAAACATTTGGGCTCTTCTCCTTTATAGCTTACAAAACAAACATCCTTTGTTTCACAATTTTTTTTTTATAGACAGGGTCTCACTATGTTGCCCAGGCTGGTCTCAAACTTCCGGACTCAAGCAATCCTCCTGCCTCGGCCTCCCAAAGTGCTGGGATTACAGATGTGAGTCACCACATCCAGCCTACTTCATAATATTTTTTAAAAATCTACTGGGTAGACCGGCACAGTGGCTCATGCCTGTAATCCCAGCACTTTGGGAGGCAGAGGTGGGCACATCACTTGAGGTCAGAAGTTCGAGACCGGCAGGTCAGAACTTTGAGAACAGCCTGGTCAACATGGTGAAACCCTGTCTCTACTAAAAATACAAAAATTAGCCGGGTGTGCCAGGCGCGGTGGCTGACACCTGTAATCCCAGCACTTTGGGAGGCCAAGGCGGGTAGATCACGAGGTCGGGAGATCAAGACCATCCTGGCTAACATGGTCAAACTCCGTCTCTACTAAAAATAAAAATAAATTAGCCAGGCGAGGCAGCATGTGCCTCTAGTCCCAGCTGCTGGGGAGGCTGAGGCAGGAGAATGGCGTGAACCCGAGAGGTGGAGCTTGCAGTGAGCCGAGATCATGCCACTGCCACTGCACTCCAGCCTGGGTGACAGAGCAAGACTCTGTCTCAAAAAAAAAAAAAAAAAATTAGCCAGGTGTGGTGGTGTGTACCTGCAATCCCAGTTACTCAGGAGGCTGAGGCAGGAAAATTTCTTGAGTTTGGGAGGTGGAGGTTGCAGTGAGCCGAGAGAGCCACTGCACTCCAGCCCAGGCGAGAGAGCAAGACTGTCTCAAAAAAAAAAAAAAAAAATATTCCACTGGGCGAACGGATTATTCTCCCAATAGGCAGAAAGCTCCTGATCGCTTGACTGTTGCAGTACTGACTAGGAAACTATAAATAGAACTAGTATGTATTTTATTACCCTGTCCCAGGTTCAAGTTTAACACAGGCACATGCACAGGTTATAAGACACTGACATCCACCTCAAATTAGATAATGAAAGCCCAAAATCTTAATTAAATGTTCTCAATGTTGAAGATCAAAAGAGAAACCAGGCACGGTGGCTCGCACCTGTAATCCTAGCACTTAGGGAGGCCAAATGAGGAAGATCGCTTGAGCCCAGGAGTTAAAGACCAGCTTGGGCAAAACAGTGAGATCCTATCTCCACAAAAAATTTAAAAATTAGCCAGGCATGGTAGCACATGCCTGCAGTCCCAGCTACCCAGGGGCTGAGGTAGGAGGATCACTTAAGTATGGAAGGTGAGGAGGTTGAGGCTGTAGTGGGCTACCATCATGCCACTGCACTCCAGCCTGAGTGACAAAGTGAGACCTTGCCTCAAAACAAAAAAGATCAAAAGGAAAGTTCCCAATAATAAGCCTTACGAAACAAATATATCTCGAACCTAGCATGAGCCAAAATATGTTCCCAGATTTAAATAAAAACATTAGACTGGGCTGGACATGGTGGCTCACACCTGTAATCCCAGCACTTCCGGAGGCTGAGGTGGTTGCATCGCTGGAGCCCAGGAGTTTGTGTGACCAGCCTGGGCAACATGGCAAGACCCCATTTCAATTAAAAATAATAATAATAAAATTATTTTAAAATAAGTATATATTAGGCTGGGTGCAGTGGCTCACACCTGTAATCCCAGCACTTTAGGAGATGGTGGGAGGATCGCTTGAGCCCAAGACTTCGAGACCAGCCTGAGTAACATAGGGAGACCCATCTCTACAAAAAATTTAAAAATTAGCCAGGTGTGGTGGTTCCCATCTGTAGTCCCAACTATCCCACAGGCTGAGGTGGGAGAATCAGAAAATCATTTCAGCCCAGGAGTTCAAGTCTGCAGTGAGCTGTGATCACACCGCTGGACTCCAGCGTGGGTGACAGAACAAGTCTCTGCCTCTTAAAAAAAAAACAAAAAACAGGTTGAGTGTGATGGCTCATGCCTGTAATCCCAGCACTTTCGGAGGCTGAGGCAGGCGGATCAAGAGGTCAGGAGTTCGAGACCCGCCTGACCAACATGGTGAAACCCCGTCTCTACTAAAAATACAAAAATTAGCCAGGCGTGGTGGTGCACGCCTGTAATCCCAGCTACTCAGCAGGCTGAGGCAGGAGAATGGTGTGAACCCAGGAGGCAGAGGTTGCCATGAGCCGAGATCATGCCACTGCACTCCAGCCTGGGTGACAGAGCAAGACTCTGTCTCAAAAAAAAAAAAAAAAAAAAAACACTGGCCGGGCACAGTGGCTCATGCCTGTAATCCCAGCACTTTGGGAGGCCCAGGCGGGCAGATTACAAGGTCAGGAGATCGAGACCACCCTGGCTAACATGGTGAAACCCCGTCTCTACTAAAAATACAAAAAATTAGCCAGGCGCGGTAGTGGGCACCTGTAGTCCCAGCTACTCGGGAGGCTGAGGCAGGAGAATGGTGTGAACCAGGGAGGCGGAGCTTGCAGTGAGCTGAGTTTGTGCCACTGCACTCCAGCCTGGGCGACAGAGCGAGACTCCATCTCAAAAACAAAAAACAAAAAACACTGTATTAAGTGAACAATACTATAGATGAAACACAAGCACGGCAAAATTATGGAGTTCATACTCAAATGAACTTAAGAAATAAGCATTACTGTAGCTACTCTAATTTTATTCTTGGCCAAGTCAGAACATCAGCAGGCTACACATCTGAATCATTTTCATCTGGTCCCTTTCCTGCACTGTACTTTGACATTATGCCATCAGTCTAGATTGAAGGACATGGTAACAAACAGTTCCATTAAACTTATCACAGTACTGACTTCAGAGATGTGATTGAAGATCAGGTTTTCTACAGTAATCATTTACTTATAATTCAAGGGTAAATGTTCTGAGGTCTCTATTCTGGGGAAAGCTATACTAATCCTGAGTTCTGGATTGTCCTAATCCTATGGACCACGGAATGACTGTGTTTCCCTCTTTTCTTTGCTACTAGGAAGCTCAGGGACAAACAAATTACACTTTCTTTGGCACAAATTCTGTGTTCTATTCATACCATAGTGATTGTATCATTTTTCTTTTCTTTCAAATTTTCATTTACTAATTTTTTAATCTTATGTTAAAAGGTAAATACCGTATATATCTTTAATAACCAAAACAAATCGTTTTGAAATGGTGAGATATAAAAAGACAATCTGAACACAGAAAAACACACAAACAAATAGAAGCACATGCAAATCACTTCCATCGTGTCCAGGCTTTTATACTTTACAACAAGCAATCTTTCCCTACCCCCACTTCTTTTTTAATCCTGTCCTGAACCAAGAACCAAGACTCAATGTATTTTGATTGGTCTGTGGGCTTCTGTCTACCATGGCTGGAGTGTTCTTATAACTCTGCCCACCTAAACATTCCATCTCTGACAAAGGCACTGAAACACAAACTGTGGAAGGCATTTTTGTCCTTCTAGTACTAGACACCAAAACATCCTACTTTCCTTTATCCCACTGAATTCAAAGTCAGAGTCATCTATGCCTTTCCTGAAGCTGCTTATTTTCTAATCAAAACAACACTCTTTGGGTTGTACAATAGTGTCAATGTACTTAATGCCACTGAGCTATACATTTAAATACGGTTAGAATAGTAAAATTTATGTTACATATATTTTACCACAATTTTTAAGAAAACCTCTGAACTTGGCCAGACACGGTGGCTCACGCCTGTAATCCGAGCACTTTGGGAGGCGAGGCAGGCAGATCACGAGGTCAAGAGATCAAGACTATCCTGGCTAATACGGTGAAAACCCTGTCTCTACTAAAAATACAAAAAATTAGCTGGGCATGGTGGCAGCGCCTGTAGTCCCAGCTACTTGGGAGGCTGAGGCAGGAGAATGGCGTGAACACGGGAGGCAGAGCTTGCAGTGAGCCAAGATCGTGCCACTGCACTCCAGCCTGGGCGACAGGGGCTTCGTCTCAAAAAAAAAAAAAAAAACCTTTGAACTAACAAAACCTTTTGGAGTTTACTAGCCACTACCTTTGATTTGTCATAAATGTAACATGTTCAAGATTGAAGAGATGAGGCTGGGAGCAGTGTCTCACGCCTGTAATTCCAGCACTTTGGGAGGCCAAGGCGGGTGGATCACTTGAGGTCAGGAATTCGTGACCAGACTGGCCAACATGGTGAAACTCTGTCCCTACTAAAAATACAAAAATTAGCCAGGCATGGTGGCACGCATCTGTAGACCCAACTACTTGGGAGGCTGAGGCAGAAGAATCACTTGAACTCGGGAGGTGGAGGTTACAGTGAGCCAAGATAGTGCCACTGCACTCCAGCCTGGGTGACAGAGTGAGACTCCGTCTCAAAAAAAATAAAAAGATTCAAGACATGAGAACAGATATTTGGGAGGACAATTTGAGACATCCATCAAAACTTTAAATGCATATATCCTATGTCTCAACAACTCTCCTTCTAGGAAATCTACAATACAAAAAAATTCTTACACATACAAAAAGATATACTGAACACAGATGTTGACTATAGAATTGCTGATAACCACTGGAAAGCCTCCAAATTTCAATTAACTGATCAAACAAATTATACGTATCCATACTACGAAATAAAAGACATTCTGCTGAGTGGCAAGTGCGAGTTGCATAAAATGTGAAATTAGGATTCCATATATATATATTTGAGACGGAGTCTCGCTCTGTCACCCAGGCTGGAGCGCAGTGGCGCGATCTTGGCTCAGTGCAAGCTCTGCCTCTCGGGTTCACACCATTCTCCTGCCTCAGCCTCCCGAGTAGCTGGGACTACAGGCGCCCGCCCCCACGCCTGGCTAATTTTTTTTGTATTTTTAGTAGAGACGGGGTTTCACCGTGTTAGCCAGGATGGTCTTAATCTCCTGACCTCGTGATCCGCCCGACTTGGCCTCCCAAAGTGCTGGGATTACAGGAGTGAGTCACCACACCCGGCCCATTTTTTACAATGTAAGCCTGGCGCAGTGGTACGTGCTTGTAATCCCAGCACTTTGGGAAGCCAAAGTGGGCAGATCGCTTGAGCCCAGGAGTTCAAGACGAGCCAAGGCAACATGGTAAAACCTTGGCTCTACAAAAAATACAAAAATTAGCTGGGCATGGTGGCATGTGCCTGTAGTTCCAGCTACTGAGGAGGCTAAGGCAGGAGGATCACTTGAGCTGGTGAGGTCAAGGCTGCAGTGAGCCATGACAACATCACTGCACTCTAGCCTTGGTGACAGAGACTCTGTCTCCAAAAAAAAAAAAAAGCTAATATGTATGTGTGTCTAGGCATATGTCTATATGTATACATGTACATAAAAGCTAGGAAAAAAGGAGTAAAATGGGAAGGAAGTGGCATGGGAAAAGGATATAAGAAGGGAAACACAGCCAGGCACCATGGCTAATACCTGTAATCCCAGCACTTTGGGAGGCCGAGGTGGGCAGATCACGAGGTCAAGAGATCGAGACCATCCTGGCCAACATGGTGAAACCCCGTCTCTACTAAAAATACAAAAATTAGCTGGGCGTGTTAGCACATGTTTGTAGTCCCAGCCACTCCAGAGGCTCAGGCAGGAGGATCGCTTGAACCCAGGAGGTGGAGGTCGTGGTGAGCCAAGATCGCACCACTGCACTCCAGCCTGGAAACAGAGCAAAACCCCATCTCAAAAACAAAAAAAAAGAAAAGAAAAAAAAAAGAAACACATCTGGCCAGGCGCGATGGCTCACGTCTATAATCCCAGCACACTGGAAGGCCAAGGCGGGTGGATCACCTGAGGTCAGGAGTTTGAGACCAGCCTGACCAATATGGTGAAACGCTGTCCCCATTAAAAATACAAAAATTAGCAGGGCGTGGTGGCAGGTGCCTGTAGTCCCAGATACTCAGGAGGCTGAGACAAGAGAATTGCTTGAACCCAGGAGGCAGAGGTTGCAGTGAGCCGAAATCACACCACTGCACTCCAGCCTGGGCGACAGTGTAAGGCTCCATCTCAAAAAAAAAAAAAAGAAAAGAAACACATCTGTTACTCTACATACAGCAGTTATGCTTCAATTTTTCACAACCATATATATAAAATACCTTCTATGAATTCAACTACAGATCTTCAGCCTGAAAAAGGAAGAGGAAGAAAAGAAAAAGGAGAAGACAAAAATGATGTAAATGTCATGCTATGCTGACTGCCCTACTATTCTACAAACACACTCTTCTGGGTGTGAGTGTGGTTCTGTCAGCCCATTCCTCCACATCTTGACAAGCATATGGGAGCATCTCACTGCGCACACAGGGTCTTATTTTTTAAAGAACATATTAAATTGTTGTATCCTCAAATCCTATATGCTTTAAGGGTGATAAGAGCTTTCTGAGAGAGATTTTGACCCAATTTTCACCCTACTTAATAACTCCAGAAACTAATGCCCTTGTATGCAACTCTGCTACAACTATAGAATTTTAAATAAAACAAAAACCTTAAATGAGAGACCAAAGAAAATCCAAAAATACATTAACCTTTTCATACAATTCCCAAATTTAGAGTCTAAACCTTTTCTCTGCCTTTGCTTTTCCACACTAGAGAATCCCGGCATTTTTATTCATCTGTTTTAGACATTACTCTCTGGGCTATCTTCAAGTCTATGATAGCTTTTTTTAAAGGAGTGGCTGGCAACTACAACTGTATTAAGTATTCCAGGTGTACAATCATGGTTTGTACAATGGGTGAAGTTCCTCTGATCTGTTTCCAATACATTTCTCAAAATAACCAGTTTTGTCTTGGTTGTTTAGAACAGAGTGCCATCGGCCAGATGTGGTGGCTTACGCCTGTAACCCTAGCACTTTGGGAGGCCAAAGTGGGAGGATCACCTGAGGTCAGGAGTTTGAGACCAGCCCGACCGACATGGAGAAACCCCATCTCTACTAAAAATATAAAATTAGCCGGTGTGGTGGTGCATGCCTGTAATCCCAGCACTTTGGGAGGCCAAGATGGGAGGATCACCTGAGGTCGGGATTTCAAGACCAGCCTGACCAACATGGAAAAACCCTATCTCTACTAAAAATATAAAATAAGCCGGCGTGATGGTGCATGCCTGTAATAACAGCTACTCAGGAGGCTGACGCAGGAGAATCACTTAAACCCGGGGCTTTAGCCTGGGCAACAAGAGCGAAACTCCATCTCAAAAAAAAAAGAACAAAGTGCCATCCCCAAGGTGTCTCATTGCCACCCTCTGCTTTTGTTTGATTAACCCCTGGCCAAAGCCATGGAACCCACTTTAAATAATTCTGTGTTGCTGGTACTGCTAGAAAACTATATCCACACAAATTTCCCAACTGAGCCTACTTTTCCCTCAATGAAAATTTACCAAAAAAAAAACAAAACAAAACAAAACTGTAAGGCCGGGTGCGGTGGCTCAGCACTTTGGGAGGCCAAGCCGGGCAGATCACCTGGGGTCGAGAGTTCGAGACCAGCCTGATCAACATGGAGAAGCCTCACCTCTACCAAAAATACAAAATTAGCTGAGCATCTTGGTGCATGCCTGTAATCCCAGCTACTCGGGAGGCTGAGGCAGGAGAATCGCTTCCACCCAGGAGGCAGAGGTTACAGTGAGCCTAGATCATGCCATCACACTCTAGCCTGGACAAGAAGAGCGAAACTTCATCTCAAGAAAAAAAAGAAAAGAAAATTTATAAATACTCTTTAAGTATCCCATACCACGGTGATTGACAAATAGCTATTAACTGATTGCAGGGTAAAGGTAAAATGTCAACTGGTTTACTTGCTAATTTAGGAAACTGTCTATAAGACCAGAATTTAACCTTCACCTTTTCTCTTTTGCCCATAAGCATATGATTAACTCTCGATTTCATTTGTTTATATACTGCCAGTTTTGAGAAAGAATTTGACATAACTCAATCACTTGAAGCCTACCCTCGAGGCTTTCATAACTGCATTACCATTAATCTGCAAGAGAAGGGAAAGATGGCAAGACTCAAATGAATTCATGTTTTTAGTGGGAGAGAAGATAGGATGCAAGATTTTAAGGGAGAAAAGATTAAGACTTATCTTTAATCACATAGCCACACAACCATACCCCTTACTCACATTCTCCTTATCCATTACAACAGATAATCAAAAGAGCAGAAAGGAAACAGTGATATTTACTGAGTGTCTACCAGGTCAGCTACAACACCTCTAGAGGGAATATCCTGAAGGAGAACCTCCCTAATATTGACCCATCAATTAAGCTCTCTTCTCCTCAAGAGAAACAGTAGTTTTTTTTTCTACCCCCCTTTCCTAATTAGTGAGCTTGAGAAAAGGAAGTCAGCATAAATACTTGAACCCCTTCTGCGCTTTCTCTTTTTGCATAGGATACACACATACTCTGCTTTTCCAGAAAATAAAGGTCTACACCCTCAGAGTGGATGCGAGGAGAATGAGTGAGGATAGGGAGAAGCCTCCAAGTCTTTTGTTTATTTTAATTTTTATTTTAAAATAGAGATGAGGTTTCACTATTTTATGCCCAGGCTGGTCTCAGACTCCTGAGCTCAAGTGATTCTCCCGTCTTGGCCTCCAAAACTGCTAGGATTACAGGTGTAAACCACCACATCCAGCCAAGAAGCCTGCAAGTCTTGATGTGTAGGTGGTTCAACTTGGGGGTAAAATAATAAAAATCCCAAATGGAGTTACGAAACTATGTTCTCAAATTCAGCTTTAGAATTACTAAACCTCATGTTCTCATATCTGTCTGTCTGTCTCTGCATCTTATTCCTTAATTCATTCTTTTTTTTTTTTTTGAGCCAGAGTCTCGCTCTGTTGCCCAAGCTGGAGTGCAGGGGCGTGATCTCGGCTCACTGCAACCTCCACCTCCCAGGTTCACGCCATTCTCCTGCCTCAGCCTCCCTAAGTAGCTGGGATTACAGGCACCCATGACCACACTCGGCAAATTTTTTTTTTTGTATTTTTAGTAGAGACAGGGTTTCACCATGTTAGCCAGGATGGTCTCGATCTCCTGACCTCATGATCCGCCCTCCCCGGCCTCCCAAAGTGCTGGGATTATAGGCATGAGCCGCCGTACCTGGCCCTCCTTAATTCATTCTACAGCAAAGGAGGAGATAACAGGGTCATGAATTTATTACCCTAAAACTGAAGGTCAAAGGTGAAATGATTTGCCCCAAAGCCCAAAGTTAATAGAGAACCAAATTCTGATTTCACATTTCCATGCTGCCTCATCAGCAATTCAGAAAAGAAAAATCTCAATTATGCTACTTACCTGACAAACAAATTTGACATCTGGTGAGGATCTATTGAAGGGTTTCGGGAAAACATAGAAGTTAAATGACTTCGTTATATACCTGGGATAAGATAAAAGGAGACTTAGGAGGTGACATTGTGCCACAAAAACGGAATTCCCAACGTTTGTTAACACAACCTACTTTGAATCTGTGTAGTCATACTTAAAAGTGCAAAGGCCAAACTGAAATAGCAAAAAGTCCATGGAATGCTGGAAAAGGGAAATAAAACATCTGTCACAAAAGTGCTGCATATTCCATGTGAGCATAGCATTCTCAAACAGGTGGGCTTTCTGAATTACTCAATGAGACTTCAGCAGAATACTTCCAATTAGAACAGATTACACATATGAATCAGAAGCATTATTAATTTGTATACATTTCATAATACTTTTCCCATTTAAGGACCTATTTATCCATCATCCAAAGAATCATATTAGGTCTATTTCCAAATGATTAAAATAACTGCCTCATATTTCCTATGAATCAAATTAACACTGAAAATGCTAAACTTTCCCCAAAATATTTTCCAGCAAACAATTATTTTTGCTGTTTTAAATATCATTAAAATAACACTTTAAGGCCAGGTGTGGTGGCTCACACCTGTAATCCCAGCACTTTGGGAGGCTAAAGCAGGAGGATCATTTGACGCCAGAAGTTCGAGACCAGCCTGGTCAACAAAGTGAGACCGATCTCTACAAAAGAATATGTAAAAATTAAAAAAAATAATAATAATTGGCTGGGCACAGTGGCTTGCGCCTGTAGTCCCAACTACTTGGGAGGCTGTGGCAGGAGAATCAGTTGAGCCAGGAGTTCAAGGCTCCACAGAGCAGTGATCACGCCACTGCACCCCAGCCTGGGTGACAGAGCGAGACCTTGTCTCTAAAACAAGACAAAACAAAAAAAAAAATCACTTCATGGCTAGGTTTGAGGAGAAAATACTGCACTTACAAAACCTTAATGCACAAGTTTAGTAACAATATTTATCATTTAACATAAGGAAGACTAACATGAGAAAGAAAAAGATTTCCTAGCACATCCACTTGCCTTTTTAAGCTTCTGATACCTCTCTTCTGGAGTGTCAAAACCATTTGTTAATGCAGAGACTGAAGGTCCATCACTGATTCCTAGATTTTAAGAAATAAAAATTTTTAGCTTACTAATAAATACTAACGTAAAAATGCCAGTCAATCATTCAGTGCCTCTATAATGTCGTATCACGAATTAAGGTTACTTGGAAGCACTCCCTAACTTACTTTTTTAAAATAAGCATTAATTTCAGTGGCCACCAGGTTAAACCCTCTAATAATGAACTTAGAGATGCGAATGTTTCAACATGAGAATAGGCAGTTCCAGCGTCTAAAACATGACTTAAAACACAGTAATCATGTAAGAAAACAATCTCTATGCTTGAATAAGTTTTGCTGCTTTAAAAGATTCCTGTATAAACAGACATCAATAAATCCCTAAGTATATTATTGCCAGAGTTCCAGTCTTGGTCAAGAGTTTGGAGTGGTTAATATCTATGCAAAGAATGTATCTTCAAGATTAAGAGAAAATTATTTCTCTAAGTGAAAACTCTTAGCTTCCTAGGGAAGTGATTCCAACTAGACACTACCTAAAGCCAAGGATACTATTTACCCCTGCATGGATTCCTTCATGATTCAAACATGGAAAATCAGACAGCAAAAATGGATATCCATATCAAAGGGAGTGAACCGTTCATATTGACATCAGCAATTTAAAAACTAGTCTTTGCTCCCCCTAAAAAAGGGGAAAAAAAATTTGCAACTTTAAGTGTCAGTGAAGTATTTCCTGTATACACACCTGTTGAGGCAGGCAATGAACACGTCCACTAATGCATAAAGAAATATCTCATTTATCTGCAAAAACCTGACCCTAGCCGGTCACAAAAGGGCAAATATTGTAAGATTCCACTTATATGAGATGTTAAGGGCAGTCAAATTCAGAGACAAATGGCGGTTGCTAAAGGCTGGGCGAAAGGAGAAATGGGGAGTTTAATGTGTAAAGAGTTTCAGACTGTGAAGATGAAGAAGTCCTAGAGATGGATGGTGATGTTTGCACAGCAATGTGAATGTACTTAATGCCACTTAACTGTAAAGCCACTTAAAATGGCAAATTTCATGTTATACCTATTTTACAATCAAGAAAAAAAACAGTCTGACCCTAATCCTCAAGCTCTCTGCAATGTACACGCCGCACTGTTTTAAGCAGCATCAAAACCATCATCTCTATCTGAGATCCTGAGTCCAATCACAAACCTACGGCGTATCTTCATTTCTTTCGTGCTTTTGAAACGTTTAAAGGGTAACACTGAGACCTGTGAAACCCGCCCAAGGCTACTAACAGCAAGAGGCCACCACCAAGCATAAGAAGTTGGGGGCTGGGGGATTGAAGGAGCCTTGGCTATGCACTGCAAAGTGCTAGCCTGAGCTTGCAAGGGAGGGATACCTGAAAACTCCCCATCGATGGCGAAGAAGTCGGCCTCCTCTATGGCCTGGTACACTTTGTGAAGATTACTCTTAAAATCTGCGGAGAAACCGAAAAGAGGCTCAGAACCAGTGGCCTGAATTCCTGCTAAGGGGAGAGGGAAGGAGGGCCGAGGAGCTCCCGAGGCTGAGAGCCGGAAGGGGAAAAGTCCCGGAGGTGTGCACCGGGGCGAGGGGAATCAAGTCCTCGAGGGGTGCATGGGTCAGGGGGGACAAGCCCCGGGGGGTGCCCGGCCCGGAGAAGGACAAGGCCCCGGATGGTGCCGGGGTTGGAGGAGTAAGTACAAGGCTCCTAGGGTGCACGGTCCGCAGCCGGAAAAGACCCCAAGAGGCGCACCGGCTTAAGGAGGGAAAAGCCCTGAGGGGCTGCCTCAGCCCCAGGCCCAGCCAAACACGCCGGCCATGGTCTCGGCCTAGCAGGCCAGGGGCAGCCGGGTGTGGGGAGGCGGGGAGGTGTACGGCGGACACGCACTGCTCCTGATTATCTCCATTCTGCAGAGTGGCCGGAACCTTGGCCCCACCCGGGCCCGCGCCCGCCTCAGCGGTTCTACTCGCCGAATTCCGCGGCGACTGCGGCAGTAGCTGAGGCAGCCGCAGCGGTGACGCCGGCCGCGACTTCCGGAAACAGCGCGCGCCTGCTGCGCTTGCGTCAGCGCCTGCGCGGCGGCGGGGGCGGGGCCAAGGCTGGGCTCCTTTCCCTCCTTATAGGGACAGGGGAGGGGCGTGGCTATCGAAGTCCCCAAGGCGTGGCCTAATTTGTGCGGGCTTTCACTTCAGTAGAAAAAATGTGCATGTCTCGACATCCAGTCGACCAGGAAATACTGACTGGGTTTCTGTGATATGCTAGCCACTCTTACAGGGGTGGAGATACAGTGATGAACAGGAAGACGTGCTCCCTGCCCCATTGTAGCTTAAACTTGGGGTAAGGGGAAATTCAGGCAGGAGTGAAACTTGCCATTTGGTAACACATGAAAATCGCTATTAAGAAAAAGAGCGGGGCGATGTAATAGAGAATAATGGGATCCGGGTGCGGTGGCTCACGCCTGTAAGCCTAACACTTTGGGAACCCGAGGCGGGAGGATCCGTTGAACTGAAGAGTTCGAGACCAGCCTGGACAGCATAGTGAGACCTGTCTCTTAAAAAAATAAAATTAGGCCGGACCCGGTGGCTTATGCCTGTAATCCCAGCACTTTGGAAGGCCGAGGCGGGCGGATCACGAGATCAGGAGTTCGAGACCAGCCTGGCCAACATAGTGAAACCCTGTCTCTACTAAAAATATAAAAATTGGCTGGGCTTGGTGACTCATGCCTGTAATCCTAGCGATTTGGGAGGCAGAAGCGGGCGGATTACCTGAGGTCAGAAGTTCAAGAGCAGCCTGGCCAACATGGTGAAACCCTGTCTCTATTAAAAATACAAAAAATTAGCCGGGTGCAGTGGTGCGCGCCTGTAATCCCAGCTATTCGGGAAGCTGAGGCAGGAGAATCTCTTGAACCTGGGAGGCGGAGGTTGCTGTGAACCGAGATCACGCCACTGCACTCCAGCCTGGGTGACAGAACGAGACTTGTTTTCAAAAAAAAAATTAAATTAAATTAAAAGAATAATAGGGGTTGTTACTTAGGTGATCACGGAAAGCAAAGCTGAGACCCTTAGCTACTGCATTAGCCTCTGGGAATACTATGTCGAGTGCAACATATGAGGCCCGGCCCTAATGGAATTGTATGTTGGTTTGGGGTTGCTGTTCTCCAATGCCTAGCACTGGGCTGACACGTAGTAGACACTCAATAAGCATGGGTTGAATGAATACATTCAGGTTGGTCTTTCACAAAAGCCAACTATGAAAAGTTGGTTAGTGCCGGATGCGATGGCTCACGCCTGTGATCCTGGCACTTTGGGAGGCCGAGGCAGGCGGATTGCTTGAGGCCAGGAGCTCGAGACCAGCCTGGGCAACACGGTGAAACCCCATCTCTACTAAAATACAAAGAATTAGCCTGGCGTGGTGGCGCACCCCTGTAGTCCCAGCTACTCGGGAGGCTGAGGCAGGAGAACTGCTTGAACCCGGGAGGCGGAGGTTGCAGTGAGCCAAGATTGTGCCACTGCACTCCAACCTGGGCGACAGAGCGAGACTCCGTCTCCAAAACAAACAAACGAACAAAAGGAAAGTTGATTAGAAGACCTATTTTCAAAATCTATCTCAGCCACTTATTAGTTCTGGAATGCATTAAACCTTCCTAAACCTCAATTTCCTGGGATTGTATTGAGGCTCAGTGGTGCTAATGAATGTGAACTGGGAAGCAGCGTATTAATAAATCTGTATAAATAACTGTTTAATGGGGGCCTGGCGCCATGACTCACACCTGTAATCCCAGCGTTTTCGGGGGCTGAGGCAGGAGAATCGCCTGAACCCAGGAGTTCCAGACCAGCCTGGGGAAAAGAGCGAGACCCTGTCTCCATAAAAATAAAATGAAATTTTAAAATGAGCCAGGCGTGGTTGTGCACGCCCGTAGTCCCAACTATTCACGAGGCTGAGGTGGGATAATCGCTTGAACCCGGGAGGCGGAGGTTGCAGTGAGCCAAGATCGTGCCACTGTACGCCAGCCTGGCGGGTGAGAGTGAGACTCTGTCTCAAAAACAAACAACAACAACAAAACAAAACCAAATAATCAGCATAAGTTCTAGACGCTGTGACCTAGACGCTGGGAAGGGGCGAAACGTGGTGATAAGAAAACCATTTCAAGCTGTACGAGGTGGCTCACGCCTGTAATCGCAGCACTTTGTAAGGCTGAGGCAGGAGGATCCCTTGACGCCATATGTTCAAGATCAGCCTGGAAAACGCAGCGAGACCCCATCTCTACGAAAAAAAAAATATTTTAATAGAAATAAAAGTCATTTAATTCCGATTCTTAACACCGTAAATTGAACGTATAGTCCTGTGATTTTCTACATAAAATGTGAAGGCAAAAAATAACTGTAGAGAGTACGGTGCGGCCTTGTAATATTTTAATTTCTAGGCAAAGCTTGTATCCTCCGGATACAAGAACAGCCGCCCAGGAGGAGCGGAAACTGACACACACCCGTCACCCCTTGGGCTGTGACTGCCGAGCCCGGGTACTCGGTCTCTGGGTGAAGAGGAAGGGGCGGGACCGGCGGTATTACGCATGCGCCCACTTCCTCCGGCTGGGAGTGGCCGCTCTAGGCAGCGGGGAGGTCGCGGGGTTGAGGGGGGTTGTGAAAGGAGAGCGGCCTCTCCTCTATGGTCACGGGGCCGGGGCACGCTTCCCCCACTCTGTCTTGTTACTTCCGGTAGCGAAGCCTCTCCCTCTTCCTCTGCTCCCGCGGGGTCTGTGCTGAGAATAATGGCCCGGTTGGCCCGGGACGAGTGGAATGGTAAGCCGCGACACGGCTGGGGGGTGCTGAGGGGGCGACTCGGGCTTGATATCGGGGAGTGATGTGGAAGACGGAGCGGGAATCCCTTCTGCGGAGCCTCCCCAGCCGGGTCGTAGGAGGCGCGCGGGGCCTCTCCTCACGCAGGCCCGAGTCCTGAGCATCCCCACTCCTGGCCGCGGGGTTCGGACCCCAGCTTGGCCAACTGCGCTATCCCTTCCCGAGAGCCCCACGTCCGCACAGCCGGTCGCTGGGCCTCGCCTGCGTCCTTTCGGGGGTCAGGGTCAGAGCCACTCCCTCCTGGGGCTCCCTAGGGCGGGAAGGAGGAGGGGTCGCTTCCAAACACCTTGGAGGGGAACCACGGGGCGCCTGCCCGCCAGGAGCGCTTGCCACACCCTGCAACAGCCGGACCAGAATTGATGAGGCTTCTGATAGTCGCCACGCTGAGTTTACGGTCTAATTGTCGAGGCACGTTCCTGGCCTAAGGCGGAGCGATTGTGCCCATTCTTTAAAGTAGGGTGACCGAAGCGCAGAAGGGAGAAAGTGAAATCCCAAAGTCACACTGGGGCCAGGCAAGAACTCGGCTCTTCTGATTCTGCGACTTGCGGCTCGGAAATAACTTAGGCAAAAGAGAATTTTCTTTTTTTTCTTTTTAGAGACGGAGTCTTGCCCTGCCGCCCAGGCTGGAGTGCGGTGGAGCAATCTCGGCTCACTGCAACCTCCGCCTCCCAGGTTCAAGCGATTCTCTTGCCTCAGCCTTCTGAGTAGCTGGGATTACGGGCCCGCGTAACCACGCCCGGCTGATTTTTGTATTTTTAGTAGAGACGGGGTTTCACCATGTTGGTCAGACTGTTCTCGAACTCCTGGCCTCAAGTGACCCACTCGCCTCGGCCTCCCAAAGTGGGGAGATTACAGGCGTGAGCCACCGCGCCCGGCCGAGAATTGTCTTTTATTAAAAAAGCCGGCGGGAGGGGGCGACAGATGAGAGTCAGGTTGTGTCTAAACGGGGACCTTTGGAGGGGCAGGAGGCAGCATCCCAGCTTCCGCGGAAAACAGAGTGAGAGCCTAGACGCTGTTAAGCCCTCAACTGTCGCCATTGGGTCCTCCCCGCCGAAGCCCATTGGTCGGTCCTTTGCAAGGGGGGTGGTCTTGATGTCATGCTCCAAATCGCCAATAGGAAAGAGCTTTACTCTCTTCCCAGGACACACCCCCGAGCCGGCAGGGACTGCACGTGCTGATGGGGTTGTTTTGTTTGTTCTTGTCGCTGCTGTTTTCTCAACATCCAGCCTGGGTGTATCCTGACAGGTGTGCTCTGCATTTCCCTATATCCATAAACTTGATGGAGACATTGTATTTCTCCAGGGCAGTTCTTTTTGTTTGCTTTTTGGTTCCAGCGTTTGGCAGTGCCACTAAGTAGGTAGCCATCACTCAATAAATGCTGCTATTGATAATTCTGTTAATAATGCCGATCAGCCCCACACAGCAAACTTTGAGTACCTGTAGATAGTTTGTCATCTAAACCTCACAGCAGGGCGGGGCTCCGCAGCTCACGCCTGTAATCCCAGCAGTTTGGGAGGCAGAAGTGGGAGTATCCCTTGAGCCCAGGAGACCAGACCAACCTAGGCAACATAGGGAGACGCTGTCTCTTAAAAAAATTTTTTTAAAGTAAACCTCCCAACAGCCCTTCGAAGTTGACATGATTATCCTAGACGGATCAGTGGGAAATAGGAAGTTTAGGAAGAATAAATCGTGACGCGATTTGGAACCCAGATCAGTGTCACTCCTAAGACCATACTGTTTCAACTCTACCAGCCTAAGGAAATTATAATCCAGGAGATGAGAAAACGTACACAAATAAAAGTTATGCTAATGCACAGAGACAAGAAAGATTAATTTGGGTGTTGAGGAGTTAGTCATTAAAGACTTTCAAGTGACAGTTGATTTGGGTCTTTCCAGTTGGATACTTTTGACCCAGCGATGTTGTGAAGTTGTGTTACAGGTGAAGGGAACAATGTGAGGATAAGGAAAAATGTCCAAGGCCAGGCACGGTGGCTCACTCCTGTAATCCCTGCACTTTGGGATGCCAAGGCGGGCAGATTGCTTGAGCTCAGGTGTTCAAGATCAGCTTGGGATACATGGTGAAACCCTGTCTCTACTAAAAATACAAAAATTAGCTGGGCATGGTGGTGGACGCCTGTAGTTCCAGCTACTTGTGAGGCTGAGAAACAAGAATCGCAGGAACCCAGGAGGCAGATGTTGCAGTGAGCCGAGATTGTGCCACTGCACTCCAGCCTGGGCGACAGAGTGAGACTCAGTCTCAAAGACATAAAAGATTGAAAACAAACAAAAACCAATAGTTAAAGTGCGTGTAACTTGGTAACTACCCATAGTTTTTTATAGCTATCTGAGTTACTGACTTGGTAACTAACCATAGTTTTTGATAGCTGAGTTACTGAACATCTACAGAGTATAGTACAGGATAGGTCCTTGCATATATGCCACGAGAAATGAAAGAGGGCAGGCTCCAGCGAGAGCCAGGATAGCCTTCTCAGCCCGCCTTCGTCTTACCCTACACCACCTAGGGCAATAAATCACAGGGCTTTAAGGTCTAGGCAGCAAGTCAGCATCTAGAGGAGCTAGTCACCTTTGCTCCACTGGTTTCTGACCCTGTCCAGAAAAAAAATCTAGTTGGAGTTTGAAAACTCAATGTTTTATACAGTAAGTGACTGGAAATGCTTCTCTCTCTTTTTTTTTTTTTAAGATGGAGTCCCACACCCAGCTAATTTTAATATTTTTAGTAGATACGGGGTTTCACCATATTGGCCAGGCTGGTCTCGAACTCCTGACCTCTTGATCCACCCGCCTCGGCCTCCCAAAGTGGTGGGATTACAGGCATGAGCCACTGCCCCGGCCTAATGCTTCTCTTATGTTAATGGGAGAGCCGGCTTTTGTCTGTTCTGTTTGCGGTTCCTGAACCTTGCCTTGCTTACATTTGAGCACGTTTTAATTTTGTAGTCACTATAAATGGGTGTGCACTCTAGATATTTAATAATTTCTGTAGTATTCTGCTGGTAGTTATAGTGATGTCTCCAGGAATGGACCTGGAGTGTCAGAAATAGGGGTTTCCCCCATGAAGGGGTGGGTTGCCCCTCCACACCTGTGGGTGTTTCTCGTTAGGTGGAACGAGAGACTTGGAAAAGAAAAAGACACAAAGTATAGAGAAAGAAATAAGGAGGCCCAGGAGACCAGCGTTCAGCATATGGAGGATCCCGCCAGCCTCTGAGTTTCCTTAGTATTTATTGATCATTCTTGGGTGTTTCTCAGAGAGGGGGATGTGGCAGGGTCAGGATAATAGTGGAGAGAAGGTCAGCAGATAAACATGTGAACAAAGGTCTCTGCATCATAGACAAGGTAAAGAATTAAATGCTGTGCTTTAGATATGCATACACATAAACATCTCAATGCCTTACAGAGCGGTATTGTTGCCTGCATGTCCCACCTCCAGCCCTAAGGCGGTTTTCCCCTATCTCAGTAGATGGAACATACAATCGGGTTTTATACCAAGACATTCCATTGCCCAGGGACGGGCAGGAGACAGATGCCTTCCTCTTGGCTCAACTGCAAAGAGGCATGCCTTCCTCTTATGCTAATCCTCCTCAGCACAGACCCTTTACGGGTGTCGGGCTGGGGGACGGTCAGGTCTTTCCCTTCCCAAGAGGCCATATTTCAGACTATCACATGGGGAGAAACCTTAGACAATACCTGGCTTTCCTAGGCAGAGGTCCCTGCGGGCTTCCGCAGTGTTTGCGTCCCTGGGTACTTGAGATTAGGGAGTGGTGATGACTCTTAAGGAGTATGCTGCCTTCAAGCATCTGTTTAACAAAGCACATCTTGTACCGCCCGTAATCCATTTAACCCTGAGTTGACACAGCACGTGTTTCAGAGAGCACGGGGTTGGGGGTAAGGTTATAGATTAACAGCATCTCAAGGCAGAAGAATTTTTCTTAGTACAGAACAAAATGGAGTCTCCTATGTCTATCTCTTTCTATACAGACACAGTAACAATCTGATCTCTCTTTCTTTTCCCCCCACCCCCACCCATTCCTACCCCTATTTCTATTGTAAATGTCTCTGCATAGTCACCCTAACAGCTACCAGCTAGAGTTCATGTTCCAAAATGCTGTGTGGTCAAATGCTAGTTTGTTTTTCTCAGCTGTGCAGTAGCATCTCTATGATGTGGCCTAGATGATAAAGGAGTAAATCAGTCCTTTGAACTAATAACCGTTATTGATTACTTTATCAGGATAATGGCGTATTAGGAAGACAGGCTTTAAGTCAGACCATGATTTTTTTTTTTCTTTTGGTGTTTCCGCCTGGTTTCCAACCAGGGACCAGACCATGATTTAAAACATGGCTCTGCCCTTTACTAGTTAGAACTCCATTTTCTCATCTGTAAAATGAACATGGTAGTAATGCTTATTCCATATGATTGTTATGTCCTTAATATTATAAGGCCTCCGTAAATATTAATAATTGTCGCGGGGTGCAATGGCTCACGCCTGTAAATCCCAGCACTTTGAGAGGCCACGGCAGGCAGATCACCTGAGGTCAGGAGTTTGAGACCAGCCTGGCCAACATGGTGAAACCCCATCTCTACGAAAAATTTAGCCAGGCATGGTGGCGCCTGCTTGTAATCCCAGCTACTCGGGAGGCTGAGGCAGGAGAATCGCTTGAACACAGGAGGCAGAGGTTGAGGTGAGCCAAAATTGTGCCACTGCACTCCAGCCTGGGTGACAGAGCAAGACTCCATCTCAGAAAAAAAAAAAAAGTCATTTTTTTTTCCTGCAATGTATTTTATTTCCAATGCTGTATTTTCCCTGCTGCTAGAGAAGTTTAATTTCTCTCTTTGATTTTTTTTTTCAGTTTGTACCCTGGAAAAATAAGGTGATAAATACAGGCAATCATTGCGAAGTAAAGAAGTCATCTATTGTCAGTTAATATATAACGAGAGAATTTAGCCTAACCAGAGGCCCATGGAAGCCAAAATCTTTCTATTCTTACACTGAACCTTCTTGCTGAGAAACAATTGAGGTCAGCTGGGCTCATGCCATAATCCCAGCCCTTTGGGAAGCTGAGACCAGATGATTGCTTGAGCCCAGGAACTCGAGACCATCATGGACAACTTAACAAGACCCTGTCTATACAAAAAAAATTTTAATTAGCTGGGTGTGGTGGCACATGCCTATGGTCCCAGCTACTTGGGAGGCTGAGGTGGGAGGATCACTGGAGCCCGAAAGTTCAAGCCCACAGTGATCCATGATTGCACCACTGCCCTCCAGGCCTGGGCAACAGAGTGAGACCCTGTCTCTAAAAAAGAAGAAATGATTGAAATCATATTTTTCAGGCTGGACTTCCAATAAAGTAGCCCTTAAAAGGATCATTCTTAAAATATTAGCCATATACAATGGTCATAATAAATGTATGTTGAGTGAAGGGGTGCAACCATGATCATATACTGCTGAACCAAGTGGTTTAAAAATTACGATTTCTTTATTTTCCCTGTGATTCTGGATAAAGATTACAATTTCTAAAGAGTTAACAATCATTACATCACAAGATCTTTATAAGTAAGGGTATAAAAATTCTTAGCCTGGGTGCAGTGGCTCACGCCTGTAATCCCAACACTTTGGGAGGCCAAGATGGGTGGATCACGTGAGGTCAGGAGTTTGAAACCAGTCTGGCCAACGTGGCAAACCCCATCTCTATTAAAAATACAAAAATTAGCCAGGCATGGTGCTGGGCGCCTGTAATCCCAGCTACTCAGGAGGCTGAGGCATGAGAATTGCTTGAATCCAGGAGGCGGAGGTTGCAGTGAGCCGAGATTGCACCACTGCACTGTAGCTTGGGCAACAGAGTAAGACTTGTCTCAAAAAGAAAAAAAAAAAAAGAAAAATTCTTAAACTCAGAATTAATGATTTCTCTTTAATAAACGCAGTAAGAATGATTGTATTAATTGACTTTCCTAAGTGTTAATTGGACAGCTAAAGAAGCAAACAGGGTGCCACTGCCTCCTGGAGAATAGCCCTCTGGATAGATCCATAGATGATCATTCAAATTCACCAACTCAGAAAAACAAGTTCCTTTGTAGAGACCGGGTTTCACCATGTTGCCCAGGCTGGCAGGCTGGTAGGCTGGTCTCCAACTCCTGGAATCAAGCAGTCCACCCGCCTCAGCCTCCCAAAGTCCAGGGAAGAATAGCCACGTTCATCCCAGCACCCCAGAACTAAGAAATAAGTTCTTTTTTTTTTTTCAGACAGAGTCTCGCTGTGTCACCCAGGCTGGAGTGCAGTGGTGCAATCTTGTATCACTGCATCCTCCACGTCCTGGGTGCAAATGATTATCCTGCCTCAACCTCCTGAGTAGCTGGGATTACAGTTGTGCACCACCATGCCCGGCTAATTTTTGTATTTTTGGTAGAGATGGAGTTTCACCACGTTGACCAGGCTTGTCTCGAATTCCTAACCTCAGGTGATCCGCCCACCTCCATTTTGGTAGACAGAGCCTCCTAAAGTGCTAGGATTACAGGCGTGAGCCACCACGCCAGGCCAGAAACAAGTTCTTTAGTTACATGCATCATTGGGAGATTGTGTGTGTTCCCAGTCTTTCCTTTTCTTTTAGGGATTTAAAGATAATTATACTTTGTCAGTTAGGCATGTCTTCAGGAAAACATAGAGAAGGTCATGTTGATTATATATCTTGGAATTGTCCAGATCCTCAGAGATTATGATATTGGTTTCCTGTCAGTTGTGCCAACAATGATAAGTAACGACCTGACGTGAAATCAAGAGAGAGGAAAGCTCTGGTCAGGCACAGTGACTCAAACCTGTAACCCCAGCATTTTGGGAGGTCGCGGTAGGCAGATTGCTTGAGTTTAGGAGTTCGAGATCAGCCTGGGCAACATGGCAAAATCCCATCTCTGCAGAAAATTAGCCAGGTGTGGTGGCGCACACCTGTAGTCCAGGCTACATAGGAGGCTGAGGCAGGAGGATCACCTGAGCCTGGGGAGGTCGAGGCTACAGTGAGCCATGATCTCACCACTGCATTCCAGCCTGGGCAACAGAGTGAGACCTAGCTCCAAAAAAAAAAAAAAGAAGAAGAGAGAGAGAGAGGAAAGCTCGAAGCTGACAGAACTCCAAAAGCTAACTAGCCTAAAGCCAAGCTGCCTAGAAACAACCATATATACCCATTAGTACACTTGGAAGAAGGCATCACATTATGGGACAGGGGATGAAAGCTCGGGGGTCAGGCAGGTAACAGAACTGAAATGGACAGGTGGGAGAGGAGTGTAGCAAGCTGACGCTGGCACGGCTGCTGAGTTCCTCTGCTCGAGCTGATCTTGTCATGCGTGATGCGATTCCAGTATTGCCAGATCTCTGGGTTTTTGTTTTTGTTTTTTTTCAAGAGAAGCCAGGAATCTAGATTTTTATGTCATATCAGATTTTTTTTTGTAAATGCTGGCACCTCATTTAACTTAGAAAAGGGAGAAAAAACACCAGGTGAAGGAAAGCCTCCCTACAGGCCAGGTGTTGCCCTGGTAGGGCGGTGGCTACTGGTGGTGAGACTGTTCCAGGACACGGAAGATGGATGATGATGTTAATAATGATGCGTCACCGTGGTGAGGCTCACCTGCTTCCTTATAACCACTGCAAGAGGCAGAAGTGTGTCGCACATTAACACCCTCTTATCCCAGTAGATCAGCAGTAGCTCTTAACCGCCTCTGGGAGTTGGCCCCTTCTGAGAGCCTAATAAACCCTATAGACTGCCTTCTAGAAACATGGACGTACCATACACAAACGCAAGCGTGGCACAGAATTCAGACTTCCCGAGGCATCTCTCCAGATACCAGTTGTAGACCCAACTTTTTATTCAGAAACCTTAGCTCTTCAGAGTGACTCAGTGCCTATGGGAACTCCTGAGGTTTTGCTGTCCTCTTCAGTTCTAAGGTGTTCAGTCTATGGTTTTAAACTTGTTTGTTTGCTGTTTTGTAGATTTTTCCAAACCCAGTCATTCTTCCCATTCGTTTTTGAACTAAGTAATTATTGCTTCTCGCCCTTTTGGCTAAGATCAACTAAACTGGGTAAATAACAGTTATGATTTCCTAAACACAAGTGTATCCATATGAATGGAGCACCAGGGGTAGGAATAGAATGATTCTCCTCCCCGCAATCCTGCCCCTACCCCCTTGTCTTTGGAGCCTTCAAGATGGAGAAAACAGTGAAGAGAAGAGTAGCTGAGAGCTGCTTCTAACGCCTGCAGCCTGCTGCTGACAGCTAGCCATATGTGCAGAGAACAACTGTAAACATCCTTAGGAGGTGGAGGCCTTCTCAAAGAGGCCTTTAATTATTAATTAGTTAATAATTAATAACCAGCATTATTGCTGGTGCAGGAGGGTGTGAACCCAGGAGGCGGAGCTTGCAGTGAGTGGAGATCGCGCCCCTGCACTCCAGCCTGGGCGACAGAGTGAGACTCCATCTCAAAAAAAAAAAAAAAAAGTATACTATAGAGGCCGGACATGGTGGCTCACGCCTGTAATCCCAGCACTTTGGGAGGCTGACGCAGGCAGATTGCCCGAGGTCAGGAGTTCAAGACCAACCTGACCAACATGGTGAAACCCCCATCTCGACTAAAAATACAAAATTAGCAGATGTGGTGGTGCCTGCCTGTAATCCCAGCTACTTAGGAGGCTGAGGCAGGAGAATCGCTTGAACCCCAGGAGGTGGAGATTGCAGTGAGCTCAGGTTGTGCTATTGCACTCCAGCCTGGGCAAAAAGAGCAAAACTCTATCACTAAAATAAAATAAAAATCAAGTGAATTGTTACCATTTATGGTAGACTTACCATGTGCCAGGCTCTGTACTAGGCACTTGACTCGAATTCTCTTCTTTAATGCTGCAAAACTCCCACTATGGTTAAGTGCTGTCATTGTCCCTCATCTATATGGTGAGCAAGCTGAGCCTCACCGCTGGTAAATGGCAGAGGTGGGGTGAGAACCCAGGCAGCCCAGCCATGGGACCTGTGTTCCTAACCACTGTGCCTCCAGAGCATGAAGCGTGAGCCCTTCCCTGCATGGCCAGTGTGGGCGGCGGAGAGCAATTTTCAGTCTTTTCCTTCACAATAGCAAGATTGAGAAACTCACCAGAAATAGTATGAATAATCATTTCTATAGCGCGTATTTACACCATACAAATTTTGAGCCACTTTCCTTCACTGTCTCTAATCCTCACAAGAAATCTTGATGGTTTGTGTACTGTGACCACCATTTCACAGTTGAGGAAACTTGATCAGAGAGCTTGAGTAACTTCTGCAGAGTCACAGAGCTAGTGACTTGGGGGAGTTAAGAGTCCAACTCCAAGATCTGTGTCATACTACTTCTCAATTTAAAAAAATTTTTAAAAATGTCTCCTAAAACCCAGATGAAAACAAGAAGAGAATGGTCCTTTGTCATTTGCTTACCTTTTGTCATTTGCTTATTAGTAATATTAGCATTTCTGTGGCACCAAGCTGGCTGGATCCAGAGGGCATGAGATGCATTTTTTGGGTTGATTTGGAGGGAAAGGGTATATTGAGCCATGGCAGATTTGGCCTGGCACAGCTAGAAAATGAGGCTTCACTCACTTCTTGGAATTGCTCGCATTAGAGCCTCTGAAGTCAAATGTTTATAAAATAATGATTGCCTAATGAGAAGGCAGATTTGTGTGCACAACAAGTGTTATTTACAGGAAGCATATCTGTTGTTACCAACCCCAGACATTTTACTAGGCCAAGAAGCTGGTTTATTTAAAGTCATAGACCTGGAAAGGTCTTTGGGAATTTAATTGAGGCCAGGCATAGTAGCTCACACCTGTAATCCCAGCACTTTGATAGGCCAAGACTGGCAGATCACTCGAGTTCAGGAGTTCGAGACCAGCCTGGCCAACATGGTGAAAACCCACCTCTACTAAAAATACAAAAATTAAAGCCAGATGTGGTGGCTCATACCTGTAATCCCAGCACTTTGGGAGGCTGAAGAGGGTGGATCACCTGAGGTCAGGAGTTCAAGACCAGCCTGGCCAACATGGCGAAAACCCGTCTCTACTAAAAATACAAAAATTAGCTGGGCCCAATGGCACGCACCTGTAATCCCAGCTACTTGGGAGGCCAAGGCAGAATTGCTTGAACCTGGCAGGCAGAGGTTGACGTGAGCCAAGATCACACCACCGCACTCCAGCCTGGCTGATAGAGTGAGACTTCGTCTCAAAAAAAAAAAAAGGAAATTTAATTGAGAACACTGAGATCAGGGAAATTTCATTTTCTAAGGAAGTTAGTGAAGGAGAATGATCCAGAAATCTCTGCCCACATCCTTCGAGTCTATGGAACCTTCCACTACACATATTATTTTGCTTTACTACATTTGAAAAGTATAACAAATAGGCCAGAAAGAAATTGAATGCTGATTATGTGGTTTATGGTATGTGGATTTTAATAAATCAAATTTGTCACTTTAAAAAATTAGAGCTCCAGCCTGGGCAATGTGGCGAAACTGCATCTCTACTAAAAATACAAAAAATTACCCGGGCATAGTAGTGCACACCTGTAGTCCCAGCTACTCAGGAGGGTGAGGTGGAGGATCACCTACCTGAGCCTGGGAAGTTGAGGCGGCAGTGAGCTGTGATTGCGCCACTGGACTCCAGCCTTGTTGAGAATGAATTAATTAATTAATTAAAATTAGAGCTTTAGTATTACAACTCCTTTACAATTTGTCTAGAAGGTTTTCTGGTCTTTATCAGAAAGCCTCCCCCACCCCCACCAAAAAAAAAAAAAAATCAGGCTGGGCACAGTGGCTCATGCCTGTAATCTCAGCACTTTGGGAGGCCAAGGCAGGCAGATCACGAGGTCAGGAGATCGAGACCATCTTGGCTAACACGGTGAAACCCCGTCTCTGCTAAAAAAATATGAAAAATTAGCTGGGTATGGTGGGTTGCACCTGTAGTCCCAGCTACTGGGGAGGCTGAGGCAGGAGAATTGCTTGAACCTGGGAGGTGGAGGTTGCAGTGAGCTGAGATCACGCCACTGCACTCCATCCTGGGCCAGAGAGCAAGACTGTGTCTCAAAAAAAAAAAAAAAAAATTAGCGCTTCAATAGAATGTCAATACTTTTATATTAACTGCTCTTCAAACAACTACTATTTGCCTTATTTTTGTCTCTGTTTTTTTTTTCTAGATTAATGATGTTTTGCAGCAGTTTTCTACGTCTGAAATTTTTTATGTCTCTGGAACCCAGAATTTGCTAAGAGATGGAGGAACCTCAGAAAAGCTATGTGAACACAATGGACCTTGAGAGAGATGAACCTCTCAAAAGCACCGGCCCTCAGATTTCTGTTAGTGAATTTTCTTGCCACTGCTGCTACGACATCCTGGTTAACCCCACCACCTTGAACTGTGGGCACAGCTTCTGCCGTCACTGCCTTGCTTTATGGTGGGCATCTTCAAAGAAAACAGAATGTCCAGAATGCAGAGAAAAATGGGAAGGTTTCCCCAAAGTCAGTATTCTCCTCAGGTAATGTTCAGCCTATATTGGTAGCACAAACAGCCCATAAAATGTGGTTTCTCTCTTGCTTTTTTTTTTTTTTTTTTAACAGAGATGGCGTCTCGCTATGTTGCCCAGGCTGGTCTCAAACTCCTGACCTCAAGTGATCCTCCCACTTCAGCCTCCCAAAGTGCTGGGATTATAGGTGTGAGCCACCATGTCCAGCCAGTGGGCTTTCTCTTAACAGGAACAGCAGTGTTTGAAAGGTCGCACACTTGGAGCCCACCTCCTTGGGGGTGGATCTTCTGGAATATGAGTCAGGGAGCTCAAGGAACTGGAAATCCAGATTCTCTTCCTCATAGGTGACCATGACTTTTTAAATTATTTATTATGAATGAAGGAAAGAAAGAAAGTCTGGTTAGCAGACCGTTGCTGGTAATCCTGTCATATAAAGGCCAGACCAGTGGCTCACGCCTGTAATCCCAACACTTTCAGAGGCTGAGGTAGGAACATTGCTTGACACCAGGAATTTAGAAGCATCCTGGGCAACACGGTGAGTCCTTATCTCTATAGAAAGTTTTAAAAATTAGCCAGGTGTGGTGGTACATGCCTATAGTCCCAGCTATGCCAGTGGCTGAGGTGGGAGGATTGCTTGAGCCTGGGAGGTCGAGGCTGCAATGAGCTCACACCACTACACTCCAGCCTGGGCAACAGAGCAAGACCCTGTCTCAAAAAAAAAGAAAGAAAGAAAGAAAGAAAGCAAATGGTATAACTGTATAATTGTGAATAACTGGTTTGTTGCTGATTTTAATAATCTTTAGATAACCCCAGTTCCAGTTATCACATTAATAGAGTTTCTCATGTGTAGCATCACAGTGCCAAAGCCACCTTTCAGATAGCTTGTTATTTTCTGCTTCTTTGGCTCATAATGTACCTGTGAAGGCTCTGAGGCTTAAATCCTCTTCCCCTCTTCTATTGTCTAACAATGTGTGTGCCCTTCTTGATTTCAACAGAGTACTAGAAAGTTCCATGAACCCAACCTTTTCTTTTTCACAAAAGATGTGTTTACACTTTGCTCTTACCTGTCAGTCTTGATTTAGCTGAAGGTTAAATTTAATCTTAAATTAAAGGAGGGTTCTTTGTGTATAACTGAACATTTAAAAAGAGCCCTACAATTTAAGCTGACAGTTGGTCTTATTACTGAATTTTGCTTTTTTCCCTTCTTATAAACTGATTTTAATAACATAAGATACATATATATACACACACATACACACACATACATACATTCATTGTTTATATTCTTTGAGACAAAGTCTCACTCTGTCGCTCAGGCTGGAGTGCAGTGGTACGACCTTGGCTCACTGCAACCTCCACCTCCTAGGTTCAAGTGATTCTCCTGCCTCAGCCTCTGGAGTAGCTGGGATTACAGGAGCCTGCTACCACGCCCAGCTAATTTTTGGGTTTTTTTGTTTGTTTTTTGTTTTTTGAGACGGAGTTTCACTCTTGTTTCCTAGGCTGGAGTGCAATGGCGTGATCTCGACTTACCACAACCTCTCCCTCTCAGGTTCAAGCAGTTTTCTCCTGCCTCAGCTTCCCTAATAGCTGGGATTACAGGCAACTGCCACCACGCCCGGCTAATTTTGTATTTTTAGTAGAGACGGGGTTTCCCCATGTTGATGAGGCTAGTCTCAAACTCCTTACCTCAGATGATCCGCCCACCTTGGCCTCCCAAAGTGCTGGGATTATAGGCGTGAGCCACCGTGCCTGGTGAATGTTTGTATTTTCAGTAGAGACGGGGTTTCACAGTTTTGGCCAGGCTGGTCTCGAACTCCTGACCTTTAGTGATCCGCCCGTCTTGGCCTCCCAAAGTGCTGGGATTACAGGCGTGAGCCACTGTGCCTGGCCAAATGCCCAGCTAAAATTTTTTTTTTTTAAGATGGAGCTTCACCCTTGTTGCCCGGGCTGGAGTGCATTGGCAAAATCTCGGCTCACTGCAACCTCCGCCTCCCAGGTTCAAGTGATTCTCCTGCCTCAGCCTCCCAAGTAGCTGGGATTACAGGCATGTGCCACCATGCCTGGCTAATTTTGTATTTTTCGTAGAGACAGAGTTTCTCCATGTTGGTCAGGCTGGTCTCATACTCCCGACCTCAGGTGATCCGCCCGCCTCAGCCTCCCAAAGTGCTGGGATTACAGGCATGAGCCCCCGCGCCCAGCCTCTTTTTAAAATATTGGAAAATTACTGATAAAACTAAAGATCCTTTTGACCCCTTATTTTCCCATCTTAGAATCCTTTCCTTTTTCCTTAGAATAATTTCAGTTATGACTTAGTTGTGCTTTTGTTCAGATTTTTTTAAATACTTTTTTTTAACTTTTTAGTAGCGATCAGGTCTCACTATGTTGCCCAGGCTGGTCTCCAACTGCTGAGCTCAAGTGAACCTCCTGCCTCAGCATCCCACAGTGCTGAGATTACAGGCGTGAGCCACTACACCCAGCCTCAGATTTTTCAAAATACTCTTTTTTGAGACAGAGTCTCGCTCTGTTGCCCAGGCTGGAGTGCAATGGTGCGATCTCAGCTCACTGCAACCTCCTCCTCCCAGGTTCAAGCGATTCTCCTGCCTCAGCCTCCCAAGTAGCTGGGATTACAGGCGCCCACCACCACACCCGGTTGATTTTTGTATTTTTAGTAGAAACAGGGTTTTACCATGTTGGCCAGGCTGGTCTGGAACTCCTGACCTTAAGTGATCTGCCCACCTCGGCCTCCCAAAGTGCTGGGATTACAGGCGTGAGCCACCACGCCCGGCTTAAAAATACTTCTAAACATACATGTGCCAGGCTGGGTGCGGTGGCTCATGCCTGTAATCCCAGTACCTTGGGAGGACCGAGGCAGGCGGATCTCATGAGGCCAGGAATTCAAGACCAGCCTAGCCAACATGACCAAAAATACAAAAATTAGCCTGGTGTAATGGCGCATGCCCATAATCCCAGCTACTCAGGAGGCTGAGACATGAGAATCACTTGAAGGACACGGAGGTTGCGGTAAGCTGAGATCATGACATTACACTCCAGCCTGGGTGACAGAGCAAGACTCTTGTCTCAAAAAAAAAAAAAAACAAGTGCCAATAGAAAATGCAAGTATTTTCTCACATCATTGATGTGCTCTCTGCATGGTTCTGCAGTTTACTATTTTAAATCAATTATGTACGTCTTAAATTTCTCCACCTTGACACATTTAGTGATCCAGCAAATGCATTTAAAATTGTGATACTTCATTGTATGAATATACCATATTTCATTTAGCCTTTTACCTAGTAGTAAATGTATATCATCAGGTTGGTGCACAAGTAATTGCAGTTTTTACCATTGAAAGTAATGGTAGGCTGGGTGCAGTGGCTCATGCCTCTAATCTTAGCACTTTGGGAGGCCCCGGTGGGCAGATTGCCTGAGCTCAGGAGTTCAATACCAGCCTGGGCAACATAGTGAAACCCTATCTCTACTAAAAATACAAAAAAAAAGTTATCCGGGTATGGTGGTGTGCACCGGTGAGCCAAGATCACGCCATTGCACTCCAGCCTGGGCGACAGAGTAAGACTCCGTCTCAAAAAAACAAAAGGAGAAAGTAATGGTAAACAACCTAATAGATTATTTCAGATTTTTTGCTTTTACCCACAGGACTATAATACATTTCTTGTCAGTTCTCCTAGGGTAGCTATATATTATTAGATGTTGACTATCAGGGCTTTTTTGGCCTCTAAACATGATATTTAGTCAAACAACTGTCTTAATTTTTTTTTTCTATTCTCCATAGGGATGCCATTGAAAAGTTATTTCCTGATGCCATTAGACTGAGATTTGAAGACATTCAGCAGAATAATGACATAGTCCAAAGTCTTGCAGCCTTTCAGAAATATGGGAATGATCAGATTCCTTTAGCTCCTAACACAGGCCGAGCGAATCAGCAGATGGGAGGGGGATTCTTTTCCGGTGTGCTCACAGCTTTAACTGGAGTGGCAGTAAGTTGATCACTGTGTTCCTCTGTGCCCCCCCACACCTCACCCCCCGACCCCTGATTTCCACTGAAGTCAGTTCTGTTGAAATCACTGAAATAATTGATGATGTGACTCCATGTAATTTACTACGTACATTGAAATCTGCTGGGTTCTATGATTTCCTCAGGAATGTTGCTTACTCAGGTAGATCAGATCATAGTACCTAGTAAATGGAGAAAGGTGGTAGAACTGGAATTCAAGACCATGTCTGCCTTGGTAATACAATCTTTTTTTGTTTTGTTTTGTTTTTGAGACGGACTCTTGCTCTGTCGCCCAGGCTGGAGTGCAGTGGTGCGATCTAGGTAAAAACTTTCTTTTAGGGTGGTGAAAATGAACTAAAACCAGCTGTGGTGATGATGACACATATTTGTGAACACATTAAAAACCGTGGATTGTGTGCACTTCAAATGTGTGAATTTTATGTGGATTACATCTCTTGCTCTTTTTTTTTTTTTTTTTTTTTTTGAGATGAAGTCTTGCCCTGTTGCCTAGGCTAGAGTGCGGTGGCATGATCTCGGCTCACTGCCACCTCCACCTCCCGAGTTCAAGTGATTCTTCTGCCTCAGCTTCCCAAGTAGCTGGGATTACAGGCATGCGCCACTACAAGAGGCTAATTTTTGTGTGATTAGTAGAGATGGGGTTTCACCATGTTGGCCAGGCTGGTCTGGAACTCCTGACCTCAAGTGATCCACCCGCCTCAGACTCCTCAAGTGCTGGGATTATAGGCGTGAGCCACCACGCCTGGACCTCCTTGGTAATACAGTCTTAAGAACCCACCAGTTTACTAACTTCCAATGTGGAGACTATTTTCTTTTAAAGTTCTGTGCATAAAAAATCTAAATGTTTTTCCAGTAGAAAAGGCACAAGTCAGTTATGTTGAGCAAGTTGATGGAGTCAAGGCACCACCTGCTCCCAGGTGCCTGAGATAAGTCCTTTTCTCGCCTCTGTGCCCTCACTGCCACGCAATCAGCAGAGAGAGGCACCCGAGGAGAGCTGTGGTCCCCAGTTCTCTGTGGCCGTGGCGTTGCCCTGCTTTTGTTGCCCTGCTTCTGTGTACGGGCTCCGCATCATTCCCTGTGAGCTCAGCCTCTTCCTTTCCCCACCTCCCACCCGCATATTTAGAAACTGGCATCTCTGCCTCTCCATGGTTTAAAGTCCCTGTCACTTTTCCCCAGGTGGTCCTGCTCGTCTATCACTGGAGCAGCAGGGAATCTGAACACGACCTCCTGGTCCACAAGGCTGTGGCCAAATGGACGGCGGAAGAAGTTGTCCTCTGGCTGGAGCAGCTGGGCCCTTGGGCATCTCTTTACAGGGAAAGGTTTTTATCTGAACGAGTAAATGGAAGGTGAGGAGCAAAGTCTTCTGACACACCGTGGACATTTTAGAAAACAGCTTTCTTGAGATATAATCCAGGCCAGGCGCGGTGGCTCACACCTGGATCCCAGCACTTTGGGAGGCCGAGGCGGATCGATCATTTGAGGTCAGGAGTTCCAGACCAGCCTGACCAATATGATGAAACCCCATCTCTACTAAAAATACAAAAAAAAAAAATTGGCCAGGCTTGGTAGTGCACACCTTGTAATCCCATCTATTCGGGAGGCTGAGACAGGAGAATCACTTGAACCCAAGAGGTGGAGGTTACAATGAGCCAAGATCATGCCACTGCACTCCAGCCTAGGCAACAAGGCAAGACTCCATCTCAAAAAGAGAGAGAGAGAGATGTAATCTACATAAAATTCACACGTTTGAAGTGCACAATCCATGGTTTTTAATGTGTTCACAAATAGTGTGATTATCACCACAGCTGGTTTTAGAACATTTTCATCACCCTAAAAGAAAGCTTTTACCCTTCAGTCAATCCTCATTTCTCCCCAACCCCCAGCCCCTGGCAAACACCATTCTACTTTCTGTCTTTATGGATTTGTCTATTCTGGACGTTTGATATAAATGGATTCATACAATGCGTGGTATTTTGTGTCTGGCTTTTTCACTTAGCATAATCTTTTTCAAGGTTTACCCGTGACATAACATGTATCAGTACTTCATTCCGTTTTATGGCTGAGTAATAATTCTACTGTAAGAGTATACCGTATTTTGTTTATCCATTCATTGGTTGATGGACATTTGGGCTGATTCCATTTTTTGGCTATTATGAATAATGATGCTATGATCGTTCATGTGCAGATTCTTGCATGAACATGTATTTTCAATACTGTCTTGGAGTGGAATGACTGAGTCATATGGTAACTCTATTCAGACTCTATGTTTAACTGTCAAACTATTTTCCACAGCAGCTACACCGTTTAATGTCCATGACATTTAAATTTCTTTGTTGCTTCCGGATTATCAAATTGTGTAAGGAAAAATTCTCTCTAATCACAAGAATCAACACAGAAGACTTTTGTGACCAAATATGTGGGGTTCTCCTGCACACACCCAGCAGGAGACACCAGCTGGATGTCCTCTAATTCAGTTCCCACACTGTCTACCCAGAGATAGTGTGAGATCCCACAGGGTGAGGGCTCTGTCCCCAAGACTGCCCCTGACTAATTCTAGTCAGAAATCCAGGCTTCCAGAATTTCTGACCCACCAGCTTCAAGTTGGGGTTCCCATGATTCCCTCTTTGGGTTCAATTAATTTGCTGGAGCAGCTCACAGAACTCAAGGAAACACGTACTTTCACTGGTTTATTATAAAGGATATTGCAAAAGATACAGATAAAGAGACACTTAGGGCAAGGTATGGGGGAAGGGGCACAGAGCTTCCATGCTCTCCACGGGTGCACTCCCCTCCAGGAACCTCACATGCTCAGCTATCCAGAAGCTCACTGAATCCTGTCCCCTGGAGTATTGTGTTTTTGTTTTTGTTTTTTCAGACAGGGTCTCACTCTGTAGCCCAGGCTGGAGTGCAGTGGCACAACCTCAACTCAACTGCAATCTCTGTGTTTAGGGCTCAAGGAGTCCTACCTCAGCCTCCCAAGTAGCTGGGACTGCAGGCACATGCCATCAGGCCCAGCTAATTTTTGTATTTTTAATAGAGACAGGGTTTTGCCATGTCGCCCAGTCTGATCTTGAACTCCTGGACTCAAACAATCCACCCGCCTGAGCTTCCCAAAATGTTGTGATTATAGGCATGAGCCCCCGCACCCTCCTCATGGAAGATTCTTAAGACCCACAATCAGAAAGGTAGGAAAAGATTAGAGTGAAAGGAGAGCAGGAGGTCAGATGCCTGTACTGAGGCCTGACATGCCCAATTTTTTTTTTTTTTTTTTTTTTTTTAGATGGAGTCTCGCTCTGTCCTTCAGGCTGGAGTGTAGTGGTGTGATCCTGGCTCACTGCAACCTCCGCCTCCTGGGTTCAAGCGATTCTCCTGCCTCAGCCTCCCGAGTAGCTGGCACTGCAAGTGCCTGCCACCACGCCCGGCTAATTTTTGTATTTTTAGTAGAGATGGGGTTTTACCATGTTGACCAGGCTGGTGTTGAACTACTGACCTCAGGTGATCCACCGCCTTGGCCTCCCAAAGTGCTGGAATTATAGGCGTGAGCCACCGTGCTAGGCCTCCAACATTCTAACACAGATTGGAATAAGGGATACAGCAGCTATGAGCCGGGAACTATGGACGAAAGCCAATATGTAACACCACATTAATATATATTTTTATTTTTTTTTTTGAGATGGAGTCTTACTCTGTCTCCCAGGCTGGAGTGCAGTGGCAGCGATCTCAGCTCACTGCAACCTCCACCTCCCAGTTTTGGGTGATCCTCCTGCCTCAGCTTCCCGAGTAGCTAGGATTATAGGCGCCTGCCATCATGCGTGGCTAATTTTTGTATTTTTAGTAGAGATGGGGTTTCGCCATGTTGACCAGGCTGGTCTGAAACTCCTGACCTCTGGTGATCCACCCACCTCGGCCTCCCAAAGTGCTAGGATTACACGTGTGAGCCACCACACCTGGCAAATATATATTTTTATTTTTAAAAAAATAATAACTATGTGATATTGAAAGTGACATACTCTTGTAATCCTACTCTTCAGAAAACAATTTATCTTGCTAGACACCTTTCCAGATGTTTCAGTACTTACACAGATATAAATGTGTTTTTTTTAATTTAAACTGAAAATATGATTGTACTAAACAGACATGTGTTTGTATGTATACATGTATATATATATTTACATCTATATCCACCCCCTAAGGGTGTTACGTATAACATCACACAGTGATAAGAGCAGCCTCTCTCCCTGATTCATTTGTTTCAGACACCCACTTCACCCACTGCCTGGCTGCCTGACTGCCACCCCTCCTACTCCAGTGACTTTTTCTCTCCTCTCCACTCAGTTTTCAGCACTTGACTGACTCTGTTTTGAGGAAATGGCATGCTCCTACTTTAATTAGCTTTATATAGAAATTCACCTCCCGCAAAATTATGGTATAAAAATTTCTCTACCTAGTTAGTACAATGTATTTTTACATAGCTTTCTAGAGGACAAATTCCTGGAACTGGAATTGCTGGGCCAAAGATAGTAAATCTGTACAAATTTAATAAGCATCACCAAATTACCCATAAAAGGACGATCAATTTACACCACTCAACCAGTAGTTGCATATGCCTGTTAATAGCTCTCCGGCCAGCTTACAGTGATGTTTTTAAGGATGAATCACTGTGGAGGGGAATTTGTGTTTTCTTGTGTGTGTTTTTTTTAATTTAATTTTTATTTTTTTGAGACAGTTTCACTCTTGTTGCCCAGGCTGGAGTGCAGTGGCGTGATCTTGGCTCACTGCAACCTTCACCTCCTGGGTTCAAGCGATTCTCCTGCTTCAGCCTCCTGAGTAGCTGGGATTACAGGCACACGCCACCATGCCCGCCTAATTTGTATTTTTAGTAGAGACGAGGTTTCACCACGTTGGCCAGGCTGGTCTCAAACTCCTGACCTCAGATGATCTACCTGTGCCTCAGCCTCCCAAAGTGCTGGATTACAGGCATGAGCCACCGCCCCCAGCCAGAATTTGTGTTTTCTGATGAGGAAAGCAGATACGGGATCTCCAATTATTTTTATTAAATTAAATCCCTACCTTAAAACAACTACTCTTTTTTCTTCAAGAGACAGAGTCTCTTTCTGTCACCAAGGCTAGAGTGCAGTAGCAGTATCATAGCTCACTACAGCCTCAAAGTCCTGGGCTCAAGCAATCCTCTTGTCTCAGCCTCCCAAGTAATTAAAACGACAGGTGCATGCCACCATGCCTGGCTAATTTTTCTGGAGAGACAGGGTCTCACTGTGTTGCCCAGGCTGGTCTCAAACTCCTGGGCTCAAGTGATTCTTCTGCCTCAGCCTACCAAAGTACTGGGATTATAGGTGTGAGCCACTGTGCCCATCTAAGAACTTTTTTTTTTTTTTTTTTTTTTTGAGGCGGAGTCTTGCTCTGTCACCCAGGCTGGAGTGCAACAGTGTGATCTCGGCTCACTGCAAGCTCCGCCTTCCGGGTTCACGCCATTCTTCTGCCTCAGCCTCCCGAGTAGCTGGGACTATAGGCGCCTGCCACGACACCTGGCTAATTTTTTGTATTTTCAGTAGAGACGGGGTTTCACCGTGTTAGCCAGGATGGTCTTGATCTCCTGACCTCGTGATCTGCCCGCCTCGGCCTCCCAAAGTGCGAACTATTCTTAATGTTGTAATGTTTTATTGGATTTCCTTCTAATTTTTCCTATACATACACACAGTTTTAAAAATAGAGTAATATAAAAAAATAAATAAAAATAGAGTAATATGTGAGAGGTCAGAGCGTATAACTGAAAGATCAAAGGCTTAGGAACAAAACAGACCTAGGAGTGCCTTGGGAAAGTCACCTTATTTCTCTAAGTGAGTTTTCCTTTTTTTTTTTTTTTTTTTTTTTTTGAGATGGAGTCTCACTCTGTTGCCTGGGCTGAAGGCTGGAGGGCAGTGACGAGATCTTAGCTCACTGCAACCTCCGCCTCCCAGGTTCAGGCAATTCTCATGCCTCAGCCTCCCAAGTAGCTGGGATTACAGGTGCACGCTAATTTTTGTACTTTTAGTAGAGACGTGGTTTCACCATGTTGGCTGGGCTGGTGTTAAACACCTGATTTCAAGTGATCTGCCTGCCTCAGCCTCCCAAAGAGCTGGGATTATAGGCATGAGCCACTGCACCCAGCCAAAGCGAGTTTTCTGATCTACAAAAGCAGCATAATGCCACTACCCTGAATAATTGTTATATGGATCAGTGATGACTTATGAAAGTATTTATAGATTGTCACTGGTAAATAGTAAGCATTCAATTATTTGCTGCTCTTGATGTTGTTAAATGTGAAATGTCTCACCATACCTCAAGCCTACAATATTTATATTAGTAAGATGGAACTCTGAGTGTAGAGAGTTTGCTTCCAGTATATAATCGCAAAATAAATCTCCTCCTGCCCCTCTACAGGTTGCTTTTAACTTTGACAGAGGAAGAATTTTCCAAGACGCCCTATACCATAGAAAACAGCAGCCACAGGAGAGCCATCCTCATGGAGCTAGAACGTGTCAAAGCATTAGGCGTGAAGCCCCCCCAGAATCTCTGGGAATATAAGGTGAACACTTTAATTTTTTTTTTTTTTTTTTACTTTTTATTTTTATTTTTTGTTAATTTTTTTTAATTTCAGGGTTTTCTTTTTTATTTTTGACAGTTTATGTACTTATTTATTTATTTATTTTATTTTGAGACAGAGTCCTTCTCTGTCGCCCAGGCTGGAGTGCAATGGCGCAATCTCAGCTCAGTGCAACCTCTGCCTCCCAGGTTCAAGTGATTATCCTACCTCAGCCTCCAGAGTAGCTGGGATTACCCTACCCAGCTAATTTTTTCTTTCTTTTTTTTTTTTTTCTGGCTCACTGCAACCTCCACCTCCCAGGTTCAAGCGATTCTCCTACCCCAGCCTCACCAGCAGCTGGGATTACAGGCACACGCCACCACACCAGGCTAATGTTTATGTTTCTAGTAGAGATGGTTTCAGGATGTTGGCCAGGCTGATCTCAAACTCCTGACCTCAGGTGATCCACCTGCCTCCTGACCTCAGCCTCCCAAAGTGCTGGGATTACAGGCGTCAGCCACCGCGCCTGGCCTGTTTTACAAATAAATAAGGAAAGAGACACTTACATGTTTTGGGGACCTTGAATTGTTGGAATATCACTGGAGGACAATTTGTCAATAACATTTCAGTTTAAACCGCATCTGCTCTTTAAGCCAGCATTTCACTCCTTTGCACTTGGAATGGAGGCAGCACAGCACGGTGGTCAAGAGTGAGGCTCTGGGCTGGTCACCGTGGCTCACAACTGTAATCCCAGCACTTTGGGAGGCCGAGGCGGGGGGATGACCTGAGGTCAGCAGTTTGAGACCAGCCTGGCCAACGTGGTGAAACCCCGTCTCTACTAAAATCACAAAAATTAGCTGGGAGTGGTGGCACACTCCTGTAGGTCCATTTACTTGGAGGCAGGAGAAATGCTTGAACCTGGGAGGTTGAGGCTGCGGTAGCCGAGATCACACCGCTGCATGGCAGCCTAGGGGACAGAGCAAGACTCCGTCCCAAAAAAAAAAGCAAAGAACAGAAACAAAAAGAGTAACGCTGTGGGCTGGGCATGGTGGTTCACAACTATAATGCTAGTACTTTGGAAGGCTGAGGTGGGAGGATTGCTTAGCTCAGGAGTTCAAGACTAGCCTGGGTAACATGGCAAGACCCCATCTCTACAAAAAGTACAGACACAAAAAAAATTAGTTGAGTGTGGTGATGCCAGCCATTTGCGAGGCTGAGGCTGCGCTAAACCATGATCGAACCACTGCACTCCAGCCTGGGCAAGAGAGTTGAGACCCTGTTTCAGAAAAAAAAAAAAAGGCCCTGGCACTAGCCTGCCTGGGCCAGCTCCTCCAAGACACACCACCTGTTGGAACACCAGCAAGTACCTGCACCTCTCCTTGCCTGTTTCCTCCTGGGTAAATAACCTTAGAGGGTCATTGTGAGACTCCAATGTTTGATTAACGGAAAGTTGTTAAACAAGTTATTCACGGCAGCATTGTTGGTAATTGCAGGGAGTAGAAAACAACCTAAGTGCCCCTCATTAGGAACAAGTTGAATAAACAAGGCACACCCATGTAGGCAGCCACCGGAAAAGGAGACAAAGACTTTGTGTTAATAAGGAACAAAGTCCTGTAATCCATAAGGAACAAAGTCCTGTAATCCCAGCACTTTGGGAGGCCGAGGCAGGCTGATCACTTGAGGCCAGGAGTTCCAGACCAGCCTGACCAACATGGTGAAACCCCATCTCTACTAAAAACACAAAAATTAGCCAGGTGTGGTGGTGCATGCCTATAATCCCAGCTACTCAGGAGGCTACGGCAGGAGAATTGCTTGAACTAAGGAGGTGGAGGTTGCAGTGAGCTGAGATGGTGCCACTGCACTCCAGCCTGGGTGACAGAGTGAGACACTGTCTCAAATGAAGAAAGAAATAAAAAATGCTTCTGTAATATGTGCGTGTATTACTTTAATAACTAGTTTCAAATATTGTAAAGAATGTGCGTGGAGCTCCTGAAATAGAATGTTTGTTATTTTTTGTGTTATTTGGTTTTTGTTTTTGTTTTGTTTTGTTTTGTTTTTTGAGAGGGTGTCTCGCTCTGTCGCCCAGGCTGGAGTGCAGTGGCGCGATCTCAGCTCACTGCAAGCTCTGCCTACTGGGTTCACGCCATTCTCCTGCCTCAGCCTCCCAAGTAGCTGGGACTACAGGCGCCCACCACCGTGCCCGGCTAATTTTTTTATTTTTTGGTAGAGACGAGCTTTCACCATGTTAACCAGGGTAGTCTGGATCTCCTGACCTTGTGATCCGCCTGCCTCGGCCTCCCAAAGTGCTGGGATTACAGGTGTGAGCCACCGCGCCTGACCTGTTTTTGTTTTTTTGAGACAGAGTCTCACTGTTTCCCAGACTGGAGTGCAGTGGTGCGACCTTAGCTCACTACAACCTCTGCCTTCCAGGTTCAAGCAATTCTCATATCTCACCCTCCAGAGTAGCTAGGAATACATGCAGGTGCCACCATGCCCAGCTAATTTTGTATTTTTAGTAGAGGCGGAGTTTTGCCATATTGGCCAGGCTAGTCTTGAACTCCTGACCTCAGGTGATCTGCCCGCCTCAGCCTCCCCAAAGTGCTGGGATTACAGGCGTGAGCCACTGCGCCCAGCCAAGCTGCCATATTTTTCATAGGTAAATATTTCAGCATTAATCTCTTAAAAAAAAATTTTTTTTTGAAATGGAGTCTCACCATGTTGCCCAGGCTGGTCTCAAATTCCTGGTCAAGTAATCCTCCCACCTCAACCTCCCAAGTAGCTGGGGCTACAGGCACAGGCTACTGAAGCAGCTACATTGCCTGGGGAACTGGGGTTTGTCATCTTGCACCAGGAAAATTTAGGACACAGACACACAAGAGTTGAGCAGAGGTTTAATAGGCAAAAGTAAGAGAAAGGAAAACAGCTCTGTCTCTAGCAAGAGAGAGGGGACTTCCAAGAGGAAAAGACTGGCAGGCAGCAGATGTGCTGGATTTTTTAGTCAGTTTTGAGGAGGCGGTGTCTGATTTACATAGGGCTCACAGATTGGTTCGATCAGGTATGATGTTTCCACAGTGCACAGGAAGGGTGGTCACCCCACCCTAATCTTATTATGCAAAGGAACTTTCTGTCCCCTTGGCTGGTGCTATCTTGTCTGCTCCTTACTGTACTGTACATGTGGCTGACAAAGAGAAGGGAAGATGGAGCTTCTGTCTTGAACATGATTGACATAACTGCCAGCATCTGTGTCTGCAGTTCCATTTTACAGGCTGCTGTTTGTTAGAAAGGAAAATGATTTGAGGCTGCTTTTCATTAAAAGGAAAACCTCCATCCTGGCTAACACAGTGAAACCCCATCTCTACTAAAATACAAAAAAAAATTAGCTGGGCGTGGTGGTGGGCGCCTGTAGTCCCAGCTACTGGGGAGGCTGAGGCAGGAGAGTGGCGTGAACCCGGGAGACGGAGCTTGCAGTGAGCCAAGATTGTGCCACTGCACTCCAGCCTGGGTGGCAGACCGAGACTCCATCTGAAAAAAAAAAAAGGAAAACCTTAATGAGGGCTCCCTTACCCTCACTATCTGCCTAAGTAACTTCTTCTTCACTCCTGTATCACTACCATGTCCTGCTTGAAAAGTAAGGACTTTTCAAAAGACAAAATTACAATATCACCATTGTACACCCCTCCACCAATTAATAGTAATTATGATTTTTTTTTTTTTTCTGAGATGGAGTTTTGCTCTTGTCATCCAGGCTGGAGTGCAATGGCGCGATCTCAGCTCACTGCAAACTCCACCTCCCAGGTTCGAGCGATTCCCCTGCCTCAGCCTCCTGAGTAGCTGGGACTACAGGTGTGCGCCTCCATGCCAAGCTAATTTTTTGTATTTTTAGTAGGGACGGGGTTTCACCGTGTTGGCCAGGCTGATCTCAAACTGCTGACCTCAGGTGATCCACCCGCCTCAGCCTCCCAAAGTGCTGGGATTATAGGCGTGAGCCACCATGCCCAGCCTGTAGTATGCAATTTGGTTTTTTTTGTTTTTTTTTGTTTTTTGTTTTTTTTTGAAACAGAGTCTCGCTCTGCCTCCAGGATGGAGTGCAGTGGCATGATCTTGGCTCACTGCAACCTCCACCTCCCAGGTTCAAGCGATTCTCCTGCCTCAGCCTCCCAAGTAGCTGGGACTACAGGTGCCCACCACCACACCGGCTAATTTTTTTTGTATTTTTAGTCGAGACAGGGTTTCACCATGTTGGTCAGGCTGGTCTCGAACTCCTGACCTCAGGCAATCTGCCTGCATCAGCCTCCCAAAGTGCTGGGATTACAGGCGTGAGCCACCATGTCCGGCCTCTATAGTATACTTCTTTTTTTTTTGAGATGGAGTCTCACTCTGTCGCCCAGGCTGGAGTGCAGTGGCGCAATCTCCACTCACTGCAAGCTCCGCCTCCTGGGTTCACACCATTCTCCTGCCTCAGCCTCCCCAGTAGCTGGGACTACAGGCACCCGCCACCATGCCCGGCTAATTTTTTGTATTTTTAGTAGAGACGGGATTTCACCGTTTTAGCCAGGCTGGTCTCAATCTCCTGACCTCAGGTGATCTGCCTGCCTCAGCTTCCCAAAGTGCTGGGATTACAGGCTGAGCCACCACGCCCGGTCTCTATAGTATACATTTCTAAAGAGAAAGAATCTTTTTAAAAATGCAATCATCATCACACTTTTTAAAAATCTAACAGTAAGTTATTCATAGCATCAGCTAAATTGAATGTTTTAACAGTTTTTATTGAGGTAAAATTGATATACACCTACTTAAAGTGTACGATGTGATAAGTTTTCACATATGCACACCCATGAAAGCATCACACGATGAAGATGGGGAACATCTCCGTCACTCCCAGAAGTTTCCTCCTGCCCCTGTTAAGCCTTCCCTCCCAGCCCTCCCAATTCCAACAAGGATGCAGTGATCTCCACTGGACACTGGGGATTTAATTTGCATTTCTCATTTAATTCACATTCACATGCTTATTTGCCATCCTTATATCTTCTGTGGTAAACTGCTCATTTTATTTTGATGCTACTAAGAATCAAATAAATTGAATCTTTTTTCTTTTTGAGATGGAGTTTTGCCCTTGTTGCCCACGCTGGATTTCAATGGCAAGATCTTGGCTCACTGCAACCTCTGCCTCCCGGGTTCAAGTGATTGTCCTGTCTCAGCCTCCCGAGTAGCTGGGATTACAGGCACATGCCACCAAGCCTAGCTAATTTTTGTATTTTTAGTAGACAGGGTTTCATCATATTGGTCAGGCTGGTCTCGAACTCCTGACCTCAGGTGATCCTCCTGCCTTGGCCTCCCAAAGTGCTGGGATTACAGGTGTGAGCCACCGCACTCGCGCCTTTTTTTTTTTTTTTTTAAAGAAACGAGGTCTTACGCCAGGCGTGGTGGCTCACACCTGTAATCCCAGCACTTTGGGAGACCGAGGCAGGTGGATCACCTGAGGTCAGGAGTTCGAGACCAGCCTGGCCAACATAGTGAAACCCAGTGTCTACTGAAAATACAAAAATTAGCCAGGCGTGGCATTACTCACTTGTAATCCCAGCTACTTGGGAGGCTGAGGCAGGAGAATTGCTTGAACCTGGGAGGTAGACGTTGCAGTGAGCCAAAAATGCACCATTGCACTCCAGCCTGGGCGACAGAGCAAGACTCTGTCTCAAAAAAATAAAAAAATTAAGAGACTGGGTCTTGCTTTGTTGCTCAGGCTGGTCTTGAACTCCTGGCCTCAAGCAATCCTCTTGCCTCCCAAAGTGTTAGGATTACAGGCGTGAGCCACCACGCTTACCCTGAATAATCTATTCAGTTACTTTTATAATAAGGAAGTAAACATTCACTGTAGTAAAACTTGATTTAAAAAACTGAAGAAAATGAAAATGGCTATGTGAATTCCATGTTAAGTATCTGCTGTAACTGTAGATTTCACTGGTTTCACTATTACACTCAGTGTAGTACTAAACATCTTGTATATAAAATCTGTATTTCAGATTATTTGCATTAAGTGGTGCCCACTTACAGACTGATTGAATTAAACAATTTTAAGACTCTTTGATACCTTTTTCAAAATAGCTTTTTAAAAAGGCTATATTCTGCAAGCAGGGTGCAAGAGTATGCTTTTCACCCCTCCCCCCAGCTAGAGCTAGAGATTGGATCTTTTTTTTTTTTTTTTTTTTTTTTTTTTGAGCTGGAATCTCACTGTATTGCATAGGCTGGAGTGCAGTGGTATGATCTCGGCACACTGCAACCTCCACCTCCCAGGTTCAAGCGATTCTCCAGCCTCAGCCTCCTGAGTAGCTGGGACTACAGGGCATGAGCCACCATGCCCAGCTAATTTTTTTATTTGTAGTACAGACAGCATTTCACCATGTTGGCCAGGCTGGTCTCAAACTCCTAACCTCAAGTGATCCGTCCACCTCGGCCTTCCCAAGTGTTGGGATTTACAGGCGTGAGCCACCATGCTCCGCCAAGATCGAATCTTTATACAATGTAACCCCAAATGTGGATCACTTGGCCTCTTCTTGCCGTTCATTCATTCATGCATTGTGTGTACCATGCAAAAAGGCTGATGGCAACAAGCGAGAGATGGGAAGGAGCGTGGGTGGGTAGCTGGCCGCCATGGTTGTAATGTGGCCCTGTACTCTTCTCCTCTGCAGGCTGTGAACCCAGGCAGGTCCCTGTTCCTGCTATACGCCCTCAAGAGCTCCCCCAGGCTGAGTCTGCTCTACCTGTACCTGTTTGACTACACCGACACCTTCCTACCTTTCATCCACACCATCTGCCCTCTGCAAGAAGACAGCTCTGGGGAGGACATCGTCACCAAGCTTCTGGTAGGTCTGCACAGTGCCTGGAATAAAGTTATTCCACTGTCAAGTTATTTGCAGAGATTGCTACCCACCATGGGTGCCATGTTTCTTCAGTTTGACCCATGAACTCCTTCAGAATGTCTGGTAGGTCATTTGAGAGTAATATCCTTTGCTTTGCTTCTCTTGGGGCCAGTACTTCTGACCTGTTCATATCAAGTCACATGCATAGAGGAATCATCAAGTATCATCCACACCCATAAATAATAACACAGAATTTTGAAATCTCCAGAGATCCTTTTTTTCCCCCAAAGACCCTTGTAAACACTACAATCAAGTGCTGGCTAACTGGTTTCAGCCTTGAATATAGTCTGAAGCCTGCTAATCGGCTCCCTTGCACATTCCTCCCCTAATTACCCAGTCTCCACTTGCTGTTTACCTCACCAGACTGGCTGTGCAGAGACCCTGACCTTTAATTTTATTTATTGATTGATTGTTTGAGATTGGGTCTCATTCTTTCTCCCAGGCTGGAGTACAGTGGCACAATCACAGCTCACTGCAGCCTCGACCTCCTGGGCTCAAGCGATCTTCACACCTCAGCCTCCCAAGTAGCTGGGACTACAGGCGAGCACCACCACCCAGCTAATTGTTGCATTTTTTGCAGAGACAGGGTTTCACCATGTTGCCCAGCCTGGTCTTGAACTCCTGAATTCAAACCATCCTCCTGTAGCAGGAAGAGCTGCAGACAAAACCCCTCAGACACCGAGTTAAAGAAGGAAGGGATTTATTTGTCCGGGAGCGTCGGCAAGACTCCTGTCTCAAGAGCCGAGCTCCCCGAGTGAGCAATTCCTGTCCCTTTTAAGGGCTCACAACTCTAAGGGAGTCCACATGAGAGGGTCGTGATCAATGGAGCAAGCAGTGGGATACGTGACTGGGGGCTGCATGCGCCGGTAATCAGAACAGAAGAGAATACGACAGGGATTTTTACAGTGCTTTTCCATACAATGTCTGGAATCTATAGATAACATAACTGGTTAGGTCAGGGGTCGATCTTTAACTACCAGGCCCAGAGCGCAGCGCCGGGCTGTCTGCCTGTGGATTTCATTTCTGCCTTTTAGTTTTTACTTCTTTCTTTGGAGGCAGAAATTGGGCATAAGACAACATGAGGGGTGGTCTCCTCCCTTACTCCCACCTTGCCCTCCCAAAGTGTTGGGATTAGAGGCGTGAGCCACTGCACCTGGCACCCAGCCCTTCAATTTTAACGAGCTCCAACAGCCTCTGCCTGTTCATCAGGCTAATTTTTTTTTTTTTGAGACAGAGTCTCGCCCTGTCGCCCAGGCTGGAGTGCAGTGGCGCAATCTTGGCTCACTGCAACCTCCATCTCCCGGGTTCATGCCATTCTCCTGCCTCAGCCTCCTGAGTAGCTGGGACTACAGGCGCCCGCCACCACACCCGGCTAATTTTTTGTGTTTTTAGTAGAGATGGGGTTTCACTGTGTCAGCCAGGATGGTCTTGATCTCCTGACCTCGTAATCCGCCCTCCTCAGCCTCCCAAAGTGCTGGGATTACAGGCGTGAGCCACTGTACCTGGCCATCATCAGGCTAATTTTTTATCTGCTAATATGTGTAATTGAAAAGCTTCTCCTCCTGCCATCACAAAAAAAATTACCTTTTTTTGGAGGGAGGAGGGAGTGTTTGTAATTTTCCCAGAAACTACCATTATTCTACCATAGCCAATGTTGAATTTAGGAAATGGTTCAAGCTACCATTTGGGTAGCTTGATGGGAGAATAACTGGTTAATTTAAATTTATTTCAATGTATTCATAATTCATGCTTTTTTTTTTCTGAGCTTCCACAATTATATGACAAGCATTTCATTTCAACCTTTTTGCTAACATTTACTTAATTTGAGATTAATTACGGCCGGGTGCGGTGGTTCACTCCTATAATCCAAGCACTTTGGGAGGCAGAGGCGGGCAAATCACCTGAGGTCAGGAGTTTCAAGACCAGCCTGGCCAACATGGCAAAACCTCGTCTCTACTAAAAATACAAAAATTAGCCGGGCGTGGTGGTATACACCTTTAATCCCAGAAGCACTGTCTGTGTCTTGGATGGTAGCGAGACAAGATGGTGGATCCCCAGACTCAGGGCTTGTATACATAGGGAAGGGGCATACATGCTTCAGAAGGGATGTGCAGAACAATTGCTTAGGGTCGGGATTTATGGTAAGTACGAGAACATACTCAGGAGGCTGAGACAGGAGAATCACTTGAACCCAGGAGGTGGAGGCTGCAGTGAGCCGAGATGGCACCACTGCATTCCAGCCTGGGTAACAGATCAAGACTCCGTCTCAAAAAAAAAAAAAAAAAAAACAATTACAAGATGAGTTGATGGATGGAAATTTCATTTTAGATTGTTGGATGTGTGTGTGTGTGTGGTAATCAATGTAGAACTCACTGTGATCATCACAATTTTTTTTGAGACACAGTCTCCCTCTATCACCCAGGGTGAAGTGCAGTGGTGCGATCTCAACTCACTGCAACCTGCACATCCCGGGTTCAAGTGATTCTCTTGCCTCAGCCTCTAGAGTAGTTGGGATTACAGGCACACACCACCACGTCTGGCCAATTTTTGAATTTTTAGTAGAGATGGGGTTTCACCATGTTGGCCAGCCTGGTCTTGAACTCCTTACCTCAGGTGATCCGCCCACCTAGGCCTCCCAAAGTGGTGGGATTACAGGTGTGAGCCACCGTGCCTAGCCTGATCATCACAATATTTTGTGTAAAAGTCAGTCCTCATGACTTTTTGCGTCTGTGTGTTATTTTTTAAGGATCTTAAGGAGCCTACGTGGAAGCAGTGGAGAGAGTTCCTGGTCAAATACTCCTTCCTTCCATACCAGCTGATTGCTGAGTTTGCTTGGGACTGGTTGGAGGTCCATTACTGGACATCACGGTTTCTCATCATCAATGCTATGTTACTCTCAGTTCTGGAATTATTCTCCTTTTGGAGAATCTGGTCGAGAAGTGAACTGAAGTAAGTATGTTTTAATGGTTGTCACAACAGGGGATGGGAAAGAAATACCAAGTGAGAGAAAGATCCTCTTTTATTTCTCACACTTGAAATAAATCCTCCATCCACCCAGACCCTTCAGACTCTGCTTTGAGAAACCTAGCTTAAGCAGTGAATAGGACAATTACCTGTGTTTTGGGGGTGGGGGTTGTGGTGCTCATTGTTAAAAGTATTTTCCTATATGTCTTATCTCTATGCAATAATATACCATTTAATTTCAGGGGGAGGGGGGCAAAGGATTGTAATAATCAAGGAATAAGCAACTGAATAGAAAAGGGTCTGTTTTAAGGTAGGCAGGCCTGTGCAAACCTATCCCCTAAATCAGAGGAAGCTGAGGGGCTGAAGGAAGAAGCTGGCAAATTCAGTTTCTCAGAAAGAAACACTTAATAAGGCCTTGCCAACAGAAGCCCTGTCTGTGTCTTGGATGGTAGCGAGACAAGATGGTGGATCCCCAGACTCAGGGCTTGTATACATAGGGAAGGGGCATACATGCTTCAGAAGGGATGTGCAGAACAATTGCTTAGGGTCGGGATCTATGGTAAGTAAGAGAACATCAAGGCTGTTTCACCAAAGGGCAGGATTTACGTGATGTACGTGCTCTTACACAAGAAACATTAGATAAAACCAGAGATCTTAGAGGCTTCCCCCAAACCGGAGTTAGTGAGAAGTCAATATGGCAGATTAGCATCCAATATAGAGTTGCTTTGGCCTCCACAGGGTGCTTTATAGAAAATGCAGTAAGGTAGAGCATAAAGAGATCTCATGGGAAATTCTGTAGGCATGAGTTCTAATCCTGATCTGTAACCAACTAGGATAATAATAACTTAGGCTTCAAGCATGACTGGACCCTGAGACCCAAACGCTGTCACCAGTACTGACTCTTTCTCTGTCCCTCACAGCACTGTTCTTTCTTGTGTTTTCTGCCTCAGGCATCTCTCTTCATGTGGGGGCCCTTGTCTTCTCCACTCCAGACTTTGATCTGTGCAGCTTAACAAACCTCCAGAAAGAAAGCACTTCCTTCCCTGTGGCACTGGAAAAGGTCTCAGGGCTCACATGCCTTTGTTCTGATGGACCCAGGCTTGAGGCATGAGTTCACCCCACAACCAGAGGCTGGTTTCAGCCCTACCCAGACCACATGGAAAAGAACAAAAGAGAGAGAATCCCCAAAACTTAGAGGCTGTTGCCAGGTGCAGTGGTTCATGCCTGTAATCCTAGAACTTTGGGAGGCCAAGGCAGGTGGATCACCTGAGGTCAGGAGTTCGAGACCAGCCTGGCCAACATAGTGAAACCTCATCTCTACCAAAAATACAAAAATTAGCCAGGCGTGGCGGTGGGTGCCTGTAATCCCAGCTACTCGGGAGGCTGAGGCAGGAGGATCGCTTGAACTCAGAGAGGTGGAGGTTGCAGTGAGCTAAGATTGCACCATTGCACTCCACCCTGGGCGACAAAACGAGAGTCCATCTCAAAAAACCCCCAAAAACTTAGAAGCTATTTCCAGAAGAAAGGGACAGGCAGAAGTAACACTGCCACCCTTGCAGCCTTTTACCTTGACATTCTGACTCGCAGCCTTATGAATGGTTCTGAGAACCTAACAATCTCCCTCACCTTTCCAATGGTGACTCACTAGGTAAAAATAAAAAAAGAATCTCCCTCATTTCTTTCCATTTAGCAAACTCACTTATTTATATACAATATGCATATTTATGCCCCTACTGTACTCCTGGTTCTCTCCTGGGCATGGCAGATCTTTTGGTAAAGAAGACAGTCTATAGTGTGAGGCCCTACAGCCTAGCAAAGAAAATATGTACGTTAAAAAATAGATGGTCAGGCACCTTGGCTCATGCCTGTAATCCCAGCACTTTGGGAGGTGAGAGGATTGCTTGAGACCAGGAGTTCAAGTGCAGCCTGGGCAACGTGGCAAAACCTGTCTCTAAAAATACAAAAAATTAACTGGGCGTGGTGGTGCACACCTGTAGTCCCAGCTACTCGGGAGGTTGAGGTGGAGGATCACCTGAGCCGAGGAGTTTGAGACCAGCCTGGGTAACATAGCGAGACCTTGTCCCTACTTAAAATAATAATAATAATAATAATAATAATTAGCCAGATGTGGTGATGTGTGCCTGTGGTCCCAGCTACTCAGGAGGATCACTTGAGACCTGGAGGTCAAGGCTGCAGTTGAGCCACATTTGCACCACTGCACTCCCAGGCTGGACAAAGGAATGAGACCCTGTCTCAAAAGGAAAAAAAAATATGTAAATGTAACAAAGTGATGAAGCAGGTGAAGTTGAGGCTGTCACAGGGAGGCCTTGCCCAGTGTGGGGGCAAAGAAGCTCCCTGTAGGTCATGTCCTTGAGAGTTAAAAGATGGGTTGAGTAGGCAGAGGTCTCAGGCACCGGGGACAGAAGACAAGGACATTCAGCACGGGCAGCCATGCTCTTCCCAGCACCCAGAAAAGGCCCAGGGCCCGGACTCCTGGGTGTGGTCATGAGAAGCGCCTCCGATTCAGCCTCTTCTCTTCTTGTTTCAGGACCGTGCCTCAGAGGATGTGGAGCCATTTCTGGAAAGTATCAACGCAGGGGCTTTTTGTGGCCATGTTCTGGCCCCTCATCCCTCAGTTTGTTTGCAACTGTTTGTTTTACTGGGCCCTGTACTTTAACCCAATTATTAACATTGATCTTGTGGTCAAGGAACTCCGGCGGCTGGAAACCCAGGTGTTGTGACTGGCACTGCCCAGGCTGAGACTCTTCAAGTCCCGCTGACGTCTGAGCTTTGATGCTTAAGAGGGGTGAGGCAGGGAGCGGACTTCCTATTTTCTACCCTCAGTAAAACAAGGTGCTGCTTTGTATATCAAAAGCTCCAACCATGTCCTCTCCCCCTCAGCCTGTGGGTGGCACGAGCAAGGACTGACATCCGCACAGGGAGGATTGTCTGTTTGGCTGACACAGCAGCAGCCCTTCCCACCCAGCCACCTTCCTCACAGGGACTAGGAGGCTCAGTCCCCAACGGCTGGCAAGACTCAGGGTCCTCAGTGGACATGGTGTGGGTGACATCAGAAGGGTGCCACATCAGTCCCCTCCCCAACCTCAGTGACTGACAGAGGATCCGGATCTCAGAGCCTGAGACCAGGTTTATTGGGGCCTGGCCTGTCCTCTAAGTCAAGTTTAGGAAAACAAGGATAAGATTCTGTCATAGGCATAGAGAGTTGCACATAAAAAATACCGAAGAAAACCCAAAATTCAATCAACAATTCTGTCTTATTGAAGAGTTGCTAGGATTCAGAGTAAAACTCAAAGGATTCAGTTTGAGCCTAGAATGATGGTTAGACTTGTAGTCACTGGGCTTTTGTTTTGCTTTATGGAAATCATTGAAGGTCTGGATCCCTTTCTCTGAATGGAGAGATTGAGAGGGATGTCGGGCAGTTCCCATTAGATTTAGTGGCCTTCATGTTATTCAGAATTGTTTTGGTGATACCTCACCCCTGTAATCCCAGCACTTTGGGTGGGTGAGGCAGGCGGATCACTTGAAGCCAGGACTTCAAGACCAGCTTGGCCAACATGGTGAAACCTCATCTCTACTAAAAATACAAAAATTAGCCAAGTGTGATGGCACATACCTGTAATCCCAGCTACTTGGAATTGGAAATCGCCTGAACCCAGGAGGCGGAGGTTGCAGGGAGGGAGACTGCACCACTGCACTTCAGCCTGGGTGACAGAGGGAGACTCTGTCTTAAAAAAAAAAAAAAAATCATCTGTAAAATAAATTCCGGGATAGTCGTTTTGTTCAAGGAAATGTTTTGTAAATTGAGCTCACACTATATAATCTTTATTGTCCTATCCTGATGTATAATACAGCAGGTATAATTACACCAAGCGCTATAGTTATAAATATGGCATGAAGTGAACTATGGCCTTTTATTTCCTTCCAGTGTGAACACAGCAGGTGTGAGATGTCATCTTGGAAGACAGGCCTTGCAGAAATAGGCCTACATCCAAAATATTATCTTGTGACTCCATGAACCATTCATTAACCCTTTGTATCTTTGAGTGAAAATTTTACTCAAAAGTTGCATCTGGAAGTTCGAAGAAATTACTTGAAATAAAAATAAAGATTTCTATATAGATAAAACCTATATGTAGAGAAAAAGCAATTGTCTAGAAAACACAAAACTTCTGCATTGCCGGATAGAATCTTCTAGCCATGGGCCGAGCGTGGTGGTTCGCGCCTGTAATCCCGGCACTTTGGGAGGCCAAGGTGGATGGATCACTTGAGGTCAGGAGTTCAAGACCAGCCTGACGAACATGGTGAAACCCCGTCTCTACTGAAAATACAAAAATTAGCCAGGCACGGTGGTGCGCACCTGTAGTCCCAGCTACTTGGGAGGCTGAGGCAGGAGAATCACTTGAACCCAGGAGGCAGAAGTTGCATTGAGCCAAGATCATGCCACTGCACTCCATCTGGGTGACTGAGCAAGATTCCGTCTCAAAAAAAAAAAAGTCATCTAGTCAGTCTAGTCATGCTTAAATCCCCCAGCCTGACGCAGATACTGAGCCGAGGAGCCACCCTAAGGGAAAATGGGTTTTTTCCTGCTCGTGTTTGCACATCAAGCCCCAGGGTTGCTTGACTTTACCTATTTAATGCTTGTGACCTCCCATGGACACTCACATGGCAGTGTTTGCATATCCCTGGTCTCATGCCACCCAGGGGTTGCCAGTATCCTTTACAGGTGAATAGATGGAGGATGGCTGGCAAAACACCAAGTTGGCGCTGGCTGGCTTTGGCAGAGCTGGGCCTGGGCCATCCACCTCCACCCCATGGCCTCTCACATTGTCGCCACCTGCTCCCACACCCTGCTTCAAAGATGAGTAATACCCAGATTTGCTCAGGGACTGGGGCAAAGCCATGGCGTAGAGCAAACAGGCTGGGCAGGACCTTACTCCTTATCACCAGCAGGAGGGACGGGCACACTCAGATCAGGGGCCACAGGCTGCCTCTACCTCTTCTTACCAATCATAGCAGGATGGGTACATCTAAAGGGGGTGTCTTAAAATAGTCCAGGCTGGATGCAGTGGCTCATGCCTGTAATCCTAGCACTTTGGGAGGCCGAGGTGGGTGGATTATCTGAGGTCAGGAGTTCAAGACCACCCTGACCAACATGGTGAAACCCCATCTCTACTAAAAGTACAAAAAATTGGCAGGGCACAGTGGCTCACACCTGTAATCCCAGCATTTTGGGAGGCCAAGGCAGGGTGGATCACAAGGTCAGGAGTTCGAGACCAGCCTGGCCAACATGGTGAAACCCCATCTCTAATAAAAATACAAAAATTAGCCAGGTGTGGTGGCGTGTGCCTGTAATCCCAGCTACTTGGGAGGCTGAGGAAGGAGAATTGCTTGAACCCAGGAGGTGGAGGTTGCAGTGAGCCGATATCACACCATTGCACTCCAGCTCTGGGCGACAGGGCAGGACTCCATCTCAGGGGGAAAAAATACAAAAAATTAGCTGGGTGTGGTGGCAGTACCTGTAATCCCAACTACTCGGAAGGCTGAGGCAGGAGAATCGCTTGAACGCGGGAGGCAAAGGTTGCAGTGAGCCGAGATTGCCCCACTGCACTCCAGCCTGGGCGACACAGTGAGACTCTGTCTCCGAAAAATGCAAAATAAAAATAAAATACTCAGACCCGGCTGGGTGTGGTGGCTCGCACCTGTAATCCTAACACTTTGGGAGGCTGAAGTGGGCAGATCACTTGAGCCCAGGAGTTCGAGACCAACCTAGACAACATGTGGAAACCTCATCTCTACTAAAAATAAAAAAACTAGCCAGATGTGAGTGTACGCACCTGTAGTCCTAGCTACCTGGGAGGCTGAAGTGAGATTTGCCTGAGCCCAGGAGGTCGAGGCTGCAATGAGCTGAGGTTGCACCACTGCACTCCAGCCTAGGTGATAGCGGGAGACCCTGTCTCAAAAAATATTCAGATCCTTTGATCCAAAAATGCCATTTCTGCAAATCTGGGCTAAGGAATAGGTTATGGGGAAGGGAGTGGTGAAGATTTATTTACAAGCATCCTCATCAAGCAACTAATGGAAACAGAAAATAGCTCCAATATCCAAAAACTGTCAATCTATAAAATGGTATCTAATACAGATATTTATTTATTTATTTATTTGCGTCAAGGTCCTGTTCTGTTGCCCAGACTGGAGTACAGTGATGTAATCATAGCTCACTGCAACTTTGAACTCCTAGGCACAAGTTATCTTCCCTCTTCGGCCTCCCGAGTAGCTGGGACAACAGGTGCATGCCACCATGCCTTACTAATTTTTTTTGTTTTATACAGATAGAGTCTTGCTCTGTTGCCCAGGCTGGTCTTGAACTCATGTCCTCATGTAGTCCTCCCTCCTTAGCCTCCCAAAGTATTGAGATTATAGGCATGAGCCACCTCATCCAACCCTAACACAGACATTTTAAATGAAGTTTCCAAAGATTTTTTATGACATGGAGAAAAGTTTATAAACATCATACAGTATAATCTGAACTACCCTTTTTTTTTTTTTTTTTTTTTTTTTTTTTGAGATAGAGTCTTGTTCTGTCGCCCAGGCTGGAGTGCAGTGGCACAATCTCTGCTCACTGCAACCTCCACCTCCTGGGTTCAAGTGATTGTCCTGCCTCAGCCTCCTGAGTAGCTGGGATTACAGGCGCGTGCCACCACGCCTGGCTAATTTTTGTATTTTTAGTAGAGACGGGGTTTCACCATGTTGGTCAGGCTGGTCTCGAACTCCTGACCTTGTGATTCACGTGCCTTGGCCTCGCAAAGTGCTAGGATTACAAGCGTGAGCCACAGCACCCGGCCTTGAACTACATTTTTAAAACTATAGATCCTAACAGATTATTCTGAATTGTGGGAATTGGAGTGATTTTTCTTTCTGCTCTATATTTCTCTGCACTTTCATTTTTTTAAGAAGCAACAAGTATGTACCACTTTTGTAATCATTGTGCTGGGCTTACAGAAATGAGCCAACGCTGCAGGACAGCAAATACATTTTAAGGTGTAGTGGGATAAGGGAATACTCTTTCTTAAGCTAACAGCTACTGGACTTGAACTTCACCGGGTGGGTGTTGTATGGCCATCTTGTTGATTGCTGCAGCCTAGAACATAGAACATGGCCAGGCACACGGTAGGTGTTCGTTCACATTTGACTACCAGCCATCCAAGCAGGTTAGAAGACAGGTTATCTTTTCATAAAGATGGAACCTCAAAAATGGAACCGACCCCAACACAGTGATAAACACAGTCATAGTTTTATAAAATAGGTGCAGGACTTTTGGCCTTTAACTGCAAACCACATGGGCTCCAGTCCTGAGTTCTGGGATTGGGAGGGAAAGCAAACACAAGGTTGTGGCTTTATCACTTGGCTTCGGTTCCCTTCTGCAAATAACTGAATGCTGTTGTTCATTACTGAGAGGACGCTTTATTTCCTTGTGCAAAAGAGCATTTCAAGTCAAGGTAGTCAGTCACACTTGGGCGAGTCCGGCTCACATAGGAACTGGGGGTAGAAGAGGTACTTTAAGTTGTACTCAGTTTGGGCTAAGCAGTTAGCAATCTCCTGGTCACACTTGCACAACAGTTCTTGGCATTTGTTCTCTGCCGGTCCTGGAAGAAGTGGGGAAACTGAGATTAGAGCAGGGACCTGGAGAGACTCAAGGGAAACCAGTAAAGCAAGAGGCAGGACGGGTCATAAATTACATTTCTGAGACACTTGACAGCCCACCACGTGATCTCCATCTGCAGGGCTCCCCAGGAAGCAGGTGATGTCAGCCCCATTTTACAGAAAAGGAAATTGAAAGTTTCAAATGGAGAGTCCAAAGTCTGCCATACTGCTCTTCTGCATCAATATTACACGATTTCTTTTTTCTTTTCTTTTTTTTTTTTTTTTTTTCTGAGATGGGGGCTTGCTCTGTCGCCCAGGCTGGAGTGCAGTGGTATGATCTCAGCTCACTGCAGCCTCCGCCTCCCGGGTTCAAGTGATTCTCCTGCCTCAGCATCCCAAGTAGCTGGGACTAAAGGCACAGGCCACCACACCGAGCTAATTTTTTTTGTATTTTTAGTGGAGACAGGGTTTCGTCGTGTTGGCCAGGATGGTCTCGAACTCCTGACCTCAGGTGATCCACCTACCTCGGCCTCCGAAAGTGCTGGGATTACAGGCGTGAGCCACCATGCCTGGCCTGATATTACACGACTTCATTTGGGGATTCCTTTATTTAAAAATAATAATAGTAATTATTTATTTTTTGAGATAAGGTCTGTCTCTGTCACCCAGGCTGGAGTGTAGTGGCAAGGTTGTGGCTCACTGCAGCCTCCGCCTCCTGGACTCAAGCCATTCTCCCACCTCAGCCTCCCATGTGGCTGGGACTACAGGCCCACCACCATGCCCAGCTAATTTTTGTATTTTTAGTAGAGATGGGGTTTTGCCATATTGCCAGGCTGGTCTTGAACTCCTGAGCTCAAGTGATCCACCTGCCTCAGCCTCCCAAAGTACTGGGATTACAGGCACGAGCCACCACTCTCAGCCCATAATAATATTTTTTTTAAAGAAACATACTTCTCCTCAATATACTAGGCATAGAAGGAACATACCTCAAAATAATAAAAGTGATAGATGACAAACCCATAGCCCACATCATACTGAATGGGGATGAGTTGAAAGCATTCATTCCCCCAAGAGCTGGAACAAGACAAGGATGCCCACTCTCACCACTTCTATTCAGCAAAGTATTGGAAGTCCTAGCCAGAGCAGTCAGGAAAGAGAAAGAAATAAAGGGCATCCAAATGGGAAAAGAGGAAATCAAACTACCTCTGCCAATGATACAATCATATACCTAGAAAATCCTAGAGACTCCTCCAAAAGACTCCTAGATTTGACCAATGAATTCAATAAAGTCTCAGGTTACAAACCAGTAGCACTGCTATACATCAATAAGGACTAAGCTGAGAATGAAATCAAGAACTCAGTCCCTTTTATAATAGCTGGAAAAAAAAAAAGGAAAATAGCTACCCCAAACCTAGTAATATACTTGAGCAGGAAGGTGAAAGATCTCTACAAACAGAACTACAAAACACTGCCGAAAGAAATCATAGATGACACAAACAAATGGAAATACATCCCATGCTCATGGATTGGAAGAATCAATGTAATGAAAATGACCATACTACCCAAAGCAATCTACAGATTCAATGCAATTCCTATCAAAATACCAACATCATTTTTCACATAATTAGAAGAAACAATCCTAAAATTTACATGGAACTAAAAAAGAGCCAAATAGGCTGGGCACAGTGGCTCACGCCTGTAATCCTAGCACTTTGCAAGGCCGAGGTGGGTGGAACACCTGAGGTCAGTTCGAGACCAGCCTGGCCAACATGGTAAAACCCCATTTCTACTAAAAATACAAAAATTAGCCAGGCATGATGGTGTGTGCCTATAAGCCCAGCTGATCGGGAGGCTAAGGCAGGAGAATCACTTAAACCTGGGGGGCAGAGGTTGCAGTGAGCTGAGATCATGCCCCCTGCACTCCAGCCTGGGTGACAGAGAGACTCCATCTAAAAAAAAAAAGAAAAGAAGAAAAAATCTGTAGGCATCACTACCCAGCTTCAAATTATGCTACAAGGCTATAGTAACCAAAACAGCATGGTACTAATATAAAAGTAGATACATAGACCAACAGAACAGAATAGAAAACCCAGAAATAAAGCTAAACACGTACAACTAACTGATCTTCAACAAAGCACTCAAGGCCAGGCGTAGTGGCTCATGCCTGTAATCCCAGCACTTTGGGAGGCCAAGGCAAGCGGATCACCTGAGGTTCAGTGTTTGAGACCAGCCTGACCAACATGGAGAAACCTCGTCTCTACTAAAAATACAAAATTAGCTGGGCGTAGTGGTACATGCCTGTAATCCCAGCTACTTGGTAAGCTGAGGCAGAAGGATCGCTTGAACCCGGGAGGAGGAGGTTGCAGTGAGCTGAGATTGCACCATTGCACTCCAGCCTGGGCAACAAGAGTGAAACTCCATCTCAAAAAAAAAAAAAAAACACTCAAAAACATAAATTGGGGAAATGACACCCTATTCAATAAATAGTACTGGGAAAACTGAAGAGCTGCATGTAGAAGAATGAAACTGGATCCCTATCTCTCACCATCTACAAAACTCACCATATACATCAACTCAAGATGGATTAAAGACTTAAATCTAAGACCTGAAACCATAAGAATTCTAGAAGAAAACCTTGGAAAAACTCCCCTGGACATTGACCTAGGCAAGGAATTTATGACTAAGACCCCAAAAGCAAATGCAACAAAACAAAAATAAATAAATAGGACTTAATTAAACTAAAAAGCTTCTGCATAGCAAAAGAAGTAATCATCAGAGTAAACAGACAACCCACAGAATGGGAGAAAATATTTGCAAACTACATATCTGACAAAGGACTAATATCCTGAATCTACAAAAAACTCAAATCAGCAAGAAGAAAAGAAAAAACCTCATCAAAAAGTGGGCACATGGCCAGGCACGATGGCTCACATCTGTAATCCCAGCACTTTGGGAGGCCAAGGTGGGCAGATCATGAGGTCAGGAGTTCGAGACCAGCCTAGCCAACATGGTGAAACCCCGTCTCTACTAAAAATACAAAAATTAGCCTAGTGTGGTGGCTCATGCCTGTAATCCCAGCTACTTGGGAGGCTGAGGCAGGAGAATCATTTGAACCCGGGAGGCAGAGGTTGCAGGGAGCTGAGGTTATGTCACTGCGCTCCAGCCTAGGTGACAGAGCAAGACTCAAAAAAAAAAAAAAAAAAAAGTGGGCACATGACATGAATAGACATTTCTCAAAATATATATAAATGACCAGCAAATGAAAAAATGTTTAACATAACTCGTCATCGGGGAACTGCAAATTAAAACCACAATGAGATACTACCTTACCCCAGCCAGAATGGCCATTATTGAAAAGTCAAAATAGACATTGACCTGAATGTGATGAAAAAAGAATGCTTTTAGACTGCTGGTGCTAAGATCAGTTAGCACAACCTCCATGGAAAACAGTATGGAGATTTCTCAAAGAACGAAAAGTAAATCTACTATTCTTTCTAGCCATCCCACTACTAGGTATCTACCCAAAGGAAAATAAATCATTATATCAAAAAGACGTGCGCGCATTTGTTTATCACAGCACAGTCACAATTGCAAAGATATAGAACCAACCTAAGTGCCCATCAACCAATGAGCAGATAAAGAAAATGTGGTGGCTGGGTGCAGTGGCTCACGCCTATAATGCCAGCACTTTGGTAGGCCGAGGTGGGCGGATCACGAGGTCAGGAGTTCAAGACCAGCCTCACCAATATGGTGAAACCCCATCTCTACTAAAAATACAAAAATTAGCCAGGCGTGGTGGCGCATGCCTGTAGTCCCAGCTACTTGGGAGGCTACGGCAGGAGAATCGCTTGAACCCAGGAGGTGGAGGTTGCAGGGGGCCAAGATCACGCCACTGCACTCCAACCTGGGTGACAGAACAAGACTCCTTCTCAAAAAAGAAGGAAAAGAAAATGTGGTTACATATACACCATGGAATACTACTTAGCCATAAAAAAGAACAAAATGTTTTCTGCAGCAACTTGGATGAAGCTGGATGAAGCAACTTGGATGAATTGATGTTGGTATTTTGATAGGGATTGCAAGGAAGTTACGTCACTTATTCTAACTGATGAAACTTAAGAATGGAAAACCAAATACTGTATGTTCTCACTTATAAGTGAGAGCTAAGCTATGGGGGGTACACAAAGGCATACAGAGTGGTATAACGGACACATTGGAGACTGAGGTGGGGAGGGATAAAAAGCTATGTATTGGGTACAATGTAGACTACTTGGGTGATGGGTGCACTAAAAGCTCAGATTTCACCACTATACAATTCATCCATGTAACCAAAAACCACTTGTACCCCTAAGGCTACTGAAATAAATAATAAGTAAAAATTTTCAAAAGAATATTTCTGGAATGTTTTAATTTTTCATAACAAACATGTATTGGGTTTGAATCAGAAAAAGTATGCAAATGAATGGTTGAATGAATGGTGGGATAGATGGATCCCTCATCATGCACTCCTGCTTCTTGTTACCAGGGCAAAATTCTCACAACACAAAATGTACCATTTCAAAGTGTACAAGTCAGTGACATTTAGTACATTCACAATGCTGGGCATCTATCTAGTTCTAAAACTTTTCATTTTTTTTTGAGACGGAGTTTCACTCTGTTGCCAGGCTGGAGTGCAGTGGCACGATCTCAGCTCACTGCAACCTCCGCCTCCTGGGTTCAAGCGATTCTCCTGCCTCAGCCTCCCGAGTAGCTGGGACTACAGGCGCACACCACCACGCCTAGTTAATTTTTGTGTTTTTAGTAGAGACCGGGTTTTACCATGTTGGCCAGGATGCTCTCAATCTCTTGACCTCGTGATCTGCCCGCCTTAGCCTCCTAAATTACAGGCGTGAGCCATTGCGCCCGGAGTTCTAAAACATTTTTATCACCCCAGAAGAAACCCCATTCCCCTCAAGCAGGCACTCCCCATGGATGGATGGATGGATGGATGGATGATGGATGATGGACAATGGATGGCTGGATAGATGGATGGTGGGTGGATGGATGGAAGATGGGTGGATGGATGATGGATGGATGGAAATTGGATGGATGGGTGATGGATGGATAGATGGATGGATGGATGGATGGATGGATGGATGGATGGATGGATAGATGGAAGAATGAATGGATGGATGATGGATGGATGGATAGATGGATGATAGGTGAATGGATAATGGATGAATAGATGGCGAGACAGATGAATGGATAAACATAATATGTGCGAAAATTAGTCATAGAACCAGCCAGTGCAGGAACAAGCCTTCCTGCCTGTAAGCTTTCCATGGGCTGCTGCACAACAGAAACCCTCAGAGAAATATGATGTAGTGGGGAGGGGACTCTTGAGGAAGGAGCCACTGTAGCTTCCTGGCTATAGCCCCAGGGTGGCATACAGGGCTGGCTGAAGGCCGGCTGTCCAAGGACAGAAGAGTGGTCAGCTACAGGGCGACGGGGACAAATACCCCAGCCAGCTCCTCTTCCCCTCACACCCTCACCCATCCACTGGCAACTCCTGCAGTTCCATCCAGCCAGATTTGTCCAGAAGCCAGCCCCTTCCACCATCTTCACTGCCACCCCCTGCCCAAGCCACCTCTCTCCAAGACCACTGCAACAGCCTGATAGCCACATCCAGCTTCCACCCTTTCCCTCTCCTGGGTTTGTACCATATGGCAACCAGAGTAGTTTGGTTAAAATACATATCAAGGCCGAGTGTGGTGGCTCACGCCTGTAATCCCAACATTTTGGGAGGCCGAGGTAGGTGGGTCACCCGAGGTCAGAAATTTTGAGACCAGCCTGGCCAACATGGTGAAACTCCATCTCTACTAAAAGTACATAAATTAGCAGGGCATGGTGGCACATACCTGTGATTCCAGCTACTCAGGAGGCTGAGGTGCGAGGATCGCTTGAGCCCAAAAGGCAGAGGTTGAAGTGAGCCGAGATCACACCACTGCACTCCAGCCTGGGTGACAGAGCAAGACTGTCTCAAAAAAAAAAAATGCAAATCAGGTCATGTCCCTCCCCTGCTCAAAACCCTCCTTGGCTCCCCATCTCTCTCAGAGAAGAGCCTCCAATGCCCTAGGAATCTAGCCCCTATCACTCTCCGACATCATCCCCTACTTCTGTCACTCTGGGGGACTCTGCTCCAGCCTCACCGAACTCCTTGTGATCCTCAGACCACCCAGACACTTGTGCGTACCCCAGGGCCCTTGCACTGGCTGTTGCATCACCTCCACGTGGCTGTCTCCTCTGTTCCTCAGGTCTCTGCTTCATTGGTGTCTCCGGGAGACTTTCTCTCACCCCAACCACTCTCAGTAACAGAGAAATCCTCACCATGCACTCCTGCTTTTTGTTATTGGGGCAAAATTCTCACAACCTAAAATTTACCATATTAAAATGTACAGTCAGTAGCATTTAGTACCTTCACAATGCTGGGCACCTATCTAGTACTAAAACACTGTTATCACCCCAGGCTGAGCATGGTGGCTTAGGGCTGTAATCTCAACACTTTGGGAGGCTGAGTCAGAAGGATTGCTTGAGGTCAGGAGTTCAAGACCAACCTAGGCAGCATAGCAAGACACCATCTCTACAAAAAATACAGGCCGGGCGTGGTGCTCGTGCCTGTAATCTCGGCACTTTGGGAGGCCGAGGCGGGCAGTTCACAAGGTCAGGAGTTCAAGAACAGCCTGGCCAACATAGAGAAAACCCATCTCTACTAAAAATACAAAAATTAGCCAGGTGTGGTGGCACATGCCTGTAATCCCAGCTACTAGGGAGGCTGAGGCAGGAGAATCACTTGAACTCGGGAGACGGAGGTTGCAGTGAGCCGAGATCATGCCATTGCACTCCAGCCTGGGCAACAAGAGCAAGACTCCACCTCAAAAAAAAAAAAAAATAATAATAATAATAATAATACAAAAATTAGCTCAGCATGGTGGCACGTGCCTGTAGTCCCAGCTACTTGAGAGGCTGAGGCAGGAGAATCCCTTAATCTCAGGATTTTGAGGCTGCAGTGAGTTGTGATCATGCCACTGCACCCAGCCTGGGTGACAGATCGAGATGGTCACCACAGAAGAAACCCAACTCTCTTTAAGCATTCGCTCCCCGTTCCCACTCTTCTGCATTCCCAGCAACCACTAGTCTACTTTCTATTTCTGTGGATTTGCCTATTCTGGACAATTCATATAAATGAAGTCATATGATATACGTGACCTCTTTTTTGTATTCCTAACATAGCAACAGAAAGCCTATATACATGACCTCTTATGTCTGGCTCTGTTCACTCGATGCTGTATTTCTTCTTCCTTTCTTTTTGCTTTTCTTTTTTTTTTTTTTTGAAACAGAGTCTCACTCAGTCGCCCAGGCTGGAGGGCAGTGGCATGATCTCCACTCATTGCAACCTCTCTGTCTTCCAGGTTCAAGCAATTCTCCTGCCTCAACCTCCCGAATAGCTGGGATTACAGGCACCTGCCACCACGACCGGCTAATTTCATATTTCTAGTAGAGACGGGGTTTCACCATGTTGGCGAGACTGATCTCGAACTCCTGACCTCAAGTGATTCACCAGCCTAAGCCTCTCAAAGTGCTGGGATTACAGGCGTGAGACACTGTGCCCGGCCTTTTTTGTTGAGGCAGGGTCTCACTCTGTCACCCAGGCTGGAATGCAGTGGCATGATCACGGCTCACTGCAGCCTGGACCTCCTGAGCTCAAGTGATCCTCCCACCTCAGCCTCCCGAGTAGCTGGAACTACAGGCATGCGCTACTATGCCAGGGTCTCGCTATGTTGCCCAGGCTGGTCTCAAATTTCTGGGCTCAAGTGATACTTCTGTCTTGGCCTCCCAAAGTGTTGGGATTACAGGTGGGAGCCATCGTACTCAGCCCATCATATTTTCAAAGTTCATCCATGTTGTAGCAGGTATAGTAATTCACCTGCTTTATCTCTCAACACAATAGTTACAAAGCACTTGGCGCACACACTACTTCCCTGTCTCCTCCTTTTTAACAATACCTCGTGGCTCTGCCTTGCCCAAAACCTAGCATGGAGCCCGGCAGAGTAGACTCACAGTAATATTTGTTGACAGACCAGAGAAAAGCCTTAGAAAAGCCATTCATCCTCATGCCTGTAATCCCAGCACTTTGGGAGGCTGAGGTGGGCAGATCCCTTGAGGTCAGGAGTTCAAGACCAGCCTGGCCAACATGATGAAACCCCGTCTCTACTAAAAATACAAAAAAAAATTAGCTGGGTATGGTGGTGCGCCTGTAGTCCCAGCTACTTGGGAGGCTGAGGCAGGAGAATGGCTTGAACCGGGGAGGTGGAGGTTGCAGTGAGCTGAGATAGCACCACTGCACTCCAGCCTGGGCAACAGAGTGAGACTCTATCTCAAAGAAAAGAAAAGAGAAAAGAAAAGAAAAGGGGGAGGGGGGAGAGAGAGAGAGGAGGGGAGAGGAGGGAAAAGAAAAGCAAAGCCATATACAATCTCCAATGCTCACACAACCCCAGCAACTCTGGTCTGTTATTCCCATTTTACAGATGAGGAAAGTGAGGCTTACAGGAATTCGGTAACTCATCCAAGGTCACAGAACTGGGAAGGTGTGGACCAGGATTCCAGCCCAGGGTCTCCTGACCCAACAACGCCTCTGCTTGTCCTCTTACTTTTCTCCTTGAGCAACAAAGATTCCGCCAACAGCAAGACCTGGCCCCACTGCTCCATGATCTCAGGAACCCGATGGCATCACATTTTGAAGAAGAATAAAAATTTGAAAGGAAGAATAGCTCCCGAGGCTTAAGTTTAAAATTAAGGCCTGCTAGTAAATATTATTATAGGTTTAAATTTTTTTTAATATATTTAAGTCAGGCCCATAAATGGAAAATGGGCCAAACCTGTAATTAAATAAACAACTATGTTCAGAATATCTCCAAACAGAATAAGATAATATTTTTAGTCCAAAATGCATAATAGATATTTTAGTTCCTTTCATTTGGTTCAGAGAAGACAGTTCTGTAAACAGGCACAGACTCTACCAACAGACACACCAATATTTTATAAATATCATTTTCACCTGGGTAGGAGCAAGCAGAATAGGCAAGTTGAAGGGAGAAAGGAAAGATTTTCAACAGATTTCCCACTGAAGCCTCATTTCACCTCCTCATCACCCACACCAGAAGGGGGCAGTTTTGGGAATAAGTCACTTACTCTCCCTGAGCCTCAGTTTCCCCTTTATTTTTGTCTTTTGTAGAGATGGGGTCTCTCTATGCTGCCAGGGTGGTCTTGAACTCCTGGGCTCAAGCTATCCTCCTGCCTTGGCCTCTCAAAGTGCTGGGATTATAGGTATGAGCTACCATGCCCAGCCAGTTTCCCCAACTCTAAATGAGAGGGTTGGATGAGATGATAGATACCTGGGGCATGTTCAGGCCTAAAAATTGATTATATCATCATATTAATTCAGCTTTGCTCTTATGCCAAGTTCTAATCCGTAGTAAGAATATATAGCTGAAGATCTAAAAACATACTTCAAGTAGGCCGGGCGCGGTGGCTCGTGCCTGTAATCCCAAAACTTTGGGAGGCCGAGGCGGATGGATCAGGAGTTCAAGACGAGCCTAGCCAACATGGTGAAACACTGTCTCTACTAAAAATACAAAAAAATTAGCTGGGCATGGTGGTGTGCACCTCTAGTCCCAGCTACTCAGAAGACTGAGGCATGAGAATCACTTGAACCTGGGAGGCAGTGAGTTGCAGTGAGTTGAGATCACTCCACTGTACTCCTGCCTGGGCTACAGAGTAAGACTCTGTCTCAAAAAATAAATAAAAATAAAAACATACTTCTAATAACGCTTACAATAGCCTCTTTGCCACCAGAGCAGACCAAGTCAGCAGAACCTGGAGTTTTAATCAAGAGTTGGAACAGATCTTTGATTCTCTCCAGGAGTTAGCAGGGGTCAGAGAGAAGTTCAGATAAAGATAGGAGGAGGAGATAGAAGAAAAATTCCCATCCAATCTGTTTCTCAGCTGGGCATGGTGGCTCATACCTGTAATCCCAGCACTTTGGGAGGCCGAGGTGGGCAGATCACCTGAGGTTAGGAGTTTGAGACCAGCCAGGCCAACATGGTGAAACCCCATCTCTACTAAAAATACAAAAATCAACTGGGTGTGGTGGCAGGGGCCTGTAATCCCAGCTACCTGGGAGGCTGAGGCAAGATAATCACTTCAACCCAGGAGGCAGAGTTTGCAGTGGGCAGAGATCGTGCCACTGCACTTCAGCCTGGGCGACAGAGCAAGACTCCATCTCAAAACAAAAACAAAATCTGTTTCTCATCTTACAAATCTTTTCTCATCTTCACAACACCTATCTTACAGGTAAGGAAGCTGGGGTTAAGAGAAGTCAAATTATTAGCTCAAAGTGATGAAATCCTCCTCCATCTAGAGCCAAGTGATTTTCTTTTTCTTTCTTTTTTTGTTTTTTTTTTTTTTGAGATGGAGTCTTGCTCTGTTGCCCAGGCTGAAGTGCAGTGGTGCAATCTCTGCTCACTGCAATCTCCACCTCCCAGGTTCAAGCAATTCTCCTGCCTCAGCCTCCTGAGTAGCTGGGACTACAGGAGCATGCTGCCACACCCGCCTAATTTTTTTTTGTATCTTAGTAGAGATGGGGTTTCACCGTGCTGCCCTGGCTGGTCTCGAACTCCTGAGTTCAGGCAATCCATCCGCCTCAGCCTCCCAAAGTGCTAGGATTACAGGTGTGAGCCACCACTCCTGGCGGTGATTTTCAGCAAAGGTAGCAGGATGATTCAATGGGGAAGAGTCTCTTCAACCAAGAGGGCTGAGATAACTGGATAACAACATGCAAAAGAATAAAGTTCAACCCCTTACCTCACTCCGTAGACAAAAATTAACTCAAAATGGATCAATGACCTAAATATTAGAGTTAAATATGATAAACCTATTAGAAGAAAACTTAACGGTAAATATTTATAACTTTGGATTTGGCAGTGGATTCTAAGGACACCAAAAACACGAGCAACAAAAGACAACAGATTAATTGAACTTCATCAAACTTAAACAGTTTTGTGCAAAGACACTATCAAGGAAGTGAAAAGACAACTTACATAATGGGAGAAAATATTTGCAAATCACATATCGGGTAAGAGTCAGTATCCACAGTATATAAAGAACTCTTAACTGGGCATGGTGATTCATGCCTGCAATCCCAGCACTTTCAGAGGCAGACAGGCAGAAGGATTGCTTGAAGCCAAGATTTTGAGACCAGCCTGGGCAACTTATCTCTACAAAAAGTTTAAAAATGGCGGGGCGTGGTGGCTCGCGCCTGTAATCCCAGCACTTTGGGAGGCCAAGGCAGATGGATCATGAGGTCAGGAGTTCGAGACAGCCTGGCCAACATGGTGAAACCCCGTCTCTACTAAAAAATATATAAAAATTAGCCGGGCGTGGTGGTGCATGCCTGAGACAGGAGAATAGCTTGAGTTCAGGAGGCGGAGGCTGAAGTGAGCCGAGATCACGCCATTGCACTCCAGCCTGGACAAAAAGAGTGAGACTCCATCTCAAAAAAAAAAAAAAAAAAAAAAAAGGCTAAAAATTAGCTGGGCACTTGGCCAGGCACAGTGGCTCATGCCTGTAATCCCAGCACTTTGGAGGCCAATGTGGGTGGATTGCTTGAGGTCAGGAATTTGAGACCAGCCTGACCAACAGGGTGAAACCCAGTCTCTACTAAAAATACAAAAATTAGCTGGGCGTGGTGGCGGGCACCTGAAATCCCAGCTACTCAGGAGGCTGAGGCAGGAGAATCGCTAAAACCTGGGAGGCAGAGGTTGTAGTGAGCCACGATCGTGCCACTGCACTCCAGCCTGGGCGACAAAGTGAGACTTTGTCTCAAAAAAATTAGCCCAGCATCGTGCCACACACCTATAGTCTCAGCTACTCAGGAGGCTGAGCCAAGAGGATAGTTTGAGCCCAGGAGTTTGAGGCTGCAGTGAGCCATGATCATGCCACTGTACTCCAAGCTGGGTGACAGAGCAAGACCCTGTCTCAACAAAAGAAGTAAAACAGGATTACCGTATGACCCAGCAATTCCACTCCTAGGTATATACTCCAAAATATTGAAACCAGGTACTCAAATAAGTATTTGTTCATGAATGTTCATAGCAGCACTATTCACATAAGCCAAAAGGTGGAAACAACCCAAATGCCCATCATTGAATGAATGGATAAACGAAATGTGATCTATCCATGCAGTGGATATTATTCAGCCATAAAATGAATGACGTACTGACACATGCTATTAATACAACATGAACAGGATGGGTGTGGTGGCTCACGCCTGTAATCACAGCACTTTGGGAGGCTGAGGCAGGCAGATCACTTGAGGTCAGGAGTTCAAGACCAGCCTGGCCAACATGGTAAAACTCCATCTCTGCTAAAAATACCAAAATTACCCAGGCATGGTGGTGCACGTTTGTAATCCCAGCTACTCAGGAAGCTGAGGCAGGAGAATCGCTTGAACCCGGGAGGCGGAGGTTGCAGTAAGCCGAGATGGCACCACTGCACTCCAGCCTGGGTGACAGGTGAGATTTCGTGTCAAAAAAAAAAAAAAAAGAAAGAAAATGAGCAAATCTCAAAAACATTATACTAAGTGAAGAAGCCAGGAACATAGTGTATGATTCTATTTATATGAAATATCTAGACAGGGTAAATCCAGAGATAGAAAACTGGTAACCTGGTAAGTTTACCAGGTGTTGGTGGTAGGGAGGAATGGGAACGGATTGCTTAAGGGGAAAGGGATTTTTCGAGGCAGAGTGATGAAAAAGTTTAGGTGGTGGTTGGATGACATTGTGAATATACTAAGTATCACTGAATTATACACTTTAACATAGTTAATTTTGTGTTATGTCTATTTTCTTTTTGTTGTTGTTGTTGTTTTTGAGACAGAGTCCCACGCTGTCGCCCAGGCTGGAGTGCAATGGTGCAGTCTCGGCTCACTGCAACCTCCACCTCCTGGATTCAAGCAATTCTCCTGCCTCAGCCTTCTTAGTAGCTGGAATTAAAAGCACCCACCTGTATTTTAGTAGAGACGTGGTTTCACCATGTTGGCCAGGCTGGTCTGGAACTCCTGACCTCGTGATCCGCCCACCTCAGCCTCCCAAAGTGTTGGGATTACTGGTGTGAGCCACCACGCCCAGCCTCTTTTTTTCTTTACTCTTTTTTTTTTTTTTTTTTTTTGAGACAGGCTCTCACTCTGTTGCCCAGGCTGAAGTGCAGTGGTGCAATCTTGGCTCACTACAGCCTCAGCCTCCCTGGGCTTAGGTGATCCTCCTTCCTCAGCCTCCCAAGTAGCTGAGACTGCAGGTGCACACCACCACACCGTGCTAGTTTTCATATTATTTGTAGAGATAGGGTTTCACCATGTTGCCCAGGCTGGTCTTGAATTCCTAGGCTCAAGCCATCTGCCCGTCTTGAGATTACAGGAGTGAGCCACAGCGCCGAGCCTGTTATGTCTATTTTCAAGTAACAGAAAATAGAAAAAAAGGGATGGAACTAGTGGTCTGGATCATGACTAGCTCTTCAGATAACTTTGAGTCTCGCTGCCGAAACTCAAGCCTTATCTGCATTCTCCCTGTACCATTACTCACTTCCTAGTTGTTTTCATTGTTTTAGCTTTCTTATTTATTTGAAGGGAAACTATAAATGGAAAATGCCATACATCAGAATGGAATCTATTTCTTTTTGTTTTTGTTTGAGATAGAGTTTCACTCTGTTGCCCAGGCTGGAGTACGATCTCGGCTCACTGCAACCTGTGCCTCCTGGATTCAAGTGATTCTCCTGCGTCAGACTCTCGAGTAGCTGGGATTACAAGCATGCACCAACATACCAGGGTAATTTTGTATTTTTAGTAGAGACAGGGTTTCACCATTGAGGCTGCTCTCAAACTCCTGGCCTCAAGTGATCCACCTGCCTTGGCCTCCCAAAGTGCTGGAACTATAGGCGTGAGCCACAGCACCCGGCCCAAAATGGAATCTTAAAAATAAATACCACGGCCAGATGCAGTGGCTCACACCTGTAATTCCAGCACTTTGAGAGGCTGAGGCGGGTGGATCACTTGAGGTCAGGAGTACAAGACCAGCCTGACCAACATGGCAAAACCTCATCTCTACTAAAAATACAAAAATATTAGCCAGGTGTAGTGGCAGGCACCTGTAATCTCAGCTACTCAGGAGGCTGAGGCAGGAGAATCACTTGAACCCAAGAGGTGGAGGTTGCAGTAAGCCAAGAACATGCCATTGCACTCCAGCCTGGGCAACAGGAGTAAAACTCTGTCTCAAAAAAAAACAAAAAAAAATCAAAAAACAAACAAACAAAAAAACCCACACTCCAAAAACAAACAAACAAACAATAAATAAATAATATAAAAATAAAATAAATACTACAGTCCTTATGTTATTGCTTTGTTTCAAAATCTTGTAGGATTGCCTGAGGGACCTGAGATTTTTAATTGCAGGGTTTTTTTTATATATCTTTAGAAGTGGTTGGTTAGGTAAAATTTTTTTTTTTTTTTTTTGAGACTGGGTTTTGCCCTGTTACACAGGCTGGAGTGCTGTGACTCGATCACAGCTCACTGCAGCCTCAACCTCCTGGGCTTCAAGCGATCCTCCCACCTCAGCCTCCCAAGTAGCTGGGATCACAGATGTGTGCCACCACGCCTGGCCAATGTTAAAAAAATCCTTTAACTTTTTTGTAGAGATGCACTCCTGGCCTCAAGCGATCCTCCTTCTGGTCCCCACCCCCAGCCTCTTTCTGATAAACATTTACACTGTTTATTATCTGATGCCATTTCTATCTTCTTCCTTGTCGTCCAGACATCAAATAATTAGGTTTCTTCATGGTTTTCTTTTTCAAGTCCTCATTGTTAAAGATCACTCACATTAGGGCCAGACACCATGCCTCACGCCTGTAATCTCAGCACTTTGGGAGGCCGAGGCGGGCAGAGCACTTGAGGTGGGGAGTTTGAGACCAGCCTGGCCAACTTGGTGAAACCCCACCTCTACTGAAAAAATACAAAAATTAGCTGGGCGTGATGGTGCATGCCTGTAGTCCCAGCCACTTGGGAGGCTGAGGCACGAGAATCGCTTGAACCCAGGAGGCAGAGGTTGTAGTGAGCCAAGATCACATCAGCACACTCTAGCCTGGGTGACAGAGCGAGACTCTGACTCAAAAAATAAATAAAATAAATATCACTTACATTAGATATACCCAAGGGGTGGTCTATAGAGACTTGGAAGCAGTGGTTATTGCAACAGGGGCACGGAAGTCATCTGGCTATGCCAGGATGCCCAGGGGATACTCGGGGTGGGTGGCATGGTGCTGCTGGGGACTCACCGCACAGGACGCTCTGATTGACGCACTGCCAGGAGTAGCGCTCTGTCTTGGGGCTGCAGCCGGCCTCCTCAGCTCGAGTGTAACAACAGTCGTGGCCATGGCAGCACCTGCGGATGTCACATGGGCAGGACAGCAGGTGGGTGAAGCTCTCTCCTGGCCCTCCTCTCTTGCCAGGACTATGGGTGACTGAAGACCCCCAGGGAGGCACAGCATCCTCTTATCTAAGATTTTTTTTTTTTTAAGAGACAGGGTCTTTCTCTGTCGCCCAGGCTGGACTGCAGTGGCACAATCATAGCTCACTGCAGCCTTGAACTCCTGGGCTCAAGCGATCCTCCCACTTCAGTGTCCCAAGTAGCTGAGACTACAGGCACACGCCAGCATGCCCGGCTGGTTTTTTAATTTGTATTTCCTTTGAGACAGCGTATCTCTCTGTTGCTCAGGCTGGAGTGCAATGGCTCAATCAGCTCACTTTAGCCTTGAACTCCCAGGCTCAAGTGATACTGCCACCTCAACCTCTCAAGTCTGCTACTACAGGAAGACAAACTCCTTTTTTAAATTTTTTGTGGATATGGGGTCTCACTATGTTGCCTAGGCTGGTCTCGAGCTCCCAGGCTCAAGCAGTCCTCCTACCTCAGCCTCCACAAATGCTGGGATTACAGGTGGGAGCTACTGTACACCTGGCCTTATCTAAGCTGTTTCCCTGAAAATCCCCGTCTTGGGTAATGATTCCATTGGCCCCACCATGCCCTGTCCTGCCTTCCTGGCTGTGCCCAAGCTTGGTCCCTGCCTGCCTGCCTGCCTCCCTCTCTGGGTCTCGAGCTCCTGTGACACATGACTCCTCTCTCTTCCTGGAGTGATCCAAGCCCTGCCACTTCCTGACTTTGCCCACACTGTACCCTCTGCCTGGGGCAACTTCATGTCTGCCCATTGACCCTTAGGCCTCAGCCCAGGCACAAGCCCCTGCCTCTGGAGGTCATCCAGGCCTCACCAGGCTACACCCTCTCATAAAATCGGATTCCCTCCCTTCAGGGTAGGTTTATAATGAAACCCTCCTTAGAGGCCAGGTGCGGTGACACCCATCTGTAATCCCAGCACTTTGGGAGGCTAAGGTGGGAGGATCACTTGAGATCAGGGGGTCGAGACCAGCCTGGGCAACATAAGAAAACTCTTGTCTCTCTTGTCTCTATAACAAATTTAAAAATTAGCTCACCAGGCCAGGCTCAGTGGCTCATGCCTGTAATCCCACTCAGGCTGGAGTGCAATGGCACGATCTTGGCTCACTGCAACCTCCACCTCCTGGGTTCAGGTGATTCTCCTGCCTCAGCCTCCCGAGTAGCTGGGATTACAGGCATGCGCCACCATGCCTGGCTAATTTTGTAGTTTTAGTAGAGACAGGGTTTCGCCGTGTTGGCCAGGCTGGTCTGGAACTCCTGACCTCGTGATCCACCTGCCTTGGCCTCCCAAAATACTGGGATTACAGGCGTGAGCCACCGCACCTGGACACGTTACTGAATATTTCTGTGCCTTGGTTTCTTCATCTGTGAAATGGGATTGTTGTGAGAACGCAAAGGGATTCCCAGGGCAGTTCCTAGTGCATAGTCTGGCTTCCTTTGTGTGTGTGTGTGTGTGTGTGTGTGTGTGTGTGTGTGTGTGTGTGTGTGTGTGTTTAATATAGAGACAGGGTCTCACTATGTTGCCTAGGCTGGTTTCAAACTCCTGGTCTCCAGTGATATTACTGCTTCGACCCAAAGTGGTGGGATTACAGGTGTGAATCACCACACCTGGTCACTTTATATTTTTATTATTTTTTTCTTTTGAGACAGGGTCTCGCACTGTCACCCAGGTTGGAATGCAGTGGTGCAATCTCAACTCACTGCAAACTCCACCTCCTGGGTTGAAGCAATTCTCCTGCCTCGGTCTCCTGAGTAGCTGGGATTACAGACGCCTGCCACCACACACAGCTAATTTTTGCATTTTTAGTACAGATGGGGTTTCACCATATTGGCCAGGCTGGTCTTGAACTCCTGACCTCAAGTGATCTGCCCACCTCGGCCTTCCAAAGTGCTGGGATTACAGGAGTGAGCCACAGCTCCTAGCCAAGTTTTTAAGGCAACGTCATCAGCTCAAGGCCAGGGTAAGGGGCAGCTGGTACCAAGATCTGGCTTCACTGGCCATGTTATCCAAGAGGCCTCTGCCTGCCTGCAAAGTAGTACTGCACACTGGGATCTCCCTGGACCAAACCCCAGCTTCAGTTTTGGGTACTTCCTCATAAGCCTTGACTACCCCAGAGTGTGAGGGATTTTGTGGCCTGGTCCCAGGCATGCACTCACCAGTCAATGGCATCGCGGGGCTGGCCATGGCCTCCCAAGCCACAAAAGCAACCATATTTCATATAGGCGATGGGGGTTCGGGGACCAACACAACCCACAGTTCCTGCCAGTTCCAGGATCCCACGCCGGTGCACACGTAATATCCTGGAGGCTGGGGGGTAAACAAAGGTGACAGGCTGCAGGTCAGGGCTTCCCAGACCCCTGGGAAGGGCATGAGCCTGAGAAGAGCCTAGGTGTTACAGCCTGGCTGTCTGGGTTTGAATCCTACTTCCTGGCTGTGTGACCTTGGACAAATTCTTAACCTCTCTGGGCCTTGGTTTCCTCATCTGTGAAATGGGGGATAAACTGACTTCAACTCATATGAATGAAATGAGATAATGAGTATAAAGCCCCTGGTGCATGAAAAGGCTATTATAATCCGGCTGGGCTCAGTGGCTCACACCTGTAATCCCAACATTTTGGGAGGCCCAGGCGGGCAGATCACCTGAGGTCAGCAGTTCAAGATCAGCCTGGCCAACATGGTGAAACCCCATCTGTAGTAAAAATACAAAAATTAGCCGAGCATAGTGGTTCATGCCTGTAATCCCAGCTACTAGGGAGGCTGAGGAAGGAGAGTCACTTGAACCTGAGAGATGAAGGTTGCAGTGAGCCAAGATTTTGCCACTGCATTCCAACCTGGGTGACAGAGCAAGAGTCTCAAAAAAAGAAAAAAAAAAGGCTAACTATTATAATCAAGGTCCTCAAGGTAGCCAAGAAGGGAAAAAAGAGTCGTGCATGAAACGTTTGTCCAGTTCCCTGTGTTGGGAACTGGGCATCACGGACGCGCCTACAGGTGTCTGTCACCAAGGTGGGCTCCTCTGTGGCAGCTCCCGGGCCCTGGCACTGCCCTGTGCTCATGACTTCCCCTCCAGACTCAGACTCAGGGCCCTTGGTATCTCCTCTTATTTTCACTGCCAGACAGGAAGGCCCCTTGGCCTGAGCCCAGCCATTTTTCTAGATCCTGGCACAGCTTGGACATGTAATGGTGCCCAATGCATGTGACTGGAACCCCTGCATTGGACATGTAGGAAACGAGGCCAGCCGGGAAAGGTAACCCCACATTCCCACAGCCAGCAGGAACCCGAGCAGAGGCTTCAACCCAGGCTTCTGACTTGCAAACCAGTGCTCCTTCCTCCTTACACAGTGACAACAGGGGAAGGTGGCCTTCGGGGTTGCCAGAGCCGAGTAGTACCAGCAATAGAGTGGAAACTCACACACAGGCTTGCCTGCTTCCTGGGTTAGGGTTAGGGTTTATACAGCTCTGGGAGGTTGACGCATTGTGTTTGATCATCTTTTTTTTTTTTTTTTGAGACACAGTCTCATTCTTGTTGCCCAGGCTGGAGCACAGTGGTTTAATCTTGCTCACAGCAACCTCTGCCTCCCAGGTTCAAGCAATTCTCCTGCCTTAGCCTCCCGAGTAGCTGGGATCACAGGCGTGCGACACCACACCCAGCTAATTTTTGTATTTTTAGTAGAAAGGGGTTTCACCATCTTGGCCAGGCTGGTCTCGAACTCCTGACCTCATATGATCCACCTGGTTTGGCCTCCCAAAGTGCTGGGATTATAGGCATGAGCCACTGCGCTCATCCTGATCATCTTGTCTCTCTTTTTTTTTTTTTTAGAGACAGTGTCTCACTTTGTCACCCACACTGGAGTGCAGTGGCACAATCAGTTCACTGCAGCCTCCAAATCCTGGGCTCAAGCAATCCTCCTGCCTCAGTCTCCAGACATACGGGCATGCACCACCATGCCCAGCTAATTTTTAAATTTTTAGTAGATATGGGGTCTCACTATGTTGCCCAGGCTGTTCACAAACTCCTGGCCTCAAGTGATTCTCCTGCCTTGGCCTCCGAAGGCGCTGGGATTCCAGGCATGAGCCACCATGCCCAGTCTCATTTCTGTTTTATCTAGAACAGTTTTCATCACACTGACTTTTTTGAGAAGTCCAGGCCAGATTGAAATTCCATTTTGTCTTTTTATCAGTGGAAAAAGTAGCATATTTATGTTGGAGGACAAAGATGAATCAAAGAGGAAGAAAATGTAAAACGCATTTGGGGCCGGGCGCGGTGGCTCACGCCTGTAATCCCAGCACTTTGGGAGTCCGAGGCGGGCAGATCACCTGAAGTGAGCAGTTCCAGACCAGCCTGACCAACATGGAGAAAGCTGTTTCTACGAAAAATACATAATTAGCTGGGCATGGTGGTGCACGCCTGTAATCCCAGCTACTTGGGAGGCTGAGGCAGGAGAATCGCTTGAACCCGGGAGGTGGAGGTTGCAGTGAGCCGAGCTCGTACCACTGCACTCCAGCCTGGGCAACAGTGAGACTCTGTCTCAAAAAAAAAAAAAAAAAAGAGCTGAGCTCTGATATAAGCTGCCCTGGCACACAGTGAGCTTCCAGAAATGGTCCCTTGACCTCTAAATGCACCAAGACCCAGGGAACACGCCCTGTCTGAGCACCCTGACAATGTCCCAGTCCCAACACCGTACCCTGAAGCTGTCCCCAAAGGTTCCCCTGCCACCGTCCCTGACCACTCTCTGGTATCTCAGAGCCCTAGCAACAGCCTTATAGAGGGAGGGTTCTAGGCGTGGGGCAGGCATGAGCACTGTGCTTATAACCAAGCAAAACACTCCCTCTGTGCCAACATAGGTGTGGCAGGTCACGCTGGGGTCTGTTTGCCCTGTCTGCCCGCTGCAGCCTCCTCGGGGGAGGGCCAGGGCTGTCTGTCCATCCTGTGACCCCAGGGTCTATGCGCACATATGTGTGTCTGTGCTGCTCTGTGTGTGTGTGTGTGTGTGTGTGTGTGTGTGTGTGTGTGTGTGTGTGTACACGGTGCATCTGAATTGTCCTGAGTGCTGTCTCGGGTATCCTTGAGCTGTGTGTGCGTGTGTCCCCCTAGCGGTATGTCAGTATTTTTCCCTGTGGGAGCCGCACACCTGAGGGCCAGGTGAGTCTGGGGCTGGTCCTGTGCCTGCGCATCTGTGTGCTGGCGGTGTCTGCATAGTACTCTGCGGGTACATGTATCTGTGCACCCCAGAAATGGGCAGTCACCCACGGGACCTCTCTACAGTGACCCCAAAGGATGGATAGTGAGATAGGGACAGTATGTTCTATTTTTTGTTTTTTTGTTTGTTTGTTTTGTTTTGTTTTGTTTTTGGTCACCGGGGTTTGTTGTACAGGGGCACAATATATTCTTCTCCCACCCCCAAGCCGGCCCTTTCTGCCCCTGCTCCTCCCACCCTCTGGTGTCTCACATCTCAGGGACAGGTGGAATGAAGGGTAAGTTCGCGGACCCCAGATCAGGACAACCGGGAGGCTTCCGGGCTGCCGGAGAGGGTCACAGCCGGTTAGGGGAGGGAGCCAGGAGAGGACTCTGCGCCCCTGGGGAAGGACTGGGCTAGTTCTGGGTCCCTGGGAGGAGTGAGTGGGGGGCCCTGCAGAAGGCTGGGGCGCATCGTGTGGGTGAGCATTAGAAGAGCGAGCTGGGGGCTCTAGGGCAACTAGGAACTTGGAGAGGGATGGGAGGCAGGGCTGCTGGGTCCCTAGGAAGGGCTGGAGGAATACCGGAACGCCTGAGTTCCGGGAAAGCCCCTTCCTCACTCACCCTCGCCGGACCCGGGGCCAGGTAGAAGCAGCAGCAGCAGCAGCGACGGCAGTAGCAGGAGCAGCATGATTGGCAGGCACACAGGTAGCGGCCCCATCGGAGGGTGGCAGAGGTGGGACGGTGCTGCAGGGCCACCGGAGGCACCAAGCCCGGCGGACACACACCCCGGCTGTCACGCCCCGGCTCCGCCCCCGACCTCACCTTCCCTCGCGGCCCAAGCAGAGCCAGCTAGGGGCGGGCACCTGGGGCGGCGCAAAGGCGTCCTGATCTCTGTATCTTGGTCACTGAAGGGGCTCCAGAGGCCGCGGGGCGCTGGGGACAGGACCGGGAGTCAGGCCCAGGGAAGTCTCCTCGGAATAAGGGAGGAAAAGGCGCTCTTTTGATGTTATTACTCCCCCAGCCCCTCCCCCGCTCACCTGGGCGCCCAAAGGGAACAGAAGACTTGGAGGAGGGGTAGTCCTGAATTTGCTTTAACATTTTATTTTATTTGGCCGGGCGCGGTGACTCACGCCTGTAATCCCAGCACTTTGGAAGGCCGAGGCTGGCGGATCACCTGAGGTCAGGAGTTCAAAACCAGCCTGGCCAACATGGTGAGGCTGTCTCTACTAAAAACACAAAAATTAGCCGGGCGTGGTGGTGTGGACCTATAATCCCAGCTACTTGGGAGGCTGAGGCACAGGAATCGCTTGAACACGGAAGGCAGAGGTTGCAGTGAGCCAAGATCACACCACTGCACTCCAGCCTGGGTGAGAGCCAGACTCTGTCTCTTTCTCGCTCTCTCTGTCTCTCTCTCTGTCAGTCTGGAGAGAGTTGATTGTCCCTGGTCAGTCTCTCTAGTCGAGAGAGAGAGAGACACTGAGGCTGGGCACAGGGCTCACGCCTGTAATCCCAGCACTTTGGGACACCGAGGCGGGTGGATCACCTGAGGTCAGGAGTTGGAGACCAACCTGGCCAACATGATGAAACCCCGTCTCTACTAAAAATACAAAAAATTCCCCGGGTATGGTGTTGAGCGCCTATAATCCCAACTACTCAGGAGCCCGAGGCAGGAGAATCGCTTGAACCCGGGAGGCAGACGTTGCAGTGAGCGAAGATCGCACCACTGCACTCCAGCCTGGGCAACAAGAGCAAAACTCCATCACACACAAACATACACACACACACACACACAAAATTAACCAGGCATGGTGGCACGTGCCTGTAGTCTCAGCGGCTCGGGAGGCTGATGTACAAGAATCGCTTGAATCTGGGAGGCGAAGGTTGCAGTGAACCAAGATTGCACCACTGCACTCCAGCCTGGGTGCCAGAGTAAGACACTATCACAAGGCCGGGCACGGTGACTGATGCCTGTAATCCCAGCGCTTTGGGAGGCCGAGGTAGGCGGATCACCTGAGGTCAGGAGTTCGAGACCAGCCTGGCCAACATGGTGAAACCCTGTCTCCACTAAAAATACAAAAAAATTAGCCGGGCATGGTGGTGGGCGCCTGTAATCCCAGCTACTCTGGAGGCTGAGTCAGGAGAATTACTTGAACCCAGGAGGCGGAGGTTGCAGTGAGCCAAGATCGCGCTATTCCACTCCAACCTGAGCAACAAGACCGAGACTATGTCTCAAAAAAAAAAAAAAAAATGACTCTGTCTCAAAAAAAAAAACTAGAAGTCTTGATCTGTGATCTTGGGAAAAGCTGTTCACATCAAGGATGCCATCTTTTTCTGGCGAAAAACTTCCCTCTTGTGAGATTATGAACCCAAAGTTCAAGGTCCTGAAGTTTTGCTGTATTGTGGATGGCAAGGACATTCTTTCTCTGATGTTCTCAGAAGATCCAATCTTTGGTTCTAGATTGTGAAGGAATTGATTGTCCCCAGTCAGTGAGCCATAAAAAGCTTTCAGTACCTGGTGAAAATACACTGTACCATAATGATCTACTGTTGTAATATCAGCCCTCTTGCATGGGAAAGCAACCAGAAAACATGCATTGAAAATGATAATTGACAACTGAAATGTTCAAATGGCCCATGAGGTAGCCAAATGCACCTGAAGCTTTGATTGTCTTCCCAGGAACATGAATTTGACAAACGAAACATTGGTTATGAACTATTTTAGCAATTTATAATTCAGCACACCAATACATATTTAATTTAGATCATTTTATCTTTTCCATGATGAGTCATGGAATGCAGAGTCTTTTATTTTTCATTTTTAGACAGAGTTTCATTCTTGTTGCCCAGGTTGGAGTGCAATGGCGCTATCTCGGCTCACCGCAACCTCCGCCTCCTGGGTTCAAGCGACTCTTCTGCCTCAGCCTCCTGAGTAGCTGGGATTACAGGCATGAGCCACCACGCCCGGATAATTTTTTGTATTTTTAGTAGAGATGGGGTTTCTCCATGTTGGTGAGGCTGATATTGAACTCCCGACCTCAGGTGATTTGCCCACCTCGGCCTCCCAAAGTGCTGGGATTACAGGTGTGAGCTACCACGCCCAACTGCAGAACCTTTAATAACAAACACTTTAAGGAGTCAGGAAGGACAAGGTGACCATCTTGATTCTCCATGAGTCCATGGTTAACATCGGACTTGCGTGCTCTGAATATCAGTTGTTTCTCCAGTTTACGTGCATAGCACTGATACCTAATGGGTTATCATAGGTAATTTGACTTAGACCTTGGAGTTCATTCAAATTGTATACCTAGGCTGGGCGAGCCCACAAAAAATTAGCTGGGCATGGTGGCAGAAGCCTGTAATCCCAGCTACTTGGGAGGAGATGGGAGAATCCCTTGAACCCAGGAGAAGGAGGTTTCAGTGAGGGGAGATTGCTCCACTGCACTCCAGCCTGGGCGACAGAGTGAGACCCTGTTTCAAAAACAACAAAAAAGGGGTGGTGGCTCATGCCTGTAATCCCAGCACTTTGGGATGCCAAGGCGGGTGGATCACCTGAGGTTGGGAGTTCAAGACCAGCCTGACCAACATGGTGAAACCCCGTCTCTACTAAAAATTCAAAAAAATTAGCCAGGCATAGTGGTGGGCACCTGTAATCCCAGCTACTCAGAAGGCTGAGGTACGAGAATCACTTGAACCTGGGAGGCAGAGGTTGCAGTGAGCCAAAATCACGCCATTGCACTCCAGCCTGGGTGACAGATTGAGACTCCGTCTCAAAAAAGCAAAAAGCAAAAAACAAAAACAAACAACAACAACAAAAACCAAACTGTTTATCTAAACAATTTTGGTATCGGCTGTTTTAACATGAAAATTTAGCAAAGTGTTTTTTTGGTATTCAATTAATTTTTTGTTCTGCTTGGGTTAGCAGCTTTCTTTCTTTCTCTCTCTCTTTCTTCCCTTCCTTCCTCCCTTCCTCCCTTCCTTCTTTCTTTCTTTCTTTCTTTCTGTCACCCAGGCTGAAGTGCAATGGCACGATCATGGCTCACTGCAATCTCCGCCTCCCGAGTTCAACCGGTTCTCCTGCCTCAGGCTCCCAAGTAGCTGGGATTAGAGATGCCCACCACCATTCCCAGCTAATTTTGTATTTTTTTAGTAGAGACAGGATTATACCATGTTGGTCAATTACAATTCCCCTGTCTTCATGAATCGGCTCTGTCTAGGCAGTGGGCAAGGTGAACCCCTTGAGCAGTTACAGTAGTGCCAACATGTCAAGTTTCTAGGCTCTCTCTCCCTGATCGGCCCTGGTGACCCTGTTGGACTGTATGCCAACAAACACATTGTCATGAATTAAGAATATTCACAAATAGTTTACAAATTTTGGAGAAATTAGGCAGAGACAGAAATATGACTCAAATTCTATTTATGAAAGTATACTCGCTGGACGGTGTGGCTCAAGCCTGTACTCCCAGCACTTTGGGAGGCCGAGGCAGATGGATCACCTGAGGTCAGGAGTTTGAGACCAGCTTGGCCAACATGATGAAACCCCATCTCCACTAAAAATACAAAAAGTTAGCCAGGTGTGGTAGTGGGTGCCTGTAGTCACAGCTATTCCAGAGGCTGAGGCAGGAGAATCACTTGAACCTCTGAGGTGGAGGTTGCAGTGAGCTGATATCGTACCATTGCACTCCAGCCTGGGCGACAGTGTGAGACTCTGTCTCAAAAAATAAATATAAAAAATAAAAAGCTGCTATGCTCCATTAATTCCTGCAGGCCCAACGAAGGCAGCCTAGGAATTCTAGATCAATGGAATGAATACAACTTGCTAGAAATACATAGGAAACAAAATGACTATTCACAGAACCAAATAAAAGCCTTCCACTAGAAACTAAAAATAATAATAATAATAATGGTTATATATATATGCATACACAAGCAAAGCCAGAAGAGAATAAATAGCAAATGAATGAAAATTAGAAGCAAAAACAAGTAACTAGGAAACCATCTCTACATTTTTTTTACTCAATCTACCCTGAATGCTACAGCATTATCCAGGACCCCAGAAAACACACATAATACTTTATTCCTGATAAACAATTCAATGTCCTTAAGTCCACCAATATCACCATACATTCTGTGCAATCAAGAAATTTACTCAGCTGGGTGCAGTGGCTCACACCTGTAATTCCAGCACTTCGGGAGGCCAAGGCGGGTGGATCACCTGAGGTCAGGAGTTTGAAAACAGCCTGGCCAACATGACAAAACCCCATCTGTACTAAAAATACAAAAATTAGCCCAGTGCGGAGGCACACGCCCATAATCCCAGCTACTCGGGTGGCTGAGGCAAGAGAATTGCTTGAGCCTGAGAGGCAGAGGTTGCAGTGAGCCCAGACTGCACAAGTACACTCCAGCCTCGGTGACAGAGGGAGACTCCATCTCAAAGAAAAAAAAAAGATTGTAGACCTAAAGTTAACATTGGCATGTACTTGATTATAGGAGGCCAGCAAATAATTTATTTATGAATGATCTACGGGGCGCAGCCCTTCCCAGATGCCTGAGGCCTTTTCTTGCTGAATGGACATCTATCTGGCTGTTACATGATCTTAGGAACAGCTATTCATTTGGAAAAGGGTGTCACAATGACTTTCTCTTTTGCATAAGAAGATGGGGGGCTGGGATCCTGAGATTTTAAAATTTCCTTTACAGCATACCCATATGTGCTCAAAAGTGAAAAGAGATGACAATTGGCCAGGCGTGATGGCTCACACCTGTAATCCCAGCACTTTGGGAGGACGAAGTGGACAGATCAGAAGGTCAAGAGATCAAAACAATCCTAATCAAAATGGTGAAACCCTGTCTCTACTAAAAATAAAAAAATTAGCTGGGCATGGTGGCATGTGCCTGTAGTCTCAGCTATTCGGGAGGCTGAGGCAGGAGAATTGCTTGAACCCGGGAGGCGGAGGTTGCAGTGAGCCGAGTTCGCACCACTGTATTCCAGCCTGGCAACAGAGGGAGACTCCATCTCAAAAAAAAAAGAAAAGAAACGAGATGACAATTGTAGTGCAAAATATCTGTTCCCTTTTGGTCCCCAGTGCCACTGCTACCCCATTCATCACCAATTTTTGTTGATGTCTCTTCCTGACTACTTTTTTTTTTTTTTTTTTTGGAGATAGAGTCTCACTCTGATGTCCAGCCTGGAGTGCAGTGGTGTGATCTCAGCTCATTGCAACCTCTGCCTCCAGGTTCCAGTGATTCTCCTGCCTCAGCCTCCCAAGTAGCTAGGACTATAGGCATGTGCTACCACGCCCAGCTAGTTTTTGTATTTTTAGTAGAGATAGGATTTTAACATGTTGGCCAGGCTCGTCTTGAACTCCTGACCTCAGGTGATCCACCTGCCTTGGCCTCCCAAAGTGCTGAGATTACAGGTGTGAGCCACCATGCCTGGCCTTTTTTTTTTTTTTTTTTTTTTTTTGAGATGGGGTTGAGCCTGTTGCCCAGGCTAAGCTTGAATTTATTTTTATTTTTATTTTATTTATTTATTCATTTATTTTATTTATTATTATTTTTTTATTTTTTGAGATGGAGTTTTGCTCTTGTCGCCCAGGCTGCAGTGCAGTGGCACGATCTTGGCTCACTGCAACCTCTGCCTCCCAGGTTGGGAGTAGCTGGGACTACAGCTGCCCGCCACTATGCCCAGCTACTTTTTGTATGTTTAGTAGAGCTGCGATTTCACCACGTTGGCCAGGCTGGTCTCAAACTCCTGACCTTAGGTGATCTGCCCACCTCGGCCTCCCAAAGTGCTAGGATTACAGTTGTGTGCCACTACACCCGGCCTGGGCTTGAATTTCTGACCTCAAGCAATCCTCCCTCCTCAGGCTCCTGAGTTGCTGATATTACAGGTGCATATCACCTTGCCCAGCACTAGAAACATGATTTTGTCACAACCCCAGACCCCTCTCATTCCCTTTCATAGGAAGGCACTGGGCACCAGAGAAGCTTGAGCCAAGAACCAGGGGAACCAAGATTTAAACTCATTTCTGTTGGGTGCCAAACCTCTCTCTGCCTCCTTCTATTGGAGACGGCTGGGCACGGTGGCTCACACCTGAGATCCCAGCACTTTAGGAGGCCTAGGTAGGTGGATCACCTGAGGTCAGGAATTTGAGACCAGCCTGGCCAGTATGGTGAAACCCTGTCTCTAGTAAAAATGCAAAAAATTAGCTGGGTGTGGTGGTGGGTGCCTGTAATCCCAGCTACACAGGAGGCTGAGGCAGGAGAATCGCTTGAACCCAGGAGGCAGAGGTTTCAGTGAGCCGAGATCATGCCATTGCACTCCAGCCTGGGAAACAAGAGTGAAACTCCATCTCAAAAAAATTAAAAAAAAAAAAAAGAAAAGAAAATCCGAGGCTTTGGTCCCTTTGCCTGCGACACTCTGGAGTAATTCTGTCCCTGCCTGAACGTGATCTCCTCAAGGCAAAGTCTGCGTCTCCTTCCTCTTGTGTGCTCAGCCCTGGCCTATCTGTCCCACACTAGGTGCTCAGTGAAGGTGTGCTCATGTGGAGTATGGGTTTCAGGCATACCAAGACTTGGAGTTGCAGAGGCTGTGAGTGACAAGCCTTGGAGTGCTATGCCCACTGGGAAATGGGTCTATCTCGGGGTTGGGCCAATAAGCTGGGCTCCCTCCGACGCCAGTGCTCATAGCTCCCCTACCCTGGGTGGACCCCTGCAGATGGTCAAGTATGTTGGCTCCATATGTGCCTTGAGTAGCTGGGTGCAGTAGCAGGGCATGGTGGCTCAGGCCTGTAATCTCAGCACTTTGGGAGGCTGAGGCAGGTGCATCCCTTGAGGTCAGGAGTTTGAGACCAGCCTGGCCAACATGGCAAAACCCCGTCTCTACTAAAAACAGAAAAATTAGCTGGGCATGATGGTGCACGCCTGTAATCCCAGCTACCCTGGAAGCTGAGGCAGGAGAATCACTTGAACCCGGGAGTCAAATGTTGCGGTGAACCCAAGATTGCGCCACTGCACACCAGTGTGGGGCATAGGGGGAGACTCTGTCTCAAAAATAAATAAATAAATAAATAAATAAAACAGATGGAGAGGCTGGGTGTGTGTGGTGGCTCATACCTGTAATCTCTGCACTTTGGGAGGCTTAGGTGGGAGGATCAGTGGGGCCCAGGAGTTTGAGACCAACCTGGGCAACATCTCTACCATCTCTACCAAACACACACACACAAATTAAAAAACTAGTTGGGTGTGGCGATGCATACCTACTTGGGAGGCTGAGACGGGAGGATTTCTTGAGCCCAGGAATTTGAGGCTGCAGTCAACAGTGACCACGCCACTGCACTCCAGCCTGGAAGGTAAAGTCAGACACTTTCTCAAACAATAAAAATAAATAAATAAATAAATAAATAAATAAATAAAGCCGGAGGATAATGGTGAGACATGGAGAGAAGGCATGCTAGGCAGAGAGACCTCCGTAGGCAAAGTCGAAGAGACATGAAAGAGCCAGTGTGCAAGAGTAAATTCCTAGAACTCTGGGAGATGGGAGCAGAGGGAGCTGGTACAGGTCTCCACCTGGTGTACAATCTTGGCATAAATCTCCTACCATGAAAATAAATGACATTTTCTTCTTCCGGCTTTTGTAAGTTGGAAGAAAGCAGTTTTTCTGAGGAGTCTCACTCTGTCTCCCAGGCTGAAGTGCAGTAGCGCAGTCTCGGCTCACTGCAACCTCCTTCCCCCTGGTTCAAGCGATTCTCTTGCCTCAGCCTCGCGAGTAGCTGGGACTGCAGGCATGTGCCACCATGCCCGGCTAATTTTTGTTTTTGTTTTTTCGGAGATGGAGTCTCGCTCTGTCACCCAGGCTGGAGCGCAGTGGTGTGATCTCAGCTCACTGCAAGCTCCACCTCCCGGGTTCACGCCATTCTCCTGCCTCAGCCTCCCAAGTAGCTGGGACTACAGGCACCTGCCACCGCGCCTGGCTAATTTTTTGTATTTTTAGTACAGACGGGGTTTCACTGTGTTAGCCAGGATGATCTCCATCTCCTGACCTCGTGATCTGCCCGCCTCAGCCTCCCAAAGTGCTGGGATTACAGGCGTGAGCCACAGTACCCAGCCGCAGCATGCACCTTTTTAAGGACAGTTCCTTTCTGGATCCTTCCTAAGGTTCTGATTTCTAATCCTTCCTAACCCAGTTCACTGCCCCCCCCGCCCCAACACCACCCTCGGTCCACCCATTCTGACTCACTTTCTCCTTTCCTGATGCCCACAATTTCCAACAATCAGTCTTGGCCTCAGATTCCCGCCCTTCAGGTTCCAGTGTTCCTTGGGTCCTCTCTCTCCCCTGATCCTCTCTGATTAGGGGTGGGGTGTGTGAGTTGCAATTAAACCCAGCCTTTATTGGAGTCCTAGGGCTGGATTCTGCATTGTGCTCTGTTGTGTCATTGCACCTTCTCGTTTCCGCTCTTTCTGCCCAGCTTCTTCCTCTTCATACTCTAAGCCCCGCCAGCGCATGCTGACCCCACCGGTGGAGCGCCGCTCCTTCCCACCTGCCGCTTCTCCATCTCCATCTCTCCATCTTCTGCTCCTAGCCTTTCCTGGCACGGGGGCCCTAGCTCTGAGCTCTTGCATTTTTCTGGGGCACCGTCCTGCTCCTTCTCGTAACCCCGGGCAGTGGCCCTGGGCTCCTCGTCCGGCTGCTGCGGGCCTGGGCTGCCCGGGTCAGCGTAGCCAGGCCGACAGACAGCGCAGTTCACACCCCGGGGCGGCGGAGGCAGGTGCAGTGCGAGCGGCGACCCCTGTAGGCTGGTGTGGGCGCTGCCTGGAGGCTGCTGCGGTGCCGCCTGTAGGCTGGTGAGGGCGCCGCATGGAGGTTGCCGTGACGCTCGTTGGCGCCCAGCGCCCCGCCCAGGGCTTCCTGGCTGCAGTGGCTGCTGCCCCATCCCAGGGCCGCGGGGCCCGGGTTCCACTTGGCGGCGTCTTCTCTCGAGTCGCCTTCGCTGCTCCGAGAAGTCGGCGGCGCAGCAGTTGACGCTCAGCTCGCCGCAGGTCGCCATATTCCCCGCGGAGGCCGGCTGGGCTCTCGCCTCAGGCCGCCCACCCTGCTCCGGCCGCCGCGGCCTCTCCGTTCCCGCAGCCAGAGGTGGGGAGAGAGCGACCTCCAGGCACTGGGCACCCGCCGCTTCCCCAGCAGCCGGCGGGGCGATGGAGAAAGACGCCAGGAAGCGGAAGGTCCCCGCCGGCCCGAGGGTCGCCCGGGGCTGCGCCCCATGGTTCCTGCCCACGGAGCAGCTGCCGGGACCCTCCCTGCCAAGTTGCTCCCGGAAAAGCTCTCAGGTTCTCAGGCCTGCAGGGAGTGACAGTTTCCCCCTGACTGGAACGTAAGGCTGCAAACTCGAAGCCAGGCATTTTCTGCGTATTCTTAAATAGGATGTTTCAGTCAAAGCCTTGATAATATAACCAATCATTCTGATTACAGCCTGCTTATAAGGAGAACATGTGTACATCAAAGTAAGAATATTTATGAATAGTTTCCAAACTTTGGAAGGATCAAGTAGGAAGGAAAAACAAACGCTTCCACCCACCTTTGTTCACAAAAGTGTGCTTTACCAAATCGGTGTAAATTCTAGATAACTTCTGAGAAAAAATTTTCTTCAATCTAGAAAACAAAACAAGGGCCCGGCGCGGCGGCTCACGCCTGCAATCCCAGCACTTTGGGAGGCCCAGGCGGGGGGGTGATCACCTGAAATCAGCAGTTGGAGACCAGCCTGGCCAACATGGTGAAACCCGGTCTCCACTACAAATACAAAAACTAGCTGGGCGTGGTGGCGGGCGCCGGTAATCCCAGCTACTCGGGGGGCTGAGGCAGGAGAATGGCTTGAACTCAGGAGGCGGAGGTTGCACTGAGCAGAAATCCCGCCACTGCACTCCAGCCTGGGTGACAGAGTGAGACTCCGTCTCAAAAAAAAAAAAAAAGAATGAATCAAGAATCAACAAACAACAATGTTTTAAATACGAATTATAAAAACATTATCTTAATAGATTTTTTTGTTTTGCTTGATCTTGCTTAGCAGTTTTTTGAACCATTGTTTCCTTATTAGAAGCCACTAGAAATTGGTTTTTAGTTCATTGGTTTTTATTTTTTTTATTTCTGAGACAGAGTCTCAGTCTGTCGCCCAGGCTGGAGTGCAGTGGCACAATTTTGGTTCACTGCAACCTCTGCCTCCCAGGTTCAAGCGATTCTCATGCCTCAGCCTCCCGAGTAGCTGGGATTACAGACATGCACCACCATGCCTGGCTAATTTTTGTATTTTTAGTAAGATGGGCTGGCCAGGCTGGTCTGGAACTCCTAACCGCAAGTGATCCGCCTGCCTTGGCCTCCCAAAGTGCTGAGATTACAGGCGTGAGCCACTGCGCCTGGCCCATTGATTTTTAAAAAAATATTTAGTTTTAATGTATTGAGGGGGTATAAGTGCGAGTTTCTCACATGCCTATAGTGGTGAAGCCTGGGTAGTTCATTGATCTGGGTTATCAGAAAACCATGTTCAAGAGGATTTGTTAGAGTTTTCTCCATGCAAAGCAAATTTGGGGGCCGGGCGCGGTGGCTCCACGGCTGTAATCCCAGCGCTTTGGGAGGCTGAGGCGGGCGGATCACGAGGTCAGGAGTTGAAGACCAGCCGGGCCAATATGGTAAAACCCCGTCTGTACCACCACCAGTTAGCTGGGCGTGGTGGCGGGCGACTGTAGTCCCAGCTACTTGGGAGGCTGAGGCAGGAGAATCGCTTGAACCCAGGAGGCAGAGGTTGCAGAGAGCCAAGATGGCACCACTGTACTCCAGCTTAGGCGACAGAGCCAGACTGTGTCTCAAAAACAGGAAAGAAAACAAAAGAAAATTTGGACTACTGCCAATTACAAATATTTTTAGAGAAGAATTCAAAACTAACTGTGGATGATGAAAACAATAGTTATGATAAAAGTCTGATGAAACTTCCCAGTTCACAAGGAAATTTAATTACTTTTTTTTTTTTTTTTTTTGAGACGGAGTCTCACTGTGTCACCCAGGCTGGAGTGCAGTGACGTGATCTCCGCTCACTGCATGCTCCACCTCCTAGGGTCATGCCATTCTCCTGCCTCAGCCTCTCAGCCTCCCAAGTAGCTGGGACTACAGGTACCCGCCACCATGCCCGGCTAATTTTTTTTTTGTGTGTTTTTAGTAGAGACGAGGTTTCACCGTGTTAGCCAGGATGGTCTCGATTTCCTGACCTCGTGATCCACCCGCCTCGGCCTCCCAGAGTGCTGGGATTACAGGTGTGAGCCACTGTGCCCAGCCAATTACTTATCTTATGTGCAGCATTTTAAGACAGTGATCAGAATCATGACTGACAGCATTACATCAGGACCACCAGTGTTTTATAAATTTCATATCATCTTCAGAAATAATTAATAACTTTTTTTTTTTTTTTTAGATAGATTCCAGCTCTGTCGCCCAGGCTGGAGTGCAGTGGTGCAATCTCGGCTCACTGCAACCTCCGCCTCCTGGGTTCAAGCAATTCTCCTATCTCAGCCTCCCGAGTTGCTGAGATGACAGGCCTGTGCTACCAAGCCTGGCTAATTTTTGTATTTTTCATGGAGACAGTATTTTCGTGTAATTTTCACCCTATTGGTCAGGCTGGTCTTGAACTCCTGACCTCAGGTGATCCACCTGCCTTGGTCTCCCAAAGTGCTGGGATTATAGGCATGAGTGATGGTGCCCAGCCATTCATAACATGTTTATGCAAATATAACTTTAGCAAATATTTAGCATATATTTAGCATAATATTGCTAAAGCTAAACTTTAGCAAATATTTAGCATAACAATCAAAATTACAAATCATAACATATTAAATTTGTATAAATGTATGTAATTTTTGGAACACGTATATCAACAACATACCCATAAATATAACTGAGATGAGATCTAATGTCACCTCACTTGACAGTGCCCTCCCATGCAGTATCACCACATTTGACAATGCCCGCCCATATAATCTACCAAATAAATCGAATCACTTAATACCTCTACAAGATGAGAGATGCATTCTTTAGACTCCCGAAGGGATGCAGCTGAAAAATCCCAAAGTTAATTTTAAGCCAAAAAGACCTGATTTAGGATTTTGACACTGGAGAAACCCATCAAAGATGTCAAGTTTGTAAACACTTGATCAAAACAGAATCACAGGTCACTATTAAAAAGGGTATTCATTTAACCAGAGACTTCCAAAGCAATACAGAAACTTACATGGATATAAAAACCTTAACCCTTTTAAAGGTCAGATTTGCTAAGTGATCAAAAGGGGTACTTGAATTGAATCGACACAGGAAGAGTGTGTACAGGGTTACGAGTGTAGGCAAATGGTTACTTTGGTCATATCTCCATTTGCCACCTGATTACACATGAGAATGGCATCTTTACTCACCAGAAAGCCAGTATTATGGGAGGTGTAGGAGGCATTCTTGGACTTGAGACAAGAACATTGTTGTGTAGAAATTTCATTGACTGTGTTAAAATTATTCTCCATGGGCTGGAGAACACATAATGTGGTGTTTAGAATGAGACGGGCATTGATTGGATGCAAGGTCTCCACACTTACTAGCTGTGTGACATTGGACAAAGTGCTTCATCATTCTGAGACTCAGTTTTTAAAGGAAAAACAACTAACTACCTTGCAAGCTTGCTAGCAGGTTTAAGTGTAATAATGTGTGGGAATGACTGCACCGTGACTAACACGTAGTGACAGCTTAATTAATGTTAACCCTTATCATTATCATATAAGAATGTGAATTACATAAGGGAGGAATCCTGTCAGTTCGTTCTCTGCTGTGTCCCCAAGACCATGAATCATGGCTGGCACGTAGTAGGCATTTAATAATATTTGTTCAACAAGTATTTGGCAGTCTTGGAGGGCAGAAAAGGAGGTGGGGAAGATGTTTAAATAACATTTTTTAAAAAGTCACATTGTCCTACAATACCAATTTTTCTTGCATATTTAGGAAATTGAGGGTTTTTTCCTAAAACACGCGGACATATGGGAAATAGGATGCAACATTTGCACTAATGTTTCCGACACAGTTAGAGGTTTCCAAGAGATTTTGCGCTGGGGAGGCTGCTTGCTACAAGCTCCCAAAGCTCTGGGAGGACATAGTATTCATTCCTCCCTCAGCAGAAGCGGTGAGGCAAGAAGCTCTGGGGAGCATCCAGCCTTGGACTTTTAGCATAGTGTGTCAGGTCTTCATAGTTTGGGCCCAGGGCACAGAGAAGTCACAGCTCTCCGGCATCCTGTGACCTTTACCCTCTTTGCCAAGGGAAAATGTGGCCCTCCAAAGCAAGAAACTTGAGGTCATGGGTCACCCCAGCCCTGGCATCTGCCCAGAGCCCGAGAAGGAAGGAACAATGATCCTCCAGCTACCTCACAGGGCTGGCACAGGTGGCCACTGCCCTGGCATCACCCAGCTGTGTTCGGCAGCCTGAACCCCATCTGTGGGGATGTGAGGAGGAAAATACAAAAGTCATTAGGTGAACACTGAGAAGGCAGATGCAGCAGAAGCCTCCAGGCCAGAACTACCCAGTCTTGGACCTATGGTGGAGATAGAGCATAGCTGGCGATCATGTGTACTTACACTCTAAGGTCACCTGGTTGCCCTATGGCCTCATCTGTGGCTCTGAAAATGAAGATTTGGAAGGAGATCATCACAGCTAATGTTAACAAGCCCCTCCTGTGTGCCAAATCATTCACCCCTCACCACAACCAAATGAGCTAAGGATTCTCGTTATATATAGTTTATGGAGAGGGAAGTGCAGACATAAAGAGGTGAATTATCTTACCCAGATCACACAGCTGATAAGTGGTGGAGGCAGAATAGAATCTAAACAGTGTGGCTCCGGAGCCCACATGCATTGATTCGACAAGTGTTTATTGAGCACCTGCCGCGGACAAGGCCTTGTGTGATTAAATAGGGTTATAATTAGTAATATAAAAATGAGAAATCACTAATGCTTTTTAGACTTAACATTTTCTTTCTTTGTAGGTTTCAGGCACAGAACTGTATATCCAATAATAGTGAAATGGATCCCACTAATTATGACCGAAATGATGATACATTTAAATGACTTGGATGTTTTATAGGTATGATCTCGTGAAACCTTGAGAGAAACTGAATGACGAATGAAACTATTGTTCCTGTTTCACACAGAAGAAAACTGAGGTTAAAAGGGGTAAAGTAATTTTGCATGGCATGAAGTAGAAATTCAAAGTACAGGAATTTGAACTTGGTTCTGTCCTTTTCTGAAGCCCTTGACCACTATAGACTCAAACATCACCTTGTTTTTCCACTCATTCAACACTTTTTTTTTTAATTGTCTAATAGGTTGGCACTCATCATGAGCCCCTGTTCTCATTCTGCAAATGGTGAAGCTCTCTATTGTCCTGACCCCACGGTTCCTGTCCCATGACCAGGGCCAGCTCACCAAGGAGCTGCAGCAGCACGTAAAGTCAGTGACATGCCCATGCGAGTACCTGAGGAAGGTGAGTGAGTGCAGACAGATGGGGCCTGGTGCCCTTGAGCAGTTCCCGGGTCTCAGCTGCCACACATCTCATAGCGGGTGATGCTGGGGGAAGCTTACGCAGTCTCAGTACTGGCTTCTTCCTCTTTTTCTTTCCATACAAGTGGCTTAGGGATGGGGTAGAGTAGTTGACTTATTTGGATGAAAACCACTATCTTCTGTCAGAAACTCAAAAGGAATCATTGCTGGCATGGTAACCTAAAGAAAAACAACCAGACAAGTGCCCAACGACACTTTAAAAGGTTATTTATTATCTTGCCAAGTTTAGGCTGGGCATGGTGACTCATGCCTGTAATCCCAGCATTTTGGGAGGCTGAGGCTGGTGGATCACCAGAGGCCAGGACTTCGAGACCAGCCTGACCAATATGGCAAAACCTCGTCCCTATTAAAAATACAAAAATTAGCCGGGCATGGTGGTGTCAGCCTGTAGTCCCAGCTACTCAGGAGGCTGAGACAGGAGAATTGCTGAGATTCAGGAGGTGGAGGTTTTAGTGGGCCGAGATCACGCCATTGCACTCCAGACTGGGCGACAGAGCGAGACTCTGTCAAAAAAAAAAAAAAATTATCCTGCAAAATTTGAAAAGGAAATTCAAATCAACAGCTTCTAAACTACTTTTTAACATGACTCATAATAAGAAATACATTCTACAGTACATATATATGTTCTATAATTTTGAATAAAAGAATTAACCACATCATATTTATTTTACAACATGTAATACATATTTTTTATTCTCCTTCATTTGTTTTGAATGCTCTGTGCAGTCTACAAAAAGTCCAGTAGTAATAATTAAATTATTCATTAAGTTGAACATTATCTTGTCTTTTAAAATGATAATCTCAAAAATGATCTTTTATTTTTGAGATTTATATAGATACACACACACACACAGACAGACACACACACACACACATATATATATATATATATTTTTTTTTTTTTTTTTTGAGACAGAGTTTCACTCTGTCCCCCAGGCTGGAGTGCAATGGCACAATCTTGGCTCACTGCAACCTCCGTCTCCCGGGTTCAAGCAATTCCTCTGCCTCAGCCTCTGAGTAGCTGGGACTACAGGTGTGCACCACCATGCCCAGCTAATTTTTGTATTCTTAGCAGAGATGGGGTTTCACCATATTGGCCAGGCTCGTGTCAACCCCTAACCTCGTGATCCGCCTGCCTCAGCCTCCCAAAGTGCTGGGATTACAGGCGTGAGCCACCATGCCCAGCCAAATCTAGGGCTGGAACATGGCTGCAGCATATAAAAAGAATTGAATTCCATACTTTTGTTAACCCTGTTTTTTGTTTGTTTGTAGTTGTTGCTGTTTTTGAGACAGAGTCTCGCTCTGTCACCTAGGCTGGAGTGCAGTGGTGCAATCTCGGCTCACTGCAGACTCTGCCTCCCGGGTTCAAACTATTCTCCTGCCTCAGCCTTCCAAGTAGGTGGGACTACAGGCGCCCACCACCACACCCAGCTAATTTTTGTATTTTATTAGAGACAGGGTTTCACCATATTGGCCAGGCTGGTCTGGAACTCCTGACCTTGTGATCCGCCCGCCTCAGCCTCCCAAAGTGCTGGGATTACAGGCGTGAGCCACCACCCCCAGCCCCTGTTTTGCTTGTTTCTTAGGGTTGTTTTTCTATTTATGGTAAAGGCATTGGCTTTCCATTTGTAGCATCAATAGAATATTTCCTGTTTACAATAACCTTATGTCATAGTAAATGGTAAAGGGATTTAAAGCAGTGGTTTTCAGCTGCCAGAGGCCTGAGTGAGTTTGGGCACACTCTGTGTGATCGGGCAGAAGGCCTGTGGGAAGTTTAGCTGAGGACAGGGCCAGGAAAGGTGATGGACAGTGGGGGTCTGTCCTGGTCACCAGGCCCCTGGGTCCTGCCCACCTGCTTGGAGCTCCCCACCCATCACACATGATGCGGCCAAGCCCTCTGGCTATTGTGGGCAAATACCTTAGGAGAGAAGCTGATGAACTTTGTTTCTTGAAATGCACAGATTCCTTGGACGTCCCTGAGAGCTCAGTCATGAAAGTCAGCTTGGTTTTCTCCCCCTCATTTGGGTTCAGAATTTAAAGTCCACACACACGGGCAGTAAGATGATATAGATAAGGACATCATCACTCGGTTTTGGATGTTAAAATGTCTAGGTGGGTTAGGGGTGATTTGAGATCACACAACGTTGTGCCACAAAGAGGAATTCCCCGGCCAGAGGGAGACATTTTATTGCCATGTTATGATCTCATCATTGAGTTGAAAGGCAATCTTGTTTCATTTTGGATTCTTTCTTATGTTTATGTCTTATAAGGGCACTTTGAATTTCCAAGCAAATAATAATTTTGAATTAGCTTTTAATCATTGACTTCTAGCACAGTTTTATGATCAGAAACATGCTGTGTGATTTGATTGCTCTCAAATATATTGAGATTTGCTGGAACAAAATAAGTCAGGTTAATTTTTGTAAATGTACCATGCATGCTTAAAATGAATGTATGTACATTTGTTCCTGAGATACAGGTTGATGGACGGATGGCTACATGGATGTGATGGAGATGGTTTACTATCGGGACCTTCCGCATCCTGCTGATGTTTTGTTGCTTAGGATATGAATGGCTGAGCGGAGGCTGTAAAACCTGGCACTCTGCTTGGGTATGAGGTTCTTCCTGCCATCCTGCCATCATTTGTTTTTTATGTTTTGTCGCCAAAAGTGACCTTGAGGAACCCTGGGAGCTCAGGAAGGAAGGAGCGCCCAGAAGCAGGGACAGGGAGCTGGTTGGGGAGGACCAGAAGTCAGGTTTGTGAAGGTTCCAGAGAGGACCTGGCCTTGGGAGGAGCGTGGGGGACTGAGATGGGGGAGGGGTCATTGGGATGATGCGGGCGCTACTTGGAATGTCCATTGTGAGGCACCACCGGGGTCATCAGGGATTGGTGGAGAGAGAGTCTAAAGCCCCAGGGTTGCTAAGGGAGGGCCCAGACCGAAGAAGGTTTGGTGGAAAGCAGAACCTTTGTCTCCCTCTAATTGCTCCTAAGCCTCACGCTCCCTTGCCCTGCCTGTCCTGTTGCTTCCCTGATCTTCTCCGTGACCTGTAGCTAAACCTTCCACCAGCGCTTGAGAACTTAATTTGAACCGGATCCTTTCCCAGACCCCTTTCTTCTTCTCCTCCTCCTCCTCCCCAACAGCCCCCTTCTCCTCCTTTCCCTTCCCTTACTTCCCCCCTTCCCCTCCCCTTCCCCTCCCCCTCCCCTCCCCCTCCCCAACTCAGATCCGGCCCCGGTCCCCGTCCCCTTCCCTCCCCCCTGCCCTAAGCCACCTCCACCTCTGTCCTGGCCGCCTCAGGGAGCCCTGAAAGGACCAGGACATGCGGGTGCGGTGGCTACTCTTTTGGCTCCTCTTTTGGCTCCTGCTGGGATTTATCAGCCATCAGTCCACCTGTGTGAGTAGATGGGTGCTGTGGCTGCTCTTTTGGCTCCTGCTGGGATTTATCAGCCATCAGTCCACCTGTGTGAGTAGACGCTGGACCCGCGGGGTTTCTTCCTTTTTACTGGGCTGTGTCACGCGGCATGAAATTACACAGCTCAGGCCTGTAATCCCAGCACTTTAGGGGGCCGAGGTGGGCAGATCACTTGAGTCCAGGAGTTGAAGACTAGCCAGGGCATCATAGCGAAACCCCATCTCTACAAAAAATTCCAAAAAAGATTAGTCGGGCCTGGTGGTGCGTACCTGTTATCCCAGTTACTGGAGAGGCTGAGGTGGGAGGATCGCTTGGGCCCAGGAGCTGGACGTTGCAGTGAGCCGAGATGGCCCCGCTGCACTCTTGTCTCCAACAGACAAAACGGACCAAAACAAAGTGAAATGTCATTTGATTTGTGTCATCTGGTTTGATGACTTTTTTTTGTTTGTTTGTTTTTTAGACAGAGTCTCACTCTGTCGCCCAGGCTGGAGTGCAGTGGCAAGATCTCGGCTCACTGCAACCTCCGCTTCCGGGGTTCAAGCAATTGTCCTGCCTCAGCCTCCTGAGTAGCTCAGATTACAACGCCTGGCTAATTTTTGTATTTTTAGTAGACACTGGGTTTCACCATGTTCGCCAGGATAGTCTCCATCTCTTGACCTCGTGATCCGCCTGCCTCGGCCTCCCAGTGCTGGGATTACAGGCGTGAGCCACCGCGCCTGGCCAAAATATATAACCTCAAGTGTAAGTTTACTAACTTTGGAAAGTACATACACCAGCATAAACCAACCCCCGTTCAAGATCTACATTATTTTATTTATTTATTTATTTATTTATTTGAGACAGTTTCTCCCTTGTTGCTGAGGCTGGAGTGCAATGGGGCAATATCAGCTCACCGCAACCTCTGCTTCCCAGGTTCGAGCGATTCTCCTGCCTCAGCCTCCCGAGTGGCTGGGATTACAGACATGTGCCACCACTCCCAGCTAATTTTGTATTTTTAGTAGAGATAGGGTTTCTCCATGTTGGTCAGGCTGGTTTTGAACTCCCGACCTCAGGTGATCCGCCCGCCTCGGCCTCCCAAAGTGTTGGGATTACAGGCGTGAACCACCGTGCCCAGCCAAGATCTACACTATTATGTCACCCCAGAAAGTGAACTCTCACTCTTCCCAGCCAGTCTCTTTCTTATCATAGGTTAGCTTGCTTATTCTGGAATTTCGCGTATACAGATGCATGCCATGCCATAGGTACTCTTTTGTGTCTGCTTTGTTCTGCTCAACACCATGTTTCTGAAATCATTACCATTGTTGTATGGTTCTCTAACTCCATCATTTCCATTTCAGACTCAGCATATGCTGAGTTCAACCTGTTGAAGGGCTATCTCTGTTTAATTCACCATCTTGAAAGAAACACTTAAAATTGAGATGTTTTCAAGAATATATAGTTAAATCCTGAGGAATTGATGTAGAAATGTTATCACAAGCTGTCTGAACTTACTCAGGGGAAGTCTTCGTCTTCACTCACATAAGAGTCTAATGGAATTAATATCAACAATCTTAGAGAAATCCCACACTATTCATGCCATTTTCATGATCTCCACCTTGGTAATTTTTTTTTTTTTTTTCAGACAGAGTCTCACTCTGTCACCCAGGCTGAAGTGCAGTGGTGCGATCTCGGCTCACTGCAACCTCTGCCTCACGGGTTCAAGTGATTCTTCTGCCTCAGCCTCCCAAGTAGCTGGAACTATAGGCGCGTGCCACCATGCCCTGCTAATTTTTTGTATTTTTAGTAGAGATGGGTTTCACCGTGTTAGCTAGGATGGTCTCAATCTCCTGATCTCACGGTCCACCCACCTTGGCTTCCCAAAGTGCTGGGATTGCAGGCGTAAGCCACCACGCCCGGCCCACCTTGTTAATTTTTAAGCACTAAAATTCGATACTTATTTGTGAATGAAGTAATCTCTTCATTGTATTTTTTTTTTTTTACTTATACTGAGCTTTAAATGACAAAGATTCATGTAATCCAAGAGAGAAGTATTATTTAGAGGGATTCTTTTACCATGTGATATGTAATAAATGCATCCAATGTTATACATCAATTTAAAAAACAAATAATTAAAGAAAAGATAACTACTGGCCAAGTGCAGTGGCTCACACCTGTATTCCCAGCACTTTGGGAGGCCGAGGCAGGTGGATCATGAGGTCAGGAGTTGGAGACCAGCCTGGCCAAGATGGTGAAACCCTGTTTCTACTAAAAAGACAAAAATTAGCCGAGCGTGGTGGCAGGCGCCTGTAATCCCAGTTACTCAGTAGCTGAGGCAGGAGAATCGCTTGAACCCGGGAGGCGGAGGTTGCAGTGAGCTGAGATCATGCCACTGCAATCTAGCCTGGGCGACAGAGCAAGACTTTGTCTCAAAACAAAAAGAAAAGAAAAGATAATTACTTTATACTTAGCTTGTCTTACCCATGAGTGACGGGCTGCATGTGGCCCAGGACAGTTTTGAATGCAGTTCAACACAAATTTGTAAACTTTCTTAAAACATTAGGAGATTTTGGCCAGGTACAGTGGCTCATGCCTGTAATCCCAGCACTTTGGGAGGCTGAGGCGGGCAGATTACCTGAGGTCAGGAGTTCGAGACCACCCTGGCCAACATGGCAAAACCCCATCTCCACAAAAAATACAAAAATTTGCTGAGTGCACTGTCAGGCACCTGTACTCCCAGCTACTCAGGAGGCTGAGGCAGGAGAATCACTTGAACCTGAGAGGCAGAGGTTGCAGTGAGCCGAGAGCACACCACTGCACTCCAGCCTGGGTGACAGAGTGAGACCCCATCTCAAAAACAAACAACAAACAAAAACAAAAAAAATGGCCGGGCACGGTGGCTCACACCTGTAATCCCAGCACTTTGGGAGGCCGAGGCAGGCAGATCTCCTGTCAGGAGTTCAAGGCCAGACTGGCCAACATGGTGAAACCTCATCTCTACTAAAAATACAAAAATTAGTCGGGCATGGTGGCAGAGACCGGTAATCTCAGCTGCTCGGGAGGCTGAGGCAGGAGAATGGCTTGAGCCCAGGAGCTGGAGGTTGCAGTGAGCCAAGATTGCACCACTGCACTCCAGCCTGGGCGACTGAGTGGAGCGGAACTCTGTCTCAAAAAAAAAAAAGAAAAAAAGTTTTTTTTTTTAGATCATCAGCTATTGTTAGTGTATGTTATGTGTGGCTCAAGACAACTTTGCTTCTTTTAATATAGGCAGGGAAGTCAAAAGATTGGATATCCCTGCTTTATACCAAGAATGACAACACCCCACATTTGCAATGCCTAAAAACACTACCAGCCATCTGAAAAACATGAGACTTCTCTAACTTCTGTTCTTTTTTGTAGCAGTGGAATCCCATGGTGATATCTGAGGGATGTGGTTACCTTTTGGAGGAGGTTGACGGTTTCTAAGGATGATTCTTTCTGAGTGAAATATTGTCAGTGTCATTGACCTTTTCATTATTTCAACTATTATTATTCCAGGTTATCAATACTCTGGCTGACCATCGTCATCGTGGGACTGACTTTGGTGGAAGTCCTTGGTTACTTATCATTACTGTGTTTCTGAGAAGTTATAAATTTGCCATCTCCCTCTGCACAAGTTACCTTTGTGTGAGTATACTAACTTTCTGTAGAGGTATACTTGTAATCACAAATAAGAGTAAATTATATGAAACAATTCACGTTTCTGGACTTCATTGTGAATATGTGGTTTTACCCAAAAAATCAGGGAAATGATTTATTAGCATAAGAATTATGAAAATATCTGCCATTTACATTATGAAAATTAAATAGGTCGGTGTTTAATAGAATGTCAACAGAGCTTTTGGTCAAAAATAAGTTTTTTTAACCTTTGTGCTATTTGTCACAAATGGAGTATGAGGTTTCGTCACTTAAATGGGAAAGTCTTTCTAAACTCTTCTGCTTTATAGTTCTATCGTATGGGTGGAAGGAAAGCTTCCAATCTCCTCTCTGAAGATTCACTGCAGAAATGAGCTGACAACAGACAGCTTAACAGGAAAAGAAAAACATAGAACAGACATAAACATGGGAACCAGCTGAAAAATGAGACTGCTAGAAGGGCTGGATGGTTGATGCTTAAAGAGCACCCTCTTCTGAGGGGAGAGGGAGATAGATGGAGATGTAGGCCATTTAGAGGGGCAGCAAATGATTTTTAGGGGAAATGAAAGAGCCCAAGGAACAAACAGTTGGCCTGAGACAAAGTTCCTCGGAGGTCATAGGGACGAGGTGACAAACTGCCGGAAGGTGAAGGGCAGAACTGCACTGCGTCTCATGATGCAGAGAAAGCCCCAGAGAATCTCTTAGAACTGCCCTCCAAGAGAATCAATGAAAAGTGTGTCTGGGCAGGGTAATTTTGAATGACATCATTCAAAGTGCATGTTCCCACTTGCAACTGGAGAGAGATCAGTATGTCAAAAGTCTGTACTTGGTAAGAATTTGGCTGCTAAGTTGTGCCATAATTTGTCTTTTGAGCCTTTTATCCTTTGGGTAAGTTGAGCTCTACATTTTGTCTTGCCATTCATGACAGTAAAAATGTGGTTGTCTGGGGGCTGAACCTCCTTCTGAACAATGATCCAAGATAAAAGTACTAATACCACAATGCTTTTTGATATTCAAGGGAAGAGGAAGTATGTTTCAGTTTTACCGCCTAGATAATTACACGTCATTTGGCACTGCCTTTCAAGATATGTAGAAAACAGAAAATATATGAGTTATGAAGATATCTAGGCACATTTAACATTCTCTATGCCACTTAGTCCTGAACAGAGAATTTTCGGTATAAATTGGAGGAAGCTTTTTTTTTTTCTTTTCTCACCCCCAAGACGAGTCTCCCTCTGTTGCCCAGGCTGGAGTATAATGGTGTGATCTCGGCTCACTGCAACCTCCACCTCCTGGCTTCAAGTGATTCCCCTGCCTCAGCCTCTCAAGTAGCTGGGATTACAGGTGCCCACCACCATGCCCAGCTAATTTGTGTATTTTTAGTAGAGTCGGGGTTTTACCATGTTGGCCAGGCTAGTCTCAAAACCCGACCTCAAATGATCCACCCGCCTCAGCCTCCCAAAGTGCTGGGATTACAAGCGTGAGCCACCACGTGAGCCAGGGGAAGTTTTTAAATTTACCACTTTTTAACAATTCCATTAGGAAAGTTCAGTTGAGCTATTGGACTTGGACAACTTTGCACCTCTCATCTTTGTCCTTGTCATCTAGTCATCTATACCATTACCTCCTAAGCAGGGACATCATGGGTGCCATGAAGCATTCATGTGTGATGGCATTTCTTTGCTTCTCATTTCTTCATGTGTTTGACATTTCTCCTAGCTCCAAACTGGGCCAGCTACCTTTCCTATGAAATCTAGCAGTAGCTGTGGGATAGACGTGGTTTCTCTTTTCATCTTTTTAGATTACCCATTGCTTCTCTCGAAATCCTAGTACATGATTTTTTTTTCATCCTATGTGCAGAAATCAGGAAAAAACAAATTCTACAAAGAATTTGAAAGATATTATTTCAGGCCAGGTGTGGTGGCTCATGCCTGTAATCCCAGCACTTTGGGAGGCTGAGGCAGGTGGATCACTTGAGGTCAGGAGTTCAAGACCAGATGGGCCAACATAGTGAAACCCCATCTCTACTAAAAAGACAAAAATTAGCCAGGCATGGTAGCAGGCACCTGTAATCCCAGCTACTTGGGAGGCCGAGGCACAAGAATCGCTTGAATCTGGGAGGTGGAGGTTGCCGTGAGCCAAGGTAGCGCCACTGCACTTCAGCATGGTTGAGTGACACTCCGTCTCAAGAAAAAAGTCATTTCAATGACTACCTCAGGAGATTCATAGGTATCTGACCCACATCTGAGATGGGATTTGCATTGCATTTTAGCTATGATGAGAACAAATATTTAATATCTTAGAAGATTAAAAGCATACTGTGATAATATGGAAATCTTGGCGGGAATTCAGTCATTAGTGAGAATGTTTTGCGTTAAGTTCAAACCAGCCTCAACGAAGCTGATGTGAGGGAAGGGAAAGTGAACTCTGAGTAGAGCAGGGACAGAAGAAAGATGCTCCAGTGCAGATCAGGAAGGAGCAGGGGGTGAAATGTTACAAATTCTAGAACTCAGAGAGCTGAAGGTAATTAATTACTTCCTTTTCAAGTTGTGAAACATGTTAACCTGTGGTAAAATACTTACAAGATGATAATTACCATCTAACCGTGTTGAAGTGTACAGTTCAGTTGTGTGAAGTATATTCATGTCATTTTTTTTTTTTTTTTTTTTTTTGAGACGGAGTCTCACTCTGTCACCAGGCTGGAGTGCAGTGGTGGGATCTTGGCTCACTGCACCCTCTGCCTCCTGGGTTCAAGCAGTTCTCCTGCCTCAGCCTCCCGAGTAGCTGGGACTACAGGCGTGCGCCACCATGCTCAGCTAATTTTTGTATTTTTAGTAGAGACGGGGTTTCACCATGTTGCCCAGGATGGTCTCCATCTCTTGACCTTGTGATTCACCCGCCTCGGCCTCCCAAAGTGCTGGGATTACAGGCGTGAGCTACCGCACCTGGCCTATTTTTTTTTTTTTTTTTTTGAGACAGAGTTTCAATTTTGTTGCCCAGGTTGGAGTGCAATGGCACAATCTCAGCTCACCACAATCTTTTCCTGCTGGGTTCAAGTGATTCTCCTGCCCCAGCCTCCCGACTAGCTGGGATTACAGGCATGCACCACCATGCCTGGCTAATTTTGTATTTTTAGCAGAGACAGCGTTTCTCCATGTTGGTGAGGCTGGTCTCAAACTCCCGACCTCAGGTGATCCGCCTGCCTCGGCCTCCCAAAGTGCTGGGATTACAGGAGTGAGCCACCGTGCCAGCCTCATGTCATTCTTTGTGTGTGTGTGTGTGTGTGTGTGTGTGTGTGTGTGTGTGTGTGTGTGTGTGACAGAGTCTCATTCTGTCGCTCAGGCTGGAGTGCAGTGGTGTGATCTCGGCTCACTGCAAACTCTGCCTCCCAGCTTCAAATGGTTCTCTGCCTCAGCCTCCCGAGTAGCTCGGATTACAGGCGCCCACTGCCATGCCCGGCTAATTTTTGTATTTTTAGTAGAGACGGGGTTTCACCATCTTGGCCAGGCTGGTCTTGAACTCCTGACCCCGTGATCCACCCTGCCTCGGCCTCCCAAAGTACTGGGATTATACGCATGAGCCACCGTGCCCAGCCGTCATTCTTATATTATTATTTCCTAGGTGTCTTTCCTGAAGACTATCTTCCCGTCTCAAAATGGACATGATGGATCCACGGATGTACAGCAGAGAGCCAGGAGGTCCAACCGCCGTAGACAGGAAGGTATGGCTCTGTTGGAGTCCCCATAGTGTGGAAATGAGTTTGCCCTGGAAAGGGAAAGAACAGCTTCTTGCCCTCAGGTTTCTCACCTTCTCCTCTCCTCACTCTCACCAAGGGCTGAGGTCCGTTTGTATGCACACAAAGAAAAGAGTTTCTTCCTTTCCAGGAATTAAAATTGTCCTGGAAGACATCTTTACTTTATGGAGACAGGTGGAAACCAAAGTTCGAGCTAAAATCTGTAAGATGAAGGTGACAACAAAAGTCAACCGTCATGACAAAATCAATGGAAAGAGGAAGACCGCCAAAGAACAGTAAGATGTGCCTTGACACAAATACTGTTGTATGAACCATGTGCCAATCAAAGTAGACAACTGTAAAGTCCTTGAGAATATTTTCTACAATATTTGTGGCAAATTCAGTGGGTTCAAAATTGAGTTTGTCCTTTCTGCTTCATTAGTTTAAGCTGTATAATTCCTTTCCCTTCCTACATTCTTGTTTGTCATTTTTTCAGGGGAAGAGGAGTTGCTAGTACTGGCATTGGTTTTCCTTTCTCTCTCTTTTTTTTTTTTTTTTTTTTCCTGAGATGGGGCTTTGCTCTTGTTGCCCAGGCTGTAGTGCAATGGCACAATCTCAGCTCACTGCCTTTTGGGTTCAAGCAATTCTCCTGCCTCAGCCTCCCAAGTAGCTGGGATTACAGGTGCCCACCACCACGCCCAGCTAATTTTTGTATTTTTACTAGAGATGGGGTTTCACCATGTTGTCCAGGCTGGTCTCGAACTTCTGACCTCAGGTAATCCACCCGCCTCAGCCTCCCAAAGTGCTGGGATTAGAGGCGTGAGCCACCACACCCAGCCTTTTTTTTTTTTTTTTAAATTTTGAGATAGAGTCTCGCTCTGTCGCCCAGGCTGGAGTGCTGTGGTGCAATCTTGGCTCACTGCAACCTCTGCCTCCCAGTTTGAAGCAATTCTGCCTCAGCTTCCCGAGTAGCTTGGATTACAGGAGTGTGCCACCACATTTGGCCAATTTTTTTTTTTTTTTTTTTTTTTTTTTTGAGACAGAGTCTCACTCTGTCACCCAGGCTAGAGTGCAGTGGCAAGATCTTGGCTCACTGCAACTTCCGCCTCCCAGGTTCAAACGATTCTTATCCCTCAGCCTCTTGAGTAGCTGGGACTACAGGCATATGCCACCATGCCCGGATAATTTTTGTGTTTTTAGTAGAGGCGGGGTTTCACCATATTGGCCAAGCTGGTCTAGAACTCCTGACATCATGATCCGCACACCTCGGCCTCCCAATGTGCTGGGATTACAGGCGTGAGCCACCGTGCCCAGCCCAATTTTTGTATTTTTAGTAGAGACGGGTTCACCATGTTGGCCAGGCTAGTCTTGAACTCCTGACCTCAGGTGATCTGCCTACCTCAGCCTCCCGGTGTGAGCCACCGCACCCAGCCTGGATTGTTGAATTCAATGCTCGGGTCACCTCCAGATTCATTTTCACAGTCTTTCATGTTTTGGTCATATTACATTGTATTTTGCTGCCATATGACTGATCTTTTTTTGTTAAATGTGAGATACTTGTTAAAAAATATTTAGCAATGAATTGAGGCCTAGTAGCATGTTATCTTGCTGCAGAAGAGATGGGAGTCTACTTCTGGGGGATGGTCAGGGGTCCTCCATACAGGCTGCAATTGAGGTCGTCAGTGCAGGCTCAGTCCCTACAAAGGCCAGGGTATTTCCTGTCCACCTCTATTCTGATGCATGACTCTTCTGGGTCTCAACCAGAGCCAGTGGACTTCAGTATGGGTCGCTTTCATTGGCAGACCCTCAATCCACTTGTTTTCCATCTAACCCCACACATGTGTGCAAAAGCTGCTGTGCTTCTTTGCATCTCAGTAGTTCCTTCTGGAATTCAGCAATGAAACTCAGGGAAATGGGTTCCAAATGCGAGGCTGACTTTCGTCCTGGGTTTCCTTCTTCTCCATCTTCACCTCATGTCTGTTTACTGCCATGTGAGCAATTTGATGTATTCAGTCATGGGTTTTATATTCTGTTTGGTGTCCCCCATTGTTCTCATCGGAGATCAGAAGCTTCAGATGCACTTATGTCAACTCAAGAGTAGAATGCTTCCTTAGCTTCCCTCCAGAGTCAGGTTTTGTGTTTCTAGTTCCCAAGTGCACAGCAGGAGTAGTGCTGTCCTCACTGGCTTCTCATTTGCATTAAACTGTGAGCTTCTTTAGCGTGGGGACAGGACCCTGCTCCCATTGCATTGTCAGCACCTCACCACACACACCTTGTTTGAGGCCACTCCAGACAGCATGTGCTGAAGGATGCCCTGTGGTCAGAAACAAGTTCATTAACTTTCTCTTTGAAGTGTTTTCGTCTCTGTTTCCTAGCATTCTGGGAATTTTACACATCCTTCCTATAAAACCAAGTATCAGGTGAGATCCTTAGGATCAGGACCATGAATCAAGTGGTGTGAGGGCAACACAGCAAACTTACCCTTTTGAGGCCGTTTCCTTTTTCTGCCCTCAATCTCTGTGAACTGAACCTTGTTAAAGTCAGTCAACACCAGGGTGGATGGTTTGCAGTTGTCACCTATTTTCAGGACATAACACCCTGACTTAGGAGCCATTCCGATCATTTCTAATTCAATAGATGCGCCCAGCATTCAGATTGCCTTTTCAGGATCTTTAAAGTCGATGACAAGAGTTCCAGTCCTGAATCATGGCAAAGTGCAGTAGTGAACTGCGGGGTTAATGACACCATATTCTGGAAGGATCTCTCTATGGCTGATGGTCTCAGTTCCGGCATCAGCCTCTGACTGAGAATCAGGTCTCACACAGGAGGAGTCAGATGAGGAGCAATCCTCTGCCTCCGATGGAGTTAGTTGTGATGAATTGGTGAGGTCTGGTTTTTCACACTGAACTAAAATGAGCTTTCGCTGTGTCAAGCACAAGACTGACCCCAGAGACACACATAGTGCACCTCATAGAAGCTTTTAATAGTCTTTATATTTACTAAAGAATAGGACTAACTATGGAACTATGAAGATGAGCTGGAAATGACAGGTGACTTGCCAGCAGGCCAGAGTGTGATTTTTTTTTTGTCCCTCAATGGGAGGTGTCCATTCTCCCTTTGCTTGTGAGAATCAGTTGGTTCATTTGTGGGAAGGTTGCAGGGGGGATCTTTGAATCAGCCTTCAGATGCCAGAAGGGCAGAGGGAATCCCACACGGGCTGGTGGATCATGTGTGTGCATTTCTCTCCCTTCTAGTCTGAGGAAACTAAGCATGAAAGAACGTGAGCACGGAGAAAAGGAGAGGCAGGTGTCAGAGGCAGAGGAAAACGGGAAATTGGATATGAAAGAAATACACACCTACATGTGAGTTCAGAAACTGAACCCCACCCTCTTGGGAAACGCCCATTGGAGTGTTGTTTTTAACCTTTGTACAATGTTTAGACCCAGTAAATGCAGAAATAGAAACAAATGGTCAGAAGACATATCGTGAGAGAGAGAGAGAGTTCACAAAACAGAAAACAAAGTACCTTAATATTTACCAGTGACCAAAAGATGTGAAGTAGCAAAACGGCTCCTGACCCCATTGCCAGCTAGACTGTGTGGAAACTCGGTTCATACCAGCCATTCTAGGGGTGGGGTGAGTTGTTGTCATCCTTAGGAAAGTGTGTTGTTGTAGGATCAACCACATCCTTCAAAAGGACTATGCCTGTTTATAAGCCCAGCTGTTTCTGCCCTGTGAAACACGGTAAAGATATTAATACAAAGAGAATACAGCTTTATGATAAAAGATGCTCAATGAAGGATGAATTAGGGATATACTGAGAATGGGGAAGGAAGCTATCATCTCAGAAGTCAGCAGGCAGTAAGCAAGAGGAGGAATCAATACAGCAACAGTTTGGATCAGACTGTACAGTTTTTTTTGTTTTTGTTTTTGTTTTTGTTTTTCTGAGATGGAGTCTCGCTGTGTCACCCAGGCTGGAGTGCAATGACGTGATCTTGGCTCATTGCAACCTCTGCCTCCCAGGTTCAAGTGATTCCCCTGCCTCAGCCTCCTGAGTAGCTGGGATTACAGGTGCCTGCCACCACCCCCGCCTAATTTTTTGTATTTTTAGTAGAGACGGGGTTTCACCGTATTAGCCAGGATGGTCTCAATCTCCTGACCTCGTGATCCATCCGCCTCGCCCTCCCAGAGTGCTGGGATTACAGGCGTCAGCCACCGTGACCGGCTCAGACTGTACTCTTACAGCCATCTGAAATACGTTTTCTAGGTAGAGATAGATTGTGTAAGGGTACAGTTGTGAGGATAACAGAAACATGGCAGATTATTTAAAATCATCCTGAAAGTGGTGCTTTATCTGATGAAAGTGATTGTAATCCATAGGGAAATGTTTCAACGTGCGCAAGCGTTGCGGCGGCGGGCAGAGGACTACTACAGATGCAAAGTAAGGAGCTTCCTCCCCGCAGTTGCAGGATAGTTCAGTGCTGATGCAGATGATGCCACGGCCCTTAGACTCTCTCAACATTCAATTTCTCATGTGTTGGCTTTTTCAGATCACCCCTTCTGCAAGAAAGCCTCTTTGCAACCGGGTAAGTTTGCTTGTTTTCCTTGCTTTTGGACATAGTCTGCCAGGTCAGGACATGGATACATTTTTCTCCCTACGGCTCTGTGCTCAAGCCCTGCAGAGGGAGATGGCAGAGAGGAAGGCTGCCTACAAGCATCACAGTCCCATCCCTGTTGGTAACCGTGTTGCGCAAAAACACCTTCATCCCCACCCAGTGGGGCCCCCATCTAATATTCTAAGTGTCAGAGGTTCCGTATTTGTAATAGCAAATGGGCCCTGACTGTAAATTAGTGAAGAGTGAATGTAACTTATTACCCACAGGGACAATTCCAAATGAAGGCCTTAAATGATGCTCAGCTAAGCTGGTTCTTGTGTGGCCTCTGTACCTTCAAAAGCTGCCGAGTCCTATGATTACACGCGATGGGACTTGTACACTTGAAGTGAAACACAGTTTTAAAACTTGCTTTGTTTAGAATTCCCACCTCATTTTTCCATGGACAAAAGTATTCTTTAGGTCCTAGTGCACTTACAATTTGGTATTACCTGGGAGTGAAAAGAAATATTACAGCCATGCCTAACTGACTTCTTGAGGTAAGATTGTTCTGTCAGAAAACCCTCTCCCAGTTCCCCTGCAGCTCTTCAGGAATCCACATCTCTCCAGAGCTCTTTGTTCTCATGGGTGGCACCTCCAGAGTGAAGAAGATCCTTTGTCAAGAAGGGAAACAGAGGGGAAATGAGAGGGTCCTGCAGGCAGAGCTGGAATCAACTTCCACTCTGCCTCTTGCAAGCTGTGTGACCCTGGGCACAATTTCTCCTTCCTCTGGAAACCTCTGTTTTCTTAGATTTGGAGCAGGGTGGTCACACTGACCTTGCAGAGTTCTGAGAATCAGAGACAGAACATAAAAGGCCTGGAAAACATTCTCCAAAAAGAAGCTGCAACATGTGTGGACAATGGGCTTTTCATGCCTCTCTTACTGTCTCTTACTGTCTATTGACCTGGTGCAAGAAACATGCTCTGGTGATGGCTGTGAGGGAGGAATGAGGATAGACATAGACACTCCTGTGTCTCAAACATGCTTCTTTATTACTCTGTTATGACTCTGTCTTCCCTGGGGCAGGACCCCAGCCTGCCTACATTTGCAGACAGACACAGTGGCATGTGGAGACAACAGTGTGTCCCAATGACTTTTCTTTACCCCCCAGCTGTCGGCAGTACTCAGTGGAAGGGTGATATTATGACACTGACACTGCTATTTTGAAACCTGGAGGATGGAAAGGTGCAAAAATCTATCACCAGCAACAGAAGGTGCAGACTGTGTTGGTGGCGGTAATTTTGTCCATCAAATGAATATGTGTGAAAACATTCCCTCCTTTGGCCCTACAGGTCAGAATGGCGGCAGCGGAGCATCGTCATTCTTCAGGATTGCCCTACTGGCCCTACCTCACAGCTGAAACTTTAAAAAACAGGATGGGCCACCAGCCACCTCCTCCAACTCAACAACATTCTATAATTGATAACTCCCTGAGCCTCAAGACACCTCCCGAGTGTCTGCTCACTCCCCTTCCACCCTCAGCTCTACCCTCAGCGGATGATAATCTCAAGACACCTGCGGAGTGTCTGCTCTATCCCCTTCCACCCTCAGCGGATGATAATCTCAAGACACCTCCCGAGTGTCTGCTCACTCCCCTTCCACCCTCAGCTCCACCCTCAGCGGATGATAATCTCAAGACACCTCCCAAGTGTGTCTGCTCACTCCCCTTCCACCCTCAGCGGATGATAATCTCAAGAAACTAAGGAAGAATAAATAAATAATATAAAAATAAAATGAATACTGCAGTCCTTATGTTATTGCTTTGTTTCAATATCTGGTATGATTGCCTGAGGGACCTGAGGTTTTTAATCATAGGGGTTTTTTTAATCTTTAGAAGTGGTTGGTTATGTAAAATATTATTATTTGTTTTTTTTTTGAGACTGGAGTTTGCTCTGTCACCCAGGCTGGAGTGCAGTGGCTCGATCACAGCTCACTGCAGCCTCAACCTCCTGGGCTTCAAGCAATCCTCCTGCCCCAGCCTCCCAAGTAGCTGGGATCACAGATGTGTGCCACCACGCCTGGCCAATGTTAAAAAATCCTTTAACTTTTTTGTAGAGATGCACTCCTGGACTCAAGCAATCCTCCTACTTGTCCCGACCACCAGCCTCTTTCTGATAAACATTTACACTGTTTATTATCTGATGCCATTTCTATCTTCTTCCTTGTCATCCAGACATCAAAGAATTAGGTTTCTTCAGGGTTTTCTTTTTCAAGTGCTCAGTGTTAAAGATCACTCACATTAGGGCCAGACACCACGGCTCATGCCTGTAATCCCAGCACTTTGGGAGGCCGAGGCGGGCAGAGCACTTGAGGTGGGGAGTTTGAGACCAGCCCGGCCAACTTGGTGAAACCCCACCTCTACTGAAAAAATACAAAAATTAGCTGGGCGTGATGGTGCATGCCTGTAGTCCCAGCCACTTGGGAGGCTGAGGCATGAGAATCGCTTGAACCCAGGAGGCAGAGGTTGTAGTGAGCCGAGATCACATCAGCACACTCTAGCCTGGGTGACAGAGCGAGACTGACTCAAAAAATAAATAAAATAAATATCACTTACATTAGATATACCCAAGGGGTGGTCTATAGAGACTTGGAAGCAGTGGTTATTGCAACAGGGGCACGGAAGTCATCTGGCTATGCCAGGGTGCCCAGGGGATACTCGGGGTGGGTGGCATGGTGCTGCTGGGGACTCACCGCACAGGACGCTCTGATTGACGCACTGCCAGGAGTAGCGCTCTGTCTTGGGGCTGCAGCCGGCCTCCTCAGCTCGAGTGTAACAACAGTCGTGGCCATGGCAGCACCTGCGGATGTCACATGGGCAGGACAGCAGGTGGGTGAAGCTCTCTCCTGGCCCTCCTCTCTTGCCAGGACCATGGGTGACTGAAGACCCCCAGGGAGGCACAGCATCCTCTTATCTAAGATTTTTTTTTTTTTTTTTTTAAGAGACAGGGTCTTTCTCTGTCGCCCAGGCTGGACTGCAGAGGCACAATCATAGCTCATGGCAGCCTTGAACTCCTGGGCTCAAGCGATCCTCCCACTTCAGTGTCCCAAGTAGCTGAGACTACAGGCACACGCCAGCATGCCTGGCTGGTTTTTTAATTTGTATTTCCTTTGAGACAGCGTATCTCTCTGTTGCTCAGGCTGGAGTGCAGTGGCTCAATCAGCTCACTTTAGCCTTGAACTCCCGGGCTCAAGTGATACTGCCACCTCAACCTCCCAAGTCTGCTACTACAGGAACACAGACTCCTTTTTTAAATTTTTTATGGATATGGGGTCTCACTATGTTGCCTAGGCTGGTCTCGAACTCCCAGGCTCAAGCAGTCCTCCTACCTCAGCCTCCACAAATGCTGGGATTACAGGTGGGAGCTACTGTACGCCTGGCCTTATCTAAGCTGTTTCCCTGAAAATCCCCGTCTTGGGTAATGATTCCATTGGCCCCACCATGCCCTCTGCCTTCCTGGCTGTGCCCAAGCTTGGTCCCTGCCTGCCTGCCTGCCTCCCTCTCTGGGTCTTGAGCTCCTGTGACACATGACTCCTCTCTCTTCCTGGAGTGATCCAAGCCCTGCCACTTCCTGACTTTGCCCACACTGTACCCTCTGCCTGGGGCAACTTCATGTCTGCCCATTGTCCCTTAGGCCTCAGCCCAGGCACAAGCCCCTGCCTCCGGAGGTCATCCAGGCCTCACCAGGCTACACCCTCTCGTAAAATTGGATTCCCTCCCTTCAGGGCAGGTTTATAATGAAATCCTCCTCAGAGGCCAGGTGCGGTGACACCCATCTGTAATCCCAGCACTTTGGGAGGCTGAGGTGGGAGGATCACTTGAGGCCAGGGGGTCGAGACCAGCCTGGGCAACATAAGAGAGACTCTTGTCTCTATAACAAATTTAAAAATTAGCTCACCAGGCCAGGCTCAGTGGCTCATGCCTGTAATCCCAACACTTTGAGAGGCCGAGGCAGGTGGATCACGAGGTCAGGAGTTCGAGAGCAGCCTGACCAACATGGCGAAACCCTGTCTCTACTAAAAATACAAGATTAGCCAGGCATGGTGGCACGCACCTGTAATCCCAGCTACTCGGGAGGCTGAGGTAGGAGAATTGCTTGAACCCAGGAGGTGGAGGTTGCGGTGAGCCAGGATCACGCCATTGCAGTCCAGCCTGAGCAACAGAGCAAGACTCTGTCTCGAGACAATAAAAACACACAAAAAATTAACTCGCCATGATGGCACATGCCTATAGTCCTAGCTACTTGGGAGGCTGAGGTGGGAGGATTCCCTTCAGCCCAGGAGTTTGAGGCTGCAGTGAGCCACTATGATTGTGCCACTGCACTCTAACCTGGGCAAAAGCGAGACCCCAGGCTAGAGTGCATGATTTTGGGTCACTGCAACCTCCACCTCCCAGGTTCAAGTGATTCCCCTGCCTCAGCCTCTTGAGTACCTGGGACTACAGGCATGTGCCACCACGCCTGGGTAATTTTTGTATTTTTAGTAGAGACAGGGTTTAGTAGAGACCATGGTGAAACCCCGTCTCTATTAAACAAATCTCTACTAACCCCATCTCTACAAAAAACAGCTGGGCGTGGTAGTGCACACCTGTAATTCTAGCTACTTGGGAGGCTGAGGCACGAGAATCATTTGCATCTTGGAGGCAGAATTTGCAGTGAGCTGACATCGCACCACTGCGCTCCAGCCGGGATGACAGAGCAAGACCCTGTCTCAAAAAAAAGAAAAAGGAACAAACAACAGCAACGACAACAAAAAAACCTCTGTGTCAATCACAGCCTACAAGCTAGGGGAGAGGCGGCCGAATTCTGCCCTCTGCTAACTAACTATAGCTTTGTGGAAATGGGTGAGTGGCGTGCCCTTGTGAGCCTCAGGGCCCCATCTGTAAAATGGGCATAACTGTCATGCCCGTCTTTAAGAACAGCCTTGGGGGTAAATGAGTGGAAGTCATGGAAAGATCTCAGCCCACAACCTTCCACAGAACAGACGCTTCTCACACAGTAAGTAGCAGGAGTGCAGAGGCTGCAGGCATGAATCCAGCCAGACTGCCTGGGTTCAAGTCCCAGCTCCCACGTCTTGGTAACTATGTGGCCTCAGACAAGTTACTTAATATTTCTTTTTTTTTTTTTTCAGACGGAGTTTTGCTCTGTCACCCAGGTTGGAGTGCAGTGGTGTGATCTCGGCTCATTGCAACCTCTGCCTCCCGGGTTCAAGCAATTCTCCTGCCTCAGCTTCCTGAGTAGCTGGAATTACAGGCACCTGCCACCACACACAGCTAATTTTTGTATTTTTAGTAGAGACGGGGTTTCACCATGTTGGCCAGGATGGTCTCGAACTCCTGACCTCGTGATCTGCCTGCCTCAGCCTCCCAAAGTACTGGGATTACAGGCGTGAGCCACCGCACCTGGACACGTTACTGAATATTTCTGTGCCTAGGTTTCTTCATGTGAAATGGGATTGTTGTGAGAACACAAAGGGATTCCCAGGGCAGTTCCTAGTGCATAGTCTGGCTGCCTTTGTATGTGTGTGTGTGTGTGTGTGTGCGTGTGTGTGTGTGTTTAATATAGAGACAGGGTCTCACTCTGTTGCCTAGGCTCGTTTCAAACTCCTGGGCTCCAGTGATCCTCCTGCCTCGACCCAAAGTGGTGGGATTACAGGCATGAGTCAACACACCTGGTCACTTTATATTATTTTTTTTTTTCTTTTGAGACAGGGTTTGGCACTGTTGTCCAGGTTGGAATACAGCGGTGCAATCTCAACTCACTGCAAACTCTGCCTCCCGGGTTCAAGCAATTCTCCTGCCTCAGTCTCCCGAGTAGCTGAGATTACAGATGCCTGCCACCACACACAGCTAATTTTTGCATTTTTAGTAGAGATGGGGTTTCACCATATTGGCCAGGCTGGTCTTGAACTCCTGACCTCAAGTGATCTGCCCGCCTCGGCCTCCCAAAGTGCTGGGATTACAGGAGTGAGCCAGCGCTCCTGGCCAATTTTTTAAGGCAACGTTTTCAGCCCATGGCCAGGGTAAGGCACAGCTAGTACCAAGATCTGGCTTCACTGGCCATGTTATCCAAGAGGCCTCTGCCTGCCTGCAAAGTAGTACTGCACACTGGGATCTCCCTGGACCAAACCCCAGCTTCAGTTTTGGGTACTTCCTCATAAGCCTTGACTACCCCAGAGTGTGAGGGATTTTGTGGCCTGGTCCCAGGCATGCACTCACCAGTCAATGGCATCGCGGGGCTGGCCATGGCCTCCCAAGCCACAAAAGCAACCATATTTCACATAGGCGATGGGAGTTCAGGGACCAACACAACCCACAATTCCTGCCAGTTCCAGGATCCCACGCCGGTGCACACATAATATCCTGGAGGCTGGGGGGTAAACAAAGGTGACAGGCTGCAGGTCAGGGCTTCCCAGACCCCTGGGAAGGGCATGAGCCTGAGAAGAGCCTAGGTATTACAGCCTGGCTGTCTGGGTTTGAATCCTACTTCCTGGCTGTGTGACCTTGGACAAATTCCTAACCTCTCTGGGCCTTGGTTTCCTCATCTGTGAAATGGGGGATAAGCTGACTTCAACTCATATGAATGAAATGAGATAATGAGTATAAAGCCCCTGGTGCATGAAAAGGCTATTATAATCCGGCTGGGCTCAGTGGCTTACACCTGTAATCCCAAGATTTTGGGAGGCCCAGGCGGGCAGATCACCTGAGGTCAGCAGTTCAAGATCAGCCTGGCCAACATGGTGAAACCCCATCTGTAGTAAAAATACAAAAATTAGCCGAGCATAGTGGTGCACGCCTGTAATCCCAGCTACTAGGGAGGCTGAGGAAGGAGAGTCACTTGAACCTGAGAGGCGAAGATTGCAGTGAGCCAAGATTTTGCCACTGCATTCCAACCTGGGCGACAGAGCAAGAGTCTCAAAAAAAGAAAAAAAAAAAAGGCTAACTATTATAATCAAGGTCCTCAAGGTAGCCAAGGAGGGAAAAGAGTCGTGCATGAAACCTTTGTCCAGTTCCCTGTGTTGGGCACTCGGCATCATATGAGCCTACAGGTGTCTGTCACCAAGGTGGGCTCCTCTGTGGCAGCTCCCAGGCCCTGGCACTGCCCTGTGCTCATGACTTTTCCTCCAGACTCAGGCTCAGGGCCCTTGGTATCTCCTCTTATTTTCACTGCCAGACAGGAAGGCCCCTTGGCCTGAGCCCAGCCATTTTTCTAGATCCTGGCACAGCTTGGACATGTAATGGTGCCCAATGCATGTGACTGGAACCCCTGCATTGGACATGTAGGAAACGAGGCCAGCCGGGAAAGGTAACCCCACATTCCCACAGCCAGCAGGAACTCAAGCAGAGGCTTCAACCCAGGCTTCTGACTTGCAAACCAGTGCTCCTTCCTCCTTACACAGTAACAACAGGGGAAGGTGGCCTTCCGGGTTGCCAGAGCCGAGTGGTACCAGCAATAGAGTGGAAACTCACACACAGGCTTGCCTGCTTCCTGGTTTAGGTTTAGGGTTTATACGGCTCCGGGAGGTTGATGCATTGTGTTTGATCATCCCTTTTTTTTTTTTTTTTTTTTTTGAGACAGTGTCTCATTCCTGTTGCCCAGGCTGGAGCACAGTGGTGTCATCTTGCTCACAGCAACTTCTGCCTCCCAGGTTCAAGCAATTGTCCAGCCTCAGTCTCCCGAGTAGCTGGGATCACAGGCGTGCCCCACCACACCCAGCTGATTTTTGTATTTCTAGTAGAAACGGGGTTTCACCATCTAGGCTGGGCCGGTCTCAAACTCCTGACCTCATGTGATCCACCTGCTTTGGCCTCCCAAAGTGCTGGGATTATAGGCGTGAGCCACTGCGCTCATCCTGATCATCTTGTCTCTCTTTTTTTAAATAGAGACAGGGTCTCACTCTGTCACCCACACTGGAGTGCAGTGGCACAATCATAGCTCACTGCAGCCTCCAAATCCTGGGCTCAAGTGATCCTCCTGCCTCAGCCTCCAGACATACGGGCACGCACCACCATGCCCAGCTAATTTTTAAATTTTTAGTAGATCTGCGGTCTCACTATGTTGCCCAGGCTGGTCACAAACTCCTGGCCTCAAGTGATTCTCCTTCCTTGGCCTCCCAAGGCACTGGGATTCCAGGCATGAGCCACCATGCGCAGTCTCATTTCTGTTTTATCTAGAACATGTTTTCATCACACTGACTTTTTTGAGAAGTCCAGGCCAATTTTAAATTTCATTTTGTCTTTTTATCAGTGGAAAAGTAGCATATTTATGTTGCACGACAAAGATGAATCAAATAGGAAGAAAATGTAAAACACATTTGGGGCCGGGCACAGTGGCTCATGCCTGTAATCCCAGCACTTTGGGAGGCCAAGGCGGGCGGATCACCTGAAGTCAGGAGTTCCAGACCAGCCTGACCAACACGGAGAAACCCTGTTTCTACTAAAAATATAAAATTAGCCACGCATGGTGGCGCATGCCTGTAATCCCAGCTACTTGGGAGGGTGAGGCAGGAGAATCGCTTGAACCCGGGAGGCAGAGGTTGCAGTGAGCCGAGCTCGTGCTATCACACTCCAGCCTGGGCAATAAGAGTGAAACTCTGTCTCAAAAAAAAAAAAAAAAAAAACACACGAAAATAAAACGGCATTTAGAGTTGAAAGCTTCACCTTCCTCTCTGGATGGTGAGTCCTCACTCTCCCAGCAGCCCACGCCTCTGCCTCAAACCTCCATGGCTCCCATGAGTCTGGATAAAGCTAAGGAGTCTCACTGCACCCCAAGTCCTGGGGGTAGTCAGCCCCTCTCACCCCTCCCTCATCCTCTCACACAAGAGTCATTTACTGTCCCTCCAGTTATGCCCGGTCACGCAGACACTCTGCTGCTCAAATGCCCTCACCCCATCCTCAGCCTGCTCCCAGGCCACCTCCCTCCAGAATCCACCTCGCCTGCCAGGTGGCCATAGGGACCCTCGCCATACTGTCTGCTTGTGGCAGTGCCCTCCGGCCTGGGGGGTCTTCCAGAGCAGATCTCTGGCCAAGCGCAGTGGCTCATGCCTGTAATCTCAGCACTTTCAGAGGCCAAGGCAGGTGGATCACCTGAGGTCAGGAGTTCGAGACCAGCCTTGCTAACATGGTGAAACCCCGTCTCTACTAAAAATACAAAAATTAGCCGGGTGTGGTGGTGGTGCATGCCTGTAGTCCCAGCTACTCAGGAGGCTGAGGCAGGAGAATCTCTTGGACCCGGGAGGTGGAGGTTGCAGTGAGCCGAAATGGTGCCACTGCACTCCAGCCTGGGCAACAGTGAGACTCTGTCTTAAAAAAAAAAAAAGAAAGAAAAAGAGCGGAGCTCTGATATAAGCTGCCCTGGCACACAGTGAGCTTCCAGAAATGGTCCCTTGACCTCTAAATCCACCAAGACCCAGGGAACATGCCCTCTCTGAGCACTCTGACAATGATTTGCATTTCTCTAATGACCAGTGATGATGAGCTTTTCTTCACATGTTTGTTGGCCACATAAATGTCTTCTTTTGAGAAGTGTCTGTTCATATCCTCCGGCCACTTTTGGATGGGGTTGTTTTTTTCTTGTAAATATGTTTAAGTTCCTTGTGGATTCTGGATATTAGCCCGATGGATAGATTGCAAAACTTTTCTCCCATTCTGTAAGTTGCCTGTTCACTCTGATGATAGTTTGTTTTGCTGTGCAGAAGCTCTTTAGTTTAATTAGATCCCATTTGTCAATTTTGGCTTTTGTTGCCATTGCTTTTGGTGTTTCAGTCATGAAGCCTTTGCCCATGCCTATGTCCTGAATGGTATTGCCTAGGTTTTCTTCTTGGGTTTTTATGGTTTTAGGTCTAACATTTAAGACTTTAATCAATCTTGAGTTAATTTTTGTATCAGGTGTAAGGAAGGGGCCCAGTTTCAGTTTTCTGCATATGGCTAGCCAGTTTTCCCAACACCATTTTAAATAGGGAATCCTTTCCCATTCTTGTTTTTTATTACAACTTTTTACCTAAACATTCAATAGTTTTCACTAACTTTTTGGCAATGAGGCAGCTGAGTCTAAGTAGGTTAAATCACTTATCTGAGGTCACACGGCAGGACAGTGCTTGTTCTGCAAAGTTAAGTGTGTTTCTTTTTGTGGACCATGAGAACATCTCCAACTGCCCTTTTTGACTTGGCCACCAGGGAACTCAGCGCCATGTTCTCAAATCCAGTTTAGTAACTGGCCTTCTGGCCTGTATATCTTTATTCTACCTTCCATCCTGCTCTGTTCTGCTTTTACCTCTTATTCTAGATTATCTTTCTTTAGTCCTAATTTTAAATTTATATCTATAATCTTGTTATATATATTTCTTGGCATCTACTGTAAGTGGGTAGTGAACGAATAAACAAAATGTGATGAATTTTAGAGGACTAAGAAGGGCCTAAGTCACACCAAGATTCATGCTGGATAATTTGTCATCGACCCAGACTGTGATTCTGCACTCGCCAGTAACCAGTTTTTTGTTTTTTTTTTTTTTTTTTGCTTTTTGCCAACCATACATTTTGCTTTCATGGTATGGAAGTGGTTTAAGCTTATGGCTTCCAGCCTGCAGTGGCTATGAGGGGTCAGTCTCTCATCAGGAGGGGTTGGCAGACTCTGTTCTCAGATAGGCAGCAAGGATGGAGGTGGGGCAGGAGCAATTTCACTACCTGCGTGGCGTCTGGGTCTTGCTTAGAGAAATAATTCCAGGCTCTGCTGCTTTCGACTCTGTCTCTCATGGTTCCACTGATTCCTGCAGAGATCTAGAGAGAAAATTTCCAGCGAGGAGTTTCTGGCTCGTTTGATTTTGAACACGTTTTGAGTATTCCACCCCTTACCCCCCCGCCCCCACTCACTACTCTGTAGTTTTTTTTTTTTTTAAGAAAACAGTTTGAAAGCACAAATAAATAAATAATTCAAAACAGAGGGGCCATTTTTATTTACTTTGGTTGTTTCAGGATAGGGAAGGGAGCTTACACTTTTTTTGAACTCTTATTCTATGCCAGCCGATGTGCTGCATTCTTAGCTTAAAAGCCTGCTTCTCTTTGATTTCAGAATAACTTGGAAATAAATGATCAGACCCTGCATGCTCTGATCCTGGCTGTCTGCTCTAACTAAATCTCCTCTTCCTTGCTTCCTCCAGCGAGTTGTTCTCCCTTCACCTCCCAGCACAAGCTTTGCACGTGTTGCCGTCTGTCCTACAAAGGTCCGTCCCTTCCCAGTCTCCGTGTGACTCCCTCCTTCACACCCATGGTTCTCCACTGAAATGTCCTTTGAGCGCGTCTCAGATGCCTCAGTCTAAAGTAGATGATTCCGGGCTGGGTGCAGTGGCTCACGCCTGTAATCCCAGCACTTTGGGAGGCTGAGGCAGGCAGATCACCTGACATCAGGAGTTCAAGTCCAGCCTGGCCAACATAGTAAAACCCCGTGTCTACTAAAAATACAAAAATAAGCCAGGCATGTTGGCGGGTGCCTGTAATCCCAGCTACTTGGGAGGCTGAGGCAGGAGAATCGCTTGAACCTGGGAGGCGGAGGTTGCAGTGAGCTGAGATCACGCCACTGCACTCCAGCCTGGGTGACAGAGCAAAACTCTGTCTCAAAATAAATAAATAAATAAATAAATAAATAAATAAATAAATAAAGTAGATGATTCACAGAAACCTCTGTTCTTTTAGAGCACTCTTCAACACTTTTTATGCTTTTTATGTTTGATTTCTAATAAATATGTTTCTTTCACTATACCATAAGTATATTCCTTCTTCTAAGTTTCATTAAGGTAGAATCACGTATGTCTTATTTCCTGTTATATCCCTAAGTACCTAGCATGTAGTAGGCATTCAATAAAAATTGATTGAATGATTGAACACTCAATCCCATGATTTGAGTGTTTTTTTTGTTTTTGTTTGTTTGTTTGTTTTGAGACAAAGTCTTGCTCTATCACCCAGGCTGGAGTGCAGTGGTACTATCTTGGCTCACTGCAATCTCTGCATCCTGGGTTCAAGTGATTTTCTTGCCTCAGCCTCTCAAGAAGCTGAGACTAACTACAGGCATGTGCCACCATGCCCAGTAATTTGTTTTGCGTGTGTGTGTATTTTTAGCAGAGATGGGGTTTCACTGTGTTGGCCATGCTGGTCTTAAACTCCTGACCTCAGGCCATCCACCCTCCTTGGCCTCTGAAAGTGTTGGGATTACAGGTGTGAGCCACCACGCCTGGCCTTTTGTAATTATTCTAACAGCTACTACTTATTAGGTGCTGACTATATGCCAGGCACTGTGCCAATTGATTTATTTATTTTCAGGGATTGGGTCTTGTTCTGTCACCATGGCTGGAGTTCAGTGGCACAATCATAGCTCGCTGAAGCTTCAAACTCCTGGGGTCAAGCAGTCCCCCTGCTTCAGCTTCCCAAGTAGCTGGGATTACAGAGATATACCATTACACTCAGCTAATTTTAAAAAATGGCTGATTTTTTTTTCAGAGATGGAAAAAAAAACAAAAAACAAAAAACAGCTACTACTTATTAGGTGCTGACTGTATGCCAGGCACTGTGCTGATTTTTTTTTAATGTTTTTTATTTTTTTAGAGTTGGGGTCTAGTTCTGTCACCATGGCTGGAGTTCAGTGGCATGATCATAGCTCACTACAGCTTTGAACTCCTGGGCTTAAGCAATCTTCCTGTCTCAGCTTCCCAAGTAGCTGGGATTACAGGCATGGGCTATCACACCCAGCTAATTAAAAAGACATTTTATTGTATAGATAGGGGTCTGGCTATGTTGCCCAGGTTAGTCTCAAACTCCTGGCTTCAAGCGATTCTCCTGCCTCCACCTCCCAATGTGCTGGTGTTACAGGTGTGAGCCATGGCACCTGGCCCTGTGTTGATGTTTTACATACAGCATCTCATTTAATCCCCACCAGGATCCTGTGGGGATGGATTGGATTATCCCCCACTCCTTGGAAGAGCTTAAGGATACCCAACCAGTTGGTGATTGAGCTGGGATTTGAACTCAGGCATTCTAATGGCAAAGCTGTGCCCCTTCCACTCTACCATCGTGTTCCTCTCCAGGGGAGGTGTCCCTGCAGTGCTGTGACTTTGTCGTCGAACATGTGCTGAGGTACGTGAATCCTCTGGAGAAGAAGGGCAAAGGAACAGGCTTTCCAGGCAGGAAGCCCCTGCAGGCGAGGGAGGAAGGCTGCAAGGGACATGGTAGGAGGTATCTTGCTCCCCATAGCTGGGCTGGGAGGATGAGATGGCTGAGAGCCAGGAGCCGGGCTGGGGTTAGGCTCATATCAGCCTGCAGAGGGCTTTGGGGAACCCAGGCTTTGGGGCCAGACAAACATAGCTTCTCACCCACCTGATCATTTCCTCTCTGTTGTATCCTATGTTTCTGGGTCTCAGTTTCCTTATCTATGAAATGGGGATACCATGACCTGTTCTGCCTGCTTCATAGAGTGCTAAGGAGCAGATGACATAACGTGTGCAAAAGCAGCTGTTCTTATTTCTATCACTTATTTTCATTATCGCTATTCTCAAGCAGGCAGACTGTAATTTTTTACCTCTTTCTTTTTTTTCACCCTTGAGTTGTTTGGAAGTTATTTTTAAAAGTCTTTGAAGTGTCCTTTTCCGTATTTGGCAAAAGCAAAATGGAAATTGATAGCATTGTCACCGTCGGCATCCCCTCACTCCGGCCGCCTGGCTGGGGGACAGCTCTGGGAAAATGTGGAGATGTCTGTTGTGGGCGGCTGGTTTGTTATTGCGTGAATTTTTCTGGTGAGACCTGACCAGCTCCCTTTTAAGGCAATTTCTTGTGTTCTTGTTCCTCCTCTTTTCTTTTCCTGCCAATGTCAGGTCCTTTGTGCCATCTCCAGGCTCAGAAATCCGTACAGCCAGAGTCGGTCCCCAGTTTGGCCACTTCCAGCTGAAAAGCTTTCCCATGCCTTCCCTTTAACTTAGAATAGCATCCAAATCCTTCATTGTGACCAAGGCCCTGTGCAGTCTGCTCCTGTCACTCTCCTCTCCATTACTCAGCTCCAAAAGTGTCACCTCCCTTGACTCCTCCAATGCCCCGCATGGTTTCCAGCCCCAGGGTCTTTGTGGGGTCTTTGCCAGGAATCCTGTTCCCCATTTTTTTGTTATGGGTAGCTCTTTCTCATCTTTGACATCTCTGCTCCAGAGTCAACTTCACACATGGCTCTTCCCTAACCCACACTAAAAAATAAGCCTCCTTAAAGAAAAAAAGAGGCTGGACGTGGTGGCTCATGCCTGTAATTCCAGTGCTTTGGGAGACTGAGGTAGGAGGATCACTTGAGACCGGGAGTTTGAGATCAGCCTGGGCAACACATTGAGACCCCATCTCTACAAAAAAAAAAAAAAAAAAAAAAAAATAGCGAGGCGTGGTGCTGTATACCCATAGTTCTAGCTACTCTGGTGGCTGAGGCAAGAGGATTGCTTGAGCCCAGGAGTTCGAGGCTGCAGTGAGCCGTGATTGCACCACTGAACACCAGACGCAGTGTCATGTACTTGTAGTCCCGGCTGCTTGGGAGGCTGAGGTGGGACCATCTCTTAAGCCTGGGAGTTTGAGGCTGCAGTGAGCCCTGATCATCCCTGTGAATAGCCATTGCACTGCAGCCTGAGTTACACAGATACGTCTCTTAAAAAATAAATGAAAAGAAAAGCCTTTTAAATTCAGTGTCTTCGCATAGTTAGTCCAACCTTAAGGAGTGTTACCAGATACAAACAGGATGCCCAGTTACATTTTTTTTTTTTTTTTTTTTTTGAGACAGAGTCTCACTCTATCCCCCAGGCTGGAGTGCAGTGGCATGATCTTGGCTCACTGCAACCTCTGCCTCCCAGGTTCAAGTGATGCTGATGCCTCAGCCTCCCGAGTAGCTGGAATTACAGACGTGCACCACCAGGCCTGGCTAATGTTTGTATTTTTAGTAGAGATGGGTTTTTGCCCTGTTGGCCAGGTTGGTCTCGAACTCCTGATCTCAGGTGATCTGCCCACCTTGGCCTCCCAAAGTCCTGGGGTGACAGGCGTGAGCCACCATGCCTGGCAAAACTTTGTAGCCCAGTTTGTTCTATTTTTTTTTTTTTTTTTTTTTTGAGACAGAGTCTCGCTCTGTCGCCCAGGCTGGAGTGCAGTGGCATGATCTTGGCTCACTGCAACTTCTGCCTCCCGGGTTCAAGTGATTTCCCTGCCTCAGCCTTCCAAGTAGCTGGGAATATAAGTGCGTGCCACTGCACCCAAATTTGAAGCTTAGATAAACATTGAATAATTTTCCAGTATTACATCAGATACATAACTTGTATTTAAAAAATCATTCCTTATTTCACTGGATTTAAAATGGAATTGGGTGTCGTATATTTTTACTTGTTAAGTCTGGCAACCCTACCCTCTAGAGAGAGGTGTTGAATGAATGAGTGTGAAGTCCTTAGCTTAGGGCCTGGCACTCAGTAGGTGCTAAGTAAATGTCACCTGTCAGCATCTTCCTCCTCCTCTTCCTCCTCCTCTAGTTGCTTCTCAGAGCTAAGGTCTCCCTGCTCCTTTTTTCCTCTATGGAAATGGATGAGAAAAGGTTTTCTAACAAGGGGCCATCACCTGGATTTTTAGAATAGCATAAAATATTCTCTGCTGCAGCTTCGGAATCCGACTGTGCTGGTGTTTGGCAGGAAAATGCAGTGAGTTATCACAGAGCGTTCCCTCCAGCACTGGGTCATGCAAATATTTATTGCGAGCGTTAAATAATAAATGGAGCAGCCTGCCCAATGGTAAATCTGTCATGTTTGGTTTCAGCCAGGAGTTGTGATGGCCCTGGAATCGCTGCCCGTTTCACCGCATCCACCTGCCCTCTAGAGGAGCAAGGCAAACAGCCGAGTTCTCTGGGGTGGCATCAGTGGGCTGGTGTGGAAGCCAGAGGGGCAGTGAGGGGAGTCAGCCAGGCATGGAAACTGGCAGGTAAGGCAGCCCTGTGGCCCAGGAACCCAAGCCGCAGCCACGCCGAGCAGGCCTGGACCTTTGAGTCCCTCTGCCACCACAGTTCTCAGGGGACACGGTCTCATTGTCCACATCTGGATTTATCTTTCCGTATTTCCCTCATTGCTCTTGTCAGCTTCACTCTGGCTGACTGGCTGGAGCTGGCAAGCTTCTGAAAGTGGAGTCAACCTTCCGACCCTTTTTCTAGGCTGAGTGGTGGGTGGAGGAATGAGACCGTGTGTTGGACTCAAACTCGATGCAATAACGTTTCCCAGCCCCTGTGGTGTGCTGGGGCTCCTAGCACACATCCTCTTGTTTAACCTCAGCATTGCAACCTGAAACACAGACACGTGGGTTCTTGAGCCAGATGCCTCTGAGTTGGAATCCTATCTCTGCACTTAACAAGCGGTATGACCTTGAGTGAGCCACAGTTTTTCAGAGCCCCTGTTTCCTGATCTGTAAGGTGGGGGAGATGGTGGCACTCACCTTATGGGGCTGTTATGTATTAGTCCATTGAGGTGTCTTAGCCTGTTTTGCGTTGCCATAAAGGAATACTTGAGGGTGGGTAATTTATAAGAAAAGAGGTTTGTTTAGCTCACGGTTCTGCAGACTGTACAAGAAGCATGATGCCAGCATCTGCTTCTGGTGAGACCTCAGGAAGCTTTTCTTCACTGTGGAGGGTGAAAGGGGAGCAGGTGTGTCACATGGTGAGAAGAGGGGTGAGAGAGAGACAGGAAGGGTGCCAAACACTTTTTTAACAATCAGACCTCGCCGTGAACTAAAAGAGTGAGAACTCACTCATTACTCAGGGAGGGCACCAAGCTATTCATGAGGGATCTGCTCCCACCACCCAAATACCTCTCGCCAAGCCCCGCCTCCAACATTGGGGATCACATTTCAACATGAGGTTTGGAGGGGACACACATCCAAACTATCTTATGAGGTAGTAGGATAATGTAGGTGAAGACTTGCACAGTGCCCGGGACCTGGGGACAAATGCTAGCTCTAATGGTTAATAATGGTCCAGAGAAGAAAATAACTGCTCAGATGCACAGACATGACTGCACTAGTCAACCATGCAGGTATGAGTCCCCATCCTAGAGTATGGGGTGCATAGAGCTCTAGCCCACCATTATTGAGTTGTAGAACTAAGGCTCCAATCTGGGGCTTTATGGATCCCTAAATCATGCCCTTTCACCTTCCCCATATCTGCTTTATTCCTCATAGGGTGGCAGGGAGGGTGGAGCTCATGCCTGGCCTTAATCATCATGGCCTAAGTTTGGTAGTGTCCAAACAGTGGTGAGGGGTGAAGTTGTAGGGTTGCCAGGTAGGTTGTGTTTGGCTTCAAATCACTGAGAACCCAACTGGAAGTGGTGTAGATGCTAATGGAAGTTATTGTTTCTCTGCAGGGGGCCATGTGGTTAATTGATTCAGTGGCTCCATTGTGGAATGGTGGGCCTTGTTTCCTTCCACTTTTCCACTATTCCATTCTTAGCAGCTGGCTCTTGCCCTCAGCCACACCCCATCATGGTCTCAAGATAATATGGACAAGAGAGAAGAGAGCCTTCTTCCACTTGTTCCCCGCTTGTTTTTGAGACAGGGTCTCGCTCTGTCACCCAGACTGGAGTGTAGTGGTGCAATCATAGCTCGCTGCAGCCTTGAACTTCTAGGCTCAAGTGATCCTCCTTCAGTTTCCTGAGTAGCTGGGACTATAGGTGCATGCTACCATACCCAGCTAACTTTAGAGTTTTTTCTAGAGATGAGGTCTCCCTCTGTTGCCCAGGCTGGTCTCGAACTCTGGGCCTCAAGTGATCCTCTTGCCTCAACCTCCCAAAGCACTAGGGTTACAGATGTGAGCCACCACGCCCAGCCCATCTGTCCCTTTTTATGATCATTTTCTCATTTTCTCAGAAGCTGCCAGCTGACTTCTCCTTCATCTCATTGGTCAGAAATGTATCACGTGCCCTTTTCTAAGCCAGTTGCTGGCAAGGGAATGGAATTCCCAAGGTTGCCTTAGACCAGTGCTTCTTAAAGTGAGATCCCCAGGCCAGCAGCATCTGCCATGTCTAGGCAATTTTAAGAACTGCAAATTCTCAGACCCCAGTTCAGACCTACTAAATCAGAAACTCTGGGGTGGGATCTATGTTTTTATTTATTTATTTACTAGAATCGGGGTCTCTGTTGCCCAGGCAGGAGTACAGTGACACTATCATAGCGCATTGCAGCCTCCAACTCCTGGGCTTGAGCGATCCTCCTGCCTCAGCCTCCCATGTAGCCAGGACTACAGGTGTGCACCCCCACACCCAGCTATTTTTTTTATTTTTTGTAGAGACAGGGTCTTGCTATGTTGTCCAGTCTGGTCTCAAACTCTTGGCTTAAACAATGCTCTGGTCTCAAACTCTCGGCCTCCCAAAGTGTTAGAATTACAGGCGTGAGCCACTGCGCCCGGCCCATAGTCTATGTTTAAACGTGCCCTCCGGGGGTTTCTGATGGACACTGAGTTTGAGAACCTCTGGCTTCCTAAGATCTTTTCCTCTGAAGAGCCAGAGAATAAATATTTCAGGCTTGTGGCCACACAGTTTCTGTAGCAACCACTCTGTTCTGCTGTTGCAGTGTGAAAGCAGCTATAGATGATAATAAATAAGTGAATGGGTTTATTTATGGAGACTGAGATTTGAATTTCATCTAATTTTTATGTGTTAGGAGATATTATTACACTTTTGATCTTTTCTAACTACTTAAAAATGTAAAAGCCATTTCCAGCTCCTGAGCCGTACAAAAGCAGGTGGTGGGCCGGGTTTAGGCAATGGCTTGCCAGCCCTCCATCAGACTGCTCAAGATTCATCCCCTGAAACTGGGGAGAGCCTAATAGTCTTAAAACACAGAGAGCCCCAGATTCTTTAGAAAATTGGAATTTGGGCTGGGTGTGGTGGCTCACATCTGTAATCCCAGCACTTTGGGAGGCTGAGGTGGGAGGATGGCTTGAGCCCAGGAATTTGAGGCCAGCCTGGGCAACATAATGAGACCCCATCTTTACAAAAAATAAAAATAATAGTCGGACGTGGTGGCATGTACCTGTAGTCCCAGCTACTCAGGAGGCTGAGGCAGGAGGATCTCTTGAGCCCAGGAGTTTGAGGCTGCAGTGAGCTATGATCACGCCACTGATTGCAGCCTGGGTGACAGAGCAAGACACTGTCTCTGTCTAAAAAAAAAAAAAATGAAATTGGGCCAGGCGCGGTGGCTCATGTCTCTAATCCCAGCACTTTGGGAGGCCAAAGTGGGTGGATCACCTGAAGTCAGGAGTTCAAGACCAGCCTGGCCAACATGGCGAAACCCCATCTCTACTAAAAATACAAAAATTAGCCGGACGTGCTGGTGGGTGCCTATAATCCCAGCTGCTCGGGAGGCTGAGGCAGGAGAATGGCTTGAACCTGGGAGGCAGAGGTTGCAGTGAGCCGAGATCGTGCCACTGCACTCCAGCCTGGGCAACAGAGCGAGACTCTGTCTCAAAAATAATTTTTTAAAAAAAGGAATTTGATGTATAAGGAAGAAGGGTCAAATTGCTGCTGTTTGTTCACCTGCAGCACTTACCATGATAGGCCTGTGTCCAGGTCAGCTAAGAGTCAACTTCCTTAATGTCTCGCTTTTAAAGTCTCAATTTAGTTTTATTCCTTGGGTAGATTTTTTTCCCATAAGTTATTGGGGTACAAGTGGTATTTGGTTACATGAGTAAGTTCTTTAGTGGTGATTTGTGAGATATTGGTGCACCCATCATCTGAACACTATACGCTGCCCCATATTTGTAGCCTTTTGTCCCTCGACCCCCTTCCACTCTTTCCCCCAAGTCCCCAAAGTCCATTGTATCATTCTTATGACTTAGGCAGATTGTTCATCTTCCCACTGAAAGGCAGTCTTCATTGTCCTGAAAAGCCTGGTTATAAGCTGTTCTCTTACCCGAAACACCAGCTCAAATTCCCAGGTGGCATCAGAGCATAGGAAGGTAACAGGACTGGTTTCAAGCTTCCTGCACGTGATTTGTGACTCTTTAAGAACAAAAATTCTAAATGCCATTTGTAGATGGAGCAACAGAATATCAAAAAGTTTAGAGGTGTGATGTCTAGAGCTACCTCTTAGCTTCCCAATTCTGTAATTTTATGCCACTTCCCTGGGTAACACACTCCCTGGAAGGCCAGCAATCCTACGGCCTGGCCAAGGGCCTCCCTCTTTCCTTAGTAAAAGTTAATAATAATAATACTGATAAAGGGCCGTGCGTGGTGGCTTACACCTGTAATTCCAGCACTTTGGGAGGCCGAGGCGGGAAGATCACCTGAGGTCAGGAGTTCGAGACCAGCCTGGCCAACATGGAGAAACCCCATCTCTACTAAAAATGCAAAAATTAGCTGGGCGTGGTGGCACATGCCTGTACTCCCAGCTACTCAAGAGGCTGAGGCAGGAGAATTGCTTGAACCTGGGAGGTGGAGGTTGCAGTGAGCCAAGATTGCACCACTGCACTCCAGCCTGGGTGACAGAGCAAGACCCTGTTTCAAAAAAAAAAAAAGCAAAAAGGGCTGGGCGTGGTGGCTCATGCCTGTAATCCCAGCACTTTGGGAGGCCGAGGCGGGCGGATCACAAGGTCAGGAGTTTGAGACCAGCCTGGCCAATATGGTGAAACCCTGTCTCTACTAAAAATACAAAAATTAGCCGGGCGTGGTGGCAGGCGCCTGTACTCCCAGCTACTTGGGAGGCTGAGGCAGGAGAATTGCTTGAACCTGGGAGGCGGAGGTTGCAGTGAGCCGAGAGTGCACCACTGTACTCCAGCCTGGGTGACAGAGCGAGACTCCGTCAAAAAAAAAAAAAAAAATACTGATAATGACAGTGCTAACAGCAATAATAGATAGCTAACAAGTGTGGAGTGCTTATCCATCTTCTAGTCCCCACCTTCCTTTAGCCCAGGAGTTCGAGGCTGCAGTGAGCTATGATTGTGGCACTGTACTCTAGCCTGGGCAACAGAGCAAGGTCCTGTCTCTAAAAAAATAAAAGCATAAAAATAAAATAACCAAACTTTTTATTAACCTTCTACCCCCAGAGGGCCCCCTCCCTCAAATAGCTCATTAACTAGACCTGGTTTGCATGCCCACCCCCTCTAGGGACTGAGCCCAACTTCTGAGATAGGGACCCTTGAAAGAACTGGGGTTCTGTTAGCAAGAAGAATTAAGACAAGAGGATGACTTTTGGTGTTGACAGTGTCTGCCCCTGTTTTTTGTTTGTTTGTTTGTTTGTTTGTTTTTTTGAGATGGTGTCTCGCTCTGTCACCCAGGCTGGAGTGCAGTGGCGTGATCTCAGCTCACTGCAACCTCTGCCTCCTGAGTTCAAGCGATTCTCCTGCCTCAGCCTCCCGGGTAGCTGGGATTACAGGCGTGTGGCACCACACCTGGCTGATTTTTGTATTTTTAGTAGAGACGGGATTTCACCATGTTGGCCAGGCTGGTCTCGAACTCCTGACCTCAGGTGATCCACCCGCCTTGGCCTCCTAAAGTGCTGGGATTACACGTGTGAGCCACCGTGCCCAGCCTGCCACAGTTCTTTACACATTTGATCTTTAGCTCACCCAACAACCTTGTAAAAATATGATTGCTACCCATAATTTTCAAATAATCTACGTATGCGTAAGAGAGAGAAGTGATTCCCCAAAGATCACGCAGCTAATAAAGTGGAAGGGAGAACCCAGGCCCACCTGGCTCCGAAGCTCACACTCTTTCCACTAAGCTGCCTGCTTCTTTCATTGGAATAGAGGTTCTCAATCGTGAATGGTAGGAGTGGGGTGGGGTGAATTTTGACCCTCGGGTGAAATTTGAAAATGCTTGGAGACATTTTTGGTTGTCATAATTGGGAGAAAGGGTGTGATATTGGAATCTAGTGGATAGAGGCCATGGATGCTGCTAAAGTTTTTATAGTGGGCCGGGCGTGGTGGCTCATGCCCATAATCCCAATATTTTGGGAGGCCGAGGTGGGTGGATCACCTGAGGTCAGGAGTTCGAGACCACCCTGGCCAACACGGTGAAACCGCGTTTCTACTAAAAATACAAAAATTAGCCAGGCGTGGTGGTTGGTGCCTGTAATCTCAGCTACTCGGGAGGCTGAGGCAGGAAAATCACTTGAACCCGGGAGACAGAGGTTGCAGTGAGCTGAGATAGCGCCACCGCACTCCAGCCTGGGCGACAGAGCGAGACTCTGTCTCAAAAAAAAAAAAAAATATAGTACATAGGACAGCCCCACAACAAAGAATTATTCAGCCCACAATGGTGCCAAAGTTGAGAAACCCTATATACTAAAACAAGCTCTTTGAGGGCAGGGATCATACTACCTTGACTACCTTGTTCAATTCTCAATCCTTTATACCCTGCCTGTCCTGGCACATTGTAAGTGCTCAGTAAGTAATGACTGAGCAACTGAGCAGATGTGCTACACCAGATTCCAGAGTCAAATAATCATAGACTTGGAGAAGTGCAGGGTTATGGGGGCTGCAGTATAACACTCTACCTCACAGTGGGTGCATCCAAGCCACCAGCTTCCCCTGGTTCCAGAAGGCCTGTTAGAGACATGTCTTGCATTTGCACTTGGTCCAGCACAGCCCATGCCTCCCACTTGTGAAAAGAGGCTGACTGATGGGTGGTGATCAGGGTTGGCTGCCTTTTCATTTTTGAGATCATGGGAACAGAGGGACCGGATGAAGAAACACTTCTCTGAATCTACCCATTTCTAAATGGATGAATCACCAAGGAGGAAACTCAAAGATTAATTTCTCACTGCCCTTCTTCCCTTGCTCTGCTCTTTGTAGACAGTTACTGGTGCTCCAGGGCAAAAGATAATGAAAGTTCTTCCTTGCATCAAACTATTTTCTTCAGGAGATAGAGCCAGCATTAGCCAAAGAGACGGTCTGGGCTCTGGGAGCTTGGCTTGGAGGCCCAGGACATTCAAACAGTCCTTCCCGGAGAACAGGCTGGACCTGCAGTGATGAATAATTATTTTGCAATTGACAGTTCAATACCCACCAGATTCTTCATTGTATGTTTCTGTATCGTGTCAAGTTATGAGAAAACGCAATATTCTTTAACAGCTAGGCAAGAACAATGGTTTTTGCTCATTTGTTTGTTTGTTTCCACCCCCCAGAGGTCAGTTTTTGCAGTAGGAAGAGTCTCATTCTTTTTTTATTTTATTTTATTTGTATTTTGAGACAGTCTCTCTCTGTCATCCAGGCTGGCTGGACTGCAGCGGCTGCAACCTCCATCTCTCAGGTTCAAGGGATTGTCCTGCCTCAAACTTCTGAGTAGCTGGGACTACAGGCATGCCTACGCCCTGCTAATTTATTGTATTTTTAGTAGAGACAAGGTTTCAACATGTTGTCCAGGCTGGTCTTGAGCTCCTGACCTCAAGTGATCCACCCGCCTCACCCTCCCAAAGTGCTGGGATTACTGCCATGGGCCACTGTGCTCGTGACTCTTCAAGAAGAGTCTTGAATTTACTCTGAATGTGTCCTTGGTTGGCACAACCACGAGCAGAATATGCATCCTATCTATCCTCACAAACACTGGGTTTATTATCCCCAATTTGCCTTTGAGGAAATGGAGGCTCAGAGAGGTTAAATAACTTGCTCAAGTTCACGTGGGCAATGAGTGGTGGAGTGGAGATTTGAACTCAGGACTGTCTGTGACCCTCCCAGCCCTGCAGTCTCCAAGTCTCCAGTACTATCTGGCTCTAAAATCCGTACTATTCCCTCTGCTATGTTTTTGTGGCGACTTGAACTCTTCCTTCAAAGTCTTGGCTGCTGCTATGAACTGAACGTGTACCTTGTGAAGTTGTATTTTTTCCATATTGTAATTCCATCCTTCAAAAGTAAGTCTTGTTACTGCAAGACTGTGTTTCACCCGTCCTGGGGTAGGAGTGGCTAACAGGTTGGCTTGGGTCCCACAGTGAAATCTGTTCTGAGCCAGACCCTCCCGAGGGGACAGGGGACGAGCAGGAGAGATTGTAGCTGAAGTAGACATCTCCTGGTTCCCAGAAATGTGGAAGAACCTTGTGCAAAAACAGCTTCCTGCAGAGCCGCAAGATGGGATCCAGGTTATTGGTATTTGAGCACTGTGTTTAGGGGCTATGAGAGAAACCTAACATGAACCGGCTGAAGGAAAAAAGTGGAGGATTACATGAAAATGAATTCAGGGAGCTTGCAGGTGTACTGAAGGGAAGTGTGAGCTCTAAAAGCTGGAAAAGGTCTAAACGTGTAGATTACAAAAATATCTGCAGCTTAGCATGGCAATGACGGATAAAGCGTCAGATATGTGTTTGTCATCCAGTTGTCTATGGCTGTGCAACAAACCACCCAACATGTAGTAGCTTAAAACATGACAGTCATTTATTTTGCTCACACATCCACAATTTGGGCAGGATGTTGAGGGGACAGTTCGTTCCTGCTCCACGTGGCATCAGCTGGAGCTCACCAGGGGGCTGCAGAATTCATTTCTGAGATGGCTCCTCTAGCGGTTGCTAAGTTGGCGCTTTCTGGTTGGCTGGGAGCTCAGCTAGGCTGTGGTCCAGGGGACTTGGTTCCTTTGTTTGGGCCTCTCCTCTCTTCAGCTACTTGGGCTTCCTCATCGTATGGTGGCTGAGCTCTAAGACAAGGAGAACCCAGTGGAAGCTCTGTCACATTTTATGATGTAGCCTTGGATGTCGCATAACGTTTCTTCTATATTCTATTGGTCAAGCAATCGCACAGTCTGGATTCAACGGTAGATGACATAGGTTCTACCTTTTGATGAATCAAAAAATTCTGGGATCATGGTTTGAAACTACCAAAAAGTAGCGGCTGTATTGTTTGTTATTATTACAAAGTAGGCCGTGTGCAGTGGCTCACACCTGTAATTCTAGCACTTTGGGAGGCCAGCCTGGGCAACATAATGAGACCCGGTCTCTAAAAAAAAAAAAAAAAAAAAAAAAAAAAGGAGAGAGATTAGCCAAGTGTGGTGGTGTGTGCCTGTAGTCCCAGCTACTTGGGAGGCTGAGGTGGGAGGATCACTTAAGCCCGGGAGATCGAGGTGGCAGTGAACTATGATCACACTAGGCTGGGAGACAGAGTGAGACCTTATCTCAAAAAAAAGTTAATGATAATTACTACAAAGCAAGGCCAATAGTACAAAAACAGTGATCTTTCACAGTCTATGATATAGCAGGACAGTGCTAGATGTTCCCCATCTGCTATGCCATTTATTCCTCCCCAAAACCTGGGAAGCTCAGGGAGGCATCTAAACTGCCTAAACAGGGCCGTGAAGCTAGGAAGTGCTAAAGCCAGGATTTAAACCCAGAAGTCAAATGCTAAAGACTCTGCTAGACTGACTACCTGATTCTAGAGGCTGGGGTGTGTGCTAGGTATCTGAACGATTGGAGAGAAGCAGACAGAAATGTGTGAATGTGAGTGTGCAAATTTGCACAAGGCCAGTAGCACCTAAGGGGGCCCATGTGGGAGATGGGAGGGTCCCTGCCATCTGCTTCCTTCTCCTCATCCATTTCACCCTGGTCTTCTCAGCCCTCCCCTCTCCTCCATGCCCCTCCTTGGTCTCTTCCCATGGACCCTGTGAGAGCCCCTCTCCAGCTGTTTATGGGAGATGTTGAAGGAGAAGCAAGGGCTCCTCACGACCCTGTCTCTGCCTCTTTCCTGTGCTCTGGGACATCTGAACTGTCACATAGTCAGCTGGCAGGGAAGCCCAATTTTCCTTTGGCTCTCCAAAGGGCCTGATTCATGGGTTAGGCTGAGATCAGATAGAGCCCTTGGGTCAGGTGGGTGGGATTCTGGCTCCCAGGGCTGCTGGCAGGTGCCATCTGGTTGTTCTGGAGGGAGTTGAGGGGAATGGTTCCCACCTGGACAGTGTCTGAGGGGTGAGCTGGTGAAGCACTGGGCGGGTGGGGAGCTGGCAGGGACGGGACAGATACAGAGAGTGCCAGGAGGTGTGGACAGCTGCTCGCAGGGCTCTTGGTGACTTTGCCAGGAAACTGTGTCTAGACAGCCTCTGTCTGATCTCTCTTCTCATCCCACATCATCTCCCCGGTTCCTCCCTGGCCTGAGGCCGTCCTGCCAGGTTGATGCAGGGATATGTTGAACAAAGTTCAGATGTGCTGTGTGCACAGTACCAGGCTCAGCATAGTCTGAGAATGAAAAGCAGCTTCTGAAACTCAGCCCTGCCTCAGGGGCAGGGAGCTGCTGGTCTTGCCAGGAGGCTTAATGCCTGGATCAAATATGAGGGGGCTGGCTGGGCATGATGGCTCACACTCGTGATCCCAGCACTTTGGGAGGCTGAGGTGGTGGGAGGATTGCTTGGGGTCAGGAGTTCGAGATCAGCCTGGGCAACATGGTGAGACTCTGTCTCTACAAAAAAACTAAAATAAAAAAATAGTCGGATGTGGTAGTGCACATCTGTGGTCCTAGCTACTGGGGAGGCTGAGATAGGAGGATCACTTGAGCCCAGGAGTTCAAAGCTGCAGTGAGCTGTGATTGTACCATTGCACTCCAGCCTGAATGACAGAGGCAGACCCTGCCTCCAAAAAAAAAAAAAGACAAATATTTGGGGGCTTCCCCAGATAGACGTCTGGTGCTATGGTCTGAATGTCATTGTTCCCCTTGAATTCATATGTTGGAACTTAATACCCAATGTGATAGTAGTAAGAGGGGCCCCTTAGGAAGTGACTAATTCATGAGGAATCCACCTTCATGAATGGGATTAGTGCCCCCTTTTATAAAAGGGGCTTGAGCAAGCGCCTTTGCCTCTTTTGCCATATAAGGACACGGCAACAAGGTACCACCTATGATGCAGAGTGAGCCCTCCTCACCAGGCACTGAATCTGCAGGTGCCTTGATCTGGGACATCCCAGCCTCCAGAACTGTGAGCAACACACTTCTGTCATTTATAAATTACCCAGTCTAAGGTATTTTGTGATAATAGCCCCAAAATATGACACCCAGAGAGTGTGGGCCCTCTAGAGGTCATTTCTTCCAGGCCCCTGCCAGATGCTGAGCTCAGCCTGCAACCCCAGGCTGTTGAAAATCCGAGGAGGCTGAGGTCAGGGAGGGAGGCAGGAGGCCAGCAGGCCATCAGGGAAGGGACCCCAGTGGGCTCTTGAGGAATGGGGAAGGGGCATTAAAGGGCCCAGGTAGAGGCCTGGAGTGGTGGTGGTGGCCGTGGGGGTGTGAGAAGCTGGTTTGGGTGAAGATGCAGGGAGACAAACAGAGACCCATTGGGCACGGACAGGTGCTCACATGTTTCCTTGCACCTGGCATGCTTCCCCTGGTGAACACTGCCAATGTCCACCCACCTGTTCTTCACCCAGGTGGGCCTCGGGTCTGCAGGGACACAGCAAAGGAATGAAAGCCAGGGGCAGGGGTTTAAATCCTGGCTCTGTCTCTTTTCCTCCGTGTGACCTGGGGCAAGGAAATGGTCTTTATAGCTCATGCGGTCTTTATGCAGTTGTCTTAGGTGATGGGGGATGAGAAAGTGCCTTGTAATCAATAAAGACAGATTTATTACGATAATACAAATTTATTGATTTGTAATCAGTAAAGGCAGATTAACCATACCATTTTTTTTTTTAAATAGGGTCTTGCTGTGTCTCCCAGGCTGGAGTGTAGTGTCATGATCGTAGCTCACTGCAGCCTCGAACTCCTGGCTCAGACTATCCTTCCACCTCAGTCTCCCGAGTAGCTGGAACTACAGGCGCACACCATCATGCTCAGCTAATTTTTATTTTTATAGAGATAGGGATCTCACTATGTTGCCCAGGCTGGTCTTGAACTCCTGGCCTCCAGCAATCCTCCCATCCCAGCCTCGCAAAGTGCTGGGTTTACAGGCGTGAGCCACTGCACCCAGACAGAATCAACCGTATCTTTTGAGCATCTGTTCTGTGCCTGGCACCAGGACCAATTGCTGTGGGTCAACAGAACAGTTTCAGGTGGGTGGTGGATGGAATGGCTGGTGGGCTCAGAGCTAGAGCTTAGGCCCCTCAGCTACTCCTCTGGGCAGGAGTGAGCAGTGCTCACCCTACCCCAGGCTTAGGCCACTTGCGATGTGGGGTTCCTCTTCGGGCACATCTACTGACCCTGGAACTATTGAAGCTATTTTGTGAGTGCTGTGCCCTCTCTGCTGAGACACAATCCCTGTCTGCCACACCCCCAACACATCATTTGCCCCTGGAGTTTAACTGTACTTTGGTGAAGAGTGGCAGAGGCCAGAGGGACCCCAGGGGTGGACATGTGATTAGCTTGATGGGCAACCCCAGGACAGAGAACAGGGATGGGGAAGGAGATGCTTCCCACTGAAGACCCCATGCACTCTGCAGCTTACAATGCTCCTAAAACCCCAATGCTGGTTTATAAACTCTCTTGTCCAATTGCTGGGGGTCAACTGGGAGCCTTGGTGTGTCCCACCCCTCCCCCAGGCTGTCCCGTTGTTAGGCGAGAATGAGGCTTATTTCTGCTCATCCACCAAGTTTGTCTGTTTCCAACTGTCCATTTTTTTTCCATCCATCTATCTGCCCATCCATCCATCTTTCCATCACCTCCTGTCCTTAGGCTTAGGGGATTTCCTCTTGGGAGGGGAACTCTTTTTGCAGAAAAGGACGCTGAGCCCCAAAAGCTGAGTATTTCCCAGCATAAATGTCTGAGCCCTGTTCCCTGGGCAGGTCCTGTATTGGGGATTCAGAGTTGAATTGGAGTTGTCTCAGCCTGTGAAGGAAAGAGACCTATCAACAGGGGGTGACAAGGAGAGTTTGTAGCCAGGTGTGGTGGTGCACACCTGTAGTTCTAGCTAATTGGGAAGCTGAGCAGGGAGGATTGCTTGAGCCCAGGAGTTTGAGACCAGCCTGGGCAACATAGTGAGATGGCCCCATTTCTACAAACATTGTGAAAACTAGCCACGCATGGTGACACATGCCTGTAGTTCGAGCTAATCGGTAGTCTGAGGCAGGAGGATCTTTGGAGCCTAGGGTTTCGAGGCTGCAGTGAGCTAGGATTGTGCCACTGCCTTACAGCCTGGGAGACAGAGTTGCAAGACTCCCAGTTGCGATCATTTAAAAACTGGGAGACTGACATAGCATCTGGCTTTTAGCTCCTCTTAATTTATTAGAAGCTCTGACAGCATTGGGCCCATGTTCCCACGTGGAGACAGTTGGTGGATACAAGATAGGCAGCTACCCCCGTCTTTCAATGAGGCATGCACTCCAATTCACCACAGACCCCACCATTCCCTACTGCTTCTCATTCCTCCCTTTCTTCACTTATGTTATCTGCCTGGACTCTCTGCAAGGATTTTCATTTGTGGTTCCTGTTTCAGGAACAGGCCATGGTGTGGCCTTTCCTGACCTTGTCAAGCCTCAGGTTCCCAGAGGGGACCAAAATAGATACTGCACATTGTAGAGGGATCAGCTGAGGTAATATAGGTGAAAGCTCTCAGGAAGCCTAAAGCTCTCTGCAATCACAAAGCTACACAAATAGAAATTATTATCATCATTATTTATAACCATTGAAAGGACAGGAGACAAAGAAGTCAGTCCCCACCGTACCCCTCCCAACCCCAAGCCCACAAGGGTATTTGTGCCATTATGATGGCATTGATCATTGACATTGACAGTTATTATTAAACGATGTCAACTTCCAAATGCAAAATGTTTACCAGATGAACTCAAATGGGCTGGCAGAAATAATGTCCAGGTGCCGTCTACCTTCAACTCCTCTTCTCATGAATTTCTGTGGCATTTCTCCAGGGCCCAGAGTCAATAAGGGAGAGAGAAATGACTCCTCTGGTTTACTGAAGGTGTGACTTGTGATTCCAGCCAATGTCCTGTTGGTTCCCATTGTCTCCCCTGCCACTACCCATGTGGAGTCTTAGATCTTGGAGACTGTACTATGTGGGCCAACTCTCTCCTCAAGACACATTTATTAAAAGGTGGGTGAAGTATCTTCTCCTTTGCCTGTGTCTTTTGCCCAAAGGGAAGTTGATTGACGACAATGCTCCTTTTTCAAGCTCTGATTGCCGGCGGAGGTTGGATAAAGCATCTTGCTGTGATCTCTAAGTGGGCTGTGCCTTGAAAACATGATTTTTGTGTCTAATCATGTGTGTCTGTGGCTCCCTTGCCACTCCTGATTGCCGTGTCACTGTGACTTTATTTAACATACTTTCAGGACCCACTGTATCTGTCCCGCCTCTCTCTGGATCTTCCCAACTCTGTGGTTGCCTCCCTGCTATATTCATGGCCCCTAGGGGATGCCACGTGTGTTCGGTTCTTCATGCTGTTCCTCTGTCTAAAATGTTCTCTTCTGTGGCAGCTTCCTGCAAACATCTTCTTCTCTTTCCAGACTTTCTTTGATGATTAAGAAGCTTGCACGACCTAAGTCTTATAATTCTGAAAATCATCTCCTAGTTTCCAGGACCCCAGATGCACCAGCATGGCTTAGGGAAAGGAAAATGACCTTTGGAGAGAGAATCTTTGGAGGGATTTGAGCCTCGGCATTGCCACTTACTAGCTACACCATTTGGGACATGTTACAAGCCCCCCTGAACCTCAGTTTCCTCATCTGTGAAATGGGCATAATGATAGGCCCTAAATCTTGTGGTGAGGCTTACATGTGCCAATGGATATAAAGTATACATCATCACAATGCCTGGCACATAATGAAAGATTAATAGGGGCAATTAATATAGTGTTTGTGATAGACCCAAAGATAGACTGACCCGAGGCCGACCCTGGACACCTTTTCAACTGAAATCCCACCACCTTATGTTTTGACTTCTAGGTTTCCTTTCCCTAAAAGAGAAGTTTGGAGAAGGATCTAGAATTGTTGGTTAATCAAGGGCTTGCTACCTTCTAATCACTTCATGTTGATATTAGGATAAAGAGCAAACATCCTTCATGGGGTTTACAAGGCCCTCCATGGCCAGGACCGTGTTTATGTCCCCAGCCTCATAGTCCACTTCTCCTCTCTCCCTGGGTGGTGACACATTGCACAGTACCCTTGCACATGCTCTTTTGCCCACTTAATGCCTGCTCATTCTTCAAAGCCCAGGCACTTCCTCTGGAAGCCTTCCGCAACTCCCTGTGTTCCTTCTCGACAGAGTGTGACCGCCCATTGGGTCCACCTTGCCCGCTGCCTAGACAGAGCTGATTTATCAAGACAGGGGGATTGGAATACAGAGAGAGTAATTCATGCAGAGGGGCATTGTGGGAGACTGGAGTTTGATTATCACTCAAATCAGTCTCCACAAGCATTTGGGGAGCAGAGTTTTTAAGAACAGCTTGGTAGGGGTGGTTAGTTGAAGCCAGTGAGCCAGGAGTGCAGATTGGTCAGGGAAGAAATCATAGGGAGTCGAAGCTGTCCTCTTGCGCTGAGTCAGTTCCTGGGTTGGGGCCACAAGATCAGATGAGCCAGTTGATCGATCTGGGTGGTGCCACCTGACCCGTCACGTGCAGGGTCTGCAAATTATCTCAAGCACTGATCTTAGGAACAGTTTAGGGAGGGTCAGAATCTTGTAACCTCCAGCCGCCTGACTCCTAAACCATAGTTTCTAATCTTGTGGCTCATTTTAGTCCTAACAAAGGCAATCTAGTCCCCAGGCAAGAAGGAGGTCTGCTTTGGGAAAGGGCTGTTATCATCTTTGCTTTAAACTACAAACTATGAACCATGAACTCAGTTTCTCCCAAAGTTAGGTCAGCCTACACCCAAGAATGAATAAGGACAGCTTGGAGGTTAGAAGCAAGATGGAATTGATCAAGTTAAATCTCTTTCACTGTCTCAGTCATAATTTTGCTAAGGCAGTTTCAAGAGCACTTACTCTAGTTTCTGGTTTTACATTCATGACTGTGTTTTATTTGGTTCATGTCTAATTCCTCCACTGGACCGAGAGCTCCATGATGGCAGGAACCAAGTCCGTGGGTGGCCCCCTGTGGTGTCCCCAGCATTGAACACAGCAGCACGTCCCTCATGGGTGTTCACTACATAATAATTTGTTGGATGCACAGGTGGATACATGACTTACTACTTTAAGAATGTGTGCATTTGAGATGTTTACTTGGAACAACGAAGGCTTATTCTTGAAGAAACAACAAGTGATAAGTCACCAGAAGACAGAAAACAGCATGTTGGAGCTGGGTGGCTCCTGGTGCCTGGGAAATGAACCCTTGGGGTGGTTCTTGGAAGGAAGTGAGCAGGTTTAGTCCCATCTGATGAACTCTTTCCTCTCCATGGTTAAGTTGGCTTCTAACTCAGGGACTAAGTTTTATTTGAGACTGAGGCCACTGCTGGTGGGTTGGTTGGTCTCCTCCACCTTTCCCTTCACCCGTAAATGGGATATTAGTGAATGGGTGGCATAACCCACCTGAGGGTTCTTATAGGGTTTTAGGAGAACAGCCCTCATCTCCCAAGTTCCTGAACTGCCATCAAGATAACTGTGTGTGTGTGTGTGTGTTTGTGTGTTTAATCGAGACAGAGTCTCGCTCTGTTGCTCAGGCTGGAGTGCAGTGGCATGATCTTGGCTCACTGCAACCTCCGCCACTCAGGTTCAAGCAATTCTCATCTCTCAGCCTCCTGAGTAGCTGGGATTACAGGCACGTGCCACCACACCTAGCTAATTTTTTTTTTAAGATAGACTGATTTTTGTATTTTTAATAGAGATGGGGTTTCACCATGTTGGCCAGGCTGGTCTCGAACTCCTGACCTCAGGTGATCTGCTCACCTTGGCATCCCAAAGTTCTGGGATTACAAGTGTGAGCCACCACACCTGGCTATCATCAAGATAACTCTTTAAATAAGCCAAACATTTATTGGCCAAAAGCAATGCACATGTTCTGTCAACAAGCAAATTTGGGGAAACAAAAAGAGAATAGAAACAGAAAATAAATATTAACCACCCGGATGTAATCATATTAGCATTTTGGGGCATATGTTTCTGATTCTTTTTAAAAAATATTTATGTCTTTCTGTGTTTTCTATTTATATATGTATTGCAACCTGATTTTTTTCATTGAGCAAATGTAAAATGAACAGAAAATGTCCAGGAAAGCAAATGTCTCCCTTCTGCTGGCCTGGTGTATTACACAGGGTTCTGTGGAGGGACAGAACTAATAGGATAGATGTATATACAAAGGGGAGTTTATTCAGGGGTACTGACTCACACGGTCACAAGGTGAAGTCCCACAATAGGCCATCTGCAAGCTGAGGAGCAAGGAAACCAGTCTGAGTCCCAAAACCTCAAAAGTAGGGAAGCCAGCAGTGCAGCGTTCATTCTGTGGCCAAAGGCTTGAGAGCCCCTGGCAAACCACTGGTGTAAGTCCAAGAGTCCAAAAGCTGAAGAACTTGGAGTCCAATATTCCAGGGCAGGAAGCATACAGCACAGGAGAAAGATGAAGGCCAGAAGACTCAGTAAGTCTGTTCTTTCCAACTTCTGCCTGCTTTATTCTAGCCATGCTGGCAGCTGATTAGATGGTACCCACCCAGATTGAGGGTGGGTCTGCCTCTCCCAGTCCACTGACTCAAGTGTAAATCTCCTTTAGCAACATCCTCACAGACGCACCCAGGATCAATACTTTGCCCCCTTCGATCCAATCAAGTTGACACTCAATATTAACCATCACACCTGGTATGACAGTACTAGCCTTGTCCCAAGAGGCAGGAGCCCCAGAACTGCAGAGCATCTGATAGAGATGTGAATAGTGGCTTTGGAAGGAATGACTGTGGCCAGGTAAGGTGACAGGTAATGGCGAAAACAGAGGCATGAAATCGTGGGGCAGTTCAGGTGAGCCATTCCCCAATATTCACCAAGAGATAATAGGGAAGGGAGAGAGAGTAGGGGTCTCAAAAGCAGGGTCATGGTGCTGATAATCTGAAAGGTAGGCTCTCAGAGCCATTGAATGTTTCATTTATTCACTCAACGAGAATTTCTTGAGTGGCTAATATGTGCCAGGTGCTGCAGCAGCCAGTGGGGATTGTAGGTCACAAAAACATGACTTCATTCAAAGCATGCACCATTATTTACATATGTAAAGTGCCTTGGCATGAAATAGAAGCCCAATAATCTCTTGCAACCATAGAGATGAGCATTAATGACTTTTCCAGAATTGCATCTATGGTTGGTGATTATTCCTATGTGGCCAGATGACCAGAAGGAGCAGAAAGCTACATTTTTGTGGCATCTTGTATACATAGAAATGATTGCTGTAAATATGTGTTGACTCCCTTTAATACATATGCAACTAATTGAAAGCGGGCAGTTTACGGTGTAGTATCAGTGAAACGTGCTCTGTTGCCATTAAGTATAGCTTTGTTACATTATTGAGACAACTTGCCTTGGGGGCACTGGGGTAAGTTATTGCTTCTTCAACCATATTTTGGTCCTTAGAGGACCAACCGCTAGTCCAGCTTTTATTACCTGCTGTTTCTTTAATCACAACAGGGAAATGTTGGCTAGGCATCGGACGGGAGACTTTTCTTATAAGATGAAATGAGCCAAGATTGGAAGACGACATTTTTATTTGCCTTACAAATGGACTGGATACAGTGTGAATGGCTTCGTGAATGAGATGAAGGGCTCTGCTGAGCAGCAATCCCAAACCATTCACCCTTATGCAGAGGCAGAGAGCCTCCTAAATGAATTGGGTTCTGTTGGAGTTAGCTGCTCTTATTTTCCTGTGCTGAGGAGTCTGGAGTGGGAGGGTATCCATTTCCCAACCAATAATAATTAGCTTTGATTCCAGGCAACATGTGCATTTTTAATCCGTTAGGCATAGGGTCTTCCCGGGACCTATACGTTTTTCAAGATCTACAGAAATGTTTGAGACCAAAAACAAACAAACAAACAAACAAACAAACACACCACACAAACACACATACACACACACACATTGGCTTAAAAATGCAAAAGAGAAAATGACAAAATTGAAATTAATGAATATCTTAAAAATTACCTACGCTGGGCATGGTGGCTCACGACTGTAATCCCAGCACTTTGGGAGGCTGAGGCAGGCAGATCACCTGAGGTCAGGAGTTCGAGACCAGGCTGACCAACATGGTGAAACCCTGTCTCTACTAAAAATATGAAAATGAGCTTGGTATGGTGGTGCATGCCTGTAAACCTGTAATCCCAGCTACTCAGGAGGCTGAGACAGGAGAATTGCTTGAACCTGGGAGGTGGAGGTGGCAGTGAGCCGAGATCATGCCATTGCACTCCAGCCTGGGCAACAAGAGTGAAACTCCTTCTAAAAAAAAAAAAAAAAAATTACCTACAAATTGTGCTGCTTTGTCAATATCACTAATTGTTAAATTTAACATTCCTAGGGATTTCATTACATCTGAAAAATGTGGATAGTTAGAATTTCCCACTTTCTAGACCTCCTGAATATGCACAATTACCAAGAAATCACATCCAATCTAAATTTAAATAAATCACCTATTGCCAGATAATTTCAGGAGCAGAATTTTAAAATTTTCTCAAAAAATGTTTAGAGCCAAAAATCCATTTAATGTAGGATACAGGCAAATTTGTAGCATGTTTCAAATGCTTTCTGGTGAGACCTCCAAAAGTGAATGTGTCTAGGGTATATAAAATTCTTAAAGGGGCTTTGTCATCCTTCTTCCCCACTCACCCATAAAATAGATGAGATAAAAGCTATTTCTAAGGGTGGCTCTTTTGTGAAGTATTTGAGCTTTACGGTAGATGAGACTATTGTTTAGTAAATATTTGTTCCCTCTCCTATTACATCATTGATGTTCAGCTAGGCTATGTGACTTCCTTTTCCCTGAGAGATGGCATAGTGTACTTCCCTACCCTTCAACTGTTGAGTTGAGCTTAACTTTCTTTGGCTAATGGGATGTGAGAGGACATAACCCTTATGAAAGGCTTGAAATGCTCTCGTGTGATGAGTTTGCCTTCTTGTGCTTTTGCCTTCTCTATGAGAAAAACATGACTTAGTTGGTCACTGGTCCTAGAAAAATGAGATGCATCTAGAGCAGAGCCGCCCCAGCATGTCTTCAGACCTGCAACCTCCAGCAGAGCTGCTCCAGCCAAGCTATATGGGCATGGCAGAGAAATAAGCTCTTTCTGGGATTTGGGGTTGTTTGTCTTACAGCATCTAGCTGACTGCTGCAAGTTCCTGCACACAGTGGTGCTTACTCATGTTTCTGAAGGAATAGCAGTTTGTTTATTTCAACCACATTGCTAGTTATTTGTTATTTTCCACCATATTGCTAGGGTTATAACTCTGAAAACAAGTTCAGCTACTTCTCACATGTTCCTTCTGCCTGAAAACTTTGTCTCCTTGCTCTTCACGTGGATGGCTTTCTCTCTTTGGCTCTGGATTTAAATATTACTCCCTTGGGATGACCTCTTCTGATACATTATTTAAATACCATCTGTGGTGGAGTCTACTATTTACATATTGAAACATCTACATTCCCTTTTCTTCTCTGAAATAACACCTTATTTTCGGGGGAAAAATTTCAAACTGAGACAATAGTTGGAAGAACAGTACAATTAAGTTTTCCCTCTCCTCGAATCATTTCCCAATACTTTACTGTGTGTTTCTTGCAATAAGGACCTTCTCCTATATGCCCATAATACGACCATTAAAGTCAGGAAATTATTATAACATTGATACATTACCACCATCTAATCCAAAGGCCCCATTCAGGTTTCACTGACCATCCCAATAATGTCCTTTATAATCTTGCAGGGCAAGATTATCATAGCATTTAATTGTCACGTCTTATTCCGGCAGATTCATCAGTCTCTTTGTTACTTTCTCGACCTTGATACTTTTGAAGATACAGGCCATTTATGTTGTATAAGAGCTCTCAATTGGGGATTGTCTGATGCTTTTTCGTGACTAGAACTAGGTCGTGCACCAATTCTAGGCTTCAACACCCCATGCCAGATCTCTGTCCTATCCCCTCTCATTGATGCTTACTTTGGTTGGTGCCCTTTAGTGACTTTAACACAGAATATTTGAGGAAGAATAAAAGATGAAACACTGATTTTAATTAGGGTGACATAGACTCTGCTTTAAACAACAACAACAAAACCAAAACCCTCTAATTTCCCAGTCTCTCATGAAGCTACCCAAGCCATGTGAATTAGCTTTGGCCAAGGAATGCAAAGAGAAGAGTAATATGGACATTTTCTCAGAATGAGGACCATATATTTCTTTGCCCATTTTTCCTGTTGTTGGTCTTGAATTAGGATGCAATGGCTAGATCTCTGGATGCCATATTTGACCATGAAGTCAAGTCCAAATGAGAAACGATCATTCCCAAATTAAGGCCGTGACTTAAGGAGGTATATAAAAGAGAAGGTGGCAATTGGTTGAATGTAGGGTGTGATGGAGAAGGACTCAAAGATGTTGTTCGGGCTCTTGGTTTGGGTAACTGGGTGAATGGCGATGATATTCATGGAGAAAGTGAGCTAAAAATTAGGAGTAAAATTATTTGGAAGGCAAGTTAAATTCGTTTTTGGACAGAAATGAATCTGAGATATACAATGGACATCTGATGGTGTTCTCTAAGGTAATGGGAATTGGAAACAGATTTCAATATTGAGGTGGTAGAAGAAGGGGTCAAATCATCAAATCATGATTCTGTTACTTGGAAGGAAGGCTGAAGGGGAGACCTTGAGCATCTTGTTTCTTCTTAGTTCCAGTTATGCTTTATGCTTTTGAGCACTAATCACAGCAGATACTGTGGAGGCTGAGCTCCAGCCATTGTCAAGCCTGTGCTCCAGCACTGGTATAAATTACTGGAGTCCTCATTCTAGAGGAAAGCACGGGGACGAATCTTTTCTAGGGCTCTTTACCTTGTCTACTCTTCCTGCAGGGAGTAGTTCAGACTTTCTTCTTCTACCTCCTCTTCTTCTTTTTTTCTTTATAGAGACAAGATCTCAGTCTGTCACCCATACTGGAGTGTAGTGGCACAATTATAACTCACTGCAGCCTCAAGTTCCTGAGCTCAGGTGATCCTCCTGCCTTAGCCTTCTGAGTAGCTTGGACTGCAGGGTTCATGCCACCATGCCTGGCTTATTTATTTATTTATTTAGTAGAAACAGGGTCTCACTATGTTGCCTAGTCTGGTCTAGAACTTCTGTCCTCAATTCATCCTCCTGCCTCAGCCTCCCAAAGTGCTGGGATTACAGGTGTGAGCCACTACACCCAGCCTAGGTTTTTCTTTCTTTTCAATGAATCATAACCCTTCTCTCTTCATTTCTAGTGAACATGCATCACCTTATCCTATCACAAACCAACTCTGTGACAAATGTACTATTACTATGCCCATTTTACAAATGGAAAAACTGAGACTTAAAGAATTTAAATTGGCTGGGCGCAGTGACTCACACCTATAATCCCAGCTCTTTTGGAGGCCAAGATGGGAGGATTGCTTGAGGTCAGGAGTTCGAGACAAGCTGAGGCAAGAAAGCAAGACCCTGTCTCCACAAAAATTAAATAAATTAGCCAGGTGCGGTGGTGCACACCTGTAGTCCCAGCTACTCCACAGGCTGAGGCAGGAGGATAGCTTAAGCCCAGGAGTTCAAGGCTGCAGTGAACTATGATCATGCCCACTGCACTCCAGCCTGGGCAACAGAGCAAGACCCTGTTTCTGAAAATTAGACAAAATACCAAGCAACAACACCAACAAAACAACAACACCACAAAACAAAGTTAAGTATCCTGGGGTTATACTGGAATCCAAGTAATCTGGTTTAAGAGCTTAACCTCCTAACCACCATGCTATACTGCCTTGTGGCAACTCATGCCTTGTGAATCTTTACTCCTGGTAGTGTTTCACAGTTGACAGAGAGCTTTTGCATTCTTGATCTCATTTGGTCCTCACAACAGCCCTGTGGGGCAGGTAGGAAAGACCTTGTTATTAGACATGAGGGTCCTAAGAACCAGAAAGCTAATGGACATGCCCAAGGTGGCCCAGCCAATGAATAGCAGAGTTAGATAAGAATTGTGATCTTCGGGCCGGGCACGGTGGCTCACACCTATAATCCCAGCACTTTGGGAGGCCAAGGCGGGTGGATCACTTGATGTCAGGAGTTCAAGACCTGACCTCAAGTCTGGCCAACATGATGAAATTCTGTTTCTACTAAAAAATACAAAAATTAGCCAGGTGTGGTGGCACACACCTGTTATCCCAGCTTCTTGGGAGGCTGAGGTAGGAGAATCGTTTGAACCTGGGAGGCGGAGGTTGCAGTAAGCCGAGATCGCGCCACTGCACTCCAGCCTGGGACACAGAGCAAGACTGTCTCAAAAAAAAAAAAAATTGTGATCTTCAGCAGCCTTATAGAGCACTTCTTCTACTGTATAATCCTCGCTTTCCTCATTTACATCTGTGAAAAAGATATTCCTTTTGTTCAGATGCTCTTAGGTGCTCTGAAGCAAGCAATAGCCCAAGCTGGCATTTTGAGAGTCATTTCATGGATGGAAAGCGGAGGCTCAATGGCTAAGGGAATTAGCCTTGGTTCTCCAGTGTGTCTGCAGTCTTCATGGCATTGGTGCTGCTGATCCACAGTCATGCCAGAGGTTGGGTCCGCAGTGAACCGCTTCACAGCTGGCTGGTTGGGGGAAAAGAGAGGTCTAATGATAGAAACCTTTCCCAAAGCAAAGGATGTAAGCCCACACCGAGAATTATTAGAAAGAATAATATTCTCCCACACTGAGAATTATTAGAAAGAAAGAAAGAAAAACTAGAAAGAAGGACAAAGGCATTCCAGCATGCTTCCTGTGACAGATTGAGCCAGTCTTTGTAACCTCAGATTCACAAGGACATTGCAAAGAATTTCCTGTTGCGCTCACCAAAATTGGCTGGCCCTTGTGCCAGAGTCCCACTGACATCCAGAAAACTATTGCCCATCTTCTCTGGGCTGTGCAAGGATTAGTGTCATAATAGATCATCACAGCCAAATGTTATTATACAAAGCAGAAAGCTGCAAGAAATGGATCTTCATTCATTGAATTTGCATGTTTGGTGGGGACTGCTTCAGACTTCCTTTATCTCGTGATCAGTCGTGTGTGTTGATCCTCTTTGCAAGTTGTTGTGAGAACTGGGTGCAGCAAAAGCTGCCACTTCAAGAGACCAAAGGGATGAAAAAGTGCATCAATTTGCATAAAGAACTCAGATAATTTCTAGGTAGAAAGCAGGTCAGAGAGGCTCTAGACCTAGGACTCTCGTGTTGGATTGCTTAGTTTCAAATCGTGCTTATGTCACTTACATGCATGCAATCTGGATAAGACATTTAATATCTCCCCAAGCCTCAGTGTTCTCATCTGTAAAATTAGATGATGTGGTGATGATGAAAGAACATATATAGGCTGGATGCAGTGGCTCATGCCTGTAATTCCGGCATTTTAGGAGGATGGGGTGGGCGGGGCACTTGGGGTCAGGAGTTGAGAACCAGTCCGGCCAACATGGTGAAACCTTGCCTCTAAAGAAAATACAAAAATGAGCCAGGCCTGGTTGTGGGCACCTGTAGTCCCAGCTACTTGGGAGGCTGAGACAGGAGAATTGCTTGAACCCGGGAGACGGAGGTTGCTGTGAGCCAAGATCATACCACTGCACTGCAGCCTGGACAATAGAGCAAGACTCTGTCTCAAGAAAACCCCCAAAAAACAAAAAAAACAAAAATAATATATATAAAACATATATATTATATAATATATAAAAAACATATATAATATAATATATAAAACATACATTATTTAATATATTCTGTAATATCTTTTTAATAACATATTGTATATTACATAACTTGTTATATAACACGTTATATAATATATAATATGTTATATTATATAACACGTTATATAATATATAATTTGTTATATATGTTATATAACATATAAACCATGTATTATATATAATATATGTTTTATATAATATATAATAATTATAATTTATATAATATATGACATTATATATTATATATAACTTATATATTTATGTATGATAAAATATATGGTATATGAAATATACATAATTATATATTATATGATATAATTATATAATATATCATATATGTATTATGTATATTTCATATACATTATATTTTATTATATAAACATAAGTATATATTATACTATGTAATAGTATAATTATACAATGTATAATTATATATTATATGTAATAGTATAATATATAATATACAATGTATAATTATATATTATGATATGTATGACATACATATCTAACATATATTATAACATGTATGTTATATATAACACATATAGCATCCAGATACCATGTATAGCATGTGTACATGCATATATATTTATGTTATTCAACATGGGTCCAGGAATGGAGTAAGAGATCAACAAATACAGTCATTAAAATCAGTGATTCCTCATTCTTCTCCCAGCTCCTTCTTTATGAGATTTTGAAATCCATATGGATGGATAAAAATATCCCCAAATGATGCCTAATGTTGCAGGGAAGGAAAATGAAACTCTGGAAATAAAATTAGTTCAAGGAGAAGGAGCATCTCCGCTGTTGACCCGGCTTAACACTAGACTAAGAATAGATTGCAATGGCCCCAACCTCAGGTATGCCGGATAAGTCCCTGAAGGCCCTAGAGGGGAACCTGAGAAGGGTTTGAATGTTTGCATGTGTGTTCGACAAGCTGGTACCTGGTAGCTGAGATGTAGAGGAGAATCATTGTGCCCTATGTAGAGACTGGACTATGTGGACTTTTTCATAGCTGTAGACAAAGACACGCTGACAGTACCAGACTGGTTTTCAACCTAATGGCAGCCTCGGGGACAAGGGAAGGTGAAAATGGGGCTGCCTATGAATGGATCCGACTCCTCAGGTTTCCATCAGCCTGAAGTTTGGAAGTGATCTTTGGATTAACTGAGTCGGCAGAGTGTTGGACCACGAGAAGGCAGATGTGGAGTGAGATACTGGACTTCTTGGCTCCTGTGAGCAAAGAGGATGGGCATGAGATTAAATGGAAAAGTAAGAGACGTGACAGTTTCCCAGGTTAATAACATGAGTAATGCCAGTTACATGCATGGGAGCTCATTTAACAACTCTTCAGGGTTGTGTTACTACCCAAACCCTTTATGATGCTGAGCACGCACTGCAGACACTGATTCCTGCCTGCCCCTCCACTCTGTTTCCTGGTTACCTGCTTACCTTCTGCCTGATTCATTTTGATCTAGACACACTGGCTTCCATTCTTTTCCATGAACAAGCCAAGCTCCTTCCCACCTCTGGGCCTTTGCACATGCAGTTTCCTCCACCTGGAATGCTGCTCCCAGATCTTTTTACAACACATTTCCTCTCATCTGTTGAGCCTCACCTTACACGTTACCCTTTCAGAAAGATTTTCCCGTTCATGTCCTCTCCGCTACATTATTCTCCCTCCCATCACCCTCTCTAACATCATAGTCCTCACCATTCCCGAAATGATCTTTGTTACTTACTGGGTGGCATGTTTAGAGGCTGCTTTCCCCACTGGCTCTGTGACAGTGACTTTGTCATGGTAACTCAACATTCTGTTTCCTATGGCCTGAAGATTGCTGGGTATATACTAAGTGCTCCATGAATATTTGTTGGAAGATTCAATGAATCATATCTTACCAATGCAATATTGGAAGCCTAGAGAAATGAAATAACGTTTTCACAATTGCACAGAGTAACAGATGCTTTCAGTGCTTCCCTTGTATCTTCTAACCCTTTACCTCTTAAGCATCCACTGACCCATCCAAATGTAGTTGCATTCTCTTTCTGAGGACTTTTTCTTTTTCTTTTCTTTTTTTTTTTTGAGATGGAGTCTCACTCTGTCGCCCAGGCTGAAGTGCAGTGGCTTGATCTCAGCTCCCACCTCCCAGGTTCAAGCAATTCTCCTGCCTCAGCCTCCTGAGTAGCTGGAATTACAGGCATGCACCACCATGCCCAGCTATTTTTTTTTTTTTTTTTTTTGAGACGGAGTCTCGCTCTGTCGCCCAGGCTGGAGTGCAGTGGCGCGATCTCGGCTCACTGCAAGCTCCGCCTCCCGGGTTCACGCCATTCTCCTGCCTCAGCCTCCCGAGTAGCTGGGACTACAGGCGCCCGCCACTACGCCCGGCTAATTTTTTGTATTTTTAGTAGAGACGGGGTTTCACCGTGTTAGCCAGGATGGTCTCGATCTCCTGACCTCCTGATCCGCCCACCTCGGCCTCCCAAAGTGCTGGGATTACAGGCGTGAGCCACCATGCCTGGCCCTCTTTCTGAGGTCTTTTTCTGGTTGTACTGTCTTTGCCCACCCGTATGATGGCTTGGAAGTCTTGGAGGAATCAACACCTGCCCTGGGAGCATCCCTCCACCAGGAACTGATGAGAGTTGGTGTATGTGGATAAGTACCCCATCTCCCTCACCCCTTAGGTCAGATAACTATGAAGCAAGAGCTGGTATGTGCATCTTTCCCCAAGTCCTTGTTCAGGGACAAGGTAGTGTGAAATCAGCCATGGTGGGAGGATTTACACCATGGATATGGGCAGACACTACAAATCTGGGCTTTTAATATTTTTCTGCAGTGTTGGTTGTTAAACATCTACCAGCACATTGCTAGAGATGTTCTACACTGTATCCTAGAGTTTTCCAGCAAGTTTTCCAGCAAGTTTTCCAGTTATTGTCCCAAGTAGTAACTTGTTTTATAATATGCCCTTTACTGGCTGCCTCCCTGACCTATTTCATTTCCTGTGTCATGTTTCATTTACCTCCCACATAGATGACTTACTCTTGGAGTCTTGTCTCAGGGTCTGATTCTTGGGAAACCCCAATGAAGGCATACAACTAGTATGCGATAAAACCAGCATTTAAACCTAGGAAGGTCTGACTCCAAATCCACGTGTATTTTACTAATACTCCACTGCCTCTTGTGTCTGACCTGTTCTTTGCCAATCCACTGTGACAGGAGTCCTTTAAGGAGTGAGACAAATGCATTATATTGATGAAAGTAGCTTGCAATTAAGAAGTTAGCTTTCTAGGCCAGGCACAGGGGCTCAAGCCTATAATCCCACCATGATTGGGAGGCCAGGGCAGGAGGATCACTTGAGGTCAGGAGTTCAAGACCAGCCTGGTCAACATGGTGAAACCCCATCTCTACTACAATTATAAAAATTAGCTGGGCATGGTGACGCACACCTGTAATCACAGCTACTTGAGAGGCTGAGGCAGGAGCATCACTTGAATTCAGGAGGCAGAGGTTGCAGTGAGCCGGGATCACACCACTGTACTCCAGCCTGGGTGATAGAGTGAGACTCCATCGCAAAAAAAAAAAAAAAAAAAGAAGTTACGTTTCTTATGATAAGGGATGGGTTAACTAGATAAAACATGTGGAAATCTAATTTAGTTAGTAAATTATTTTTTATTTCAAAAACACTTTTAAAACATAGACATGTTTTCCATAAAACATGTAGGCACCAAGACAGATTTGATTGCTCTCTTGCGAATGATCAGCAGCAGGCTTCCATTTCATGCTTGTTATAATTTACTGTTTATAGTTCCTAACTCTCTGCTTACACGCTGGTTTGAATATTCAAGGGTCTCACCAAGTGGTGAGGCACTGGACGCAATGATGATGTTGGGTGCAAATGAATAGGGCTTCAGCTGGAAAGGGGCAAGGGGCAGACTGGAAAGAGCTTAGGCTTTAGACCTCTGTACTGGTCAGGACACTTTGGTTCACAAGGGAGAGAAACTCAGTGCAAGCTAGCCTAGGCAGAAAAGAAAAAAGAACTTAATGCCTGGGGAAATTGGAAGGTTGAAGGATGTGGCATTAGCTTCAGGTATGGCTCGATCAAGGATTACTCGCTAATAAAGCCTCTCTCCTTCACTAGAATAGAAGCTCTGTAAAGACAGGCACCTTGTCTGCCCTATTCATAGCTGCATCCTCCATCATATAGAATAATGCCTGGCACACAGTGATAATAAAAATTATAGAGCATGTCATATGGGCATGCCACTGTTCTTAGTTTATCCACTTAACCCAATGAGGTAGGCAATTATTAATTATAATCCCCATTTTTCTGGATGGAGAAACCAAGGCACTGAGAAGTCATTTAGCTGATAAGCAGGGTAACTGGGATTTGAACCTAGGACCTCTTGCTCCAGAGTCTGTGCTCATAACCATGCTGCCATATTAACTCAGTAAGTAGTTGTTGATTGAGTGAATGAATAACTGACTAATGATGAAACTTGCCAGACACAGAGTATTCAGTAACTAGGAGTGCTGACATTTATTTGAGTGGCCTCTGTTTTCTGTGTCCCATTAGCTTTGGGTGCTGGTGTCTTCATCTGCAGGATTCCATATATTTAGCCCAGATCAATGGAGTGCTGGAGGGTCAGGATGAGTCGTGTTCAAGAAAATAAGGTTGGAGTTATTTCTAGAATTTTTTTTTTTTTTTTTTTTTGAGACAGAGTCTCGCTCTGTCGCCCAGGCTGGAGTGCAATGGTGTGATCTCGGCTCACTGCAACCTCTGCCTCCCAGGTTCAAGTGATTCTCATGCCTCAGCCTCCCAAGTAGCTGGGATTACAGGTACCCACCACCATGCTTGGCTAATTTTTGTATTTTTAGTAGAGATGGGGTTTCTCCATGTTGACCAGGCTGGTGTCGAACTCCTGACCTCAAGTGATCCACTGGCCTTGGCCTCCCAATGTGCTGGGATTACAGGTGTGAGACACCACACCCAGCCTGAAATTTTGTTTTAAGTTCCTGAGATCCAGGGGTTGTTTGTTACTGCAGCATAGTCTAACACATCCTGTGTAGAAGCCCTTACTTACTTAGGATGTGTCATTGAGTTCAGAGAGAGACAGTAGAGGAAAGGGCCCAGACTTTAAAATCAGAGAGATGAAATTCCAACTCTCCACTCACTAGCTGTGTGACCTTGGGTAAGTTCCTTAACCTCTCTGAGCCTCACTCTGCATTCTCACTAGTGAAATTACAACTGTAATTGCTACTCCATGAAATTGCTTTGACTACTAAAATAGGAAACCCTGTCAAGGGTATAACATAGTAGGTGTTGATGAATGTTGGCTATTACTTTTGCTATTATGTAGCAAAGCATAGATTACTTTGACTATTTTGAAAAAACCTGTTGCTATCAATTAAGGATAGAGTGGCTAAATTAAGTAAATTCTGTAAGCAAACAAGGATGGATCTTTAATTCTCCTCCACTTTCGATTTATGGCTGAAGATTTGACAGTTATCTGAAGTCTGACTAGCTTGAAAACCAAGACATCTGTGATTAGACTTACCTTTTGTTCTTCCCATTAGTGTAATTCATTGTTTTAGGACATCTCTGCTAACCCACTCCCCCAATATCCATCTAGCTTGGAGCCTTTATGGCCCTCATAAGGACCCGGCTTCCCCCTTGGTCTTTAAAATTAGACAACAGATGTTCATAATCGAACCTGTCTTGGTTCCAGAAAGTCTGAGATGTTCAGAAATAATCAGAACGTCTCTATAAATATCATAAAGGATATATCATTTTGGCAGAACCAGATCCAGTTTTTGTGGGGACTGAAGCTTTTATAATATGGGGATCTCTGTTTAAGAAAAAGAATACAAAATTATGAATTTAAAATTAGGCACAAAAGAGAATGTTATTTTGGAATGAGAAATTAAGTATAATATTCCTGTAGCTGCCTGGACATGGTAGCTCATGCCTGTAATCCCAGCTTTTTGAGACGCCAAGGTAGGAGGATTTCTTGAGCCCAGGAGTTCAAGACCAGCCTAAGCAACATGGCAAGACCCCCATCTCTACAAAAAAAAAAAATTCAAAAAATTAGCCAGGTGTGGTGGTGTGTGCCTGTAGTCCCAGCTACTCAGGAGGCCGAGGTGGGAGGATCGCTTGAGCCAGGGAGTTAGAGGCTGCAGTGAGCGATGATCTTGCCACCACACTCCAGCCTCCAGCCTGGGGGTAACAGAGTGAGATGTTGTCTCAAAAAAATAAAAAGAGAAAATTCTGGAGCCTTTAGCTATTTCCATTCCATTCTTCTGGGATCTGTGTAGGCAATTAATCAGAAATGTGAACATAGAGGTGCTTCATTATTGAAACCCAGCTTTCCCTTCTCACCTAAAGCCTTCCCCAAGTCCAGCATTTAAAGAGACAGGTACAAGGAAAAGACCCTGAAGCCCAAGCCTCATTAGCTTCAGGTAAATTCACCTCCGCTCTCTGGAGAAGCAGACAACAGAGGCCTCTTGTGAATATTGAGGAGAAGGTTGTATGTGTGTTCATGTGCGTGAGATCCAAGTGGAGAGCATGGAAACCTAGCTCAATTTTCCCTTGAGGTGAGCTTGAAGCTTTGGGTATCTTCCTCTCAGAGAATGTAAACCCATTTTTCCAACATTGTTGTAAAATATTCTGTTCCCACCTTTCCCACAATCAGCTTGCCTGACCCCACCACAGGGTGTGTCATCTTGTGCTTCTGGCACACACACACACACACACACACACACACACACTCAGAGCCCTGCCATCTGAAGGCAGCCAGCTCCAGAAAGGCCAACCCTTAGCTGTAACTCAGCATAGCACTGTTCATGATCTTTGGTTTCCATTTCTAGGCTGGTTTCCTTTTTTGTTTTGTTTTTTCCTTTGCCAAGACTGTAGTTGAAATAGGATAAAGGATTTATTTTTCCATAACAAGGTAGGAGAAAGGGTGCTAGGTTACAAGCACCCTGTCAATATCAGAGTTGGAAGCTTCTTCCTACCATCAGGTGTGTGTTGTGAAAGGAACGAGGGGTTCAGGCAAGTATTTCCCAGCAGGTGGGAAGGGGTCTTGATGGGATGGAAACTAGGAAAACAAACCAGATTCCCTGAGGGAAAATCAACTGTTCCTGAACTGTTATCAGTGTGGGAGTAGGGTTCACGGATTTCATATTCTAAACATGTTTGTGTGTGGTGTGTGCACACACACCTACTATGTGGCAGAGCCTGTCATAAGTGGTGATGGATTCCTGTAGATATAGTTTGCTGGAGCTGCCATAACAAAGTACTACAGACTGGGTGGCTTAAATGACAGAGATTAATTTTCTCACAATTCTGGAGGCTGGAAGTCTGAGATCAGGGTGTCAGCAGGGTTGGTTCCTCCAAAGACCTCCTCTTGGCTTGCAGATGGTCGATTCTGGTGTGTCCTCAGATGGTCTTTCCTCTGTGCCTGTCCATCCCTGGTGTCTCTCTGTGTGTCCTAATCTCCTCTTCCTATAACAACATGAGTCTGGTTGGATTAGAGCTCACCCTAAATGAGCTAAATAGGTTTAAACTTAATCACCTATTTCAAGCCCCTATCTCCAAATACAGTGACAGTCTGAGGTGCTAGGGGGTTAGGGCTTCAAGATATGATCCATATGGTTGAAGGGCTTCAAATTCATATATATATATATATATATATATATATATATAGAGAGAGAGAGAGAGAGAGAGAGAGAGAGAGAGAGAGAGAGAGACAGTCTCGTTCTGTCGCCTAGGCTGGAGTGCAGTGGTGCGATCTTGGCTCACTGCCACTTCCACCTCCCAGGTTCAAGTGATTCTCCTATCCTGGCCTCCCAAGTAGCTGGGATGATAGGCATGCGTCACCACACCTGGCTAATTTTTGTATTTTTAGTAGAGATGGGGTTTCGCCATGTTGGCCAGGCTGGTCTCAAACTGCTGACCTAAGATGATCTGCCCACCTCGGCCTCCCAGAGTACTGGGATTACAGGCATGAGCCACTGTGCCTGGCCTCAAATTCATATTTGAACATTTATTCAAATTTGAATTTTAGGGGGACATAATTCAGCCTGTAGCACTGTCAACCTAAAAGGAAGAAGCTGAGGCAAAATTAATATAAGTAAAGACTCTGTTTGGGCCAAGCTTGAGGACTGTAGCCAGGGAGCATAGATTCAAGTTTCCCTGAATATACACTCCAATTAGCAGCAGTTACAAGTGGATTTATAAAGGCAAAAAAGGGGGACATGGAGTGGGCTGGTACACAGTTGGTTGCCAGGAATTCTCACTGGTTTTCAGAAATAACATTGACGAGTGATTGGCTATACATTGTTAAGCTATGAGGTGTGGGTTATAGCATCCAGTGGGGCATTATTAGATTAATTTATAGCTACTTGTGGCAATGGCAAGCAGTTTTAAGAAATGAATACCGAGCTCAAAGGGGGTATGTAGGACATGATTGCTATCTCGTTCTATTGCCTCTCTGGGCCTAATAATTTAAAAGGCTTGTATTCCTCAGATGAAAGTTCTGTTCTTTTCTCAGCACCTTGAATGGCTGGAGAGAGCACCACCCCATCCTTGACCATGCTGAGTGCTGGCTGGACTTCAACTGGGCCAGTACTCCCTTTTCCCTTGTGGAAGGTCCCCTGATTAATGCTTACCTGAACGCCTGCTCTTCCTTCAGTCCCCAGTTCTCTGCATTCCCCAGCACTGGGAACAGAGACAGCATGTCTGTGTTATACAATAGGGAAGAGTATGGGCTCTGGCTTTAAACTTTGACTCTGCCCCCTTGTTAGCCCAGCGACTGTGAGCAAGTCATTTCACTTCACCCAACTTGTTTTCCTTTTTGTACATTGGAGGTTACTAAAAGCACCTTACCTGTCCAATTGTAGAGAGGATTAGGTGTATTAATGGGCATGGCACAGTAAACACTCACAAAATGCTAGCTACTATTAATTGTCAAGATTATGTTGGTTGCAAGGAGCAGAAACTCATATGGAAGTCATTTAGGCAATAAAAGGGGATAATTTATTGACTCTCATAACCAAATCCAGGAAGGTAGGAGAGCAGTTGAGTGGCAGGGGCAACTGGAAAGAGACCATTCCCCATGTCTGTCTGTCTTTCATATCTTTTTTATTTTTATATATGTATTTTTTTACCATGGTGGGTTTTTTTTGTTTCTTTTCTTTTTTTGGTTGTTTTTTCCATCCTTGGCTAGAACCATGGCTGCCAACAAGCTTCTCTGTTTCATAATGGGAGACCTTCTCATGTGGTTATGATGTGAAAAAAATCCCAGGGAAGGACTCTGATTGGTTCAGCTCAGGTCACATAGCCACCCACGTGGCCAGGTCAGGGGCTGGGGTGCTTAGGTGGGGCAGTGGGTTCTGGGTAGATAAAAATAATTAATGCCTTCTGCCTTATCTAAATGTTCTTTGTACTATGCCTGGCACTTGGTAGAAATTAAACAAATTCCCCTTTTTCCCTTTCTGTTTGACCCTCATGTCTACTTTTTATTACATAAAAGAGTAATCCAGAAAAGAAAGTCAGCTCATTGGAGACACTGGGTAGGGAGAAAAAGCTTTTTATAGAATATTAGGTAGGTGTAGTGGCTTAGGATGGTAAGAGCTCTGCACGAAAGGAAGACATTACAGTCTAAGGCCACCTGAGAGATCTGAGTCAAGCAGCTCTATCCCTTCCTGAGGACAAAAGAGATTTCAGGCAATGACTCATATTTGTTTGGAGAGCTAATTGACAAGACATATTAAGAGTTTTAGCAATTGTTCATGCTTTTTGATCCAACAAATTCACTTCTAGAGTGTCAAGAACTGTGCTGGTCTAAGATATTATCCTACATGGAGGCTAGCGAGTTTTATGGATGTGGGCAGAAGACATGAGACTCTGGATTGAGAGATAAAGGACTTTATTTTTCATGGCACAACAGGAAGCTTGAGCTTCATGTCTGCACCAGTTCCCTTTGACCCCCAAGTCCCTCAAGGGTGACACAGGTTGACATGGTTTGGCTGTGTCCCCACCCAAATCTCATCTTGAATTGTAGTTCCCACAATCCCCATGTGTCATGGAAGGGACCCAGTGGGAGGTAATTTAATCATGGGGGCAGTTATCTTCATGCTGTTCTTATGATAGTGAATGAGTTCTCACAAAATCTGATGGTTTTATACGGGGCTTTTTCTTCTTTTGCTCATTCTTCCCCTTTCTGCCGCCATGTGAAGAAGGACATGTTTGCTTTCCCTTCTGCCATGATTGTAAGTTTCCCGAGGCCTCCCTGAGTCAATTAAATCTCTTTCCTTTATAAATTACTCAGTCTAGGGTATGTTTTTTGTTTGTTTGTTTTTTTGTTTTTTTTGAGACAGAGTTTCACTCTTGTCGCCCAGGCTGGAGTGCAATGGCAGGATCTCAGCTCACCCCAACCTCTGCCTCCCAAGTTCAAGCAATTGTCCTGCCTCAGCCTCCTGAGTAGCTGGGATTACAGGCATGTACCACCACACCCAGCTAATTTTGTATATTTAGTACAGATGGGATTTCTCCATGTTGGTCAGGCTGGTCTTGAACTCCTGACCTCAGGTGATCTGCCCACCTCAGCATCCCAAAGTGCTGAGATTACAGCCATGCCTAGCCTTTTTTTTTTTCTTTTTTTGAGACAGAATCTCACTCTGTCGCCCAGGCTGGAGTGCAGTGGCGCATTCTTGGCTCACTGCAACCTCCACCTCCCGGGTTCAAGCGATTCTCCCACCTCAGCCTCCTGAGTAGCTAGGATTATAGGTGTGCACCACAATGCCTGGCTAATTTTTTGTATTTTAGTAGAGATGAGGTTTCACCATGTTGCCCAGGCTGGTCTCAAACTCCTGAGCTCAGGCAATCTGCCCACCTCGGCCTCCCAAGGTGTTAGGATTACAGGTGTGAGACACCACATCCAGCCTTGGGTATGTTTTTATTAGCAGTGTGAGAAATGAGTAATACACGGATGGATCCAGGTAGAATCTGTGCCTGCAGTGGATTTGCATCACACCTGAGGAACCCCAAGTTTAGGAATCTTGGTCTTTTCAACCTTTACCCTGGATGGAGGGAGACATTGTCATTATAATCCTTTCTTTTTCTTTTTCTTCTTCTTTTTTTGTTTTTTGTTTTTTTTGAGGTAGAGTCTTGCTCTGTCACACCCATGTTGGAGTGCAGTGGTATGATCTTAGCTCATTGCAACCCCTGCCTCTTGGGTTCAAGCAATTCTCCCACCTGTCTCCCAAGTAGCTGGGATTACAGGCACCCACCACCACACCCAGCTAATTTTTTAAGTGTTTGTAGTAGAGACGGGGGTTTCACCATATTAGCCAGGCTGGTCTCGAACTCCCAACCTCAGGTCATCTGCCTGCCTCAGCCTCACAAATTGGTGGGATTACAGGCATGAGCCACTGCGCCTGGTCCGGAGATATTATTATTATAATCCTAATCAGCAAATAAATCTGTCTTCTACTATATTAGCCCTATCTTCCAATGCTATTAGCTATACAAACATCCTTATAAAGACGGTCTAGAACAAATGCTGACACAAGATGTGCAGAAATGTAAGAGACACATGGGGAATTGTTGCACAGCATAGAGAATCTTTCCTAAGGAAACTACATCTGAAACACACACAGAAAATGTATGCTTAAAGCAACAATAGTTCAGCATTAGGGGAAGAGGTTAAACAGACTGTTGTTGGGATATTCTTCTGTTTCTAAACATGTTTCTGAAGATCTTGGAATGGGAAGTGTAAACGTTCAACTTAAAATGTAAAGTGGAACAAAAAGCTGCAAAACTTGAATGTATGTTTTTATTAACTACGTAGAGACATCTATTCTAGGACAACCTGAGGGGAGACTTGCTAAGATGTTCATAGTCCTCCTCTGGGCAGTGAGTCTAGGATCCACTGTTTTTCTTCATTTGGAATGTTCATAGTCTTTCTCTGGGCAATGAGTCTAGGATCCACTGTTTTTCTTCATTTGGAATGTTCATAGTCCTCCTCTGGGCAGTGAGTCTAGGATCCACTGTTTTTCTTCATTTGGAATGTTCATAGTCTTTCTCTGGGCAATGAGTCTAGAATCCACTGTTTTTCTTCATTTGGAATGTTCATAGTCTTCCTCTGGGCAATGAGTCTAGGAGCCACTGTTTTTCTTCATTTGGAATGTTCATAGTCTTCCTCTGGGCAATGAGTCTAGGAGCCACTGTTTTTCTTCATGTGGAATATTCATAGTCCTCCTCTGGGCAATGAGTCTAGGAGCCACTGTTTTTCTTCATGTGGAATGTTAATAGTCTTCCTCTGGGCAATGAGTCTAGGAGCCACTGTTTTTCTTCATTTGGAATGTTCATAGTCTTCCTCTGGGCAATGAGTCTAGGAGCCACTGTTTTTCTTCATTTGGAATGTTCATAGTCTTCCTCTGGGCAATGAGTCTAGGAGCCACTGTTTTTCTTCATGTGGAATGTTCATAGTCCTCCTCTGGGCAATGAGTCTAGGATCCACTGTTTTTCTTCATGTGGAATTTTTTTTTTCAGTTTTTCTATAATGAACATGTATTACTTTTATAATAGAAAATAACAAGATAAATTATTTCTGAAAGCAGTGCCCAGCATCCAGAATTTGGCAAAAACAGGAGAAGAAAGCATAAAACAAGCAGGGAAAAAGGTTTTCAGTTAAATTAGATGTCCAATTAAGAGATCAGCTTGGCTGCAAAATATCTTTTTGACAGACAATTAGTTCTGGGCAAGTCAAATGTTTCAACAGTGCGTTCTTCTGGGGCAATTAAAGTAATTCATACTTGACGTGCGGAAATGTGGTAATTGGGAAAGTTCCCCAAATGGCAGTTGAAACTGGGCTGGTTGTGTTTGGAGAAGTTAAGTCATGCCCTTGACAAGCCATCTATCTGAGTCTACTGAAGAGGGCTTGGGCTGGGTGATTTTAAGATGGAATTTTCCACTGGGCATAGGAAGTGATGCTGGGAATGGAATAGAAGGGTCAACAGTGACAACATTAACAGCATTTATTGTAATATAAATACAGTTGGCCCTTGAACAACATGGATTTGAACCACATGGGTCCACTTATACATGGATTTTTTTCTGTTTTTGCCACCTCTGAGACGGCAAAACCAATTCCTCCTCTTCCTCCTCTTCCTCAGTCTCCTCAATGTGAAGACAATGAGGATGAAGACGTTTATGATGATCCACTTCCACTTAATGAATAACAAATACATTTTCTCTTCCTTATGATTTTCTTAATCATATATTGTTTTCTCTGGCTTATTTTATTGTAAGAATACAGTGTATAATCATCTAAAATACAACATATGTGTCTATTGTTTGTGTTATTGGTAAGACTTCTGGTCAACAATAGGCTATTAGTAGCTACGTTTTGGGGGAGTCAAAAGTTATAGGTGGATTTCCAACTGTGAGGGGGTTGGCATCACAATCATTCATGGGTCAAACATTGTGTCAATAACAATCATACCACACATATTTTGAGTGCCACATGTTGCACTAAGCACTTATGTATCTATTAATTTCTACAACTATCCCGTGCAATAGATATGATTGGAGTTTCCGTCTTACTGATAAGGAAACTGAGGGCCAGAGAGGTCAATTGAGTTGTCCAAGGTCACACAGCCAGTTAGTAATGGAGCTGGAATCTGAATCCATGCAATCTGACCCTTGTTCAATGCTCCTAGACTTATGTGCTGGATTTTTTTTTTTTTTTTTGAAATAACAATGTTTTATACCTCTATCTTTACTTTCCTAGATAAGGGCATCTGATTTCCCTCCATGGCAAGCAAGTTATGTTGTATTTGCTACATTTGAGAGGGAAAAAAGCTGAAGTTCAGAACGGATTAGAAATTTCCCAAGGCCACACAGTGAAAGAATAGAAAGTTTCCTTTTTTAAATGGCGGAGCTTTTATATCAATGCTGTTTGTAAATTTTAGTTGGCAATGTCTGTTATATTCCATGAAACTGAATGAGAGGTGAGGTGGTATATTAGCCAAAACTCTCTCAGCTACATCTTGCTATTGTTCCATGCAACTTCAAAGCCCACAGATAGACTGGACTTCAAGTATGGCTGGATCCAGATGCTTAAATGATATGCTTTGAAATCTGTCTGATCTCTACTTCTCAGCTCTCTTTTCATCCATGTTGGCTTCATTATCAGGCCCTTTTCTTATGCCATCAGCAGCTGCTGACTTACCTCCTACCAGCTTAGTAATCCCAGGGGAAAATGAACTTACCTTTGCCAAAAGCACTGGCATAAGAAGCTGACTCTCATTGCATTGTAAGAGTCAGGTGCCCATCTCTGAACGAATTATTGTGGCTAAGGAAGTAGAAGAGGGTGATTAGTCAGTCCTGATCATGTGCTCAGCCCTAGCTTTAGAAGATGGTGCTATCCAAACTCCATGAATGAACAGTGAAGGAAGGACCATTGTTCAAAAGTAAGTGGAAATGCTGTTTCCAGGAAAGCAGAATGGGAGGAGGAAGCAGGGGGAGGGGGGAAGGGATTCAACGGGTGGGAGCTGGAATGGAATTAGCCCTAAATAGTTGGAGTTTGGAGGGTGTAAGTAAGTGTGAGCTGAATGCCGAAAGCAGAGTTTGCAAGATGGTGTGTCAGCCCAGTTCTGAGAAACAAACTCCCATACAGGATTACACATATGTGATTTTTATTAAGGGAAATGCCCTTGAGAGAAAGCAAAGAAGGTGCCACATAAAGCTGGGAGAACCTGAGACAGTAATGCAAGTCTGACTCTGAGTAAAAGAGAGAGGAGAAAAAAGTTAGGGTGCGAACACCATAGGGAAGTCCCTAAGCCAAAGCCGGGGACAGGGGAATCCTGTGTCTCCCGGGGAGGGGTCTGCTTTAGTGTCCCTGCCATGCTCAGTCATTAGCCAGGAGCACCTCATGGAAGGAAGCATATGGATTCCCCAGCGCAGCAGCTGGGGCCCTGGTTAATTACACTCCCAGTAGAGGCAGGTCGATGAGGCCCATTCTCAGGGCCACCACGTGGTGAGCCATGCAGCACTGGCCTGGCAGAACATTTGTCTGGGTTCATACAGTATTTACATTAAAAAAAATCAGGGCTGGGTGCTGTGGCTCACACCTGTAACCCCAGCATTCTGGGAGGCCAAGGCAGGCAGATCACTTGAGATTAGGAGCTGGAGACCAGCGTGGCCAACAAGGGGGAAACCTCATCTCTACTAAAAATACAAAAATTAGCTGGGTATGGTGGTGCACCCCTGTAATCCCAGCTACTTAGGAGGCTGAGGCAGGAGAATTTCTTGAATGTGGGAGGAGGAGGCTGCAGTGAGCTGAGATCATGCCACTGCACTCCAGCCTGGGCAACAGAGTGAGACTCTTGTCTCAAAAAAAAAAAAAAAAAAATCAGTCGCCAGCATTCAACAAACTGTGTATTTTACATCTTTAAAAACCCCTGGATTTCCTGCTTCTCTTTAAAAAATAGTGGCAGTTTGGCAACATTGGGAGTCCATTCCACAAATCTTGCAAAATTGAGTCCTCGCTGCCTCCTTAGATAGGTTGTGTGCTCTCTAGTTTGCCACAGTCTCCACCAGACCCAGTTGCCCTAATCTGTACTCTTCACTCATTTGTGTTACTTGTCTGCCCATGTGTGCATTTAAGTTTGCAACCCTTGCCTTAAATTCATCTGAGAAACAAACTATGGCAGTCAGGTTCAGCCATAGAATCTAATGGGAAGGAGCAAAGCTGGAGATTGAGCGACTAAGCTAGAGGTTGATAAAGCAGGAATAGAGCAGGTAGCTGGAGTCTGAGCAGACAGACTTCAGGGCTTGTCTGCCTTCCTAAGAGCTCCTTTGCTGGCTGGGTGAAGTCACTGAGAACCTAAGCAGAGGGTGTCAGTTCTAGCCTTCCTGGAGAAATCTTAGTTGAGATGGATGTTTAGAGCTGGTGGACACTGCCTTTGTGTCAAGCCAGTCTAGGAGTCACAGCAATATTTGGACACTGGTTGAAAGTTGTTTCATCCCATCCCACTTGCTCAGCAATTTGGACAAGTGTGGGTTTAGGTTATTTTAATTGGTTAATACCCTTTTGTTTAGGTGCTCTCCTTTCCTCTTCCACATGGTTCAGTAAGGCTGCCAATTCTAGAGCTCTTTCTTCTCCTATGAAAGTCATGGATGTCTTAGGCTGGGTTTTCCCAGAGGCAGATCCTGTGATGAGGATTTCCATGTAATGGTTTATTTGTAGGGTGACTCTGGGAAGCACCAGTAGGAGAATGGGAGTGTATTAGTCAGGGTTCTTTAGAGAAGTAGAACCAATAGAATAGCACACACACATACACACACACATATGCATATACATATACACACACACACACACACACACATATATAAGCATATGGGGAATCCATAAGCTTCCTTCCATGAGGTGCTCCTGGCTAATGACTGAGCATGGCAGGGACACTAAAGCAGACCTCTCCCCAGGAGACACAGGATTCCCCTGTCCCCAGCTTTGGCTTAGAGACTTCTCTATGGTCCATATATATATATATATATATGTGTGTGTGTGTGTGTGTGTGTGTGTATATATACACACATGTATATGTACACACACACACACACACACATATATGTGTGTGTATGTGTGTATATATATATACACATACATATATGTATCTATATGCACTTTTATATACATACATTCACATACATATATGTATCTATATGCACTTTTATATATATGTGTGTGTGTGTGTGTATGTGTGTGTGTGTATGCAATTATGGAGGCTGACAAGTCCTAAGATCTGCAGAATGAGTCAGTAAGCTGGAGACCCAGGAGACCCAGTGGTGTAGTTCCAGTCTGAAAACCAGCAGGCTTGAGATCCAGAAAGAGCCGTGTTTCAGTTTGAGTCTAAAGGCAGGAAAATTTTGACGTTTCAGTTTGAAGGCCCTCAGGCAGGAGGAGATCTCTCTGACTCAGGCAAGGGTTGGCCTTTTGTTCTATTTAGACCTTCAACTGATTGGATGAGGACCACGCACATCTGGAGTGCAACCTGCTTTCCTCCGTCTACCGATTTAAATGTTAATCTCGTCTGAAAACACCTTCACGGGAACACCCAGAATAATGTTTTACCAATTATCTGGGCACTCAGCGTCCCAGTCAGGTTGACACATAAAATTAACCATCACAGGGCAAAATGAGACAAGGAAATCTAAACCAGAATAGAGCAAGGTAATGAGTAAGTTACTTCTATGGGCAGCCGGGGCTTGGTCCTTTTGATGGGCTTTGGTTGATGGCATGGAACACACCTCAAAGTGTCCCACCTGAGTGTTGAGAAAACTGAGATATTTATCTTTCATCACTCATCTGACATTGACCAAGGGATTCTCTCAGGGACTTTGACATCCTTGAACTTCTGGCCTGTCTTGCCGAGGCCGAGAAAAGGCCTTCAGGTGGGGAGTTGCAGGTGCTTGCAGAGGGAGGCCTTCAGCTTGTATGGGATGGGGAGGGTCCAAGGGACATGGGTGGCCATTGCCAGTGTCTGCTATGGTTGGTAAGTGGCACATATCTGGTCAAACATCAGGCTCTATCCACCCAGCAGTGTTGGACCTTGGAGTGGCACAGGCATCAGAATCTTCCCTGGGGATTAACTTATTGTGGTTCTTGAACAGAGAGGATATATATCTGGAGGTGCCAGCCTCTACTTGCCCTCCCACATGGAGAGAGATGGAGAATAAGGCTGAGCAAAGACAAACAGTGAAGAGAAATGGAGACAGAGAGAGAGAGAGAGAGAGAGAGAGAGCGAGAGAGAGAGAGAGAGAGAGTATACATGTACTTTGAGGCAGTGAGTCCTGTTTCTAGTCCCTGGGGCTCTGGTTCTTTTCTCTTCCTGTCTTAGTCTGTTTTTGCTGCTGTAACAAAATACCCAAGACTAGATAACTTATAAAGGACAGAAACTTATTTCTCACCGTTCTGGAGGCTGAGGAGTCCAGGATCAAGGCACAGGCACATTTTGTGTCTGGTAAGGGGCTCTGTTCCTTACTTCTAAGGTGGTGCCTTGTGTCCTCTGGAGGGCATGAATGCTGTATCCTCATATGTGGAAGGTGGAAGGGCGAAAGGGCCTAAGTTAGTTCCCTCTACCCCTTTATAAGGCATGAATTCATTGCTTAAGGGCCAAGCCCTCCTGACTGAATCACTTCCTAAAAGGCCCCACCTCTTAATACCACTGCAATAAGGATTAAGTTTCAACATGAATTTTGGAGGAGACACATTCAAACCTTAGCATTCCCTTTCCGTAAATGACCTCAGCTGGGTAAACCAGTATATTCGTTTCTTGATTAATTTAGCCAGAGTTAGATTTCTGGGCATGCAACCAAAAGCTCTTACTAACAGTTACTGTGGTGGGATAGGGATGGGGGGAAGGGAGATTGGGATTGAGAGAGAGATTGCCCTGGGCCTAAGAGCTTTCTCTCCTTATTACATCCCAGTGCCTGAGATTTAAGTTGCTAGAAGGAAGATGAGTTTATGGTGGAAATTTGTAACCGACCATTAACTAGAATGGCACAGCTAAGACCCTGTGCCTGACCAATTGTTAGGACTTAAAGAAATAGCAATAAAGAAAGAGCTTTTAGTTTTGGAGCTTAATTAGCCATTCTTTTCCTTCCTGACTTTTAGTTTTATGACTCTAGCTTCCAGGATAGAATTTTATTGTAGTCAGATACAAATTAAACCCAAACAAGGACTCTCCCGTGTTTCTGTTTCTTCAATTTAAATTTATTCTTTGTAGGGTGACACTAAGTACCACAGTATATGTCACATGTAAGAACAGTAAATTTTTAAAAAAGAGAGACAGGGCAAGCATTTATCATTGTGATCTCTTCTCTAAACATAATGGGAACTTAGGTTAATTAAAAAAAAAAGTTAATGCCGTTGTTTTTTGCCTTAAGAAAGGTAGGGTTTTTATCTGAAGTGCTCTGAGAATTGGCACTCTTAAATCTGCAATGATGAGAAATAACAGTAGCTACCATTTGTTGAAAATCTATTAGTAGTATGCTAGGTCCTTAACCTTCAGTATCTCTAATTACCCCAAGACACTTGAAGGATGGATGGTCTAAAGTTTCCATGTGTGCAAAATGATAGCTCTGAGAAGACTTAACCAATGTTTCAAAGATTTAAAAAAAAAAAAAAAAAAGGAATTGGAGCCAGTTTGCATTAAGACCTTTTGAACTCCAAAAAATCTATCTATGTGCTTCCGACTTGAAAAGGGTATGTTTTGCATGCTGGATATGGGTTTGGTGGAGGTGCTGGTGTATACACTGTATGTTTCAATGTTAGACATCGTGCTGGGTACTGCACTTAGTAGGCACCTGATCGCATTTCTGTTCGGCAAATTCAGAAAATGTGAGCGACTGAAACTTCATTAGGTTGAAGGGGAATTTACCTTTTCACTACGTCTGAGCAAAGGGTTTATTCGGTAAGGTATATTTATATTATATTATATTATATTATATTATATTATATTATATTATATTATATTAGTGCCCCATGGAAATTATATTTGTTTCTCTACAGATAACAAAGATTCTTATTTCTCTCTTAAAATTCAAAATAAAGAGTCTTACTGACATCTACCATAAATCCTCTGCTGTAACCAGGTAGAGTATAAATAACTCCATAAAAAGAGAGTAATGCTGTCTTGCATTTGCACAGCACTTTACAGTTTAGAAAGTATTTGCTTGCCATGTCCCTTTCGATCCTCCTGATAGGTTTGCGGGGTAGGAAGGAGAGGTACTGTCATTTCCATCTTCCTGGTGGGAAACAAACATTTGGAGAAGTTGGGTGACTTGCCCCAAGGTGACACAATAGTGAAGGGTTCAAACCAGGACTTAGTTAGTTTGGGTGTCAGAATGGGTCAGAGTGGGTTTGTCTTAGTTAGTTTGGGCTGTGTATTAGTCTCTTCTTGCATTGTTATAAAGAAATACCTGAGACTGGGTAATTTATAAAGAAAAGAGGTTTAATTGGCTCACAGTTTTGCAGGCTGTACAGGAAGCATAGCTGAGGAAGCCTCAGGAAACTTACAATCATGGCAGAAGGTGAAAGGGAAGCTGGCATGTCCTACATGGCTGGAGTAGGAGGAAGAGAGCAAAGGGGAAAGTGCTACACACTTTTAAACAACCAGATCTTGTGAGAACTCACTCACTGTCATGAGAACAGCAAGGGGCAAGTCTGTCCCCGTGATCCAATCCCCTTCCCCCAGGCCCCTCCTCCAACACTGGGGATTATGATTCGACACGAGATTTGGGTGGGGACACAAATCCGAACCATATCAGGCTGCAAATAACAAAATAGTATAAACTGGATGGCTTAAGCAACAGAAATCTATTTCTCACAGTTTTGGAGGCTGAGAAGTGCCACAATCTGGCTGATGTAGCTCCCAGCGGACCCTCCTCCTGGCTTGCAGAAAGCTGCTTTCTCTCTGCATTCTCACATGACGGAGGAAGTGGGGGGTGGGGGGAGCGGAGGTAGAGAGGGAGAGAGAGAGGGAGGGAGGGAAGAGGAGAGACAGAGCAAGAGAGCAAGCCGTCTGGTGTCTTTTCTTGTAAGGATGCTAATTCCATCACGAAGACCTCATCCTCATGATCTCATCTAAACTAATAGTCTTCCAAAAAAGCCCACCTCCTAATACCATCATAATGGAAGTTAAGGCTTCAACATATCAATTTTGAGGGGACACAGTTCAGTCCATTGGACTTAGAGTTCACACTTCCTGGACAAGATTTTGGAATGTTGTAAAGTTTCTTCAGAAAAACAACTATTTTCCCCCAAGCATTTATAGCCCACTTTAGCAGCACTCAACTGCATGCCTCTGATCTATATGCTAATTTTGGATCCGCCTTATCTCTTAAGGAATCCAAGAGTTTGTGTGTGTGTGGATGCTCCTTGATTTGAAATCCTTATGTGCTTAGAACTAATGGCGTTGTAAAACACACTCCACAATGTACCCTTCTCTAATTCAGCCTGATTTTCTCCCATCCCTCCACGTTAGCCAGGCTCCCATGCCCCTGTTTTTGATCACGATTGATTGTCCAGCTCCAAAGCATCATCTGAACGACTTATGGTCTTTCTCCCGAGTGTTGGAGCCCAGGGTAGGCAGATGGGAGAGGGTAGGGGATTTGAACCGGGGAAAGACATTTAAATTTCCTCCTGTTCATCTTAGCTTAGGAAGTTACCTGCTGTCTGAAGGGTGTATCCCTATTTTATTATTTATTTATTTTTACAAAACCAAGGGAAACCAACAACGAACGCAAGAGGAGCTCCTCTGCCTCTGATTCCAGTAGCTGTGCTCTCAGGTTGGAGCAGCCAACCCAGAAATTGGTGGCCAGTGGCTAGGGTCAGGATGAGCAGAGTGAACGCGAGTTCTATGTCTGATTATAAAAACTGTACTTGCTCCTTATGGAGAATTTGAAATCTAGGGAAATTATAAAAATGTAAAGTGTTATCAGTCCTTTGTCAGCCATTGGGCTGGTTGGTTGGTCAGAAGTCATCACTGTTATAGACCCTCATTGCTTAATGAAAATTAATTTGTCAAGCGATTTCCTTGATGATGCTAATATTTATTGAAAGGTTACCCTAGGCTGAGTTCTGGCTAACAGCTGTATATGTGTATACTTTTATTTTCCAAGTGAAGAAACAGGCTCAGAGAGGGTAAGAACTTACTCACAGTCACACAGCAACTGAGTGGGGCGGCTAGAATTTGGGTTCAGATAGTCAGACGTTAGAGTTCAGGTTTTTCATCCCTTCAACATCTACACATTTTTCAAGAAATAACAAGATTCACTTTTGGTTTGAAGAGGAGTGCATGGGAGAGAAAGAAAAGTACCAAATGGGAAAAAGAGAGAGCAAGGAAACCAAACTCCGTTTGTGGTCATGAGCTACATTAAAAAAAAAAAAAAAAAAAAAAGCCAGGCCAGGGACAATGGCTGGATTATGCCTGTAATCCTGCCACTTTGGGAGGCCAAGGCAGGAGGATCAATTGAGGTCAGAAGTTTGAGACCAGCCTGGGCAATATAGCGAGACCCCATCTCTACAATTCTTTTCTTTTTTTTCTTTTTTTGAATTAGCAAGGCGTGCTGGTGTGCACCTGTAGCCACAGCTACTGGGGAGGCTGAAGCAGGAGGATCGCTTGAGCCCAGGAGTTCAAGGCTGCAGTGAGCTATGATCCCACCACTGCACTCCAGCCTGAGCAACAGAGTGAGACTCTGTCTCTGAAAAAACAACAACAACAAAAACAAAAACAAAGCAAAGCTGGTGGTTTCACATGAGTGTTGCTCCTTCTGGAAAGGCATCACTGGAGTGGGTGCCATATTTTGATGCTGCTGCTGCCAATGATGAGAACATGGGCAACCTCTTTTGCCTGTAATTTTTTTTTTTTTTTTGAGACAGTCTCGCTCTGTCGCCCAGGCTGGAGTGCAGTAGTGCATTCTCAGCTCACTGCAACCTCCACCTCCTGGGTTCAAGGGATTCTCCTGCCTCAGCCTCCCAAGTAGCTGGGATTACAGCTGCCTGCCTCCACACCCAGCTAATTTTTGTATTTTTAGTAGAGATGGGATTTTGCCATGTTGGCGAGGCTGGTCTCGAACTCCTAACCTCGTGATCCACCCGCCTCGGCCTTCCAAAGTGCTGGTATTACAGGCATGAGCCACCGTGCCCGGCCAAGAGAGACTTTTCTACACTTTGTAATTATGTTATTTTTAAACTGAAAACTGTGTTTCCTATTTCTTAGTGTTAGAAAGAAAGAGAAATCCCTCAGAACAATCAGCAGCCTGGAGCATAGTTTGAGACTCCCACTAACAGAGCCAAGAGTCTCAAACTAGGCCAACAGATACCCTTGGGGAACCCTGCTGTATCCCTGGGACATAAAAAACTACAGTACAAACATCATCATCTTCCTGGAGGATGAATAAACTTTAGTAGAGTAATAGTAACTTAAAACACATGTGGCACAAAATAGAACGCAGAGTTCACAAATACCTAAGGTAAAATAAGACTTCAAAGAAAATTTCACCTTTGCAGAGGTTATTTTGGGCTACACTCCACAGAGTATGAATTCATTCTCTTTTCCTCTCAGGGATAGTTTGTTAAGAGTTTGAAAACCACTGCTCTGGGCAAACTGCCCTCCGGAGTCACACACAAAAAATCAATCTCGTTACTAAAGATAAATTTTATTTCAATAAAAATTGTAATGAGCTTGATCACCTACCCTTTTCACCTGACTTGGCTACAAATGACTGCCAACTGTTTAAAAAAGAAAATCCAACCGACCCTCAGAGCTAATATGCTATTACTTTTAAAGATTACAGACAGGCCAGGCGTGGTGGCTCACGCCTGTAATCCCAGCACTCTGGGAGGCCAAGTTCCTATTTCTTAGTGTTAGAAAGAAAGAGAGAGAAATCCCTCAGAACAATCAGCAGCCTGGAGCATAGTTTGAGACTCCCACTAACAGAGCCAAGAGTCTCAAACTAGGCCAACAGGTACCCTTGGGGAACTCTGCTGAGGCTGAGGCAGGAGAATTCCTGGAACCCGGGAGGCGGAGGTTGCAGTGAGCTGAGATCGCGCCATTGCACTTCAGCCTGGGCAGCGAGAGCGAGACTCGGTCTCAAAAAAATAAAAAAATAAAAAAGCCTCTCTTGTGTCCTTGTCCCCAGCCTTCCAGCTCTCCTCTGAGGGAACCAGTTTTCAAGATGGCCCGCAACAATCCCTGCCTGCTGCCATTCACACCTTGTTTAGTCCCCTCCCACGCTGGAAAGATCCATGTTGGGGCTCGTGTGTGACCAATGCCGCAGAAGTGATGTTATGTCACTTCCGCGATTACGTCATGAAAGACTGCAGCTTCCATTGTTGGCTCTTTCTTTCTCTTTCTTGGATCAGTCGCTTTGGAGGAAGCCAGCTGCCATGTTTTGAGGACACTAAGGCACTTTATGGAGAGGCCCACGTGGTGAGGAATTGAGGTTTCTGTCTAAGAGCCAGTAAGGAATAGAGACAACCACACAGTGAGCCTGGAAGCCTAGTCTTCAGCCCCAGAAACGCTCAGATGACTGCAGTCCTGGCTGACATCTTACCTGCAGCCTCATTGGAGACCCTAAGCCAGAGCACTTAGCTGAGTTGGCTTGTGGGTTCCAAATCCAGACAATTAGATGATAAATGCTTGTTGTTTTATATTTAGTTTTAGTTTTTGTGACTACATCGTAGGTGTATATATTTATGGGTTACGTGAGATATTATAGGCATGCAATGTGTAATTATCACATCAGGCTAAATGGGGTATCCATCATCTCAAGCGTTTTCCTTTGTGTTACAATCTAATTATTCTCTTTTAGTTATTCTAAAATGTACGATTAAATTGTTTTTGATTATAGTCACCCCATTGTGCTAGCAAATAGTAGGTCTTATTCATTCTTTTTTTTTTTTTTTTTTTGAGATGGAGTCTTGCTCTGTCGCCCAGGCTGGAGTGCAGTGGTGCGATCTTGGCTCACTGCAACCTCTGCCTCCCAGGTTCCAGGAATTCTCCTGCCTCAGCCTCCTGGGTAGCTGGGACTACAGGCGCCTGTCACCACGCCCGGCTAACTTTTGTATTTTTTAGTAGAGATGGGGTTTCACCATATTGACCGGGCTGGTCTCGAAGTCCTGACCTCGTGATCCACCCACCTTGGCCTCCCAAAGTGTTGGGATTACAGGAGTAAGCCACCGCGCCCGGCCTTATTCATTCTTTCTAACTATTTTTTTGTACTATCATGGTTCACTGCAGCCTCATTTTGACCTCCTGGGCTCAATTGATCCTCCCACCCCAGCCTCCTGAGTAGCTGGGACTGTATGCACATGCCACCATACCTAGGTAATTTTTAAAGATTCTTTTATAGAGATGGGGTCTTCTTATGTTGCCCAGGCTCGTCTCAAACTCCTGGGCTCAAGTGATCCTCCCGCCTCTGCTTCCCAAAGTGCTGGGATAACAGGCGTGAGCCACTGCACCCAGTCGATGGCGTGTATTAAAAGGAATGATGATATAAATACTGATGACTAACGTTTATTGAGTGTTTTTTCCATGTCAGGCATTATATCAAGCACTTTACATGCATATCTCATCAGTAAAACATTTGCATTTTTATTTCTTATCACTAGTAAATCCTTCTCCTCCCAGAAGCATTTAAAAATCCACAAACCATGGCTAACTTCCTGTGAAATGGCTTAGTGGGCAAAAATTCAGAATAAGGGGAGTGTGAGTCCATGTCTCCTTTCCAGAGATGAAGAAGTTTGTCTTTTCTGTGCATGAAGAAGACAATGGGATATGGATGACACTAAACCTTTGAAAGTTCCTGCTAACCTCCAGGTGGAAGGAAAAGGCCCACGGTGATCAATAAATGTGTTTGCTATTTTTTGGGTGAAAGGAAGAGAGCCTGCACCTCTGTTGGGGTAGGTTATCCACGCTGTCTGCCTGGGGTCCAGATTCCTGGCATTGATATGACTTCTTGGCTCTCTTGAGCCCTGAATCTGCTTCAAATTCAGAAAGCCCCAAGACTTATGGGCTCTATAATTACTCTGGGCTTTGGAGAATGGTTTCTCTTATGAGCAAAACAATGGTGGAAACTTGTACCAATGAAGGAAACACACAAGCGTGTAGAGGAACATTGCTGTTTTCTGATGATGCTGGTGGCTGCTTGGGTGAGAGATAAACTCTCCAAAGAGCGTTGGCCCTTTTGTGGCTGCAGGATCTGGGTGAAAGAGATTCTTGTAGTCTATCCTATCACTAGATACTATCTGTCTTAGTCCATTTTGTGCTGCTATAACAGAATACCACAGACCAGGTAATTTACAATGAATAGAAATTTACTTGGCTCACAGTTCTGGAGGCTGGGAAGTCCGAGGTTGAGAGCTTACATCTGGTGAAGGCCTTCTTGCTGCATCATGGTGTGACCCAAGGCATCACATGGGTGAGAGAGAGGGTGAGAGAGAGCACCTACTCCTGTGAAAACCAGCCCGCTCCCATGATAAAGGCATTAATCCATTCAGAAAGATGATGTCCCCATGATCCAAACACCTCTTGAAGGCCTCACCTCTCAACACGGTTGCATCAGGGATTAAGTTTCCAGCACTCGAACTTTGGGGAACACATGCAAACCATAGCAATATCTGTGCCGGATATTTTGTATTTGCTCCTTTACATCCACTGTCCACCCCCATTTCCTGCTTTGTACCCCAGGAGGCTGACTTCTATGGACTACATCACATGTGGTCTCCCATCCTCTTGTGGCTGCTTGGGTTTGGCCAATGGGGTGGGGATCATAGAATACTAGAAGGTGGGAGGAGAGAGGGATTCGGATATTTATTTCTGTGGCTCCTTCCTGTTGGGTTGCCATAGGTTGGAAGCTCCTGCCAGGCAGCTGTCTTTCCCTGAAGACTGTGGCTACTCTCCTTGGGTTCCATAACTATTTCCCCTCCAGGTCTAGGGGTAGAAATGGCTCCTCACTGCTGCTAGTTAGGGCTACTGCAACCTCCCTTTTTGTTTTTGTTTTTTTTAATCCCACTTATACAGCTATATATAGCCCTTTGCTAAACTCTTTTTAGTTACCCCATTTCAGTTTACTATGTATTTCCTGCCACAACCTTGATTGATACAGCAGCCCAGAGAAGGGAAGCAATTAACTTTCTCACTCCTTTATTCATTCATCCAACCTCCCATCAACACTTACTCTATGCCAGGACTTGTGCTGAGGCTTTTAAGAATGAGACATGATTTCTTGTCTATGTCCCTGAGTTCTCAGTTGTTCACCCCAGAAACTGACTCTTACCAAAGAAAGAGAACATGCCGAAGGCACTGCTGAAGGCCCAGCCTTGGAAAACACCCCATACAAGGTGACTCCAGATAGCTTTATAGTGGCAACTCCTCCAAGGGCATGCGTTAGGGATAGGCTGATCTGGGGACCCCTGCTCTCCCTGCAGAGAATTCATGGAAACCCAATAGGGCCTGTGTTCTTGCATCATGAGTCAAGGTGCCAAGAGAGATCACCTGATTGGCTGATCCAGAGTCACACGGTTGGGGGAGGGTATACAAAGTGGAGGGCTCACCACAGCGGTCAGAGATAAGGCTGCTCCTTGCAGCTCTGTTTTTTGCAATTCCTCTTGGACCCTCCCCAGTTCGGCCACCACCCTTGAGGCTAGCAAGGGTGAGTTGTGTCAGAAGCATTCCATGCAAGGAAATAACAACTTGGAATCCAAATATATTCATTAGTAAGTAATGGAAACCTGAAATTGCTTAAACAAGATGGGACATTATTCTCTCACATTAAAAGGAATTTGGGGGTAGGTGAGTCTAGGGTTGGTTTATTCAGTAGTTCAGTTGTATCATCAAAGACCTGGGCTCTTGCCATCTTTGTGCTCTGACTTACAGAGCAAGGGCTTAATTCCAGTCTTTTCCTCTAATGAGCACAAAATGGGTGCCACAGTGCCTTACATCACATCCTAACACAATAACGTTCAATGTCCAAAGGTCAGAGGAGAAAATGTGTCTTCCTTGTGTCCATTGTTGACAGCAAGGAGGAAATTTCCATCAACTCTCATTGGTCACAATGGGTCACGTGCCTATTCGAAAGCAATCACTAGACAGGGGGTCAGTATTACTATGATTAGTTTAGGTCAGTCAAGATTCACTCCTTGAGGCTCAGAAGGGCAACTTCTCCTAAAGCATGTGACTGTTCAATACTTTAAAAATTGGGGTTCTCTTAGCAACGGAGAAGATGAGGCTCTTTTTTTGACAAGCAATTGTAGCATCTATCAAAGCATAAGAAAAGCTTGTGAGTGATGAGGTTGGAGACTGAGAAGGTTCCAGAACATGACATTCTGGTGAAGTAGGCAGGACCCAGGAATCTCAAAAGTGACCCAATGTCACAGAGTCTGTTGGTGGCAGAGGAATTGAGGCATCTAGAGGCATCTAGGCAGAGTGATTGAGGCATCTCACTTTCTACGCAGAAAAGGAGGCATTTGCTCCACAAAAGCCTCCTGCTAATTCCAGGGACCTTTCGCTGTAGAGACAACTTTATGGCATCAGTGACAACTTTGGCCTCATTGTCCTGACAGAGCCTAGAATGGTGCTATCTTTGGGCTTCATATCTGTGAGGCACTCAGAAATGTATGAAGCATTTCCAAGTCCATGGTCTCATTTGCTCTCCACTTTGCAGTGGGGAAACTGAGGTTCAGACAGGTGAAGAGACCCGATCAAGGTCACATAGCTGGAGAGCAGGAAACACTGAGCTCAACCCCAGATATTTTAACCAAAGGTTTTAGTTCTCTGCCTTCCTGCCTTCTAGATAACTCCATACAGTCTGCAGGGTAGATCCTCAATCATGATGTATGAAAAGCGTGAATGAATACAAAAAAAAAAAAAAGGTTTAAAAAAGCTGTGCAAGCTGGGCACAGTGGCTCACACCTGTAATCTCAGCAATTTGGGAGGCCAGGGTGGGAGAATGTCTTGAGGCCAGGAGTTTGAGACTAGCCTGGGCAACATAGTGAGACTCCTTTTCTATAAAAAATTTAAAAATTAGCTGGGTATGGTGGTGTGCATCTGTAGTCCCAGCTACTTGGAAGGCCTAGGTGGGAGGATCACTTGAGCCCAGGAGTTCAAGACCAGCCTGAGCAACCTAGGGAGAGCCCGTCTCTACAAAAACTAATATAAATTAGCAAGGTGTGGAAGTGCATTTCTGTAATCCCATCTACTTGGGAGGCTGAGGTGGGAGGATTGCTTGGGCACAGGAGGTCGAGGCTGCAGTGAGCTGTGATCACACCACTGCACTTCCAGCCTGGGTGACAGAGTGAGACCCTGTCTCAAAAAATAAAGTAAAAAAGTTGTGCAAAGATAAAAACCCAGTTATGACTCCCATTGTGGACCCATAAATAAAGCAAAGTTATCAAATAGAGATGTGTGAGCTGCTGAATGGAACAGAACTCACTGGGTTTATGGGGCTGTGTCAGGCACCTCTGACAATGCCAGATATTTACTTTGCAGATGAATGACTTCATTGCTTGCCCCAAATGCATCACTGGTGGGTAATATTTACGCAGATTGGAAGCATTCTCCCTCCTTTATTTGGTCCTGGGCTGTTTGTAACCATTGGATTTTTTTACCTTTTGACTTGACGTTGTTCTTCACGGGACCGTGGTATGGGATGCATTTCAATAAACAATACCAAAGTGACAGATTTCGGCTTTAAATAAAATTGTGTTCCGTAAAGTGGGAGACAAAGGCTTATAACTCACTGTCGGCTGCAGACATTTTGGCAAAAATTATCTTTCCGGCTTTGATCTCCACTGTATCATTTTACTGAGTGGCCCCATGTGCTCTATCAATCAAACCCACTGAAGATGCAGGAGAATCACATTTAAAATCAAATACAAATTGTAGATTCATCTGCCCAGGAGGAAGAGAAATGTGTCATGAATCCTGCCTTCAGTCTTCTATGATTACAACGGAATTAGTTTTTGAAAACTCCAGAGGATGGTTTTCCACTTCCCAACTTTCATATTATTATTATTATTTTTGAAGGGGATAGCATTAGATGGGTAGAGAGGTAGACTAAAGTGATTCAGCTGTGAGATCGGAGTCTCGCCTTCCATCTAACTGTAGGTTAGGGCCTTTTAATATTCCTCTGACAGAGATTCTTTATGTAGGAAGGGATGTTAAGAAGAAAGATGTTCTCTAACAAGAAAACATTTAGACAAAGAGGATATGACCTCCCTCACTCAATCTCGCCTGCTTTCTTGGCATACATGGGAAGAGAGGATGAACTAGAAAGGAAATATTATTTGCTGATCTCCTTTCTTTGTCTGAGGCACATTGCACAGGATGTCTCATTTGATATTCACATGCCCATGCGAGGTGAACAATCCACACCATGCTTTACAGAAGGGGAAACTGAGGTCAAGAAACATGCTCATGGGCCGGGCGCGGTGGCTCACGCTTGTAATCCCAGCACTTTGGGAGGCTGAGGTGGGCAGATCATGAGGTTCAGCATTCGAGATCAGCCTGGCCAACATGGTGAAACCCTGTCTCTACTAAAAATACAAACATTAGGCCAGGTGTGGTGGCATGCACCTGTAATCCCAGTTACTCGGGAAGCTGAGACAGGAGAATCGAATGAACCCGGAAGGCAGGAGGTTGCAGTGAGCTGAGATTGCACCATTGCACTCCAGCCTGGGCAAAAAGAGCGAAACTCCGTCTCAAAAAAAAAAAAAAAAAAAGGAAAACAAATATTAGCCGAGCATCGTGGCACGTGCCTGTAATCCCAGCTACTCAGGAAGCTGAGGTAGGAGAATCGCTTGACCTCACGAGGTGGAGGTTGCAGTCAGCCAAGATTGTGCCACTGCACTCCAACCTGGGTGACAGAGCAAGGCTCTGTCTCAACAAAAAAAAAAAAAAAGAAAAAGAGAAAAGAAACATGCTTATGGCTGAAGAGCTGAGCCCAAGTCTATGTGATTCTGAATAACATGCTTTTAATTTAATTAATTAATTAATTTACTTATTTATTTATTTGAGACAGGGTCTCACTCTGTCTCCCAGGCTGCAGTGCCATTGCACCATCATGGCTTGGCTCACTGCAGCCTTGACCTCCTGGGCTCAAGTGATCCTCCCACCTCAGCCTCCCAACTACCTGGGACTACAGGCACACACTGCCATGCTCAACTAATTTTTTTTTTTTTTTTTGCATTTTTTGAGGAGACGGGGTCTTACTATGTTGTCTAGGCTGGTCTTGGACTCCTGCATTCAATTGACCCTCCTGCCGCGACCTCCCAAAGTACTGGGATTATAGGCTTTAGCCACTGTGCCCAGCCTAAAACTTTTGAGAAAGAATGCTTCTTGTTGATTGTCTCCCCTCTCTATTACCTTAGTGTCTGGCATATAGTAGGTGCTTGAAAGCACTTGTTTAGTGCCTAAGCCAGGGGCTGACAACCTTACTGTAAAGGCCCAGATAGTGGATTATTTGAGGCTTTGGGGGCCATGTGCTCTCTTGCAACCATGCAACCCTGCCATTGTAGTGCAAAAGCAGCCACAGACAATACTTTATTTATAAACTCTGAAATTGGAATTTCATATAATTGTCATGTAATGACGTATTATTCCTTTTGTCTTTTTCCCACTAACTATTTAAAATGTAAGAACTAGCTGGGCGCAGTGGCTCATGCCTGTAATCCCAGTACTTTGGGAGGCCGAGGTGGGCGGATGACCTGAGGTCAGGAGTTCGAGACCAGCCTGGACAACATGGTAAAGCCCTGTCTCTACTAAAAATACAAAAATTAGCCGGGTGTGGTGGCAGGTGCCTGTAATTCCAGCTACTCAGGAGGCTGAGGCAGTAGAATCGCTTGAACCTGGCAGGCAGATGTTGCAGTGAGCTGAGATGGTGCCACTGCACTCCAGCCTGGGCGACAGAGCGAGACTCCATCTCAAAATAATAATAATAATAATAATAATAATAATAATAATAATAATATAAAATGTAAGAACCATTCTTTCTTAGCTTTCAGGCCATAGGAAAACAAGCAGCTCGGATTTGGCCTTCAGGCTGTATTTTGCAGATTCCTGGTCTAAATAATTACCTTAATTATCACACTAGCAGATACTAAGAACTAGTGTATCTCCAAAGTCTAGTTTGGTGCCCGGTACAAACATTCTTTCCCCAAGGTGGAGTCCACTTGACCAGAGTGGAGAGTTACAGTGCTGGGGAAGAGTTGGAAGACATCTCTGCCTGGGGGTGGGGGGAAGGGCAGAGAAATCTCTTGGGGTTTGTTCTGGGGAAACTGGGAATTGTGGGAGAACTGAGGAGGCGGGAAAGGGGACTTTAAGAATATTATTGTGGGCCAGGCGTGGTGGCTCACGCCTGTAATCCCAGCACTTTGGAGGCTGAGGCGGGCAGATCACGAGGTCAGTAGATCGAGACCATCCTGGCTAACGCAGTGAAACCCCGTCTCTACTAAAAATACAAAAAAGTAGCCGGCCATGGTGGCGGATGCCTGTAGTCCCAGCTACTCGGGAGGCTGAGGCAGGAGAATGGCGTGAACCTGGGAGGCGGAGCTTGCAGTGAGCTGAGGTCGCACCACTGCACTCCAGCCCGGGCGACAGCGAGACTCTGTCTCAAAAAAAAAAAAAAAGAATATTATTGCGGGTTAGGAATTGGACCTTTTATTACAGAGGTTCTCACTGGGGACTGAATTGTCCCGTGTGTGTGTGTTTGTGTGTGTGTGTGTTTGTGTGTGTGTGTGTGTGTGTGTTTGTGTGTGTGTGTGTGTGTGTGTGTGTGTGTGTTTGTGTGTGTGTGTTTTAAATCTGCAGAGAGCTTTTGGTTGCCCTAATGATAGGGATGGGGGAGTCATTACGGTGTGGGGTAGTTTTTTGAATATATATATGTGTAGATCCCAAATTCATATGGGTTAGAAGAACCATGATTATCAGAGTCTATAACCTTGTTCTATTTTTTTTTTTTTTTTTGAAACAGAGTCTCACTCTGTCACCCAGGCTGGAGTGCAGTGGTGCCATCTCGGCTCACTGCAACCTCTGCCTCCCTGGTTCCAGCGATTCTCCTGCCCCAGCCTCCCGAGTAGCTGGGACTACAGGCGGGTACTACCACGTCCAGCTAATTTTTGTATTTTTAGTAGAGACGGGGTTTCACCCTGTTGGCCAGGATGGTCTTGCTCTCTTGATCTTGTGATCGGCCCACCTTGGCCTCCCAAAGTGCTAGGATTACAGGTGTGAGCCACCACGCCCGGTCCAACCTTCTTCTATTTTATCTGCCTATTCTATTTTATATGTTTACATGTTCTATTTTACATGTAAGTGTTGAATGAACACTGATGTTTCCAAGAATGTAGCAGCTATGGTGTAAATCAAGAGAAGATTTGACTCTGTTTGGTATGGGAATTTATCAAGAAAGAGCCACTCTTTTGAAGAACATGGCACTCTCAGTAAAGCTGATGCGACAACACACCACGCTGTCTGCGTTTGTGACTGTCACTGGTTATTCTACACACACGTGTGTGAGCACTTGACTGCTTCGCTCCGTCTTTCCTGGTGGAAACCCATATCATTTCTCTATATATTATTTCATTAGAAATCCTCATCATTTCATTTCTCCTTTTTATTATAATTAGGGCACAATTGTGATTGGTTAGAAGAGTAGATGGGTTATAGGATCAGCACATTTTTTTTTTTTTTTCAGGGTAGAAAAGAGAGCTTTTCAGCTGGGCATGGTGGCTCACGCCTATAATCCCAGCACTTTGGGAGGCTGAGGCTGGTGGATCATTTGAGGTCAGGAGTTCGAGACCAGCCTGGCCAACATGGTGAAACCCTGTCTCTACCAAAAATACAAAAAAAACAATGTACCGGGCATGGTGGCACGCATCTGTAATCCCAGCTACTCGGGAGGCTGAGGCACGAGAATCGCTTGAACTCAGGAGGTGGAGGTTGCAATGAGCCAAGATCCCACCACTGCCCTCCAGCCTGGACTATAGAGTAAGACCCTGTCTCAAAAAAAAAAGAGGGCTTTTCAATTGTTGGTTAAAACATGGGACATTGGATCTGATGGCACCAAGAATGCCTGTCCTGTAACACTGTTTGAGCTGATGTGTGGGGAACTGCTTTTGGATTACTTATGGGTTGCTGAAATATACTTCTCTGAATGCAGAGATTGGGCCCCTGATTATATTTGGGAGGCAAAACCATCACCTTGTAGGCACCTGGCAGGGTAAAACAAATGGATGCTTCTTAGAGGCCAACTGCTCTCTCACTTCCTGTTTCCCTTTTGTTTGCAGCGTAAAGCCAGATGCCTTTTATCTCTTGTATCACTGCTGGTTGTCTGAGAATTTTTTTTTTTTTTTTTTTGGACAGAGTCTCGCTCTGTCACCCAGGCTGGAGTGCAGTGGCGCAGTCTTGGCTCACTGCAACCTCTGCCTCTTGGGTTCAAGTGATTCTCCTGCCTCAGCCTCCCAAGTAGCTGGGATTACAGGTGTCCACCACCATGTTCAGCTAATTTTTGTGTTTTTAGTAGAGATGGGACTTCACCATGTTGGCCTGGCTGGTCTCAAACTCCCGACCTCAGGTGATTCACCTGTCTTGGCCTCCCAAAGAGCTGGGATTACAGGTGTGCACCACCACACCCAGCTGATTTTTGTATTTTTAGTAGAGATGAGGTTTCACCATGTTGTCCAGGCTGGTCTTGAACTCCTGATCTCAAATGATCTGCCTGCCTCAGCTTCCCAAAGTGCTGAGATTACAGGCATGAGCCACCACGCCTGGCCTGGGCAGAGTTTTTAAAAATGCTTCAAACTCTCCTTTAGGTCAGTTTGGGTAGAGTCATTCCTTTACAGTATAGTTACAATGGAGCTGCCAATCAGCTCAGGCCACACCCAGCCCACAGTCTCAGAGGGGCTGGGTCCCTGCTCTTTCTCTCTCCCTGAAAAGTGGCTGTTAATTTTCTCCTTTAGTCTCCTTTCCCCAGAAAGATATTTCCCTTTACCTTATGGGAGTTTGATAAAACTGGCATCTCCAGCCTTCTTTTCCTTATGTTGGTTTTTCTGCCACAAAAGGCCCAGAGACATTGTCTATGGAACGTTTGGCTGCAGCTGGGCAGGCGTTTTATTCTATTGGAAAATTCCACTAGGATTTTCTATGATTACAATAGAGCATGGGTCCTCAGTCAAACCCTCCACCACTTATAAGAAGCTCTGTGACTTTGGGGAAGTGACTTAACCTCTCTGAGCCTCACTTTTTCTATTTGGAAAGAGTGATGGGATGGTAGGTTTTATGTGTTAACTCTTAGGGATACAGGTGCACAGCTATTTGCCTAAACATCATTTTGGGTGTGTTCGTGAGGGCGTTTTGGGATGATTGTCATTTAAATTGGCAGATTGAGGAAAGCAGTTGCCCCTCCTAATGTGGGTGGACTTCATCCAATCCACGGAAGACCTGAATAGAGCAAAAGTCGGTCCTTTCCGAAGTAAGAGAGAATTCCTCCTGCCTGAAGGTTTTTAAACTGCACCATTGGCTTTTTTCTGCCTTTGTACTCAGACTGAAACACTGCTCTTTCCGGGTTTCGAGCCTGCTGGCCTTAGGACTGGAACTAACACCATCAGTTCTCTGGGGTCTCCAGTTTGCTGCCTCACCCTGCAGATGACAGCACTTGTTAGCCTCCATAATTGCGTGAAATCTCTCTCTCTGTTTAGACATTGGTTCTGTTTCTCTGGAAAACCCCAATCAATACAGGCGGTGATAATATTTTGAGGATTAAATGATACAATGAATAGAATATGCTTAACACACAGTGAGTGCTTGGCACATATGATCTCCTCAATACACATCAGCTTTATCATGGAAATTATTATGTATCATTATACAAAATATAATAAGATTTCAAACTTGTGTTCTCTTAGATGTCCTCTAAATTATTCAATGGAACAAAAAACTCTTCACTCATTTTTGTGTGTATGCAAACTTAATGTCTTTCAATAAAATTTTCCAAGTTATTGTATGTTCGCAAGGACATAATTCTGTTTGACTTCCCATCTTTGCAATACTAGTAGTGAGCCTCATTAGCACATGAATGCTGGTGTCTGTGAGATGTGCTTGCCTTCACTGTCCTGTTTGCCTTGCCCAAGGTGGGCGATGGAAAGGACAAGCCATCTATTATTGGTTGGAGGAAAGACCAACCATCTACTGTGGCAGTCTGCTCAGGCTGCCATACAAAATACCACATACTACGTGGCTTAAACAGGAGACATTTATTGTTCACTATTCTGGGGGCTGGGAATTCGAAGATCAAGGTGCTGGGTGATTTGTTTCTCCAGTGAGGGCCCTCTTTGTGGCTTTCAGTTGGAAGCCTTCTTGTTGTATCCTCACAGGGGAGAGAGAGAGCACGCAAGCATGAGAGAGAGTGCAAGAGAGAGAGGGAGAGATCAAGCAAGAGTGAGAGAGAGAGAAAGGTATCTCTGGTGTCTCTTCTAATATGGACACATCACATCTCCAGGACCTTAGGCTTATGATCTCATCTAAACATAATCACCAAAGCCGCATCTTCAAATACCCAAATACCGTAACACTGGTAATTAGGGTGTCAGCTTCGACATATCAGTTTGGGGGTGGAGGCACAAACGTTCATTTCATAGCACTTCCTTTTCCAAAAATGCTCCTTAATCCCTCCCTGCCATCCTTGCTATTCTCATTTGACAGATGAGGAAATTAAGACTCCACGATGTGCCTTAGGTTGCCCATAGCTGTACATCTTATAAGTGCGAGCTCCCCAGATAATTGCATTCATCCACAAGAGCAGAGTTAACTGCAGCATCATAGCCATCCAGGGAGCGTAATGCCCCGTTAAAAATAACAAAGCGTAGAGACCCAGCCTGAACTGAAGATGTGTCTGTGGTTGGGGTTCAGGGTTCTTTGATTTCCAGATCTACCACCCAGATATTTGTCAAGTTACATCTACCTCTGGTGCTCATTTCCACATCTCTAAAACAGAAATAATAACAGTGCCTTTTTGTTGCTGAGAGGATTTTGTGGCGTCATGCAGATGAAGTGGCTCTCAAGAGCCTGACTTAGTAAATGTTGGCTGCGTGTTGGGCATTATTAGCTAAGATGTACAAACAGCAGAGGTTTGGTTTGTATGAGTAGATCATATTCCTGCCTGTTGTCACTGAGGGAGAGCAGAGTCCTAAGGGGAGGGGACACAGGTCAGGAGAATTCTAGGGGGTGGGGGATGTTTCTGATTTCTCAACAATGGGTAAATCTGGGAATCTCATGAGAGCTTCAGTGGGTAAATCTTGGAATCTCGTGAGCAAAATGGGGACATGAAGAAGGAAGAAAAGCTGCTTGGAGGATTGGTGAAGGAGGAGGGAAAGGGAAAAAAAAAGGAAAAAACATTTAGGTGGTGCTAAGTGCCACGCATTTTCCATTTTTGCATCAGTGAATTGTAAAATCACACTGCAAGGCTGGGGATATTATCCCCATTTTACAGATGAGAGAGAGGAGGCTGGGCAAGTTAATGAACTGGTTCAAAGTATCACAGCTAGACAGTTGGAGCCAAAGTGAGATCGCACAGCTACGCAGACTCTAAAGCCCTTGTCTGTATATTGAATCAAATTTCCCCTTTTTCTGGCTTAGGTAAACTGAGGCAGGAAGTGATGAGAAAGGGTTAAGAGACGTCGGCTGCTCCTTAAACATCTCCCTTCCCAGTGTCATTTGCCATCCATAAACTCTTTCAAAATGTGATAACGGTTTTGATTTTCCTGTCATCTCGATTTGATATGAGAAATTTGGGATTTCCAAATTGACAGAAAACTCGATTTTAAAGATGCTGGAAGGGAAACATCTGTGAAAAATCACAGGAATAATGTCAACATCTGTCCCTGTGAAAGGAAATTGCTGAGGTTCTCAATTTACAGCCAATCAATCAATCTTGGAGGCCAGGGTGCTTGCAAATTGAAATGCATGTTGAAGCTATAGGGATGGCTAATTAATTTAGTTTGTATGCCTATAAGATTTTTCATTGTTTCCTATTCAAAAAAATTCTCTTTTGAATAGGAAACGTGTGCATATGGTAAAAAAAAAAAAATTAAACAGTACCAGAAAAAGTATACAGTGAAAATTAAGTTTGTTTTCCATCCCAACCACCAGTTCTTCTTCTCCAAGGTCAAAAGTGTTGCTGGCTTCTCTTGAAACTTTCCAGAGATACAATCTTTATATAGAAAAACATATGTATATATGTCTCCTCCCGGTTTTATAAATGATAGCCCATTGTACATATTACACTGCATCTTGACTTCATTCAACAATATATCTTTGAGGTTTTTGCATAGCAGTCCATATAGACATTCCTTATTCTTTTTATCAGCTGTGTAGTATTCCAGTATACGGATGTGTATAAATTAATCAGTTCCCTCATGGTGGACATTCAGGATATTTTCTGTCATTCTCCACAATTTATGCTAGTATGTCCATCTTGGTGTGTGTTCATCAGTAGGATACAAATCTAGAGGTGAGCCTCCTGGGCAGATGGGATGTGCATTTAAGGTATGATGCCTTCATGTAAAGGGAAGGTTTCCTTTTCTTTTTTCTTATTTTATTAAGAGACAGGGGTCTCACTATGTTGCCCAGGCTGGTCTTGAACTCCTGGGCTCTAGCAATCCTCCTGCCTCAGCCTTCCAAAATGCTGGGATTACAGACGTGGGCCACTGTGCCTGGCCAGGTTTTCTTTGTTATCTTGGAGGGAGCATCACCCCCCTCAAGGAGATCAGATTGGTGAAGGTGGGATGCTGTGTCTGAGAGCTTAATGACTGTTCACAGATATTGTGGCTGCCCTTCTCTAATGTACCTGCTTCTTCAGGCCCAAAAGGTGGAAATGATGTTTGTTTCTTACTTCTTTGGGGCTTTGACTGTGCCATTGAGATTTTGTGCTCAGGGATAAACTACCGTGTATTTACAGTTACCTCAACCTGTGAGGTTTGATGCCTCTTTCTTTCTTTCTTTCTTTCTTTCTTTCTTTCTTTCTTTCTTTCTTTCTTTCTGTCTCTCTCTGTCTTTTTTTCTTTCTTTCTTTCTTTCTTTCTTTCTTTCTTTTCTTCCTTCCTTCCTTCCTTCCTTCCTTCCTTTCTTTCTTTCGTTCTTCTTTCTTTTTTCCTTCTTCTTTCTTTTTCTTTCTTTCCTCTTTCTCTCTCTCTTTCCCTCTCTCCCTTCCTTCCTTCCTCCATCCCTCCCTTCCTTTCTTGCTTTTTTTTTTTCTTGCTTTGTTACCCAGGCTGGAGTGCAGTGGCATGATCATAGCTCACTGCAGCCTTGAACTTCTGGGCTCAAGCAATCTTCCTGCCTTGGCCACCCTGGGATTACAGGTGTGAACCGTGGCGCCCAGCCTTGGCCACTTTCTTTATTCTAAACTTCTTTGTTCCATACTTTGCTTCTTTTCCCTGGATCCATCCCCACCAGCCTCCCTTGTCACTCCAGTGATAGGACACTCAGTCTTGCCAAGTCAATGTAAACCCAGACCCTTCTCATTTAAAACCTAGTCTCTTTGGTAAACAGTCAATTCAGGATCCTCACATCAATCTGAGTTTTAAATCTTAATTAGTTGAAAGATTTTCATATCTTTATCTTTCCACTTTGGTCACTGGCTTCGCTGTGGGTGCTATACCACTCAGACCTCTGTGCAGGACCACCGAGGCCCTCTGTCCCCCCAGCTGCTGGGAGACCTAGCTGCTAACAGCTCATAGCAAAGTCCTGCCTCTGGCAAGAAGGCACCTGCAGGAAGCCACCTAGTGCTGGGAAATCCTCCTCCCCTCCTAGGCATCCCATAATCCTGGAGGGTTACAAAGGCTCTGTCCCTTGCCCCTCCGTATGGGAGTGTATTAGTCAGCGTTCTCTAGAGGGACAGAACTAATAGGATAGATGTATATAAAAAGCGGAGTTTATTAAGGAGTATTGACTCACACGATCACCAGGTGAGGTCACACAGTAGGCCATCTCCAAGCTGAGGAGCAAGGAAGCCAGTCCAAATCCCAAAGCCTCAAAAGTAGGGACGCTAACAGTGCAGCCTTCAGTCTGTGGTCAAAAGTCCAAGAGTCCCAAAGCTGAAGAACTCAGAGTCCGACGTTCGAGGGCAGGAAGCATCCAGCACGAGAGAAAGATGAAGGCTGGAAGACTCAGCCAGTCAAGCCCTTCTATGCTGCTCTGCCTGCTTATATTCTACCTATGCTGGCAGCTGATTAGATGGTGCCCACCCAGATTGAGGGTGGGTCTGCTTTTCCTAGTCCACTGACTCAAATATTAATCTTTTTTGGCAACACCCTCACAGACACATCCAGAAACAATACTTTGTATCCTTCAATCCAATTAAGTTGACACTCAGTATTAACCATCACAGGGGGTGTCTCAGGGGTCCTGGGGACTGTTCCACAGTGCCACTCCCCTCTCTGCCCAATGCTGCTTCCTTGCTTTCCAGCAGGTGCTCCTCCCAGTAAACCCCCTGCACCCAGATCTCCATCCCACAGCTTGTCTCTCTAGAAACCTGACCTATGACAGGCTTATAAACACCACAACAGGGTATGGGTATGGGCCAGGAGAGCTACTCCTCTCATCTGCTGAGGGTCCTACCCCAGGACCCCTGGGGAGGGATGAGGTCCCTGTTGTTCATCTGGGTGATCATCTAACTCCTGATGAGCCCAGGAGTTAGAGACCGGCCTGGGCAACGAAGTGAGACCCCATCTCTCCAAAAAAAAAAAAAAAAAAAGTCAAAAAATTAGCCAGATGTGGTGCATGCCCCCAGCTACTTGGGAGGCTGAGATGGGAGGATAGCATTAGCCCAGGAGGTTGAGGCTGCAGTGAGCTATGATTGCACCACTGCTCTTCATCCTGGGTGGCAGACTGAGACCCTGTCTCAAAAAAGTTGTCATGGTCCTATGACATTTTTTTAGGTCCTATGCAGGGGTGCAGGTGGAGGTGGTTTCTGGTTCTACCTGACTGTCTTCGTTCAGCCTCGTCCATTTGTTGACTCTGCTACCCAGAAGTGAAAGAATATGGCATCTTTCTCATCTCTATATGGTCCCCATGCAGTAAGGAGTTGACTCAGCCGGTCTGGGGAGTTCAAATCCTGCACATTCCAAAGAAAGCTCTGGCCCTTGACTGGCTCCTGGGAGATAACCGCCAAGTCTTTGGAACATTCTGCCTGATAAGAGTGTCTTTGTTTACCTATGGCCTCAGGCTGAGCTAGCTAGTCCATGCTAACAATGCAATTTATGGTGAGTGCCTGTTTTTGTATGTGTCAGTTTGACCTCTAGAGGGGCTGGAGACTGAGTAACAAAAGTCACCCATGCAGGTGCTCCATGCCTGGGTGATGAAATGCTGATAAAACCCCTGGACACCAAGGCTTGGGGGAGCTGCTGTGGCTGGCAGTACTTTGTATACATTGCTAATTGTCTCTTATAGCTTGGCTGTGTCCCCACCCAAATCTCATCTTGAATTGTAGCCCCCACAATTCCTACGTGTTGTGAGAGGGACCCAGTGGGAAGTAATTGAATCACAGGAGTGGTTTCCCCCATACTGTTTTCATGGCAGTGAATAAGTCTCACAAGATCTGATGGTTTTATAAGGAGAACCCCTTTCACTTGGCTCTCATTCTCTCTTTGCCAGCCGCCATGTAAGACATCCCTTTGCTCTCCCTTGCTCTTCTGCCATGATTGTGAGGCCTCCCTAGTCACGTGGAACTGCGAGTCCATTAAACCTCTTTTTTTTTTTCATAAATTACCCAGTCTCGGGTGTGTCTTTATCAGCAGCATGAAAACAGACTAATACAGAGCATTAGGAGCTATCCTTCTAACTCCACTGGGAGAAAACTACTGGAAACTTACCCCTGGTCTCTCTTGGAGAGACCTATGCATCTTGTACCTTGGTTGATTTTAATCTGTATCCTTTTAGTGCAATAAACAATGTTCATGAGGACAATGGCTTTCCTGATTCTGTGGGTCCTTCTGGCAAATCAATGGGCCTGAGGGCGGTCTTGGAGATCCCTGACAAAAGTCACTGTAGCCAGGGACCATCTTCTGTTGAGCTTATTTCAGAGGAAGATGTCATAGGTAATGGGCGTTGGGGGCACCCTGGTTCCATTTGTTGACTCTGCTACCCAGAAGTGAAAGAATGTCGCATCTTTCTCATCTCTGTATGGTCCCCTGCAGTAGAGTTGACTCAGCAGGTCTGGGGAGTTCAAATCCTGCACATTCCTAAGAAAGGTCTGGCCCTTCACTGGCTCCTGGAAGATAACCACTAAGTCTTTGCAACATTGTGCCTGATAAGGGTGTCTTTATTTACCTTTGTTCTAGTTCTTGTTCTAGGTGCTGGTGATAGAACTGTGAACCAAAGGTCATTGCCTTCAAGGAGTTTATATTCAAGTGGAGAAGATGGAAAACCCTCCCCTCACGAACAAACAGACTCTGAAACCTGATAAATAAATATTAGCATTCAGTGAAGTGTTAATGAGTTTCTGTGAGCACATACAACCCTTACCAGAGTTTATCTCATCCTGCCTGAGCTAGCCCCTGCCTCCCTCCCCAGCCCACATATTTTGCCACACCCTTTTCATTCCTCCCAACATTCCAATTCCTTCAACACATGGAACTCCTTCTCACCCCAGGGCCTTTGCACATGTTACTATCTCTGTATAAATGCATTCCTCTCACTTGACACCTGGATAACTCCTCATTGTCCTAGTCTTAGCTTAAATGTCATCATCTGGCCAGGCATGATGGCTGACACCTGTAATCCCAGCACTTTGGGAGGCCGAGGTGGGAGGTTCGCTTGAGCCCAGGAGTTAGAGACCAGCCTGGGCAATGAAGTGAGACCCCATCTCTACCAAAAGAAAAAAAAAAACAAAAAATTAGCTGCATGTGGTGCTGCATGCCTGTAGTCCCAGCTACTTAGGATGTTGACGTGGGAGAATCATGTGAGCCTGGAAGGTCGAGGCTGCAGTGAACTGTAATTGCACCATTGCACCTCATCCTGGGTGACAGAGTGAGACTGTCTCAAAAAAAAAAAAATTCATGACCTTGGGGAAGCCTAGTTGGATACTCTCCTTTTTCCCCAGACCAGCTGGATCTACCATCATAGGCTGTTATAGCATGCATCCAATTCTCTCTTTCTATTGCTCTTCTTTTTTTTTTTTTTTTTTTTTTTTTGTAGAGATGCAGTCTCACTATATTGCCAGGGCTGGTCTTGAATTCCTGGGCTCAAGCAATCCTCCCACCTCGGCCTCCTAAAGTGCTGGGATTACAGGTGTGAGCCACCATGCCCAGCCTGTTACCTTTCATTTTTATTTCAGTCATCATTCTGAGTGGCTGAGCATATGGATGTGTTGATTGTTGAAATAAATCATTTAGGCAAATTGTTACGGGCCCCATCTAAATTCAGAATCCAGCCCTGGATCTGGTCTGTAATTCTTCCCAGCCACAATCTTCCCTGTTGGAGTCCGAGTTCTCCACTCTAGACCTGCAGCGGGAAGCTTTCCAGGGACCAGCCAGTTCCACCGCCTCCAGAGCCACCCCTCACCTGCTGACCTCTTCCTATGTTAGCTGCCCCTCTCGCTGCCTGCTGCCCTTCCCCGGGCCAGCTGATACGAGAGCTGGCGATAACTTGAAATGCTCCCCGCAGAAGATAAATGAGAGGGGAATCTCAGCAGGCATTGAGCTCTGTACCTAACGACTGGCAGTTGGGGCTTCTAATTTTAGGCCTGGGGAGGAAGCTGATTTCTGTGATGAAGGTGGCCACACGCTTTATCAAGGGCCAATTTAGCAAAAATCTAAAATGTATATGAAGCCGTGGTAAGTCTGGATTTTCTTGGTATTTATGCTGGGAGGTTACTTATGAGCGTTTGCTGTGTGACCACATTGCGGTATTAATCATAGGTGGCATTATAATTCTCTAAAATAACAGCCATAAGGCATCAGGGCAATTGAGGCTTGTATTAAGGGAATGGTCCTTTTTTTTCTTGCTGAAGTTAGGCAGCATGAGGCTGGTGTGTTTTTCCTTAAGGCACCAAGGCATCTGAGGGTTTGCACTGGGAATCCCTGGGCTCTCTGGGCCCTCTGGGTCCCTAGGGTCTTCTACTTGCCAACACAGCCTTGGGTTCTCTGCTTCCTGTTGGGGTGACAGGAACACATTGGTGGTCTCTGATGGATATACCAGGCGCTCTGCATAATTTTTCTTCTTGCTTCCGGGGGTAACTCCAGCCCCATCCCTTGAAGGTGAATTTTATGTTATATATATATTTTTTTGCTTAGGCAAGTTTGATTTGGGTTATATTTTCATCATAAAGAATCATGACTATTGCAAATCATTATATAGAAAAGTGATTTTATTCTTGAGCCTGAGATATTCACAGTGAAAATGACAACACATTATTTCTGAGACACCTGCTGGGGGCATCCACCACTTTCCCCCAACCCATTCTCTCTATTCACCTCCAACCAATTTTATCCAAAAGCCAGCTCAGCTGACTGTACAACCACAAGGGATTTGGAGTTAGATGGATATGGCATTTATCAGCTGAATGATCTTGGGCATAATACTCAAACCTTCTGTGCCTCTGTTTTCTCATCTTTAAACGGGGATAGCACAGGGTTGGTGTGAGGAATAAATGAGTTATTATTGTCATAGTAATATACTAATATATAGTTAAATATAATTCTATCTGTCAGATGTAGACAGGGGTGGAGAATGCCTTGGAAGTCATTTCTTCCTACAGAATAAGTGATATGGTTTTGCTGTGTCCCCACCCAAATCTCATCTTGAATTCTAGCTCCCATAATTCCCATGTGTCATGGGAGGGACCCAGTGGGAGATAATTGAATCATGGGGGCAGTTCCCCCATACTGTTCTCATGGTAGTAAATAAGTCTGATAAGAGCTGATGGTTTTATAAGGGGTTTCCCCTTCTGCTTGGCTCTCATTCTCTCTTGCCTGCTGCCATGTAAGATGTGCCTTTTGTCTTCCGCTATGACTGTAAGGCTTCCCCAGCCATGTGGAACTGTGAATCCATTAAACCTATTTTTCCTTATAAATTACTCAGTCTGGGGTGTGGGGGTATGTCTTTATCAGCGTGTGAAAATGGTACCATAAGGAAGTACCTTAAGGTTAGACAATAAGTACAATAAGGAAGGAGGACCGCAATCCAGTCTTGTCTCCCAGAGCCTTGGCACAGAAAGATGGTAACCAATGCTTTGTCTTGGACAATCCCTCCTACCTGCTGGGGAGACAAAGGAGCAAATCCAGCAGAAGATGGAGGGGAAGTGCTGGTTGAGTTGCTTGGCACCCCTTGCCTTTTTTCACCCTCTTCCTCAGCTCCCTGATCACCATATTCTCCCTGTGTCTTTTGGCTCCTGAGATCAGTTGTTGATGAAATGCTGGGCTGGGCTCACTCCCAGAGTGGGAGGAAATGGATGTGGGAACCCTCTTGGGGAGATGGGCAGTTACCGGGGCCCAGAGAACCAATGAGGGCTTTATCCTGCAGTCAGAGTTCAACACCAGCCCTTCCCAGAATCAATCACACCCTCCTTTCCACTATTTCACTGTCTGCCGTGAACTAACAGACATTGGTTGTGTTGCCCTCAGATTCATAGGCTGAAGTCTAACCCCCAATGTGATGGTATCAGGAGGTGAGGCCTTTGGAAAGTAATGAGATCATGAGGGTGGAGCCCTCATGAATAGGATTAGTGCCCTTGTAAGAAGAGATATGAGAGAGATGATACCCGTCTCTCCACCACATGAGGACACAGTGAGAAGGCAGCCATCTGCAAGCCAGGAGAGAGTCCTCACCAGACCCTGACCATGCCAGCACCCTGATCTCAGACTTCCCAGCCCCCAGAACTGTGAGAAATAAATTGCTGTTGTTTAAGCTTCACAGTCTATTATAATTTGTTATAGCAGCTCAAGCTAACTAAGACACTACCCTGACACTCTATTTCAGAAATGACAAGGTTTGGGCAGGGTGTGGTGGCTCATTCCTGTAATCCCAGCACTTTGGGAGGCCAAGGTGGGTGGATCACCTGAGGCCAGGAGTTCAAGACCAGCCTGGCCAACATGGTGAAACCCTGTCTTTACTAAAAATATAAAAATTAGCAAGATGTGGTGGTGCACACCTGTAATCCCAGTACTCTGGAGGTTGAGGCAGGAGAATCACTTGAACCTTGGAGACGGAAGTTGCAGTGAGCCGAGATCATACCACTTGTACTCCAGCCTGGGTGACAGAGTGAGACTGTCTCAAAAAAAAAAAAAAAAAAAAAAAAAAAGATGAGATTTGACTTCACAAACTAAAACTTTTGTTCAGAGAGAAGAGGAAAATGGAGGGTGGGGGAAACCACCCATGCTCCCAAAGATATGAGACGTAGAATTGATCTAAGTGCCACAAAGCAGAATTTTTCTGACTCCATTCTGTTTCTCCTGTGATAATTCAGCTGCTTTCAAATTCCTCTCCTCTCAGACGGTCCTGAGAATCCAGTGGGAGTTTTCTCTGTGCTCCAGAACATAGTGGCCTCTTGCATTCATTCCCTACCAGAAATAATGTCTCGTTCACCAGCTATTTTCTCAGCCAATAATTTTTGTCCACCCCCATTCCTCCTTCGGAAACTTGCCCTTCCCAGAGCCCTAGGAGATCCAGAACCCCATAGGATTCTTTTGGCTCTGGCCATGGCTGTGTACCAAGGGGTTGGATATGGGATTACAGCCAGGCCATGTGGACTCTCTCCCAGAAATTTGGAGTTGAAAATCTCTGAGCTTATCTCTGGAAGGTGCTTGAAACTAGAGGGGGATAGAAAGTTGGTGACAATATAGTCATGTTTGGCCTGTGGACAATTGCAATAGAAAAAACTGATATGCAGGGTGATATGGTTTGGCTGTGTCCCCACCTAAATCTCAAACTGTAGCTCCCATAATTTCCACATGTCATCGGAGGGACATGGTGGGAGGTAATTGAATCATGGGGCGGGTTTTTCCCATGCTGTTCTCGTGATAGTGAATAGGTCTCATGAGATCTGATGGCTTTAAAAAGGGGAGTTCCCCTGCACACACTCTCTTGCCTGCCACCATGTAAGACGTGACTTTGCTCCTCATTCGTCTTCTGCCATAATTGTGAGATCTCCAAAGCCATGTGGAACTGGGAGTCCGTGACCGCTCTTTTTCTTTATAAATTACTCAGTCTTGGGTATGTCTTTATTAGCATTGTGAAAACAGACTAATACATGGGGGGGCGGAGAGACAGAGAGGGAGAGAGGGAGATGGGGAGCGAGAAGATGGGGGAGAGAGAGTGAGAGAGAGAGAGAGAGAGAAAGAAAGAAGAGATTGAGAACACAATACAGACTTAGGAAGGACAGACCGGGAGCTCCCAGAAAGACAGAGACAGGCTGTGTTGACTCCTGCTATCTTTCTATCCCAAAACCCTGCTGTGCTTTCTGACTTTGGTTTTGTGGGATGCTTTATTTAATAGGTTGAACTGTGTTCTCCAAAGAGATATGTTGAAAGCCCTAACATCTCAGTACCCCAGAATGTGACCTCTGTTGGAAACAGGGTCATTGCAGATGTAATTACGAAGATGTGATACTGGAGTAGGGTGGGCCCTTAATCTAATACGAGATTGTCCTTAGAAGAAGTAGGAAATTTGGACACAGACCCACAGGGAAGACCCCCTTGTGACAATGGGGATAGCGATTGAAGTTCCATTTTAATGTACGTGCTGCCGAAGCGAGCACAAGGTAGAGATTGAAGTGAAGCTGCTACAAGCCCAGGAATGCCTATGGTTACCAGAAGCCAGGAAAGGAAAGGATGGGATCTTCCCCAGAAGCTCGGGGTACAGCTCTGTGAACCCCTTGATTTTGGACTTCTTCCCTCAAGAATTGTGAGAGAATAAATTTCTCTTGTTTCAAGCCACCTCGTTTGTGCTGTTTTGTTAATCATCCTTAGGAAATCAATATGCCCCTTATCCTTCTTGAATGAGCTCTGTACCTTATAATGAGATTATTGCAGTCTAAAAATCTAGAACTAGTTGCAGGAACATCACAGACAAGGGAAAGTTTGAACCACACCATGGATGAGTGACAAGCTTGGAAAAGAAGGGCACTTCACCTCTGTGGTATTCTTTGCAAAAACTCATGACCTGAGTCTAATCATGAAAAAAGAAAAAAATCAGACAAACTCAAATGGAGGCTAATACGGTTTGGCTCTGTGTTCCAAATCTCATCTTGTGGCTCCCATAATTCCCACGTGTTGTGGGAGGGACCTGGTGGGAGATGATTGAATCATGGGGACAGGTTTTTCCTGTGCTGTTCTCCTGATAGTGAATTAGTCTTATGAGATCTGATGGTTTTTAAAAATGGGAATTTCTCTGCACAAGCTCTTTTTGCCTGCTGCCATCCACATCAGATGTGACTTGCTCCTCCTTGCCTTCCACCATATTTGTGAGGCCTCCACAGCCACATGGAACTGTAAGTCCAATAAACCTCTTTCTTTTGTAAATTGCCCAGTCTCAGGTATGTCTTTATCAGCAGCATGAAAATGGACTAATACAGAGATATATCCTGCAAAATCCGTCCCCAGTACTCCTGAAAACTGCCAAGCTCTGTAGAGTTAGAGTTAGAATACCTTTTGTTGTTGAAGATGTGAAGGAAGTATGCATGTGAATTGACTGCTGAATTCACTTTTGTGCCATTTTTGTAAATACAATAGTTTTGTACAACCTTAGAAAAATAAGGAAAGGCTGAAGAAGCTACACATTTGGTTTGTGTGGTTTCTAATGTAGTTTTATTTTACATTAAAAGATTTAGACAATGGGTCCTCATGGCAGTTGCTGGTGACTTACCTTGTAGTTGTAAAGCTGGGTTCTTGTTTTCTTTTTCTTTTAAATGAAATTATTATTATTATTATTATTATTATTATTATTATTATTATTATTATTTTGAGACAGCCTCTTGTTCTGTTACCCGGGCTGGAGTGCAGTGGTAAGTCGTAGCTCACTGCAGCCTTTAACTCCTAGATTCAAGGGATCATCCCATCTCAGCCTGCCAAGTAGCTGGGACCACAGGCAGGTGCCTTCACGCCCGGCTAATTTTTAAATTGTTGGTAGAGATGAGGTTTCTGTATGTTGCCCAGGCTGGTCTCTAACTCCTGTGCTCAATCGATCCTCCTGCCTCAGCCTCCCAAATTGCTGGGATGATAGGTGTGAGCCACTGCACCTGGCTGAGGCCTTGTTTTCTTGCTGGCTGTCAGCTGGGGACCTCTATCAGCTTCTAGAGGCCACCTGCATTCTTTGACATGGCCCTGTCACAACATGGTAGCTTACTTCCTCCTAGCCAGCAAGGGAGTCCCTAAGTCTCCTAAGGGGAAATCTTATTTGGAAACATGATCAAGAGAGTGACATTCAGCACCTTTGCCATATTCTGTTGATTAGAAGCAGGTCACAAATTCCATCCTCTCTCAGGCGGGGAGGCTTGTACAAGGGAGTCACCTTAGCTGTGTGCAATCAGGAATACAGCCCAGGGGCCGTGCCTGACAGTTAAGAGGACTCAGTGTGATCAAGCTGATCAATATGAAGTGGGTTAGGCAGCTGCCAGTGCTAAATTCTGGTTGGGAGTTTTCCAAGAACCAGCCCCACCCGTGCGTATCTCTCTGGGTAAACCTCCTGAGACTTGGGAGTCACCTTAGCTGTGAGAACCGTTTTTGGAACTTACCAGCAAAAATGACAGCCCAGGGTATTCCAGGCAGCTGCTTCTCCAGCTCCAGGCAGATGATTCTGGCCCTGCCTTGCAACAGAAATGGAATCGTTTCGAGGGGATGGTCTCCTTGCTCTGGATCCAGCAGCAGCAGATGCTCCAGCCGAAGACGTGTGTCCACTCTGAGCAAGGCTGAGAGAATCAAATTAATTTCTTTTATGACCCGAGGCAAGCTTGAAATTGGCTCTTCCAAGATGAAAAAGGAGAGGCAGGAGTGGCTTGCCTGGCTCCCTACTCTCCTTCTCCTCCTGCCTCCACCTCCTTCCCAGCAGGGCTCCAGCAATTTAATCGGGGTGGGATTCCTTCCACCAAGCAAGGCAGTCTGTCACGCGCCGCTGCAGTAGGGGCCATGCCAGAGACAGCTTTTCGAAGCAGCATCTGTGGGCAGACATTTGGGCAACCCCACTAGGCTGGCAAGCCCTGGTCGATTTTTAGTGACCTCTTAGAAGTAGATGGGAGGGACTGTCAGCCATGCCGGAAGTGGGAGAGAGCAGAAGGGGTCAAAGACAAGCCTCGGCTGGGAAGAGCATCTTTGTGGTCCTGTAATTGATGATTGGGGTGGGGAGCATTGAAACGTTTCCCTTGAATCACAGCCTTCAGTGAGAATGGCTTTGCCTTCTGTTTGGACGGTGTGTTGAGAGTAGGGTAACCATATGTCCTCATTTGCTGCAACAGTCCCTGTTACGACTGCTTTCCTGGTTTTGCCTGTCTCGAAAGCATTCTGGTTTGGGCAATAACTTATAAGGTCATCCTAATTCTGGGTTTCACAGTCTCAGCACTGTGGACATTTTGGGCTAGATAATCCTTTGGGTGAGGGTTGTCCTGTGCACTGTAAGGTGTGTAGCAGCATCCCTAGGCTCTGCCCACTAGATGCCAGTAGCACAACCCCCTGCCCCATTGTCATTGCCAAATGTCCCCTGAGGGGAGGAGGAGGAATCACCCCTGGTTGAGAACCATGGCCCTTTTTTAAGGGCACTGTTGAATCCTTCCTTCTGATACCATCTGGGGGTAACTTGAGTACTTGGTTCATGTTCTGGAAGGAAAAACTCCACATAGTGCTTCTGGGTTCATTTAGCCTATGTAAGCTTCGTTTTTCTGTTTCTTAGACCAGTATCTCACTTTTTTGGGGGAGAGGTGGGACCTCTCCTCCATTCTCAGCCCATGTGTTTTGGGTGACTCGAGAGACTGGGTTTGGCAGATGGGAGAATGCCATTCTCCTGGCTGTTGTGATTGATTCAGAAACCTGCCTTTAAGGTGGTTCAAAGAGCATCAGTGGCAGGACTTCTGTTAGGTGGATAGGGAAAGAGGGGTTCTCTTTTTGCTGGGGTTGCAAACCTGGTAGGGTGGAAACCGGGAGCTGCTGGTGGTCATCTCATCACCCTGGGGGAGAGCCTGCCTGAGAAGGAAATCACAGGAGAGCCGAGCTGAGAGAGGAGAAGGAAAGCCGATCACACTGCCTAACAGCCTGTATCCCCTCCAACCTGATGACAGATCTCACCTAGAGTGAATTTCTCAGTGAAGCCAGTTTGACTTGAGTTTCTGTCAACTTGCAACTCAAAAAGGCCATGTGTTGCCATGAGGTATTTCTCTGTTCCCTTTCCTAATCTAGAGATTAGGTAACTTTAATTCTGCTAATGCTGAGTTTTGTCTCATCAAATGGAATCATCACAGAAGTCTCTGATCTTGCCCCATCAACCCTTCCCATTACCTCTAGGGCTCAGCCAATGCTGCTGGTATCTTTTGCTTCATTTTTTCTTTTCTTTTCTTTTGTTTCTTTCTTTCTTTTTTTTTTTTCTGAGGCAGGGACTTGCTCTGTCACCCAGGCTGAAGTGCAGTGGTGTGATCACGGCTTACTGCAGCCTCAACCTCCTGGGCTCAAGTGATCCTCCCACCTCAGCCTCCTGAGCATAGGTGCACACCACCATGCCTGGCTAGTTTTTTAAATTTTGTTTGTAGAGAGGGGAGTCTTACTCAATCATTCAGGCTGGTCTCAAACTCCTGGGCTCCAGCAATCCTCCCACCTTGATCTCCCGAAGTGTTAGGATTACAGGTGTGAGCCACTGCATCTGGCTGCCTCATTTTTCTTAATCTTTCAAGACTCTGTAGAAATAATACCTACTCCTTTTCATTCCTCCTTATCTCCTGTCTTCCTTTCCAACACTATAGCCCTCTTTTCATTATTACCCACATTTACAAAAGGTCTTTGTAACTTAATGGCATACCCAGACAGAAATAATGTTCTCTGGGTTAATTATCTAGTTTGCCACAATCTCCTGTACCAGATTCTACCCAGCCTGCTCTGATTATAAAGGGGACTATTGAGAAATAGCTGCAAAAATGCACAAAACCATAAGAATTCCCATTCCAAGACCCAGAGCAGATGGCTTTTGGATTATTCCCTTCTCTTTTTCTATCATATGTTTACATAATTGAGTTCATCATCTATATGAAGTCTTACATACATATATTTTTATAAAGATATAAAATTATACAATCACCCCAATTAAAAGGCATGAACATTATTTTAATAATTGGAAGAAGATTTCATTGTACGAACATAGTGTAATTTCAAAAACATTTTTCTGTTGGTTGACACTTCATTTTTTACCATTTGCAATAATGTGATGGCTTCCTTGGGCATACATCTTTGTCCTCAACTGGATGTACTCCCCTAAAATAAATTTCTAGGAGTGGACCTTCTGGGTCAAAATGGGTGAGTATTTGTAAGGCTCTTGATACATATTGCCAAATGACCTTCCAGAAAAATTGTGCCTGTTTACATGCCTACCAGTGGCATGGAAGGGTCAGATGTCAGAATCATGATTGCAATTATTGATAAAGATCCAGCTAGTTCCAGTTTTGCCAACAATATTAACGCCACCAGCACATCCACCAATAATAATAATAACACTAATGGTATGATAAATAAAATAGGTGATATGGTTTGGCTGTGTGTCTCCACCCAAATCTCATCTTGAATTATAATCACCAGGTGTTGCGTCGAGGGAGGGAGCTGTAAGCCCCACGTGTCGAAGGAGGGATGTGATTGGCTCATGGGGGCGGCTTCTCCCATGCTGGTCTCATGATAGTGAGTGAGTTCTCATGAGATCTGATGGTTTTAAACGTGGCAGTTTTTTCCCGTGCTCTCACTTCTCCCTCCTATCGCCTTGTGAAGATGTCTGCTTCTCCTTCTGTCATGATTGTAAGTTTCCTGAGGCCTCCCCAGCCATGCAGACCTGTTGTGAGTCAATTAAACCCCTTTTCTTTATCAATTACCCATTCTTGGCCAGTTGTTTATAGCAGTGTGAGGATGGACTAATACAATAGACTTATTGGGAGCTTGTAATATTCTAGCTATGTTACTAAAAATTTCACACATTATTTCATTTAGTCCATCCAGTAACCTAGAGATTAGGTATTATTATAATTCCCCCATTTACAAAATAGGATAATAAGGTACAAAGACGTTAAGCATCTTGCCTAATGACCACAGCCAGTAAATGGTGGATCTTAGATTTGATGCCAGGCATCTGACTTCTTCAAGCATTGTTTACTGTTTTTAGTATGACAGAGATGACTAGTTGGATGTAATTCCACCTGAATGGCTAGCTTTACTGTGTACGGCTCACCAAAGATCTACCTTGAGGAAAAACATTGCTATACATTGCAAATAATAGCCAGGGCTCTGGTATTAATGTTTCCCAGTCTCTCCCTCCTAAAGACATTGTCACCCTCCCAGCCAGGTGTGTGGTAGAAGGAAACGACTCTCTCCTGATGCTATGAATTCCAAAGAATTCCCATTAACCATATTTCTAAGCCAGTTTGCTTTCTTTCAATGTGCACTTTCTGCAAAATGCCATCTGCACTTGTTTCCTGGGGAAACCATCTCTCTGAGGTGGGTAAGTTCTCATTGTGAAGATGGGGACTTCCCTAATGTTTGGCATTCCCTTTTTGGGGGCACGTACAGTGATTTCTGAACTGACTTGAAAGGCCATTAACTTGGTTTTTACTGCCTTTTCTGGCTTGCAAATTTAATGCCTGGCTCCCAACATGTGTGAATGGACAAACAGCATCAGCATCATCTGGGAACTTGCTAGAAATAAAAATTCTCAGGCTTTACCCTAGACTTACAGAACCGGCAACTCTGAGGGTAGGTTCCAGAAGTCTGTGAGTTTACAAATCTTCCAGGTGATTCTGATCCGTGCTAAACTTGGATCTACTGCTCTAAACCTTAGTTTCTTCCTTTATAAAATAATAGTAGTAGTAGCTGTAGCAGTAATAATAATATTGGCTTCATGGTTATAGGGGGAATTCCATGAGTAATTTGAGTCCTTGGCACTGTGCTTGGCATACAGTAGGTGCTTAATAAGTGGTAGTTGGCATCACTATCTCTGAACTGTGAAGGTCGCTGTGCTTAACCTATGTAGTATTTATCAGCCCCGCATCCCACTCCGTTCAGGGATGGCCCTTCTCCTGCCTGTGGGTCTGGTGGGACCACTCTGCAGAATTTCTTATGCCCAGATCTTCTATCATGGTGTGACAAAAGCATGGCCCATCAAATGCTTGCCTTCTGGGAATTTGCATCTTAAGGAGAGATCATCAAGGATGTAGAGTGATTAGAGTCCAGTCATTCCACGACCCTGCAGCCTAGTGCTTCTCAACCTTTAATCTGCTTAACGCTAACTGGAGGATCTTGTTCGCGGGCAGATTCTGACTCGAAAGGTCTGGGGTGGTTCTGAGAGAGAGTCTGCATTTCTGACGAGCTCTACTGGAGATGGTGATGCCAGTACTGCTGGTTTCTGGACTCACGGTGCAGTTGCATCCCGAGAGTAGTGAATCTCATTTTTCAACCTCATCTTAGAATCACCTAGGGGAGGTGTGAAACAAGACAGACCTGAGCCAGTTAAATCTCAGTTTCTTTCCTTTTTGCCTTGCCTTGCTCTGCCTTGCCCTGCCTTGCCCTGCCAGGGTCTCACTCTGTCATCTAGGCTGGAGTGCAGTGGTACAATCTCGGCTCACTGCAATCTCCACCTCCTGGGCTCAAGCTATCCTTTTGCATCAGTCTCCTGAGTAGCTGGGACTACAGGCATGCGCCACCACATCCAGCTAATTTTTGTATTTTTAGTAGAGACGAGGTTTCGCCATGTTTCCCAGGCTGGTCTTGAACTCCCGGGCTCAAGTGATCTGCCTGCCTTGGCCTCCCACACTGTTGGAATTACAGGCATAAGCCACCGTGCCCGGCTTAAATCTCAATTTCTGAGGGTGAGGGCCCAGCATCAGTGGTTTCTAAAAGTCTCTTTGGTTGACTGTTGGCTGCAGTGAGGGTTGAGATCCACCACCATACAAAGATGGTCCAACTGGAACCCCCTCAAGTCTGGGAACTCTATTCTTTCTCTGATCCTATAAGCTCCCCGCTTTTTAATGTAAAGATTTGGTTCTGTTGGCTGGGCATGGTGGCTCACGCCTGTAATCCCAGCACTTTGGGAGGCCAAGGTGGGCAGATCACGAGGTCAGGAGTTTGAGACCAGCCTGGCCAATATGGTGAAACTCTGTCTCTACTAAAAATACAAAAATTAGCTGGGCATGGTGGCGTGTGCCTGTACTCCCAGCTACTCAGGAGGCTGAGGGAGAAGAATCGCTTGAACCCAAGAGGCAGAGCTTGCAGTGAGCCGAGATCATGCACTACTCTCCAGCCTGGGCGACAGAGTGAGACTTTGTCTCAAAAAAAAAAAAAAAAAAAAAAAAAGATTTGGTTCTGTTGCTTGCAAACTAAGAACCTTAACTGATAGAGCCTCAGAAATGAGAAGAGAGTCAAGGTGAGTGTTCATTGCCTCTGGGCTCTCCAGCTGCAGATCCTCTTGCTTCTCTGTGCTTCTCTTTGGGATGACACCACAGAGACATTAAACCTTTTGGAGGGCCCGTACAGTAATTTCTGAACCAACTTGAAAAGCCATAAACTTGGTTTTTCCTGCCTTTTCTGGCTTGCAAATTTAATGCCTGGCTCCCAACATGTGTGAATGGACAAATAAAAGAGGAACTGTCCCTTCCTCTCTTTGCCCCCATCAAGGGCCACCTGAGAGACTGTATCTCTTTAGGATCGCTTAGCTCTTTCCTCAGTCCCAGGTCTGGATTTTGCGGGTGACAGCTTCACCAGTATGTGACAAGCCATGCCAGGTGACCAGAGTGTGAACCAGCCTGCTCACCTGTCAGGTGGTGGTAATGAAAACCGATGGACCTGGTGCGGTGGCTCAACACCTGTAATCCTAACACTTTGGGAGTCTGAGGTGGGAGGATCACGAGGTCAGGAGTTCAAGACCAGCCTGGCCAATGTGGTGAGGGCCTGAAGTAGTGGGAACAGAGCGTGACTGAGGCAGAGTCAGCCTTAAAAGATCAGTCGCTAAAAAGGACTTCAACTGCCTGCCTTTGGGGAGAGGGATTTGATGGGAGAAGGGCTGGGGTAAGACAGCTTTGTTTTCCATTTCAAGTCATTTGTATCATTTGCTTGTACTGCTTTGATAAAGAGAAATCTGAAATTCTAGAAAAAATTAGAAGTGAAAAAAAATTCCTTTATAGCCATGAGCAGAACCGTTAACAATAGCAGCCGGGTATGGTGGCTCACGCCTGTAATCTCAGCACTTTGGGAGGCCGAGGTGGGTGGATCACCTGAGGTCAGGAGTTCAAGGCCAGCCTGGCCAACATGGCAAAACCCCGTCTCTACTAAAAATACAAAAATTGCCAGGCGTGGTGGTGGGTGCCTGTAATGCCAGCTACTCAGGAGACTGAGTATGGAGAAACACTTGAATCCAGGAGGCGGAGGTTGCAGTGAGCCGAGAGTGCTCCATTGTACTCCAGCCTGGGTGACAGGAGTGAAACTCTATCTCTAAACAAACAAACAAAAAGCAATAGCAATAGCAATAGCAATGATACTAACTTATATTGATGTGCTAGATTTTATCCATGTCACCTCATTCACCTTTAGTTCTCACTACAACCTTGGGTGACAAACTTGTGTTTGCTTTAGCACTTTACTGGATTTGACACTGAGCGTTCCCTATACCTGGAACCACTTCGGTCCTAGATAAACCAAAGAGGATGGCTGGTCACCCTACTACAGCCCCAGAGGCAGCTGCTATTAACCAATGCATGCTGCAGGGGAGGAAACTGAGACCCTGAGAACTTCTGTAACTCGCATCATGGTCACACAGCTAGTTAGTGGTAGAAACAAGTTACATACCGACTCGGTGGTGGACACAATTAAGGGTCCCACAGTCAGTCAGTTGTAGAAACAGTTAAGAGTCACACAGCTAGTCAGTGGTTGACATAGTTAAGGGTTGTGCAGCTAGTCAGTGGTAGATACTGTTAGTTAAGGGTCACATAGGTAGTCAGTGGTGGACACAGTTAAGGGTCACACAGTTAGTGATAGATTTAAGGGTTACACAGCTAGTTAGTGGTAGATACAGTTAGTTAAGGGTTACACAGCTAGTTAGTGGTAGACACAGTTAAGGGTCACACAGCTAGTCAATGGTAGACAGTTAAAAGACACACGGATAGTTTAAGACACATGGATAGTTTAGTGGTAGATACAGTTAGTTAAGGGCCACACATCTAGTCAGAGGCAGGTATATTTAGTTAAAGGTCACAAAGCTAGTCAGTGGTAGGTACAGCTAGTTAAGGGTCACAAAGCTAGTCAGTGGTAGGTACAGTTAGTTAGGGGTTACACAGCTAGTCAGTGGCAGACAGTTAAGGGTCACAAGACTAGTCAATGGTAGACACAATTAAAAGACACATGGATAGTTTAGTGGTTGATACAGTTAGTGAAGGGTCACACGGCTAGTCAGTGGTAGGTACAGTTAGTTAAGGGTCACACGGCTAGTCAGTGGTAGGTGTAGTTAGTTAAGGGTCACACGGCTAGTCAGTGGTAGGTATAGTTAGTTAAGGGTCACACGGCTAGTCAGTGGTAGGTACAGTTAGTTAAGGGTCACACAGCTAGTCAGTGGTAGGTACAGTTGATGAGCCATCTCATCACTCGTTTAGTAGTAGAGCTTGGATTGGAACCAGGTAGGGCTGTGTCTGTTACATTACATCACGTCACATGGAGTCTCAGAGCTGAAAGGACTTTAGGGTCGCCGTGTCTAATCCCCTTGTTTGTAGATGGGGAAACTTGCCTGAGTGGCGGAACGCCCTACCCAAGGTCGCATGGTGAGTTTTGGGCTTCTAAGAGACCACTGGAGGAAGTCAGGGAGACATGCCCTGGCAGGGACCCGTCCGGAGGCCTGCCAATTGGCTTTGAGAGGAGCGCGTCTTGCATCTCCCAGGAAGGATTGGCAGAGGGAGGGCGGGCGTCTCGGGCCGGGGGCTGGTGCCCGGGGCTGGGGCTGAGGGGAGGGGGAGGCTGCTTCTCTTTGTAATTTACATACACAGCAGCAACAGCCTGGGGGAAAACAACCCAAACAAACTCTCAAAGGATGTTTTGGACTTAATCCCGGGATCGGAAGCAGCTCGGTAAGATAAATAAGATAAAGTTGGTGTGCCTCTTAAGGTTGAACGATCATATCACTATTGCATTTGAAATATTCATGAGGGGAAGGGAGGTATGAGAAACAGCTACAGAAACATATTCTGCTTTGAAAAGGCAGAATTCAAAGGCATGAAAAATGAATCAGGGGAAATTAATGTCGAGGTTGGGAGGGGGGTGGGCTGGTGGGGGGACAATTATTGCCCAGAAGGAATAAGGAAAGAGATGTGGAGGAGATGTTTCAGACTGGGCCGTGATCAGAATTCTGTATCCTGCCTGGAATATTTGAAATGTCAATTGTCTCATATATCATTTGAAGTCAATACTTGGTCGCAAAATGGATGATTCTAGCAAGGATTAAAAAGCAGGGTGGGCTGGGGGATATGGGATGGGGAGGGTGGAGTGGGGTGGGGCAGGGAGATGGAAAAAGATGGGTAAAGTGAACTAAGTCCTATAAATTGTGGACGAATTACTGATCACTCAAAGAGGGCTCTGGAGGAGTAAGATGCAAAGAAACGGGAATTTCTTGTGATTTCTTGCAAGTCTCTCAGTCTTGGTTTCTCCCTTTATAAAGCCAGGAGGTTGGGCTGGATGTTCTCCTAGATTGTCCCACTTTGCATTGTGGAGGGGGTGGGGCTCTGATTTGGAGATGTGCTTGGAAATTGAGGGTTCCTTAAGGCAAGATGGTCAAGGGTATTGACGAACGGTAGCAATACAGACATGATGCTTGTGGTTAATGGTGGCTCTCAGCAGAGCCCTGCAAGTCTACACCGTGTTAGGGGGGCCAGTGGGGTTTGGCCCCCTTTAAAAGCAAGCCCTGGGACTGTGGACTGGCGCGGTCATTCTAGAGAGATCTGATACTAAAGCAAATGAAGGCTGCATATTCTCTGTGGTCCCAGACCAGCAGCATCAGCATCACCTGGGAGCTTGTTAGAAATGGAAATTCTCGAGTCTCCTTCCAGACTTCTTGAGTCAAAATCTGCCTTTTAACAAGATCCCTGGGTGAGTCCTGTGCATATTAAAGACTGAGCAGCAGCAATTCCCCTCCTGGATTTATACCCCAGAGAAAGTTTCACCCAAGCATGTTCAAGGAGGTGGGTTTGTGGTAGCGGGGTATTGGAAGCCACTGCTGTGCGCATCAGAAGGGGATAGATAAGCAAAGCATGACAGATACTCACTGTGGGATATGACTGCGGTAGTTAGAAAAACAGGTCTGATCTTCACATGCCAGTATGGATGGATCTTTTATTTTATTTATTTATTTATTTATTTTGAGATGGAGTCTCACTCTGTTGCCCAGGCTGGGGTGCAATGGTGCAATCTCGGCTCACTGCAACCTCCGCCTCCTGGGTTCCAGCAATTCTGCCTCAGCCTCCCGAGTAGCTGGGATTACAGGCGCCCGCCACCATACCTGGCTAATGTTGTATTTTTAGTAGAGACAGGGTTTCACCATACTGGCCAGGCTGGTCTCGAACTCCTGACCACAGGTGATCCGCCCACCGCAGCCTCCCAAAGTGCTGGGATTACATGCGTGAGCCACTGTGCCCGGCCTGGATGGATCTTAAAAACAAAGCACAAGGGGAAAAAAAGTGAGCAATAGAATCAATTTATAGCAAGTGTCTTTGTTTGTGCTGCTATAAAGGAACACCTGAGGCTGGATAATTTACAAAGAAAAAAAGTTTATTTGGCTCATCATTCTGCAAGAATCATGGCATCAATATCTGCTTCTGATGAGGGCTTCAGGAAGCTTCCACTCATGGCAGAAGTGAAGAGGAACTGGTGTGTGTAGATCACATGGTAAGATAGAGAGAGAGAGAGAGGGAGAGAAGAGGGGTATGAGGAAGGAGGATGAGAGAAGGAAGAAGGAGACAGGGAAGAATAGGAGACAGAGGAGGGTTCCAGGTTATTTTTAACTATCAGTTCTCGACTGGATGCCTGTAATCCCAGCACTTTGGGAGGCCGAAGTGGGTGGATCACTTGAGGTCAGGAGTTCGAGACCAGCCTGGCCAACATGTCGAAACCCTCTCTGCACTAAAAATACAAACATTAGCCAGGCATGGTGGCTCTTGCCTGTAACTCCAGCTACTTGGGAGGCTGAGGTGGGAGAATTACTTGAACCCAGGAGGTGGAGGTTGCAATGAGCCGAGATCTTGCCATTGCACTCCAGCCTGGCTGACAGAGCGAGACTGTGTCCCAAAATAAATAAATAAATAAATAAATAAATAGAAAAAAATAAAAACACAAAAATTAGCTGGATGTAGTGGCGGGTGCCTGTAATCCCAGCTACTCGGGAGGCTGAGGCAGGAGAATCTCTTGAATCCGGGAGGCAGAGGTTGCAGTGAGCTGAAATCGTGCCACTGCACTCCAGTCTGGGCAACAGAGCGAGATTACATCTTGAAACACACACACACACGCACACACAATCAGTTCTTGCAGAAACTAAGAGTGGGAAATCACTCACTCTTGAGAGAATGGCACCCAGCCATTCCTGAGGGATCTGCCCCCACGACCAAAACACCTCCCACCAGGCCCCACCTCCAACACTGGGGATCACATTTCAACATGAGACTTGGCAGGGGCCAAAACAAACCATATCTAGACCATAGTATGACACAATTTTTATTGGTTAAAAATGTATTTGTACACAAGACAGTATGCTTAAAGCTACAAGAGGGCAGGGATTTCTGTCTATTTTGTTCACCGCTGTCTTCGTGCCACATTCTGAACACTCAATATTTGATGAGCAAATGCACTTCACAAGAATGCGCACACATTCAAGAGAAGAGGAATACCTCAGCTGAGGGGGTTTTGCACTGCACCGTGGTGCCATGCCAGAAACTGAGGAGTAATTCACTCCACTTTCCGCACCTGGGGTGAAATAGAAGTCCAATCTTGTGTGAGAGGTGAGGGGGAGGGTGGCCGGGCTGGCCTCCGTTTGCAGAGCTTGTTCCATTTCACAGTGGCTTGGCTGCCCTGCCCTTGGTCCCTCCAAGGTCCTGCTTGCTCAGCTCTTGGCTTGCCACCTTCCTGCTCCATCTCTAAGGCTTTATTGGCTGTTCCTGTAGAAACAGACTCTCCAAGTCATGGCTTTTTCTCAGCATTTTGCATGTACCACCTCCCTTATCCTCACAACACTGCCTACAACACTGGTTCTCAACTGGGGACACTTCTATCCCCATAAGGGACATTTGGCAATGTCTGGAGACATTTTTGATTGTCACAACTAGGGCATACTGTGCTACTGTCATCCAGTACGTAGAGGCCATGGATGCTGCTAAACATCCTACAAGGCACAGGGCTGTCCCCAGACTCCCCAGTAAAGGACGATCAGGTCCAAAATGTCAGTGGTGTTGAGGCTGACCTAGGGTAGGGGGCTCTAATATCTCTATTTTATATGTGAGGAAACGGAAGCATGGTGAGGTTGGGTAATCCTGTGTGAGGTCCTGCAGCTGGTAGGCAACGGAGGTGGGGTATAGACCAAGTGAGTCTGGCTCTAGAGTCCTTGCTTTTAACCACCATACATGATTGCTTCTCAGAAGTGGAAAACGCTGAGACAGGCACAGCTTTTTATACCTTCACTCACTTATGTTACGGCGAGGGTGACCAGCTGTCTTGGTTTGCCCAGGCCCGAGCAGATTCCCAGAGTGTGGGACTTGCAGTGCTCAAGCCAGGATGGATAGTCACCCTAGAAACCTCCAGACTCTGTAGACATCTGTGTTTGTGATCTGATTGTTACTTTCAGTCTGTTGAGTTCATATTACTGATGTAAGAGTTAAGAAGAAATTATTTAGGCAGATAGTGAGGGTAAGGAAGTCCTCAGTAAGGTTTTCCTTTTAATGAAAAGCAGTCCCCAAATCATTTTTCTTTTCTAACGGAGAGCATCCTGTAAAATCAAGCTGCAGACATAGGCAAGCAAGCTGGAAGCTTGCACGGGTGAATGCCGGCAGCTCCGCCCATAAGAAAAGGCTAGCTGGGGCTAGGCACGTCCAACACGGCAGCTCCATCTTCCCTTCTCTTTGCCAGCCATGTGTACAGTAAGGAGCAGGCAACAAGGAGCCAGCCAGGCAAAGACCCCATTTGCATAATAACACTAGGGTGGGGCGGCCAACTTCCCCATGCGCTATGTAAATGTCACACCTGGTGCAACCAATCTTTGGGCCCTAGTAAATCAGGCACCGCCTCCCCAACCGTGTAAAATCTGGTGCACTCTGACTTGGGCCAGAAGTCCCACTGGGTGCCCCCCTCTCGGAAGAGAGACAGTGTTCTCCTTTCTCATTCTTTTGCCTATTAAACCTCTGCTTTTAAACTCACTCTTTGTGTGTGTCTGTGTCCTTAATGTTTTTGGTATGAGGCAACGAATCTCAGGTATTACCCCCGAGAGAATGACGCTGCTTCACTCTGTGCTAATCACAATCGACACAAGGGCCGAATCCCAGTCTCAAGTTCACCTACGATGACTTTATCATCCACATGGCTCAAAGCTGTGGTCAAGTTTCCTCCTGTTTTGAAAATATGTGCTATGCTCCAGTTAAGTCAGCACAGCTCTAGGTAGATCAAAATTCATCTTTGGAGGATTTCTGAAATTCACTTGAGGAGTAGATCAGTTGGGGATGGTGTGATGGAGGAAAAAGAAAATCCCAAGGTTTGATGGCAAGGTTAGAGTGACCTTCTGACCTTGAGCAAATGGCTTAAGCTGTCTGGGCCTTGATGTCCTCGTTTATAAAATGAGTCCGTAATAAAAGCCACAATGATGAGCATCAGGCACTGTGCTGAGTGTTTGCCATCTAAGGGGTTATCTGGTTATCTCATTTAATCATCACAACCACGGGAGGGGAAGCTCCTGGGGTTAAGTGTCTCGCCCAAGGTTGCAGCTGGTGGGGAATAGTCTGGTTGCAAACCCAGAGACCACACTTTTAACTGCTATGGAATGTTGTCTCCCGTGGCTGTTTCTGAGGAGATAGAAAAACATGCCAATTAGGGCCAAAAAAACGGGAGGTGGCCTCAAGGGCAGTGCATTACATTAAGAGTGTTTGCAAAGGTGTGGGTGTTTCTCCACCCCCGAGTCGCTGCTGACTTCCCGACACCTACACGCAGGGTCACCCTGCAGCTTCTGAGCACCTGGCCGGCTCCCCCCAGCAATGTGTGTTTGATGTTATCAGTGGGTTTGAGGCACGGCTGAGGCCCCAGGAATCTTTCTCTTTCATGGAGAAGCCAAGCTCACATCTCCCAGTGGCAGCTGGTGCTGGCGTCTGGCTGGAGTTGCAGGGACTATGTGTCAGCTCTAGCAGTTCCTGCGACTGTATTCACCTACTGAAGGTCCTTGATCTATTGCTGGGGTTTGCCAAGGGTCTCAGGGGTCTGCTGCGGAGCAGAGAGACTGATTATTATTTTTTAAATCTCCAGTTGACCCCCTTGTTCTCACGTTAATCACTTTGAGAATAAAAATGGCTACCAATAATTGAGCACTTACTACGTGCCAGGCACAGGCACATCCTATGCCTCCCTCCCTCCTCCTCCGGGGCTGCTGGCTCTCCTTATCCTTTTTATTTTTGCTTTTTTCTCCACAGCTAGTAACTGTGTTCTAAACACCAATAAGAGGGCCTGGCAAATGTGGTTACTCAATAACATTTATTGAATGAATGGGTGTGAGCGAGTGTGTGTTAGGCTCCCTGCTAAGCCCATTACGTGTATTATTTTACTCAACTCTCACAGTAATCCTATGAGATAAGCTTCATCTTTATCTCCATGTTACAAAGGAGAAAATGTGCTCAGAGATGTCAAGTAATTTCCCCCAAAATGCACAGCTTGTGTCAACGCAAGAATGCAAATTTAGCAGTCTCCAAATTCTACCCCATTTACTATCTCCCAAATAGATATGTATAAATATCCCACATATGGAGATACATTTTAAGGATTTATACGTATCTATTTCCATGTAACACGGCCACACATATGTATCCTATATAATATGCACATGTATAGTATGTGCACATATTCACGTGTAAATGTATCAGTTACCTGTAGCTGTGTAACAAGTAACACCACCCTCATGGTTATAAAAATAAACACTTATTTTTTGCTCATAGGTCTGTGGTTTAGCTGGAGAGATTCTGCTTTAGGCTGTGGGTTGAGTTCAAGTCTGATTCTTACATTTATTTCTGAGGTCCAGATTGGAGAAGCAGTGGTACCTGGTGAAGGTTGGCAGCTTCCAGAGAGGAGTGAGCAGAAATACTCAATGCCTTTTAAGGCCTAAGCTGGGAACTGGTGCACCGTCAGCTCTGCTCATGTTCCATTGGCCAAAACAAACCCATCACTAACAGGGCAGAGGATTCTGTTCTTCCCATGGTGAAGGGAATGAGAGGGAAGTAAATATTTGTTAAACAGGAAAACATACCACTATCATATTTTAATTATATATGGATGTATTTGTATTTTATCTTTTTTTTTGAGATGGAGTTTCGCACTTGTCACCCAGGCTGGAGTGCAATGGCACGTTCACGGCTCACTGCAACCTCTACCTCCTGGGTTCAAGCAATTCTCCTGCCTCAGCCTCCCGAGTAGCTGGGATTACAGGCACCTGCCACCATACCCAGCTTTTTTTTTTTTTTTTTTTTTTTGTATTTTTTTTTTTTACTAGAGATGAGGTTTCACCATGTTGGCCAGGCTGGTCTTGAACTCCTGACCTCAGGTGATCCACCTGCCTCTGCCTCCCAAAGTGCTGGGATTACAGGCATAAGCCTCGGCGCCCAGCCTATATTTATCTTTTTCACCCATGACCCCAGCTTCAGTGAGGAGTTCTGTTACTTTGTACTTTTACTGGGCATTCGTTTCCTTGTTTGGAAAATAGTGACTATAATTAATAAAAGTGTTTGTATTCTTGCAAATTGCTAAGAGAGTAAATTTGAAGCATCCCCACCACTTGTTAATTAGCTTGATTTCACCAGTCCGCAATGTATACATATTTCAAAACATCAGGTTGTACACAATAATTATAGACAATTTTTGTTTGTCAATTCAAAAAGTAATAAGTAAAGGAAAAGAAAAATGTAAGATACTTTAAAAAATGACTGGCTCGTGTTGAGAAGTAACTTTTACTATTTATTTGTTTTTTTGTTTGTTGGTTGGTTGGTTTTTGTTTTTTTTTTTTTGAGACGGAGTTTCGCTCTTGTTGCCCAGGCTGGAGTGCAGTGGCACGATCTTGGCTTACTGCAATTTCTGTCTCCCGGGGTTCAAGCAATTCTCCTGTCTCAGCCTCCTGAGTAGCTGGCATTACAGATGCCCACCACCATACCTGGCTAATTTTTTGTATTTTTAGTAGAGACAGGGTTTTGCCACTTTGGCCAGACTGGTCTCAGACTCCTGGCCTCAGGTGATCCACCTGCCTTGGCCTCCCAAAGTGCTGGGATTACAGGCATGAGCCACCGTGCCCAGCCTAACTTGTACTATTTATTTGAGTTAAGCCAACACACACTTGAGTTCCCCACATGTCATAGAGTGATGTGGACAAGCCCTTGAAATCTGGCTTTCCTGATTACCTGGTTGACCTTGTAGATGCCTCTCTGAGCCTCAGATATGTTCTCTGTGAAATGGGCATGAAACCAGTACCCACTTTGTAGAGCACTGTGAGGATTAAGTGAGAGGATACGTGCAAAAGTTTACCACAGTGCCTGGCTCCAGAAGCCACTCAATATATATTTGCTGTTGTTATTAATATTGATACTATTCTTACAACAAAAACAGCACAGATGTTCTAATGATCAATTATCCTAGCCTGTCGTCTGCTGGTCCCCAGCCCATGTTTCTCGGACCCTGTCTGTGTGTGATTTATGATCCGACTCTCTCTACACTTTGTGTTGGGGTTTGATTTTTCCTGCTTTGGCTCAAGACCCCCTTCCTACAGAAATGTTTGGACCCATCTTACAGACTTGTGCCTCCTTGGCTGTCCTGCCTGGTCAGCCCCTTGGAACACAGGGCTGGCCCTAAGTTGGTCCTCCCATCCCAGCAAAATGGTTCACTGGGGCATTGCAGGTTGATTGTGGAATTTCAACAATAGCATGGGTGGTGGGAGAACCTTCGGACGTCCACAGACAGCAGCCTGGATGTATAAGAGATGGGGGTGGTGTTCTTTCCATCTGGAGTCCTCCGGGAGCTGTCAAGCCTGGAATCTTTGCAATTTAGTCAGTCTGTTTGTAATGGTCTCAAGAAAACCCATTCTGCCTACAAACGCGGTGACCTTTAATTTTTTTTTCTCAGATTTTTCCAAGATGCACATTGACTCTTCCTGTCAACGTGGAAGGCTCTAATGCCGCCTGGGGCATTTAGATTGCATTTGCCAATCGCTGACTGCTGTAGCCAATTTGTTCCTGATCTCAAGGTCGATTTTGAATAACTTTAGCTGGGCTAAGTCTCTTGCATTGAATAACTGGGAAACAACCTATTAAGGTAGCAGGCGGGCGGGGGCAGGAGGGGGCAGGGGGCTGTTTCTATTTTGTAGAAGTTCTTTGATTTTGGATAAATGAGAAGGCTTCTAGCTCTGCCAGTCATGGACTATGTGGCCTTGAACAAGGGAGGGAAAGAAAGAAACACATGCCAAGTACCTAGCATATGCTAGACACAGTGCTGGGCACTTCACACATGCCAGCTGCTTAATCTACTCTGCGAGGTGAACATCGTGATCTCCATGTTACAGATAAAGAAACGGAGTCTCGGCAACTTGCAGGGTTGAGCTTGGATCTGTCTAAAGCCCCTCCCCTCCCCCTTTTTTTGTTTGTTTGAGACGGAGTCTTGCTATGTTGCCCAGGCTGGTGTGCAACAGTGCAATGATCTTGGCTCACTGCAACCTCCGCCTGCCAGGTTCAAGCAATTCTCCTGCCTCAGCCTCCGGAGCAGCTTGGGATTACAGGCACGTGCCACCATGCCCAGCTAATTTTTTATATTTTTTGTATAGACGAGGTTTCACCATGCTGGCCAGGTTGGTCTCCAACTCCTGACCTCGTGAGCCGCCCGCCTCGGCCTCCCAAAGTGCTGGGATTACAGGCGTGAGCCACCGCGCCCGGCCGATGATGCTCTTTTTAAACTACCCTTTTGAGTGTATTTCAGCAACCTCCCCCGACCCGAATTACAGTACCACCGGCTGCGTCCTAATGCTGTGCCCTCTCCTGATATGGTCTGGCTGTATCCCCATCCAAACTCACCTTGAATTGTAATAATCCCCACGTGTCAAGGGCGGGGCCAGGTGGAGATAATTAAAACATGGGGGCAGTTTCCGCATACGGTTCTCATGGTAGTGAGTAAGTCTCACGAGATCTGATGGTTTTATAAATGGGAGTTCCGCTGCGCAAGCTCTCTTGCCTGCCGCTGTGTAGCATGTGACTTCGCTGTTCTTTGGCCTTCCACCATGATTGTGAGACCTCCTCAGCCTTGTGGAACTGTGAGTCCATTCAACCTCTTTCCTTTGTAAATTACTCAGTCTCGGGTAGGTCTTTATTAGCAGCGTGAGAACAAATACACCTCCTGTCATCTTCTCTCCTTGGATTCACTCCTCTAGTCTGAGATGTCTGGTTCGCCTTGTTTCCCCAGCGGTGGGCTCATGCCGGCAGGGGTTGGCATCAGCAACTGTTCTTTGATCCCATGACTCTGATTTTGAGATGAGCCTGGTGCAGCTTGGTGGTTTCACGTGGGGCCCTTTGGAAGGAGAAAACCTGGTCCGAATCCCTGCAAGTTGTGTGACGGGTTGGGTTCCTTGGAAGCCCGAGAATGAGATTTGGGTAGGTGCGGTTTATTCAAGGTGGGGGTTCTCAGGAGAAGGAAAGTGAGGGAAGGAGGATGATGGGGGAGGGGACAGAGCCAAGCAAGAATGGGCTCTCAGGCTGAGGCTAGCCTTGATCTCACGTGGGTCTCTGGAGTGTATTCTGCCTTGAAGCAGGAGGACTGGACTTTTGTGTGACTCCTCTCGCCTCATATCGCTTAGTCATTGGCCAGTTCAGCATGTGAGAGCATAACTCCCTGGGTGAAATGGCTTTTGCTAGCTAAGGAATTCTCCGGAGAAAGTATTGGTATAAGCCATTAGGCACAGATCAGCAAAGGCTGAATGATGAGTGGTTTACTGGCAATGAGGATCTGGGTGAAGCACCAGGAACAGCTGCGACGTTGTGCAACTGCTCTGCCTCAGTTTTCCTCATCTGTAAAATGGGGATGTTGATAAAACCCATCTCTGAGCGTTGATGCAAGGGTTAGATGAGATACTTGCATTTGTGTTACTGATAATGTGCCTGTCACTGGCCAGGTGCAAAGCAAGGGCTCAACGAAAGCATAAGCTATTATTATTATTATTATTATTGTTATTACTGGCAGTTTTGGATCCATAGCAACAAGCACATATAAACAATGCTCACTTCTTCTCTAGTTTAATTCTTATAACTCTTCTGAGATAAGTTCTACTTCTACCCTGTTTTACAGACATGGAAACTGAGGCACAGTGAGGTGAAGCACTTTGAGCTCACATGATGGGGCTGAGATTCCAATTTAGGGAGTCCAGTCCCAGAGCCCCCAAGTGAGTGCTGGTTTGGGACTGTCTCTTCTGATCATGACAAATCTTTTTTTTGAGATCACTCTCAGTTCCTTGAATGTATCCATCTTCTCTGTTGTTTCTGGGTCTTTGTATATTCTATTCTCTGTGCTGGCAACAGCTTTTCCCCTTTAACCTGATCTGCCCTGGTTCATCCCTTGAGACTGAGCTCTGAGCTCATATTTGGCCTTTTTTTTTTTTTTTTTTGAGACAAGGTCTCACCCTGTCACCCAGGCTGGAGTGCAGTGGTGCAATCGTGACTCACTGCAGCCTCAACCTCCCAGGCTCAAGTGATCCTCCCACCTCAGCCTCCCGAGTAGCTGGGACTACAGTTGCATGCTACCATGCCCAGCTAACTTGTGTACTTTTTGTAGAGATGAGGTTTCGTCATATTACCCAGGCTGGCCTCGAACTCTCAGGATCAAGTGATCTGCCTGCCTCAACCTCCCAAAGTGCTGGGATTACAGGTATGAGCCACGGCGCTTGGCCCATGTTTGGCCTTTTCCAGGAAGCCCTCCAGGTTGCCTCCTTCCACAGCCCCTTGTCTGTTCCCCAAAGTGTCTGTTAGGATGTATTACACTTGCCTAGTCACTTGTCTGCCTCTCCCATTAGTCTATGGCTCCAAAGAATTGAATATTTTGCCTGTCTCTATCGTTGTCACCCCTGCAAGTAGCATTTGTCTGGCACATAGTAGGTACTCAATAAATGTTTATTTTGTGGCTGAATGAGCATTCCAGATTCAGAACTGGAAACATTGGAGGCTTACAAAAGTTCAGAACCGCATACATTGGAGGCTTACAAAAGTTCCTGTTGAGTTGAATTAATTCATTTTGAAATGACATGGACTAAGTTCTTTCTGGGAAGGTTTCCTAACTAAATCCGTCGGCATGGTGGACTGGAGCATTCCAGAACCAGTGCAAAGAGTCCCCTGTCCATAGGCATGAGATGAAGGCTCAGGGACTTAAAATACACTTCTATTGTGGAAAGTTCTTCAGAGACCCTTCTGGCATTTTATTTAATTGATGCTCGGCTCATTTATTTTATTATTTTATTTTTATTTTTTAATTTTTTTATTTTTTTTTTGAGACGGAGTCTTGCTCTGTCACTCAGGCTGGAGTGCAGTGGCGCAATCTCGGCTCACTGCAACCTCTGCCTCCCAGGTTCAAGCAATTCTCTGCCTCAGCCTCCCGAGTAGCTGGGATTATAGGCAAGTGCCACCATGCCCAGCTAATTTTTGTATTTTTAGTAGAGACGGGGTTTCACCATCTTGGCCAGGCTGGTCTTGAACTCCTGACCTCGTGATCTGCCTGCCTCGACCTCCCAAAGTGCTGGAATTACAGGCGTGAGCCACGGCGCCCAGCCATTTTTATTTTTTTTTTTGAGATGGAATGTCACTCTGTCACCTAGGCTGGAGTACAGTGGCGCAATCTCGGCTCACTGCAGCCCCCACCTCCCCGGTTCAAACGATTCTCCTGCCTCAGCCTCCCAAATAGCTGGAACTACAGGCACACACCCACACACCACCACACCTGGCTAATTTTTGTATTTTTGGTAGAGACGGGGTTTCACCATGTTGCCCAGGCTAGTTTTGAACTCCTGACCTCAGGTGATCTGCCCACCTTGGCCTCTCGAAGTGCTGGGATTACAGGCATGAGCCACCACGCCCGGCCCAGTTAATTTATTTTATGTAATGAATGTATTTCTTTTCATTAGGAAAGTATGAGAATCACGTTGCTGAAAATGTGGGAAACTAGAAAAGTAGAGAAACCCACCCACTATCATTTGGTAGTAAATTTCTTCAGATTTTTCTCCTCCCATATATGTTTTTCTCTTTCTTTATTAAACATACTTATGACCATACTATTAATATAGTTTAGTATCCTGCTACTTTTTTTCCGTTTAGCAAAATGAGATTTTTCCAGGTTTAATTACATAGTTTTAAAAATAACCATCATCATTTTGTTCTTATTTTTTTCCCTTTTGAATTTAAAAAAAAAATCATAGTAATATGAGCACATCGTACAAAGTTAAAGTACAGAGGAGCTGCTAATGAAAGCAGCGGTTCCTGGCCCCTTCTCTCCTCTCTCCCCTCCTTAAGTCTTATTTCCCGGAGGCAAGTGCTTGAAATGTTGTTTCCATTTTTAGGTCTTCGGTTATTTATCTCTGTAACTCCAAATAAGATGCTTATGCGGCTGTTTCTTGATTTATTAATTTAAGACATTTTCTATTGACTCTGTGCCATAGAAGGTGAGGATTCAGCTTATTGACATGGTTCCTCCCCACTTTTTGTCCTTCCCCAGTTTTTATTTGAAAAAAGTCAGACGTGCACATGGCAAATGATGACCGGAGGATGACCTCTTACTCTAATGCTTCAGTCTTCCACCCACCCCTCCTCCCAGTTTCTTGTGTATCTGTGGCAGGTCAAAGATGAGTGCAAACTGTTTGATACCCCATGCATTCAGAAATGGGGTCTATTTCCCTTTTCCTGAGCCTGGGCTGGCCTGTGACTGCTTTGACGAATAGATTGCCATAGAAGTGACACCATGATGGTTCTGGTCCTGGCATTTAAGGGATCATGCAGTTTCCGCCTTACACCTCTTGGAACTCTTGGTTTTAAACCCCTGAGCCACTGTGTGAGAAATCTGAGGGCTTTTGCTGGAGGGAAACCTGGAGAGACTCTGAGATGACATGGAAAGGGAGAGAAGTTGCTCTGAGCCCAGCTTCCATCCTGTCCCACTGATATGGTTTGGCTGTGTCCCCATCCAAATCTCATCTTGAATTCTCACATGTTGTGAGAGGGACCCGGTGGGAGGTAATTGAATCATGGGGGTGGGTCTTTCTCATGCTATTCTCATGATAGTAAGTCTCATGAGATCTGATGGTTTTATAACACGGAGTTTCCCTGCACAAGCTCTCTTTTTGCCCGCTGCCATCCATGTAAGACGTGACTTGCTCCTCCTTGCCTTCCACCATGATTGCGAGGCTCCCCAGCCATGTGGAACTCTGAGTCCATTAAACCTCTTTCCTGTAAAAATGACCCAGTCTCAGGTATGTCTTTATTAAGAGCATGAAAATGGACTAATACACCCACCAAGGTGCCTGGCACATCACTAAAACTGCACTAGACCCTTCAGAGCAGCCCCGAAGCCCTCTGAATACTACTGAGTGACCTCAGATGATACTGTGTGAGCAGAAGAACTGCCCAGCTGGGTCCTGCTTGAATTCCTGACCCTCAAAATCATGATCTATAATAAAAACAGTTGTGGCTTTAAGCCATAATGTTTGGGGATTAACTTGAATGGCATCCTTCAGGAGATACCCCATGTGTCATAGGTTTTGGGGATGGAGGTTATCTTAGCCTACCAACAGTGCCTGATACAAATATGTGAATGTTTCATTGGGTCACGCAATCTCAAGAAAGCAGGGATAAGGGAAAGAGAGAAAGAGGAAGAGCAAAACCAAAGAAGTGCATATTGCCTAGTGGAGTTGCAGTTTCCCAGAAACACAAGCATGGGATAACTCTGGAGTCAGTCATCTGCCAGCTCCTGCTGTTTCCTGTCTCTTATTGGTCAAAGCTTGCTCCACTCTGCACTTCTGAGTAATGGCCCTCAGCCCCTCCTAGCAGCTTCTGGGGGATCCAGGACCTCTGGGAGCTGATAGGTGTGATAGAGGCCAGCCCTTAACCCCACCCAGGGTAGGCTGAGTCACTTTTATTTTATTGTAAAATTGATATTTATTTACTTATTATTTTAAGGTAATTTTTTTTGAGACAGGATCGTGCTCTGTTGCCCAGGCTGGAGTACAGTGGCACAGTCATAGCTCACTGCAACCTCAAACTACTGGGCTCATGTGATCCTCCTGCCTCAGCCTCCTGAGTAGCTGGGACTACAGGTATGCACCACCATGCATGGCTAGTTTTTAAAAAGTTTTTTTGGAGGGATGGGGTTTTGCTTTGTTTCCCAGGCTAGTCTCAAACTCTTGACCTCAAGAGATCCTCCTGCTTCAGCCTCTCAAATTGCTGAGATTACAGGCATAAGCCACTATGCCTGGCCTCTATTATTATTATTTTGAGACAGAGTCTCACTCTGTTGCCCAGGCTGGAGTACATCGGTGCAGTCTTGGCTCACTGCAACCTCTGCCTCCTGGGTTCAAACAATTCTTGTGCCTCAGCCTCCGAGTAGCTGGGACTACAGGTGTGTGCCATCATGACTGGCTAATTTTTGTGTTTTTAGTAGAGATGGGGTTTCGCCATGTTGGCCAGGTTGGTCTTGAACTCCTGACCTCAAGTATCCACCTGCCTCGGCCTCCCGAAGTGCTAGGATAACAGGTGTCGGTCACAGCTCCTGGCCACTGGCTTCTATTTTTTTATTTTTTGAGATGGAGTCTAGCTCTTGTTGCCCAGGCTGGGGTTCAGTGGCGCGATCTCGGCTCACTGCAACCTCTCAAGTTCAAGAGATTCTCCAGCCTCAGCCTCCCGAGTAGCTGGGATTACAGGCACGCGCCGCCATGCCCAGCTAATTTTTGTATTTTCAGTAGAGACAGGTTTCACCATGTTGGCAGGATGGTCTCGATCTCCTGACCTCATGATCCACCCACCTTGGCCTCCCAAAGTGCTGGGATTACAGGCGTGGGCCATGGCACCTGGCCCAGCCTCTATTTTTAAAGTAACTTTTATGGGATGTCAGACATTGTAAATTTTACCTTGGTGGGTGCTGGATGTTTTTGTGCCTGGCACAGTCCTAGGTGCTGAGGACCTAGCATTGAACAAAAACAAAGATCCCTGCTCTTGCTGAACTTCCATGCTACTGTGGGGAGACAATCAGTGAACAACAAGCATAATTTAGGTTTGCTCTTATTATACTGTTGCACACGTACCTTTTGTATATGTACTCTTAAACGGCCATTGTTTTTAGTGATTTGATTGAACAAATATATTTGATTGAACAGATATATCCTTGCTGAATGAGCCATTTCTCTATTGATGGGTAATTATATTACTTTCTCTAGTAAGAGTCATCAGAAGCTTAGAGGCTTAAGAATCTAAGCTCAACAAACAGAGGTTGGAGAGGTTATTATAAAGTCCATTGTGAGAGCAGCCACTCCTAACCTTGGGACCAAAGATTGGTATTGCGTGACCTGTGAGCCAGAATTACCCTGGATTGGACTGTCCTACCAGGTGGGCCCCTGGCCAGCAAAAGAGATGATGGGGGTTGTTAGAATGTCAGAGAGGGCCTTAGACACCCCTCTTCCATATAGTCTCCAGCTCTTTGACTAAAACCTGTACCCCAGTATATAATCAGTCACCCAGGCCTAGAGTCAAGGTCTTTTATATCATGTAAATTTATTTTTTATTTTTAAAATTTTTTATTTCCATAGGGTTTTGGGGAACAGGTGGTATTTGGTTATGTGAGTAAGTTCTTTAATAGTGATTTGTGAGATTTTGGTGCAGCCATTATCTGAGCAGTACACACTGAACCCAATTTGTAGTCTTTTATCCCTCACCCCCTCCCACCCTTTCCCCCGAGTCCCCAGAGTCCATTGTATCATTCTTATGCCTTTGCATCCTCATAGCTTAGCTCCCACTTGTGAGTGAGAACATACGACGTTTGGTTTTCCATTCCTGAGTTACTGCACCTAGAATAATAATCTCCAGTTCCATCCAGGTTGCTGTGAATGCCATTAATTCATTCCTTATTATGGCTGAGTAGTATAAATATACTGCTGGTATATGGCATATATATACCACAGTTTCTTTATCCACTCGTTGATTGATAGGCATTTGAGCTGGTTTCATATTTTTGCAGTTGTGAATTGTGCTGCTATAAACATGCATGTGCAAGTATCTTTCTCATATAATGATTTCTTTTCCTCAGGGTAGATACCCAGTAGTGGGATTGCCAGATCAAATGGTGGTGCTACTTTTCTTTAAGGAATCTCCACACTGTCTTCCAAGGTGGTTGTACTAGTTTACATTCCCGCCAGCAGTGTAGAAGTGTTCCCTTTTCACCACCTCCATGCCAACATCTATTAGTTTTTGATTTTTTGATTCTGGTCATTCTTGCAGGAGTAAGGTGGTATCGCATTGTGGTTTTGATTTGCATTTCCCTGATCATTAGTGATGTTGAGCATTTTTTCACATGTTTGTTGGCCATTTGTTTATCTTCTTTTGAAAATTGTCTATTCATGTGGATTTATACCTTCCCCGTATTCCCATGCCTTTGTCTTCAATGGGACTATTATTTTTTGTCTAATGGCTTTGAATTAAATCTTCTGTCTTCTATTCCACTGATCTCCAGTCTCCAGCAATAATTATGCTGTTTGCATTGGGGAAGGTGGCAGATGTAGTTGTTGCCTTGCCTATGTCCTCTGGCATAGGAACTCACCATTCCTACTGCAAGCATCTGCAATACTGCCTGGGGCTTTGTCTCACTGCCATAACCTAGGCTCTTGTGGGGCAGGCTGGAAGTGCAGAGAAACCAACACAGGCACATCTCCCCCAGCCAGCTGCTGAGGGCAGTTGCCCTGCCTTCCATACCTTAGGGTGAGGCAGGCGCTATGCTGTCTCCCAGATGTCCCCAGTGGGATTGAACCCCAGTTGCCCATAGTAGCAGCCTGCTTATAAACATGACCTGGATTAGCTCCTTTCCCTTCTCTGTCTCATTTCCCTATTGTCATCCCAGTGTTTCCTGGGCTCACTTTCCAAATCAACCCACTTATCTTCAAGTCCTTCTGTATTAGTCTGTTCTCATGCTGCTAATAAAGACATGCCTGAGACTGGGTCATTTATAAAGGAAAGAGGTTTAATGGACTCACAGTTCTGCATGGCTGGAAAGGCCTCACAATCATGGTGGAAGACAAGAAGGAGCAAAGCCACATCTTACACGGCAGCAGGCAAGAGGCTTGTGCAGGGGAACTCCCATTTATAAAACCATCAGATCTCATGAGACTTACTCACTATCAGGAGAACAGTATGGGGGAAACCACCCCTATGATTCAATTATCTCCACCTGCCCCCGCCCTTGACACATGGAGATTGTTACAATTCAAGGTGAGATCTGGGTAGGGACGCAGCCAAACCATCTCACCTTCTCTTAGGATTTGTTTCTGGGGAAACCTAACCTATCTAAGATGATGAAAAATACAAAGAACCAGGAAAATCCATAAATAGATTTAACAAGAAAATTTTACCTAGTCTTGATGAGTGGCAAAGCTTGACTGCCCTGAGGAAGTGACTTTGCTGAGCTGAGACCTGAGGATGGGTAGGAGTTAGCTAAGCAAAGCAGCACTGGAAGAACAGCAGGGGAAGAACATTCCAAGCATAGGGAAGAGCATGTGCGAAGGTCCTGGGGCAGGAATGCTAGTGTGGATGGGTTGCAGAAAGAGAGGCAGAGAATGGTGGTTATCTTTGGAGGATATATGGCCTGAAAGTGAATTTGGGTCCCTGACTTTACATCTCTTTCCTCTGCAGTTTAGTTATGTCTATACACTTTTTTTTGAACCCCATTATGGTCTGGCTTCATTTAAATGCATCTGAAATGAAATCTCTAATGTTAACAGTGTTGTCAGATGTGAAGGCTTCATTTCTCTTTGGTTCTTTTTCACCGAATGCTATCTGTGAGTTTCTGGGGAGGATATGAGGATTTTGATTGTTTTGATTTTTTTTTTTTTTGTATGACCACATTATGTTAATTTCCCCATTGTCTTAGAGTATGAGAACATAAAAGCAATAACTCATTTATATGAAGACTGAATGTGCTGAGAGGTTGTCATGGAAACCTCTCATGTTGGCTTGAGTAAATTGAATAACCCCTGTTAAAAGACTGAACACAGATAACTGGCAGGCTTTGTTTCAGGGCAAGAGTTCACAAACGGGTCCACAGATGCTCAAACATTCTATCATGAATAGAATTCGGGGATCCCATGATCTTGGACAGTTAAAAATACATCTTATATTCTTTTATCTCTACCTGAAGTTTAGTCTTTCTTTCCATTGTGAATGAATAAAGCAATAAACAAACAAAAAAACAAAAGATTGAACACAGAACTTATTTACCCAATTGCATGGCATTCACAAGAGATGAGAAATTCAACATGATACATGAGATTTTTCCCCCCCGCAGGGGCAGGGAGGAGGATGAAGAGGGTGAATGAATGCTAGGAATGTATTATTTTTATTTAGACAGTGATTTCTATTTTTCTTTCAAAGATTATATTTTTGTTTCCAAATGGGAGAGGTGTTATGGGGCGATAGAGAAAGGATCCAGGGAAAATTGCATGGTAAAATTGCTCCTGGGAAAGACCAGCTTAGGGTATCCATGATTGTCGCTTCTGTAGCCCTGAGCATGTTTCTCCCCTTGGAGCATCCTCTGAAGTCTTGGTCAGAGTCGTTGAAGAGACATGAACCTTTTCAGCATTTTCTGCTTTGCTTTGGCAGGATTGTTTACTGCCTATCAAGCTGACTTACAAAAAATACTAGTTCTGTTGTTTTTCATTTTTAAAAGCAAATTGCTTCACCTCTTCGTAAATAACTCCTTAAAAGAAAAGCCGTGGATGACAGATGAGGAAGCATAGTTGGGAACAGAGCGCGGCACTCGCTCACGATCATAGTGTCAGGTCACAGGAAGCCCTCTGAGCCCCGGGGGTGGGGGCAGCCTCTTTAAAGTGATTATGGAGCAAGAGGAGCTTGAACAGTGGCACTCTGAGCGTTGTCTTGGGCCAGCTTGGAGATCAGGTCCTGGGCTCCAGAAGACATCGAGGCTGGTTCTACCTGGATGTTGCATCCGTAGGTATCAAAGTAGGAGATGCTTTCGAGGGGTGAGTTTTTCATCAGTGGCCTCCACCCCAAAGCACCATAGTCCTACCTCCTTGTTGTATGTCTTTCTTCTCACAGGCTGCTTGTCAGACTTCAGAATTTCATGGGCATGATGGGCAAATAAGCTTGATTAATGCTTCATGCTTGCTATCCACTAAATGTGTTCCCACCATGTGTTGAAACCTAATCCCCAGTGTGATGGATGGTATTAGGGGGTGGGGCCTTTGGGAGGTGATTAGGACATGATGGTGGGGACTCCACAAGTGGGATTCATGCCTATTTATTTATTTATTTGAGACAAGAGTCTCACCCTGTTCCCAGGCTAGAGTGCAGTAGTACCATCTAGGCTCACTGCAACCTCTGCCTCTGGGTTTAAGTGATTCTCCTGCCTCATCCTCTGAGTAGCTGAGACTACTGGATAATTATCTACCACACCTGGATAATTTTTTTTTTTTTTGTATTTTTAGAGAGATGAGGTTCCACCACGTTGGCCAGGCTGTCTTGAACTCCTGATCCAAGTGATCTGCCCATCTTGGCCTCCCAAAGTGCTAGGTTTACAGGCGTGAGCCACTGCGCCTGGCCAATGCCCTTTTAAAAGGGGTCCCAGAGAGCCCCTTTGCCCTTCCATGATGGGAAGACACAGTGAAAAGAGGGCTGTCTATGAACTAGGAAGAAGGCCTTCCCCAGACACTGAATCTGCCTGGGACTTCCCAGATCTTCTGGAGAGAACCGTGAGAAATAAATGTCTGCTGTTTGTAAGCCACACAACCTATGGCATTCTCTTATAGCAGTCTGAATAGACTAAGATAATACCATAAGGATCTACCTTTGGGACTGTGTGCTGTTATAATAAAGGCTCTGATAAGTCCTGCTAGCGCCATTTAGACCAGGGGTTTCTAAACTTTTTGACCACACAAGTTATTTTTCCCTTTGCAAGCACCTTCCATGGAAATCTTTTGGGAGGCTGAGGCATGAGAATTGCTTGAACCCATGAAGTGAAGGTTGCAGTGAACTGAGATCATGCCACTGCACTCCAGCCTGGGTGATGGAGTAAGACTCTGTGTCAAAAAAAAAAAAAAAAAAAAAACAGAAAAGAAAGAAAAAAGAAAATATTTTCAAAATGATGCCATGGATTAAATCTGATAGTCACAAAGGATCCTTGTCTGGTGTTATCTCCATTTGATGGGTGAGGAAACAGGAGTCCTGAGAAACCAAGTAACTTGCTCAGGGTCATGCTGTTAGGATGTAGCAGAATCAGAACCAAAACCCTAAGTCCCAGACAACTAAAATCCACCACTCCAATGGAGAGGCCCTTACTGCAATGACCTGTTCTGAAGGAGCGAAACAAGGCATTTATTGCAGCATCATTTAATTAGGAAAAAAATCTGGAAAGACCCTGAATGTCCAACTAAAGGGAAATAGTTGATATTTATGATACTTCCATACAATAGAATGTTATGGGGCATCGATAATAGACATGAAGCACAGTAACATGAGGTGGCACATATTATAATGTAAAATGGAGAAATAAAGCAAAATGATAATCATGCAAATTAAATGCATGAAACTAAAAAAGAAATACAAAATAGTAGCTGTCTCTAGACGGTAGGTGAGTCAGTTCAGGTCCTCTGAGTAGCAGAAGGCAAAACAGAATTAATTGTACAAGGTCCCAGTCTCCACTGATTTCAAATCCACTTTTCAACTTCTGTATGAAGTTCTCATTCTCTTACTAATTTTTTTTTTTTTTTTTGAGGCGGAGTCTCACTCTGTTGTCAGGCTTGAGTGTAGTGGCGCGATCTCGGCTCACCGTAACCTACGCCTCCCGGGTTCAAGTGATTTCCTGCCTCAGCCTCCCAGGTAGCTGGGATTACAGGCGCATGCCACCATGTCCAGCTAATTTTTGTATTTTTAGTAGAGATGGGGTTTCACCATGTTAGCCAGGATGGTCTCGATCTCTTGATCTTGTGATCCACCCACCTCGGCCTCCCAAAGTGCTGGGATTACAGGCATGAGCCACTGTGCCCGGCCCTCTTACTAATTTTAAATAACATGTCTCCTGCAGCTTCTGTATTGCAAATATAGGAAGTGATTTTGGCGAGCATTTGAATTATGGTAGCTGATCTGATCTGTTGTGTCTCCTTACTTTCTAATTCTTTCTTTACTTTCTGCTCTTTTCCTCCCTCTGCTTATTTGCTTCCTCTTGCTGTCTTCCTTTATCTCCTTTTCTTTTCCTACAAATTTCTAAAATGATAGCTGATGAGAAGGAAGATCACTCTTACATAATTTGATTCCTCAGTTTCCATTTTCTTCTTTTTACAAGTATAACATTCTATATTTCTTTTTTTTAAAAAAATTATTTTTTAATTGAAAAATAATGGTACCTATTGATGGAGTACGTAGTGATGTTTTGATATATATAATGTATAGTGATTTGATCAGGGTAATTAGCATATCCATCATCTCAAACGTTTCTCATTTCTTTGTGATGGTAACATTCAGTATCTTCCTTCTAGCTATTTGAAACTGCATTATTATTACCATTATCATTTTATTTTATTTAGACAGAATCTTGCTCTGTCACCCAGACTGATTTGTAGTAGCATGATCTCTGCTCAATGCAACCTCTGCCTCTCAGGTTCAAGCGATTCTTCTGCCTCAGCCTGCCGAGTAGCTGGGATTACACGCATGCTCCACCACGCCCGACTAATATTTTTTTAGTAGAGATGGGGTTTCACCATGTTTGCCAGGCTGGTTTCGAACTCCTGACCTCAAGTGGTCTGCTCACTTCAGAGTCCCAAAGTGCTGGGATCACAGGCACGAGCCACTGCGCCTGGCCAAAACTACATATTGTTAACTGTAGTCATCCTACAGTGGTTTACAACATGAAAGAAAACCAAGTATTAATTGTGCAGGAAATTCATTGAAGAAAATGCCTGTGAAGGGAAATGGGGAGGGAGCAGGGAGAGATTTCAGACCGTAATGCAGGTCTGACACCTCTGAAAGCAGAGTGGGAAGGAAGAGAGATAGTTAGAAAGAGAAAGGCTTCGGCACAACTCTGAGAATGTATCAGCCAGTGTAATAGTTCCTAAGGCAACTCTCTCTGTTGGACAACTCCCAGTTGGGTTAGAATCACCTAATTCCGTTACTTCCACTGTGCCCAGTCACTGGCTGGGAAAATCCCCAGGGAAGTGCAGCCTAGCATGAACACCTCGGTGGGTCAAAAGGTACAGCAGCTAGAGGTTGTCAGTTAGCTCTGCTTCCAGAGCAGTTCACCTTGAAGGAAGATTTGAGCACAGAACTTCCATGACTGAGAGCTTCTGGTGCACTTTACAGCAGAGGAATTTGTGAAGCAGGTTCACTGTTCACTGGCTACCAACTTGTCCAGTGAGACAGAACACTCCCACACAACAAGTTACCTGAGGTAGGTTTATTACTTACAGATAGGCAGCAAGAGATGGTAGAAGCCTAGGATTCATTGTGAGCTATTCCTCCAAGTCCCCGGAAACCTGCTGAGGGTAAGTAGAGTCATATCTGTGCATGCCTTACTTGCACAGAAGCTCAGATACCCCAGAAAGCAGCTGGTTCTGTGTTTTATACCCCAGGATGTGTGATTTGCTGGGCTAAAGTGTTTAAGACATTTTGTTTCTAGGGGTGGACTGAAACAGAGGTTGGGTCGTTCTGGCCAGTCCCTCTCTATCTCAAGATGTTGCATTTCTAGCACATTCTTCAGTTATTCTTAAGAACCATGAGTTGGGAAAAGAGGGAAGAACTGGGTAGGCCCAAGGCCACCCAGTGAACTGTCTAGCAGCATTTTGCATTTTGTAAAAGCACATTAACAATGGTTTTGAGAAGCTGAAGTCTGTGGACTGATTCTCCCTGTAAATACAGGCCTGCTTTACTAGCACCTGCACTTTCTGGTTCTTATGCCCCCTCAAAAGTGTACTGAGTCATTTGAACAGAAGGAGACTGCCCCTCCAGCTCCCCACAATGGGAAATTGTCATCACTGCCACAAAATGAATAGAAGGACTTGGCCAAGTTCATCTTCCTTTGTTTACTGCCTGTACTTCATCCCATTTGGAAGAGAGAAGCAATAGCATTGAATGGTCTGGCTTTTTTTTTTTTTTTTTGTAATCATGGCTATACAGCAGGGTAATGAAGGTCAGAGATGGGGGCTTGAACCACCTGCCTGTGGTTTTGAGGTTTCCCCAAATACTCTATGGTTGTTAAGTTCCATAAGAAAGGGACTTGTTTTTCATTTTTATTTTCTTTCCAACTTTTATTTTAGGTTTGGGGGGTACGTGCGCAGATTTGTTTCATGGGTAAATTGCATGTTATGGGGCTTGGTGTCCAGATTATTTCATCACCCAGGTAATGAATGTAGTACCTGGTAAGTAGTTTTTCAATCCTCACCCTCCTCCCATCCTCTACCTTCAAGTAGGACCCAGTGTCTATTGTTCCCTTCTTTGTGTTCATGTGAAGTCAGTGTTTACCTCCTAAGTGAGAATGTGCAATATTTGGTTTTCTTTTCCTGTGTTAATTTGCTTAAGATAATGGCATCCAGCTCCATCCATGTTGCTGCAAAGGTCATGATTTCATTCTTTTTTATGGCTGCATAGTATATTCCATGGTGTATATGTACCATACTTTATCTAGTCTGCAATTGATGGGCATCTAGGTTGATTCCCTGTCTTTGCTATTGTAAATAGTGCTGCAATGAACATATGTGTGCATGCATCTTTAAGGTAGAATGATTATTCTTTTGGGATTTATACCCATGAATGGGATTGCTGGATTCAACCTTAGTTCTATTTTAAGTTACTTGAGAAATCTCCAAACTGCTTTCCAGTGACTGGACTAATATACATTCCCATCAACAGTGTATAAGCGTTAAAGGGACTTAACTGCTGAATAGTCTTCACCCAACTCAAAGCCTGGCTCTCAGTAGATACTCAATATATTGCTTATACAATTAAAGGAATGGTTAAAAGGAAGGAAGATGTATGCAGAATCTGTGTACTGCTAAGTCAGCAAACATTTGCTGAGGGTCTGTTGAATTTGGTCCTGCTCAACATTGAACTTGCCCACTTCTCACCACCATTAAGGCTCCAGAAAATTTGTTTATCCACAGCCTTCTTCTTCTACCTTATTACCTTGTCATTTCTTTGAGACCTAATATCCATTCCTCCTGATCTCCAGCTCAACTCCCTAGAATCCATAGCTTCTAGAGTTTTGTTTATTTATTCCATTTTTATTTATTTGATTTATTCCACTTTCATTGAATATCAAGACCTCCAGGCATAGTTCCAGGCACCTGGTATGCAGCAACAAATAGGATGTTCAGATAATCTCTTGCTGCATAAAAAAAGAGCCTGATCCCACAGTGGCTGGAAACAAATATTTGGTATTATTGCTCATGACTCTGTGTTGATTGGGCTCACCTACGTGGTTCTCATTTCAAGTCCTATGCAGTTGTAGTCAGATAATGACTGGGGCTGGAGTCATCTGAAGGCTTGACTAGGCTGGCCATCCAAGATGGCTGAGACACATGGCTGGCATGATATTGGCTACTGGTTAGGAGCTCAGTTGGTGCTGTCGCCTGGAGCACTTTCATGTGGCCTTTCTATGTGGTTTGGGCTTCTCGTAGCATAGTGGTGTCTGAGTTCCAAAAGTGAGTATTCCAAGATATAGGAAGTAGCGCTTGATAGTCTTTTAAAACATGGACTGGAAAAGGGCACAGTATGATTTCCACCATATTCAATACGTCAAAGCAATCATGGAGGTCATTAAAGTCAAGGGAGAGGGTGTAGATCCCAAGAGATTGTTGTGTGTTTTTGTTTGTTTGTTTTTTGTATTTTTTTTGAGACGGAGTCTGCCTCTGTCACCCAGGCTGGAGTGCAGTGGTGTGACCTCGGCTGACTGCAACCTCCGCCTCCTGGATTCAAGTGATTCTCGTGCCTCAGCCTCCCGAGCAGCTGGGACTACAGGCGCCCACCACCACATCAGCTAATTTTTGTATTTTTAGTGGAGACGGGGTTTCACTGTGTTGGCCAGGTGGGTCTGGAACTCCTGACCTCAGGTGATCTGCCTGCCTTGGCCTCCCAAATTGCTGAGATTACTGATGTGAGCCACCGTGCCTGGCCCTAAGGGATTGCTTTGATGTAAAAATGTACAGCCATTTGAAAATGGCCACAGGTGGTCTCTGCTGTCAAGGACTTCAGAGTTGATAAAGAGATAGTGATGAAACCTATAGTAGGCTGAATCATGGCCACTCAAAGATAGCAGGTTCTAGTCCGCGGAACCTGTATATGTTAAATTATAAGGAAAAGGAGTCTTTGCAGGTATGATTAAATTAAGGATGTTGACATGGGGAGATTATTCTGGATTATCTAGGTGGGCCCTAAATTTGATTGCAAGTGTCTTATAAGAGAAAGGCGGAGAGATATTACACCCAGAAGACAAGAAGGTGATATATCCAGATGGAGGCAGAGATTGGGGTGATGCCACTCCAAGCAAGGTAATGCTGGCAGCCACCAGAAGCTGGAAGAGGCAAGGAACAGACTGTCCCCTAGCACTTCTATAGGGAACGAGCCCTACTGACACCTTGATTTCAGTTTATTGCAACCGATTTCAGTCTTCTGACCTCCAGACCTGGGAGAGAAGAAATTCCTGTTGTTTGAAGCCATTTAGTTTGAGATCATTGTTACAAAAGTCTCAGGAAATGAATACAAACCCAGACAATGACAAGCAAGGGTGGAGGTGATATGGAGGAAGCATATAGGAGGCACCTGAAGCCCAGCCCAGCTGGGAGAGAAGAAAGCAGGAATGCTTCTTTAAGCTCTGATGTTCAAATGAGAACACATGGACACACGGAGGGAAACGACACACACTGGGGACAGTTGGAGAGTGGGGGGTGAGGGGTGGGAGAGCATTAGGACAAATAGCTAATGCTTGTGGTGCTTAAAACCCAGATGATGGGTTGATAGGTGCAGCAAACCACCATGACACATGTATACCTACGTAAGAAACCTACACATTCTGCACTTGTATCCCAGAACTTAAAAAAAAAAAAAATTCTGACGTTGATTCATCCCTAGGAAGTGTGGCATCATGGTGATGTTCATTCATCCCTAAGAAGTGTGGCATATGACAACATGTGGAACTTGAATCCATTAAACTTCTTTTTCTTTACAAATTACCCAGTCTCAGGCATGTCTTTATTAGCAGTGTGAGAATGGACTAATACAAATATTATGATGAATGAGGACATTCTCATATCTTCCACAAAACCATCATGGAAGACATTATCCATCATTTGGTTACATTTCCCTTATGTAAGGATCCAAGGGGATCTGGAGTACTGCTTTTCTGTTTGCGTCTCAACTCTGCCACATACTAGCTGGGTTTATAGGCTGCTGTGAGGTTTCAATGAGTAAATCAAAACCTGTAAACACTTGGTGCATGCATAGTAAGTACTTAAAACTGGTATTGTTATAATTTTCGGGATATGGTAAAGGATATTGTTTTTCTGGGGAAAGACACTAGGCCCATCATGGGGGTAATACCCTCGTGACCTCGTCTAACCCAAATTACCTCCTCCAAATGCCATTGCACTGGGGGCTAGGGCTTCAACGTGTGGATTTGGTGGAGAAAGACAAAGACATTCAGTCCATAACAATTTTCCTTGGATTTTTATGTATACGATCAAGTCACCTAGGAATGATGACTGTTTCATTTCTTCCTTTCTGGACATTTCCCCCCTGTCTAACTGCACTAGCTAGGATATCCAGGACAATGTGGAATGGAAGTGAGGCTTATGGGTATCAGTGCTATGATACCATCCACAGGGAGAAACCTTTGGCTTTGTATGAAAAGCTGATAGGTAGGGATATTGATATGGTTTGTCTGTGTCCCCACCCAAATCTCAACTTGAATTGTAGCTCCCATAATTCCCATGTGTCATGGGAGGGACCCAGTGGGAGGTAATTGAATCAAGATGGGGGGTCTTTTCCATGCTATTCTTGGCCAGTTGTCAGCCTGCCCAACATATTGTGAAACCGTGTCTCTACTAAAAATAATAAGCCCTCTCTTGCCTGCTGCCATGTAAGATGTGACTTTGCTACTCCTTTGCCTTCTGCCGTGATTGTGAGGCCTCCCTAGACATGTGGAATTGTGAGTCCATTTGTGAGTCCACCTCTTTTTCTTTATAAATTACCCAGTTTCAGGTATGTCTTTATTAGCAGTGTGAGAATGGACTACTTCAAATGTCATGATGAATGAGGACATTCTCATATCTTCTGCAAAACCATCATGGGAGACATTATCCATCATTTAGTTACATTTGCCTTATGTAAGGATCCAAGTGGAATTTTTTTTGAATTCTATTCTAAGAAAAATCATTTCCTTTCCTGTGAACAGCTATACTTCCCTTTGTTAAATGATGATATTCATGTGTCCTTTATGTTTTCTTTTTCTTTTGCTCTGGCTATTAGGGAGCTAAAACCCAAGAGCACACGCAATCAAAATAACCATATTAAATGAGTTTTCTTATGTATTTGATAAATAAATAATTTTTCTTTTGGTTTCCCTTTGGGTGTACCTTTTATTGCAAGCTGTCTCAAGAAGTTTTTTTCACAGTAAATGGGGATAAAATTATTTTAAAAGAATAATACCTGACCTGATTATTACCTGGGTTTATTTCATTGACTGAATGGTGAGACTAATGAATGGACAAGAGCTTTATGAACTGTAAAATGCCGTGTCTGTTATTAACTAGGGGAAGAACATGATTGTCCTTGACTTTAACCAATGTACCTTGTGTCTTCCTTAGTTGGCACTGATGGTTCTGAGTTAGGTAACCATGCTCCCTAAAGCCTCTGAGATTTCCCCTGAGCATCCTGGACACTCAGTGCTTATTTTGCACCACTCTTGTGTGTCCAGGATGACTCCTTCAACTTTATCTTTCTTCTAGAAAGTTGCTATCCATTGTTTACATCCAGTGGCTCATGCATTCATAGACTGCAGCAGCATTTTCTAAGCACCAGCTGCTGGGTATGTATTGGTTACCTGCCCAGCAACCCTTTTCTCTTCTTCTTTGCTGAGACCATCCCATTTTCATTCATGCATCAGTTGGCAATATGCCCAGAGAAATGGAGCCCCTTCCTTCCTCATGCTCTTAGGCATGGAACTCAGTTGGCCCAAGCCAGGCATGCTCATCTTGTTTCTCTCACTGCTGACTGGTTTAGCCTTGGGCACATGACCTGGTTCTCAGTAGTGAGCTAGTAAGGATCAGAAAAACCGCAAAGCCATGACATTATTGAATTAACCTGTCTGGACCACCTACGCCTGGATTTTGTGTGGGAGATACAATAAATCTGGATTATAGGTTGGTGCAAAATTAATATTTAAATCACCTGTAGTTCAACTCTGTGTTGCTTGCAGTCAAAAGTATCCTTATCAGGCTGGGCACAGTGGCTCACGCCTGTAATCCCAGCATTTTGGGAGGCTGATACAGGCGGATCACCTGAGGTCAGGAGTTTGAGACTAGCTTGGCCAACATATAGTGAAACCCTGTCTCTACTAAAAATAAAAAATTAGCTAGGCGTGGTGACACGTACCTGTAATCCCAGCTACTCAGGAGGCTGAGGCAGGAGAATCGCTTGAACCTGGGAAGCGGAGGTTGCAGTGAACTAAGATCCCGCCACTGCACTCTAGCCTGGGTGACAGGGCGAGACTCCATCTCTTGCAAAAAAACAAAAAAAGTCCTAATCAACTGTTTTAGTTTGGATGCTCACTGAAGTAGACTCTGAGGCAAGGATTTGAGTGCCAATAGTTTATTAAGCTTGAGGAGGTGGGGGAAAGGGGACAGGCAAGGGAGGGAAGTGGCAAGAAAGATGCATTATCATGTCAGTTACCAGTGTGGGGAATCACAGTTTAATCTCTCTGGGGAACTCTGGAAAATGACACAGAGCAGGGATTTGCAAACTATTGGCCCATGGCAAACCTGTTCTGCCACCTGTTATTTCAATAAAATGTTCCTGGAATACAGTCACACCCTTTCATTTATGTATAGCCCATGGCAGCTTTTATACAACAGCAGCAGAGTTGAGCATCTGTGAGAGACAATATGACCTGCAAAACATAAAATATTTACTATATGACCCTTTTTCAAGAAGTTTGCCAACCCTAGTGTTGAGCATGTAGCTCAGAATCACCCCCTGGAGGAGTGAAGGAGCTGGGATATTTATACGTCCCTCCTGTTAGTCACTGGTGAAGACCTAATGCAGGAGGTATGTTAATTCTCCAGGACTTCCGACCTGTCCTGTGCACAGGCATTGTGGGCCCTGGCCAAGCAAAGAGATGTAAATACTGATTGTTGGGATTTGTGCAAGTATGGACCCTACTGGTCCATACCAGTACACTAACAGAGATGGCCACATCAGTGCATCCAGAGATGGCTGAGAAGTGCACCTGTCCTCCAGGAACCCATAGTCTGAAGGCAAGGTTGGAAATGGCCAAACATTTTTATTTTTATTTTTTTTGAGATGGAATCTCACTCTGTCACCCAGGCTGGAGTGCAATGGAATGATCTCGGCTCCCTGCAACCTCCGCCTCCCAGGTTCAAGTGATTTTCCCTCCTCAGCCTCCCAAGTAGCTGGGATTACAGGGACCTGCCATCATGCCGGCTAATTTTTTGCATTTTTATAGAGATGGGGTTTCACCATGTTGGCCAGGCTGGTTTTGAACTCCTGATCTCAAGTGATCCACCCACTTCAGCCTCCCAAAGTGCTGGGATTACAGGTGTGAGCAATCGCACCTGGCCTTTATTTTTATTTTGTGAGACAGGGTCTCACTCTGTTGCCCAGGCTGGAGTACAGTGGCACAGTCATAGCTCACTGCAGCCTCAAAATCCTGTGCTCAAGTGATCCTCCCACTTCAGCCTCCCATGTAGCTGGAACCACAGGCCTGTAGCATCCTACCTGGCTAATTTAAAAAACAAACAAAAAAAAAAAAACAAAAAAAAAATAAAGTGTGTAGAGACAGAGTCTCACTGTGTTGCCCAGGCTGGTCTCAAACTCCTGGGCTGAAGCATTCCTCCTGTCCCCGCCTCTCAAAGTGCTTGGGATTACAGGTGTGAGTCACTGTGCCCTGCTCAAACATTTTATAATTAAGTAGAATAACCGACATGTCAGCTGGGGTCCCCTGAATCCTCAAAGATCTAGGTAAGATCTTCTATGCAGGCTACTTCCTGCTAATCTGGGGAGGGCGACCTTCTCAAGGTCGTATCTGCCTCTGGCCCTGGTGCCCCCAACCCACGCTGGCTCTGCTTTTTCCCCTACAGGAGCTTAAGTGCAGAACTTTGCGTCTCCCATTGCCTGCAGGAAACCTACTCAGCTAGTGAGTTCATAGGGCTTCACTGAAGACTGGGGGATTCTGGAGGGGATGATTTTCTGGCACATTCAGGCTTCTAGAACCCTCTATTCTTTCCCCAGCTCTGCTTCTCGTTTTTTTTCTTGTCTGGCTCCAAAACCTTACTCCTTTTATTGAGCACATTATTTCTCTCCAGTTCCCACCTCTGCATTTCCTTTCCTGAATGCTTCTAGGGCCTCAGCAGAACAAGGAACGCCTCATTGATGACGTTAAAAAACAACAACAACAAAACAACCCAAGACACAAGACACAGACAAAACTTTTTTTTTTTTTTTTTTTTTGGTATTCTCCAGACAAAACATTTGCAGCATGAGATGAGGTCCCCTTTGGAAACATCTCCCCACATTCTGTGATTCTGCCAAGTCCTCTAAATTTTGTTTCCTCCTTCATCCACCAGGTGGATTTCAGGACTCCTACTGTCAGAGGCTTGGAATAAACCTCTGGCATGCTTTGCTTCTGTTTTGCTTTCTTTCTTTCTTTTTTTCTGAGATGGAGTTTTGTTCTTGTTGCCCAGGCTGGAGTGCAATGGCGTGATCTCGGCTCACCACAACCTCCATCTCCCAGGTTCAAGTGATTCTCCTGCTTCAGCCTCCAGAGTAGCTGGGAAGCTGGGATTACAGGCATGCGTCGCCACGCCCATCTAATTCTGTATTTTTAGTAGAGATGGGGTTTCTCCATGTTGGTCAGGCTGGTCTCAAACTCCTGACTTCAGGTAATCTACTCGCCTAGGCCTCCCAAAGTGCTGGGGATTACAGGCATGAGCTATCGCATCCGGCCCTGTTTGGCTTTCTAAAATAGACTGTGTGTCTCACCCAGCATGACGTTAGATCTGTTTAGCATGACAGCATTCCATTGAGTCAACTCCTTGGACATACTATATGTTTTGTTTCCCTGGTAGCTAATTAAATAAGACAACTAAGTGCAGTCTAGAAAGTTCCTCTCATAACAAAGTTCCCAAGAATTTACGTCTTTGCTTTACTTACTTACTTTTTCGTGGTAGTTGAAGTTCAAGTGGAAACTGATTATAAAGGAGAAACCTAAATCAAGTTAGGTGAATTCTGCAGTATGAACTGTGCTTGTAAAATCTAACTGGTAATGTATCCACACTGGGAACTTGGTCCTTCCTCTCACAAAGAAAATTCCAGGTCAATTTCATCCCCTATGCTAAGCATTTGAGTGTTCAGGAATGTGATTTTAGTTTTATAAAAATTGTTCTTTTTAAAATTCCTGTCAAATAATCAGATTTTTTTCTCAGCACATTTAGAAGTAAAAATGGAAAGTTTAGAGCATTTTGATATTTTAGTATTTATTTCCATGAAGTCACTTAACCCTCCCAGACTAGTTTCAGAGTTTTGTCTTCCAACCCATCTTTGTGTCTCACTGTACATTTTCTGCATGTACAATGAGAGGTGATTTTTAATTGGAATCCCTTAGATTTTTAGAGAGAAAGCTCTCCTCCTCTATTCTTCTTCCTCTCCTCTCACTGTCTCTCATTTTAATCCAGAGAATCAAAGTGTCTCTTACAGGCTTGGATATCAAGCTGAACTGTTAAAAACAGTGGGGTCCAGGAACCTGAGTTTAAAACAAGCACCTCTGATTGTCTAAGTGGACTTAGAGAAAGACAAATGCTGTGTGATCTCACTTATTTGTGGAATTTAAAAACGTTGAACTCATACAAAAAGAGTAGAATTAGCTAAGTGAACTAATTCAGACAGAGAAAGACAAATGCTGTGTGATCTCACTTATCTGTGGAATCTGAAAATGTTGAACTCAGAGGAAAAGAGAGTCGAATTAGAATGGTTGCCAGGGGCTAGGAGGAAATGTTGCTCAAAGGGTACAGACTTTCGGTGATAAGATGAATAAGTTCTGGGCATCTCATATTTGGCACGGTAACTATGGTTAACAATACCATATTGCTTACTTGAAATTTGTTAAGAGAGCAGCTCTTAAAATTTTTTTTTTTACTTTTTGTGGGTATATAATAAATGTATATATTTATGGGTACATGAGATGTTCTGATACAGGTATGTGGTGTGTAATAATCACATCATGAAGAATGGGGTATCTATACCCTCAAATATTTATCCTTTGTGTTACAAGCAATCCAAATACACTCTTTCAGTTATTTTAAAATGTACAATTAGGCCAGGCGTGGTGGCTCACGCCTGTAATCCCCACACTTTGGGAGGCCGAAGCAGGTGGATCACGAGGTCTAGAGTTTGAGACCATCCTGGCCAACATGATGAAACCCCGTCTCTACTAAAAATACAAAAAATGAGCCAGGCATGGTGGCATATGCCTGTAGTCCCAGCTACTCGGGAGGCTGAGGCAGGAGAATTGCTTGAACCCAGGAGGCAGAGGTTGCAGTGAGCCCAGATCGCGCCACTGTACTCCAGCCTGGTGACAGAGCAAGGCTCTGTCTCAAAAAAAAAAAAAAAAGTGCAATTAAATTATTGACTATAGTCACTCTGTTGTGCTATCAAGTAGTAGGTCTTTTTTTTTTTTTTTTTGGAGTGAAGATCTCATTTCTGTTACCCAGGCTAGAGTGCAGTGGCATGATGACAGCTCACTGCAGCCTCGACTTCCTGGGCTCAAGTGATCCTCCCACTTCAGCCTCCTGAGTAGCTGGGACTACAGGTGTGCCCCACAATGCCTGGCTATTTTTTGTATTTTTAGTAGAGATGGGGTATTGCCATGTTGCCCGGCTAGTCTTGAAATCCTGGCCTTAAGTGATCTGTCCGCCTTGGCCTCCTAAAGAGCTGGGCTTACAGGTGTGAGCCACCACACCTGACCAAGTAGTAAGTGTTACTCATTCTTTGTAACTATTTTTCTTGTACCCATTAACCATCCCTACATTCCCCAGCCCACTACCCTTCCCAGCCTCTGGTAATCACCATCCTTTCACTAAGAGACCAGATCTTAGGTGTTCTCATCACATAAACATCCAAAGACAACTATGGGAGGTAATGAATAGGGTAATTAGCTGGTTCATGGTGATCATTTCACAATTTGTGTATACATATATCTCCAAAGATCACATTGTACACTGTAAATGTATTCCATTTTTATTTGTCAATTTTACCCCTGTAAAGCTGGGAAAATGAAATAAAATAAGCATCTTGGGCAGAACTGGCTGCATAGTTTTCAGGGCCCAGCACAAAACGAAAATGTGGTGATTCTTGTTATGAAAATTATAGGAATTCTGGCTGGGTGCAGGGGCTCACACCTGTAATCCCAATACTTTCGGAGGCTGAGGCTGGGGAGTTGCTTTGAGTCCAGGAGTTTGAGACCAGCCTGGGCAACATGGCAAAACTGCATCTCTACAAAAAAAAATAAATAAATAAATTAAAAAAAATAAATAAATAAATCAGCCGGGAATGGTGGTATACATCTGTGGTCCTAGTTACTCGGGAGGCTAAGGCAGGAGGACCGCTTGAGCCTAGGAGGTTGAGGCTGCAGTGAGCCTCATGCCACTGCATTGTAGCCTGGGTGACAGAGAAAGACCTTGTCTCAAAAAAAAAAAAAAAAAAAAAATTATAGGAATTTCAAAATGCCAGCATCACAGTGGGGTCGTCTAATTATGGGGCCTTGTGCAGTTACCCCAGGCAGCATAGCAAGAAGCCTGGAAGAGCTTTGCTGCAGGATTCAGATCCCAGACCATGGTGCCCATGAGTTTCAAGATCTTGTAACATGAAGGCGTGTCTTCAACAGACTCTCTCCAAAGAAATCCTCTCTTGCTCTTGGCCCTTCTTTGTGCCTGAAAAGCGTGAGAAGAGGGTGTAAGCAGGACAGAACCACTTTTATTTTTATTTATATATTTTTTTGAGATGGAGTCTCGCTCTGTCGCCCAGGCTGGAGTGCAGTGGCACCATCTCGGCTCACTGCAAGCTCCGCCTCCCGGGGTCACGCCATTCTCCTGCCTCAGCCTCCCGAGTACCTGGGACTACAGGCGCCCGCCACCACGCCCCGCTGATTTTTTTTTTTTTTTTTTGTATTTTTACTAGAGACGGGGTTTCACCGTGTTAGCCAGGGTGGTCTCCATCTCCTGACCTCGTGATCCGCCCGCTTTGGCCTCCGAAAGTGCTGGGATTATAGTCGTGAGCCACTGTGCCCGGCCAGAACCACTTTTCAAAGATTTTGTTTGAAAATCTGCCTTTTGATTTTGTACTTGATTTTGGAATTCTTTATTATTATTATTATTTTTTGAAACGAAGTCTCGCTCTGTCACCCAGCCTGGTGTGCAGTGGCGCCATCTCGGCTCACTGCATGCTCCGCCTCCAGAGTTCACACCATGCTCCTGCCTCAGCCTCCCGAGTAGCTGGGACTACAGGCGCCCGCCCCCGTGCCCGGCTAATTTTTTTGTATTTTTTTAGTAGAGATGGGGTTTCACCGTGTTAGCCAAGATCGTCTCAATCTCCTGACCTCGTGATCTGCCCACCTCGGCCTCCCAAAGTGCTGGGATTACAGGCGTGAGCCACCTACTGTTTACACCGAAAAAAAATAGTAGGCTCTGGAGATGCAACAGACCCTGCTTTTATGGAGCTTTCAGAGAGGGAAGACAAGTCAACACATGAATAAATGTTAAGAGGTAGTGAGCATTAAGGAGATAAAGTAGGTATAGAGAATGGAGAGAGATGGGAGGTGTGACCCCGTTTCAATAGGGTGGTGAGTGAAGGCCTCTCTGAAAAGGTGGCTTTGAGCAAACGCCCAAATAAATGGAGGGGCTGAGCCGTGCAGATATCTGGAAGCAAATGGGGCAGGGGAAGGAGCTGTTTCAAAGGATCCAAGATGGGCAAACACCTGCAGGGCTTAGAAATGGTGGCTATAATCAGAAAGCATGTAGCAATAGAAGCCTTGCAGCTGAATACATGCATTTGAGGCAGCAATGACTTCTTTCTAGGGGGTTTATATGAGGAGGGATTTTTCTTTTTGGGAAAAACCCTGAGGTACACGTACTCAAAGGAAATATTTGTTGACTTGGATGGAAAGGGCCTGTCTTCAGCTTTCTTTCTGCTCTGCCCGGCTGCCTCTCAGTGTTAGGTTCAATGCTTGAGGCTGTGCCAAGTTGATTTCCCTGTGAGAGCAGACGCCTGATAGAAGGGCACAGTGCCAGTCCCGTTGATAATGAAATCTTTGCATCCCCGTTGACACTTCTATAAAGGACAGAAGAGGAACTGCAAGTTCCCATTCTGATCTTTTATTTCTGTTTTGTCACCCTCAAGAAGATCTGTCAGAAAGCTTTTGGGATCTGGACTCAGATGGACCTGAATTTGAAGCCCACTGCGAATTTTACTGCAGTGGGATTTTGGTGAGAGCTGCTCAAACCTGAACTTGAGGCCAGGCCTGGTGGTTCATGCCTGTAATCTCAGCACTTTGGGAGGCCGAGACAGGAGGATCATTTGAACTCAGGAGTTCAAGGCTAGGCTGGGCAACATAGGGAGATCCTGTCTGTAATAAAGAATAAAAAATTAAAACCCTGAATTTGAGAGGAGCACGTGGTGACAGTGCTCAGATTTGGGTTATTCATGCCCAATATTGTGGCTCTTTCTGTTTTTGTTTTCAAATTTTGTTTTATATTTGTCTTTACAGAACATTAACATTGTCCCAAACTAATAACTAAATAAAAAAGCCATCCTCAGAGTAGGTACAGAGTGGTTAGTTGCCCTGGTTGGAGGAGTGGGAGAGTTCTATCACCAATATTGTTTAGAATTGCCAGTAATAATAAAAATGGATGACCTTTAATTGCTTTTTGTTCATGTCATAATACTCGTGTATGAAATTCATATATTTTTAGAAATCACCACGTTGTTTTGGAATAATTTTAGATTTGCAGAAGTTGCAAAAATAGCACAGATAATTCTTGTAGTTACCCTTCATCCAGTTCCCCCTAATGTTAGCATCTTACATCACCATGGTACATTTGTCAAAAGAAATTAATATTAATATAATGCTATTAACTATAGACTTTACTCAAATTTCATCAGTTTTTCCACCAATGTCCTTTTTTCCTGGATCCAAAATTTGATTTAGATACCAATTGCATTTAATAGTTGATTGTATTACTGTTTTTTAAATTCTCTACAGACAAGGCACCTATTGACTGCACCTGGCAGAACAAAGCACTCCCACACTCCTCTTTCTTGGTTCTCCCCTCTTCTCAGCCTTAGAGAGGTCCCATTTTCATTCCTATTACCCTTCTTCTTCTCTCTCCACCAAAGGAAACTTTTTTTTTTTTGTGGTTTTAGCCTTTTATTATTTTATTTCGCTAATATAAGCAAATATATATTCTAATCCCTTTCACTTCCTTATACAAAACAACATACTCTTTTCTGAAACCTTGCTAATTTCATTTGAATGAACTGGAAACTCCTCCATACTGGGGATGTAGAGGTCCTTCTCATTCTTTTAGTATGTTTCATAGTACTCTGCTGGGTGGCTATATCATGCTTTATTCAACCATTCCCCTATTGATGGACATTTGGGTTGTTTCTACTCATTGGGTGTTATAATACTGCAACAAATCAGTCGTGGTTTTCTTAGGGAGAAAGATGAGGGTGGGAGGGAGAAAAGTGACATTAATCTGTAAATTATGAATAGTTCCATAAAGAATAGAATGGAACTGGAGTGCCTTTTCTTTTTCTTTCTTTCTTTTTTCTTTTTCTTTTGAGATAGGGTCTCACTCTGCTCAGGCTGGAGTGCCATGGCGTGATCTCAGTTCACTGCAGCCTCAACTTTCCTGGCTCAAGTTATCCTCCCACCTCAGTCTCCTGAATAGCTGAGATTACAGGTGTGTGCCACTATGCTTACGAGTTTTGTTTTGTATTATTTGCAGAGATGGGATCTCACCATATTGCCCACACTGGTCTCGAACTCCCAGGTTCAAACCATCCTCCTGACTCAGCCTCCCAAAGTGCTGCGACTATAGGCGTGAGTCATGGCACCTGGCCTGGAGTGCCTTTTCTATGGAAACCAGGGGACCCCTAAAACTCATCTTTCTTTTTGCCTGAGGGATTATCCCTTTGTGATGACCTTGACTTTGAAGGTAGGTAGGCTTGGAAGCCCATATACTTGGTGATAATCAAGAGATTCTACAGTTGAGGCTTCAAGACTTGCACTTGCTTTATAACAATTGCTGGAGAAAAAAAATTATGCCAACTCAGGAAATGGACTCCAGTCAATAAGGCCTTCAGTGCAAATATTCTCTTGGAATAATTTATTAACTCCCTGCAGACCTTGTGGTCAGGCACAATTAGAGTCTTCTCCCACAGAGGCTGCGTGCCATTTAGCAGCCTGGGGCTATGGCCTGCAACATGGTATTGAGGAGGCCCAGGGGACATCTGAGAATTGGGGCTGGTGAAGATGAAATTGAGGAGACAGCTCAATAAGGCAAACAAGCAAGGGATGTGCAGGTGGACAGGCCTGGGTTCAAATCCCTACTCTGCTAAATGTTTTAGCTGGGGTTCTTTGGGTGAGTTTCTTTACCTCTTTGAGTCTCCATTTCCATCTCTGTTAGATGGGCATAAGGATTGCTGTGAGGTTTACATGAGCTGAATTTCTGCCCTTACAGGGAATATAAGTTGGCAAAGCCTCAGGCATTGAACTTAACACAGACAGACAGCAGGACAGGGCAAAACAAAAGCTGAGGATGGGCCTTTTCCATCCAAGTCAACAAATATTTCCCCTGAGCCCATGTGTCTCAGAGTTTTCCCTAAAAGGAAAATATGTAAAGCACTCAGCACCAAGTGTCTATTAAACGACAGTAATTAGTTTGGGGAGAAGTTTCAACTCCATGGGGTACAAGCATGAACTAGTTTTGTTTTTTTTCTTAAATATTATTATCAGTTGTATGTTCAGTCTTTCTACCCCAGTGGGTGCTAGGTCCCTTAACTTTCTGGCCACTTTCAGCTATTAAAAAACTTAGTTCAGTCTGACTTAAATCTCCAATTTCAGATCCAATGAAAAGTTCACTTCTGGCCAGATGCGGTGGCTCATGCTTGTAATTCCAGCATTTTGGGAGGCTGAGGCAGGCGGATCATCTGAGGTCAGGAGTTCAAGACCAGCCTGGCCAACATAGTGAAACCCCGTCTCTACTAAAAATACAAAATTAGCTGGGCGTGGTGGCGGGCACCTGTAATCCCAGCTACTTGGGAGGCTGAGGCAGGAGAATCACTTGAACCTAGGAGGCAGAGGTTGCAGTGAGCCCAGATCGGGCCATTGCACTCCAGCCTGGGCAAAAAGAACGAAACTGCATCTAAAAAACAAACAAACAAACAAACAAACAAACGTTATCTCTCTTCCCCATGGCAGGGACCTGAAGAGGTGCGTGCGAAGGGCATGTTTAGCTCTTTATGCATCTCCCATTCCTCTCTTTGTGTGTGGAGATGGGGAGGAAAGTGGGTCGGGGAGTTTAGGCTTATTTCTACTTAACTTGGCAAGGTCGTAGTTATGGGTGGCATTTCTGATCTTGTTCTGTGTAACACTGGTTTTGCTGCTCAAAACCTTTGCAAATGAGATGGTTCTGGTGTAGATCGTGTGCTTGGTTTCAATGTCATATGTGCCCCATCTGTCACTGAGACCCTTAGGGGAAGGCCAGCCTTGCCTCCCTTTGGCCCCTTTCAATCATCTGTGGCCCCAAGCCCCTCATTTAGTGGCTCCTTGGATAGCCTCTCATCTGTATCTCTGGCTTCCTCTTCTACCATGAAATCACAGGCATCTGTGACGCACTCTTAGGGCACAGGGAATGAGAGGGAGATGCCTGCCCCTGTCCTTTTCCTACATTAAGCTTTGCTTAGAGTCAGCTTTTCCAAGAGTGTCCTCACTCCATCTTACTCAGATGATCGCACTAGAGGGGCTCATGGCTCTGCAGCTCAGGGATAGAGATGCTAGCCCCTCCTTCTTGCAATCAGCCCCCATGGCTCCATGGCAGGTGACCATATAATTGGCTGGTGACCATGACAGGTGACCATATAATTTGTTGCTCAGATTTGGACTGTTCTGAGTATGAAAGGGAATGAGAAGTTATTAATAGATATGTTAAGACAACAGGTATAAATTGGGATCATTCAGGGCAAACTGGGGATGTGTGATCACCCTCTTTTGGAGCAATTTCTCTTGGGGATCTCTCACCCTGAGCTAGGTACCAACTGTCTGCTGTAGTCATTGATCCAGAACAACTGGAGAATTCCTACTTGATGTCCTGTTATAGAAGCAATGGTGACAAAGTAGGTGGTGGTGAGGATTAAATGAGAGAGTGTATTTAAAGTGCTTAGCACAGCTGCTAGCACACAGTAGGTGCTCATAGTGGGTCCTGTTACCTCCGTTACCTCCCCTTTCCACCCCACTGTAGCTCTGCTGTGATGGGTCTACTCTCTGAATTCAAAATCAAGTGATAAGAGCATTAATTAAGCACCAACTACGTGTCAGGGGCTGTGCTAAGTACTTTATAGACCTTACCTTTCTCAGTCCTAAGAACAGTCTTAAAGTAGGTAAATATTATGTCCATTGTATAGTTAGAACAACCGAGGCTCAGAGAGGCTAAGTGCTTTCCCAAGGTCACACAGCATATAAGTGGCAGAGCTGTGATAGAAACCAGGACTGCTTGACTCCATGGTTCACTCCTGACATGGTTTGGATTTGTGTCCCTGCCTAAATCTCATGTCGAATTGTAATTCCCAGTGTTGAAAAAGGGGCCAGGTGGGAGGTGATTGGATCATGGGGGCAGATTTCTCCCTTGCTGTTCTTGTGATAGTGAGTGAGTTCTCATGAGATCTGGTTGTTTAAAAGTGTGTAGCACCTTCCTCTTCTCTCTCTTCCTTCTGCTCTGGTGATGTAAGACATGCCTGCTTCTCCTCTGCCTTCTGCCATGATTGTAAGTTTCCTGAGACCTCCCCAGCCATGCTTCCTGTACAGCCTGCGGAATCGTGAGCCTATTAAACCTCTTTTCTTTGTAAATTTCCCAGCTTCAGATATTTCTTCATAGCAGTGCAAGAACTAATACAACACCTTTAGCAACTCAGCCACATGAGGAGTTGAGAGTATGCAACTCTCAACTCTAACTCAAGTGTAGATGGGGCTGAGTCTGTTTTATTTCTGAGCAGACAAGGTAGGGATCCCAGGCTTGTAATTTCATAAAAGGAAGTATGGGAAGGCTTTCTTCGAATTGAAGTTGAGCCTTGCGCAAGCATGAGAGGTAAAAAAAATCCATTCTGGAGGGATCTAAGATGACCAGAAAGAACTCAACCATCTGGGGGAGAGTGGATGCTGCGTGGGAGATGAGACCAGGAAATTTGCCACTGCATCATTGGTTTTTGGACCTTTGGCAGATCTGATATAATGGAAGGCATTTAGAGCATCTGAATCTATTGACTGTCCAATTCAGTCGATTGATTGTTCAGTGTTGCCAACATTTTGACTTTAGTTCACAGCATTTCTCTTGAAATGGGTTGGCTATATTCCCAATCAAATACTGATTGACACATTGGCATCAAGCATTCTTATGTGCCCAGCTCAGTGGTGGTCACTTGGTGGAAGAATATGATCTATCACCAAGGAGTTACTACTTAGTTTGGGAGGAATCTTAAGTAACATGGAATAATTTGGTCTATCTTAGCCCCCCAGAAGATTGCTTTCATTTATTTATTTAGCCACGCTTTGGCGTAATTCTTTAACTTGCTATTGGGAGATATTTTGGTTACCCATTGTCAATAATGGGGCATAGTGAATCTTCCCCAAACTCTGTGGCATGCAACAGTGAACATATATTTAGCTCATGCATCTGCGACTGGGGGGTGGCTGAACCCAGCTGGGCTTGCTTATGCAATTGCAGGTCAGCAGGGGGTGTGCTGAGCTAGGCTGGGCTCAGCTGTGTGGTTCTGCTGTAGGCTACAGGTCTGTGGGTTAAGTTGAATGAGCTTGACTCCAGGTATTTTTTTACCTTCTTTGAACCAGAGGGCTAGCCAGGGCATGCTCTTCTCATGGTGATGGGAGAGATTCAGGAATTCACATCCAGCTGCACAAACACATCTAAAGCTCCTACTTGTATCATGTCTATCATCATTTCATTCACCAAAACAAGTCATGTGGCCAAGCTCAAACTTAAGAGATAGAAAGAAACTATCAAATTACATGGGAAAGAGAAAGAGAATGAGTTCTGGAAGAGGAAAAGAACTCAGAGGAAGTTATAACAACTAGTTGTGAAAGACTCCTGGTGTATTGGTGCTGTTGAAAGGGTTGTCCAGATGGGTGTGGTGGTTCATGCCTGTAATCCCAGCACTTTGGGAAGCTGAGGCGGGTGGATCATTTGAGCTCAGGAGTTCAAGACTAGCCTGACCAACATGGTGAAACCCCTTCTCTACTAAAAATATAAAAATTAGCCGGGCGTGGTGGCACACGCCTGTGGTCCCAGCTACTTGGGAGGCTGAGGCAGGAGAATCACTTGAACCAGGGAGGTGGAGGTTGCAGTGAGCCGAGATTGCGCCACTGCACTCCAGCCTGGGCAAGAGAGTGAGACTCCATCTCAAAAAGAAAAAAAAAACAAAGAAAGAAAGGGTTGTCCACTTCACTCTCACTATGGCCCAGTGCCCCACACCTCTCAACTTTAGAGAGAGCTGTGCTTCCCTTGAGCAACTGGGACATTTTTATTGCATGGATGCCAACCAGAAGCCCAGAGTCAAATTTCAGCTTATCTCTACCTTGTGGCTATAAAAATAATCCTAATAACTGCTCTCAACCCACCTATAGCTTCATCATAGCTGCTGCTTCTACGATACCTTCACTGATTTTATCCTGTTGCATTGAGTAAGTTTTTTTAAGTATCTACACGTCTTTTCTGGAATAAAATAGGGCAGAAATGAACACACCTGAATGCCAGATGTAAGGTACGGATAATTCATTCCACTAGTATTTACCAAATACTGTGTGTCAGGCTCTGTATGTGGTATCTGAGGTTATGCAGGTGAGTGTTACACATTCCCTGCCTTCGAGGAACTCACATGACAATAGACTATAGCAGAGTTTTTCAAGTTCAGTTACACTGATATTTTGGGCCAGATAGTTCTTGTTGGGGGCGGTGGGGGCTGTCTTGCGCATTGTAGGATGTTTAAGCATTCCTAGCCTCTACCCAGTAGGTGGCAGTAGTGACCCCCCCAATATGACAATTAAAATCCCCAGAATTGCCACATGTCCCTTGAAAAGCACAATCATCCCTGGTTAAGTGCAACTGTAGGAGGCTTGGGAGCTCAGAATAGACACGGAACCCAGAAAAGCTTGCCACTTTGATACCTGAGTGAAGGTTGGGAGGCTGGTTGCAGAAGCCAAGAGAAGGAGTAGGGAAAGGCCATTTCTGTTACGTGGAGTAGCCGGGGTTGGTGGACCTGCACAGGGTGGGGGCATGAATGTTGAGAGATGAAGCCAGAGATGCAGGCAGAGCCAGGCCTTGTGCCACAGACCTTGCATGAATGTGACTCTGTAGATCCCTACCTTCAGCGTGTCTGAGAAAAGACACTTGTTCAACACGTGAATTCTTGGGACCCCTTCCAGGGGGTTAAATCCGGGAATCTCAATTTAATTTCCTGGAGGGAGTCCCGAGAATCTGCATGTGGAATGAACCTGAACTCATTAATTCCCTGGCAGGGGTCTGCAAGGATCTGAATGTCTCCAACGGGGTCTGGGAATCTGATTTTTTGAGGCATCTGTGACGATTCTGATACAGAAAGTCCCAGACTCACCTGAGTCCTTCATCTGCGTTATTTAACTTGAATTTAGAATGTCTGTAGAGGTAATGGTGAGCTACTGAAGCCTCATCTGCAGGGGTGACACAGGGTTAGGGTTATAGATGACAGCTGCTGTGGATCAGGGCTCTTCGTCTTGGTTTGTACAATGGTATCACTCGAGGAGTCTTGAGCCAGATCTTTGTCAGGCTCTCCCTCAGATCAATTGCGTCTGAATCTCTGGGGGTGGGGCCCTGGAAACAGTATTTTATTTTTGCTGATTCTTACAGGTACTCATATATTCACACACTGGCACTTACTTATTCAGTAGCCTTTTGTGCCATGCTCAAAGCACTGGGAATATAGAAGTGAATGCGCCACAGGCTCTGCTCTCATTGAAATTACCTTTACTGTTGTGGTAGACAATAAGCGAATAAACACGTATTAAATCAGTATATTTATTTATGAAGAAATATATGAAGCCATATTGAACAATGAGGAAGTGATAGGAATGGGAGGTTTATTTTTTTAAAAATATAAGTTTTATTCAGATACATAATTCACATTCCATACAATTCACCCATTTAAAGTACACAATTTAATAGTTTGTCGTATATTCACAGAATTGTGCAACCATCACCACAATCGACTTTTTTTATTTTTTAGAGACAGGGTCTCACATTGTCACCCAGGCTGGAGTGCAGTGATGAGATCATGGCTCACTGCCGCTTCAAATTCCTAGGCTCAAAGGATCCTCCTGCCTCACCCTCCTGAGTAGTTGGGACCACAGGCATGCACCATCACACCCAGCTAATTAAAAAAAATTTTGTTTGTAGAAATGGGATCTAGCTACATTGCCCAGGCTGGTCTTGAACTCCTGAGCTCAAGTGACCCTCCCACCTAAGCCTCCCAAAGTGCTGAGATTACAGGCATGAGCCACCACACTCAGCCTACAGTCCGAACATTTTCATTTCCTCGAAAAGAAACCCTGTAGTCACTACCAGAAACTCCCCATTTCCTCCCATTTCCCCTCCCCCAACCCCTGGCAACCATTAATCTACTTTACGTGTCTATGGATTTGCCTAGTCTGGACATTTCATATAAATGGAATGAAATAACATATGTTTCTTTGTGACTGGCTTCTTTCACTTACATAGCTTTTAAAGACCCATCTGTGTTGCAGTGTGGATCAGCACATCATTCCTAGACCACATTTTGTTCATCCATTCATCAGTTGATGGACACTTCGGTGGTTTCCACTTTTTGGATATCCATGAATACTGCTATTATGAACATTTGTATATAAGTTTTTTGTGTGGATACAGAAACTATCAATTCTCTTACATATATATACCTAGGAGTGGAGTTGCTGGGTCATATGATAACTCTGTTTAACCCTTTGAGGAACTAACTGCCAGCCTTGTTTCCCAAGTGACTGTACCATTTTACATTTCTACCAGCGGTATTATAAGGTTCCAATTTCTCCATATTTTCATCAATACTTGTCGTTGTTCATCTTTTTAATTATAGCTATCCTTGTGGGTGTGGAGTGGTCTCTCATTGTTGATTGAATTTGCATTTCCCTGATGGCTAATGACATCGAGCATCTTTTTGTGTGCTTGTTGGTGAACAGTGTGGTATGAAGCTTCTTCAGGTTATTCTAACAGGTAGGCGGAGTTGCGAAGTCTACTTGTGTTTGAGGAAAGCAGAGATTCTTGTGGGTCAGTGGTTGTTGGGAGAAGCTTCCCGAAGGAAGGTATGTCACCTAGAGGGGTTATACTTGTAGGTGGACCTGCTGAAAGGGTGAGATCCCTCAGGGGCTCATGCAGGGCAGATTGGAGGGAGCAGAGCTGAACAGTGGAGAGCACAGTTAGAAGGCTTCTTCAGGCATCCAGGGGTCATAACTGGAGAGAGGAGAGTGGAATTGAAGAGGGCGGATGGGACAGACATGAAGTTGGGATCGAGCCGACCTCAGGAAGATGAAGTACTGGGGGAGGGTGTGGGCAGAGGGGAGACAGGGAAAGGAAAAATCAGATGTTGAATTTGTTCAACTTCAGTGGCAGAAATGAGAAAACCATTTTGGGAAAAAAAAGATGAAGATGGACTAGGATCCGAGAAGAAGCAGGGTCACAAACAGCGTAAGCCCAAAGGACATTCCCTGCTGTTTCTGAACCCGCCTTGGCTGGCCCGTAAACTGGGCAGGGGTGACAGTCCTGTGTTGTAAAGGGCGTAGAGGGCTTAAGCGAGGTAATTGATATAGCCTGGAAGCTACACTGATTTGAACTTTGTTCATACATCTAATTAATTACCTGATATTATTATTTACATTTGGCTCTCTTGTCTTACTTATCTTTATAACTCTCTATTTGCTTAACCTCAGGACCTATAACAGAGCCAGATTTACAGTTTCTTTTCCTTCCCTTTATTAACAGCTGAGCACTCACTGTGTGCCAGTTGTTGTACATATGGGTTATGCAATGTCGGCTTCCAGCAGCCCTGTTTTACAGATGAGCCAAACAAACCCCCTCCCCGAGTTACTCGTCTGTAGACTGAGTTATGGCACTGTGACGGAAGGGGATAAGTTTGCTGACTGCATGCTATAAGCCCGTTTATGTCATTTTTCTTTTTTAATCTTCCAGTCTCCCAGTAAGGTGGGTGTGATTGTCCTCATGTTGCAGAAAGGCAATGAATTGCCCAAGACCCCACAGCTAGTGAAGTGTCAGGGTCTGATTGCAAAACCCATAACTCCCCATTGTAGCACATCCCCTCTTCTGAGACCTTGGGGCAACGGGAGAAGAGATGGATCATGAAGGGGAAAGTCTGCAAGGACCTGGAGGCTGCAGTGCCGCCCTCTGCTCCCAGATGGCGCTCAAGGCTCAGCTTCCAGAACACACTTAAGGCTCCAGGCTGCCTTTGGTAGGCTACTGGTTTAACGCAAAATGTATTTTAAGGAAAGGAAGAGGTGCTTTGTTTTATTTTGTTGGTTTTGAGGGGTTTTTTTTGGTCATTGTTTTGTTTTTGTTTCTGCTTGCAAAGCCAATCACTACCTCTAAGCTTGCAGTTCGTCCGTGTACCTTACATCCGGCTAACATCCTAGCAAAACCCTAGAGAGGAAAGGGATAGGTAAGGGGCGAGGGAGGGGACCAGTCGGGTAAGCATTTCAAGAAGAAATTAGAGTGAAATGGCCCCATTATGGAGACCCCCCTCTTTCTTGACCGTTTAAGCCAAGTTGGCATGGTTCGTAGATACCAGCAAAATCCCCTACCCTGGAAAGTGGGACCTCCGTCAGTCAAAAGAAAGAACATTGTCAGAGGTGCAAAGAATCGTCATTCAGTGTCGGAACCCTCATTTGGTGGATTCAGAAAATGGACGGCCGAGTCATGGGTTCAAGTTCAGGTCTTTTGGTGCCATTTTACTCACCCCGTTAAGTTTTCTCTCTGTTAAAAAAATTGAAAAGTTAGGCCAGGGGTGGTGGCTCACGCCTGTCATCCCCAGCACTTTTGGAAGCCTACGTGGGAGGATGGTTTGAGGCGAGGAGTTCGAGATCAGCCTGGCTAATATGGCGAAACCCCGTTTCTACTAAAAAAAAATAATAATAAAAACAAAAAATTTAAGTATTTGTTGCCTAGCTGGGGTTTGCATGGGCATGAGTCAGGAAAGTGGGCTGAGTGCACAAAATGGGAGGTACCTTTTCTCCTCCAAGGCGGTCCCAGCTCCAGCTATGGGGAGATGTTATGTTGCCTATTTTTCTTTTCCACTTGTTTTTTTAAAAAGTGAGAGATCAGGATTTTGTATGTACAATTTCCCAAAGTTTAACAGTTGCCAACTAAGTTTTTTTGTTTTTGTTTTTTTTAAGAAGGTCACTATGAGCCTTAGTCCTGTGGGAGCATCTTGGCGCCTGCTTTTTGTCTGGTTTGGGCAGCACCCTGAGGAGGGGGAAGTGGGTGGGGTGCCAAGATTGGGTATGGCGGGGTGTCAGGTCAGTTTGGAAGAGTCTTGGCCTGCTGGTTGGAGAGGAGGCCTGGCTGGATTTTATGCTGTTCAAATGAGAAACAGACCCATTCTGAGAAATTGAAAGTTGTGCCATCTTTATTTCCTATTTTCCACTCTGCGATTTTTTTTTTTTTTTTTAAGACAGAGTCTCACTCTTGTTGCCCAGGCTGGAGTGCAGTGGTGCGATCTCAGCTCACTGCAACCTCTGCTTCCCAGGTTCAAGCGATTCTCCTGCCACAGTCTCCCAAGTAGCTGGGATTACAGGCATGCACCACCATGCCTGGCTAATTTTTTTTAATTTAGTAGAGACAGGGTTTCATCATGTTGGTCAGGCTGGTCTCAAACTCCTGACCTCAGGTGATTCACCCGCCTCAGCCTCCCAAAGTGTTGGGATTACAGGCGTAAGCCACCATGCCCAGCCTCTGTGATTAAAGTCAAAATGTGGGAATTATTTTCATGCACATTGTAGATATAGACACTAAATGTAATTCCATCTCCCGAACCCTCTATCCGCCTTTTTTTGTTGCTGTTGTTGGAGTCCAAATGCCTAAAAATTGTGCAGAGCTTAATGCCTCATATAGGTTTCTTTCTCCTCGGTCTTTCTTTCTTTCTTCTTCTTCTTTTTTTGTTTTTAACTTTTATTTTTAGTTCAGGAGTACATGTGAAGGTTTGTTCCATAGGTAAACTTGTGTCATGGGGGTTTGTCGTTCAGATTATTTCATCATCCAGGTGTTAAACCTAGTACCCATTAGTTATTTTTCCTGAGTCTTCCTCCTCCCACCCTCCACCCTTTGATAGGCCCCAGTGTGTGTTGTTCCCCTCTATGTATTCTCATCGTTTAGCTCCCGCTTCTAAGTGAGAACATGCAGTATTTGGTTTTCTGTTCCTGTGTTAGTTTGCTAAGGACAGTGGTCTCCAGCTCCATCTATGTCCCCACAAAGGATGTGAGCTCGTTCTTTCTTAATGGCTGCACAGTATTCCATGGTGTATATATAACACTTTTTTTTTTTAATCCAGTCTATCATTGGTAGGCATTTAGGTTGGGTCTTTATATCTTGTCTCATATATATTTTTCATTTTTCTCACTTTGTCTGTTAATTGCACTTTCCAATTTTGTTATGTTATGTGCATTTTTGGAAGCTGCCTCAAGAACATCCTGGAACGAATAAAAATGCTTGTGTAGCAGGACATTTTGGCTGACTGATCTGGAGGTCGAGATGCTTTGACTGTGGACAGTACTTCCCTCTCCTCTGCCTGCTTGCATGCTCCGAGGCTTTTATTTTTAATGGAAACAGGGAGATAAAGGGAATGGAATAGGATCTGCTTTCTATTTGGCTCTCTGTGCTGGGTTTGAGGTCCTATGATTAGAGGGACAGACTGACAGCTGTTTTTCAGGGGACACTTGGTGACATCCTAAGCAAGGCATGATGGCCAGGAGTTCACATTGCCCTAGAGACAAGCAGAGTGGCTTCAAGGTCTGGGTGGCAATTGATGGCCAAACTCTGACTCCAGGTCTCTGCTGGGAAGTTGCTGCTTGTCATTTTCAGGTAGCTCAACAGACTGGAAGCTTTGCGGGGATCTGGAATAATCTGCTTTTTAGAAGCAGCAATGAAGCTTCCCTCAGCTTCTTTGTGAACGAATGTGTGCCAAGCAGACTGGAAAGTGCTCTGTGAACTCTGATTGCTAAATGCAGGTGGGCACATCACAGAGACCCGTCGTGTTGACCAGAGACCACTTTGAGGGGGCTCATTCCTGCAAACCATCCAGATAAATGGGGGCACATGTCACCATCATTTTTGTATGAGAGAAAGTAGGAATGGTTTGTCAAGATCTGCCAAAATTAAAAACACGCAACAATTCCACTTCTTGGAATACATCCTATGGAAATATTCACATATGTGCAGAATAATATATGTTCAAGGTGTTCATTGCAGTATGTTTTGTGATAGAGAAAATGTGGGATAACCTAAATATTCATCAACTAGGGAGTGGCTAAATTATGGTATATCCGTACTACTGGGCGCCATGTAGCTGTTAAAAAGATAAGATAAATTGATAAGTGGCAACATGGAAATATCTCCCAAACACACCAACTTTACATAAACTATGTGTGTGCATCTGTATACGTGTGTGTATCTATCTATCTATCTATCTACCTATCTATCTATCTATATTTGACTCTTGAACAATACAGATGTGAACTGCTTCAAAACCCCTGTGTAGATGAAGGGTTACTTTTCCTATCCTCGAGTTCTGCAAGGTTGACTGCAGGTCTCGGGTAGGCACAGATTTTGGTACACCTGGGGGTCCTGGAACCAGTCCCCTGTGTATACCGAGGGATGGCTGTGTATAGTTCATATATATATATATATATATATATATATATATAGAGAGAGAGAGAGAGAGAGAGAGAGAGAGTTATAGTTTATAGTCTATATATACTCTATATAACTACATATATACTATGTACTATATGTAACTATATATATTTAATATATACATTTATATATTTACATGTGTTTACATATAGTACATGTTCATTTATATATTTACTAAATATATAAATATAGTATATATTTAGTACTAAATATGTACTATATGTAACTATAAATATTTATATATACTAAATATACTAAATATGTATTTAGTAAATTTAGTATATACTGAATATATATTTAGTAAATTTAGTATATACTAAATACAGTATCTATAGTATATATAGTATTATATATAGTATATCGTATATACACACATATATAGTATATATTATATATACACATACTATCTATACATATATAGTATATTTAGTGCCAAATATATATTATATGTAACTATATCAATATTTATATATTATTATATATAAATATATATGGTATATATAGTATTTATGTATACTAGATATGTAAATACTTAGTATATATAGTATATTTAGTACTAAATATGTACTATAACTATAGTTACATACGTATAGTACATATTTAGTTTTAGTCCTAAATGTTTAGTACATTAAATATTAAGTGTATAAAACTATATATAGTATATATACATATTTAATATATAGTTAATGGAATATAATATGAAATATAAATATTTCCGTATTTTATATGGTTATATATAACTGTATATATACATAACTACATACATATACATGCAGTTGTGTATTTATATAGTGTGTGTGTGTGTGTGTGTGTGTGTGTGTGTGACATTGTGTATGTACAATCAACATCCCCCTCCCCACGGGAAGGCATCTGGGTTTGTAGACCGGCTGGTGACTAACGGATTATGGAAAGTTATTGCCTGTGGTCAGGGTCATGCTCAAAATGTTTGAGCACCGGGAGGGCATGAGCACAGATTCACCAGAGTGGATGCTGGAGCGGGCCCCGCAGGCCCTTGCTCGGCCAGGTGTTAAGCCTGGATAATGAGAGGGAGGGGCATGTGAGGTAGCAGGAGAGGTTGCTGAGCGACTGGCGTGGGAGAGTGTCCCTGTTTTGAACAACTGGTGTGGCCGTACTGAAAGCCCTAGTGAAATATCCGTCTTGCCGTTGGCAGTCTTATTTTAAAATTCCAATAAGAAAGTGGTGGGCTGTCTACACCCTGATTTGCAAGTGGCAAATTGGGAAGTGGGCTCCATAAATAAAAGGTCTTTGGGAGTTTATCCTGAACCTTGGACTTCCTGCTCCAGGGGTTGGATCCCAGACCCGGGTCCGACAGTGCCAACCAGTTCTGCTGTATCGTAATCTTGAAGGGAACTAACCCATTTCGGCAGAAAACTTGGTATAATTAGCGGTTAATAAGCAGGGCCCAGGTTCCCCACGGCCCAAATAGTTTCTGTATTGATCTCCGCCTGTGCACTGTCAGCACTCTGGAAGGATTGAACTTTAAGTGCTTAATTCAGCCCCATTCAACCGATAATTTTGGTTTTGTCCTTCAAACAAAAGCACCCTTGTTTATTCTTTTTTTCCACCCACAAATAATAAAGTCAATCCATTTCTCTCCCTTCTCCCGCCCAAAGCTAGTCTGCCCCTGTAATCAATACATCTGGAAATGTCAATGTATTCCTGAGTGAGGAGCTGGGGGTGCGTGAGGACGGGAAAGGGGGGCTTGATTGGGAAGGTGGCTCCAGAATCTCCTGGAAAACAGATGGCTGCTTAAATGCTATCACGGCAAATTCCCGCCTACGTCAAGTCTCTGAGCTTCCGCACCTGGGCACGTGGTGTTGCACACGGCCTTTCAGGTGTGGTTGACAGAAATACACATCGAACACTTACACGTTTGCATCACAACCTCAAAACCAAACTGCTAAGCTTTCAGCTTTTTCGAAGTTATCAAGCAAACTGCATGGCAGTCATGCTCATTCTAACCTCGTCCCAGGTCACACTCCCTGAGCCTCACCTTATCCATGAGGCTAGAGTTGTGTGGGTGGGAGACATGGATGGAGACAGACTCAGAGCTAGTCTATTAGGTAAGCTGGAGCCAAGTGATACTGACATGCCTGAATCTCAGCCAGTCAGCGGACTAGTTACCCGGTTTAAGACATTAATACTATTCCTGAAGCATACAGGTCTGGGTAAGTGTTTGGAGAAAGAGACAATATCACTGAGTACCTACTATGTGTCAATTTAATTTTGTTTTTTTAAACTTTATTTTTTTTATGAGACAGTTTCATGATGTTGCTCAGGCAGGATTCAAACTCCTGGGCTCAGGCAATCCTCCTGCCTTAGCCTCCAGAGTAGCTGGGACTACAAGTGCATGCCACTGCTCCTGGTTCAATACTTTTGTAAATAGTCTTTTTAAATTACCACAACAAGTCTTTTCTTATTCCAGAGATGAGGAAACAAATGGAGATTAAGTGAATTGCCTTCAGGTCACATAGATGATAAATGACAGAGCCAGTTTAGGAACTGTGCCTTTCTGAATCCCAAACCCATTGTGTGTGTGTGTGTGTGTGTGTGTGTGTGTGTTTGTGAGAGAGAGAGAGAAAGAGAGATCTGTGCTTCATTTACCCCATCCAAAAAACAAGAGAGCAAAAATAATACTTCTTCCTGGGGTGGTTAAAAGGATTAAATGAGCTATGCCTATAAAATGTTTAGTCATATTTAGCACTTAAAATAGTTGATATTGTTATTATCGTTATAATTATCCCCATGGTATGCATTAAACAGTCATTTTCAGAAATTTCTGGCTTTAGCACAGTTGCCAAAACTTTATTTTTTCTTGATTTTTATCCTTAAAACCTGCATGGCATTGAAAATAAATAAGACAGGATCTCTCTATTCTCAAAGGAGTGACCATCTGGTTATGCGGAGGAGGGACAGAGAAAGAGGGAAAGAACAAGTTACAATAGACTGTGTCATATTTATTATAGTGGGAATATATTGGAACAGAGAGGAAAGTAGTAGCCTTATACAGCCTGGGAAGGGGGCTCAGTAATGGCCCATGGGGGGATTTGAACCTATGAAAGATGAGGATAAAGTATAGGATCAGCAGTCAAGGAATGGAGAGGGGGTTGGAGCAGAAGGAACAGCACCTGCAAAGGCGTGGAGGTTTGAAAGCACCTGGACCATTTGGGGATGTTGCAATTAGGCTGAGGAATCTAAAGTGAAAGGGGCTTGTTGAGAAATGGCTGGGCGGGGGCCAGGGCTCAGTTATGGTAGGATTTCCCAGCTGAGGAGCAGAGACTATATCCTGGAGGTTTTGTGAATTCTTGAAGGTTTTTAAGCAGAAAAGGGGCAGATTCAGGATTGTGTTTCAGAAAATGGCTTTTCAGCAGGGACTCTATTGGGGAAGAGTGAAAGTAATAAGACCGTCTTGAAGACTGCTGGAGGATTTAGAGGAGACACCATGAGCCCTGAGGATGAGTAGAAATCAGTCATGAATGGAGAAAAAGCTCTGTTTATAAAGATGGAAGAGCTTCTTATTTTTATTTTTTTTTCAAATCTAGAACCCACAAATAAGAGTTGGGGACTGACTGGATATGAGAGTGAGGGAGGGAAAGTCTCAAATGATTTCAATTTGGGTTGGTCAGTGGAGCCGGTAACCAAGAAAGGAGACAGGGGAGAAGCATGTTTTAAGATGAAGTTGGAAACCAAGTGTTTTAGTTCTGGCTGCTTTAACAAAATACCATGGATCAAATGGCTTAAACAGCAAGCATTTATTTCTCACAGTTCTAGAGACTGGGAAGTCTGAGATCATGGTGCCTGCTGATTCGGTTCTTGGGGAGGGCGCTCTTCCTGGATTGCAGATGATAGTTTTCTCCTGTGTCCTCACGTGGTCAAGAGAGAGTGAGCAAGCTGTCTAGTGCCTTCTTACAAGGGTACTAATCCCATCATAAGGATCCCATCCTGATGGCCTCATCTTAAACCTACGTACCTCCCAAAAGCCCCGTCTCCAAATACCATCACATTCTCCAATGTGTTAGTGCTTCAACATATGAATTTTTAGAGATACAGTTTAGCCCATGGCATCAAGCTTTGGACAGTTTGAGTTTCCAGTATCTTGGCCACCAAAGTGGAGATGAGCTGGATATGCAGTGCCCAGCTCTGTGTACAGAGCACAGTAATTGGTGATCAATAGATGATTAATACATATTTATTGAGGGAATGATTCGATGGCTAAAACCATGATGTGGATGAGATTTTCCAGGCTCATCCTGATTATATTTCTAGAAGGAACATAGGCGGGGTGCAATGCAGATAGTCTTGGGAGAACATTAACTATCCCAAGGGACTCCCCAATAAGGACTTAAGAGAAGCTTAAAATTCAGAAATTACAAGCACACAGATCAAGAGAAGATTCAGAGTATGGTGAATAGTCATTTTCAGTACTGATGTTGACCTATAAAATTTATAGACTAGCTAACTTTTTTCCTTTTTAGAATAAATAACCAACATTTATTGAGTACTTGCTGTGTGCTGAGCCCCATGTCGAAGGCTTTACCTGTAATTTCTTCACTTCACAGCCACAACCTAATGAAAGGGAGACACTATGTTTGTATTTCCCTTCTAGAGATGAAGAAACCGAGGCTTAGAGATATCACTAATTGCTCAAGGTTTTGCAACTGTTGTGCTGTGGATCTGGGATTCAAACCCAGGTCCGGTTGACTTTTGAGCTAAGACTATCGCTCTTTTGCCTCCTGAATTTCTAGTCATTTAAAAATCAAGGCTGAGGCTATCAAGCTGCGCAAAAGCTGTTTTGGCTTATAAGACAATCAGGTTGGGAGACTGAGACTACTTGGGAGGAAAAAGGGGGAAATACAAGTTGCAAGTGTGCAAGTTGCTACACTGGCCCTGTGTATCTTTGAGTTTTTGCAGGTACTCTATTCACCATCTGTCTCTCCTCATCTCTTGTGAAATGGAGTTGGTGGCCTTTAAAAAGCTGCCAGCTTTGAGAAAGGGGGGCTCAGTTTCCCAATCTTGGCCCAGAGGACTTCTCTCCATCTGGATGAGCATTGAGATCAAGGGTGAGCTAGTCCCAAGGTTAATTGGATGAACCGATCTTTTCTTTTGTTGGCTTGTGGAGGTCAATTAGTAATGTGGATGATTGGATTCAGTTAAATGCCTTCAATGAACTAGGTCTATAGGGGACAGTGATTGGTTCCCAAATGGGGTGAGGGACCCATTTGGACTAAACGTTTCACCTTGCCCTGGCTTTGGTGGCTTCAAAACCAAATGAATGGCCCTTTAAGCCATTAAGCAGTCGCAAAGAAGCAGGTCTACCAGCACTCCTGTTCATTGGTTTGTTTTTATTTATTTGAGCATTTTATTTTTATTTATTTATTTATTTATTTTTGAGATGGAGAAAGACTCCGTCTCAAAAAAAAAAACAACAACAAAATAAAAAAAAAACCCACAAAGAAGGCATTCCCTGTTGCTAAAATATAAAATTATTTATTTATTTGTATTTTTTTATTTGAGCATTTTATTCATTTGAGCAGTTTATTTTCCCCAGTTTCATCCCTTGTAGTGGAAAAAGCACAGTCTAGAGTCAGGAAGACATAGCTGTGACTTCTAACCCTGTCTTTTGCTATATGCATGAAGTTGGGCAATGATATTAGTGTTTCTGAGCCTTAATTTCCTTGCCTGAAAAATGGGGCCTCCGGGCACAGTGACTCACGCCTGTAATCTTAGCACTTTGGGAGGCCGAGGCGGGAGGACCGCTTGAGCCCAGGAGTTCGAGAGCAGACTGGGCAACATGGTGAAACCCTGTCCCTACAAAAAATACAAAGATTAGCCAGGTGTGGTGGCATGGACCTGTCATCCCAGCTACTCGGGAGGCTGAGAGGTGGGAGGACGGCTTGAGCCTGGGAGGTTGAGGCTGCAGTGAGTTGTGATTGCACTACTACATTCCAGCCTGGGCAATTAAAAATAAAATGGAGCCGATAGAATTTACCTTGCCGTAGTGCTTATTGTGGATATGAAATGGAATAACATTAATATTTAAGGTGTTTATTGCTGGGCCTGGTACTAAGAATGTGAATCTCTTTTCCTGTAGAGAATGGAGGCTGTAGATAATTTGTAGCTGGTTTGTAGCTGGTTGTTTATTTCATTGCCCTAGTGATCTGGTATTTTCAGACAAATAAGATCTGATATTGAAATGATGCCCATATTGTGTCTCTGTGTTCTAAAAGTAATCGGAAGTTGTCCCAGGAATTCAGGTGTTATAACTACTTGCAAACCATTGCATCTTAACTGAGTCCAAGCAAATTTCACTAGAGCTCCATACATGTACTTCCATATTCTTTATGATACAGAATCACATGAGCTGGGTCCTGGTTTTGATCTCAACCTCATTTCCCTGAAAACAAACAAACAAACAAACCATAAGCAGTACAAAATGAGTACTGATGAGAGTGACATTCACAGCCACACCTTGATCCTGCAGTTGAGGAAATACAGTCGTTACAGGAGCTTATGCTGAGTCTTCTGTGAGTCTCAGATATTTTGGATGCTGGCGACTTCTCACAGGTTGATGTCCAAGCCACTGCAAGGCTCATGTAATGGGCAGCTCCAAGACTGAAGTAAGAACAAGTTTCAGTAAGATAGTATGGGAAGAGTAGGTTGCCCTTTCAGCATGAACCCTTCAGGATGTTTTGCTAGGAATTTGCAATGCCAGAGTAAAAGGTGTAGAAGGAGTATATAGAAATAAGACATGCCGTAGGCCGGGCACGGTGGCTCAAACCTGTAATCCCAGCACTTTGAGAGACCGAGGCAGGCAGATCATGATGTCAGGAGATCGAGACCATCCTGGCTAACACAGTGAAACCCCATCTCTACTAAAAATACAAAAAATTAGCCAGGAGTGGTGGTGGGCACCTGTAATCCCAGCTACTCAGGAGGCTGAGGCAGGAGAATGGCTGAACCTGGGAGGCGGAGCTTGCAATGAGCCGAGATTGTACCACTGCACTCCAGCCTGGGCGACAGAGGAAGAGTCCGTCTCAAAAACAAACAAACAAAAAAACAAACAACAGAAGAACAAACAACAAAATAAAAAAACCTCCACAAAGAAATAAGGCATTCCCTGTTGCTAAAATATAAAATTAAAATGTAATGGATCAGAGTAGAGAAATGCAGGGTTGCTCTAACAACAACAACAAAAACGATGCGTAGTGATAAATGCGTACTATGTGTCAGATGTTTTTCTTGGCTGGAGAATTCATCTAAGTTTCAGAATATATTCTAATGAAGGGGGGATAGACAATAAAAAAGTGTATATGATTTTGTATATTAGGAAATGATAATTACCAATGTGAAAATATAGGAAGGAAAGAGGATAGAGAGTGTGAGGAGTGGAGTGGATGCTATAATTTCAAGTAGGTAATTATGGAAGGTTTCAATGAGTAAATATAATAGCACTTGAACAAGACATTCTCTCATTTTCTGAGAAGTGTTCTAGGAAGAGAGAACCCCACAGTACCTAGGCACTAAGGTATGAGCATTCCTGGAATGATCAAATAAGAACAAAAAGGGTCGGCCGGGCGTGGTGGCTCACGCCTGTAATTCCAGCACTTTGGGAGGCCAAGGCGGGCGGATCACGAGGTCAGGAGATCACGACCATCCTGGCTAACACGGTGAAACCCCGTCTCTACTAAAAAAATACAAAAAATTAGCCGGGCGTGGTGGCGGACACCTGTAGTCCCAGCTACTCGGGAGGCTGAGGCAGGAGAATGGCGTGAACCCGGGAGGCGGAACTTGCAGTGAGCCGAGATTGTGCCACTGCACTCCAGCCTGGGTAACAGAGTGACTCCGTCTCAAAGAAAAAAAAAAAAGAACAAAAAAGATCAATGCAGCAAATTCAGGCAATAATAGGGTGGTGGGAAATGAAGTCAGAGAGTTACAAGACAGATGGTTCCTGAGACAACCAACTTGAATTTATCCAATTGGAGAGTTTATTGTCATGCTCATCCTTCTTATGATTGTTTTCCTTGTTCTAACATCTTGCTGGGCACTTTGATGTGTATATTACCTGCAGGATCTTCTCAATCCTCACAACTACCTTTTGAGGCAGATAGTATATTATTCCCGTTGCACATAGAAGCAAACCAAGGCTCAGAGAGGTTAAGTAACTTTATAAAGCCACAGAGGACAGTGGCAAAGGCCCAGTGCCTTTTCTATCAGGCTATCTTGCTTCCATTTTCAAAGCAGTTTTGTGTCCCACCTTGTATCCTTTGCTCACAGCCTTGTCAATAAGAGCCTCCAGACAGCTCTTATTAGTCCTATTAATTGCTTCTTCCTAATTCCCGGGAATGGAATTGAATGGTAAAAATTGAATGGGTAGACACAATTTCTGAGACTCTTTTCTATGGAGCTATGTTTGTGTCCCCCACACAAATTCATGTGTTGAAACCCTAACCTCCAACGGGATGATATCTCACTGGGATGATATTAGGTAGGGCCTTTGGGAGGTAATTAAATCACAAGGGTGGAGCCCTTATCAATGGGATTAGTGTCCCTATAAGAAGAGAAAGAGGCTGGTGCTCTCTCCCTCTCTGCCAAGTGAGGACACAGCAAGAAAGTTGCTGTCTACACACCGTAAAATGAACCCTCACTGGAACCAACCATGCTGGCACCCTGATCTTGGACTTCCAGCTTCCAAAGCTCCGAGAAAGAAACTTCTGTTGTTTAAGCCCCAGGCTGTGGTATTTTGTTATAGGAGCCTGAACTGACGAAGGCACTCCAATCTATTTTGCACAATATTTCCTTCTTGGGTTGTGTCCGGGGACCTTGTTCATGGCACTGACCTTCCACATGTGCTTGGTGATTCTTGTGAAATCCTTTTCCATAACCCAGTTCTCCCATCAACATCACTCCCTTTGTCTCTCTCTTTTTGATCATTGCCTTCTAGATATTAATTTTTGTTTTCATGTTTCTCCTCTCTCCCCTGGTAGTACACAGAGGCCGGGCTTGGCCAGTGTTCATTGCTGCATATGGAAGCTTGCTTTCTCATCTTTCAAAAAGCTACTGTGGTTGGAATTTTCGTTGCACAACCATTTCTGGCTTGTTTTCCTTCTGGGTGGAGAATTGCACTTCTCTGCCCCTTGGCCTTGAGTTGTGCCACACGAGTGGAAGTGGCATATGTGACTTCTGGGTGGCAGCATTTAATTACTGGGGTGAGATCCTCCGGGGCTTTTTTTTTCCCCCTGAATGAGGCAAGCTCTGAAGCATCTGTTGAGATGGAGCCTCATGAGGTGGAAGCAAAGTGGAGAACTGAGCCAGCACACAAAGGAGGGTGGCTGCCTGTCCTAGAAAGCTGCCAAGGCTGGAAGAAATAGCTTGATCGTGTCACATGACCGTGATTTGGATTTCAGTGTGTGTGTATGTATATGTGTGTGTGTGTGTGTGTGTGTGTGTTTTGTTACTGTATCATTACCTAGCCTATACAGATTGACGCTGCCTTATTCATCAACTCTAGGTTTGAAGTCAGGCAATGCCTTGCTTTTTTTGCTCAGCAGCCTGGTGTGAGGTTAGAACTGGGGGTTTGCAGGCAGATAGACTTGCCTTTTATGAGCTTGGGCAAGTTACTTTCTCCATTTTCTGGCTTTCTTTTCTGTGAATGGAAGTGACTGAAACCCACCTCCCAGGGTTGTTGTGAGAATTAAATGTAGTAACACACGTAAAGTAGGCGGCACACTGTAGGTTTTTAATGGGTGCTTATTTTCTTTCTTCCTTTCTTGCACCATCATTAACTCTAGGATTATGTGCCCATTTTTTTTTCTCCTAAGGATTCCACTTTTCTCATTAACCAGTGTTTCCTCGTTGCCAGGATTTAGTGGCAAGTAACCGTTTCCTCTGTCGCTTCCTCTGTCTTCTGAAAGATGAGATCGTCAGCAGGGCAAGGCGAGGATTTATCAGAAGAGACGCCCAACAGATGTCCAGAGAGCATAAATCCCCACTGCTGCTCCGTCTTGCCTCTGTGCCAGCTTTGTAATCGGTATTAGGGAAACATGGTCTGGTTGATTGCTCTGCAATAGACTCTTACAACATTAACACTTGTTTCCCTATATTCTAGTTCTCCAAGATATTTGTTTTCATTTTCAATTTTGATTCAATTCAATTCGATGCTTGTTTTGACTTGGGCACAGGGCTGGGCATAGAGGATACAAAGGTGGATTCAGGCATAGCCCCTGCCTATAGGAAAGCCAGTCGGGTGAGGGAGACTGATATATCAGCCAAACCAATCAACTAACCCAGAGACCCAAATCCCAGACGTTGCAATAATTATAAAAATGTAAGCATGTACATGCTATGGAGAGAAGACTAAGAGGAACGTGTGAATTCCATTGGGTCTAGAAGTGGGAGAGGGATGAAGATGACTTCTTTTAAAAGGTTATGTTTTATCAGGGTTTTGATGGATGAACAGGAGTTTGCTAAGTGGATTGTAGAGGAACAGCATTTGGGAAAAAGGCACAGCATTGCAGAGGCACAGTTGCGTGGAACCTGAGACATAGTTCTGGGCAACAGAAGCGGTTTGATGTTTAACAGAGCAGAAAATGCGAAGTGGGAAGCAGCAAGAGATAAAAAAGAAGGTTTTATCCAGGCAGGCAAGGGGGAAAGGACATATTCTATTTTTTAAAAAATAATAGAGTCGAGACCTCGCTGTGCTGCCCAGGCCAGTCTCGAACTCCTGGGCTCAAGTGATCCTCCTGCCTTGGCCTCCCAAAGTGCTAGGATTACGGGCATGAGGCACTGCTCCCAGCCAGAAAAGGACACATTCTTGAGGTTGTAGGTATTTCTTTGACCTACTTCTCTTTGAGATTTACTCTATATTGCTTTATACTAGCCACAAACTCCAGTTGACACGGGTGTGTTTGTTGTCTTGCCTGATAATGTTGTTGAGTGTTCAGCACTCCTAGATCTGGATGGGGTGAAGAACTCACTGGAAAGAGCATGGAGTCAGGATAAGGACACTTAGGCTTCAATCCTGACTTTCTGCTTTATTATCCCCATGTTTTTAGGCAAGTACCTGAGGGTCTCCATTACCTCCCCTACAGAATGAGGAATATCATTCCTGCCTCACTGAGCACTTATGAGGATTAATAATTCAATAAATATTTAAAGTACTCAGCCCGGAACTTGGCATCCGTTGGGTGCGCTTCGCATCTTCCAGTTGGAGAAATCAGTTATCAGTGTTTGGGAGTTGCATTAAGCTCATAAAGTAATGGCTGGAAATTATTAAGATTGATTTTTAAAAATACAATCATGCTTTTATTTTCTTTTGGAAAACAGAACTTTATTGCTTCTCACAACAAAACTTTCAGTGCCCTCCGAGGAGAAAAATAAACTTACAAAAGAAAAAAAAAGAAACTTAAAAACAATATGGCACTTCTGTGGTATCAAGCCTCAAAGGTCTTACCTCGAGATTATTTTGGTAAATCCATTTACATTTTTTTAGTCTCCCCTCCCCTCCAATGTCATGTGTAAGAACACATAGATATTTTGACATCTCCATTGTGATATTTATTTTAAGCCATCAGTAGAGTTTTAAATATCTTAGAAGTGAACTCTGGCCTCTGTGGAAGGCAAACTAATTATTTCCCAAACTGTTCCATAAAGCCAGAACCTGGCATTTATTCCTGGCAGCTTAGAAAGGAAACGTGAAGATGCTGGCTTTCTAAGGAAGGGGATGTGCAGTCAAACAAGAGCTCAGAAACTTGGGGGCCCAAAGCCATCTTGGCTGCTATATTTTGCAAGGAAGCCCTGGTGTCCCTGGAGAGCAGCTGGGACCAGAGTTTCACACAAGCGGTTTTGCAGATGATCCCAGCGAAACAAAAGCAGTGGTGATGAGTGGAACAAAGATTTATTGTTACAGATATGTCAAGGACTGACAAAGGTCTCGTATGATTATGTCACCATACAACATCTCTACGAAGTAGAGATTCTTTAGTCCCCTTTTATTAGGTGTGGAAACTGAGTCTTGGAGAAGTTAAGTCTCTTGTCCAAGGTCACATGGCCAGGTGGTTGAGAGCTGTAGGCCTGACACCAGAAAGTCTGATCTCAACCATTCTGCTGCCTTAGTGTCTTCATGCTGTGTGTCCTTGGGCAGCTCACCTAACCTCTCTGAGCATCTCAGTTTCTCCTTCCACTAAATGGGAATGATAATACCTACTACCAACCTCACAGTTGTGCTGATCAGAAATGCTTCCAGAGGTGGAAGCACTTAGAAAAAATAAGTGAAAGCAGAACATCGTAATTAACTTGGCTTTGAGTAATGATATCTTCTATTTCTTACTGTGACAACATCCCTAGCTCTATACAGTCCCTTACCTGGCTGTCAGTTTTCTGTTGTAGATGATACCACCTTGGGCCACATACATATTCCTTCCTCTTTTGTCTTTAGCCATTTCCCCATCTCAGGCTTTTGTTTTCTCCCCAGTCATCTCACTTACAGGGTTCCCTAACTTCTGAAGCTCTCACTGATTTTTTTTCCAGAGAGTTTTATGGCGGAGAGGAGCACCAGGGTCCATGGAATTCATAGAAGAAAGTCCACCAACTAGCCTGTGGGTTTAGAGGGGCTTTCTGGATGATCTAACTCTTGCGAGATGAAGATGATGTAGGTTGAAGCAGAGAGGAGAGAGGAAAGGGCATTGCAGACTTGTGCAAAGGCATGGCACGTTTTGGGATCCACAAGTATTTGCGTAAGATAGGGTGAATGTGGGTGGAGTGTTGGTATGGTTCGTTAAATATTGAATGAATGCTTTTCCCTTTGTTTCCTTAGCTAACTTAGTCTCAGGAGAACAAAGACTGTACCTTAATTTCATACCCCTCACAGTGCCCAATCTAGGGATAGACACAGAGCCAGCCCCAGGAAGTACTCAGGTTATTGATTTATTAACACTCTCATGCGGATGGGTTGGACTTTATTGGGTGAAATAGGCAGCACAACAATGCAGAAAGCCTGTAGAACTTGGAGTCAGACAGATCTTGTGCAAGCCATTTAGTCTCTCTCAGCCTCAGTTTCTTCATCTGTGAGATGGGGCTAATACATACATACCTCATAGAATTGTTGTGGAAGTGAAATGAGACATGATATATGTGAAAGGATGAATCAAGCAGACTCAACACATGCTAGTTCTTGTTTTTGCTGACTGCCTGCTATCGTCTCAGTATTTGTCCCCCTAAAGCTCATGTTGAAGTTTGATCCCAATGTTGGAGGTGGCAGACTCATGGGAGGGGTTGGGGTCATGGAGGCAGATCCCTCATGAATGGCTTGGTGCCCTCCTCATGTTTATAAGTGAGTTACTGCTGTATTAGTTCCTGTGAGAGCTGATTGTTAAAAAGGCTTGATACCTCCCCCTCTTTCTCTTGCTTCCCCTCTCGCCATGTGATCTCTGCATATGCGAGCTCCTCTTCACCTTCCACCATGAGTGGAAGCAGCCTGAGGCCCTCACCAGATGCAGATACTGGCACCGTGCTTCATGGACAGCCTGCAGAACCAGTAGCTAAATAAACCTTTGTTTGTTTATAAATTACCCAACCTCAGGTATTTGTTTATAGCAACGCAAGATGGACTAAGACACCGCCCTCTGATCATGAGGTCAGGAGATTGAGACCATCCTGGCTAACATGGTGAAACCCTGTCTCTACTAAAAAATACAACAAAAATTAGCCGGGCGTGGTGGTGTGCGCCTGTAGTCCCAGCTACTCGGGAGGCTGAGGCAGGAGAATGGCGTGAACCCAGGAGGCGGAGCTTGCAGTGAGCCGAGTTTGCGCCACTGCACTCCAGCCTGAGGGACAGAGCGAGACTCCGTCTCAAAAAAAAAAAAAAACAAAAAAAAGACCATCTTCTGTGTTAATATGTTAATCCTAACTGCTTCTTGGAGGCTCCAACTTTGTTGATGGCAGCCAGGAATAGGTGAATAGGTGAGTTATTTAAGTAGACAGTTGCCCACATTGGCTTCAGCTCAAGCTAACTCACCACAGCTACCACACCAGAAGATGCTCTACACTCTGCTGTCCTGGAGATGGAAGTTTGCTCCCATAACAAATAAAATAGAGGAGGGCATTTGAGTGCAGGAAACATTTTGTTTATTTACACTCACCTCTACCAAAGGCAGGAGGAGGCTTGTAGGACATGGGAAATGTCCTACAATGCAATCCCTTTCATCTGTAGTCACTGACCTTCCTCTGATATGTCACTCTTCACCTGTTACAGGGTATACCCCACAACTGCAGGGATCTTTGCTTGTATTCCAAGCCTAGAACAGTACCAGACAAAGAGTAAGGGCTCTATAATTTCTGGAAAGAATAAATGCATTAATCTCACCAAGCCTCCGTCCTTTATTTGCCTTCTAGATGGAATTGGCTAGATCATGTGTCATCCTATCATATCACTACTTTCTTCCTTTGCATTTGCTTGTTTTTGTGATAAAATTATCAGTGTGGAAGGTGGAATGTAGCTTAGGCAACAAGAGCGGAGTTCCTACAGGGAGGTCTTATTTACTGTCTGCTTTGGTCAAACTTGAAGTGGGTTCTTGGCTCATCTTGGTCTTGAGGGCTCAAGACCGTTCATGCTGGTTGATGTTTGGTCAGCTTGTTCCCAATGTGCCTTTGATTCCCTGACTTGGCACACTTTGAAGCTACTCTCCCAAATAAATAGATTTCTCCCCCTCTAATAAAGGATCAATATAGCTATACTGTTAATATTATTGATAGTCTCTTCCTCCTTTCCATGCCAAAAAACTGAGCCGAACTGAAACTGGCCCAATTGTCCCATAGAACTGATGTTTATGGTTTCTTTTAAATACACATAGAAATTGGCCATCCCAGTCTTGAAACTTGCAAAAGTTACATTTGTCTTATCTGAGTTCCTTTCTCAGGCCTCCAACCATCAGGCTTCCCAGATAGAATCAAGGAGCTGAAACTCACCAGATCTCTGAATCTGGACAGTGAAAGCACCCGACCCTTCATCCATCATGACTGCCTAAGCAACCACTTGCTTCTTGTTGACAAACTCCTCTTCCTTTCCTCTCCCTAATTCCTGTTTTCTCACAAATGGTTACATTTCTTCCCTGCTATAAAAATACCTAATTTTAGTCAGCTAGGGGAATGGATTTGATGCTGATCTCCCATCTTCTTGGCTGCAGGATCCAATTGAAGCCTTCTTCCCTGGCAATACTCATTGTCTCAGTGATTGGCTTTCTGTGCAGCAAGCATTAGAACCTAGACTGAACCTCTGGTGTTTCAGTAACAAGATCACCAGGTGTTACGAAGCACCTGTATGCATTGGGAAGTCCTTGCTCATTTCCTTCCCTCTTAGGCATAATGGATGTCTTCAGATACACAAGTGCAATCTAAGAAACAGATCCACATATCTAACTGTGCCTGCGTCTTGAAAGTCCACCCAGCTGATGTTTCAAAAGGCAATTGAAAAGATGGTAGCTAGACTCCTCTTGAAGCTTCATTTCCATTTTGATTTTCTTATTCAACACAATGTGATATTTTCTTGAAAGGGAGACTCCAATTGAGGGGCCAAGAGGTGGGTCAGCTTCACCAAGATAAGAGTAATTACTGGCCAAAAAAAAAAAGAAAAGGAAAAGAATTTCAGATAGAATAAGTGGATGCAGCCTGTCTGCTTGAGCTTTGCTGCTAATTACCAGACTGCTATCCCTCATTCAGAGGGAAGAACTCTACTCCAGCTGAGTTTCAATTTAAAATATGAGGTTGGTGATCAAACACAAGCTTCACCCAAAACAATGACGTTGGAAGAGATGGCTCCGATGAATGAAGGTAGCTGTGATGGAGCTTAATAAAATGAGGGTTTCAAGGATGTGGTATTTCTGTTTTCATTTCACAATAATAAAGTCATGAATGAGAGAAAAATATGCTGGTTACATTACTTTAAAATACCTTGGCAAAAATCTAATTTCTTATTGATTAGTTTCCCATCGAAGGGAAGGCCTGTAGATAAAAGAAAATTGACTGCTGAGAATTCTAAAATAAAGAAAGTAAATGAGGGAAGATGTTTAAATTTTTAAGAGGAAGAAAAAGTATAATCAATGTCCCCAAATATGTCACTTGTACAAGTACTGCTGGGACTGAGAGCTAAGCTGTTCTTGATCTGATTGACTTACTTTCATTGACACCAATATTTAAAAAATGTAAAATCAACAGACTGGCTTTGGAAAGCAAAGCCCATAGAAAGATGTTCCAGGTACCACGGAAAGTAAAAGCATGTAGGAGTGAGAATTATTCCTGGAAATTGGGTAGGGAATTATTTGATAGGTTACTGTATGCTCGTGACTTTTGGTTGCAAGCAATAGGAACCTGAAAACTGGTTTAAACCAGTGGTTCTCAATAGGAGGTGATTTTGCCCCTTGGGACAGTTGGCAATGATTGCAGCTGTTTTTGGTGGCCATGACTCGTGGGTGAGAATGGCTCTAGAAGCCAGGAACATTGCTAAACATCCTGCAATGTACAAGCCAGCCCCCATCCAGCCAAACACTATCAATAGTGTTGAGGTTCAGGAACTCAAGCTTAAACAGAAAAAGTAGAATTTGTTGATTCACAACTGAAAAATCCAGGATGAATCTATTTGGATCCAGATGTTCAAACTGACATCAGAAGTGGCTTTTTCTCTCAGGCCTGCTACTTTCCTTGTAAGATTTATTTTTGGGGAGTTTTTTTCCCCTTGTAGTCCCAAGACAGGCTTCAGCAGCTCAGCTGAAGGCTGCTGCCAGGTTAGGGGTTCTAGTGACAGAAGAGCTTATCTTTCTCCTTGCTTCTCCCTAGGAATTCTGAGATATACTCTTATCTTTTTTTTTTTCACCTTTTAAGTTCAGGGGTACACGTGCAGGTTGTGTAGGTTTGTTACATAGGTAAACATGTGCCATGGTGGTTTGCTGCACAGGTTATCCCATCACCTAAGTATTAAGCCCAACATCCCTTAGCTATTCTTCTTGATGCTCTCTGTCCCCCACCACTCTGACTGACAGGCCCCAGTGTGCATTTTTCCCCCCAGGTATCCTTGTGTTCTCATTTTTCAGCTCTTGCTTATAAGTGAGAAAATGCAGTGTTTGATATTCTGTTCTTACATTAGTTTGCTGAGGATAGTGACTTTCAACTCCATTCATGTCCCTGCAAAGAACATGATCTCATCCATTTTTATGGCTGCATAGTATTCCATGGTGTATATGTACCACATTTTCTTTATCCAGTCTATCATTGATGGGCATTTAGATGGATTCCGTGTCTTTGCTATTGTGAATAGTGCTGCAGTGAACATACAAGTGCCTGTATCTTTATAATAGAATGATTTATATTCCTTTGGGATATATACCCAGTAATGGGATTGCTGGGTCTAATGGCATTTCTGCCTCTAGGTCTTAGAGGAATCACTACACTGTCTTCCACAATAGTTGAACTAATTTACACTCCCAGATTGACTCTCATTTAACTAAACTGTCACATGATCATCCCTGAACCACTCCTTGTGAGGATGGAGTATTCTGATTGACTAGGCTTGGGACACACATCCATCCTTGACTCTGGGGACAGAGGTGTTGAATTGATACCAGTTACACCAGTGTGCTGGTGGGCTGAGAGGGCAGGAAGGTGCTTTACCAAAAGGAAAAATGAAGTGCTATATTCAGAATTAGAGAGTAGATGCTGAGCAGCCAACAATCAGATGCTCACTACATTTGTTTTCTGCAAAAATTCTGAGGAGTGATGGTGTGGGGGCCACTAGGACCCTCTACAACATCTCTCTCTCTTCCCCTGTCATCCAAAAAACCTTCAGAAATACACCTATTGTAGTCTCTCTCTCTCCTAACACTCACGTTGTTACATTGTCATAAACGTATTTATCTACCTATCCACCTGTTCCCTTAGGCTTTTCAAGACCTAAACACAGGGATGATGTCTAATTCATCTTTGTGTTTCCAACACCTTGCATAGAGTAGAGCACCTAGTAGGCTAAAGTGAAACTCTTCTTTTTCAGTAGAATGTCAATTTGATCCTTTTAGACTATCCATCATGCATTAATCAGATGTTTATTGTGCAGCTACTATGTGTCCCCCACTCAAACCCTGGGGAATAAGCAAGAAACAGGATGCAAGTGTGGAATGTCACATATGGTAGGGTGGCAGCCATCTTACGAGTGATCCAAAGTGAGTTACACAATGCAAAGGGAAGTCCTGAGAGCTATGGAAACCACAGCAAGGGTCCACTTTGGAGTGGGAGTCTTTACAAGCGATGCTCAAAGGGGGCAGCCTGGAAGATAAGTGAGATTTAGTTTTGCAAAAGGAGCGGGTGGAAGAGCTTTCTATGCAAAGGGAATAGCCTGTGTGAAGGCCTTGAGATGGTGGTGGGGTCCTCAGTTCCGGTATTATGTCCTGTTAGCAAGATAGGGTTACATTTTAGGTCTGATTTAAGGAAGGGTGGCCTCAGCTCTCCACTTTGATGGGCCTCTGAGACAGTGATAATTCAATTGCAAGGAATAGAAACCCATTCAAAGAGATTAAAGTGGATATGAAATTTTACTGTCTGGACACACAAGGCTCTCTGGAAATCCGACGTATGCAGCTGGACCTCATGGGACTTGGAATGTTGTTAATCAGCCGCTTTCTCCATTTCACTCTCTGGAGCTTACCTCTGCACATCTGCTCCATTCTCTTCTCTGCAGACTGGCGCCTGCCGTTGGAATCTCAGGGTTTGCTGTTTCCCAGTTTCTACTTGCCCAGGGCCCTGGGACTTCTTCTTCATGACCTTACAGCTCCAGCTTCTAATGCACTCTGATCAATTGCGCCTCTATCTGAATGTAAGAGTTTCCCAGGTGTAGGAATATGATAGGTCCGGGTAGTAGGAGGTGTACACTCTGGTCCAATCAGATGTGGCCAGGTGAAGGTGTCAGGTGGGTGCCTCTGCTGTGTGTGGGCTAGAGAGCATCTCAGAGAAGTCATGCAGGTAGGGAAGCACCTCTCTGGTTCTTGGTGGAGCTCTCTGGAGTGGTATGGCTAAACACTGAAGAAGATGATGAGGATGTCGCTGCTGTGCTCAAAAGGGCCCAGCCTTCTTGTCATAATCGTATACTTGTTATCCTATTTAACACTCATGATCATCCAGTGAAGGGTTAACACTATTCTACAGAGGAGACAACTGAGATACAGAAAGGTGGACAAACATTGCTTCAAAAGTTATTTTTATGAAATGTTAATTGTCTCACATATCTGGATTCCAACCTGAGGGAAAATGTCACCCCAGATAATAGCCTGGAGTTCCATAGCCAAAGTAATTATCGTTTCTCTCTCCTTCTCACTTAACATACTCCAGCCACACAGGTATTCTTCTGGTTTCCTAAATACTCAGCCTTTGCATGTGCTGTTTTCTCTGCCAGAAATTCTCTTCCCTCCCACTCTTTACTAGGTTAACTTTTCCTTATCCTTCAGGTTTTAGTGTAGACATTACTTCCTCAGGGAGATTTTTCCTGACTCCCTGAGTAGAATCAGTTTCACCCTCTTTATTCTGGCTTATGGCACTCTGATCTCTTCTCTTAATGTTTTATCAGAATTTTAATCTTACAAGTTTTGCACAATTACCCTGCCTAGACTGTTAACTCCTTGAAGGAGAGGAATCACATCTGCCAGGCAACTAGTAGGTGACCAGTAAATAATGATTAGATTGGCCAGGTGCAGTGGCTCACACCTGTAATTTCAGGAGGCCGAGGTGCATGGATTGTTTGAGGTCAGGAGTTCGAGACCAGCCTGGGCAAATGGACAAACCCTGTCTCTACCAAAAATACAAAAAGTTAACCAAATGTGGTGTTGCATGCCTGTGGCCCCAGCTACTCAGGAGGCTGAGGCAGGAGGATTATTGGAGCCAGGGAGGTGGAGGCTGCAGTGAGCTGATATCACACTACTGCACTCCAGTTCCGGGCAACAGAACGAGACCCCATCTCAGAAAAAGAAAAATAGTGGTTAGATAAATAATGTTAATGTAATTATCCAGGGAGAGGATCTTTCGCCAATTTTGTTTGGATAGAGTAAAAGCTTAAACTACTGCTTAAAATGATTCATTCTTTCTGTGGAGGTAGGGGAATGCCTTAAATAGAGATAACTGATGTTTGGTAAGGTTGCTAAATGAAAGATGCCCAAAAAACCCTCACATTTAAGTTAGGAAGGTCATTTGGCTGCTTCCAGGTTTTTTCTTCTGTTCTTTTAGGATGATTCAGAGGGCCAAGCTGCAGCAAAATTTTGGGAAAGTGAAGGAAAACTAGTGCTTATTGAGAAGCTACTAATGATCAGGCAGCATATTAGGTGCTTTGTAAACACCATCTCATTTGATTCTCTTGACAGCCCTGAATCATGTGGGTGGTGCCCTTTGTGCATGGGCTCCTTCAGTTTCCATTCCAGCCTCTGTCAACTGTGTCATTCTATACTGCAGAGGCTGGGTTGCTAAAAGGTCAATATACTGGACTCCCTTGCAGCTAGGATTCTGACTATGACTCAGGTTCTGCAAATCAGATACTCTTTGCGTCTTGAATTTATAACTGAGTTAAGAGGGGAAAATGGCATAATGCCATTCACTTTGCTCCTGTGGATCTCTGCAGAGTCTGGGTAGTTCTGCAGCCATTAGCTTCCTGATGTGGTGACTTCTCGTAGTGCAGGTAGCAGTTTTCACCATCATAGCAGAGGCAGAGTGATTTGGGGGACCAGGGAATTGTTCTTGGAAGCTCCAACTCTTTGGGTCCTTCCAATGGTTTCCTAAGTCAGCTTACATCTGGTAATCACTTCCCTTCTGCGTAAGGTAGCTGGAGTGGTTTCCATTGTCTGCAACTGAACACTCATTTAAAAAGTAGGCTTTCAGGTATATTTTCCCCTCACTTTGAGAAACTGAGGTGAGAGGATCAGAGAGTTCAAATCAACTTGACACAGCCTTCACAGCAGGGAAGTGATGGAGAATTTGAAATCAGAATGGACTTTTTCCATTTGTCTATCTTCAGCACTGCCACCAACTTCTCTTTTCTGTGGCCCCTTTCTCTCTTTCTTTCCTCCAAGATCCTTCCTCCATGACATATGTTGTTTCAAACAGTTAGGATCTGACAGTCAAATTCAATCCAAGGGCTCAGGGGCTTGGTGTAACCCTACCTGGGCATATGTCTTTAAGAGGACTGTGGTGAAGGGAAGATGGTGAGCTGTAAGGCATGAGTTCCAGGTACCGTGACATCTGCTTGAAGAGGAGGTTAAGAGGTTCATGGAGAAAGCTGGGATGGGATAGAGTGGAAGGAAAGTCAGGAAAAATGACTTGGGTTCTCAATTTGTAATTGTCCTGGCCTGATTTCTTGTGCTAATCTTGCCAATTTGCTAAGAGAGGCTTGCTCCAGGTGGTAAGCCTCCTAAAGCTTTGGATCCAGGTTTTTAAGCTGGTTGGAGCTCACTCCTCTTCTGACCCATCCCCAACAGCTCTCCTGTCAGATTTTAGACATGCCAGCTAATTCCTTTCTATAGATTCGCCTGGCTTTATTAGGAGTAATGGTATCGAGGGTATTTTTCTTTATAGATGTTATAATTAGTAATTGTTTTGAAGGGCAATTGCTGTTAAACTACATATTTTTTCTTTTCCTGGAGGACAGGACAATTTCCAAGACTGATTATTTCACAATTGAAATTCCATGTCTCCCAGAGGTAAATTTTTATAGCAGTTGGTGGAAGTCAAATCCTCTCTTTTTATTTTTTTCCCCATTGCACATTCATATGCAGACACACAAAAAAACATTTCTGGGAAAGGAAGCGGAAAGATGAAGCCTCCACTGAGTGTTCAACAGCTTTTATAGACAGTTCCCTGGCTCTCTGGCTAATGTGATAGATGATAAATGCTCCCGAGATACCATTTCAGTCAATTAATTAGTTAATGTTTAAAGATGGAAAGTGTCATGTAGATAAAGAACATTATGACTCTCTTAATAAAAATGACTTAAACCAAGAAAAAATAGGGATGAGGAGATAGTATACGTTTTGCCTTTGAACTATAATTTCTCTCTTTGATTCTTGTAGCCACCCATGGGGTTGTAAGCACCTCCATATCGTTGGGTCACCTCCATAAAGCTTTTTCTTCTGGTTGGAAATTTTCAGCACAGTAAATGTGGTGAGCTAATAGATTATTTTCTTTTAAATAGAATGGGGGTAGTGTCTTAGTCCATTTGGACTGCTGTAACAAAATACCATAAACTTGGTAGCTTATAAACAACAGGAATTTATTTCTCACTGTTTTGAGGTCTGGGAAGTTCAAGATGAAGGTATCTACAGATTCAGTGTCTGCTGAGGACCTGCTTCCTGGTTCTTACATGGATGACTTTTCACTATAATCTGACCTGATAGGAGGGACAAAGATCTCTCTGGGATCTCTTATAAAGTCACTAATCCGATTCATGAGGGCTCCTGTCTTATGACCCAGTCATCTCCTAAAGGCCTCACCTCCTAATACCATCACCTTGGGGATTAGGATTTTAACAGATGAATTTTGGGGAGGGACACAAACTGAACTCAAACCATAGCAGGTAGGCATGTCCAGAGCTAGCTTGTTGTTTGGGGCTTTGAAACTGTGTTGAGCAATTCCCTACATCAGCCATGCTCAGAGATGACTGGAAGATGGGGAGTGGATATAGTAGATATAGACTTTTTTAGGGGGTTTCCCCAAGGATCAAGATCCAAAAAGTAAAACCCAGTTCTTTATGGTGAGGCTTTTGAGCTTTGAACTGAAGACAAGAATTACAGCAACGAATGAGATGCCCAACGGAAATGAATATGGGAGTACTCCCAAAGGTATCAGTAAAAGAAGAGGGTCCCAGAAAAATGGCCACCAGCACAGTTGCAGGGCCCAGTTCTCACAATGTTGTAACACTGGCTTCCATGCTGGCGGGAGGTCACGTTGGTGAGAAGGTTTGGGGTGAGGACAGACATCCCTCACCAAATATAGGGCTTATCAAATTCATGCATTCCAACCATCCTAATAGACAGATGCGTGCCTCACCCATTCTATTGCTGGGATCTTCTCTGCCCATTGAGAGGATCCAAAAGAAACAGCTGCATCAGAAATAGTGGCTTCCTAAAATTCAATTCTATTCTGATATTTGACAAACTGGCAATGTTTGATGCAGAAGATATATCCCTGCTCTGTCACACTCACAACTGTGAGCTGATAAAAGACTTTTTTCCTTGTCACAGCTGCCCAGACATTTTTCATGAACAGAAGTTAGAAAACAATTGATTAAGCTATAATCTCCTGTCTTCCCACACAGTGTCTAGGAATGATGGAGAATGCATGCACTGGAGTTAGACAGTTCCGTGGTTGTAAGATTTGCTCTAGCACCTTCTAGCTGTGCAAACTTGTGAGATTTCCTAATCTGCTTGGAACCTCAACTTCCTTATCTGCTAACGGGGATAATAACAATATTTATCTTGGCAGGATTCAGAGAGAAACTTATTTATTCATCCACTCCAGAAATGTTTTTAGATTCTATTATATGGCAGGCATGTGCTAGCATGTTGGTTTCACAATAGTGAGTAAGTCAGGAACACACTTTGCTTTCATGAAGCTTATATATTCATGGGGAGGCAGGCAATAACTAAGTTAATTTAAAATGGTGATGTGTTATGGAAAAAATACAATAAAGGAACAAGATAAAGAATGACTTAGCATGGGAGGTGGACAGCTTAGTTCGGGATTACCTTTTGGAGGTGGCCTTGAATTAAGAAATGAGGAATGACAAGGAGTGAGCCACGCACATATCTGGGCAAAAGCATTCTCAGCAGAGAGACCAGCAAGTGCAAAGGCCCTGGGGTAGGAAGAGCTTGGCATGCTCTAGAAAATAAAAAGGGCCAGTGTGGGTATAGCATATTAAGTGATGTGGGGGCATGGTCAGAGGTGTAGTCAAAAAGGCAGGCAGGGACCAGATCGTGCAGGGCCTCAGGCTATGATTAGGAGTAAAAAATGCATTCTCAATTCAGTGCCTGGCATAGTCAGTGCTCAATAATCGAATGTTTCCTTTCTTTGCAATTCCTTTCCCTTAAAACAGAGTTGAAACTTGGCTAAGTTATTGAGTGACCATTCTGGTGGCTCCTTCCTCCCCTGGAACTGAAAGGATCTGTTAGTTGCATAACAAGAAAGGTTTTTCTTTTTGCACAATGCCGTAGACCTTGAAAAGGTTCCAAGTAGGAGTTTCATGTCTCAGAGGGAGGAGGAAGATGATGAGATGCTTAGGAGACTATGAGAACCCATTGAGTAGATAGAATAGGAAACTTCAGTTTAATAAGCTTGAGCTTAGATGCCTGTGACAGTCTCTGTCATATAAATAAGAATATGCTGCAATTTATATGAACTGGACTTTAGGAATCTGGAACACTTGAAAAATGAGAACACACATTTTTTATACTTTGCTTCTGGGAGAAGGGCAAAGACGGGAATATAAGTGATAGCAAATAGTGTTTTAAATAAAAATTCCACATGCCAAAGATCTCTGCTGATTCAGTCTAATTTCTAACACTATCTTTAGTCCCAGAATACACAATTCTTAGGCCTGCAAGAATGCTCATCTTTCCAAGAGAGACTCAATTTCTTTGGGGGAATTTATTGACAGTGGGTAGCAATGTGGGCTAAGCTATTGATTCTTTTTTTCTGTTAATAAGGGAGGAAATAAATGGGATTTTCAGTTTCATCCCTCTGCTAACTGGGGGGAAAAAGCCCTCTGCCCATGTGCACTGAGTCCTGGTTAATCAAGTTTTTGCTGTGGTTGGCAGACAAAAGCTGAGCAGATTTTTTTCCAAGTGTGGTGCAAAGTAGGGCTGGATTTTGCTGTAATTTTGTCATTAGACCCAAAAGAAGAAATGACATTAATCAGAGATAATTTTCCTGGGCTTCCCAGAGGGGTATGAAAGGCAGAGTGAACTCCCCATTGCTCTGAAGTGGCAGAGAGTGACCATCCAACAGATGAATTGAACAGATGGGAGGAATTGTCAATGTACAATTGATAAGCACCCTGGTGATGGAAAGGAAGAAACTGCTTAGAAAATGATGTGGGGGATGCATGGAGTAGAGATTTTGCTGAATATTGAAGGCCTCCCTTACCCTTGATTTGGCATCTGCAGAATAATGGTATATAGGGAGGCACTTGGCCAAAATCTCATATGGAAAACAATTAACAAATCAATTACTTTAATATACATTTGTTAAGCATCTCCTATATGATACTATGCTTAGATGATGAATAAAGAAATATATCAGACCTTTTCTCTCTGAAAGCTCTGCCTTCAAGGTGATCAGTAGGGGAGAAAAAGATGGGGAGGCAGGGCATATTAATTATTAAATTCAGGATGATGAAGACCATGACAGAGGTGAAAAAAACACCCTGGTCTGGGAGCTCAGGAATGGCTTTCAGGAGGAGATATCTAGGATGGAATATTTTCTAATTATAGAAATATTACACATTGTCTTATGTTGGGATCTGTTGCTACATACCAGGTGACCCCATGACTTAAGCAGCTTGACTGACCCACATTTATTATCTTATAGTTGTGGGCCAGGAATATGGATGTGAGTTAGCTAGGTCCTCTGCTTCATGGTTTTGCACAAGGCTATAATCAAATGTTGGTGCAAGGTTGTGGTCTCACGTGAAGGTCTGACTGGGGAAGTATCCATTTCCAAGCTCACTCAGTAGTTATTGGCAGCATTGAGCTCTTTGTTGGCTGTTGACTAGAGATGACCTTCATTTCTTTGCCATGTGGGTCTCTTCAATGTGGCAGCTTGCATTATCAAAGCACACAAGGAGAGAAGACAATCTAGAGAGTCTGGTGGCAAGATGGAAGTCAATCTCTTCTATCCCAATCATGGAAGTGACACTCATCACTTTTGGATTTAGAAACATGGCACACTCATGGTGAGGGGATTGTATAAGGGCATTAACAGAGAAGATGCTGGAGATCATTGGAGAACATGTCAAAAGCTGTCTATCAAAGGTCCTAGAAGCAGATCCTGAAATGAGGGCTCATTTAAAACCAGTTTAATAGGAAGTGTTTCCAGGAAAAACCCAAGCAGGTGTGTGATAGCAAACAAAGTCTAGCAGAAGATAACTGTGGCTCAATCTGCAGGGGAGATCTGGAGGCAGCATATTTTGAAGTAATTCCCGTTAAGAAGCAAGGGAGGTGAAGTATTTAAACTCCTCCACCTGTCAATCATTGGCTAAGGGCTGCTCTTGGGCAACATAAATTCCCAGGTGCTTCTAGCTCTCCGTGCATTCAGAGAAAGTGGATTCCAATATTCTGAGGCTGTTGGGAGTGAAAGCACATGGGAAACTGGTGTGCACAAAATCATCAAGGGAGCTGAGGGGATGTGGGAGGGCACTGACAGCATCTGCTGCTCAGGTTCATTGTAAAACATTGTGACAATATGGAAGAGTAAAAAGAAATTGGTAATTCTGCAGGAATGACTGCAACTAGAAGCTAGTCTTAAAGGTTGGGCTGGAATAAATCCAGGAAAGGAGACAGAGAGGAGTAACCTAGAGAGAGGAAACATCGGGGAGGGATATTTGAAGGGGTGCGAGCATAGCACCTTTTAGTAAATCTAAGTAATTAAAAAATAGAGTCTAAGTAAATCATAGAGATCTGAGCCACAGATGGGCATTTTTCACAAAGTGTTTAAGCATTTTTAAGGTAACATTGAAAAATGGCAGGTTCTACAAAAAAAAATCTTAATTTCCTGATTCTTTTGAAAACTCAGAAGAGCTTGCAATGCTGAGTCTGCATTTCTGCTGGGCAAAGGGGCTGGACCTGTGAAGTTGCTCAGTTGTTGAGTTGGGGCATGCCCTTGTGGTTTTGTCCTGGCCCAGCACACTCCACTGAGTCCCTATATGCCCTTGAGATTGAAACCTCTGGTCTGAGTGTGTCTGGCGTTGTGTAAGGTACAGCTGGCAAGAGCTATATTATTAAAAGCCTCAAACATCAAGCTGAGGACTAGGAATGTGTTGTAGGGAAATGGGGAGCCATTGAAGGTTTTAAGTATCTGTATGACATCCGGAGATTTGCTCTCTAGGAAACCCATGTCATTTGGCCCCATTGATGCCCCAAATCAGATCTGGGGATGGGCGATTGTTTAAATCAAACTTTAAAAATGATTCTCAGCCAGACACAGTGGCTCACACCTGTAATCCCAGCACTTCGGGAATCTGGGGCAGGAGAATGGCCTGAGCCCAGGAGTTTGAGGCCAGTGTGGGCAACATGATGAGACCCCTATCTCTAAAAAAAACAAAAAAAATCCTTGGATGTTTAGAATTAGGTTAGTTATAATCCTTGCTCATGACATACTGTCATTATTTCTCTGAGAATGGATCTTTTAGTTTAATTGATTAAAAATTTAATAATCTAATAAATACCCCTGATCTCATCATTCAACCAAGAGCAATCACATTGACAATAACACACATCTATTCCTATTTCACTGTGTAGTGGGTTTCTGCTGTCTTTGCTTACTCATCAACCATTCTCCATTGTAGTAACCTAGTGAAAATTAGATGAGCTTAGACATCATCTAGGACAGCCATTTTTAAAAGAATCTCCCTTTTAAAGAATTTCTCTAACCAGCGATGGGAAATTCACAGCTCCAGCAAGCAGCCAGTTTTATGATAGCTGTTAGAAAGCTGGGCCTGCCTGTAATGCCTGCCCACTGTTTCCAGCTGGGCTGTCTTTTAATTTCCTTCCACTTACCTGGAACCTGGTAAACATAATCTTCATTCAACCTGTATCAAGCACCTGCCTTGTATAAGGCGCTGCAGGGAATACAAAGGTGGTTAAGACAAGGTTTTTTTCTGCCCCTGTGGAGTTCATAGTTTAGCAGAGGAGATAAGACAAATACACAAATAATTATAATACAATGTCAAGAGTGCTGTGTACTATAAGAGAGAAACAAGCAAAGTGTTATTGAAATTCAGAGAGAGAGAGAAAGAGACAGAGATTAATTCCAGGTAGAGGAAGTTGGAAAAGCTGCATGCAAGAAGTAGCACTGGGGCTGTGCCTTGATGGGAGGTGAAGGTGATGGTTTTACAGACTGGGGAGAGGGAACCAGAGAGTGCTATCCATACAGAGGAAAAAACATGGACAAAGATGTGGAGGTGGGAGAGTGCAGGGCTGATGACCCCCAGGGACTGTGGACATAGATCCTCATTGGCCAGGAGTCTCACTGTAGAAGTCAAAGTCTAAAGCAGATGCAAGGGTACTGGGGCCACAGCCTCTCACAGTATGAATTGTTCACCTGCCAGTATTCAACATTACTAATTCTTCCTCATCCTCCTCCTCCAGGAAGCCTTTGATACTTCCCCAGGTTGGCTTAGGCGCCTCCCTGTATACTCCTTAATTTCCCTGGGCTTATGTTTGTCATAGGCTTTAGCTCTGTCCTGTCCTGGTCATGGCTCTAATGTGATTGTGTCTTGGCCTCCTCCCTAAGACCATGAGCAATTGAGGGCTGGGATAATGACTTCTACACCACCGCCTCCCCAGTGCTTAGCACGGTGCCCGGCGTAAGGTAGGTCTTCATTATACAGTTACTAAGTGAATGAATGCTATTTTGGTCCTATTGCTGCCTACCTCTGTCCCTCATTATCCTGCCCATTAGACTTGGAATATGTATTTAGCTCTCTCTACTTTTTTCTCAGCTATCATTCAAGGTCTTGACTTTGCCTTTTTATAGTATATATTTTCATTTTATGCATTACCTATGGAATCAGATTCAAACTCTCATTCTGGTCCAACCTGCAAAGTCACAATCTGGATAAAGCCCATTTCTTCAGCCGACCTGGTCTGCTTTGAGCCCCAATATACCCCTCCTTAGGCATTTTTCAATTCAACGATTATTTATGGAGTGCCTACCCCATGCTGGGAACACACAATGAGGGCAGTGTTAGGATGTCCCTGGGTTAACTCACATTTGGCTGTATCTCTGAATCTCACTAGAAAAACTCAGAGGCTGGAGAAAATGGCAAGTTCCCACGGAGGAGAGAGGTCTGATATATCAGCCAGATTAATTCTTCCAGTGCCACTATTAGATGAGTGCTTGGGTCCATCAAGCAAGTCCTGATGGCAGCTACCTCTTCCGATACTCATCTGGGAATCTATCTGGGCTCTTTCAGGGGGAACAGGAGATTGTAATTCTGAAGTGGAACAGAAAGAAATGTAATTGGATCAATGGGCTATTAATGATGCTATTGAAGAGTGCTCTGCCAGAGCTGTGTTGTGAATGGGGCTGGCCACAGAGAACCCGGCCACGGCCACGTGCGAGCTCGACTTTGACACAAAGCCTTCTGCACACTGTGAAGGTTTTTTTTTTTTTGTATGTGTGATCTCATATAATTCTTTATAATTTTCCCTGGCCAGAAAGACTGTTTTAGTGGGGTCAGGTAAGGCCTGCTAGGCATTTGGCTATGTGTCTGCGGATGGGAAGAAAGATTCACATGGATATTTGTGCTGTATAGGGTGGTTGCAGGCATCAGATGACCTCCTGTTTGTGGCTGAGTTATTTCTGACGGGCAGAAATGGGAAGCAAAGTGAGTGCTCATCCATGGGGGAGTGGCTGACTAAGCAATGGGGCTTCCACCTATGGACTGGTACGTGCCCAATAAGGACAGTGAAGGTGAGTGATATCAGGGGTATTGGGGGCTTTCTTTTCTTTTTCTTTTTTTTTAGTTTAATGGGGTACACCTGCAGGTTTTTTACATGGGTATCTTGCATGATGCCGAGGTTTGGGCTTCTGATGATCTCGTTGCCCAAGTAGCAAACTTGGTACTCAATAGGTAATATTTCAGCCCTTGCCCCCTCCTTCACTTCCCCCTTTTGGAATCCTCAGTGTCTCTTGTTCCCGTCTTTCTGTCTTTGTGTACCCAGTGTTTAGTTCCCGCATGTAAGTGAGAATGTGCAGTATTTGGTTTTCTGTTTCTGCGTTAATTTGCTTAGGATAACAGCCTCCAGCTGCATCCATGGTGCTATAGAGAACATCATTTTATTCTTTTTTTGTGGCTGTCTAGTATTCTGTGGTATATATGTACCATATTTTCTTTATCCAGTCCACCACTGATGGACAGCTGGGTTGATTCCATGTCTTGGCTATTGTGACTAGCACTGCTATAAAGATATGAGCACAAGTGTCTTTTCGGTAGAATGACTTATTTCCTTTGGGTACATATCAACGATGGGATTGCTGGGTCCAGTGAAAGTTCCATTTTTAGTTCTTTGAGAAATCAACTTGGAGGGCTTACAACAAGGAATTGTTGAATACATGGGAACGGTTGGTAGAATATGATCCCATTTCTATAAAACAATGATTGCCCACACTCGTGTGTCTGTATGGCTGTCTAGAATTAAATGAGGATGGACACTATATAGAAGACCACTGACTGGACTGTCAGTACAGGTTTTCTGGTGGGGCAGGTGTTGGAGCAGGTGGGGAGATGGCAATGGGGGTGAGAATAGAGGGGCAGGGCAAATGAGCCAAAATTGGTAGCAAAAAAAGTTTGCCATCTCTCTCTCCCTGTCTCCTCCTCTCTCTCTGTTTCTGCCTCTCTCTCTCTCTCTCTGCTTGTCTCTGTCTCTTTTTCTCACACACACACACACACACACACACACACACACACAAAGGAATGCTCACTTTTTATGCATTTATGTAAAATTTATATATACATGGATATATATGTAAGGCTAAATAATTGGAAAAAGGTACAAACAAGAATCAAGGGACATATTAACATTTCATTTATAATTGACACATATAATTATACATGTTTATAAGTATAGTGTAATATTTTGATACATATATACATTGTATAATGATCAAACAGGGTAGCCAGTGTGTGTCCATCACTTCAAACCTTTACCGTTTCTTTGTGGTGATCATTTTCAAGCTCCTCTTCTCTGACTATCTTGAAATATGCAATGTATGGTCATTAGCTCCAGTCGCCCTACTGCGTAATAGAACACAGGAACTTATTCTTCCTGATTAACTTTGTACCCCTTGGCCGACCTATCCCCATTGCTCCTTCTATGTCCCTTCTCCTGCCTCTAGTAAGCATCAAGTGACATTATTTATTTTTATGCACAAAACATGTATCGGTGGCACACTCTGTGCCAGGCATTTTGCTTGGTATGAGCAATACAGTGATAAGACCCAGGATCTATCCTTTAGAAAGTATTTTGTAATCTCTCTCTCTATGTATAAAACAACTAGCAGGGTGCAGTGGCTCATGCCTGTAATCCCAGCACTTTGGGAGGCCGAGGCAGGTGGATCCCTTGAGGCCAGGAGTTCGAGACCAGCCTGGCCAACATGGCTAAACCCCGTCTCTACTAAAAATGCAAAAAAATTAGCCAGGTATGGTGGCACATGCCTATAATCCTAGCTACTGGGGAGGCTGAGGCAAGAGCATCACTTGAATCTGGGAGGCAGAGGCTGCAATGAGCTGAGATCGTGCCACTGCATTCTACCCTGGGTGACAGAGTGAGACCCTGTTTCCAAAAATAAAAATAAAAAAAATAAAATACAAATTAGAGTGGTTTCCAATTCTGGCTACACGTTGGAGTCACCACTGAGGGCTGCAGCTTTAAAAAAATACTAAAGGCCAGGGTCCCACCCTAGACTAATTAAATCAGAATCTAGATTGTAGGGACCTGAAGTTTCAAAAATCTACCCTAATGTAAAGATTGACAATGGTTGAGGGTGATTGTCTTAGAACCTGAATTCTAATACTGTAAGATGTATTATCTTAGACTCAAATATCTGTTAGTAACTTTAGGCTAGGCTTTTGCACAGATTGCTTTTATTTAATAAAATGCAAATGCAATTTCAGCCGTGTGGAAGCAGTACCTAAATGGCTGTGTGGACCCATCATTCCCAGGGTGCTGAACTAAAGGGGCAACCAGGGAGGATGCTAAAGGTTGATGGCTAAGGGTGGTTTGATCTCATGACCCCTCCCTGTGGTTTCTCAAGGCCGCTCCCTGCCATCTGCTGAAGGTTGGTTGTTTGGCTTGGTGACGTTCAGAAAAAAGCAGTACCCCCTTGGACCGCTCTCTTATGTGGCTGAAGCAGTGTGGTTCTGAAATTAACTGGAGGATTTACCTCCTCTGAGATGTTGGCACTTCCTAATGAATTGTTTTCCCACTTAAAAATACACACTCATGTCATTTAAGGAAACTCAACAGGTGAAGCCCAGTAATTAAGGATCTCTGCAGGAAGAGGAAACTGAAAGCAGCAGCTGGATCTCTTCTTAACAGCACCATTAATCAGCACCACCTGCACAGGGAAAGCCAGGCATCAATTGCTATGCAAGCCCAGAGGGCCAGGCTAGTGTCCCAGTCAGGATGGTCACTGTCCAGCATGCATTTCAGGGTTGTGGAAGAGAAGGTACAGGGCCCCAGCTGTGGTGAGGCAAGCGGGGTGCTTAGGATGCAAATTAAAGCTGCATTCACCCTGCACTTGCCTGAACTTGGATTCTAGGTACCCTGCTCTTAAGGAAGTACCCATTCTTAGGGTCATGCTTGTGCAGTCAGCCCCTGAGAGTGAGTGCCACCTTAAGTGTTGCACTTTCTTGCCTGATCATAGTTCAAGCACTGGAAAGGCGTGTTGGTTTGGGGACTGTTTGAATCTTCACTTTTCCACTTTCTAGCTCAGTGATTTAAAGCTAGTGATAATGTTTCTCTCTGAGCCTCAGTTTCTTCATTTGGAAGATGAAGAAATGAATGTAGCATATCATATGCCAAGGTGCAGGTTTAATAGTTGACATTACTATTATTTAATAGAAAACTTCTATTTCAAAAGTTGGCTGCTATTTGAATTAGTTGACCTAGGAGTATCATGAGGAATCCTTCTGAGACAACTGCATATTTTCTTTTCCCAGAAAAAATACTTTAATTGGTGTGGTTTTCTTATTTGCAGGGAGGTTTCCTCTGGAGTACGGTAGAGATGAGAAAAGCTTAGATTAAGAAGAGTTGCATTGGTATGCATGACAAAAAAATAGTAATTTGAGGTCTTTTCCCAGCTCAGGGAAAGAGGGTCTTGGGTGTACTGACCATTGCGAAAAATTAGAAGGAAATAGAGAAGAGACTTGGTGGAGGACCCCCCCACCCCCCACCAAAATGACAGCAGTTGGGCTTTAAGGAAAGGTTGGGGAATGTAGGATTCAAGAGACTTAGTAGAGGATCCCCCCAAAATGACAGCAGTTGGACTCTGAGGAAAGGCTAGGGAATGTGGAATTCAAGAGACTTGGTAGAGGACCCCCCAAAAATGACAGCAGCTGGGCTCTGAGGAAAGGCTAGGGAAGTGAAATTTCCTACGGCAGGGGTGAGTGAAGAACTTCAAGACAGAGATAAGTAACTTTGTGGAAGTCATGGCTTATTGCATGCTGTAATCCCCCTCCATATCCTGAGAGCTTCAGTAAAGTCAGCGGCATGAGACAGCTCTGTCTTAGAGATCATTGGGAGAAATGAAGGAAGAGACAGGTTCCATTGTGAGTTACAGCAGGATGGAGAGAGGCCATCAACAGAGCTCACTACAGAGAGGTAAGAAATCTTCAGGAGTGGGAATTCAGGCTGAGGTGTGAGTTTGAGCAGGAAACCCTTGAAAACTGGGCCAAACCAAGTTGGAATGAGCAATTTCATACGTGTATCCCAAGCACTTAGGATAATGTCTGGTGCCTAGTAGGTGCTTTGTAATTATCGGTGGAATTATTGATGTTAACAGAGGGCCAAGAGGGATTAGTGAGCAGGAATTTCAGGCAGGCAATTTTCAGCCTAACGTAATGTAAGTTGCTTGGAGAAGTAATGACTTCCCTGTCACTAAATAGGTGAGGTGCATGAAAGGCTGGACTAGCTGAGTTCAAGCTTGTCTGGACTAGATAGCTTCTAAACTCATCTGTCAGTTGGATGTACACTGGTTCAGTCCATGTTTTTAAGACTGGATGGGCCTGAGTTAAAAGACTGACTCCTGCAACTAGCTGTGTGACATTGAGTAAGTCACCCAATTCCTCTGAGCCTCAGACTCCCATTTGTAAAATCAGGAAGGTGGGAGTGCCTACCCCGTGGAGATGCCTGATCCCTGGAGGGTTAAAAGAGAAGATGTCGGTAATGTATGTAAATGGCTTAGAGCATTTCCTCCCTGCCAGTAAGTGTATCCTTAAGAATACATAACACCTCAGAGATTGTACAGCTCTGTTACTCTCATTTCTAAGGCTGGGGCTGGTGAAGTATCTTCCCACAAGTCTGAGAATGCACAAATGAAACCTAAGTTTTCTGACTCCCATCCTACTCCTCATCCACTTCACTGGCGTGACTCCACCACACAAAGAGGAATGGATTGGCCTGCTAGGGCTGGGTGAGGGGCAGGCATTTCTCAGAAGACCCAACCTCCTGAAGGCCTGATGACAATAGAGGTGCTATCCAGTGAAGTCATAAACAACCAATAATCTAGATTTTCTGAGTTATTGGAAGGGCACCAGAGGAGAAACAGTGGTCACGAGGAGTTGCATTTGTCCTCACTGGAAGGAGAATCTTTAGTTAAGGGACATTAGTTTGTTTCTTAAACAAGGATGGATACACAAGGGCAGACCATCACCTTATGCTATGGTGGAGGAATACTTTTGTCTGGAGATATTTCATCAAGCAGTGGCTGTAAAGGTTGCTTATTGTGAGCCACTAGGCTGTGTGTGCATAGAGTAGGAGCTCCATAAGTACTTGTTTAATGAATGGATAGTTTCCACTACTAATTGCTTCACCTGTCTACTTGACAACCATAGGCATAGGAAGAGACTTGTAGCTACCATCTGTATTAGTTATTTATTCCCGCATAACAAATTATCCAAAACTTAATGGCTTAACACAACCACCTTGTTGGTTTACTTACAATTCTGTGAGTCAACAATTTGGGCTGAGCTCAGGTGAGTGGTTCTTCTGTTGGTCTTTCCTGGGGCTATTCCTATTCTGCACACATCTGGGGACTCCATTAGAGACAGATTGTCTATGATGACTTCACTCCCAATTCTGGCATTTGGGGCTGTCTATTGGCCAGACCTTGCTTCACATAGTTTCTCACCCTCAAGGAGTCTAGCCCAGACTCCCCATATGTCAGTCTCAGGGTAGCATTTCAAGAGGGATAAGGTAGACGTTTCTGGCCTGTTGTGGTGTAGGCTGTGAATTACCATAACATCACTTCTTTGAGATTTTCTTGGTCAAGGCAAATCACATGACAAGGACTCAAGAGGGTAGAGAAATAGGTTCTACTATTTAGTGGAAAGGACAGCAAAGTGACATCACAAAGAGGAATGCATATAGAGATGGGGGGAATATGTGACCAACTTTAGTAATCACTGTAATTCTGAATTGACTCACAAACACTATCAAGACGGATCATTGTCATACCCTAGTTCAAAAAGCAGTCCTTGCAGCAATACAGAACAGATAGAAGTGAAGAGAATGTGATTTTGCTAAAAATGACATATTTACATGACCAGTGATGGGTGAGACCTATGAAAAATCCCCAGAGATTCTCAAGAACTCATAAAGTGCATTTCCATATTTATGTAGAATATCAATCTCCTGCTGTCTTTGACTTCACCTAGTATATTCCTAGGTATGTGTATCTAAGCCCAAGTTGGTCTCACGTTTTTGCCTACTTCCGAGTCAATATGTGACATGCCATCCCACCTTTTTGTGTTACCACATTATTATAACATAAGGGGTGGTTATGTTTCCTGGTTATCTTGAGCTCGAGCAGGTCCTTCTTGGTGATAGCCCATTGGTTTCTTCCAAGTGTGCCCATGTCATGCTATTTTTCTCCAATCTAAATCTTGCCAGGAACTAAGCATTATGTCATCATCTCCTTTACATACCTGTTGGTGTTAAATCAACTTTTATAATTTTCCCTTGTCCTAGTATTTTTGGGATATGCCTGTTTTTTTCTCAGGTAGTTAAGTCTGTCTATTTAAAAAGTAATATTGAACCTGAACACTCTCATCTGTTTTAGGTCTCCATTCAAAAGTCACTTTTCTGGTGAGTCCTTTCCTGACCCTATTCTTTAAGAACTGGAACTCTTTCCAGCCGGTCCCAAGCCCCTTTACTTGATGTTTCTCTCCCCATAGCACTTAACACCATCTATAATTCTATATATTATTTTTAATTTTTATAGTCTCTCTCTAAGCTCCGGGAAGGTAGTGGATGTTTGTTTGTTTTGGTTACTGTTATAACAAACAGTTATAAGCTGGAGCAGTGCCTGACCTAAAGTAGATAATAAATACTTGTTGCAAAAATAAATAATTACCTCTCTCTCTTTAACGATGTCTCTATTTGTCTGTATCTAGTTCTGTCTATATCTATCTCCATCTATACATCCATCCATTTTTCCATCCATCCATCCATCCACCCACCCATCCATCCATCCATTCATCTGTCCGTCCATCTGTCCATCCATCCATCCATCCATCCATCCATCCATCCATCCATCCATCCATCTGTCCATTTGTTCATCTGTCCATCCATTCATCCATCAACCTACCCACCCACTCACTCATCCATCCATCATGCTAGTGAGCCTGCCTAGTTAACACTGTCGCATGTTTTAAAAAATAGAATAACTGAAAACTAGGAGCAGATCAATTAATATCAGAGAGTTTCTGTGGATCCTCAGGCTCCTTTCTCTGACTGAGCATCTGTCTTTGAGGCAAGGGAAGTCTGTGGTGAAAATGAAGGCAATTCTTCAGTGAAAGAGAGACCAGGTCTTGCTACATCTGAGGGACATCATTAGGGAGCAAAAGCTCTTTCATGCCTGAAACTTTAAAAATTGAAACTGCATATATTAAATAATTTCTCTTTTTAATCTCAGAAGCTTTGGTGGCAGTGGGCTGGGAGAGTCATTGCAGTAGGGTGAGAATCTTCCATCTTTATTTTATTCTTGAGATTTGTGAGTTGTTCTCTGCCCCTGTGTACTTTGGGGGTCTTCTCTGTTTTTAAGCATTTGCTGAGAAAAAATTTTTTTTTTCTGGTGACTTTTGGTTATTAGACAGTCAGGCCAAAAGTGAGAGAAAAAATACATTCAGGTCAGTTTTCTGGGACTAGTTTTGTTTTAATAACAATGACATTCGAGGAATCCACTTTGTTTCCCTGTCACTGGTGGCCAGTTTCTGCCTCATGGGGTGGAGGTGAGGGCAGAGTTTCCTTGTGGCTGCATTCCTGAGAGCATCATTAGAAACAGAATGCTCAAGCCATTGTTTTGTTTGGCTCATACAGTATTGATTTTATTTTGCTTCTATCCATCCATGTGTCCATTCATCCATCCGTCCATTCGTCTATCCATCCATTCATCCGTCGGCCTACCCACCCACTTATTTATCCATCCATCATGCTAGTGAGCCTGCCTGGTTAACACTGTTGCATGACTTAAATAATAGAAGAATTGAAAACCAGAAGCAGATCCTAGTTTTAAAAAAATTATTTTATTTTATTTTTTTGGATCACAGGCTCGTGGCACATCCACATGGGTCTCTGCAAGGACCCAGGGCAAGGGAGAATTAACATAGTCAGCATGAGGTTGCCATCTTTAGAAAGGCTTGCTTTCAGGCTTGGCTCTTCACTGGCATCTGGGAACTTGGCTTTTGCATTGTTATCTAACTATGTAAAACACTGTTTTGCCCGCTTAGCTCCCAGAATACCTGCTTCGCGCCCAGAATACCTGCTTCCTTTCCAGGAGCCTGGAATTTCAATAGTTGTTTCTAGTTTTTGTGCTTATGTGACCAGCTCTCAATAAAACACCCAAACTTTGAGCCTAAACGTGGGCTTCTCTAGGCAGAAACACTGAAGAGGTGTTGCCGAAAGAACATATTCACCGTGATCCCTAGGGCTAGAGAGAGGTGGGGAGAACACTGGGAGTCTGTGCATGGATTCTTCCAGATTCTACCTGCTGTGTGTCCCTTGCCCCTTGCCGATCCTGTAATAAACCATAGCTGTGAGTACAATCGCTTCTCACTCCTGTAAGTCTTCCTAGTTGCATTATCAAATGTGTCTCTCACTGATTTGTCTCTGGGTTCATTTCCTTTCATCCCCACCACCTCACTCTAGTTACTTACATTTCCTACCCTTAATAGGCCATCGTGTGTGCTTAATGTATATCTTTTGTTTGTGTATATTCTTGAAGAATATTGTGTGCGCGTATTTGTTTATTCCTAATATAGTTATTAATTGTGGAATATGACTCTGAATCAATATCTCATTTATTTTATACTTTAAGTACATATAGTAAAGTTGACTCTTTTTTTGATGCATGGTTCTATGAATTTTAACACATATATAGATTAATGTAACCACTTTGAGCACAATTAAGATACCGAACACTTTCATCATTCCAAAGAAGTCCTTCATGTTATTCCTTATAGTTGCATGCTTCCCCCACCCATAGTCCCTGGCAACCACTGATCTGTTTCCATCATTATGCTTTTGTCTTTTCAAGAAAGTCATGTTGTGGGCTGAATGTTTGTGTCCTCCTGCAAATTCCCATGCTGAAATATAATCCCCAATATGATGCTATTTAGAAGTGAGGCTTTTGGAAGATAATTAGATCATGAGGGTGGAGCCCTCATGAATGGGATTAGTGCCCTTATAAAAGGGACCCCAGAGAAGTCTCTCATGCTCTTTCTACCACTTGAAGATATAATGGGAAGTTGGCCATTTGCAACCTGGAGGAGGGCCCTCAATCTAGAGGAAGGCCCTCACCATGCTGGCCCCCTGATCTTGAACTTTTAGCCTCCGCAACTGTGTGAAATAAATTTCGTTTGCTTATAAGCCACCAAGTTTATGGTATTTTGGTATATAGCAACCTGAATGGACTAAGATAATAACCTTTTGAGGCTGACTTATTTCACTCAGGATAATGCCTGTGAGATTCATTCTGGTTATTATGTATCAGGAGTTTGTTTGTTGTTTAATTGCCAAATAGTATTCCATGGTGTGGATGTTTGTTTATCCACTTCCTCTTTGGAGGCTATTTAGATTTTCTCCAGGTTTTGCTAACTATGAATAGAGTGTCTATAAATTTGTGTATCTGTGTATAGGTTTTCCTTCCTTCCTTCCTTCCTCCCTCCCTCTCTTTCCTTTTCCTTTTCCTTTTCTTTCCCTTCCCTTCCCTTCCTTTTCTTTTCTTTTTCTTTTTTCTCTTTCCTTTTCTTTTCTTTTGTTTCTCCTTTTCTTTTCTTTTGATGGATTCGGCTCAGTGGCACCATCTTGGCTCACTGCAACCTCCACCTCCGAAGTTCAAGCAATTCTCCTGCCTCAGCTTCCCGAGTAGATGGGATTACAGACACCTGCCACCACGCTCGGCTAATTTTTGTAATTTTAGTACAGATGGGGTTTCACCATATTGGCTAGACTGGTCTCGAGCTCCTGACCTCAGGTGATCTGCCTGCCTTAGCCTCCCAAAGTTCTAGGACTACAGGTTTGAGCCACCCGTACCCAGCCCTGTGGATGGGTTTTTGTACAAACGTGTTTTTATTTCTTTAGGGCACCTGGGGGTGAGATTACAGGGTCACATTATAAGTGTATATTTAACTTTATAAAAAACGGCCAAACTGTTTTCCAGAAGGGCTATGTCATTTTGCTTTCCTACTGGCAGTATATGAAAATTCCTAATTACTCTGCATGCTTGCCAGTGCTTGGTATTGTCAATTGAATCCATATCTTTTGAAAGTCCTCCATCCTAAGTTTTATTTGTAGTTAAGGTATAATTAACATAAAGAGCACAGACCTTATGTGGACTGCATGATATTTTCTTACATACGTATAGATCTTGTGTAATCACCACCTAGATGAACATATAGAATATTTCTGACCCTGCAGGAGTCTCCCTGTCAATCCTTAAAGTCTATCCTTTCCAGCCGGGCGTGGTGGCGGGCACCTGTAGTCCCAGCTACTCGGGAGGCTGAGGCAGGAGAATGGTGTGAACCTGGGAGGCGGAGCTTGCAGTGAGCCGAGATCACGCCATTGCACTCCAGCCTGGGCGACAGAGCGAGACTCCGTCTCAAAAAAAAAAAAAAAAAAAAAAGTCTATCCTTTCCAAAGGACATTAGTGTAATGACCTCTAACACTGTTGATTAGTTTTGCCTGGTTTTGAACTTCATGAAAGGAGGCATTCTGTGTCTATTCTTTGTGCCTGGCTTATTTTGCTTAATGGGATGTCTATGAGATGCATCCGTATTTTCATTGTTGTATTGTATTCTATTGTATGCATATACCTCAATTTCTTTATTAACAACTGGCTGTTTCTGGTTTGGGGCTATTATGGATTAAATGTGTACATGTCTTTTGGTGGACACAAACACTCATATCTCTTGAGTATAATTCCAGGAGTGGAATTTGCTGGTTCAAAGTATTTATATTGAGCTTTAGTAAATACTATCAAATAAATTTCCAAAGTACATGTGCCAATTTACTCTCCCAATGTGTACACTTTGAAAAAGATTGATGCATGTGGAATTGTATTAATCGTCTCATGCTGTTTTTGTTTTTTTTTTTTTAACTCCCCCTCCTCACTCTCATTAAAGCTGTAAGGTCCATCTCTATTGCTATTTGTACATCTAAAATGTTACTTCTGGCCAGGCACGGTGGCTCAAGCCTATAATCCCAGCACTTTGGGAGGCCGAGGCAGGTGGGTCACCTGAGGTCAGGAGTTCAAGACCAGCCTGGCCAACATGGTGAAACCCCCCTCTACTAAAATACAAAAAATTAGCTGGGCGTGGTGGCAGGCACCTGTAATTCCAGCTATTCAGCAGGCTGAAGCAGGAGAATCACTTGAACCCAGGAGATGGAGGTTGCAGTGAGCTGAAATCATGCCACTGCACTCCAGCCTGGGCTGGAGTGAAACGCCGTCTCAAAAAAAAAAAAAAGAAGAAAAAGAAAAATTAAAAAAAAAAGGTCACTTCTAATACCCCACGGTATTTGCTCATCCACTTTTATCTGCCTAGTTCCCCAATGATAGACAACCTCGTTACCTCCACCTTCCACAAATAACCTTGCAATGATTATTTCTGTATGTGTCTTCCTAAGGAGCTTTGTAAGACTTTCTTATAGAACTGCTGGTCCTTGGGTCTGTGAATCTTCCTTTGACTAAATAGTAACAGGTCACACCAGCATACCCTCCATCAGCTGTGCCTGAGGGTTCCTATGTCCCCACTTTTCTGCCAATATTTGTCCTTTTTGAAATTTGTCTGCTTGCGAGGTGTGAAATATCTCATTAATGTTTTAATTTGCATTTATCTGCATACAAATACATTTTAACATCTCTTTATATATATGTTTAATGTTTATGCAGGGTGAGCTGTGTTACTTAAAAGCAGCATTTTTCAACCTTGGCACTGTTGGCATTTTGGGCAGGAAAATTTGTTGTTGGGGACAGGGGCAGGCTGTCCTGTGCACTGCTGTATGTTTTGCAGCATCCCTGGCCTCTACCCACCAAATACCAGTAGCACCGTCCACCCCAGTTGTGACAACCAAAAGTGTCTCCCGATATTGCGAAATGTCCCTTAGGGAGCAAAATTGCCCCGGTTGAGAATCAGTACTGTAAAGGGACCAGATGGAGCAGACACTGATTAAGAATCAAATAGCATTGGTATAAGCCATTGAATTTAGCATTGGATAGTGGAGTTAGACGGGGATGGAAATTTGGGTTCCTAGGATGTCAAATTATTATCTTCTCTGACCTAACTAATACCAGTAGCATCAAGATCTGGAGTTCTAGTCCTTCACATTTTCTTATTCTCATTACCCATTGACTTCTGTCTTAGAGATTTGCAGCTTGAGAGCCAGGCAAACCTGGCTGACAGTGTCACTTAAGGGGATGGTAGGGCACAGAAGTGGGGGATTGAGAAGGTCAGGCTAGGGGACGTACCCAGGGGAGCCAATCAGAGAACGATTCCAATTGCAGTTGAGGCAAAATGAGGCAGATGTGGCTGGAGAAGCTGTGCTCCTTTTCAGAGCTAGAGGTGAACCTTGGGGTCTGGAGTTGGGTAGATCAGGAGCCGAGAGGTGCAGGGAAAGTGGCCCTGTGTACCTTTGTGGTATTGGAGGCTTGCTTTTGGGGATGCCAGAGGCACCACTGGCCTTCTTCTTCTTTTTTTTTTGAGACAGAGTTTTGCTCTTGTTGCCCAGGCTGAAGTGCAATGGCGCGATCTCAGCTCACTGCAACCTCTGCCTCCCGGGTTCAAGCGATTCTCCTGCCTTAGCCTCCTGAGTAGCTGGGATTACAGGCCTGTGCCACCATGCCTGGCTGATTTTGTATTTTTTTAAATAGAGACAGGGTTTCTTTATATTGGTCAGGCTGGTCTCGAACTCCTGACCTCAGGTGATCCACCTGCCTCGGCCTCCCAAAGTGCTGGGATTAAAGGTGTGAGCCACCGTGCCTGGCGGCCTGGCCTTCTTTTATCTTTCCTGAACACTATGAGGTTGTTCCTGCCTCAACACCTTCAGGCATGATATTCCCTCTGCCTTGAAGGTTCTTCCTTTTAGGCTCAAGGTGGCGAAATTCTTCTCACCATTTGGGTTTTGGCTCGAATATCACTTTGGGCCAATCTGTTGTTTACTGCCATATTCCTAGCCTTGAGAACGGTGTTGAATGAATTATAAATTTACCATGATTGTCATTTTATAAATGAGAAAAAGATTTAGAGAGCTGAGATAACTTGTTTAAGGTCACATAGCCATTAAGTGGAAGAGTTGGGATTTGAACTCATGGTCTTCAAAGCTGTGGTCTTACCACTATACTATATTTAACCTCTGCGATGAAGGAAGAAGTATATATTTAGTCTTTGTCCTGGTTCCTGACACAGAACTTCTAAAACCCTTGGAATTTCCTGAATGATGGGTTTAGGGGAGCATCTTTTGTTGTTCATAACAAGTCCCTTTCAACGATTCCTGAGTTTTCGCAAATGAGGGGACTCTTGGTGAGCTCTAGATAGATTCAGGATGGGGCTGGCTATAGAGAAACCAACCTCATGATTAAAAGGTTGGAGGAGCTATTAGGCTCATTGCCCACCCCAAATCTTACTTCCCACCTCAAGGAGAGGAGAGAGGCTGAAGTCAACAACCATTGACCTAATCACCAAATAGCCAATGGTTTAATCACACCTATGTAGTGGAACCTCCATAATACTAAAGGATGGGGTTCAGAGAGCTTCTGAGTTGGTGAGTGCATGGAGCTGGGAGGCTGGTGTGCATGGGGCCCTTCTCCCATCCTTCCCCTATGCTTCCCTTCCATTGGGCTGTTATTGACTTTCATCCTTTATAATAAACCAGTAGTAGTAATTAAAACACTTTTCTGATTTCTGGGAGTCATTTTAACAAATTATCAAACCTGAGAGTGGGTTGCAGGAACCCCCGATTTATAGCTGGTTGCTTAGGAGTACAGGTAGCAACCTGGGATTTGCAACTGGCCTCAGAGGTTGGGGGCCTTCTTGTGGGTTGGAACCCTTCACTCATAGGGTCTGACGGTAACACCAGGTAGGCAGTGCCAAAGTTTAATTTAATTATAGAATACCCAATTGGTATCCACAGAGAATTGGAGGATTGTTTAGTGTGAAAATTCCCGTACATTAGGTGTGTAAAAAGTTCATAACTTCCATCTGTGAAATAAGATGATAACTCCTATCCAAATTAGCAAATATTCAAGCATGAGTCTGGCAATGCCCTAGACACTGGGATACCATGGGGAAGAAGAAGGCAAGGGCTCTCGCTTCGTGGAACCCACAGTCTGGTGATTCACTGCAAGAAGAGTGTGGTGAGTGCAGACAGGGGACACCTGGGGAGCAGGCGCTGGCCAGAGTTGAAGACTATGGCATGATGGAGAGGACTGTTCTAGGAAGAGACGTCATATGTGGCAAGAACCTGGTGACTTTGAGGAGCTGACAAAAGTTCTAGTTCACTGGAGGGTAGATGAGCAGTTCAGGGGTGGAAGATGGAGTTCCTCAAGGTAAGAACCAAAGGGACAGAGAACTTGAACTTTATCCCAAGGACACCAACCTATAACAGAGACTCAGGTCTCAGAATATTGAAGACATCTGGCGTCAGGGCATTTCTAGGTAGCTCTTATTTGCCTTCGTAACCAAAATACCCACCCCCGGTTTGATGGTGTTTCTTAGCTAGGTGGCCATATGGGGGCCCAGCCTCAGGAGGTAAATTAATTAACCATTTAATTAACCACCCAATCAATCAGTCAATCAATCAGATAACTAGCCAACAAATTAACTCAGCAGTTAGGTACTGAGTGCCTGATATATGCTACATACTGTTCTAGATGATTGGTGAGGGAACATTGAATGAAAAAGCACAGGTCCTGCCTTCATGGGGTTTCTCAGGGGAAGAAAGAGTAAATGGATAAGTACAATGTGCAGTGTGTCAGGTGGGATAAGAGTGGCGGGAAGGGATACAGCAGGAGGGAATAGCAGGTGACAAGGAGGAGAGAGGCTTACAGAAATAAATAGAGTGAGAGAGAGGTGACATTTGAGCAAAGTCCAGAGGGAGCTCAGGGAGAGAGCAGGTGCAAATGACCTTGAAATGGAAGCGTCCTTGACATGTTTGAGAAGTGGCAAGGAGGTTGGTGGGGCTGGAGTGCAGGGAGCCTGGTGGTCAGTAGTTGAGATCAGATGGAAAGAAGCAAAGCCCACCGTCTCTGGAACTTGAGAACAAGCATCCCTAAAGCCCTCCTGGAAATTGTAACAAGGTTTTCCAGGCTGTGGACCTGTCAGCTGAAGCAGTTGGTGCTGACTGGCTGGTGTTAATTACATGTCTCCAGCTCTAGCTCCTCATCCAGGGTGGCTTAACTTGGATTAAGTCTTTGATTTAATGCAAGGTTTGTGTCCCATGTGCTTAAGAATGTGGCTTGATTTAACTGTGGAATCTATAAATTGACCTTCCAGCTGGGGATCTTCTTTTTAATCTTTCAATTAGATCTAAAGATGCTCACTCTGTTTGCAGAGGGATAGATACCATTGCATGTCAAGGACTTTCACATCTGTATAGGAGACCCAGGGGAGATTCAGTTGACTTGGGCTATTCTTAGAAGAAGCCCTAGCTGTTCTGGGGATAACCTTCTCCTTTGCAATATACCCTACGTACCTATCAGGAGGCAAAATAAGAAAACCCCAAGCAAGAACTTAAAGGGAGAAAAACACTAACACGGAGGCTCAGTTTTCTTGGCATGAAAAAATAGCCTATTGTTTTTTGCTTAAAAAAATAAGAGGAAGAGGGGTTGGGAAGAGATACCTCCAGGTTTGGCCATTCAGTCATTCAGACTATTTATTGAATAACTTTCATGTGGCAGTCACTCTCCTGGGTGTTGATATGACAGTGAGCAAAATGGACAAAAGTTCTTGACCTCATAGATCTACATTCTAGTGGGATGGTGGGAAGGGAGAGACATTTTAGAAATAGGAATAATGCTACATGTTAGAGGTCAGAAAATGCTACAAAGAAAAAGCAGAGCCAGGGCCCAGGGCATGTTGAGAGGGTTGGAGTCCCAATTGTAAATAGGGTGGTGATAAGGTTTGACTCTGTGTCCCCACCCAAATCTCATCTCTAACTGTAATCTCCGCATGTCAAGGGAAGGACCTGGTGGGAGGTGACTGGATCATGGGGGCTCTTTCCTCCATGCTGTTCTTGTGATAGTGAGTGAGTTTTCAAGAAAGCCGATGGTTTTATAAGTGGCTGTTTCCCCTGCTCTCCTCTCTTGCCTGCTGCCATGTAAGACATGCCTGTTTCCCCTTCGGCCATGATTGTAAATTCCCTGAGAACTCCCCAGCCATGCAGAACTGTGGGCCAATTAAATCTCTTTTTTTTAATAAATCACCCAGTCTCAGGAAGCTCTTTATAGCAGTGTGAAAATGGACTAATACAGGTGGTCAACATTTTCTTTTTGTTACTATGAAAGAAATTATTGGGAAAATTGGTGACATATTAATAAGGTTTGTGGATTAGATAATGGTATTAAGTCAATGTCAATTTCCTGACTTTATATGGTAGTTACCTAAGAAAATGACCATGGTCTTAGGAAATACACACTGAAGTGATTAGGGGTAAAGGAATATCATGACCCCAACTCATTCTTAAACAATTCATAAAAAAATACAAATGCAATATGTATGTATCAAGAAAAGATGATAAAGCAAGTGTGGTAAAATATTGACGATTTTAGGAAGACTAGGTAAAACGGGTTTATGAGAATTTTTTTAAGACAGTGTCTCACTCTATTGCCCAGGCTGGAGTGCAGTGGCACAGTCACAGCTCACTGCAGCCTCGACCTCCTGGACTCAAGCCATCCTCCCACTTCAGCCTCCCAAGTTACTGGGACTGCAGGTGAGCACCACCATGCTTGGCTAATTCTTTCATTATTATTATTATTTTTGTAGAGATGGGGTCTTGATATGTTGCCCAGGCTGGTCTCGACCTCCTGGCCTCAAGCAATGCTCTCAGCTCAGCCTCCCAAAATGCTGGCACTACAGGCGTGAGCCACCACACCCAGCCTGTATATGAGCGCTCTTTATACCAAGCTTACAACTTTCCTGTTAGGATCAAATTATTTCAAAATCTAAAAAAAAAAAATTACAAAAATAAGCAAGGTGTCAAGGAACCATCACAACTTCTTATGCTCATCTCCCACCCCTCTGCTGTTCCATGTTCAACACAATCACTTTACTGAATTATGTGTCACCCTCTTCTTCCCTCTCCGCAGCTCCTGTCAAACATTCACTTTCAGAATTTTCTGCTTTGGTTGGCTCTGCCAGAAATGGCCTTTTCTCCTTTTCTCCCTGGAAAACTCCTATTCATCCTTTAAAGCCCTTCTCTGTAGAAATGTATCTTTGTTGTTTCCTATTCTCTCAGAAGAGAAGAAATAACCCCTTCCTCTGTGTCTTGTTTATTATTATATTATTGGATGTGAAACATTATTGTTTTTGTTTCAGTGTAAGTCATCTGCTCTCTCCTCCTCACTGTGAGTATCATGTGTCTCATAAGGCATGGGTCTCATTCATCTTTCTGTCCCCAGCCTAGACTACTACCCAACCCAGAGTGGAAGCTCAATAGAACTTTGCTGAAATGAATGGAAAGTTCTGATTGTCTGATTGGAGCACAGGAGCTTGGGGGACAGTTTGCACAGTGAAAGAAGGGGTCCTGATGGAACAAGCTAGCATCAGTTCAGTTCGGTCTGCAGAAAGACCTTTCTATGGTGGCGGACATTGACATATCTGTAGTCAAGGTAAAGCTGTCTAGGGAATCTTGCAGGGCAGAGACACGTCTGCAGAATATTTGCATCATAGAGCTGAGGACAGTAACTGGGGGCAGGGCAGGAGAGTCATGGGAATGAGGTCATGCATAGAAGTATGACTTAACTTGGTCTAAAAATAAATTGCTGGTGGTAGGTTGTCCAGTTACCCTTTGTCATTAAATGACCGAGACTTCTTTTGACCAGGATTCTTGTTAAGTTTTCTTGCCAGGCTGAACTCTAAAAATGACACGCATTCAGGGCTGAACAGAGGCTCACAGATCATTAATCCAAACTCCATGGAATGCTCGCACTCCCTCATTACTTTGATACCCCTGGTTTTTAAGGCTCAGAAGAAGGGTGACCCTGAATGTTAACCCTCCAAGTGGAATGTAAAACACACGACTGTTAACGGACCTATTTCAGTCTCTCTGGGTACCTTGGGAACAGAGATTCTATGTGATACGTGACACAATTTTCAGTCATTGTAGCTATCGATATAGTTCAAGCGAGGCTTTTGCCCAAAGTGGGGAGACTCAGGCAAAAATAAATTGGGGCAGGAACAGTAGAGTCATGTGGGTTCTGTAGGAATCTGCTAATGAGGGAGAAAAAGAGAATACCATGAAATGGAATAGCATGCTGGTTTTAAAAAAGAGTCTTTAAGAGTCTTGGAGACAAACAGCTCTTGGCTTGAGTCACAGCCCGGTCATTCACCAGCCGTGAGACCTCAGGCAAGGCACTCATCTTCTTTGAGCTTTAGTGTCTGCATCTATGAGGTGGGAATAATCATCACAGTTACCTCAAACGGTCCTTAAAAGGATGAAATTACTTAATGCTTGTAAAGTACTTAGTATAGTGTATGACATCTAGGAAGGGCTCAATAAATTTTGTTAGTAACAACAACATAATAAAAATTATTATTTTTTAATTTATCATCATCATTATTACTTAGAGACAGGATCTCGCTGTGTCACCCAGGTTGCAGTGCAGTGGCATGATAATCAGTCACTGCAGCCTCAAACTCCCGGGTTCCAATCATAGGTCACTGCAGCCTCAAACTCCTGGGCTCAAGTGATCCTCCTGCCTCAGCCCTGAGTAGCTGGGGCTACAGGTGTGCACCACTGTACCTGGCTATTTTTAAATTTAATTTTTTTTTTAAATTAAACTTCTATGTTGCCGAGGCTGGTCTTGAACTTCTGACCTCATGTGGTCCTCCTGCCTTGGCTTACCAAAGTACTTAGGGGTTACAGTGCAAAGGGATTAAAGACGTGAGTGTTCCACTGCAGCTGGCCTGATTTTATTTTATTATTTATTTATTTATTTTATTTTATTAGTTTTTTTAATTTAATTTTTTTTTTTTGAGGCAGAGTTTTGCTTTTGTTGCCCAGGCTGGAGTGCAATGGTGTCATCTCAACTCATCACAACCTCCGCCTCCTGGGTTCAAGAAATTCTCCTGCCTCAGCCTCCCGAGTAGCTGGGATTACAGGCATGTGCCACCACATCCGGCTAATTTTTTGTATTTTTAGTAGAGATGGGATTTCTCCATGTTGGTCAGGCTGGTCTTGATCCGCCCACCTCAGCCTCCCAAAGTGCTGGGATTAAAGGCTTGAGCCACCACGCCCGGCCTTATTTATTTATTTTTAAAATTATACTTTAAGTTCTGGTGTACATGTGCAGAATGTGCAGGTTTGTAACATAGGTGTACACGTGCCATGGTGGTTTGCTGCACCCATCAACCCATCATCTACATTAGATATTTCTCATAATGCTATCCCTCCCCTAGCCCCCCACGCCCTGACAGGCCCCAGTATGTGATGTTCCCCTCCCTGTGTCCATGTGTTCTTATTGTTCAATTCCCACTTATGAGTGAAAACATGCAATGTCTAGTTTTCTGTCCTTGTGATAGTTTGCTGAGAATGATGGTTTCCAGCTTCATCCATGTCCCTGCAAAGGACATGAACTAATCCTTTTTTATGGCTACATAGTATTCTGTGGTGTATATGTGCCACATTTTCTTTATCCAGTCTGTCATTGATGGGTATTGGGTTGGTTCCAAGTCTTTGCTATTGTGAACAGTGTGCCTGGCCTAATTTTAAAACACAAATAATGGACCTCATTTTCTAGCCTGTCTCCTCTATTATTCCATGAGCATTTCAGAGCAGTGCTGTGTCTGATATATCTGTGACATCGCCTCATCCCCTGCAAAAGCTGGCACAGAGAAGGTGCTTGGTGAATGCATTTCTTGAAGTGAGTTAAAGCCACCATTCTTGCAGCCTAGATTTTGTTTCTAGGAAGGGCACCATGTCCACCTGGTTCACAGCTGTGTTCTGAGCACGGAGCATGGCACCTCGCACATGGTGGGCAGTTAGACATTTGTGGACTGGTAGAGGAAGGAATGATAGGAGCAGCAACAAGGTTTCTGAGAACCATGCACAATCATGCCACATGCATGCACCAGAGACTATAGCCAAGGCTGCTGGCTTCTTAGGTGTATATTTCAGCACTTCTATATAACTTGTAACATTGTATTAAGTCTGATTTACTGATGTGCGCACAGTAAACACTGTGGAAGGATAGGTACCAAACTGTCCCCAGCAGTTTCCTGGGGGTTGGACCTCTTGCTTTTTATTATACACTTGTCTATTGCTTGATGCTTTTATAGTAAGCATGAATTACTTTGGCAATGAAAACACCAAATAAGATAAAGAAATAAAATATTGAAAAGGGAGAGGGGGAAGATGAAGAGGAAAGAAGAACAGAAATGAGCAGATTTTTTAGAAAGAAAAATGTCAGGCACAGGTGGGAGGGAGTAACCCTTGGTTGTGAATTTTGTCCCTCCCAGACCTCAGATATTACCCTCCAGCCCTGCAGGGAGCACTGTCTCCTCTTGGTGTGCCTTTAAATGTCAGGGTCCCACTGCAGAGAAGGGGTGAACTGAGGACATTTTCACACTTTTAGGGCAGTGTTTTGTTTGGAATAATGCTAACAACTCATGAGAGGAAAGATTTTTGCAGCTGGACAGATCTGGGTCAGGATGCCAGCTCCATTATTTGCTAGCTGGACAAGTTATTTCACCTCTTGAGATCAGTGCTTTAATCTCTAAAAGGGGACTAATAAATATCTAACTGCTAGCACTTCAGCCTTAGAGGACTAAGTAAGGTAGTAAAAACCTTCAAATACCTATGGTGATGATGATGATGATGGCATTTAGTTGGTATGGATAGACAATCAGCTACTAATTCACACCCATGTTTCTTCTACCTGTCTTTATCCTCAGAACACAAACATGGATGTTTTCAAATTTTCAAATGCGTTTCTGAAAATAGCATATGCTTTTTTTTCTTCTTCTTTAAGTGACAAGGTCTCACTCAGGCTGGAGTGCAGTGGTGGGATCATGGCTCACTGTAGCCGTGACCTCCTGGGCTGAAACGATCCTCCTGCTTCAGCCTCCTGAGTAGCTGGGACTACAGGTGTACACCACTGTATCTGGCTAATTTTTGTATTTTTCATAGAGACAAAGTCTCACTATGTTGCCCAGGCTGGTATTGAATTCCTGGTCTCCAGCGATCTTCCCACCTCAGCCTTCTGAAGTGCTGAGATTATAGGCATGAGCCATCTCACCTGGCCAACAGATTGTTTAAATATTTTTTTCCTTAAAAATATTTTTAGATTCGGGGGGTATATGTGCAGATTTGTTACCTAGGTGTATTCTCTGATGTTGAGGTTTGGGGCTCTGCTGATCCCATCATCCAGATACTAAGCTTAGTACCCAATAGTTAGTTAATTTTTGTGCTATTTTAAAATTGGATTTTATCGGGCTTCCCTAGAGCTCCCAATCTCGTAATCCTGTGGAGTGTGTTTTGGTACCACACGATCTTGGTAAGTTTACAGTAGGTTTTATTGATCAATCTTCTCTAAGCCTTCATAAATCTGCTATTTTAGAATTTGTTCAGTAATTTCCTCAGATAATCAGTTCAAGAGATCTGTGGTTCAACATGGTGACTATAGTTAACAACAATGTATTCTTGAAATTTGCTAAGAGAGTAATGTGTGAGGTCATGCATGTTAATTAGCTTGATTTGGCATTTTAAAATGTATATATATTTCAAAATATGTTGCACACAATAAATACAATATACACAATTTTTATTTGTCAATTATAAAACTGATTAATAAAAAAGTTTCCTCAGAAGTCAATGCCTGTATCTGGTTCTCGGATGTCAACTTCCAACCCATCCCCTTTGTGAAAAGAGAGACCCCAGCGGCCTCTCTCCGGTTTGGTTTCTCTGAAAGGGATCACAGTTCAGGTCTTTGGAGGTAGCTCCATGGATATGAACATGGGTTCTGAGACTTGTGCATGTGGCCTAGAAATTTGAATTCATTTAAAGCAATGTTCTCTTACTTGCTGTCCATCTATTTCAGATTTCATGTTCTTCTTAATGATATACATATATATTTTTTCATTTTGCTTATTTATTCATTTTACTTGAAGAGATGGGCACACATGAATTTGCAATTTTCTCTGCTGCCTGCTGTTTTGCTGCTGAATGCTCAGTCTGTTTTCCTGGTACCTGCTTTTCCTCTAGAATAGTGCGCTTCTGATGGTGTTGGTTCCACCCCGCCACTCAGGGCATTGCATTCTCAGGTCTCTAGGGATTGTTTCAGAAATGAGCAGGTGACTCAGTTGGTATGCAATGCATACTGTTGCCTCTGCTGGGGAAGAGGCACCTTTGGCTCTTTTCTTCTAGAACTGCTTAAAAAAAAAAAGCTACAGTGAACATGGCCTTCTAGGAGCCACTACCTAGGGCCTGATATTTAGAATGCCCCAATATGGTGCCCCAGGTAGAGAGCTGAGTCAAGAGGAAAAAAGTCAAGATGTAAGTGAGTCTAGGCCCATTGGCTCATGCCTCTTATCACAACACTTTGGGAGGCTGACATGGGAGTATTGCTTGAGGCTAGGAGTTCAAGACCAGCCTGGGCGATATGGTGAGACCCTGTCTGTAGACCAAAAAAAAAAAAAAAAAAAAAAAAAAAAAATTAGCTGGGCATGGTAGCACATGTCTGTAGTCCCAGCTACTTGGAAGGCTGGGGTAAAAAGATTGCTGCAGCCCAGGGTTCAAGGCTGCAGTGAGCTATGATCATGCCTCTGGACCCCAGTCTGGGTGACAGAGTAAGACCCCATCTCTAAGAAAAAAAAAAAGAAAAGAAAAAATATGAGTGAACAGGACCAAGCTATTCTAAAGACAGTCTTTTCTTTCCCCTGAACTTTTTGATTATTTAAGCCAATAAATTCCTTCTTTTGCTTAACCCAGTTTGATTTGAGGTTCTTGTTAATTGCAGCAAAGTCCTAACCAAACACTTAAAACAGCAAACCTCTGAAAGTTGCTTTAAGGCTTGATTTTGAGAGCCCATTGGCTTTTTGGGTTTTGGCAAATTAGTGTAGGGTTTATGCCTTCCTGACCACATCTTTGACATTTTTGTCATTCTCTGATGTCCTTTTGTGATCACGAGTCCCTTTTTATATGCGTTCTAGGATTTTAAATATCTAAGCAAACCCCTAGCCTGGATCCAGGATTTCTTTCATTTTAAAATGTCTTTTTTTCATGATAAAAGTATTTCATTGTACCACACATCTAAATTTAGAAATAGAGAAAAATGGGAGGAAAGAATTACCCAGTGATCTTCTACCCAAACAAAACTAGTGAACATTTCCCAAAAATTCTTTCCCACACTTTCTTATTCCCACATAGATCATTGGATTCTACTCTATAAATAGTTTGACATATTGCTTTTAAATTTTTAAAAAGTTAATACATCCATATGCCATAAAATTTAAAAGATAGCACACATTCTTCTGCATCTTATATTTAAAAACATTTTCAATCGGCAAATAAGTACATATATTTATGGGGTACAATGGGATGTTATGATATGTGCATACATTGTGGAATAATTAAATCAGGTCAATTAACATACTCATCCCCTCACATACTTAACATTTCTTTGTGGTGAGAACATTTAAAATCTACTTTTAGCAGTGGTGGTGATCAGAGGGTGAGGATGTGGTAGATGGGGAAAGAAAGATGTTGGCCAAAGGGTACAGAAGGAATAAGTTTTAGTGATCTATTGCACACTATGGTGACTATAGTTAATGTGTATTTCAAAACTGTACCTTGCATTATTCACTTAACGGTTAATCTTGGAAATGGTTCTATGTCAGTAGAGAGTGTCCTCATTCTTCTTTTATATGTATGTACGAGAGATTATTTAAGCCAGCCCCTACTATTGGAACACAGTTTGCTTCCAGGTTTTAGGTCATTGTAACCAGTGCTGCACAGCTTTTTGCATGAAGCTTTGGTGCTAGTTCCAAAGGATTCTCTGAAAACAAAGAATATAGTCAAATGGCAGGGATATTTTGGAGGCCATTGATACCGTTCTGAAATTCTCTCTCCATAGGGCTGCTGTTTTTGCTACTTCCTCCAGGAGAAAATGAAAGGGCTCTGTTTGTTTATTTTTATTTTTTATTTTTTCTGAAATCATTCTTTTATTCTTTTCATGAAATTTCAGAAAAATTCCAGGAGAGCTAACAACAAGGACTAAGGTTAAAACCAAAATTTAATTTTTGGTACCACTGATTAACAAAACCATTTTGTTGAATCTTAATGGAGTGACTGAGTAACTTAGTATTAATAACTTAGAACTGATTGAACACTACTGATTCTGTTTAAGTTTTATTTGAAAGTTTAAACATGTTGCTTTAAATAATTTGATCTATTTACTATACCTTCATATCTGCTTCATATTTAAAACTCCATGTGTAGAAAATATCAAACTTGTACGTTACTTTACAATTATTTTCTAGTAAGAGAACTCAGTTACTTGTTTGTTTGTTTATTCTTATTCAGCACTGAGATCAGTGCTCGGCACATAGTAAGTGTTTAATGTGTTAGGTTTTACAACTGCTGCTATTATTATTTTTTCCTTTTGACTCTCCTCACTCTTTTCTCAGTATCACTGGAGAACATACCAAGCTGTATCTCAATTATGCATACCTCTCTTCCAAGCCTAGGGACTGGAATCATGGATGCATAATCTTTCCTGTGAACTGTAGGAAACACTCCTCACCCCTGTCAGGGAGTAATATAGGACGTCGTTCTGAAAAAGAAAAAAGAAGAAGGAAACAGTGATGCCTCCCTTGGTTAGGCTGAAATCAAAGATAAGACTTTCTCCCTTTTCTTGTTGCTTCCCATTTTAAAAGGTCTAATCAAAATCCTGCTTCCATAGCACAGGACCTGGCATATAGGAGGCACTTAAGTTTTGAATGAACGAATGATTGATTGTTGTACTCTTTTGACTGATCTCTCCAGTAGCCAACTGGAAACTTGACGAGGAACATGACCATCTTTTCTTCTTACCAGACCCTACAGCCTTAGCTTTGGCCACAGAAAAAGCCACCTTTGTGATCAGCAAGCAAGACAGGTCTCTCTCGTGTCCCAGGAGCACCAAAGATGGCAGACTCATCTGAAATGTTCATGCCATTGGTAAATTTCAAGGGAGGCTTTTACTGATACTGTCATAAATACGTAACAGATTAGAATTCAAAGAATAAATACCATGATTCCATACTGCTATAAATGATCAGATAAGAGAGAAGAGACAAATCTCCCAGGCAGAAGAATTCCAGATTATTTATTTATTTATTTTTATTTAATTTTTTTTTTTACACAGGGTCTTGCTCTGTTGCCCAGGTTGGAGTGCAGTGATGTAATCTTGGCTTACTGCAACCTCCACCTCCCAGGTTCAAGCGATTCTTGTGCCTCAGCCTCCCGAGTAGCTGGGATCACAGGCATGCGCTGCCACACTCGGCTAATTTTTTGTATTTTTAGTAGAGGCGGGGTTTCACCATGTTGACCAGGTTGGTCTCAAACTCCTGACCTCAAGCGATCACCCTCCTCGGCCTCCCATTCAAGTGCTGGGATGACAGGTGTGAGCCGCCGTGCCCGGCCCCAGGTAATTTATATAGCTATTCCATCGTCAAGGAGGTGGAGCGGACTTCCCACATCCTAAGTGTGGGCTGTGCATAGTGACTCTCTTCCAAAGAGTACAGTGTGAAAAGAGAGGAGAGAGTAACTTTACAGTGGAGAACACGGACAGACACTACCTCAGCCAGGTGATCAAAGTCAACATCAATAGCGGCAAGTCATCTTGAGAGAATGCGTGCCTGATACAGAGTGCTGAGAATGATTCTTAAGCTCTGTGGTCCTTCTCCTCAAAACACACACAAGCCAAGACTAAGGATGAGAAAAGCATCTGCCAAATCCCAGTTGAGGAACATTCTACAAAATACCTGACCAGCACTCCTCAAAATGCTCCATGTGGTATCCTGGAACAGAAAAAGGACATTAAGCAAAAACTAAGGCAATCAGAATCAACTATGGACTTCAGGTGGCCAGGCACGGTGGCTCGCGCCTGTAACCCTAGCACTTTGTGGGGCCGAGGCCGGCGGATGGGTTGAGCCCAGGAGTTCAAGACCAGCCTGGGCGACATGGCGAAACCCCATCTCTACAAAAAATACAAAAAATTAGCCAGGCTTGTGGTGTGCACCTGTAGTCCTAGCTACTCGGGAGGCTGAGATGGGAGGATCACTTGAGTCCGGGAAGTCAAGGCTGCAAGTGACCCGTGATTGTGCCACTGTATACCAGCATGGGCAATGAGAGTGAGACCCTGTCTCAACAAACAAACAACAAACAAACAAACAAACAAAAACAAATTCTCTGGGGATGGTGGCAGGCACCTGTATTTCCAGCTACTTGGGAGGCTGAGATGGAGGATCACTTGAGCCAGGGGAGGTCGAGGGTTGAGGCTGCCATGAACTATGATCACACCACCACACTCCAGCCTAGGTGACGAGCAAGACCCTGTCCCCACCCCCCCAAAAAAAGTATGGACTTTAGTTCATAATGCATCAAGCTATGGGGTACATGGAAACTCTCTGTACTGCTTTCACCATTTTTCTAAAACTGTTCTAAAATAAAAAATTTACTTAAACATTTATTTAAAAAAAAAAACAAACCATTTGAGTACCAACAGTGTCATATGCTCAACTTAGCACATCTTTTTCCTGGTTTGGTTTGTGGGCGTGAATGTGTACTGAGCCATCTAAACCTTGGTTGCCCGACCTTCACCGTAGCCACTGACCCAGGTTAACAGACAAAAGGCCCAGGTTAAGGTTATGCCCAGTGGCCATAAAATAGCCCAGCATCCAGATTGCACTCCTTGATGTACCCAAAAAAGCCAAGGAATAGGACGGATGGGCGGGGAGTGTGGGGCAAACTACTGCCCATTGCCCAACTCTGGCCTGCTGTCTGTTTTATAAATAAAGTTTTATTGGAACACAGTCACACCCATTCATTTATCATCATCTATGGCTACATTTGCATGACAATGGCAGCGTTGTGTAGTTGCACCAGAGATCGTGTGGCCCACAAAATATTTATTATCTAGCACTTTACAGAAAAAGCTTGTCAACCTCCAGGACAGTGGCCACAAGTTCTGCCATCATCTCATCCCTTAGCAAGAAGGGAAAGGAATGCCCATTAAGGCACAAATTGTTTTCTGTTGTTGTTTGTTTGTTTGTTTGTTTTTGAGACGGAGTTTCACTCTTGTCGCCCAGGCTGGAGTGCAATGGCGTGATCTTGGCTCACTGCAACCTCCGCCTCCCAGGTTCAAGCGATTCTCCTGCCTCAACCTCCCGAGTAGCTAGGATTACAGGCGCCAGCCACCACATCCAGCAAATTTTTGTATTTTTAGTAGCAACGGGGTTTCACTATGTTGGCCAGGCTGGTCTCGAACTCCTGACCGCAGGTGATCCACCTGCTTTGGCCTCCCAAAGCGCTGGGATTACAGGTGCGAGCCACCGTGCCTGGCCACAAGGTGGTCTTTTAACAACAGAGCACACAGCTGGACAAAGCCCAACGCTCTCTTCTTTGGGGCCGAGGTGGGTCATTAATATTGAACATTTACAATGTACTTGCTCCAGGTGATTCAGTTTAATTTCTGCCGTCTCTTGTAACAGGGCTCCCACGTGCACGGGTCGGGGCCGTGTGTCTGCCTCAGCTTTCTGAGGCCCCACAGCGTATTGATTCTGCGAAACGTACGTTTCTTTGAAATCAGCGTCTCTTGACATGACAGGAGATCACACATCGCTTGTTTTCTGTCCCTTTCATTGCCCTCTGAACATGATAAAATCATGACCTAGTGTCGCCGAGGGACCTCAGCATCTCTTGGAAAGAAGGACTTGCCTTCTTTTTTAATCTTTGTCAAGCCAGTGAGGCCAAGTAGAAAATTTTTAGCAGCTTTGGAGCCAGACAGATCGGAGTGCGAGTTCTGCCCGTTATTGACTGGACCGTGTGACCCTGGGAGAGCCGCCTAGTGTCTATGAGACGGAGGCTGTTGGGCAGGAAAATGGGGATGGTCCCAGCATTATGGGGCGGTTGTGAGAATTCAGTGCAATGATGCAGTGCTCCCAGAACAGCTGGTCTAGGGCTTGGCTCATGGGACTGTCCCTTCGCAGAGGCAGCGTGGACATTCCGCTGGTATCCACTGGTGTGGCTGTGCCTGTTTGGTCACCGTGTCTGTTCTGATTGGTCGGTGCTCCTGCATGTCAAGAGTTCAATGTTATGAAAATCATCCCTGCCTAGAGATGAATTCCCCCTTCCCCTGAGGTCTAGACTGGCATAGCTGCTTTTGGAGCCTCACCTGCTGAGAGCTCACAGCTGTCCTTCTCTAGAGAATCACCCTCAGATGGGAGCCACGTTGCCTGGGATGGGATGCCATGCCCAGTAATGGCCCAGTGACTAACTGATACAGCAACGTGAATGGCTGGTCCCTGCCCCACGGTGGGGACGATCCTGTGGCGTGCTCTCTGCTGCTCGTGGGATAGGTCAAGGCGGGACTTTAAGGGACCACATTCTCACTCTGCTCTGTCCCCTTCTGCATCCTGTAGTCCTCACCTCCCTTCTCCTGAAAGCCCCTTTCAAAACAAAAACAAAAACCACATCCACCCAAGTCCCTGTCTCCACCTCTGCCTCCAGGAAAGCCGGCGGAAGGCCGCCAGTCTCAGCTGTGACAGATACAGATATTTCTGCATTTCCAGGACTGAGGTCAATCCCTGGGGACCCAGTGAGGCGGTATCTGAGGGGCCATGGAGCTGGCTTGATGGGGTCTACAGGTAGGCAGGGACCTGGTGGGGATGTGACTCAAGGATTTTTATCAAATATCTTTATCTCCTGACAGATGCAAAAAAAAAAAAAAATGAGATCAGACTCCAGGGTTTCCTCCATGCCACACTGTGGCCCCATTGTTTGTTGTGCTATCAGCAGAAGTTGACTTTGCAAGGAATGTACACGTGTATGTGATGTTTGAATGCACCTGTGCGTGCGTGCATTTGTGTGTGCATGCGTGCATTCGTGTGTGTGTGTGTGTGTGTGTGTGTGTGTGTGTGTGTGCGCGCTGAGGATGTGAGCCCCACTTCCGGCCCAGTGCCCCTGCCCAGGCTGGCTCTGCCCTCCTGCTGCTCTGGGCCCCTCAGGCAGTGACTACCTGGTACATAGGGAAGGCATCGGCATCCCTTATTCATGGGGACTGTAGACTGTCTCCACCATATTGGGTCTTTTGGCCTCTTGGACATGACTTGGCCTCTGCTGGCTTTAAGGGACTGCCAGAGATGCCATCTGCTCTGGGAAATGTTCTCAGCCTGGGCACAGCCCACTAACCACTGCCTGCTTGTCTGAGACTTCTCTGTCCAGGAAAACAGCCCAGCCTGACCAGAGATGGGCATAGAGCCATATTTTGGGAAAGACTGGTTGGGGGTCAACTTGGTTTCTGGAACCAGTTCTGATTTCAGTTGCAGGGGACAGTGAGCCAGTTACTGCCCACTGGCTGCATCCTAAGCCTTCCTAGAGGAGAGCTAGCCTCCTCCTAGGGTTCCCCAGGCTGGACCACTTCTGCCTGGGTGATGGGTTGGGAGAAAGACGTTAATATTTGGAGCAGTGTTATATTAGTCAGCCCTCCCATTTGCAAACATTAGAAAACCAGCTCAAATTAGTGATAAAAGAAAATCTCAGCTGAATTAAATTTAAAGTAGTTTAATTGAGCAATGAATGATTTGCGAATTGGGCAGACCCCAGAATCACAGCAGATTCATAGAGACTCCAGCGCAGCCACGTGGTGGAAGAAGATTTATGGACAAAAGAAGGGAAATGATGTACAGAAATCAGAAGTGAAGTACAGAATGGCTGGATTGTTACAAGTTGGCGTTTGCCTTATTTGAGTACAGTTTGAACACTCAGCAGCGTATGAGCGGTTGAACTACGGCCTCTGGGATTGGCCAAGACTCAGCTATTGTTACAGACGCATACTCCTAAGTTAGGTTTTCAATCTTGTCTACCTATTAAGCTAGGTTGCAATTTGTCCACAAGGACTCAACTATAGAAGTACGAAGTCCCACTCAGGCCATATTTAGTTCACTTTAACACTAGCTTCGGCAACTGTCTCTCAGAGCCCAGGACAGGGCAGGGATGCAACTGGGCTTCAGGAAACTTGAATTCATTGACTGTCTCTTCCCCATCTTAGATGCAGTGCTAAGGGCTTTTTAGTAATTTTCTCATTTGATTCTCAAAACAAACTGATGAGGAAACGGTCTGAGAGTAGTTAGGCAGCTTTTCAAGGTCACACAGATAGTAAATGTCATCACTGGGACTTGAACTCAGGTCTTTCTGACTCTCATGTCTGTGCAACATGTCATCTCAGCCACTGTTGACACTGTATATGTGGATTAGGGTTGGCTAAACTGCTGTAACAAATAGACCCAACTCGAATGGTGCATGTATGTACAATAGGGGTTTATTTCTTATGATATAGTTCACGGTGGTCCCAGGTGAATAAGGATGGGTAGGTCTGCATTTTTCATAATCATCTGGGTCTCTGCTTAGGCTCCTAGAGTCTCTGCCACCTTCCCCATGTGGCTTCCAAGGCCACCTTGGAGACAGAGCTTGGTGGAGCACATGTGGTAGGACTTTTTTTGTTTTTGAGACGGAGTCTCACTGTATTGCCCAGTCTGGAGTGCAGTGGTGCAATCTCGGCTCACTGCAACCTCTGCCTCCCAGGTTCAAGCTATTCTCCTGTCTCAGCCTCCCTAGTAGCTGGGACTACAGGCACCTGCCACCACGCCTGGCTAATTTTTGTATTTTTAGTAGAAATGGGATTTCACCTTGTTGGTCAGGTTGGTCTCAAACTCCTGACCTCAGGTGATCCACCCACCTCGGCCTCCCAAAGTGCTGGGATTACAGGCATGAGCCACCACTCCCAGCCAGTTCTTTTTTTCTTTTTTCCATTTTTTTTTTTTTCGAGACAGGGTCTTACTCTGTTGCCCAGGCTGGAGTGCAGTGGCACAATCACGGCTCAGCGCAGCCACTGCCTCCTGGGCTCACACGCTCCTCCGGCCTCAGCCTCTCGAGTACCTGGGACTACAAGTGTGAGCCAGTTTGGCTAATTTTGGCTAATTTTTGTAGAAACGGGGTCTCGCCATGTTGGCCAGGCTGGTCTCCAACTCCTGGGCTCAAGGGATCCACCTTCCTCCCCCTCTCAAAGTTCTGGGATTACCGGAGTGACCCACTGTGCCCTGCTGGCAAATTTCTTAAACTGTGCCTCAGTGACCTCATTTAATAAAGGGAATAATTGTAGCACACTTTTTCTAGAGCTGTGAAGATTCAATGGAATAAATAAGGCAATAAATGAATGGATGGGGAATGGAGGATGTGGGTTTCCTCCCTCTTGTCTTTCAATAAGCTCTCACCATCAACCTCCCATTGCCTGTTCTCTCTCTTCCCCCTCTCTCCTTCTGTCTCTCTCTTAGCCAGGAAACCTGGGGTAGGGAGGCTTGGAGCCAGCGGGTGCGTCGGGAGGCTGCGGGTACTGACTGGGGACGCGCACGGAGATTGCGGGAGAAGGATCCACGCCGCGGGAGAAGGATCCATGCCGCGGGAGAAGGATCAGGGTGGAGCCTGTGGCTGCTGCAGGAGGAGGAACCCGCCGCCTGGCCCACACCACAGGAGAAGGGCGGAGCCAGATGGCACCCTGCCCACCGCTTCCCGCCCACGCACTTTAGCCTGCAGTGGGGCGGAGCGTGAAAAATACCTCGTGCGCCTCGGCCGACTCTCCAGTGCGACGGGCGGAGCTTCCAGACGCTCCGCCCCACGTCGCATGCGCCCCGGGAACGCGTGGGGCGGAGCTTCCGGAGGCCCCGCCCTGCTGCCGACCCTGTGGAGCGGAGGGTGAAGCCTCCGGATGCCAGTCCCTCATCGCTGGCCTGGTCGCGCTGTGGCTAAGGGGGCGGAGCCTGAACCCGCCCCGCCCCCACCGCGCCCCGTCCGCCCCGCGCGGCGCGGGGAGGAGGAGGAGCCGCGGCGGGGCTCGCACTGCAGCGCCAGCGTCCGAGCGGGCGGCCAAGCTCCCGGAGCGGCCTGGCCCCGAGCCTCGAGCGGGCGTCGCTCAGCAGCAGGTCGCGGCCGCAGCCCCATCCAGCCCCGCGCCCGCCATGCCGTCTGCCGGCCCCGCCTGAGCCGCGGCCTCCGCGCGCGGGCGGGCCTGGGGACGGCGGGGCCATGCGCGCGCTGCCCTAACGATGCCGCCCGCCGCGCCCGCCCGCCTGGCGCTGGCCCTGGGCCTGGGCCTGTGGCTCGGGGCGCTGGCGGGGGGCCCCGGGCGCGGCTGCGGGCCTTGCGAGCCCCCCTGCCTCTGCGGCCTAGCGCCCGGCGCCGCCTGCCGCGTCAACTGCTCGGGCCGCGGGCTGCGGACGCTCGGTCCCGCGCTGCGCATCCCCGCGGACGCCACAGCGCTGTGAGTAGCGGGCCCAGCGGCACCCGGGAGAGGCCGCGGGACGGGCGGGTGTGGGCGCGTTCCCTGGCCCGGGACGGGAAGCAGGACGCGGGCCAGGACGCTCCCAGGGCGAGGCTCCGGCGCGGCACAGCGGCCCTGCTAAATAAGGAACGCCTGGAGCCGCGGTTGGCACGGCCCGGGGGAGCCGAAAAACCCCGGGTCTGGAGACAGACGTCCCACCCGGGGGCTGTGCAGACGCCAGCGGGGGCGGGGCCCGGAGGCCGCGCTCAGCTGGGAGGACAAACAGTCGCTAATTGGAGAGGAATTGGGATGCGGCCTGGGGCTGCGGGGTACCCGGAGAGGTGGGGATGGTTGTAGGGGGCTGCAGGGAAGAGTTCCAGGAGGTGTCTGGACAAGGATTTGATGGATGTGCAAGAATTGGGCTGATGCTTAGGAAGGGGCGATGAGGTGGGTCCAGAAGAAGGGGGGTGAACGGTGTGAGCAAAGACCATGAGGCTGGAGGCTGGCCACGGGAGGTGTGAGGGGTAGGGGCAGGGTGGGAGGTGGGGTCGCGGGTGGGCTGGGGTCATGAAGGGCCTCAGGCGCTCTGCTATTGGGTTCCAAGGCTATCCTGAGAACAGGGGTGAGGGCGGATTGCCGTGGGGGGTTAAAGCCTTGTCATGTTCGCTTTCGGGAGATAAAAACAACAGGTGGCCTTTATGGAGACGCTGCCCAGAGCCAGGTCTGTGCCAGGCTCCTGTTGGGGGTCGTCATGCGGAATCCTGACTCTGACCATCCGAGGCATAGGGACCGTGGAGATTTGTATTTCACAGATGAGGAAACAGGTTTGGAGAGGTGACACGACCTGTCCCAGGCATCACAGCCAGGACAGGACCTGTCCCAGGCATCACAGCCGGGATGTGCATAGCAGGGATTTGGAACTATGAGGTGCCCAGGACCCAGGGTTGGATTGAAAAGGGCGCAGGGGACTAAGATAAGCAGACAGTTGTCCCCAGCGCTGGGGAGAGTCTTGGGACCAGTCTGATGCCTTGTATTTCCCAGGCTCCAGGCTCCTCGCCGGGACAGTGTCTCCTTGGGTGCGTGCTGGATCCCTGGGGGACGTGGCACATCCCCAGGCTTGCTAAACATTGGGTGGGTTCTGGCATTTGGTTTTGTAACGTTTCTGGGTCACTCCCGCCTGTGGCCACCCTTCCTTAGGGGAGCCGTGTGTCCTTGGGGCTTTGCTGGGTGGTCTCGAGGGTGGGAGAAGAATGGGTTCTCCTGGACCAATGGAGCCCGTGCCCCTCGGGGCCACATTGCTCCTGCGCTCCCTGACTGCGGACGCGTGTGTCTCGCGGCTGTCTCTGTGGAGATGGCCTCCTCCTGCCTGGCAACAGCACCCACAGAATTGCATCAGACCTACCCCACCCGTTGTTTGTGATGCTGTAGCTGAGGGCTCCTCTGTCTGCCAGGCCGGTCACTGGGGACTCTGTCCAGGTCCTGGTGGTTCCTGCTTCCCAGCACCTGATGGTGTCCATGAGAGCAGCCCCTCGGGAGCTGTCCGGGAGAGAAGGGCGCTGGTGGCTGCTGAGCGGAGAGCAAGGCCCGTGTTCTCCAGGCCCTTGGCACAGCAGTGGAGCCCCCGCCCCTGCCTTGTGTTGTCCTCTTAGGCTCTGGTCCTGGGGTTTGGAGGAGGGGGACCCTGGGGGTTGGTGGCCTGTCCCAGCCTGAGCTGGCAAGATTCCGAATGCCAGGCCCCTCAAGTGTGCAACAGGGCACAGGGTGACCTCGTGGGCAGGTGGGTGCTGTTCTGTACACACCTGGGGCCGCCGCTGGGAGAGTTCTGGAAGGTGGGGTGAGGGGACCCATGGGAAACTAGGGCCCTAGGAAGGATGTGAAGGCCCTGGCTGGCCCCCCAGGCCACCCTCTGTGCTGTGGGGCAGCCCAGCCATTTTGCTGTCTACCCTGCAAACTCCTCCTCGGGGAGACGGCTGGGTTTTCCCCAGGGAAGAGGGGTCAAGCTGGGAGAGGTGAAGGACACAGATCACAGCTGCTGGCAGGTGTTCAAGGGTCCAGGAGCGTTGCTGTCTGGGTGTCACCAGTAGCCTTCCTGGGGGGCTCACGCAGGTGCCTCTCCACTTGTGGCTCCCTGGCTGCTGAAGCTCAGCAGGGACAGCTGTGTCCAGTTCCAGGTGGAGGACAGCCGGGGCTTCTGAGGCCACAGCCTGCCTTGGGTTAATGATGCTGCCGAGAGGTGGTGGCTTTTGGAAAAGATGGCGTACTGCAAAACGTGCTGCTCTGCGTGGCTCGAAGCTTCGTGGGGAGACGTGGGCAGAGCCGTGGCTGACTCACAGACCCCCCACCCCAGAGCCTGCCCTGCCCTCCCTGCCCCGACCCTTCCCCTCCTGACCCATGTGTTTTTTTTTTTTTTTTTTGAGACAGAGTTCACTCTTGTTGCCAAGGCTGGAGTGCAATGGCACGATCTCGGCTCATGGCAACCTCCGCCTCCTGGGTTCAAGCGCTTTTCCTGCCTCAGCCTCCCGAGTAGCTGGGATTACAGGCGTGCACCACCATGCCTGGCTAATTTTGTATTTTTAGTAGAGACAGGGTTTCTCCATATTGGTCAGGCTGGTCTTGAACTCCTGACCTCAGATGATCCGCCCGCCTCGGCCTCCCAAAGTGCTGGGATTACAGGCATGAGCCACCACGCCCAGCCCTGACCCATGTTTTGAACCAAATTCCAGCCACCCTTTTATCTGCAAGCATTTTGGAGGGCATCGCAATACTGCAGACCCACCTAACACAACAGACAATTCCTTCATGCCACCGAAGGCCTGGTGTGTTCACATTTTTAATAGTTTGAATTAAGAGCCAAATAAGGTCCACACACTGCAATTAGTTGATGTCTTTTTTTTTTTTTTTTTTTTTTTTTTGAGACGGAGTCTTGCTCTTGTCTCCAGGCCGCAGTGCAGTGGCATGATCTCAGCTCGCCGCAACCTCCGACTCCCTGGTGCAAGCGATTCTCCTGCCTCAGCCTCCCGAGTACCTGGTAGCTGGGTTTACAGGCATGCACCACCGTGCCCAGCTAATTTTTGTATTTTTAGTAGAGACGGGGTTTTACCGTGTTGGCCAGGATGGTCTCGATCTCCTGACCTCGTGATCTGCCCACCTCGGCCTCCCAAAGTGCTGGGATTACAGGCGTGAGCCACCGCACCCGGCCAATGTCTTTTAAAAATATATACTTTTTTTTTTTTTTTTTTGAGACAGAGTTTCGCTCTTGTTGCCCAGGCTGGAGTGCAGTGGCGCGATCTCAGCTCACGGCAACCTCCGCCTCCCGGGTTCAAGCGATTCTCCTGCCTCAGCCTCTCCAGTAGCTGGGATTACAGGCGTGTGCCACCATGCCTGGCTAATTTTGTATTTTTAGGAGAGACGGGGTTTCTCCACGTTGGTCAGGCTGGTCTCAAACTCCTGACCTCAAGTGATCCGCCTGCCTTGGCCTCCCAAAGTGTTGGGATTACAGGTGTGAGCCAGCGCGCCCAGACAAAAATGTATATGTGTGTCTTTAAGGCTGGTCAAGCAAAGCAGTGGAACTGGAGAAAGAATGAAGAATTCTACCTGGCTGTGATCAATTCGTTGTGAACACCACTGTGCTTGGACCAGCTAGCTGATGTCTTTTGTTTTGTTTTGTTTGAGACGGAGTCTGGCTCTGTCACCCAGGCTGGAGGACAATGGTGTGATCTCGGCTCACTGCAGCCTCCACCTCCCGGGTTCAAGCGATTCTCCTGCCTCAGCCTCCTGAGTAGCTGGGATTACAGGCGCGCGCCACCACGCCCGGCTAATTTTTAAAAATATTTTTAGTAGAGATGGGGTTTCACCATGTTGGTCAGGCTGGTCTTGAACTCTTGGCCTTAGGTGATCTGCTTGCCTCGGCCTCCCGAAGTGCTGGGATTACAGGTGTGAGTGATGTCTTTTATTTATTTATTTATTTATTTATTTATTTATTTATTTATTGTTATTTGAGATGGAGTCTCACTCTGTTGCCCAGGCTGGAGTGCAGCAGTGCCATCTCGGCTCACTGCAAGCTCCGCCGCCTGGGTTCACGCCATTCTCCTGCCTCAGCCTCCTGAGTAGCCTGGACTGGTGCCCGCCACCATGCCCAGCTAATTTTTTGTATTTTTAGTAGAGACGGGGTTTCACCGTGTTAGCCAGGATGGTCTGGATCTCCTGACCTCGTGATCCACCCGCCTCAGCCTCCCAAAGTGCTGGGATTACAGGCTTGAGCCACCGCCTGTCTTTTAAATGTCCGATGATGTCTAGGAGCTTCCCTTCCTCTCTTTTTCCTTGTGCAATTTGTTGAAGAAACTGGCTCCTGCAGCCTGGATTTCTCGCTGTGTCTTGGGGGTGCCACCTCCATGGTGTCTCCTCCGTGGTGCTGTGAGTGTGTCCTTTGTGTTTCTTGTAAATTGGTCGTTGGAGCCGACATCCCATTGTCCCAGAGGTTGTCCTGGCTGGCACTGACCTAGGTGTAGATGTCATCAGCTCAGGGCCCCCTGCTCTAAAGGCCACTTCTGGTGCTGGTTGCCACTCACCCTGGCTGGGGGTCACCTGGGTCTGCTGCTGTCTCGCAAATGCTGGGGTCCAGGACTGGGCACATCGAGGGACTTGGTAGGTGCTTGGTTCACTGATGTAAAATATAGGAGCACCCAGGGCCTTGCCCTTTCCCACCTGCATCCCTGAATGACAGGAGAGTGTGGGAGAGTGTAGGGACAGCAGGCGCAGACCCCGGGGCCCCTGCCTGGGATTGGCGTCGGGGAAGACAGTCATTCTGGAGCGACCCCTAGGCCTGATGCCTTAGAGCGCAACTGCCACAGACACAGCTTCCTTGGGGGGCTGGCCAGGCCACGGAGGGGCCCCTGGCTCCCATTTCTGGTCCCTGGATCCTGAGAGCAAGGACTAGGGATTGTCACCAAGGCCTCCATGAGCCCTCAGCAGAAGGAGGGCCACCCTCGAGGGCTCCGTTATCACTGGAGCCCGCGTTCAACAAACACGCAGATGATTCTCCAAGGACAGAGATGGATGATGGGGAGGGGGCTGGCCTGGAAGGACCCCCAGTGCAGGTGACATTGAAGCCAGGTTTCAAAGCTCCCACAGGGAGCTGCCCAGAGAGAGTCCCCAAGGGGCAAGGTGACTCGGGGGCAGGGGTAGGGCCTCAGTCAGGAGAGCCTAGGAGAGGCCCGTGTCTTCTAGGAAGAGCCCTGGCAGCCGAGCGGAGGCAGTGGTGAGGACCTGCATCCTGCATGTGCAGCTGGCCTCACCCGGGGTCCCTGAGCCGGGTCTTACGTGGCTCCCGCACTCGGGCGTTCAGAACGTGCCTGCGTGAGAAACGGTAGTTTCTTTATTAGACACGGATGCAAACTCGCCAAACTTGTGGACAAAAATGTGGACAAGAAGTCACACGCTCACTCCTGTACGCGATTGCCGGCAGGGGTGGGGGAAGGGATGGGGAGGCTTTGGTTGTGTCTGTAGCAGTTGGGAATGTGGGGCACCCGAGCGCCCACTGCAGAGGCGACTGTGGAGACAGAGAGCACCTGCAGGTCATCCATGCAGTATCGGCTTGCATCCAGATCATACAGGGAACACTATGATTCAACAACAGACAGGGACCCCGTTTAAACATGGACAAGGGGTCACTCACGCCTGGAATCCCAGCAGTTTGGGAGGCCAGGGTGGGTGGATCGCTTGAGCCCAGGAGTTTGACACCAGCCTGGGCAACAGGGTGAGACCCCGGTCTCTAAAAAATAAAAGAACATTGGCCGGGCGTGGTGGTGTGCATCTGTGGTCCCAGCTATTCAAGAGACTGAGGTGGGACATCACTTGAGCCGAGGAGGTCAAGGCTGCAGTGAGCTGTGATCACACCACTGCACTCCAGGCTGGGTCACAGAGCAAGACCCTGTCTCAAAAAAAAAAAAAAAAAAAAAAAAAAAAAATCACAGGATCTGAACAGAGATTTCTCCAAAGAAGATGCACAGATGGCCAACAGCGTGTGAGAAGATGGTCGGCCTCATTAGTCATGAGGGAAACGGAAATCAAAACCACTGTCCAGCCGGGCGCGGTGCCTCACGCCTGTAATCCCAGCACTTTAGGAGAGCAGATGGCTTGAGGCCAGGAGTTTGAGGCCAGCCTGGGCAACATAGCGAGACCAATAAATAGATATTAGTGGTGGCGCCTGTAGTCCCAGCTAGTTGGGAGGCTGAGGGGGGAGGATTCCCTGAGTCTATGAGGTTGAGACTGCAGTTAGCTGTGATGGTGCCACTGCACTCCAGCCTGGGTGACTAGGAAACGGTCTTTAAAAAAAAAACAAAACAAAAAAACAGGGTGGGCGCGGTGGTTCACGCCTGTAATCTCAGCACTTTGGGAGGCCAAGGTGGGGGGATCACAAGGTCAGGAATTTGTGACCAGCCTGACCAACATGGTGAAACCCGTTCTACTAAAAATACAAAAATTAGCGAGGTGTGGTGGTGGGCGCCTGTAATCCCAGCTAATTAGGAGGCTGAGGCAGGAGAATCACTTGAACCCGGGAGGCGGAGGTTGCAGTGAGCCAATATCACACCACTGCACTCTAGCCTGGTCAACAGAGCGAGACTCTGTCTCAAAAAAACAAAAAAATGCTGAGCATGGTGGCGCATGCCTGTAGTCTCAGCTACTTTGGGGGCTGAGGCAGGAGAATCGCTTGAACCTGGGAGGCAGAGGTTGCAGTGAGGCAAGATTGCACCATTGCACTCCAGCCTGGGAGACAGAGTGAAACTCTGTCTCAAAAAGAAAAGGTCTAGGAAGAGTCCGCACCCTCTCCCCGCGGTGGCCACGCCGGGCCCTGCGCTGAGCCCTCTGTGTTCTTGTCTCTCCATAGCTCATCACGGCACTGCAGGGTTGCAGCCACTCCTGGTCTCATTTTACAGACCAGGAAATTGAGGCTCTGAGAAGCCGTGGTGATGATTTCATCAGCATGCTCTGGGGCAGACCCCTGCAGCCGCACAGGGTGCCTGGGGCCCACACTAGTGCCCTGGTTTATAGACAGACAGAGGTGGCAGTGGCGCTTCCGAGTCGGGCTGGGATGTGCTTGCACTCCCCGAGGGGCTGAGGGGCCCTGCACCCAGGTGCAGCTGCTTGGGTGCTGCCAGCCCCTCCCACCTCTCCCTCCCTGCCAGCCCCTCCCACCTCTCCCTCCCTGCCAGCCCCTCCCACCTCTCCCTCCCTGCCAGCCCCTCCCACCTCTCCCTCCCTGGCTCATCCCTGCTGTGTCCCTTCCCTGTAGTTTCCTGTTCAGTTTCAGGAAGGAGGCTGGGAACCCAGATGTAGGGAATTTGCGCCCTGGAGTCAGACTTGGGTTCACGTCCCAGCGCCTCCACTTCTGGTGTGACCTTGGTCCAGTCTCTCAGCCTCAGTTTCCTCACCTGTAAAGTGGGCTCCATGATTAGATGCACCCTGCAGGGCAGTGTAGCAGTGACCTGGCTCAGCCACTGGCAGCCCCAACAATCATACCTTGTTAAAGTAGCTCTGTCGGTTCCCTCAGGGGTTCCGGGGGCCCATTCCCCTGTCCTCCATGCACTGTGAGACCTGCCCTGCCACAGAGCAGAGTGTAACAGCCTGAGGGTGAGAGCCAGACACTGTGCCTGTGCTTAGACCGGACACTGGACGACGGGAGCCAGTGCAGCCTGGGCGGGTGGACTCTTATGGACCCCTCAGCACCCAGCCTCGGTGCCTTCAGCGCAGGGCCGCGTGGCTGTAGGGGCTCACAAGACCCGGCCTACTCCTGCTTGTGCCTACCTCTGGGTGTTTGCCCATTGGTGCCTTTTGACGCGTTCTGGTGTGTGTGAGACGTGCGGGGCTGGGAAGTATTGGCAGAGCCGCGAGTATCGTCCTCACTCCTTTTGTTCTTTTGACGTAAGCTGGCGAGTGGCACTGCCTGAGTTCCGCTCAGTGCCCGCCCTGACGTGCGGACCCTGCTGCATCCTTGCTGTTAGGTGGTGGCGGTGTGCGCTGTCGCTGGTGGGCACCAAGAGCCTTTGGGAGCTTTGGGGAGGTTGTGCCAAGCTTGAGCCTCGACGTCCCCCTTCCCGGCTTTCTGTTGGCTCTTCTGAGGCCAGGGCATCTCTGTGAGGGCCTCCTGCTGGAGCCATCTCTGTGGATCTCCTCTGCCATCCTGGCCCACGTGTGGGTGATGCGCTGGCCACCATCTCGTGACAGTGGCCGGGCACCGCTGCCAAATGTGGGTCCCGCATCTGCAAGCCCCTCCCTGGGTCCCCTAGGGTATGGGGTGGTTCTGCCACTGCCCTCGCTCCCCCACCTTGGGGTGCCTCTCCCCCTGCTCGTGGGGGAGACCCTGCCTGGGATCTGCTTTCCAGCGAGGAACATACTTTGGAGGGAGACACACGTGTTCTTTTCTGGAGCTCTGCAGTGGCCACGGCAGCCCAGCCCGCCAAGCACCCTGGAATGAAAACAGCCCGCTGCCGTCTGGGCCTGGCCTGCACTCTGCTGCCTGCGCTCCAGCTGGCTGAGGCCGGGCACGTCTGCGGGCACAGCGGCGGGGGCGTCACAGTCTCCCTGCAGAGTGAGCGCAGCTGGAAAATGCAGCTCACGCCCTTTCCCAGAACACCTCGCTCTTCATGGCTTGGCAGCTGTCCTCGCCTAGGGGCCGGGGTGCCCAGGCACTGGTGGCAGGAGAAGGGCTACATCTGGGGCTGAGGCGGGCTGGGTCCTTTTCTCCCTGCAGCTCCCAAGGCCCAGCCCTGGCCCAGCCTGGCGTTCCTGACCTTAGCAGCGCCATGATCTGAAGACAGGCTGGCTTCTGTCAGGCCACCTCGGAAAGGGCTTTGTGCCCAGGCAGAGGCGGAAGCCAGCTCTTCCTTCTGGTTGAGGCAGGAATGAGGCCAGCGCTGGGGCAAGCCCATGCCCAGGGAACGTCACAGCTGTGGGAGTACAGGGGCTCCGGGTTGTGAGCCCGTCCACTGTGCATCGTGGCCCTGGCCTCAGGATGGCTCGTGCCATCATTGGCTGTGCCCACAGCCGAGTGGGTGATGGGATTCCGGCTGCCCCGCTGGATCTGTGCTGCTGCCCTCTCCAGGGCACTGCTGTGCCCGCACAGCCGGGCGCAGATGGCCAGTTTGCTTGGCCCCCCCCACCACCCTCTTCCTACCTTGGCTTCCTCCATTGACACTCTGGACCCTGCTGGCTGCCCGGGGAGGTGTTTGGGGGATGGTGTTGGGGGAGGAGGAGGGCCTCTTGAGCCTCTGTGCCCATCAGGAGCATAAGGTCAGTGCAGCACCTGCCCACCCAGGCTGTGAAGGGTGGGAGTGGAGAGGGATGCAAGGGGGTCACAACGCCTGGCTCCATGTCAGCTGTGTGCAGGGGCACCAGGAGCCGGCCCTCATTCTCCCCTTGAACTGGAAGGGTGGCCCCGACCCCAGCGGCAGGTGGCATACGTATGAAGCGCTCTCCTTCCTACACCCACAGGTGGGCTTGTCTCCAAACGGCCCTTTTTGAGCTGGCTGTGTTTTTCCATCCGTGTAGGCAAGGACATCGCAGACTCCCCTTTCTCATCTCCCTCGTTCAGCCTCCGAGGCCGGAGTCTCCATCCCTGTGCCTGCCTGTGGGTCCCTGGAGGACCTGAGGCTGCCCATGTCACCCCCGGCGTCTCATCCTGGGAACAGTTGAGCCATGGGAGGGATCTGTAAGGACAGAATGCCGCTGAGCCTGGGGCTCCCCGGCTAGTCTCACACCCCGTGTCCGGGACCCAGAGAACCTCGTGCAGGGCTCTGTTGCCTGGGGCCTGGCAGCCTCGTCCTCTATCAGAGGCTGCAACCCCCACCCCTCGTGGGGCCAGGGTTGTGGCCGGCCTCCCTGGCCCTCCCCATGGAAGTGGTAGGCGGAGCCAGCAGCCGTCTGCCCAGCCCGGGGCTGCACTGTTTTTTTTCAAATGAGCACCGTCCCAAACTGCAGCCTGTTAATTTAAACAGGATCATTTCCGGCCCTGGAAGCCGCCTCACTCTCCTTAAATAGAAAGGAGCACAGCGCAGAGGGAAACAGAAGAGGTCATGGCTCGGCTGGCCCAGCGAGGAAGGGGCCACAGTGGGGGTGGCACTGCTGCCTGTCCCCTGTCCTCTCCAGCGCCCACACTGCACCCCATTTCCTCACCCTGGGCCTGCTCTCGGGAGGGACGGGCCTGGGGGTCCTCTTGCTGGGCGGAGGGGAACCGGCTCCTCCAGGAGAGGACGGGGCCTGGCAGGGGGCATGGGGCCTCCCTGGGTCTGGCGTCCTGTCCTGCCCCTGCCGAGGGAGGAGCGGTTACATAAGCTCCGCAGGTGGCCCCTCCGAGCCGGTCCCCCCAGCCCAGTTTCCAGTGAGGCGGCCAGCGCGGGCAGGGGTGCCGGGCCTGGCACACGCCCGCCGCTGACCACACGCGTCTGGAATGTGCAGATGTTTCTTTGGGGGCTCCGTCCGGCCCCCAGACCCCACTCAGCATCTGGTCTGGGAAATGGGCGCCTGGGGCACTCAGCTCTGAGTGTGAGGCTCTGAGGCAGGTCTGGTTTGTCTGGGGCCATTCCCTCTGTTGTGGATTGGGAGGGCCCCGGGAGCTGCCCCACACCCAGGGAAGTTCTCAGTCCCACTGTTGCACGCCCCGACCCCGGCTCCCCCGGCCCAGGAGCGCCTGTGGGGCAGAAGGCCCAGCCCCAAGACTTCCCGGGCCCTGCCAGCCTCAGGCTTCACCCACCCTCGCGCCAACTGTGGGCAGAGCCCAGGGGGAGGGCAGGAGAGCCAGCGCCTGGCTGGGAACACCCCTGAGGGGCCGAGGCTCCAGGGCGAGGGGGCCCGACCTGGGGTTCACACGCCCGGGTGGCGGGCAGACCCGCTGCAGCATGAGACACGTGTCAGATACCTCGGGCCGGCAGGCTGGCCCTGCTGCCCACAGCCCTGGGACGTGGCCCCACCTGTGACAGGGGTGTGGAGGGGCAGCCTCCAGGCCTGGCCACACCCTCTGCTGTTGCTGCTCCTGCTCCAGGATTGGCAAGGGTGCTGGGAAGGGGTGAAGACCCGTACTGTGGCCACACACCTGGGACTTCCTTCTCCACCCAGTGGTGCCCCAGCAGCCGCTAAGGAGCCCGCTGGGTCCCACGCTAGGATGGTCCTAACTCCTCCTGCCTTCCAGATCGGACGCTCGGCGCTGGGGGCCCCTTGTGTCCCGGGGCTGGGGCACCGTCCTGCCCCCCATGGGGGTGTACTCCTCCCAACAAGCTTGGCTTCAGCTTCCCTGGGAGCACATCCTGGCCCTCGGGCACCCATCAGGCTGTCCCTGTGCACCTGGCTCCCACCCTTCCAGCTTATAGCAGGAACTGGGGTGAGGAGTGCGTGGGGCAGCAAGGGCTTGGGACCCCAGAGGACCCTGCACTCTGCTCTGTGCTCTTGCCTGGGCTTAGGGCCGCTCGGTGGTCCTGCTGCCAGATGCCTGGGCCCTGCTGTGTCCCCCATCCTTGCAGGGAACCAGAACGTGGGGGCAGGGCATCAGACAGCGGCGATGATGTCACCTGGCGGGTGCAGAGGAAGCCCGAGGGGCGGGGTGGGGGGGCTGGCGCGAGGCTGCCTGGCTAGGCCTTGGCGTTCCCCCAGAACGGCGATGGCAAAAGCAGATGCAGACGTGGAAAAGTACGGGAGCAAGCGGGGTGAGGACTCCACGGGGATCCCTGTACTGGTCCCTGTCCCTGAAGCCCACACCTGAGTCCTGCCCAGGGCAGATGCTTCCACACCCAGGGGGCACCTGAGTCCTACCCAGGGCAGACGCTTCCACACCCTGGGGGCTGGGGGACTGCACCTGGCTCCTGTCTGGGCCCCAGCTTCATTCCACTGCCCTGGGCCCTGGGAGCTCGGCCGAGCGGGGTCCCCAAGACCTTGCTGCATTTGTGGGCCTTGGGCTGGGGTGAGGGCCGGGAGAAGGAGCCAGCCTGGAGCCTGGCACGCAGGGAGTGCATGGCCAGAACCGGTGACAGGCGGGGCTGCCTGCTGGCATGGAAGAAGTGTCCATGGCACCCCCAGGCCTGGTTCACAGTGGGATGGGTGGGGAGCGGGGGGGCTCTGGGGTCCTCGGCTGACCTGCCCCCACCCCTGCCCTGGCTTGTCAGCTCCCAGCAGCAGCCACTCTTGATGGATTTTCCAGAAAATGAGGTGTGGCCAAACATCTTCAGGCTTTTCCTTCTTTCCTTTCTCCCGTGGCCTGGGTGGGAGCTGCTCCCCATGCCTGTGCCCCTCCCCGGGGCAGTTTCACAGCTGTGTCCCTTCCAGGGGGCCTGCCTGTGTTCACCGTGGCCTCTGCAGCACCTCTCGCCCCTTAGGGCTGCTGCGCCTCGGGTCCTGGTGCCTCATTCTCCCTAAAGCATTGGTTCTGCTGCCGCCGCAGCCGCTGAAAAGTCCCTCCTCAGGTCTAACTGCAGTTCCTTACAGCACAGTGTTCCCCCTCGGGCATGGTGCTTGGGCAGCGGGTGTGAGTCCAGCTGCCTCACCCTGTCTCGTGAATGGCCTCTTGCTGTTCTCCCAGCCGCCACCCTGTCCCACCCCACGGCGGGGATGGTGTGGATGCCTAGCAGCGTGGCTGTGGGCCCACCCATCCTTATGGGCAGTGGGGAGCACCTCAGCCTGTGTCCCTACCTTGGTGTAGAGGAGGGGACGGCAGAGAAGCAGGGTTCAGTTAGGGGGGAAGCGGTGGCCCTGCCGGAGGGGCCGTTCCCTGTGTGCCTGGCCCCCAGATCCTCTCCCCTCCCGGAGCCCAGGGCACAGGCATAGGCTCTCTGAGTGTCCCACAGCCCCTGGGGGAAGGGAACTGCACCCCCAACCGTGCCCTCCATCCGCAGATGGAACGAGAAGCTCCGGGAGCCAGTGCCCAGCGTCTCATCTGTCTGGGCGCCCAGCCCAGGTGAGGGCTCGGCTCCACCGTCCGTGGCTGGGGCTGCTTCCTGGCACGGAGAAGGCCTCGGCTGCTCTGTCCCCTCAGCTGGGGTGGCCTCTGGTCCCCTTCTTTGTTGGTTCCCTTTTCAAGCCCTTGCCCTGGCCCCGGGCCCCACCAGGCAGCCTGTGTGTGCGTCTCTCCTGCGCCGGGTAGGCTGCTGCGGGAGCGGAGCTCCGGTGGGAGGAGCAGGGCTGGCTGGAGGCTGGCAGGGCTGGGCGGGTGCTCAGGGCTGGAGGCCGGCAGGGGCTGGGCGGGTGCTCAGGGATGGAGGGTGGCAGGGACTGGCAGGGGCTGGGCGGGTGCTCAGGGATGGAGGCCGGTAGGGGCTGGGCGGGTGCTCAGGGATGGAGGCCACCCCGGCTTGGGCCTGGCTGCCGGGTGGTCATTGCTGGGAAGAGCAAGTCTAGGCAGAGGCACCTGCTGGGTCACTCGTGGGGAGGGTGACACCTGGGGAAGTAGAGGCCCGTGGCAGGAGGTGAGGTCTCGGGGTCCTGGGGAGCAGGGGGGTGGTGTGCAGACCTGCGGAGCCACAGTCCCTGTGCCAGGAGCACTACTGGGAGTGCGTGGGACCAGGAGGGGTGCCCAGGGTGGGCGGCAGGGTGACCCCCGAGGTGCTTGAGGCCGAGGGGAGGTGGAGTTCTCGGTTTGCCCCAGCTCTCTGGCTTCTCACCTCCACATCACCAGCTCCAGGACCTGGTTTGTAACTCGGGCAGCTCTGAAAAGAGAGACATGCTGCCGCCCTTTGGTTTCTGTTGCCTTTTCTTCACTGACTGCTGACATGGGATGTCTTTCCCATGGCTGTGACCAATTGTGCTTCTTTTAATTGCCTGGTTTTTCTTTTTTTGTTTTTGGAGTTTTCTCTTTCTTTCCTCCCTCCCTCTCGCCCTCCGTCCTTTTTCTTTTTTTTTTTTTTTTTTTTGAGATGGAGCTTCACTCTTGCAGGATGGGGTGCTGGAGTGCAGGGGCGCGATCTCAGCTCACTGCAACCTCTGCCTCCCGGGTTCAAGTGATTCTCCTGCCTAAGCCTCCTGAGTAGCTGGAATTACAGGTGCTTGCCACCACGCCCAACTAATTCTGTAGTTTTGGTAGAGACAGGGTGTCTCCGTGTTGGTCAGTCTGGTCTTGAACTCCTGACCTCAGGTGATCCGCCCGCCTCAGCCTCCCAAAGTGCTGGGATTACAGGCAGGAGCCATTGCACCCGGCTCTTTCCCCTTCTCCTTTTCTTCTCTCTCTCCTCCCTTTCTTTTCTTTTTTTTTTTTTTTTTTTTTTTTTTTGAGATGGAGTCTCGCTATGTCACCAGGCTGGATTGCAGTGGCGTGATCTTGGCTCACTGCAACCTTCGCCTCCCGGGTTCACGTGATTCTCCTGCCTCAGCCTCCAGAGTGGCTGGCACTAACAGGCTCCCGCCACCACGCCCACCTAATTTTTGCATTTTTAGTAGAGATGGGGTTTCACCCTGTTGGCCAGGATGGTCTCGATCTCTTGATCTCATAATCCACCCACCTTGGCCTCCCAAAGTTCTGGGATTACAGGAGTGAGCCACCGTGCCCAGCCATCTTTCTTTTCTTGCTTTCTCTTTCTTTTCTTTCGAGACCGGGTCTTGCTCTGTCGCCCAGGCTGGACTGCAGTGGCACAGTCATAGCTCACTGCAGCCTCGACCTCCCTGGCTCAAGCGATCCTTCTTCCTCAGCCCCCCGAGTAGTTGGAACTACAGCTCCACACCACCATGCCTGGCTGATTCTTTTTTTCCTTGTAGAGATGGGGTCTTGCTATGCTGTCCATCCTGGTCTCAAACTCCTGGCCTTCCCAAAGCACTGGGATTACAGGCATAAGCCACCACAGCCAGTTTCCTTTTCTTCTTTTTAACTGGAATAGTTGACTTTTTCTTTATTAGCTGTGTGTCAGGAGGGTATTTTTGGCCTTTAGTATGTCGTCTAAGTTGCTAGTGCTTTTCTGAGATTGTAGTTTGTTTTCTAATTTTATTTATATTTTGCGTAGAAGTTGTGTATTTTAGATGGAGTTAGGTCGGCTGGTCTTTGATGTTTTATTTATTAATTATGTATGTATTTATTTATTTTTGAGGTAGAGTCTCGCCGTTTCACCCCAGCTGGAGTACAGTGATGCGATCTCAGCTCCCTGTAGCCTTGACCTCTCTGGGCTCAAGTGATTTTTCTCTCCTCTACCTCCCGAGTACTTGGGACCCCAGGCGCATGCCGCCATGCCTGGCTAATGTGTATTTTTTTGTAGATACGGGGTCTCACTGTGTTGCCCAGGGTGGTTTCAAAATCCTGGGCTCAGGCGATCCTTCCGTCTCAGCTCCCACGGTGCTGTGTTACCGGCGTGTGCCCCAGTGCCTGGCCGTCTTGGAGGTCTTGTTTCTCTGGGTTTATGCCTCAAGGTGGCGCCTGCTCCCCTGTGCTCCCTGGTAGCCTGGTAGTGAGCCTGCTTCTCACACAGTCATACCTGGTTGTGGTCCCACAGTGGGACCACCCTGTTGGGTTCAGAACAGGAGATGGGGGCCCCTCGAGTCTGTGTGGGGGCTGTGGACAGGGTTGGGAGACCTTGGCTCTGTGGGGGACTGTGGACAGGGGATGGGGGGCCTTGGCCCTGCGTGGGATGGGTTGGGGGTCCGTGCCCTTCCTGGCCCTGGGTGGACAGGTCCAGGTGGCACTCGGCATAGGGCTGAGATGGGTGCAGAGGGCTGAGGCCCCCAGGCCTCTCCTGGCTTGGTTTCCCCAGGTGAGTGTTCATTTGGGTCTTCCATCAGAAAGGCCCCTCCTGACCTCTGGGAGTGGGGAGCTCAAGGGTGGGAGGCCTTAGCTTGGGGATGCTGGAAATGTGTGGGATGGGCCCAGGGATGGCCTCTGGCCTACTAAGGGCTCTGGCCCTGACCCACGGCCATTCACTCCTCAGAGACGTCTCCCACAACCTGCTCCGGGCGCTGGACGTTGGGCTCCTGGCGAACCTCTCGGCGCTGGCAGAGCTGTGAGTGTCCCCCAGTCGTGCCAGCATGCGGGGCTCACTCCGGGTGGGCTGGCGGCACCGCCTCTTGCTGCTCAGCTGTGGGGGCTTCCGTCAGCTTTGCCGAATCCCCCCTCTCTTCCAGGGATATAAGCAACAACAAGATTTCTACGTTAGAAGAAGGAATATTTGCTAATTTATTTAATTTAAGTGAAATGTAAGTTGTGGTTCTTTGGGTGGGGTCCTGGCTGGACCCCAGGCCCCCAGTATCCCTTCTGCCCTCCCAGTTGGTCCGTGTCCCCTTCCAGGCTTGAGACCAGATCCTGGGGGCAGTTCACTACCTGCTTGGAGCCCCCCAGTGCCGGCTTGGTTGGGGCAGGGGAGGCAGTGCTGTCAGGGTGGCTCCAGGGCCTGGTTGCCAGTGGGGGGCTGGCATAGACCCTTCCCACCAGACCTGGTCCCCAACACCTGCCCCTGCCCCGCAGAAACCTGAGTGGGAACCCGTTTGAGTGTGACTGTGGCCTGGCGTGGCTGCCGCGATGGGCGGAGGAGCAGCAGGTGCGGGTGGTGCAGCCCGAGGCAGCCACGTGTGCTGGGCCTGACTCCCTGGCTGGCCAGCCTCTGCTTGGCATCCCCTTGCTGGACAGTGGCTGTGGTGAGTGCCGGTGGGTGGGGCCAGCTCTGTCCTTCCCAGCCAGGTGGGACCTGGGCCCTGCAGACACTGGGCAGGGCTCAGGAAGGCCTCTCTGGGGGGGGGCTCCGGGCCAAGGGAACAGCATGGGAGCCTGTGAGTGCGGCGGGCGGATGGGGGTGTGTGGGGTGGAGCCAGGAGGAGCAGAACCCGGGGTCCAGTGGCTGCCTCTTCTAGGTGAGGAGTATGTCGCCTGCCTCCCTGACAACAGCTCAGGCACCGTGGCAGCAGTGTCCTTTTCAGCTGCCCACGAAGGCCTGCTTCAGCCAGAGGCCTGCAGCGCCTTCTGCTTCTCCACCGGCCAGGGCCTCGCAGCCCTCTCGGAGCAGGGCTGGTGCCTGTGTGGGGCGGCCCAGCCCTCTAGTGCCTCCTTCGCCTGCCTGTCCCTCTGCTCCGGCCCCCCGCCGCCTCCTGCCCCCACCTGTAGGGGCCCCACCCTCCTCCAGCACGTCTTCCCTGCCTCCCCAGGGGCCGCCCTGGTGGGGCCCCACGGACCCCTGGCCTCCGGCCAGCTAGCAGCCTTCCACATCGCTGCCCCGCTCCCTGTCACTGCCACACGCTGGGACTTCGGAGACGGCTCCCCCGAGGTGGATGCCGCTGGGCCGGCTGCCTCGCATCGCTATGTGCTGCCTGGGCGCTATCATGTGACGGCCGTGCTGGCCCTGGGGGCCGGCTCAGCCCTGCTGGGGACAGACGTGCAGGTGGAAGCGGCACCTGCCGCCCTGGAGCTCGTGTGCCCGTCCTCGGTGCAGAGTGACGAGAGCCTCGACCTCAGCATCCAGAACCGCGGTGGTTCAGGCCTGGAGGCTGCCTACAGCATCGTGGCCCTGGGCGAGGAGCCGGCCCGAGGTGAGTGTCTGCTGCCCACTCCCCTTCCTCCCCAGGGCCATCCAGATGGGGCAGAGCCTGGTACCCCCGTCTTGGGCCCACACTGACCGTTGACACCCTCATTCCCACCGGTCTCCAGCGGTGCACCCGCTCTGCCCCTCGGACACGGAGATCTTCTCTGGCAACGGGCACTGCTACCGCCTGGTGGTGGAGAAGGCGGCCTGGCTGCAGGCGCAGGAGCAGTGTCGGGCCTGGGCCGGGGCCGCCCTGGCAATGGTGGACAGTCCCGCCGTGCAGCGCTTCCTGGTCTCCCGGGTCACCAGGTGCCTGCCCCCACCCCCCGAGGGGCCATAGGTTGGGAGATCTCTGAAGCAGTGGGGCAGAGCCTGCGGCTGGGGAGTCTCAGGAGGAGGGAGGTGGGAGCTGGGCCGGCCCTGGTGAGCAGGTGGCGCCGGCCGGTGGGGCCGTTCCTGTCAGCTCTGCAGATGCAGAGGTGGACGCGAGCTGGGGGCAGCCTCCGGACACTCCTGGGCACGCCATACGGGAGGTGGCCTGCGCGGGGATCCCTGCCGGTGCCCACAGGCCCCGTGGGTGGGTGCTGCTGTGAGCCTGGGGTGGTGGGCCCTGCTCTCCAGGCTCTGAGCCTCAGTTTCCCCATCTGGAAAGGGGGACAGTGATGGGGCTCCCAGCGGGCTGCTGTGAGGGTGGGAGGATGGAGGAGTGCCCTGAGCCCCCTGGCATCCCACACCCGCCCCCAGGAGCCTAGACGTGTGGATCGGCTTCTCGACTGTGCAGCGGGTGGAGGTGGGCCCAGCGCCGCAGGGCGAGGCCTTCAGCCTGGAGAGCTGCCAGAACTGGCTGCCCGGGGAGCCACACCCAGCCACAGCCGAGCACTGCATCTGGCTCGGGCCCACCAGCCGGGGTGCCCGGCGCGTGTGGCCCTGCCCGGCGTGGACGTGAGCCGGCCTCAGCTGGTGCTGCCGCGGCTGGCGCTGCCTGTGGGGCACTACTGCTTTGTGTTTGTCGTGTCATTTGGGGACACGCCACTGGCACGGAGCATCCAGGCCAATGTGACGGTGGCCCCCGAGCGCCTGGTGCCCATCACTGAGGGTGGCTCATACCGCGTGTGGTCAGACACACAGGACCTGGTGCTGGATGGGAGCGAGTCCTACGACCCCAACCTGGAGGATGGCGACCAGACGCCGCTCAGTTTCCAGTGGGCCTGTGTGGCTTCGACACAGGTCAGTGCGTGGCAGGGCCGTCCTCCATGCCCCTCACCCGTCCACACCCATGAGCCCAGAGAACACCCAGCTTGCCACCAGGGCTGGCCCGTCCTCAGTGCCTGGTGGGCCCCGTCCCAGCATGGGGAGGGGGTCTCCCGCGCTGTCTCCTGGGCCGGGCTCTGCTTTAAAACTGGATGGGGTTCTCGGGCCACGTCGCCCCTTGTTCTCGGCCTGCAGAGGGAGGCTGGCGGGTGTGCGCTGAACTTTGGGCCCCGCGGGAGCAGCACGGTCACCATTCCACGGGAACGGCTGGCGGCTGGCGTGGAGTACACCTTCAGCCTCACCGTGTGGAAGGCCGGCCGCAAGGAGGAGGCCACCAACCAGACGGTGGGTGCCGCCCGCCCCTCGGCCACTTGCCTTGGACAGCCCAGCCTCCCTGCTCATCTACTGTTTTCCGTGTTTTAGTGCTGGTGGAGGCCGCGCGCTCTTCCCTCTCTGTTTCTGATGCAAATTCTACGTAACACGACAGCCTGCTTCAGCTTTGCTTCCTTCCAAACCTGCCACAGTTCCACATACAGTCTTCAAGCCACATATGCTCTAGTGACAAAAGCTACACAGTCCCCCAGCAATACCAACAGTGAGGAAGAGCCCCTTCCCACCCCAGAGGCAGCCACTGTCCCCAGCCCATGTCCCTGTTGCTGGATGTGGTGGGCCGGTTCTCACCCTCACGCTCCCCACTCTGGACCGGCCAGGAGGCTTGGTGACCCTGAGCCCGTGGTGGCTGCTCCTGCTGCTGTCAGGCGGGGCCTGCTGGTGCCCCAGAGTGGGTGTCTGTTCCCCAGTCCCTGCTTCCCTCAACGGGCCTGATTGGGGGTCTGCCCAGAGGGGTCGTCTGAGGGGAGGGTGTGGGAGCAGGTTCCATCCCGGCTCAGCCTCCTGACCCAGGCCCTGGCTAAGGGCTGCAGGAGTCTGTGAGTCAGGCCTACGTGGCAACTGCGGTCCTCACACCCACACATACGTCTGTTCCCACACGCATCCCCCCAGGGGCCCTCAGTGAGCATTGCCTGCCTCCTGCCAGGGTCCAGCTGGGTCCAGTACACCAGAACGCACACCCCAGTGTCCTCTGCCCTGTGTATGCCCTTCCGCCGCCCAGGTTGGAAGGTGGCAAACCGGATGAGTATCCTGGGAGGGGGTGAGCTCACCGGCAGTGGCCAGGCCCCTGGGAAACCTGGAGTTTGGGAGCAGCATCCTCCACGGGTCCCCCAGACCTTCCAGCAGGCCAAATAGACCTGTGTTGGAGGTAACCCCACTCCCACGCCAGGTGCTGATCCGCAGTGGCCGGGTGCCCATTGTGTCCTTGGAGTGTGTGTCCTGCAAGGCACAGGCCGTGTACGAAGTGAGCCGCAGCTCCTACGTGTACCTGGAGGGCCGCTGCCTCAATTGCAGCAGCGGCTCCAAGCGAGGGGTGAGTGTTGAGCGGGGTGTGGGCGGGCTGGGGATGGGTCCCATGGCCGAGGGGACGGGGCCTGCAGGCAGAAGTGGGGCTGACAGGGCAGAGGGTTGCGCCCCCTCACCACCCCTTCTGCCTGCAGCGGTGGGCTGCACGTACGTTCAGCAACAAGACACTGGTGCTGGATGAGACCACCACATCCACGGGCAGCGCAGGCATGTGACTGGTGCTGCGGCGGGGCGTGCTGCGGGACGGCGAGGGATACACCTTCACGCTGACGGTGCTGGGCCGCTCTGGCGAGGAGGAGGGCTGCGCCTCCATCCCCCTGTCCCCCAACCGCCCGCCGCTGGGGGGCTCTTGCCGCCTCTTCCCACTGGGCGCTGTGCACGCCCTCACCACCAAGGTGCACTTCGAATGCACGGGTGAGTACAGGCCTGCTTAGGGGGAGCAGCGGGATCCCCCGACTGTGACGTCACGGAGCCCTCCCGTGATGCCATGGGGACCGTCCCTCAGGCTGGCATGACGCGGAGGATGCTGGCGCCCCGCTGGTGTACGCCCTGCTGCTGCAGCGCTGTCGCCAGGGCCACTGCGAGGAGTTCTGTGTCTACAAGGGCAGCCTCTCCGGCTACGGAGCCGTGCTGCCCCCGGGTTTCAGGCCACACTTCGAGGTGGGCCTGGCCGTGGTGGTGCAGGACCAGCTGGGAGCCGCTGTGGTCGCCCTCAACAGGTGAGCCAGGCCGTGGGAGGGCGCCCCCGAGACTGCCACCTGCTCACCACCCCCCTCTGCTCGTAGGTCTCTGGCCATCACCCTCCCAGAGCCCAACGGCAGCGCAATGGGGCTCACAGTCTGGCTGCACGGGCTCACCGCTAGTGTGCTCCCGGGGCTGCTGCGGCAGGCCGATCCCCAGCACGTCATCGAGTACTCGCTGGCCCTGGTCACCGTCCTGAACGAGGTGAGTGCAGCCTGGCAGGGGACCTCACATCTGCTGCATGCGTGCTGGGGACCAAGACCTGTACCCCTGCCTGGAGCTTTGCGGAGGGCTTATCCCGGGCCCCAGAGATAAATCCCAGTGACCCTGAAGCAGCACCCCGACGTTCCGCTCCCAGCAGCCACACCCACCGGGCCCTCTCCGGCGTCTGCTTTCCACAATGCAGCCCCCGCCCAGGAGGGCCCATGTGCTTACCCTGTTTTGCCCATGAAGAAACAGCTCAGTGTTGCGGGTCAATGCCCACATCACACAGCATCTAGCACGTAACTGCACCCCGGGAGTCGTGGGCATCTGCTGGCCTCCTGCCGGTCTCCTGCCCTGCTGACAGCTTGCTGTGCCGCCTGCCTGCCCCAGTACGAGCGGGCCCTGGACGTGGCGGCAGAGCCCAAGCACGAGCGGCAGCGCCGAGCCCAGATACGCAAGAACATCACGGAGACTCTGGTGTCCCTGAGGGTCCACACTGTGGATGACATCCAGCAGATCGCTGCTGCGCTGGCCCAGTGCATGGTAGGATGGCCCCACATGCTCACCCCGCCCCGCATGCCTGCCAGGGTACTGGGTTCAGCCCCCCAGGGCAGACGGGCAGCTTGGCCGAGGAGCTGAGCCTCCAGCCTGGGCTCCTTCATGCCATGGCGTTCCTCGGTCTCTGACCTGCTTCAGTAGCCTCAGCCTTTCTGCTGTCCTGTGTGAACGCAGGGTGCCTCTCGGGGGACCCAGGGTGTAAAGAGGGGCCCAGATGTGGGGAGGGACTAAGAAGATGCTGTTCTGTGCCTTCCACTCTCCCCTCCCCTCCCCCTTCCCTCCCCTAGCCCCTCCCCTGCCCCTTCCCTCCCCTAACCCCTCCCCTCCCCCTTCCCTCCCCTTGCCCCTCCCCCTTCCCTCCCCTAGCCCCTCCCCTGCCCCTTCCCTCCCCTAACCCCTCCCCTCCCCCTTCCCTCCCCTTGCCCCCTTCTTCTCCCCTCCTCTTCCCTCCCTTCTTCCTCTCCCCTCCTCCTCTCCCCTCCTGTTTCCCTACCCTCCTCCCCTCCCCTCCTCTTTCCCTACCCTCCTCCCCTCCCCTTCTTCTTCCCTCCCCTCTTCCTCTCCCCACATCTTCCCTCCCCTCTTCCTCTCCCCACCTCTTCCCTCCCCTCTTCTTCTCCCCACCTCTTCCCTCCCTTCTTCCTCTCCCCTCCTCCTCTCCCCTCCTGTTTCCCTACCCTCCTCCCCTCCCCTCCTCTTTCCCTACCCTCCTCCCCTCCCCTTCTCTTTCCCTCCCCTCCTCCCCTCCCCTCCTCTTCTCCCCTCCTCTTCTCCCCTCCTCTTCCCTCTTGACTTGACCTCCCCTCTTCTTCCCCTCCCCTCTTTTTCCCTCCTCTTCTCCCCTCCTCTTCCCTCTCCTCTTCCCCTCCCCTCTTCTTCCCCTCCCCTCCTCTTCCCCTCCCCTCCTCTTCCCTCCCCTCTTCCCCTTTCCTCTTCCCCTCCCCTCCTCATCCCTCCCCTTTCCCCTCTTCCCCTCCCCTCCTCTTCCCTCTCCTTTCTCCCCCTTCTCTCCCCTTCCCTCTCCCCCCTTCTCTCCCCTCCCCTCTCTCCCCCTTCTCTCCCCTCCCCTCTCTCCCCCTTCTCTCCCCTCCCCTGTCTCCCCCTTCTCTCTGCCTTCTCTCCCTTCCCCTCTCCCTCTTCTCTCCCCTCCCTCTTCTCTCCCCTCCTCTCTCCCCTCCCTTCTCCCCCTTCTCTCCCCCTTTCCCCTCCCCTGTCCCCTCCCCTCTCCCCTTCTCTCCCCCTTTCCCCTCCCCGGACCCCTCCCCTCTCCCCTTCTCTCCCCTCCCCTCTCCCCTCCCCCTTCTCTCCCCTCACTTCTACCCCTTCTCTCCCTCTCTTCCCTCCCTTTCTCTCCTTCTTTCCTCCCTTCCCTTCTCCCCGGTTTTCCTCCCTTCCCTTCTCCCCTCTTTTCCTTCCTCCTCCTTTCCTCCCCTCCTCCTTTTTTCTTTTTCTCTTCTTTTCCCTTCCACTTTCCCCTTCCTTTCTCCTCCCCTTTCTTCTTCCTTTCCCCTTTCTTTCCTCTCCCCTCCTCTTCCTTTTCCTCTCTCCTTTTCTTTTCTCTCTTCCCCTCCCCTCCTCTTCCCCTCCCCTCCTCTTCCCCTCCCATCCTCTTCCCCTCCCCTCCTCTTCCCCTCCCCTCCTCTTTCCCTCCCCTCTACCCCTCCCCTCCTTTTCTCTCTGCCTTCTCTCCCTTCCCCTCTCCCTCTTCTCTCCCCTCCCTCTTCTCTCCCCTCCTCTCTCCCCTCCCTTCTCCCCCTTCTCTCCCCCTTTCCCCTCCCCTGTCCCCTCCCCTCTCCCCTTCTCTCCCCCTTTCCCCTCCCCTGTCCCCTCCCCTCTCCCCTTCTCTCCCCTCCCCTCTCCCCTCCCCCTTCTCTCCCCTCCCTTCTCCCCCCTTCTCTCCCCTCCCCCTTCTCTCCCCTCCCCTCTCCCCCCTTCTCTCCCCTCCCCTCTCCCCCTTCTCTCCCCTCCCCTCTCCCCCCTTCTCTCCCCTCCCCTCTCCCCCCTTCTCTCCCCTCCCCTCTCCCCCTTCTCTCCCCTCCCCTCTCCCCCTTCTCTCCCCTCCCCTCTCCCCCTTTCTCTCCCCTCTCCTCTTCCCTGTCCCCTCCCCCCTTCTCTCCCCTCCCCTCTCCTCTCCCCCTTTTCTCCACTCCCCTCTCCTCTCTCCCCCTTCTCTCCCCTCCCCTCTCCCCCCTTCTCTCCCCTCCCCTCTCCCCCCTTCTCTCCCCTCCCCTCTCCCCCTTCTCTCCCCTCCCCTCTCCCCCTTCTCTCCCCTCCCCTCTCCCCCCTTCTCTCCCCTCCCCCTTCTCTCCCCTCCCCTCTCCCCCCTTCTCTCCCCTCCCCTCTCCCCCTTCTCTCCCCTCCCCTCTCCCCCCTTCTCTCCCCTCCCCTCTCCCCCCTTCTCTCCCCTCCCCTCTCCCCCTTCTCTCCCCTCCCCTCTCCCCCTTCTCTCCCCTCCCCTCTCCCCCTTTCTCTCCCCTCTCCTCTTCCCTGTCCCCTCCCCCCTTCTCTCCCCTCCCCTCTCCTCTCCCCCTTTTCTCCACTCCCCTCTCCTCTCTCCCCTCTCCCCTCCTTCTCCTCTCATGTGAAGAGGTGCCTTGTGTGGTCGGTGGGCTGCATCACGTGGTCCCCAAGTGGAGGCCGTGGGTCATGCAGAGCCACAGAAAATGCTTAGTGAGGAGACTGGGGGGGTCCAGTCAAGTGGGCTCTCCAGCTGCAGGGCTGGGGGTGGGAGCCAGGTGAGGACCCGTGTAGAGAGGAGGGCGTGTGCAAGGAGTGGGGCCAGGAGCGGGGCTGGACACTGCTGGCTCCACACAGGGGCCCAGCAGGGAGCTCGTATGCCGCTCGTGCCTGAAGCAGACGCTGCACAAGCTGGAGGCCATGATGCGCATCCTGCAGGCAGAGACCACCGCGGGCACCGTGACGCCCACCGCCATCGGAGACAGCATCCTCAACATCACAGGTGCCGCGGCCCGTGCCCCACGCCACCCGCCCGCCCCACGTGGCCCGTCCGCCCCATGCCGCCCTTTCCTCTGCCTCCCTCCTCCCCACAACCGCCTCGCCTTTGCCCCATCCCATCTTCGTCCCCCTCCCCTCCCCCCAATTCCCATCCTCATCCCCCTCCCCCAATTCCCATCCTCATCCCGCTCCCCCAATTCCCATCCTCATCCCGCTCCCCCAATTCCCATCCTCATCCCCCTCCCCCAATTCCCATCCTCATCCCGCTCCCCCAATTCCCATCCTTATCCCCCTCCCCCAATTCCCATCCTTATCCCCCTCCCCCAATTCCCATTCTCCTCCCCCTCCCCCTTCCCTATTACCATCCCTTTTCTCCATCTCTCTCCCCTTTTCTCCATTTCCCCCCCCGATCCTCCCCGTCCTTTTGTCCATTCCCCTCATCTTTCTTATCCCCCTTATCCTCCTTCCCCTCCCTTATCCCCTTATCCCCCTTCCCCTCCCTTCCCCCTGCTCCTCCTCTTCTCCCCTTTCTCTTTTCTCTACCCTTTTCCTTCCTTTTTCCTCCCTCTCCCCATCATCCCCCTCATCTTCGTCCTCATCCCCATCCCCTTCCCCCTCCCCCCTCCACCACTCTCTCTCCAGCTTCCCCCTTTCTTCTGCCTGCACCTCGCTCTCTGCCCCCTCAGGTTCCCCCTTTCTCCCAGCCCCCACCCTCCGGCTCCCCCTTTTTGCCTGCCCCCACCCTCCCTCTGCCTCCCTGTCTCTGCACTGACCTCACGTCTGTCTGCAGGAGACCTCATCCACCTGGCCAGCTCAGACGTGCGGGCACCACAGCGCTCAGAGCTGGGAGCCGAGTCACCATCGCGGATGGTGGCGTCCCAGGCCTACAACCTGACCTCTGCCCTCATGCGCATCCTCACGCGCTCCCGCGTGCTCAACGAGGAGCCCCTGACACTGGCGGGCGAGGAGATCGTGGCCCAGGGCAAGCGCTCGGACCCGCGGAGCCTGCTGTGCTATGGCGGCGCCCCAGGGCCTGGCTGCCACTTCTCCATCCCCTAGGCTTTCAGCAGGGCCCCGGCTAACCTCAGTGACGTGGTGCAGCTCATCTTTCTGGTGGACTCCAATCCCTTTCCCTTTGGCTATATCAGCAACTACACCGTCTCCACCAAGGTGGCCTCGATGGCGTTCCAGACACAGGCCGGCGCCCAGATCCCCATCGAGCGGCTGGCCTCAGAGCGCGCCATCACCGTGAAGGTGCCCAACAACTCGGACTGGGCTGCCCGGGGCCACCGCAGCTCTGCCAACTCCGTTGTGGTCCAGCCCCAGGCCTCCGTCGGTGCTGTGGTCACCCTGGACAGCAGCAACCCTGCGGCCGTGCTGCATCTGCAGCTCAACTATACGCTGCTGGACGGTGCGTGCAGCGGGTGAGGCACACGCGGCCCCCTGGCCTTGTTCTTGGGGGGAAGGCGTTTCTCGTAGGGCTTCCATGGGTGTCTCTGGTGAAATTTGCTTTCTGTTTCATGGGCTGCTGGGGGCCTGGCTGGAGAGGAGCTGGGGGCCACGGAGAAGCAGGTGCCAGCTCTGGTGCAGAGGCTCCTATGGCCTTTCAGGCCCGTGGCAGAGGGTGGGCTCAGGAGGGCCATCGTGGGTGTCCCCCGGGTGGTTGAGCTTCCCGGCAGGCGTGTGACCTGCGCGTTCTGCCCCAGGCCGCTACCTGTCTGAGGAACCCGAGCCCTACCTGGCAGTCTACCTGCACTCGGAGCCCCGGCCCAATGAGCACAACTGCTCGGCTAGCAGGAGGATCCGCCCAGAGTCCCTCCAGGGTGCCGACCACCGGCCCTACACCTTCTTCATTTCCCCGGGGTGAGCTCTGCGGGCCGGCCTGGCAGGGCAGGGCAGGGCATCATGGGTCAGCATTGCCCGGGTTACAGGCCCTGTGGGGACGGCAGGCAGCGAGGGGACTGGACCGGGTATGGGCTCTGGGACTCCGATATCCAACCTGGCGGAGCCTGGGCTCACGTCCACTGCCCCTTCCCTGCCCAGGACCAGAGACCCAGTGGGGAGTTACCGTCTGAACCTCTCCAGCCACTTCCGCCTGTCGGCGCTGGAGGTGTCCGTGGGCCTGTACACGTCCCTGTGCCAGTACTTCAGCGAGGAGGACGTGGTGTGGCGGACAGAGGGGCTGCTGCCCCTGGAGGAGACCTCGCCCCGCCAGGCCGTCTGCCTCACCCGCCACCTCACCGCCTTCGGCGCCAGCCTCTTCGTGCCCCCAAGCCATGTACGCTTTGTGTTTCCTGTGAGTGACCCTGTGCTCCTGGGAGCCTCTGCAGAGTCGAGGAGGGCCTGGGTGGGCTCGGCTCTATCCTGAGAAGGCACAGCTTGCACGTGACCTCCTGGGCCCGGCGGCTGTGTCCTCACAGGAGCCGACAGCGGATGTAAACTACATCGTCATGCTGACATGTGCTGTGTGCCTGGTGACCTACATGGTCATGGCCGCCATCCTGCACAAGCTGGACCAGTTGGATGCCAGCCGGGGCCGCGCCATCCCCTTCTGTGGGCAGCGGGGCCGCTTCAAGTACGAGATCCTCGTCAAGACAGGCTGGGGCCGGGGCTCAGGTGAGGGGCGCGGCGGGGTGGCAGGGCCTCCCCTGCTCTCACTGGCTGTGCTGGTTGCACCCTCTGGGAGTGAGTCTCATCGCAGGCGTCAGAACAAGGCAGTTTTTGCAGTGCTGTGTGAAGGGCTCGTGTGTTCATCCTGGGAATGACCTCGTGAGCACTCACTGTCCCTGAGGACTAGGACAGCTCCTAGCTGGAAGTAGGTGCCAGTCAGTCAGGGTGGGCAGCCCACATTCTGCACAGTAGCGTGGCCCCACAAGTGACATGAGCATCGCTACCACTGTGGGAGACCGTGCATCCACCCGCGATCCTGACTGCATAGCTCGTCTCTCAGACGGAGGCGCCAGCACCCTCCCCGTGGCTGTTTCTTCAATACCTCTATTTTCCTTTCATTGGAATTGCCCTTCTGGCATTCCCTTTTTGTTTTCGTTTTTCTTTTTTTGGAGACGGAGTCTCGCTCTGTTGCCCAGGCTGGAGTGCAGTGGCGTGATCTTGGCTCACAGCAACTTCCAGCTCCTGGGTTTAAGCGATTCCCCTTAAGCGATTCTCCTGAGTAGCTGGGAGTACAGGTGCACGCCACCACACCCAGTTAATTTTTCACCATGTCAGCCAGGCGAACTCCTGACCTCAGGTGATCCGCCTGCCTCGGCCTGCCAGAGTGCTGGGATGACAGGTGTGAGCCACCACACCTGGCCGTGTTCCCATTTTTTATTTCCGTGCTGCTTTTATCTTCATTTCCCAGTTCTTTCTTTTGATTACCTACTTTTAAAAACTGTCGGCCGGGCGCGGTGGCTCACACCTGTAATCCGAGCACTTTGGGAGGCCGAGGCAGGCAAATCACGGGGTCAGGAGATCGAGACCATCCTGGCTAACGGTGAAACCCTGTCTCTACTAAAAAATACAAAAAAATTAGGCCGGCGTGGTGGCAGGCGCCTGTAGTCCCAGCTCCTCGGGAGACTGAGGCAGGAGAATGGCGTGAACCCGGGAGGCGGAGCTTGCAGTGAGCTGAGATTGCGCCACTGCACTCCAGCCTGGGTGACACAGCAAGACTCCATCTCAAAAAAAAAAAAAAAATACTGTCACCTGGGTCTGTCACTGGGAGAGGAGGTGACACAGCTTCACGCTTTGCAGTCTATGCATGAACTGAGGGACGGGTGTGTGGTGCGGGTCACTGGTTGTGGCGTGACTGAGGCGTGGACAGGTGTGCAGTGCGGGTCACTGGTTGTGGTGTGGACTGAGGCGTGTGCAGCCATGTTTGCATGTCACAAGTTACAGTTCTTTCCATGTAACTTAATCATGTCCTTGAGGTCCTGCTGTTTATTGGACAAATTGCAGTAACCTCAGCTCCTCGTGTATGGCAGAGCCGTGCAAAGCCGGGACTGCCTGTGTGGCTCCTTGAGTGCGCGGAGGCCAAAGCTGAGATGACTTGCCTGGGATGCCACACGTGTTGGGCAGCAGACCGAGCCTCCCACCCCTCCCTCTTGCCCTCCAGGTACCACGGCCCACGTGGGCATCATGCTGTATGGGGTGGACAGCCGGAGCGGCCACCGGCACCTGGATGGCGACAGAGCCTTCCACCGCAACAGCCTGGACATCTTCCGGATCGCCACCCCGCACAGCCTGGGTAGCGTGTGGAAGATCCGAGTGTGGCACGACAAAGGTCTGTGCGGACCCTGCCAAGCTCTGCCCCTCTGCCCCCGCGTTGGGGCGCCCTGCGAGCCTGACCTCCCTCCCGCGCCTCTGCAGGGCTCAGCCCTGCCTGGTTCCTGCAGCACGTCATCGTCAGGGACCTGCAGACGGCACACAGCACCTTCTTCCTGGTCAATGACTGGCTTTCGGTGGAGACGGAGGCCAACGGGGGCCTGGTGGAGAAGGAGGTGCTGGCCGCGAGTAAGGCCTCGTTCCATGTTCCCACTCCGTGGGAGGTTGGGCAGGGTGGTCCTGCCCCGTGGCCTCCTGCAGTGCGGCCCTCCCTGCCTTCTAGGTCACGCAGCCCTGTTGCGCTTCCGGCGCCTGCTGGTGGCTGAGCTGCAGTGCGGCTTCTTTGACAAGCACATCTGGCTCTCCATATGGGACCGGCCGCCTCGTAGCTGTTTCACTCGCATCCAGAGGGCCACCTGCTGCGTTCTCCTCATCTGCCTCTTCCTGGGCGCCAACGCCGTGTGGTACGGGGCTGTTGGTGACTCTGCCTACAGGTGGGTGCCGTAGGGGTCGGGACAGCCTCTTCCTGCCCAGCCCTTCCTGCCCCTCAGCCTCACCTGTGTGGCCTCCTCTCCTCCACACAGCACGGGGCATGTGTCCAGGCTGAGCCCGCTGAGCGTCGACACAGTCGCTGTTGGCCTGGTGTCCAGCGTGGTTGTCTATCCCGTCTACCTGGCCATCCTCTTTCTCTTCTGGATGTCCCGGAGCAAGGTGGGCTGGGGCTGGGGACCGGGGAGTACTGGGAATGGAGCCTGGGCCTCGGCACCATGCCCAGAGCCGCCACTTTCCAGTGCTGCAGCCAGAGGGAAAGGCGTCCACCAAAGGCTGCTCGGGAAGGGTCAACACACTTGAGCAGCCTTAGCTAGACTGACCAGGGAGAAAGAGAGAAGACTCAGAAGCCAGAATCGTGAAAGAACGAGGGCACTTCGCTAAGCAGACGCCACGGACAACTGCACAGCAGCACGCCAGATAACTCAGAAGAAGCAAGCACGCGGCTGTGCACGCTTCCGAAATGCACTCCAGAAGAAAATCTCAGTACGTCTATAGCAAGTGAAGAGGCCGAGTTAGTCCCTTAGAAACCTCCCAGTGGCCGGGCCGGGTGTGGTGGCTCACGCCTATAATCCCAACACTTCAGGAGGCCGAGGTGGGCGGATCTGAGTCCAGGAGTTTGAGACCAGCCTGGGCAACATAGCAAGACCACATCTATATAAAACATTAAAAAGGACCAGGCACGGTGGCTCACGCCTGTAATCCCAACACTTTGGGAGGCCGAGGCGGGCAGATGAGTTGAGGTCAGGAGTTCGAGACCAGCCTGGCCAACACAATGAAACCCCGTCTCTACTACAAATACAAAAACTTAGCTGGGCATGGTGGCGGGCGCCTGTAGTCCCAGCTACTCGAGAGGCTGAGGCAGGAGAATGGCATGAACCCAGGAGGCGGAGCTTGCAGTGAGCCGAGATTGCGCCACTGCACTCCATCCTGGGCAACGGAGCAAGACTCCATCTCCAAAAAAAAAAAAAAAAAATCCCACAAAGAAAAGCTCAGGCTCAGAGCCTTCACGATAGAATTTTTCTAAGCAGTTAAGGAAGAATTAACACCAATCCTTCACAGACTCTTTCCAAGAATACAGCAGGTGGGAACTCTTCCCATTCATACGGAAACGGGAGGCCGCACCCCTTAGGAATGCACACGTGGGGTCCTCAAGAGGTTACATGCAAACTAACCCCAGCAGCACACAGAGAAGGCGCATAAGCCGCGACCAGGAGGGGTTGCTCCCGAGTCCGTGGCAGGAACCAGAGGCCACATGTGGCTGCTCGTATTTAAGTTAATTAAAATGGAACGTTGGCCGGGCGTGGTGGCTCACACCTGTAATCCCAGCACTTTGGGAGGCGGAGGCGGGCAGATCACTTGATGTCAGGAGTTCCAAGACCAGCCTGGCCAACACAGTGAAACCCCGTCTCTACTAAAAATACAAAAAATCAGCTGGGCATCGTGGCAGGCACCTGTAATCCCAGCTACTCAGGAGGCTGAGCCAGGACAATCGCCTGAACGCGGGAGGTGGAGGTTGCAGTGAGCTGAGATTGCGCCAGTGCACTCCAGCCTGGGTGACAGAGCGAGACTCCATCTAAGAAAAAAAAAAATGAAATTGAAAACTCTGTTCCTTAGCTGCACCAGTCTGCTGTCAAGTGTTCAGTGGCACACGTCGCGAGGGGCTGCCATCACGGACGGTGCAGATGTCCCATATATCCAGCATTCTAGGACATTCTGTCAGATGGCACCGGGCTCTGTCCTGTCTGCTGAGGAGGTGGCTTCTCATCCAGGTCCTGAGCAGGTCTGAGCTGCCGCCCGCTGACCACTGCCGTCGTCCTGCAGGTGGCTGGGAGCCCGAGCCCCACACCTGCCGGGCAGCAGGTGCTGGACATCGACAGCTGCCTGGACTCGTCCGTGCTGGACAGCTCCTTCCTCACGTTCTCAGGCCTCCACGCTGAGGTGAGGGCTCTACTGGGGGTCCTGGGCTGGGCTGGGGGTCCTGCCGCCTTGGCGCAGCTTGGACTCCAGACACTGTGCACCTCTCAGCAGGCCTTTGCTGGACAGGTGAAGAGTGACTTGTTTCTGGATGATTCTAAGAGGTGGGTTCCCCTAGAGAAACCTCGAGCCCTGGTGCAGGTCACTGTGTCTGGAGTACCGGGGGTGTGCGGGCTGCGTGTCCTTGCTGGGTGTCTGTGGCTCCATGTGGTCACACCACGTGGGAGCAGGTTTGCTCGGAAGCCCAGGGTGTCCGTGCGTGACTGGACGGGGGTGGGCTGTGTGTGTGACACATCCCCTGGTACCTTGCTGACCCGCGCCACCTGCAGTCTGGTGTGCTGGCCCTCCAGCGAGGGAACGCCCAGTTGGCCGGACCTGCTCAGTGACCCGTCCATTGTGGGTAGCAATCTGCGGCACAACCCCCACTTACTGGGTCTCTCCTTTTACAACCAACACAACCGAAATCTAGGGCTTCTTTTTTTTTTTTTTTTTTTTTTTTTTTGAGACAGAGTCTCATTCCATTCTGTCACCCAGGCTGGAGTGCAATGGTACGATCTCGGCTCACTGCAACCTCCGCCTCCCGGGTTCAAGGGATTGTCCTGCCTCAGCCTCCTGAGTAGCTGGGGTTACAGGCGTGTGCCACCATGCCTGGCTAATTTTTGTATTTTTGGTAGAGACGGGGTTTCAGCATGTTGGTGAGGCTGGTCTCGAACTCCTAACCTCGTGATCCGCCTGCCTCAGCCTCCCAAAGTGCTGGGATTACAGGCGTGAGCCACCATGCCCAGCCAAATCTAGGGCTGGAACATGGCTGCAGCATATAAAAAGAATTGAATTCCATACTTTTGTTAACCCTGTTTTTTGTTTGTAGTTGTTGCTGTTTTTGAGACAGAGTCTCGCTCTGTCGCCTAGGCTGGAGTGCAGTGGTGCAATCTCGGCTCACTGCAGACTCTGCCTCCCGGGTTCAAACTGTTCTCCTGCCTCAGCCTCCCAAGTAGGTGGGACTACAGGCGCCCACCACCACACCCGGCTAATTTTTGTATTTTATTAGAGACAGGGTTTCACCATATTGGCCAGGCTGGTCTGGAACTCCTGACCTTGTGATCCGCCCACCTCGGCCTCCCAAAGTGCTGGGATTACAGGCGTGAGCCACCACCCCCAGCCCCTGTTTTGTTTTTGTTTTGCTTGTTTCTTAGGGTTGTTTTTCTATTTATGGTAAAGGCATTGGCTTTCTATTTGTAGCATCAATAGAATATTTCCTGTTTACAATAACCTTATGTCATAGTAAATGGTAAAGGGATTTAAAGCAGTGGTTTTCAGCTGCCAGAGGCCTGAGAGAGTTTGGGCACACTCTGTGTGATTGGGCAGAAGGCCTGTGGGAAGTTTAGCTGAGGACAGGGCCAGGAAAGGTGATGGACAGTGGGGGTCTGTCCTGGTCACCAGGCCCCTGGGTCCTGCCCACCTGCTTGGAGCTCCCCACCCATCACACATGATGCGGCCAAGCCCTCTGGGTATTGTGGGCAAACACCTTAGGAGAGAAGCTGATGAACTTTGTTTCTTGAAATGCATAGATTCCTTGGACGTCCCTGAGAGGCCAGTCATGAAAGTCAGCTTGGTTTTCTCCCCCTCATTTGGGTTCAGAATTTAAAGTCCACACACACGGGCAGTAAGATGATATAGATAAGGACATCATCACTCGGTTTCGGATGTTAAAATGTCTAGGTGGGTTAGGGGTGATTTGAGATCACACAACCTTGTGCCACAAAGAGGAATTCCCAGGCCAGAGGGAGACATTTTATTGCCATGTTATGATCTCATCATTGAGTTGAAAGGCAATCTTGTTTCATTTTGGATTCTTTCTTATGTTTATGTCTTATAAGGGCACTTTGAATTTCCAAGCAAATAATAATTTTGAATTAGCTTTTAATCATTGACTTCTAGCACAGTTATATGATCAGAAACATGCTGTGTGATTTGATTGCTCTCAAATATATTGAGATTTGCTGGAACAAAATAAGTCAGGTTAATTTTTGTAAATGTACCATGCATGCTTAAAATGAATGTATGTACATTTGTTCCTGAGATACAGGTTGATGGACGGATGGCTACATGGATGTGATGGAGATGGTTTACTATCGGGACCTTCCGCATCCTGCTGATGTTTTGTTGCTTAGGATATGAATGGCTGAGCGGAGGCTGTAAAACCTGGCACTCTGCTTGGGTATGAGGTTCTTCCTGCCATCCTGCCATCATTTGTTTTTTATGTTTTGTCACCAAAAGTGACCTTGAGGAACCCTGGGAGCTCAGGAAGGAAGGAGCGCCCAGAAGCAGGGACAGGGAGCTGGTTGGGGTGGACCAGAAATCAGGTTTGTGAAGGTTCCAGAGAGGACCTGGTCTTGGGAGGAGCGTGGGGGACTGAGATGGGGGAGGGGTCATTGGGATGATGCGGGCGCTACTTGGAATGTCCATTGTGAGGCACCACCGGGGTCATCAGGGATTGGTGGAGAGAGAGTCTAAAGCCCCAGGGTTGCTAAGGGAGGGCCCAGACCGAAGAAGGTTTGGTGGAAAGCAGAACCTTTGTCTCCCTCTAATTGCTCCTAAGCCTCACGCTCCCTTGCCCCGCGTGTCCTGTTGCTTCCCTGATCTTCTCCGTGACCTGTAGCTAAACCTTCCACCAGCGCTTGAGAACTTAATTTGAACCGGATCCTTTCCCAGACCCCTTTCTTCTTCTCCTCCTCCTCCTCCACCTCCTCCAGGTACCCAACAGCCCCCTTCTCCTTTCCCTTCCCTTACTCCCCCCTTCCCCTCCCCTTCCCCTCCCCTTCCCCTCCCCTTCCCCTCCCCCTCCCCAACTCAGATCCCGCCCAGTCCCCGTCCCCTTCCCTCCCCCCTGCCCTAAGCCACCTCCACCTCTGTCCTGGCCACCTCCGGGCGCCCTGAAAGGACCAGGACATGCGGGTGCGGTGGCTGCTCTTTTGGCTTCTCTTTTGGCTCCTGCTGGGATTTATCAGCCATCAGTCCACCTGTGTGAGTAGATGGGTGCTGTGGCTGCTCTTTCGGCTCCTGCTGGGATTTATCAGCCATCAGTCCACCTGTGTGAGTAGACGCTGGACCCGCGGGGTTTCTTCCTTTTTACTGGGCTGTGTCACGCGGCATGAAATTACACAGCTCAGGCCTGTAATCCCAGCACTTTAGGGGGCCGAGGTGGGCAGATCACTTGAGTCCAGGAGTTGAAGACTAGCCAGGGCATCATAGCGAAACCCCATCTCTACAAAAAATTCCAAAAAAGATTAGTCGGGCCTGGTGGTGCGTACCTGTTATCCCAGTTACTGGAGAGGCTGAGGTGGGAGGATCGCTTGGGCCCAGGAGCTGGACGTTGCAGTGAGCCGAGATGGCCCCGCTGCACTCTTGTCTCTAACAAACAAAACGGACCAAAACAAAGTGAAATGTCATTTGATTTGTGTCATCTGGTTTGATGACTTTTTTGTTTGTTTGTTTGTTTTTTAGACAGAGTCTCACTCTGTCGCCCAGGCTGGAGTGCAGTGGCAAGATCTCGGCTCACTGCAACCTCCGCTTCCGGGGTTCAAGCAATTGTCCTGCCTCAGCCTCCTGAGTAGCTCAGATTACAACGCCTGGCTAATTTTTGTATTTTTAGTAGACCACCACGCCTGGCTAATTTTTGTATTTTTAGTAGAGACTGGGTTTCACCATGTTCGCCAGGATAGTCTCCATCTCTTGACCTCGTGATCCGCCTGCCTCGGCCTCCCAGTGCTGGGATTACAGGCGTGAGCCACCGCGCCTGGCCAAAATATATAACCTTAAGTGTAAGTTTACTAACTTTGGAAAGTACATACACCAGCATAAACCAACCCCCTTTCAAGATCTACATTATTTTATTTATTTATTTATTTATTTGAGACAGTTTCTCCCTTGTTGCTGAGGCTGGAGTGCAATGGGCCAATATCAGCTCACCGCAACCTCTGCTTCCCAGGTTCGAGCGATTCTCCTGCCTCAGCCTCCCGAGTGGCTGGGATTACAGACATGTGCCACCACTCCCAGCTAATTTTGTATTTTTAGTAGAGATAGGGTTTCTCCATGTTGGTCAGGCTGGTTTTGAACTCCCGACCTCAGGTGATCCGCCCGCCTCGGCCTCCCAAAGTGTTGGGATTACAGGCGTGAACCACCGTGCCCAGCCAAGATCTACACTATTATGTCACCCCAGAAAGTGAACTCTCACTCTTCCCAGCCAGTCTCTTTCTTATCATAGGTTAGCTTGCTTATTCTGGAATTTCACGTATACAGATGCATGCCATGCCATAGGTACTCTTTTGTGTCTGCTTTGTTCTGCTCAACACCATATTTCTGAAATCATTACCATTGTTGTATGGTTCTCTAACTCCATCATTTCCATTTCAGACTCAGCATATGCTGAGTTCAACCTGTTGAAGGGCTATCTCTGTTTAATTCACCATCTTGAAAGAAACATTTAAAATTGAGATGTTTTCAAGAATATATAGTTAAATCCTGAGGAATCGATGTAGAAATGTTATCAGAAGCTGTCTGAACTTACTCAGGGGAAGTCTTCGTCTTCACTCACATAAGAGTCTAATGGAATTAATATCAACAATCTTAGAGAAATCCCACACTATTCATGCCATTTTCATGATCTCCACCTCGGTAATTTTTTTTTTTTTTTTTTTTTTTTGAGACAGAGTCTCGCTCTGTCACCCAGGCTGAAGTGCAGTGGTGCGATCTCGGCTCACTGCAACCTCTACCTCCCAGGTTCAAGTGATTCTTCTGCCTCAGCCTCCCAAGTAGCTGGAACTATAGGCGCGTGCCACCATGCCCTGCTAATTTTTTGTATTTTTAGTAGAGATGGGTTTCACCGTGTTAGCTAGGATGGTCTCAATCTCCTGATCTCATGGTCCACCCACCTTGGCTTCCCAAAGTGCTGGGATTGCAGGCGTGAGCCACCACGCCCGGCCCACCTTGTTAATTTTTAAGCACTAAAATTCGATACTTATTTGTGAATGAAGTAATCTCTTCATTGTATTTTTTTTTTTTTTTACTTATGCTGAGCTTTAAATGACAAAGATTCATATAATCCAAGAGAGAAGTATTATTTAGAGGGATTCTTTTACCATGTGATATATAATAAATGCATCCAATGTTATACATCAATTTAAAAAACAAGTAAATAACTAAAGAAAAGATAACTACTGGCCAGGTGCAGTGGCTCACACGTGTATTCCCAGGACTTTGGGAGGCCGAGGCAGGTGGATCATGAGGTCAGGAGTTGGAGACCAGCCTGGCCAAGATGGTGAAACCGTTTCTACTAAAAAGACAAAAATTAGCCGAGCGTGGTGGCAGGCGCCTGTAATCCCAGTTACTCAGTAGCTGAGGCAGGAGAATCGCTTGAACCCGGGAGGCGGAGGTTGCAGTGAGCTGAGATCATGCCACTGCAATCTAGCCTGGGTGACAGAGCAAGACTTTGTCTCAAAACAAAAAGAAAAGATAAGATAATTACTTTATACTTAGCTTGTCTTACCCATGAGTGACGGGCTGCATGTGGCCCAGGACAGTTTTGAATGCAGTTCAACACAAATTTGTAAACTTTCTTAAAACATTAGGAGATTTTGGCCAGGTACAGTGGCTCATGCCTGTAATCCCAGCACTTTGGGAGGCTGAGGCGGGCAGATTACCTGAGGTCAGGAGTTCGAGACCACCCTGGCTAACATGGCAAAACCCCATCTCCACAAAAAATACAAAAATTTGCTGAGTGCACTGTCAGGCACCTATACTCCCAGCTACTCAGGAGGCTGAGGCAGGAGAATCACTTGAACCTGAGAGGCAGAGGTTGCAGTGAGCCAAGAGCACACCACTGCACTCTAGCCTGGGTGACAGAGTGAGACCCCATCTCAAAAACAAACAACAAACAAAAAGAAAAAAAATGGCTGGGCACGGTGGCTCACACCTGTAATCCCAGCACTTTGGGAGGCTGAGGCAGGCAGATCGCCTGTCAGGAGTTCAAGGCCAGACTGGGCAACATGGTGAAACCTCATCTCTACTAAAAATACAAAAATTAGTCGGGCATGGTGGCAGAGACCTGTAATCTCAGCTGCTCGGGAGGCTGAGGCAGGAGAATGGCTTGAGCCCAGGAGCTGGAGGTTGCAGCGAGCCGAGATTGCACCACTGCACTCCAGCCTGGGCGACTGAGTGGAGCAGAACTCTGTCTCAAAAAAAAAAAAAAAAAAAAAAATTTTTTTTTTTTAGATCATCAGCTATTGTTAGTGTTAGTGTATGTTATGTGTGGCTCAAGACAACTTTGCTTCTTTTAATATAGGCAGGGAAGTCAAAAGATTGGATATCCCTGCTTTATACCAAGAAAGACAACACCCCACATTTGCAATGCCTAAAAACACTACCAGCCATCTGAAAAACATGAGACTTCTCTAACTTCTGTTCTTTTTTGTAGCAGTGGAATCCCACGGTGATATCTGAGGGATGTGGTTACCTTTTGGAGGAGGTTGACGGTTTCTAAGGATGATTCTTTCTGAGTGAAATATTGTCAGTGTCATTGACCTTTTCATTATTTCAACTATTATTATTCCAGGTTATCAATACTCTGGCTGACCATCGTCATCGTGGGACTGACTTTGGTGGAAGTCCTTGGTTACTTATCATTACTGTGTTTCTGAGAAGTTATAAATTTGCCATCTCCCTCTGCACAACTTACCTTTGGGTGAGTATACTAACTTTCTGTAGAGGTATACTTGTAATCACAAATAAGAATAAATTATATGAAACACTTCACGTTTCTGGACTTCATTATGAATATGTGGTTTTACCCAAAAAATCAGGGAAATGATTTATTAGCATAAGAATTATGAAAATATCTGCCATTTACATTATGAAAATTAAATAGGTCGGTGTTTAATAGAATGTCAACAGAGCTTTTGGTCAAAAATAAGTTTTTTTAACCTTTGTGCTATTTGTCACAAATGGAGTATGAGGTTTCGTCACTTAAATGAGAAAGTCTTTCTAAACTATTCTGCTTTATAGTTCTATCGTATGGGTGGAAGGAAAGCTTCCAATCTCCTCTCTGAAGATTCACTGCAGAAATGAGCTGACAACAGACAGCTTAACAGGAAAAGAAAAACATAGAACAGGCATAAACATGGGAACCAGCTGAAAAATGAGACTGCTAGAAGGGCTGGATGGTTGATGCTTAAAGAGCACCCTCTTCTGAGGGGAGAGGGAGATAGATGGAGATGTAGGCCATTTAGAGGGGCAGCAAATGATTTTTAGGGGAAATGAAAGAGCCCAAGGAACAAACAGTTGGCCTGAGACAAAGTTCCTCTGAGGTCATAGGGACGAGGTGACAAACTGCCGGAAGGTGAAGGGCAGAACTGCACTGCGTCTCATGATGCAGAGAAAGCCCCAGAGAATCTCTTAGAACTGCCCTCCAAGAGAATCAATGAAAAGTGTGTCTGGGCAGGGTAATTTTGAATGACATCATTCAAAGTGCATGTTCCCACTTGCAACTGGAGAGAGATCAGTATGTCAAAAGTCTGTACTTGGTAAGAATTTGGCTGCTAAGTTGTGCCATAATTTGTCTTTTGAGCCTTTTTTCCTTTGGGTAAGTTGAGCTCTACATTTTGTCTTGCCACTCATGACAGTAAAAATGTGGTTGTGTGGGGGCTGAACCTCCTTCTGAACAATGATCCAAGATAAAAGTACTAATACCACAATGCTTTTTGATCTTCAAGGGAAGAGGAAGTATGTTTCAGTTTTACCACCTAGATAATTACACGTCATTTGGCACTGCCTTTCAAGATATGTGGAAAACAGAAAATATATGAGTTATGAAGATATCTAGGCACATTTAACATTCTCTATGCCACTTAGTCCTGAACAGAGAATTTTTGGTATAAATTGGAGGAAGCTTTTTTTTTTTTTTTTCTTTTCTCACCCCCAAGACGAGTCTCCCTCTGTTGCCCAGGCTGGAGTATAATGGTGTGATCTCGGCTCACTGCAACCTCCACCTCCTGGCTTCAAGTGATTCCCCTGCCTCAGCCTCTCAAGTAGCTGGGATTACAGGTGCCCACCACCATGCCCAGCTAATTTGTGTATTTTTAGTAGACCACCACGCCTGGCTAATTTTTGTATTTTTAGTAGAGACTGGGTTTCACCATGTTCGCCAGGATAGTCTCCATCTCTTGACCTCGTGATCCGCCTGCCTCGGCCTCCCAGTGCTGGGATTACAGGCGTGAGCCACCGCGCCTGGCCAAAATACATAACCTTAAGTGTAAGTTTACTAACTTTGGAAAGTACATACACCAGCATAAACCAACCCCCTTTCAAGATCTACATTATTTTATTTATTTATTTATTTATTTGAGACAGTTTCTCCCTTGTTGCTGAGGCTGGAGTGCAATGGGCCAATATCAGCTCACCGCAACCTCTGCTTCCCAGGTTCGAGCGATTCTCCTGCCTCAGCCTCCCGAGTGGCTGGGATTACAGACATGTGCCACCACTCCCAGCTAATTTTGTATTTTTAGTAGAGATAGGGTTTCTCCATGTTGGTCAGGCTGGTTTTGAACTCCCGACCTCAGGTGATCCGCCCGCCTCGGCCTCCCAAAGTGTTGGGATTACAGGCGTGAACCACCGTGCCCAGCCAAGATCTACACTATTATGTCACCCCAGAAAGTGAACTCTCACTCTTCCCAGCCAGTCTCTTTCTTATCATAGGTTAGCTTGCTTATTCTGGAATTTCACGTATACAGATGCATGCCATGCCATAGGTACTCTTTTGTGTCTGCTTTGTTCTGCTCAACACCATATTTCTGAAATCATTACCATTGTTGTATGGTTCTCTAACTCCATCATTTCCATTTCAGACTCAGCATATGCTGAGTTCAACCTGTTGAAGGGCTATCTCTGTTTAATTCACCATCTTGAAAGAAACATTTAAAATTGAGATGTTTTCAAGAATATATAGTTAAATCCTGAGGAATCGATGTAGAAATGTTATCAGAAGCTGTCTGAACTTACTCAGGGGAAGTCTTCGTCTTCACTCACATAAGAGTCTAATGGAATTAATATCAACAATCTTAGAGAAATCCCACACTATTCATGCCATTTTCATGATCTCCACCTTGGTAATTTTTTTTTTTTTTTTTTTTTTTGAGACAGAGTCTCGCTCTGTCACCCAGGCTGAAGTGCAGTGGTGCGATCTCGGCTCACTGCAACCTCTGCCTCACGGGTTCAAGTGATTCTTCTGCCTCAGCCTCCCAAGTAGCTGGAACTATAGGCGCGTGCCACCATGCCCTGCTAATTTTTTGTATTTTTAGTAGAGATGGGTGTCACCGTGTTAGCTAGGATGGTCTCAATCTCCTGATCTCATGGTCCACCCACCTTGGCTTCCCAAAGTGCTGGGATTGCAGGCGTGAGCCACCACGCCCGGCCCACCTTGTTAATTTTTAAGCACTAAAATTCGATACTTATTTGTGAATGAAGTAATCTCTTCATTGTATTTTTTTTTTTTTTTTACTTATGCTGAGCTTTAAATGACAAAGATTCATATAATCCAAGAGAGAAGTATTATTTAGAGGGATTCTTTTACCATGTGATATATAATAAATGCATCCAATGTTATACATCAATTTAAAAAACAAGTAAATAACTAAAGAAAAGATAACTACTGGCCAGGTGCAGTGGCTCACACGTGTATTCCCAGGACTTTGGGAGGCCGAGGCAGGTGGATCATGAGGTCAGGAGTTGGAGACCAGCCTGGCCAAGATGGTGAAACCGTTTCTACTAAAAAGACAAAAATTAGCCGAGCGTGGTGGCAGGCGCCTGTAATCCCAGTTACTCAGTAGCTGAGGCAGGAGAATCGCTTGAACCCGGGAGGCGGAGGTTGCAGTGAGCTGAGATCATGCCACTGCAATCTAGCCTGGGTGACAGAGCAAGACTTTGTCTCAAAACAAAAAGAAAAGATAAGATAATTACTTTATACTTAGCTTGTCTTACCCATGAGTGACGGGCTGCATGTGGCCCAGGACAGTTTTGAATGCAGTTCAACACAAATTTGTAAACTTTCTTAAAACATTAGGAGATTTTGGCCAGGTACAGTGGCTCATGCCTGTAATCCCAGCACTTTGGGAGGCTGAGGCGGGCAGATTACCTGAGGTCAGGAGTTCGAGACCACCCTGGCTAACATGGCAAAACCCCATCTCCACAAAAAATACAAAAATTTGCTGAGTGCACTGTCAGGCACCTATACTCCCAGCTACTCAGGAGGCTGAGGCAGGAGAATCACTTGAACCTGAGAGGCAGAGGTTGCAGTGAGCCAAGAGCACACCACTGCACTCTAGCCTGGGTGACAGAGTGAGACCCCATCTCAAAAACAAACAACAAACAAAAAGAAAAAAAATGGCTGGGCACGGTGGCTCACACCTGTAATCCCAGCACTTTGGGAGGCTGAGGCAGGCAGATCGCCTGTCAGGAGTTCAAGGCCAGACTGGGCAACATGGTGAAACCTCATCTCTACTAAAAATACAAAAATTAGTCGGGCATGGTGGCAGAGACCTGTAATCTCAGCTGCTCGGGAGGCTGAGGCAGGAGAATGGCTTGAGCCCAGGAGCTGGAGGTTGCAGCGAGCCGAGATTGCACCACTGCACTCCAGCCTGGGCGACTGAGTGGAGCAGAACTCTGTCTCAAAAAAAAAAAAAAAAAAAAAAATTTTTTTTTTTTAGATCATCAGCTATTGTTAGTGTTAGTGTATGTTATGTGTGGCTCAAGACAACTTTGCTTCTTTTAATATAGGCAGGGAAGTCAAAAGATTGGATATCCCTGCTTTATACCAAGAAAGACAACACCCCACATTTGCAATGCCTAAAAACACTACCAGCCATCTGAAAAACATGAGACTTCTCTAACTTCTGTTCTTTTTTGTAGCAGTGGAATCCCACGGTGATATCTGAGGGATGTGGTTACCTTTTGGAGGAGGTTGACGGTTTCTAAGGATGATTCTTTCTGAGTGAAATATTGTCAGTGTCATTGACCTTTTCATTATTTCAACTATTATTATTCCAGGTTATCAATACTCTGGCTGACCATCGTCATCGTGGGACTGACTTTGGTGGAAGTCCTTGGTTACTTATCATTACTGTGTTTCTGAGAAGTTATAAATTTGCCATCTCCCTCTGCACAACTTACCTTTGGGTGAGTATACTAACTTTCTGTAGAGGTATACTTGTAATCACAAATAAGAATAAATTATATGAAACACTTCACGTTTCTGGACTTCATTATGAATATGTGGTTTTACCCAAAAAATCAGGGAAATGATTTATTAGCATAAGAATTATGAAAATATCTGCCATTTACATTATGAAAATTAAATAGGTCGGTGTTTAATAGAATGTCAACAGAGCTTTTGGTCAAAAATAAGTTTTTTTAACCTTTGTGCTATTTGTCACAAATGGAGTATGAGGTTTCGTCACTTAAATGAGAAAGTCTTTCTAAACTATTCTGCTTTATAGTTCTATCGTATGGGTGGAAGGAAAGCTTCCAATCTCCTCTCTGAAGATTCACTGCAGAAATGAGCTGACAACAGACAGCTTAACAGGAAAAGAAAAACATAGAACAGGCATAAACATGGGAACCAGCTGAAAAATGAGACTGCTAGAAGGGCTGGATGGTTGATGCTTAAAGAGCACCCTCTTCTGAGGGGAGAGGGAGATAGATGGAGATGTAGGCCATTTAGAGGGGCAGCAAATGATTTTTAGGGGAAATGAAAGAGCCCAAGGAACAAACAGTTGGCCTGAGACAAAGTTCCTCTGAGGTCATAGGGACGAGGTGACAAACTGCCGGAAGGTGAAGGGCAGAACTGCACTGCGTCTCATGATGCAGAGAAAGCCCCAGAGAATCTCTTAGAACTGCCCTCCAAGAGAATCAATGAAAAGTGTGTCTGGGCAGGGTAATTTTGAATGACATCATTCAAAGTGCATGTTCCCACTTGCAACTGGAGAGAGATCAGTATGTCAAAAGTCTGTACTTGGTAAGAATTTGGCTGCTAAGTTGTGCCATAATTTGTCTTTTGAGCCTTTTTTCCTTTGGGTAAGTTGAGCTCTACATTTTGTCTTGCCACTCATGACAGTAAAAATGTGGTTGTGTGGGGGCTGAACCTCCTTCTGAACAATGATCCAAGATAAAAGTACTAATACCACAATGCTTTTTGATCTTCAAGGGAAGAGGAAGTATGTTTCAGTTTTACCACCTAGATAATTACACGTCATTTGGCACTGCCTTTCAAGATATGTGGAAAACAGAAAATATATGAGTTATGAAGATATCTAGGCACATTTAACATTCTCTATGCCACTTAGTCCTGAACAGAGAATTTTTGGTATAAATTGGAGGAAGCTTTTTTTTTTTTTTTTCTTTTCTCACCCCCAAGACGAGTCTCCCTCTGTTGCCCAGGCTGGAGTATAATGGTGTGATCTCGGCTCACTGCAACCTCCACCTCCTGGCTTCAAGTGATTCCCCTGCCTCAGCCTCTCAAGTAGCTGGGATTACAGGTGCCCACCACCATGCCCAGCTAATTTGTGTATTTTTAGTAGACCACCACGCCTGGCTAATTTTTGTATTTTTAGTAGAGACTGGGTTTCACCATGTTCGCCAGGATAGTCTCCATCTCTTGACCTCGTGATCCGCCTGCCTCGGCCTCCCAGTGCTGGGATTACAGGCGTGAGCCACCGCGCCTGGCCAAAATACATAACCTTAAGTGTAAGTTTACTAACTTTGGAAAGTACATACACCAGCATAAACCAACCCCCTTTCAAGATCTACATTATTTTATTTATTTATTTATTTATTTGAGACAGTTTCTCCCTTGTTGCTGAGGCTGGAGTGCAATGGGCCAATATCAGCTCACCGCAACCTCTGCTTCCCAGGTTCGAGCGATTCTCCTGCCTCAGCCTCCCGAGTGGCTGGGATTACAGACATGTGCCACCACTCCCAGCTAATTTTGTATTTTTAGTAGAGATAGGGTTTCTCCATGTTGGTCAGGCTGGTTTTGAACTCCCGACCTCAGGTGATCCGCCCGCCTCGGCCTCCCAAAGTGTTGGGATTACAGGCGTGAACCACCGTGCCCAGCCAAGATCTACACTATTATGTCACCCCAGAAAGTGAACTCTCACTCTTCCCAGCCAGTCTCTTTCTTATCATAGGTTAGCTTGCTTATTCTGGAATTTCACGTATACAGATGCATGCCATGCCATAGGTACTCTTTTGTGTCTGCTTTGTTCTGCTCAACACCATATTTCTGAAATCATTACCATTGTTGTATGGTTCTCTAACTCCATCATTTCCATTTCAGACTCAGCATATGCTGAGTTCAACCTGTTGAAGGGCTATCTCTGTTTAATTCACCATCTTGAAAGAAACATTTAAAATTGAGATGTTTTCAAGAATATATAGTTAAATCCTGAGGAATCGATGTAGAAATGTTATCAGAAGCTGTCTGAACTTACTCAGGGGAAGTCTTCGTCTTCACTCACATAAGAGTCTAATGGAATTAATATCAACAATCTTAGAGAAATCCCACACTATTCATGCCATTTTCATGATCTCCACCTTGGTAATTTTTTTTTTTTTTTTTTTTTTTGAGACAGAGTCTCGCTCTGTCACCCAGGCTGAAGTGCAGTGGTGCGATCTCGGCTCACTGCAACCTCTGCCTCACGGGTTCAAGTGATTCTTCTGCCTCAGCCTCCCAAGTAGCTGGAACTATAGGCGCGTGCCACCATGCCCTGCTAATTTTTTGTATTTTTAGTAGAGATGGGTGTCACCGTGTTAGCTAGGATGGTCTCAATCTCCTGATCTCATGGTCCACCCACCTTGGCTTCCCAAAGTGCTGGGATTGCAGGCGTGAGCCACCACGCCCGGCCCACCTTGTTAATTTTTAAGCACTAAAATTCGATACTTATTTGTGAATGAAGTAATCTCTTCATTGTATTTTTTTTTTTTTTTTACTTATGCTGAGCTTTAAATGACAAAGATTCATATAATCCAAGAGAGAAGTATTATTTAGAGGGATTCTTTTACCATGTGATATATAATAAATGCATCCAATGTTATACATCAATTTAAAAAACAAGTAAATAACTAAAGAAAAGATAACTACTGGCCAGGTGCAGTGGCTCACACGTGTATTCCCAGGACTTTGGGAGGCCGAGGCAGGTGGATCATGAGGTCAGGAGTTGGAGACCAGCCTGGCCAAGATGGTGAAACCGTTTCTACTAAAAAGACAAAAATTAGCCGAGCGTGGTGGCAGGCGCCTGTAATCCCAGTTACTCAGTAGCTGAGGCAGGAGAATCGCTTGAACCCGGGAGGCGGAGGTTGCAGTGAGCTGAGATCATGCCACTGCAATCTAGCCTGGGTGACAGAGCAAGACTTTGTCTCAAAACAAAAAGAAAAGATAAGATAATTACTTTATACTTAGCTTGTCTTACCCATGAGTGACGGGCTGCATGTGGCCCAGGACAGTTTTGAATGCAGTTCAACACAAATTTGTAAACTTTCTTAAAACATTAGGAGATTTTGGCCAGGTACAGTGGCTCATGCCTGTAATCCCAGCACTTTGGGAGGCTGAGGCGGGCAGATTACCTGAGGTCAGGAGTTCGAGACCACCCTGGCTAACATGGCAAAACCCCATCTCCACAAAAAATACAAAAATTTGCTGAGTGCACTGTCAGGCACCTGTACTCCCAGCTACTCAGGAGGCTGAGGCAGGAGAATCACTTGAACCTGAGAGGCAGAGGTTGCAGTGAGCCAAGAGCACACCACTGCACTCTAGCCTGGGTGACAGAGTGAGACCCCATCTCAAAAACAAACAACAAACAAAAAGAAAAAAAATGGCTGGGCACGGTGGCTCACACCTGTAATCCCAGCACTTTGGGAGGCTGAGGCAGGCAGATCGCCTGTCAGGAGTTCAAGGCCAGACTGGGCAACATGGTGAAACCTCATCTCTACTAAAAATACAAAAATTAGTCGGGCATGGTGGCAGAGACCTGTAATCTCAGCTGCTCGGGAGGCTGAGGCAGGAGAATGGCTTGAGCCCAGGAGCTGGAGGTTGTAGCGAGCCGAGATTGCACCACTGCACTCCAGCCTGGGCGACTGAGTGGAGCAGAACTCTGTCTCAAAAAAAAAAAAAAAAAAAATTTTTTTTTTTTTAGATCATCAGCTATTGTTAGTGTTAGTGTATGTTATGTGTGGCTCAAGACAACTTTGCTTCTTTTAATATAGGCAGGGAAGTCAAAAGATTGGATATCCCTGCTTTATACCAAGAAAGACAACACCCCACATTTGCAATGCCTAAAAACACTACCAGCCATCTGAAAAACATGAGACTTCTCTAACTTCTGTTCTTTTTTGTAGCAGTGGAATCCCACGGTGATATCTGAGGGATGTGGTTACCTTTTGGAGGAGGTTGACGGTTTCTAAGGATGATTCTTTCTGAGTGAAATATTGTCAGTGTCATTGACCTTTTCATTATTTCAACTATTATTATTCCAGGTTATCAATACTCTGGCTGACCATCGTCATCGTGGGACTGACTTTGGTGGAAGTCCTTGGTTACTTATCATTACTGTGTTTCTGAGAAGTTATAAATTTGCCATCTCCCTCTGCACAACTTACCTTTGTGTGAGTATACTAACTTTCTGTAGAGGTATACTTGTAATCACAAATAAGAATAAATTATATGAAACACTTCACGTTTCTGGACTTCATTATGAATATGTGGTTTTACCCAAAAAATCAGGGAAATGATTTATTAGCATAAGAATTATGAAAATATCTGCCATTTACATTATGAAAATTAAATAGGTCGGTGTTTAATAGAGTGTCAACAGAGCTTTTGGTCAAAAATAAGTTTTTTTAACCTTTGTGCTATTTGTCACAAATGGAGTATGAGGTTTCGTCACTTAAATGGGAAAGTCTTTCTAAACTATTCTGCTTTATAGTTCTATCGTATGGGTGGAAGGAAAGCTTCCAATCTCCTCTCTGAAGATTCACTGCAGAAATGAGCTGACAACAGACAGCTTAACAGGAAAAGAAAAACATAGAACAGGCATAAACATGGGAACCAGCTGAAAAATGAGACTGCTAGAAGGGCTGGATGGTTGATGCTTAAAGAGCACCCTCTTCTGAGGGGAGAGGGAGATAGATGGAGATGTAGGCCATTTAGAGGGGCAGCAAATGATTTTTAGGGGAAATGAAAGAGCCCAAGGAACAAACAGTTGGCCTGAGACAAAGTTCCTCTGAGGTCATAGGGACGAGGTGACAAACTGCCGGAAGGTGAAGGGCAGAACTGCACTGCGTCTCATGATGCAGAGAAAGCCCCAGAGAATCTCTTAGAACTGCCCTCCAAGAGAATCAATGAAAAGTGTGTCTGGGCAGGGTAATTTTGAATGACATCATTCAAAGTGCATGTTCCCACTTGCAACTGGAGAGAGATCAGTATGTCAAAAGTCTGTACTTGGTAAGAATTTGGCTGCTAAGTTGTGCCATAATTTGTCTTTTGAGCCTTTTTTCCTTTGGGTAAGTTGAGCTCTACATTTTGTCTTGCCACTCATGACAGTAAAAATGTGGTTGTGTGGGGGCTGAACCTCCTTCTGAACAATGATCCAAGATAAAAGTACTAATACCACAATGCTTTTTGATATTCAAGGGAAGAGGAAGTATGTTTCAGTTTTACCGCCTAGATAATTACACGTCATTTGGCACTGCCTTTCAAGATATGTGGAAAACAGAAAATATATGAGTTATGAAGATATCTAGGCACATTTAACATTCTCTATGCCACTTAGTCCTGAACAGAGAATTTTTGGTATAAATTGGAGGAAGCTTTTTTTTTTTTTTTTTCTTTTCTCACCCCCAAGACGAGTCTCCCTCTGTTGCCCAGGCTGGAGTATAATGGTGTGATCTCGGCTCACTGCAACCTCCACCTCCTGGCTTCAAGTGATTCCCCTGCCTCAGCCTCTCAAGTAGCTGGGATTACAGGTGCCCACCACCATGCCCAGCTAATTTGTGTATTTTTAGTAGAGTCGGGGTTTTACCATGTTGGCCAGGCTAGTCTCAAAACCCGACCTCAAATGATCCACCCGCCTCAGCCTCCCAAAGTGCTGGGATTACAAGCGTGAGCCACCACGTGAGCCAGGGGAAGTTTTTAAATTTACCACTTTTTAACAATTCCATTTAGGAAAGTTCAGTTGAGCTGTTGGACTTGGACAACTTTGTACCTCTCATCTTTGTCCTTGTCATCTAGTCATCTATACCATTACCTCCTAAGCAGGGACATCATGGGTGCCATGAAGCATTCATGTGTGATGGCATTTCTTTGCTTCTCATTTCTTCATGTGTTTGACATTTCTCCTAGCTCCAAACTGGGCCAGCTACCTTTCCTATGAAATCTAGCAGTAGCTGTGGGATAGACGTGGTTGCTCTTTTCATCTTTTTAGATTACCCATTGCTTCTCTCGAAATCCTAGTACATGATTTTTTTTTTATCCTATGTGCAGAAATCAGGAAAAAACAAATTCTACAAAGAATTTGAAAGATATTATTTCAGGCCAGGTGTGGTGGCTCATGCCTGTAATCCCAGCACTTTGGGAGGCTGAGGCAGGTGGATCACTTGAGGTCAGGAGTTCAAGACCAGATGGGCCAACATAGTGAAATCCCATCTCTACTAAAAAGACAAAAATTAGCCAGGCATGGTAGCAGGCACCTGTAATCCCAGCTACTTGGGAGGCCGAGGCACAAGAATCGCTTGAATCTGGGAGGTGGAGGTTGCTGTGAGCCAAGGTAGCGCCACTGCACTTCAGCATGGTTGACTGACACTCCGTCTCAAGAAAAAAGTCATTTCAATGACTACCTCAGGAGATTCATAGGTATCTGACCCACATCTGAGATGGGATTTGCTTTGCATTTTAGCTATGATGAGAACAAATATTTAATATCTTAGAAGATTAAAAGCATACTGTGATAATATGGAAATTTGGTGGGAATTCAGTCATTAGTGAGAATGTTTTGCGTAAAGTTCAAACCAGCCTCAACGAAGCTGATGTGAGGGAAGGGAAAGTGAACTCTGAGTAGAGCAGGGACAGAAGAAAGATGCTCCAGTGCAGATCAGGAAGGAGCAGGGGGTGAAATGTTACAAATTCTAGAACTCAGAGAGCTGAAGGTAATTAATTCCTTCCTTTTCAAGTTGTGAAACATGTTAACCTGTGGTAAAATACTTACAAGATGATAATTACCATCTAACCGTGTTGAAGTGTACAGTTCAGTTGTGTGAAGTATATTCATGTCATTTTTTTTTTTTTTTTTTTTTTTTGAGACGGAGTCTCACTCTGTCACCAGGCTGGAGTGCAGTGGTGGGATCTTGGCTCACTGCAACCTCTGCCTCTTGGGTTCAAGCAGTTCTCCTGCCTCAGCCTCCGGAGTAGCTGGGACTACAGGCGTGCGCCACCATGCTCAGCTAATTTTTGTATTTTTAGTAGAGACGGGGTTTCACCATGTTGCCCAGGATGGTCTCCATCTCTTGACCTTGTGATTCACCCGCCTCGGCCTCCCAAAGTGCTAGGATTACAGGCGTGAGCTACCACACCTGGCCTATTTTTTTTTTTTTTTTTTTTGAGACAGAGTTTGAATTTTGTTGCCCAGGTTGGAGTGCAATGGCACAATCTCAGCTCAACACAACTTTTTCCTGCTGGGTTCAAGTGATTCTCCTGCCTCAGCCTCCCGACTAGCTGGGATTACAGGCATGCACCACCATGCCTGGCTAATTTTGTATTTTTAGCAGAGACAGCGTTTCTCCATGTTGGTGAGGCTGGTCTCAAACTCCCGACCTCAGGTGATCCGCCTGCCTCGGCCTCCCAAAGTGCTGGGATTACGGGAGTGAGCCAACATGCCAGCCTCGTCATTCTTGTGTGTTTTGTGTGTGTGTGTGTGTGTGTGTGTGTGACAGAGTCTCATTCTGTCGCTCAGGCTGGAGTGCAGTGGTGTGATCTCCGCTCACTGCAACCTCCGCCTCCCAGCTTCAAACGGTTCTCTGCCTCAGCCTCCCGAGTAGCTCGGATTACAGGCGCCCACTGCCATGCCCGGCTAATTTTTGTATTTTTAGTAGAGATGGGGTTTCACCATCTTGGCCAGGCTGGTCTTGAACTCCTGACCCCGTGATCCACCCTGCCTCGGCCTCCCAAAGTACTGGGATTATACGCATGAGCCACCGTGCCCAGCCGTCATTCTTATATTATTATTTCCTAGGTGTCTTTCCTGAAGACTATCTTCCCGTCTCAAAATGGACATGATGGATCCACGGATGTACAGCAGAGAGCCAGGAGGTCCAACCGCCGTAGACAGGAAGGTATGGTTCTGTTGGAGTCCCCATAGTGTGGAAATGAGTTTGCCCTGGAAAGGGAAAGAACAGCTTCTTGCCCTCAGGTTTCTCACCTTCTCCTCTCCTCACTCTCACCAAGGGCTGAAGTCCATTTGTATGCACACAAAGAAAAGAGTTTCTTCCTTTCCAGGAATTAAAATTGTCCTGGAAGACATCTTTACTTTATGGAGACAGGTGGAAACCAAGGTTCGAGCTAAAATCCGTAAGATGAAGGTGACAACAAAAGTCAACCGTCATGACAAAATCAATGGAAAGAAGAAGACCGCCAAAGAACAGTAAGATGTGCCTTGACACAAATACTGTTGTATGAACCATGTGCCAATCAAAGTAGACAACTGTAAAGTCCTTGAGAATATTTTCTACAATATTTGTGGCAAATTCAGTGGGTTCAAAATTGAGTTTGTCCTTTCTGCTTCATTAGTTTAAGCTGTATAATTCCTTTCCCTTCCTACATTCTTGTTTGTCATTTTTTCAGGGGAAGAGGAGTTGCTAGTACTGGCATTGGTTTTCCTTTGTCTCTCTCTCTCTTTTTTTTTTTTTCCTGAGATGGGGCTTTGCTCGTGTTGCCCAGGCTGTAGTGCAATGGCACAATCTCAGCTCACTGTCTTTTGGGTTCAAGCAATTCTCCTGCCTCAGCCTCCCAAGTAGCTGGGATTACAGGTGCCCACCACCACGCCCAGCTAATTTTTGTATTTTTACTAGAGATGGGGTTTCACCATGTTGTCCAGGCTGGTCTCGAACTTCTGACCTCAGGTAATCCACCCGCCTCAGCCTCCCAAAGTGCTGGGATTAGAGGCGTGAGCCACCACACCCAGCCTTTTTTTTTTTTTTTTAAATTTTGAGATAGAGTCTCGCTCTGTCGCCCAGGCTGGAGTGCTGTGGTGCAATCTTGGCTCACTGCAACCTCTGCCTCCCAGTTTGAAGCAATTCTGCCTCAGCTTCCCGAGTAGCTTGGATTACAGGTGTGTGCCGCCACATTCGGCCAATTTTTTTTTTTTTTTTTTTTTTTTTTTTTTTTTGAGACAGAGTCTCACTCTGTCACCCAGGCTAGAGTGCAGTGGCATGATCTTGGCTCACTGCAACCTCCGCCTCCCAGGTTCAAACGATTCTTATCCCTCAGCCTCTTGAGTAGCTGGGACTACAGGCATATGCCACCATGCCCAGATAATTTTTGTATTTTTAGTAGAGGCGGGGTTTCACCATATTGGCCAAGCTGGTCTAGAACTCCTGACATCATGATCCGCACACCTCGGCCTCCCAATGTGCTGGGATTACAGGCGTGAGCCACCGTGCCCAGCCCAATTTTTGTATTTTTAGTAGAGACGGGTTCACCATGTTGGCCAGGCTAGTCTTGAACTCCTGACCTCAGGTGATCTGCCTACCTCAGCCTCCCGGTGTGAGCCACCGCACCCAGCCTGGATTGTTGAATTCAATGCTTGGGTCACCTCCAGATTCATTTTCACAGTCTTTCATGTTTTGGTCATATTACATTGTATTTTGCTGCCCATATGACTGATCTTTTTTTGTTAAATGTGAGATACTTGTTAAAAAATATTTAGCAATGAATTGAGGCCTAGTAGCATGTTATCTTGCTGCAGAAGAGATGGGAGTCTACTTCTGGGGGATGGTCAGGGGTCCTCCATACAGGCTGCAATTGAGGTCGTCGGTGCAGGCTCAGTCCCTACAAAGGCCAGGGTATTTCCTGTCCACCTCTATTCTGATGCATGACTCTTCTGGGTCTCAACCAGAGCCAGTGGACTTCAGTATGGGTCGCTTTCATTGGCAGACCCTCAATCCACTTGTTTTCCATCTAACCCCACGCATGTGTGCAAAAGCTGCTGTGCTTCTTTGCATCTCAGTAGTTCCTTCTGGAATTCAGCAATGAAACTCAGGGAAATGGGTTCCAAATGCGAGGCTGACTTTCGTCCTGGGTTTCCTTCTTCTCCATCTTCACCTCATGTCTGTTTACTGCCATGTGAGCAATTTGATGTATTCAATCATGGGTTTTATATTCTGTTTGGTGTCCCCCATTGTTCTCATCGGAGATCAGAAGCTTCAGATGCACTTATGTCAACTCAAGAGTAGAATGCTTCCTTAGCTTCCCTCCAGAGTCAGGTTTTGTGTTTCTAGTTCCCAAGTGCACAGCAGGAGTAGTGATGTCCTCACTGGCTTCTCATTTGCATTAAACTGTGAGCTTCTTTAGCGTGGGGACAGGACCCTGCTCCCATTGCATTGTCAGCACCTCACCACACACTCCTTGTTTGAGGCCACTCCAGACAGCATGTGCTGAAGGATGCCCTGTGGTCAGAAACAAGTTCATTAACTTTCTCTTTGAAGTGTTTTCGTCCCTGTTTCCTAGCGTTCTGGGAATTTTATACATCCTTCCTATAAAACCAAGTATCAGGTGAGATCCTTAGGATCAGGACCATGAATCAAGTGGTGTGAGGGCAACACAGCAAACTTACCCTTTTGAGGCCATTTCCTTTTTCTGCCCTCAATCTCTGTGAACTGAACCTTGTTAAAGTCAGTCAACACCAGGGTGGATGGTTTGCAGTTGTCACCTATTTTCAGGACATGACACCCTGACTTAGGAGCCATTCCGATCATTTCTAATTCAATAGATGCGCCCAGCATTCAGATTGCCTTTTCAGGATCTTTAAAGTCGATGACAAGAGTTCCAGTCCTGAATCATGGCAAAGTGCAGTAGTGAACTGCGGGGTTAATGACACCATATTCTGGAAGGATCTCTCTATGGCTGATGGTCTCAGTTCCAGCATCAGCCTCTGACTGAGAATCAGGTCTCACACAGGAGGAGTCAGATGAGGAGCAATCCTCTGCTTCCGATGGAGTTAGTTGTGATGAATTGGTGAGGTCTGGTTTTTCACACTGAACTAAAATGAGCTTTCGCTGTGTCAAGCACAAGACTGACCCCAGAGACACACATAGTGCACCTCATAGAAGCTTTTAATAGTCTTTATATTTACTAAAGAATAGGACTAACTATGGAACTATGAAGATGAGCTGGAAATGACAGGTGACTTGCCAGCAGGCCAGAGTGTGATTTTTTTTTTGTCCCTCAATGGGAGGTGTCCATTCTCCCTTTGCTTGTGAGAATCAGTTGGTTCATTTGTGGGAAGGTTGCAGGGGGGATCTTTGAATCAGCCTTCAGATGCCAGAAGGGCAGAGGGAATCCCACACGGGCTGGTGGATCATGTGTGTGCATTTCTCTCCCTTCTAGTCTGAGGAAACTAAGCATGAAAGAACGTGAGCACGGAGAAAAGGAGAGGCAGGTGTCAGAGGCAGAGGAAAACGGGAAATTGGATATGAAAGAAATACACACCTACATGTGAGTTCAGAAACTGAACCCCACCCTCTTGGGAAACGCCCATTGGAGTGTTGTTTTTAACCTTTGTACAATGTTTAGACCCAGTAAATGCAGAAATAGAAACAAATGGTCAGAAGACATATCGTGAGAGAGAGAGAGAGTTCACAAAACAGAAAACAAAGTACCTTAATATTTACCAGTGACCAAAAGATGTGAAGTAGCAAAACGGCTCCTGACCCCATTGCCAGCTAGACTGTGTGGAAACTCGGTTCATACCAGCCATTCTAGGGGTGGGGTGAGTTGTTGTCATCCTTAGGAAAGTGTGTTGTTGTAGGATCAACCACATCCTTCAAAAGGACTATGCCTGTTTATAAGCCCAGCTGTTTCTGCCCTGTGAAACACGGTAAAGATATTAATACAAAGAGAATACAGCTTTATGATAAAAGATGCTCAATGAAGGATGAATTAGGGATATACTGAGAATGGGGAAGGAAGCTATCATCTCAGAAGTCAGCAGGCAGTAAGCAAGAGGAGGAATCAATACAGCAACAGTTTGGATCAGACTGTACAGTTTTTTTTGTTTTTGTTTTTGTTTTTGTTTTTCTGAGATGGAGTCTCGCTGTGTCACCCAGGCTGGAGTGCAATGACGTGATCTTGGCTCACTGCAACCTCCGCCTCCCAGGTTCAAGTGATTCCCCTGCCTCAGCCTCCCGAGTAGCTGGGCTTACAGGTGCCTGCCACCACGCCCGCCTAATTTTTTGTATTTTTAGTAGAGACAGGGTTTCACTGTATTAGCCAGGATGGTCTCAATCTCCTGACCTCGTGATCCATCCACCTCGCCCTCCCAGAGTGCTGGGATTACAGGCATCAGCCACCGTGACCGGCTCAGACTGTACTCTTACAGCCATCTGAAATACGTTTTCTAGGTAGAGATAGATTGTGTAAGGGTACAGTTGTGAGGATAACAGAAACATGGCAGATTATTTAAAATCATCCTGAAAGTGGTGCTTTATCTGATGAAAGTGATTGTAATCCATAGGGAAATGTTTCAACGTGCGCAAGCGTTGCGGCGGCGGGCAGAGGACTACTACAGATGCAAAGTAAGGAGCTTCCTCCCCGCAGTTGCAGGATAGTTCAGTGCTGATGCAGATGATGCCACGGCCCTTAGACTCTCTCAACATTCAATTTCTCATGTGTTGGCTTTTTCAGATCACCCCTTCTGCAAGAAAGCCTCTTTGCAACCGGGTAAGTTTGCTTGTTTTCCTTGCTTTTGGACATAGTCTGCCAGGTCAGGACATGGATACATTTTTCTCCCTACGGCTCTGTGCTCAAGCCCTGCAGAGGGAGATGGCAGAGAGGAAGGCTGCCTACAAGCATCACAGTCCCATCCCTGTTGGTAACCGTGTTGCGCAAAAACACCTTCATCCCCACCCAGTGGGGCCCCCATCTAATATTCTAAGTGTCAGAGGTTCCGTATTTGTAATAACAAATGGGCCCTGACTGTAAATTAGTGAAGAGTGAATGTAACTTATTACCCACAGGGACAATTCCAAATGAGGGCCTTAAATGATGCTCAGCTAAGCTGGTTCTTGTGTGGCCTCTGTACCTTCAAAAGCTGCCGAGTCCTATGATTACACGCGATGGGACTTGTACACTTGAAGTGAAACACAGTTTTAAAACTTGCTTTGTTTAGAATTCCCACCTCATTTTTCCATGGACAAAAGTATTCTTTATGTCCTAGTGCACTTACAATTTGGTATTACCTGGGAGTGAAAAGAAATATTACAGCCATGCCTAACTGACTTCTTGAGGTAAGATTGTTCTGTCAGAAAACCCTCTCCCAGTTCCCCTGCAGCTCTTCAGGAATCCACATCTCTCCAGAGCTCTTTGTTCTCATGGGTGGCACCTCCAGAGTGAAGAAGATCCTTTGTCAAGAAGGGAAACAGAGGGGAAATGAGAGGGTCCTGCAGGCAGAGCTGGAATCAACTTCCACTCTGCCTCTTGCAAGCTGTGTGACCCTGGGCACAATTTCTCCTTCCTCTGGAAACCTCTGTTTTCTTAGATTTGGAGCAGGGTGGTCACACTGACCTTGCAGAGTTCTGAGAATCAGAGACAGAACATAAAGGGCCTGGAAAACATTCTCCAAAAAGAAGCTGCAACATGTGTGGACAATGGGCTTTTCATGCCTCTCTTACTGTCTCTTACTGTCTATTGACCTGGTGCAAGAAACATGCTCTGGTGATGGCTGTGAGGGAGGAATGAGGATAGACATAGACACTCCTGTGTCTCAAACATGCTTCTTTATTACTCTGTTATGACTCTGTCTTCCCTGGGGCAGGACCCCAGCCTGCCTACATTTGCAGACAGACACAGTGGCATGTGGAGACAACAGTGTGTCCCAGTGACTTTTCTTTACCCCCCAGCTGTCGGCAGTACTCAGTGGAAGGGTGATATGACACTGATACTGCTATTTTGAAACCTGGAGGATGGAAAGGTGCAAAAATCTATCACCAGCAACAGAAGGTGCAGACTGTGTTGGTGGCGGTAATTTTGTCCATCAAATGAATATGTGTGAAAACATTCCCTCCTTTGGCCCTACAGGTCAGAATGGCGGCAGCAGAGCATCGTCATTCTTCAGGATTGCCCTGCTGGCCCTACCTCACAGCTGAAACTTTAAAAAACAGGATGGGCCACCAGCCACCTCCTCCAACTCAACAACATTCTATAACTGATAACTCCCTGAGCCTCAAGACACCTGCGGAGTGTCTGCTCTATCCCCTTCCACCCTCAGCGGATGATAATCTCAAGACACCTCCGAGTGTCTGCTCACTCCCCTTCCACCCTCAGCTCCACCCTCAGCGGATGATAATCTCAAGACACCTCCCAAGTGTGTCTGCTCACTCCCCTTCCACCCTCAGTGGATGATAATCTGAAGAAACTAACGAAGAATAAATAAATAATATAAAAATAAAATGAATACTGCAGTCCTTATGTTATTGCTTTGTTTCAATATCTGGTATGATTGCCTGAGGGACCTGAGGTTTTTAATCGTAGGGGTTTTTTTAATCTTTAGAAGTGGTTGGTTATGTAAAATATTATTATTTGTTTTTTTTTTTGAGACTGGAGTTTGCTCTGTCACCCAGGCTGGAGTGCAGTGGCTCGATCACAGCTCACTGCAGCCTCAACCTCCTGGGCTTCAAGCAATCCTCCTGCCCCAGCCTCCCAAGTAGCTGGGATCACAGATGTGTGCCACCACGCCTGGCCAATGTTAAAAAATCCTTTAACTTTTTTGTAGAGATGCACTCCTGGACTCAAGCAATCCTCCTACTTGTCCCGACCACCAGCCTCTTTCTGATAAACATTTACACTGTTTATTATCTGATGCCATTTCTATCTTCTTCCTTGTCATCCAGACATCAAAGAATTAGGTTTCTTCAGGGTTTTCTTTTTCAAGTGCTCAGTGTTAAAGATCACTCACATTAGGGCCAGACACCACGGCTCATGCCTGTAATCCCAGCACTTTGGGAGGCCGAGGCGGGCAGAGCACTTGAGGTGGGGAGTTTGAGACCAGCCCGGCCAACTTGGTGAAACCCCACCTCTACTGAAAAAATACAAAAATTAGCTGGGCGTGATGGTGCATGCCTGTAGTCCCAGCCACTTGGGAGGCTGAGGCATGAGAATCGCTTGAACCCAGGAGGCAGAGGTTGTAGTGAGCCGAGATCACATCAGCACACTCTAGCCTGGGTGACAGAGCGAGACTCTGACTCAAAAAATAAATAAAATAAATATCACTTACATTAGATATACCCAAGGGGTGGTCTATAGAGACTTGGAAGCAGTGGTTATTGCCACAGGGGCACGGAAGTCATCTGGCTATGCCAGGGTGCCCAGGGGATACTCGGGGTGGGTGGCATGGTGCTGCTGGGGACTCACCGCACAGGACGCTCTGATTGACGCACTGCCAGGAGTAGCGCTCTGTCTTGGGGCTGCAGCCGGCCTCCTCAGCTCGAGTGTAACAACAGTCGTGGCCATGGCAGCACCTGCGGATGTCACATGGGCAGGACAGCAGGTGGGTGAAGCTCTCTCCTGGCCCTCCTCTCTTGCCAGGACCATGGGTGACTGAAGACCCCCAGGGAGGCACAGCATCCTCTTATCTAAGATTTTTTTTTTTTTTTTTTTAAGAGACAGGGTCTTTCTCTGTCGCCCAGGCTGGACTGCAGAGGCACAATCATAGCTCACGGCAGCCTTGAACTCCTGGGCTCAAGCGATCCTCCCACTTCAGCGTCCCAAGTAGCTGAGACTACAGGCACACGCCAGCATGCCCGGCTGGTTTTTTAATTTGTATTTCCTTTGAGACAGCGTATCTCTCTGTTGCTCAGGCTGGAGTGCAATGGCTCAATCAGCTCACTTTAGCCTTGAACTTCCGGGCTCAAGTGATACTGCCACCTCAACCTCCCAAGTCTGCTACTACAGGAACACAAACTCCTTTTTTAAATTTTTTGTGGATATGGGGTCTCACTATGTTGCCTAGGCTGGTCTTGAACTCCCAGGCTCAAGCAGTCCTCCTACCTCAGCCTCCCCAAATGCTGGGATTACAGGTGGGAGCTACTGTACACCTGGCCTTATCTAAGCTGTTTCCCTGAAAATCCCCGTCTTGGGTAATGATTCCTTTGGCCCCACCATGCCCTGTCCTGCCTTCCTGGCTGTGCCCAAGCTTGGTCCCTGCCTGCCTGCCTGCCTCCCTCTCTGGGTCTCGAGCTCCTGTGACACATGACTCCTCTCTCTTCCTGGAGTGATCCAAGCCCTGCCACTTCCTGACTTTGCCCACACTGTACCCTCTGCCTGGGGCAACTTCATGTCTGCCCATTGACCCTTAGGCCTCAGCCCAGGCACAAGCCCCTGCCTCCGGAGGTCATCCAGGCCTCACCAGGCTACACCCTCTCGTAAAATTGGATTTCCTCCCTTCAGGGCAGGTTTATAATGAAATCCTCCTCAGAGGCCAGGTGCGGTGACACCCATCTGTAATCCCAGCACTTTGGGAGGCTGAGGTGGGAGGATCACTTGAGGCCAGGGGGTCGAGACCAGCCTGGGCAACATAAGAGAGACTCTTGTCTCTATAACAAATTTAAAAATTAGCTCACCAGGCCAGGCTCAGTGGCTCATGCCTGTAATCCCAACACTTTGAGAGGCCGAGGCAGGTGGATCACAAGGTCAGGCGTTCAAGAGCAGCCTGACCAACATGGCGAAACCCTGTCTCTACCAAAAATACAAAATTAGCCAGGCATGGTGGCACGCACCTGTAATCCCAGCTACTCGGGAGGCTGAGGCAGGAGAATCGCTTGAACCCAGGAGGTGGAGGTTGCGGTGAGCCAAGATCACGCCATTGCAGTCCAGCCTGAGCAACAGAGCAAGACTCTGTCTCGAGACAATAAAAACACACAAAAAATTAACTCGCCATGATGGCACATGCCTATAGTCCTAGCTACTTGGGAGGCTGAGGTGGGAGGATTCCCTTCAGCCCAGGAGTTTGAGGCTGCAGTGAGCCACTATGATTGTGCCACTGCACTCTAACCTGGGCAAAAGCGAGACCCCAGGCTAGAGTGCATGATTTTGGGTCACTGCAACCTCCACCTCCCAGGTTCAAGTGATTCCCCTGCCTCAGCCTCTTGAGTACCTGGGACTACAGGCATGTGCCACCACGCCTGGGTAATTTTTGTATTTTTAGTAGAGACAGGGTTTAGTAGAGACCATGGTGAAACCCCGTCTCTATTAAACAAATCTCTACTAACCCCATCTCTACAAAAAACAGCTGGGCATGGTAGTGCACACCTGTAATTCCAGCTACTTGGGAGGCTGAGGCACGACAATCATTTGCATCTTGGAGGCAGAGTTTGCAGTGAGCCGAGATCGTGCCACTGCAGTCCGTCCTGGGTGAAAGAGCGAGACTCCGTCTCAAAAAACAAACAAACAAACAAAAAAGACCGTGCCTATCTGTCTATCTCCCTCATAGGTCAGTTTCCACCTGAGTGTAACCACATCAAGTATCCTAGTATATTTCATATTTACAGGAAAATAAATGGGCAAATACTGTCATTTACGGAGAACCTGCCCTGTCCTGTACACCGTGACATATTTTGTGGTTTGTGGTTATGTGCTCTAATCCTTACGATAGCTCTAAAATAGCTCAAAAAGTTATTCCCATTTTGTACATAAGAAAATTGAAGTTCTGGAAACATAAGGCAATTGCCCAAAGTAATAGAGTAAATTACAAAGCTAGGATTTCTTTCTTTCTTCCATTAATTAATTAACTATTTGAGATAGCGTCCCTGTTGCAGGATGCAGTGGGGAGATCATAGCTCACTGCAGTCTCGACCTCCTGGGCTCAATTGATCCTCACGTCTCAGCCTCCTGAGTAGCCGGGACTACAGGTGCACACCAACACTATGGCTGATTTTTGTATTTTTCTGTAGAGATCTGCCTAGGCTAGGCAGAGATTCTGGCTAGGCTGGTCTCAAGCTCCTGGCTCAAGCAATTCTCCTGCCTCACCCTCCCATATAGCTGGGACCACAGGTGTGTGCCACCACTCCCAGCTGACTTGTTTATACCAGTGGTTCTTAATTGGAAGAGTTTTGTACCCCAGGGACATTTGGCAACATCTGGAGATATTTTTGAATGTTACTGTGGGGAGGAGAGGAGTGCTACTGTCATCTACTGGGTAGAGGCCAGGGATGCTGCTGAACATCCCACAGTTCACAGAACAGCCTCCTCCCCACCCAACAGAGAAGTATCTGGTTGGCCCAAAATCTCAATGATGCCAAATCTAAGAAACTGCTTTGTATTTCTCTGAGATACTGGGATGAGGAACGCTCTAAATTAGTTGTCTTTGAGGATAATGTATGTATACATACACATATATGTGTATACATGTATATAACTAAAGATATATAGTTGAGATCTTGCATTTGTGTTAATGAATGTAGTTTTTATAAAGATAATTGACTCATACAATAATTGTTGACTCTTTGGAAAGGAAAAAGGACAAATGAGATACATGCTATTGGTTTTGTTATTTAGAAATTTTTCGTGTGGATCCGCCCTACCATTCAGCCATTTGCAAACCATTAGTTGAGCATAACTTAATCCCTTCTAGTTCACAGCAAAGATTCATCAAAAGCCATTTGGTATACTGTCACCTCATCTCTCTAACAGTGTTGATTAGATTACAGGAGGGTTACAGGAGGGCACCTTATCCAAATTGGCCAATGATAAATTCTTTTTTGGTACCTTACTATATATTTGTATCCTCAGAACAAATTCTCCTTTTCTGCTTAAGCTGGCTTGACTTTGTTTCTTTCACTAGCAAGCTAAGAGGCTTTGGCCAACAGAACTACTCTAGGGGTAGCTGTAAAATTTATCTCTAAGGAAAGGCTGCTGTTTTGAAATAACAGTTTAATGGGTCTTCTGGGTATATGATGATAGTAAAGCAAAATTTTGTTCTGGAATGAAGAAGCTGATTACATTGTTGTATTACAAACAATATATTACTCAGTGAAGTGAAAGGCCACACTGTGGGCAGGGTGGTGACTTTGCAGATAGCATGTTAATCCTTGCATGCTTTTTGTTGTTTCTCTTTTTGGAGGGGGAGGGTCTTAATTTTCTTTATCCCTCCCCCACCCCCTTTATTTTCTCTGGGGAAGGCAAGACTGGATAAGGAGGCTTTTATCCTGCCAAGATGAGTTGGCCCACAGGACAATTTGACTGAATAGAGGCTCCACAAAGAACGGACATGGTCAAAGAATTACAACAGAAATTATGCATTTAGTTTTAAGGTTTTCTTTTTCTCCTTTTTTTTTTTTTTTTTTTTTTTTTGAGACCAAGTCTTGCTCTGTTGCCCAGGCTGGAGTGCAGTGTTGCGATCTTGGCTCACTGCAACCTCTGCCTCCTGGGTTCAAGCAATTCTCCAGCCTCAGCCTCTCAAGTAGCTGGGATTACAGGCACCTGCCACCACACCTGCTAATTCGTATTTTTAGTAGAGATGGGGTTTCACCATGTTGGCCCAGCTGGTCTTGAACTCCTGATCTCAAGTGAGCCACCTGCCTCAGCCTCCCAAAGTACAGGGATTACAGGCATGAGCCACAGGGCCCGGCCAGTATTTTTCTTGTATAATGCTCAGAGTTTCCTTTAAATCTTTTTAAAAACTTGGCAGCCTTAGTCTTAGCTGTGCTTTGGGAAAATAAGGAGCTGCACTCAAGCTTAAGAAGATATTGCTGGAAGTGTACATTGGCACAGCCTTCAAAAAGCTTCTTGGTGCCCTCCTGTAACCCAATCGACACTGGCTAGAGAGATGAGGTCATATTGCATCAAATGGCTTCCAGTGATTCTTTGCTGTGGACAAGAAAGTTGCTCTTTTTTTTTGAGAGGGAGTTTTGATGCCTAGGCTGGAGTGCAATGGCAGTGATCTCGGCTCACTGCAACCTCTGCCTCCCAGGTTCAAGTGATTCTCCTGCCTCAGCCTCCCAAGTAGCTGGGATTACAGGCATGTGCCACCATGCCAGGCTAATTTTGTATTTTTAGTAGAGACAGGGTTTTTCCATGTTGGTCAGGCTGGTCTCGAACTCCCGACCTCAGGTGATCCACCCACCTTGGCCTCCAAAAGTGCTGGGATTACAGGCGTGAGCCACCATGCCCGGCCAAGAAGGTCACTCTTTATGCTCAACAAATGTATTGCAAATGGCTGAAAGGTAGGGAGGATCCAGATGAACAATTTCTAAATAGAAAAACTAATAGTAGCCAGACACGATGGCTCACACCTGTAATCCCAGCATTTTAGGAGGTCAAGGTAGGCAGATCACCTGAGGTCAGGCATTTGAGACCAGCCTGGGCAACATGGAGAAACCCCATCTCTACTAAAAATACAAAAATTAGCCAGGTGTGGTGGCGGGCACATGTAGTCCCAGCTACTCAGGAGGCTGAGGCAGGAGAATCGCTTGAACCCGGGAGGCAGAGGTTGCAGTGAGCTGAGCTTGTGCCACTGTACCCCAGCCTGGGCAACAGAGTGAGACTCTGTCTCAAAAAAAAAAAAAAAAATCATAGATATCCAATTTGTTCCTTTCTCCTTTCCTAAAAGCTTTTGGTGCCCCCTCCAACCCAACAGTTCCACCCTAGAAAAACACTTGTACACATACATCAGGACATGATACAAGAATATTCAGGCTGGTCGCGGTGGCTCATGCCTATAATCTCAGCATTTTGGGAGGCCGAGGTGGGAGGACGGCGGGAGATCATGCCACTGCACTCCAGCCTGGGCAACAGAGGGAGACTCCGTCTCAAAAAAAAAAAAAAAAAAAAAAGCATAATGTTGAAAACAAACAGCAGTATAATACAGCATGGAGATAACTTTATAAAATGCAAAGACAAATAAAAGTAAATATAGTGCATTGTTTAGGAGTATAAATATGATAATTATTCAAAGAAAACTAAAATGACTTTTAAAAATCATGATGGTGACTATTTTTGGGAGGAAAGCAGGTAGAAGGTGGGATCCGAGAGCAGCACAGAGTAAGTGTCAATTGTCCTAGTTAATGTTCGGCTTCTTAAATTGGGCGATATGTTCACAGGTGTTCATTATGTTCTTTTTTTTTTTTTTGGAGACGGAGTCTCACTCTGTCACCCAGGCTGGGGTGCAGTGGCGCGATCTCGGCTCACTGCAAGCTCCACCTCTCGGGTTCATGCCATTCTCCTGCCTCAGCTTCCCAAGTAGCTGGGATTACAAGTGCCTGCCACCACGCCCGGCACATTTTTTTTTTTTTTTTTTTTTTTTTTGTATTTTTAGTAGAGACGGGGTTTCACCGCATTAGCCAGGATGGTCTCGATCTCCTGACCTCGTGATCCGCCTGCCTCGGCCTCCCAAAGTGCTGGGATTACAGGCAGGAGCCGCTGTGTCTGGCCCATTATGTTCTTATAACTTACATTAACATATTATTTTGTACATATCAAGCTTTTTTTCCCTTTTTTTTTTTAAGAGATGAGATTTTGCTTTGTCACCCAGGCCAGAGAGTGTCGTGGTGTAGTCATAGCTCACTGCAGCTTCCAACTCCTGGGTTCAAGTGATTCTCCCACCTCTGTCTCCCAAATAATTGGAACTACAGGCACGTGCCACCATGCCTGGGTAAGTTTTTTAAAAGTGTTATTTGTAGAGACGGAGTCTGGCTGTGTTGCCTGGGCTGGTCTCAAACTCCTGGCTTCAAGTTATCCTCCTGCCTCAGCCTCCCAAAGCTCTGGCATTACAGGTGTGAGTCACTGCACCCAGACTCAGACTTTTTTTAAGGGAAAGAATGGGAGTGTAGGTGGGGAGACACACTTTGGGAGGCCAAGGTGGGAGGATCACTTGGGCCGGGGGTTCAAGACCAGCCTGGGCAACAAAGTGAGACCTCGTATTTACCAAAAATACAAAAAATTAGCTGGGCTTGGTGGTGTGGGTTCGGGCGGCTGAGGTGAGAGGATTGCATAAGCTGTAGGAGCCCGAGGCTGCAACGAGCCATGATCGCGCCATTGCGCTCTAACTTGGGCTAGACAATGAGATCCTGTCTCAAACCAAAACAAAACAAAACAGATAATTGTCAGATTGCTGTTTTGCTATTGTTGCTTTTTGTTTTTGCTTTGCTTTCCCTTGGAAGTGAAGAAGAGATTCTCATTTAAACAGTTATCTTGAAGTATCTTTGTGAGCTACGGTGCAATTATTTCCTCTGTCCTTGAGACACAGATGATTCCTGTCCAACATTCCCAAGGAACTCAGTAAGGACCAAATAGAGACTCAGGAAAGACAGTTACTGATTTTACACTGTTGCAAAACAGAGCTATGGTTTATGTTTAACAAACTGCTGGCGGGGCGTGGTGGCTCATGCCTGTAATCCCAGCACTTTGGGATGCCAAGGCGGGCGGATCACTTGAGGTCAAGAGTTTGAGACCAGCCTGGCCAACATGGTGAAACCCTGTCTCTACTAAAAATACAAAAATTAGCTGGGCATGGTGGCGCATGCCTGTAATCCTAGCTACTGGGGAGGCTGAGGCACAAGAATCGCTTGAACCTGGGAAGCAGAGGATGCAGTGAGCCAAGATCATGACACTGTACTCCAGCCTGGGTGACAGAGCGAGACTCTGTCTCAAAAAAAAAACAAAAAACAAAAAAACCAAATTGCTGTATTTTATGTTGTGAAATAGGGTCTTGCTGTGTTGTCCAGGCTGGAGTGCAGGGGTACAATCACAGCTCACTGCAGCCTTGACCTCCAGGGCTCAAGTGATCCTCCCTCCTCAGTTTTCAAGTAGCTGGGACTACAGGTATGCACCACCATATGTTGCCCAGGCTGGTCTTGAACTCCTGGAGAGAGATACATATAAACACACACACACACACACACACACACACACACACCTTTTTTTTTTTTGAGACACAGTTTCACTCGTCACCCAGGCTGGAGTGCAATGGCACGATCTTGGCTCACTGCAACCTCTGCCTCCTGGGTTCAAACTATTCTCCTGCCTCGGCCTCCCAAGTAGCTGGGATTACAGGCACTGCCACCATGCCTGGCTAATTTTGTATTTTTAGTAGAGACAGGGTTTTGTCATGTTGGCCAGGCTGGTCTCAAACTTCTGGCCTCAGGTGATCCACTTGCCTCGGCCTCCCAAAGTGTTGGGATAACAGGCGTGAGCCACTGCGCCGGGCCCATACATATGCATTTTTAAAAACTTATTTATTTATTTCGAGACAGGGTCTCACTCTGTTGCCCAAGCAGGAGTGCAGTGGTGCTATCTCCCAGGCTCAAGCAATCCTCAGCCTCCCGAGTAGCTGGGACTACAGGTGTGTGCCACCACACCCAGATAATTTTTATTATTTTTATTTTTTAAATTTTTTGTAGAGATGGAGTTTCACCGTGTCACCCAGGCTGGATATTTTTGTATTTTTGATAGGCCTGTACAGTTTCCAAAGTTGCAACCTTTTCCCCTCCCTGAGAGTAGGGGCAGCCCCTGCTCTCCCTCTACATCCTCCACAGTCCCGAGGTTTTGGCCTCTGTTTCCTCCGTTTCCTATGCTTGGAACGCCAGTGGCTCTTTTGTTGGTCTGGCTGACTCCTGTTCCTCTTTTAAAAATTTAAGTTTGGCCGGGCGTGGTGGCTCATGCTTGTAATCCCAGCACTTTGGGAGGCCGAGGCGGGCGGATGACCTGAGGTCATGAGTTCGAGACCAGCCTGGCCAACACAGTGCAACCCCGTCTCCACTAAAAATACGAAAATTAGCCGGGTGTGGTGGCATGCGCCTGTAATCCCAGCTACTTGGGAGGCTGAGGCACGAGAATTGCTGGAACTGGGGAGGCGGAGGTTGCAGTGAGCTGAGATCACACCACTGCACTCCACCTGGGCAAAAGGGCAAGACTCGGCCTCAAAAGAAAATAAATAAATAAATAAATAAAGTCAAGGGGGTAACACCTCTTCGTAACTCTCCTGTTGTTTCTCATGCCAGCATCACCATAGCCTTGAGGCTCTGAGGTAGGTCACTTCGTCGAGCTCGTTTCCGTGAGGATAACGTTATCTTGGGTGTCTGTGAGACTGCTGCACTGAGTATAGAGCCCAGGCTCCTGGGTCAGCCGGGTTCGAATCCCCTTTCCTCCGTGAAGATCTGGGTCAGTCACAAGTGCTTCAGTTTCTTCGATTTGACTGAGGGAGGCTTTGACTCCAAAAAATTAACACTTGAGTGTACCCGGCCACAGCTTAGCACATCCAGGGTGTTTCCACCCTTTCTTCGGGATCCTCAGGGCTGGATGGAGCCGGTCCTTCCCGTCTCTCCTTATACTCACGCACTAGCGCTGGCTGGAACAAGTCCTCCAAGTAGAACGAGGAGCGGGTTTCAGCGGCGCTCTAGCCCGCCGAGAGCATACGCCCTCCCCACGCGGGGCCGCTGATTGGCTGAAGGTTGCGCTGGCACGCGCAACTTCCGGGACAGAGGCTGTGGCTGGAAGGAGCTGGGCATCCGGCCTGAGGCGCAGCGGTCGCGTTAGTTCGGCCCAATGGCGGCACCGCTGCTTCACACGCGTTTGCCGGGAGATGCGGCCGCTTCGTCCTCTGCAGTTAAGAAGCTGGGCGCGTCGAGGACTGGGTAAGATTCAGGCCGCTTCCTTCTGCGTATCTGGGACGAAAGCTCAGGACGGCGCTTAGAGGAGCGGATTGAAAGGATGTGGGACAAAGGTCATGGCGTGTGATAGGAGCACGGGGTGGAGGGTCATCTCACGTTCACAGAAATGAGCTCATTCCTCCTAACTGGGTAATAGACATGGGTGGGGCCTGGAAAAGTGAGTATGTTCTCTGTTCTGGAGGCCCCCTTTCCCGACTGTGTCTCTTCGTGATTTCCCAGGCCTGGGTACTGCCTTCTGCGCCTTGACCCCTCTTCCTTCCCTCTTCTTCGTCCAAATTTGGAAGGGATTTCCCTGGGCTATGTGGGTTATCAGCCGAACGTCGTCACTCATGGCAAATTGAATATTACATCTTTTTTGTTTGGAATTTGTTTCGACACACGTATTTGTTTCGCAGTCTTTATTTTGCTCCACTTTTAAAATCCCTAACCCCCGTAGCACTCTTGGCGTTTAACTTTCAGAGTCATTAGGATGCTATGTTTTTTCATTAATTTACTACGTGTAAGTGAAGCAAACCTTGTAAAACAATTAGCGTAATATGATTCATAATAATTATCGAGCTCCTGCTTACTGTGTTAAACACTGGGGACAGTGGTTTATCCAAAGACACTAATGTCCCTGCTTTCTACAGAGCTTACAGCATAGGGGGGAAAGGCAGTACATAGGCCAATAAATAAACGAACACGATGATTTCAGTTATACAACAAGGTAATGGGGGAGGGAGAAGGGAGAGAAGGAGCTTTTGAGATTTCTCATTGGGAAGACATCTGTCATTTGAGCTTCCACTTGAATGAAGACAAAAATCTAGGCCGGGCGCGGTTGCTCACGCCTGTAATCCCAGCACTTTGGGAGGCCGAGGCGGGCGGATCATCTGAAGTCAGGAGTTGGAGACCAGCCTGGCCAACGTGCGAAACCTCGTCTCTACTGAAAATACAAAAATCAGCCGGGCATGGTGGCAGGTGCCTGTAATCCCAGCTACTCAGGAGGCTGAGGCAGGATAATTGCTTGAACCCGGGAGATGGAGGTTGCAGTTAAGCCAAGATCACACCACTGCACTCCAGCCTGGGCAGCAGAGCAAGACTCCATCTCAAAAAAAAAAATCCAGCCACGTAGAGATTTGGGAAAAGAGTATTTCCAATAGAGTGAACAGTAAGTGAAATGAAAAACAGCTTGGCTTGTTTGAAGAGCAGAAAAGACGTTATGGCTGTAGTAAAACAAGTTGTTGGAGATGAGGTGAGAGAGGTAGGCAGGGGCCAGATTAATGTAGGATCTTAAAGACCACACTGAGAGATTTGGATTTTTACTGTAAGTGCAGTGGGAAGACAGTTATTGGTTGCTGAGCAAAGGAAGGATTGTTGGTTAAGAGTGGAAGCAGGGAGACCAGTAAAGAGGCCTTAACAATAGTTCCACTGAATTATGTTGGTTCAATAAATGTTGGCTATTATAATTTTTATTATTTTCATGAACTTAATAGCTTGTTAATCTTGGTTCCACAGGATTTCAAATATGCGTGCATTAGAGAATGACTTTTTCAATTCTCCCCCAAGAAAAACTGTTCGGTTTGGTGGAACTGTGACAGAAGTCTTGCTGAAGTACAAAAAGGTAAGGGGAGATAATGTGTGAGGTTTGCTTTTGGTTAGGTCAGAATACAACTATTGCTGTTATACTAAAGACCAATAGAAATAGCAAGATTAATTAAGATACCAGTTGAAATCAAATATTTAATAATAGCATGATGCCGTCAGTGCAAAATTAGAGTAATAGTGTCCTTTTTTTCCCCCACCTTGGCCCATTTCACAGGTAATAATGAGAGAGTAATAATGTCTTTACTGAGGTTTCACCTCTTCAAATGCTTTATTTACGAAGCATCTTTTAACTTTAGCAAGTGCCAGAATTAAAAACAATTACACCATTTTATTTATTTATTTATTTGTGCTGGAGTCTTCCTCTGTCACCCAGGCTGGAGTGCAGTGGCGTGACCTCGGCTCACTGCATCCTCCACCTCCCAGGTTCAAGCAATTCTCCTGCCTCAGTCTTCCGAATAGGTGGGGTTACAGGCACACACCACCACACCTGGCTAATTTTTTTATTTTTTTAGTAGAGGCAGGGTTTCACCATGTTGGCCAGGCTGGTCTCGAACTCCTGACCTTGTGATCCACCCGCCTTGGCCTCCCAAAGTGCTGGGATTACAGACGTGAGCCACCATGCCTGGCCTACAGCATTTTATTTTTTGAGGAACTTACCTAAGCATTACTTTGGGACAGTAAACCAGTTCTCTGAGTAGGGATTTTTGTTTTTGTGGTAGTTTAGAAGCATTTCTACTGTATCTCAGCAGTAGAGGGAAAATGTTAAGTAACCATATGTTTATATGTAATATCCATTTGTATCCATATTTGAGTGAATACTTTTTTAGATCCTCCTGAATTAGATCATTATAGCTGGCTGTTTTTTTCCCTCATGCTTTTTGAGAATTCGCAGGAGTATCAACTATTATATTCAAATGTCAATACAGAAGTATAGCTAAATGTAGTTTATCATTTTCCTTTTTCCAAGCCCTCTGGCTGCACTAACATGAGTGTTTAAATTTTTGTAGTCATGATTTTATAATCCGCAATTGACATGTGAAAGTTAGTGTTCCTTTTATAATTTCATCTGATGTTAAAGTACGGTTAAAAGTCTTGCTGTTGATACTAAACAGGAAACAAAAGCATAACTTAATTCTTTCCCCTTCTTGTTAAGGGTGAAACAAATGACTTTGAGTTGTTGAAGAACCAGCTGTTAGATCCAGACATAAAGGTAATTAATTTTGTGTTTGATCATTAGCAAAATTATTGCCACTGTATACAGACATAGTTTGCTCTTTGGGTCCCATTCTGTCCTCCAGAACTTGCTCTCTCCATGGTCCTCCCTTATTTTAATCTGGTGGTTCTCAACCAGGGACAGTTTTACCCCCTAGAAGACATTTGGTGATGGCTGCAGATATTTTTGTCACAACTGGGAGGAAAGGGTGCTACTGGCATCTAGTGGGTGAATGACAGAGATGCTGCTAAACATCTCACAGTGCACAGGACAGCCTCCCAGAACCAAGAGTGATCCAGCCCCAAATGACAACAGTGTTGAGGCTGGGAAACCCTGCTCTAATGCTTCCTTTCTATTAGATTACTACCTCTTTCCTCCATGCTGCATGCAACTCTCTTGTCTCTTTAAAGCTAAAACAAAGCAAAAAAAAAAAAAAACAAACCACTGATTCAGCATTTCCAGGTTCGAGATACACCTATCATGTAGTAAAAGCTGAATGCATTTTGTTTCACCATTCTTCCTTTACTGCCCAGTTTTGAAGAGAATGGTTTATTACTATGGCAGTGGTAGTTAGATTGCCTGGAATGAAATTCCAATTTTATTATCCAGTGTGTGATCTTGAGCAAATTGTTTTAACCTCTCTGCCTCTATTTTCCACTGTGTGAAACCAAGAAAACAATAGAGATTTAAAAAATATGGAGTGTTTTGTTTTTAAGAGATGTGGTCTTGCTGTGTTGCTCTGGCTATTCACAGGTGTGATCATAGTGCACTACAGCCTTGAACTCCTGGCCTCAAATGATCCTTTCTCTTCAGCCTTCTAAAAAGCTGGGACTATAGGTGCATGCCATGTTTAAAGTGCCTGGCTTTAAACATGGAAATACTTAACAAGGATTCAATGAGCTAATATGCAAGAAGCACTTAGAACAGTCTCTGACTCAAAGTAAGGGCAATAATTGTCATCTGTTGTTTTTGTTCCAGCTGACTGCGCTGTATCATTTCTCACTCACATTTAAGTCCACTGTTCTTATCACTGTAGTAATTACCCTGACAGGTTACCCATGTTTTTTTTTTACATGCTGATTTCAGTGGACTTTTTTTTTAAGACAAAGTCTCCTTCTTACCACGCAGGCTGGAGTGCAGTGGTGTGATCTGGGCTCACTGCAACCTTTGCCTCCTGGGTTCAAGCAATTCTCCTGCCTCAGCCTCCCAAATAGCTGAGATTACAGGCACCCGCCACCATGCCTGGTTAATTTTTTTTATTTTTAGTAGAAACGGGGTTTCACCATGTTGGCCAGGCTGGTCTTGAACTCCTGACCTCAGGTGACCTGCCCGCCTTGGCCTCCCAAAGTGCTGGGATTACAAGTGTGAGCCACTGAGCCCAGCCTCAGTGGACTTACTTTTTTAAGCCTTGTATTCCTTGTATCAGCCGACACTGTTGGCCACCCACTTCTTAAAACTTCAGCGTTTCTGATCCTCCTGTCTCCTGATCCTTTAATCTGTTTTTTTTTTTTTTTTTTTTGCTCTGTCGCCCAGGCTGGAGTGCAGTGGCGCAATCTTGGCTCACTGCAAGCTCCGCCTCCCGGGTTCAAGCGATTCTCCTGCCTCAGCCTCCCAAGTAGCTGAGACTACACTCGCCCGCCACCACCGCCAGCTAATTTTTTGTATTTTTAGTAGAGGTGGGGTTTCACCATGTTAGCCAGAATGGTCTCGATCTTCTGACCTCGTGATCCGCCCGCCTTGGCCTCCCAAAGTGCTGGGATTAGAGGCGTGAGTAACCACGCCCGGCCAGTGATCCTTTAATCGCTAGTATTTCTTGATAGTTTCTTGATCTTAAATTTGGTGTTGATTGGGCTTCAAAACTTGACTCTTTTCTCACTCTGTTGATTCTTCTGTGTGATCTCCTCATCTCCCTTCATGGCTTTGAAATCTACCTGTGTCCTAATATATTTGTGTCTGTAGCCAAGATTGCTCTTGTGGGCTCCAGACTTATTTCATTTTCGTTTTTGGGGACGGGCAGAACAGAGTCTTGCTCTGTCACCTAGGCTGTAGTGTAGTGGGATGATCTTGGCTCACTGCAACCTCTGCCTCCTGGGTTCAAGCCATCCTCCCACCTCAGCCTCCCGAGTAGCTGTGCCACCATGCCCAGCTAATTTTTTTGTATTTTCAGTAGATTTGGGGTTTCACCATGCTGGCCAGGCTGCTCTCGAACTCCTGACCTCAAGTGATCCACCCGCCTCAGCCTCCCAAAGTGCTGGGATTATAGACGTGAGCCACTCCACCCGGCCTAGACTTGTTTCTTAACTGTCTGTTAGATGCATTTACCCAGAATCATCATAGATGCTCCAAACTTAGCATGTCCACTCTTGGCTGGGCTCCATCTTTCATGGAGCTTTCCCTGGTTCTCTCTAAGCACATGGTTGTTCCTTCATTGAGTCCATTTCCCACACTTCCAGATCTCTCTAGTTACAGATCTGGTTTACAAGGCCCCCCATGGTCTATTTGGTGCTTCTTTGTTCCCCAGATTTATTATCTGTTGGCTTGGTCACTATACATGCCTGCCATACTGAACGTTTTTCAGTTTTCTGAAAACATACTTTTCCTTCTGTAAGAAGCAGAACTTCCAGAAAAGACTCAACTGTGTTACTGTTTAAAGACAGCTGAAGCATCACTTTCTCTTTAAAGCTTTTCCTGACCCCTGCCTTCTTTCCCAGATACAAAGGGACATTTTCTTTGTGTTCCACTGTATTTTGTATCAGCAGTTCTCATTCTTGGTATTTTGACATACCAAGAATTGCACTAGTTGTGTGGAGTGTTGCAAGTAGAACTTTTTTCCATCTTGAGACAGGGTCTTGCTCTGTCACCCGGGCTGGAGTGTAATGGGCCCGATCATGGCTCACTGCAGCCTCAACCTCCCAGGCTCAAGCAATCTTCCCACCTCAGGCTCCCGAGCATCTGGGACCACAAGCATGTGCTACCATGCCTGGCTAATTTTTCTGGAGATGAGGTCTCCCCATGTTGCCCAGGCTGGTCTCAAATTCCTGGGCTCAAGCAGTCTCCTCCTGCCTTGGCCTCCCAAAAGTGCTGGGATTACAGGCATGAGCCACTGTTCCTGCCTGCTAGTAGAAATAATAATAGTTCAGTACTAAAGCATCAAAGTCTGCAACTGATTTACTTTTTTTTTTTCTTTTTGAGACGGAGTTTTGCTCTTGTTGCCCAGGCTGGAGTGCAGTGGCATGATCTTGGCTCACTGCAACCTCTGCCTCCGAGTTTTTTAAGCAATTCTCCTGCCTCAGCCTCCCGAGTAGCTGGGATTACGGGCATGCACCACCACGCCCAGCTAATTTTGTATTTTTAGTAGAGACGGGGTTTCTCCATGTTGGTTAGGCTCATCTCGAACTCCCAACCTCAGGTGATCCACCCACCTCGGCCTCCCAAAGTGTTGGGATTACAGACATGAGCCACCACGCCCAGCCTGATTTACTTTTAAAAATGGTACAGTTTAAATGTTATCCTTATAGTTTTGTTGCAGTCTTTTTAGTGGAAAAGAGATAGGATAGTTTATTTTATTTGTACACTAACTTAGCTTGTTTTCTACATGCCTTTGGCCTTAGTGAGCTACCGTTAATGTTATCCTTGACAGTTGTGGACATATGAAATTACCATAGTACAAATGAGTTGTGGTTTTACTTTATTTTACTGCCAGGCTACTTGGGATTTCATCAGAAAATGGTTGATCTGTGGGAGTTTGACACATGGATATGGCATAGTAAGCACTCAGTAGCTGAATTAAGGTGGGGAAAAGGGGACAGCTTCTTCTCCGCATATAGGGAGGCGTGTGGGACGGTGGACAGAGGATAGCCTTGACCGAGACAGACGGGTTTGGACCTGCTTCTTTACTGGCCTCTTGGTTGGGCAGATTGCTTATTAATCGTTCTTAGCCTCAGCTTCCTGAACAGCAAAATGGGAATAACTAAACATCTTGCAGAGTTTTTAGGATTAGAAGAAGATATATATGTGGAGTGTCAGGCACCATGCCTGGCATATGGTGTATTCTCACTAAATGATAACTCCATATGAATATCCCTGTAGGTATGACCTTGTGTTGCTTTTATTTATATGTCTAAGCCTTCCACAAATTAGGGGCTTTTTCTTAATGGTTTTTTTCCTGTGCAGTATATATGCATGAATATAATTAATATAGTAATATTTTACATAATTGACACTGTATTTTATACATTGCGTTTCAAATTTAGCAGTTCTTCTCATGTCACTAACAATTACTATGAACAGTAATTTGATTGCCCGAAAAATATTTCATGGAGGAATGGGGCTATCATTTATACAGAACAATCACATCATAATATATTTAAACTCAGCCACAGGTTTGGTTTAGAAAAGTTATGTTTATTCATGACCCCAATTGATCAGCCTCGACTGAGTTTTATCAGCATGCTTCCTGGTCAGCTTGAATATAGAGGAAATAGAGGTAGCTATTGTTCCTTTGTGATCTTCTAATATTTCAGTCTGCTAGAATGCTGCAGTTTTTAAAAGTCCCAGGTGTCAACATTTGAGGTGATTTCGCTTTTTCAGGGCAAACAGAAGTGATCAGGCTGAAGTATTGCATTTAAGTCTTTCTCCTGTGTATTAGAGTTACTAGATTACTTTCTTAAAACAGTTAAGTAATTTATTGTGACATCTTTTTCTGTTTTAATACCCAGTTTTGAGTTCCTTCCAAGTTTGTGACCTTTTCCCCCCAACCTATTCTTGATAAATGATTGATATAAGATAGCTGTAAATTTCTGTTATGTTAGAGGATTTGTGATTTTGAAAGTACTCTTTGTTTAACTTAAGGATGACCAGATCATCAACTGGCTGCTAGAATTCCGTTCTTCTATCATGTACTTGACAAAAGACTTTGAGCAACTTATCAGTATTATATTAGTAAGTTCACCATTTATTTTACTGTAAAGTATGTAATTCAGAACTTTGGTAATAGTATATGTTATATTAATAACATGCTGCTTTTATCTTTCTTCCCCCACTCTAGAGATTGCCTTGGTTGAATAGAAGTCAAACAGTAGTGGAAGAGTATTTGGCTTTTCTTGGTAATCTTGTATCAGCACAGACTGTTTTCCTCAGACCGTGTCTCAGCATGATTGCTTCCCATTTTGTGCCTCGTAAGTCATTGCTTGGAATTTTATTTTCTTTTTAATACTTCTTTATTAAAATACTACCTTCCCCTTATATATGAGAGACTGCTACCATGGAAGATTCCAGATGCATATTGGCACCAGGTCTGGTAGACATATATTCCCCGTAATGACCCCTATGGAGGTGTCTAGATTCATTTGTTGCTGTGAGTTTTATGAATTTACTTGCTTTATTGAACTCCTGGTGAAATCTAGGAATTTTTAGCCGTTTAAAAACTATAAAGTTGCTTTACTTTTTTTCAGATTGTGCGTTTAATTAATCATTGAGCTAACTTTGGATTATGGAAAAATAACTTTTTTTATAGCTGTTCATTGTCTAGGTCAGTAACTTTTTTTGTATAGCCATTCATTGTCTAGATCAATGACAGAATAACATATTTTCTTTTTCCCTCAAAAGCCCGAGTGATCATTAAGGAAGGCGATGTAGATGTTTCAGATTCTGATGATGAAGATGATAGTAAGTATAAAAAGGTTTAAAGCCTGGGCACAGTAGCTTTCACCCATAATCCCAGCACTTTGGGAAGCCAAGACGGGAGGATCACTTGAGGCCAAGAGTTTGAGACCAGCCTGGGCAACATAGTGAGACCTTGTCTCTGCAAAAAAACATTTTTTTTCAAATATTTTCTTAAAAAAGGCTTAAAGTAGAACTAGGCAGGGTAGTGTGTGTCTTTAGTCACAGCTACCTGGGAGGCTTAAGTGGGTGGATTGCTTGAGCCCAGGAGTTCAAGCCCTGCTTGGTGGCAAGACACTGTCTTCTTTAAAAAAAAAAAGTAAAGCACAGAATACCTGGCACCTATTCTAATAAGTAGACTGCAACAAATGACAACCTTTGATGTAATCTTTTTGTTATATTTACCATTGATATGCAGTCATTTGTCCTGAATGCATTATTTATATAATTAGTCCATTTAATTTTCGTTGATGCTGGTGGAGAAAAATCTTGAAATTATTATTTCTCTGATAAATTATTCCGTTTTGGTTAGCATGTGTTTTTAGCTTCAAGTATGTCACTTTTTGTTTGTTTGTTTTTTGAGACAGAGTCTCGCTCTGTTGCCCAGGCTGGAGTATAGTGGTGTGATCTCGGTTCGCTGCAGCCTTCACCTCCCAGGTTCAAGTGGTTCTCCTGCTTCAGCCTCCTGAGTAGATGGGACTACAGGCATTTGCCACCATGCCTGGCTAATTTTTGTATTTTTAGTAGAGATGGGGTTTCACCATATTGGTCAGGCTGGTCTCGAACTCCTGACCTCAGGTGATCCACCCACCTCTGCCTCCCAAAGTGCTGGGATTACAGGCGTGAGCCACTGTGCCCAGCCAGCATTTATTTTTAGCTTCAAGCGTGTCGCCCTTCAGTTTTGTTTTGATGCTCATACTCTGAACTTTTCTCCTTTCAGATCTTCCTGCAAATTTTGACACATGTCACAGAGCCTTGCAAATAATAGCAAGATATGTACCATCGTGAGTATACTTTTCCTTATTTTGAATGTTTAATTCTCAAGAAAATTGTAATCAATTAGTAAAAATTATAAAATGTTAATAGTATTAAAGCTTGAGTCTTACATTGCATGTTTTTTTTGTATCCACTTGAGGAAACATTACATTCTACAAAAAGTGGCATTTCCATTTTCTATTTATTCTCTTTAATTGTTTTTCAAAGTTTGTATGCAGATCCTCCCCCAATTTTGTATGGTGGTTGGAATTTTGCTTTTATCTTCAACAGATATGCTATCCAAAATTTTTCAGTGAGAAACCCCTGGGTGTGTTTGTGTCATGCCATAATGAATAAAAATTGCACTTCTAAGAAAAGCTTTTCAGGTTTGTGGGTTTCTTTTGGAGGGGTGGACCTCTAGTTCCCTCTGTCCGTTGATTATTTGTTAACTTAAAAAAAATCCAACTTGATGATTTTTTCTTCTTTTAAAAATAATATACATGTGTAGTGGGAAATGTCAGCAAAAGTGCTGTTATGTTTCTGTGGGAGAGAAGCTCCCTCTTTGATTTGCTGTTGATATCAGAGTTAACAGAACCTTATTTTCTCTAAGTCGTTATAGATTTTCTCAGAAGCTATACATTGTAAGTTCCAGTTCTGGCCGGGCGCGGTGGCTCACGCCTGTAATCCCAGCACTTTGGGAGGCTGAGGCGGGCGGATCACCTGAGGTCGGGAGTTCGAGACCAGCCTGACCAACATGGAGAAACCCCGTCTCTACTAAAAATACAAAATTAGCTGGGCATGGTGGCGCATGCCTGTAATCCCAGCTGTTTGGGTGGTTGAGGCAGGAGAATCGCTTGAACCTGGGAGGCGGAGGTTGCAGTGAGCCGAGATTGCGCCACTGCACTCCAGCCTGGGCAACAAGAGCGAAACTCCGTCTCAAAAAACAAAAAAAGTTCCAGTTCTTTGAGGTAGGGGTTCCTGTTTGCCTCCTATGTCTATCAATATTTGCTTTTAGAATGGTAGTTTTCCTTTTTATTCCTTTTCTAGAAAGTAAAGTTAACATGGATTGATTTAATTTTTTAAAAATAGGACACCGTGGTTTCTCATGCCAATACTGGTGGAAAAATTTCCATTTGTTCGAAAATCAGAGAGAACACTGGTAAGAAATCTTTTCATTGAGAACATCATGGAAAAGTTGTTTGTACGATTTCATTTTAGATGATATTAGGTCTTTTTCTTTCTTTTCCAGTCTTTCTTTTTCTTTTTCTTTTTTGAGACCGAGTCTCACTCTGTCGCCCAAGCTGGAGTGCAATGGCGTCATCTTGGCTCACTGCAACCTCTGCCTCTCGGGTTCAAGCGATTCTCCTGCCTCAGCCTCCCCATTAGCTGGGACTGCAGGCGCCTACCACCATGCCCAGCTAATTTTTGTATTTTTAGTAGAGACAAGGTTTCACCATATTGGCCACACTGGTATCGAACGCCTGACCTTGTGATCTGCCTGCCTCGGCCTCCCAAAGTGCTGGGATTAGTGAACCACTGTGCCCAGCTAATGTTAGGTCTTTTTCTTAAAGGTTACTTTGTCTTCTAGACTTTAAACTGACGTCTAAGAATTTGACTCAGATTCCTTTCTTATAAAGCGGCTATTGGGGATTCCCAGTGCCTTTTTCTGTTATTACTATGTGCAAGTCAAGGTCTGAGTTCATTTCAGGAATATCTGTAGTGGCTTTATGCTCATATGGACAAGAATTACTAGAAGATAATAGTTCATGTATTACTAATTGTGAACATGCCTTATTTTAACCTGAAGACAAAGCCTTCCATAGAAGAATTCTGCTTAAGTTTTTGTACAATGTTCAGATCATCTGTGCAGTTTTTAATAATTAATAGTGGTTGCCTTAGTAGAAAACCGAATCTAGTAGCATACAAAAAGAATTATGTACCATGACCAAGTGCGACTGATGTTAAGAATGCAAGATTGATTTTTTTTTTTTCAGGGGTGGGGGGACAGTCTCCGTCTGTCACCCAGGCTGGAGTGCAGTGGCACCATCTCAGCTCGCTGCAGCCTCTGCCTCCAGGGTTCAAGTGACTCTCCCACCTCAGCCTCCCGAGTAGGTGGGACTATAGACATGGGGCACCACACCCCGCTAATTTTTGTGTTTTTGGTAGAGATGGGATTTTGCCGCGTTGGCCAGACTGGTCTTGAACTCCTGACCTCAAGCGATCTACCCGTCTCCACCTCGCAAAGTGTTGGGATTAGAGGCGTGAACCACCGTGACCGGCCGAGATTGAGTTAGTACCTGAAAATGAATTAATAAAATATTTTGTAGCAATAGAACAAAGGACAAAAACCACATAATCATCTCAGTAGATGCAGAAGTGTGTGACAAACACCAATATCCTTTTACGAGAAAAACAGAAGGAAATTTTCTCAACCTGATAAAGGGCATCTGAAAAACCCACAGCTAACATCATATTCATTGGTGAAAGACCAAAAGTTTTTTCCTAAGACAAAGAACAAAACAAGGATGTCCGCTCTTGCTGCTTGTCTAGCCAAGGCAGTTAGGCAAGAAAAAGAATTAAAAGCATCCAGATGGAAAGGAAGGCGTAAACTCTCTTTTGCAAGGTGATTTTATATGTCATTCTAAGGAGTTTACACACACACAAGAAATTTTAGAGATAATAAATGAGTTCAGCATGGTTACGGGACAGAAGACTAACATACACTAACCAGTTGTTCAAGACAATTGAATAGGGGAGAATAGTCATTTCAACAAATGCTGCTGGCAGAAGTGGATATGAACATGCAAAAGAATGAAGCATATGGATATCCATATTTAAAAATGAACTCAATAAAAGCCCTACATGAAGAGTAAAAACTGTAAAACTCTGAGAAGAAAACGAGTACATTTTCATGATGTTGGTTTAGGCAGTAATTTCCAGATTTGATGCCTAAGCACAAGCAACCAAAGAAAAAAATGCATCAATTGTACTTCAAAATTAAACGTTGTTATGCTTCATAGGACATCTTCAAGAAGATGAAAAGGATCCCCAAATAATGGGAGGAAATATTTCTAAATTTTATGTCTGGTAATGGACTTGTATATGTAAAGAACTCTTATAATTGAATAATAAAAGGGCAAATAGCCCAACTGAAGTGGGCAAAGGATCTGAATAGGCATTTCTGCAAAAAAAGCACATGAAAAGAAGCTCAACATCATTAGCCATCAGGGAAATGATTTCACTTCATGCCCACAAGGATGGCTATAATCAGAACGAGAAGACAGTAACAAGTGTTCACAAGGATATGGAGAAATGGGAAGTTGGAACTGTCATATGTTGCTGTGAGAATGTAAAATGGTGCAGCCATTTTGGAAAATAGCCTGGCATTTCTTCAAGGTTAAATGTAGAATTAACACGTGACTCAGCAGTTCCATTTCTGGGTTTATACCCAAGAGAAATGAAAATATATGTCCACAGAAAAACTTGTACATGGATGGTCATAGCAGCATCATCCATAATAGCCTCAAGTAGAAGCAACTCAAATGTCTGTCAACTGATGAACAGACAAAACATGGTACAATGGAATATTACTCAGCAATGAAAAGGAATGCTTTATATGTTACAACATGATTGGACCCTAAAAACATGCCAAAAGACTGTGTATTATATGACTCCATTGATATGAAAGGAATGGTTTACATGTTACAACATGATTGAACCCTAAAAACATGCCACAAACTGTGTATGACTCCATTGATATGAGAGGAATGGTTTACATGTTACAACATGATTGAACCCTAAAAACATGTATTATATGACTCCATTTATATGAAATGTCTCAAAGAGGCAGATTCATAGAAAGACTAGTGGTTGCCAAGGTCTTCATTTTTTAGGGGTGCACTAATGGATGTAGGATTTCTTTTTAGCGTGATTAAAATGTTACAAAATTGCTGGCTGGGTGCAGTGGCTTATGCCCATAATCACAGCACTTCAGGAGGCTGAAGTGGGAAGATCCAGGAGTTGAAGACCAGCCTGGGCAACATAGTGAGAAAATGTCTCTCTAAAAGGAAAAATTAACCTCATGTGGTGGTGTGCACCTGTAGTTCTAGCTACTAGGGAGGCTGAGGAGGAAGGATTGCTTATCCTGGGAATTCAGGGTTGCAGTGAGCTATGATTGCACCACTGTACGCCATCCTGAGAGAGAGAGCAAGACCCTGTCTCTAAAAGAAAAATAAATGTTCTGAAATTGATTATGTTGATGGTCTCATAACTGAATATATTAAAAACTTAAATTGTATACTTTAAGTTGGTGATTGTATGATATATGAGTTTTATCAATACAGCTACTTAAAAACCTATAGTTATGCAAATTAAAAATTTCATTTACTGGGAATAATTGAAATGATTATACCGAACATAATACATGTAGAAACAGTATAGTTTTTGTATTGCTGGATAGTCTGTTTTTTTCTTTTTAAATATTTGAAACTAAAGGTCATGTAATTGATGTTTTGCTTACATAACTGTGAAACGTTTATTCTCTGTTGAAATGTTTTATCTTACATTTTCTCCTTTAGGAATGTTACGTTCATAACTTACTAAGGATTAGTGTATATTTTCCAACCTTGAGGCATGAAATTCTGGAGCTTATTATTGAAAAACTACTCAAGTTGGATGTAAGTATTGAGTAATCTATTTTTATTTTCATTTACTGACTTGAATTTGTTATAATCACAGTATGTGGAAACAATAGTCAGTGATAGAAAAGAATCCACTTGGCCAGGTGTGGTGACTCACGCCTGTATTCCCAGCACTTTGGGAGGCCGAGGCAGGCAGATCACCTGAGGTCAGGAGTTCGAGACCAGCCTGGCCAACATGGCGAAACCCCGTCTCTATAAAAATACAAATAAAAAATTAGCCAGGCATGATGGTGGGTGCCTGTAATCCCAGCTACTCAGGAGGCTGAGGTGGGAGAATTGCTTGAATCTGGGAGGCAGATCTTGCAGTGAGCTGAGATCGTGCCACTGCACTCCAGCCTGGGCAACAGAGCGAGACTCCATCTCAAAAAAAAAAAAAGAAAAGAAACCACTAGCACCATTCTTTGCTTCCTTTCTTTGAATGTGTGCATGTGCTGGGAGTTGTAGACAGTTCCTTCTCATGATTGGAGAACAAGGCGTTAAATACATAGTTATCCAAATGTAAAAGTATGGTTGTGGAAAATGCTATGAATGAAACATACATTATGAGTTAGAGAACCTGATAGAATCACAGTGGGGTCAGGAAGGGATTCTTACGGAAGTGATTTTTCCTGTTTGGCCTTTCTTAAGGGCAGATTATAATTATAAACAGTTAAAACTTTGTTTAAGGAGGCCCGCACTAAGGTGCAGTGGGAATGAAAGGAAGTAGTAGATTCTAGTGACATTGTCAGGAAAGATGAACTGGTGCTTGAGACTGGTTTGGAGGAGGGGAGGCAGACAGTAAGGGAAAGGAATCCTTCAACGGTTGCTCCCTGTGGAATTGAATCTTGGTGTTGCCATTAATGGTAGTTAGAAATATGAAGAGGAGGCCGGGCGTGGTGGCTCACGCATGTAATCCCAGCACTTTGGGAGGCCGAGGCGGGCGGATCACGAGGTCAGGAGATCGAGACCATCCTGGCTAACATGGTGAAACTCTGTCTCACTAAAAATACAAAAAATTGGCCGGGTATGGTGGTGGGCACCTATAGTCCCAGCTACTCGGGAGGCTGAGGCAGGAGAATGGTGTGAATCCGGGAGGTGGAGCTTGCAGTGAGCCGAGATTGCGCCACTCCGCTCCAGCCTGGGTGACAGAGCAAGACTCTGTCTCAAAAAAAAAAAAAAAAGAAAAAAATACGAAGAGGAGGCAGTTGGAAGAGTAGTTCCATCTTGGCCAGGTTCAGTTGCTGGTGGGCAGCCTACCAGAGAATACTCACAGGCAGTCGTGGCTGCAGATGGGGACCTGAGCATAAACCTTTGGAAAGATGCAGTTTAGGACAGGGGAGGAGAAGGGTGATCAGAAGTATGGGGAAAACCAAGAGCCTGGATGCTCAGGAAGGATCCGCCGGAAGGAGGAGTTTGGTCAGCAGCATCAGATACTGCTGTCATTTTTTAGAAAGATGAAAAGAGCAACAGTCCTTGGATTTAGTGGTTAGAAGGTAGTCTTTGTTGCTTTCTGGAGGACCATGTCAGTGAAGACGCAGAAACTGCATTTCGGGAGAGGATGTGGATGGTGGGGAAGCAGAATTGGGGCTGTTAGAGACCTTGGTGCAGGGTTGTGGTGGAAGGAGGGGATGGAGCAGGGCTAAGAGGCGTGGTTTAGGAGTGGAGAGACGTGAGCAGGTTTGTGGACTGAGGGGAGAGGAGCTTTGGTGGAGGAAAACATTGATGCTATAGGGAAGCAGGAAGATGGAACAAGGTCTCAGAAGAGCTGGAGCTTGGGCTCACTGGTGCAGTGCTCACTTGGAGTTGCACCTCTCTGGCCAACTGTATATGTACTCTTTATAGTCTTTCTCTGGTATATACTTAAGGAACATTTTAGAATGTTTACAAAGAAGGTCAAGCATAGATAATAAAAAATGGCATGGTTTGAGTGGTATGTTAAGATATTTGAATGGTGATATACCAAAATAAATATTGCATCATGCACATTTGGCTGGCAGTTCATCATTTTTCTGCTCAGTTGATTGACGATATGTTTATTACACAATGTGTCTGTGAGTGTCTTGTGCATAGAGATTGTATTAGTCCATTTTCACACTGCTGATAAAGACATAGCTGAGCCTGGGAAGAAAAAGAGATGTTTTTGTTTGTTTGTTTGAGATGGTGTCTCGCTTCTTGCCCAGGCTGGAGTGCAGTGGTGCGATCTCGGCTCACTGCAACCTCCACCTCCGGGGTTCAAGCAGTTCTCCTGCCTCAGCCTCCTGATTAGCTGGGATTACAGGCACATGCCACCATGCCCGGCTAATTTTTTGTATTTTTAGTAGAGATGGGGTTTCACCGTGTTAGCCAGGATGGTCTCAATCTCCTGACCTCATGATCCGTCCACCTCGGCCTCCCAAAGAGCTCGGATTACAGGCGTGAGCCACTGCACCTGGCCAAAAAAGAGGTTTAATTGGACTTACAGTTCCACATGGCTGGGGAGGCCTCAGAATCATGGCGGGAGGTGAAAGGCACTTCTTACATGGTGGCGGCAAGAGAAAATGAGGAAGATGTAAAAGTGGAAACCCCTGATAAAACCATCAGATCTCGTGAGACTTACTCACTATCACGAGAACAGTATGGGGGAAACCTACCCTATGATTCAAATTATCTCCCACCAGTCCCCCCCCAGCAACATGTGTGACTTACAGGAGGAGTACGATTCAAGATGAGATTTGGGGCCAGGCGCGGTGGCTCATGCCTGTAATTCCAGCACTTTGGGAAGCTGAGGCCGGTGGATCACCTGAGGTCAGGAGTTCGAGACCAGCCTGACTAACATGGAGTAACCCCATCTCTACTAAAAATACAAAATTAGCTGGGCACAGTGGCACATGCCTGTAATCCCAGCTACTCGGGAGGCTGAGGCAGGAGAATCTCTTGAACCTGGGGGGCGGAGTTTGCGGTGAGCTGAGATCTTGCCATTGTATTCCAGCCTGGGCAACAAGAGCAAAACTCTGCCTCAAAAAAAAAAAAAAAAAGAGATTTGGGTGGGGACACAGAGCCAGACCATATCAGAGCTAGAATAAATGTTGAATTTGTTGAGGCTGCCTGGCATAGAGCATCATGTGATAGTTGTCGATTTTATATAAGTATGTAGTAAAAGGGGCTTGGTTTATTATATTTAAATTCCTTCATGACCTAGGTCAGTTTACAGGCTTGCACCATAATTGTGTATTGTGTTGGGGTGTGATATAAGGCACTAATCTGGACACCTTGAACATGCGTATATCAGATGAATTTCCATCCCAAAATAACATAGTTGTATTTTTTAAATCCTTTTATTCTTTTTTTTTCTCCCTTTGTTATAGGTGAATGCATCCCGGCAGGGTATTGAAGATGCTGAAGAAACAGCAACTCAAACTTGTGGTGGGACAGATTCCACGGAAGGATTGTTTAATATGGTTAGCAGTTTATTAATGAAAGTGGAGATGAAGTTTATCATAAAGGGTGGAAACAGCTAGTGCTGCTCATCTTTGTTAAGGCTTTAGATTGAAAGAATTAAAATAGTTCAGCAAACTTGAAAACGATTCCTTATATGAGTAATTTGCTGCCATGTCATTTAGCACTTAGCATAGTTGGTCTATTTCCAAGGCTTTGAATTTGGGTTTGGTGAAGTATGTTTCACTTTTGTTCTTGTAACTTTCAGTGTTTGTTTTTGTAAGCCAGATGCTGTCTGTGAGGGCGTGGTTAATAGAAAAGCATACCTGTTTAATTTCTGCATTTTACCACTTGTACACTTTATAGCATTACTTCTTTTGGGTGGTATCTGAAGTTGGGTTCAGTGGAAGGAGAGTCTGAGACAGGGATTCAGGTGCCCTTGGGACAGAGGGTGTCAGGGAGCAGAAGAGGGCAGGGGAGCTAAACGGGGGCCGGGTCTCACTTGGGAGGTCGCTACAGCCTGCTCCCACCAGGCATTCTGGGGCATGGATTGGTCTACAGAGTTTGTTCCCAGCTTGAGACCAAGGAGATGTCCTTTTCTGATGCCTTGTCAATCAGTCATTGGTTCTAAGGGGGAGGGGCTGGAAAGAGTGCAAGGGTGGTCCTGGCTCCTTTCTGCTCAGGGCAGCTCTGGAGAAAGTAGGCGGCTGTGAGCTATTGGCCGCCAGTACTCACAGCAGTGGGGAGGTGGATATCCCGACCTGCAAAAGGGGGCCCGGCACCAAAAGCACCCGCCATGGTGGGCACCAGGAGCAGAGGTAGGGGGCATCTGTGATTTTTGCATGGATAGGTCTCATTGGGTCTTCTCAATGAGAATCAGAAGCTGGTGCTGTGAGTCTTGGCTTTTATTTTAAATTTCACTGGTGGTTCTGATTCACATCCCTGAATGAGACCCCTGCCTGGAAAGGTGTCTGCATTTCTTTCTTTTCTTTCTTTTTTAATTTGAGACAGGGTCTCACTCTGTTGCCCAGGCTGGAGTGTGGCAGTGTGTGATCTTGGCCCACTCCAGCCTCGACCTCCTGGGCCCAAGTGATCTGCCCACCTCAGCCTCCCCGAGTAGCTGGGACTACAGTGTACCACCGCACCCAGCTACTTTTTTTCTATTTTTGTAGAGACAGGTCTCACTGTGTTGCCCAGGCTGGTCTCAAGTTCCTGAGCTCAAGTGATCCTCCTGCCTTGGCCTCCCAAAGTGTTGGTAATTATAGGCGTGAGCCACTGTGCGTGGTCCATTTCTTTGTTTTAGTTTAGTTTTTTTTTTTTTTTTTTGGTGGGGCACAGAGTCTTCCTCTGTTGCCCAGGCTGGAGCACACGAACTCGGCTCACTGTAGCCTCCTCCACCTCCCAGTTCAAGCTATTTTCCTGCCTCTGCCTCCTGAGTAACTGGAATTACAGGCGTGCACCACCATACCTGGCTAATTCTTGTATTTTTAGTAGAGACAGAGTTTTACCATGTTGGCCAGGCTGGTCTCAAACTCCTGACCTCAAGTGATCCCCCCACCTCTGCTTCCCAAAGTGCTGGGCTTATAGATGTGAGCCGCTTTCCCCAGCCTCTTTGTTTTATCTTTTAAGGGAAATAATCACTTATGACAGTTTTCCTACTAAACCACTTTGACGTTGAATTTTTTAATGTTAGTATTTACTTTTTGTCTTCAAAGGATGAAGATGAAGAAACTGAACATGAAACAAAGGCTGGTCCTGAACGGCTCGACCAGATGGTGCATCCTGTAGCCGAGCGCCTGGACATCCTGATGTCTTTGGTTTTGTCCTACATGAAGGATGTCTGCTATGTAGATGGTAAATCACAGTAGCTACTGTTTATTGAACACCTGCAGTGTACCTGGCTTTGTGCTGGGCATTTTCCATCCATTATCTCTAGTAATACTAAAAATCCTGTAAAAATATCTATTGAGTATGAGTTTAAGATGATTTAAAGAGGTCAAGTTACTTGCCAGTCACATAGCTTGAAAATGGGACTGGGATTCTGGCTGAGTTATATTTGTCTTCTGTCTTTTCACTGATTGTTGTATTGAAAGATTATATATGGAGTTTGGCCAGTTTTAGATCAAATTACGCTCAAGTTGCTGAATGCACTGAAGAATGATGTAGGGTGCACTAATATATGGTGCTCCGTTATGTATTGAGTTTAGAGGGTCTTTGCCTGGCACCATTGTTGTGCCAGTGTTAGTACTATATGTGCTTCTTGACTTCATGGAACTTTAAAGGCTTTGCCAGGCGAAAACAGAATTTTTTTCCATTCACATTGCTAAGATTTAAGATGAGCTCAGTGAGTCAGAATAATAGAACTGGAATCTGAGTTGACTGCATTACTGTTTTAACGGTCTTGCTGTTATAAAAATAATACATGTTGATTAGAGAATTTGGAAACTACAGGAAAGGATAAAAACAATTTAAATGGCCACATTTCTACTCTTCAGAGAACCATTGTGAGCATTTTGAAGTTTGACTTTTTTCCCTTTTCTGTTAGCGTCTGTATATGTAGGAGAGTATTTTTTAGTGAATTTGGGTGTCACACTAAACACAAGTGTTTCATAATCTGCCCTTTACATGGATGCTGAAGATAAACATTTTCTCATATCATTGCCTGTTTTAAAATAATTGTTATTGAATCCCAGCACTTAGGCCAAGGTGGGAGGATCACTGAGGCCAGGAGTTCAAGACTAACTATCCTGGGCAACATAACAAGACCCCATCTCTAAAAAAAAAAGTCGTAATAATAAATGTTGTTGGTCACATGGGTTTAACTGTCTTTTACTGTTTTCACCATGATAAGTAACAGTTATAATGAACATACTTGTGCCTATATATTCAGCTGTTTACTAACAGTAAAATGATCGGATTAGAGGTCTTTTGCTACACGAATGATAGAATTGCTCTTCAGAAGGGTTTGCATTTCTGACCTTGCCACAGTGTGTGAGGTGAGGGCCTGCTTCCTTGCAGGTGTTAGATTATTATATTCAGAGGAAAATCTGTGTATACTAAAAGTAGCATTTTGTTTTAATGGTATTTTAATGGATAATGTCTGTCTTTCTTTTTTTTTTAAATAGCCACGGTCTTACTCTAACCCAGGCTGGAATGCAGTCGCACAAACATGGCTTACTGCAGCCTTGACCTCCTGGGCTCAAGCGGTTCATCCGCCTCAGCCTCCCATGTAGCTGGGATCACAGGCGTGCCACCATGCCTGGCTAATTTTTTGATTTTTTGTAGAGACAGAGCTTCCCTGTGTTCCCCAGGCTGCCCTTGAACTCCCGGGCTCCCTCTCACTTTGGCCTCCCAAAGTGCTGGGATTGCAGGCAGGAGCCACTGTGCTTGGCTGGATAATGTTGTTTTTTAATGGTGTTGTGTTTATAAAAAATATGGCAGATGAAACTTGAAAATATGTCTTTATAAAAACTGAGATGCCAGATTTTCTCCATAGGTAAGGTTGATAACGGCAAAACAAAGGATCTATATCGCGACCTGATAAACATCTTTGACAAACTCCTGTTGCCCACCCATGCCTCCTGCCATGTACAGTTTTTCATGTTTTACCTCTGTAGTTTCAAATTGGTGAGTAAGAATGTGATTAACATTATCTTAGCTTACTTTGTTTTTGCCCAAAAATTTTCCCTAAAAACTGGGGTGGACGGAGACCATGAAGTAAATAATTCTTTTCTTTGAGCTTACTTGCTAGTCTGCTTAATAAAATCGCATTCTCCTTTCTTTTTTTGTTTTCTTTTCCTTTCTTTTTTGAGACACAGTCTCGCTCTGCTGCCCACTGCTGCAACCTCCACCTCTTGGGCTCAACGGACTCTCAGTCCTTACCCTCTCGATAGCTGGGACCACAGGTTACCATGCCTGGCTAATTTTTGTATTTTTAGAAGAGGTGGGGTTTCGCCACGTTGGCCATACTGGTCTTGAACTCCTGACCGCAAGTGATCTGCCCGCCTCCTGCCCCGCAAAGCGTTGGGATTACAGGTGTGAACAACTGTGCCTGGCCCACGTTCCCTTCTCAGTACACTTGGAGAGAAAACAGATTGCTGCCTGCCAGCCCAGCTAGGTGCTCCGAAAATGTCATCCTGCCTTTTGGTCACTAGGTGGTGCTCTTCCCTTAAGCCTTTCTCTATTAAAATCTCATATGGGGCAATTAACTGTATTTCCTTTATTCTTTCCAAGGGTTGAGTTGTAACTAGCCCAAACCAACTTATTAATCTAGAATTTTAAAAACTTTAGGCTTTGTCTTTTCTTCTTCTTCTTCTTTTTTTTTTTTTTTGGTGGGGGAAAGAATGTAGAAGGCTTTTCCTTCTCTGCAACGATTTTGTGGCTTCCTAGAGATCAGGAGAGTGTTGGTCATGGGAAAGAAGGTTGAATTCAGTCTGCCCACATGGGTGTGCCTAGCTTTAGAACAGCGCTATTTAGGAGAAGTTGGAAGTTACACCCTTTGGTGAGAAGCTGTGTCTGTTTTTTTCCATGATTGGCATAATTAACTCAAATACCAGCTGTGCGTTAGTCCGTATTTCTGTTCGTGGTTGAGTTCAGTGTGTCCAGAGACCGGAAGGTGCTTTGCACTCACAGGAGTGCCCATGTGGAGCTCCATGGGATGTGAATTATTGTTGGTCACCAGTTCTGGCTGACATTGGAATCACTTGAAGAGTTTTTGTAATATGTGGATTCCAAAGCCCTGTCACAAACCTATTGAATTTGTACCTCCCAGGTTGAATTTTTTGTTGTTTTTTGTTTGTTTGTTTTTTGAGATGGAGTCTCACTCTGTCACCCAGGCTGGAGTGTAGTGGCATGATCTCAGCTCACTGCAACCTCTGCCTCCTGGGTTCAAGCGATTCTCCTGCCTCAGCCTCCCAAGTAGCTGGGATTACAGGCACCTGCCACCATGCCTGGCTAATTTTTGTATTTTTAGTAGAGACAGGGTTTCTCCATGTTGGCCAGGCTGGTCTCGAGCTCCTGACCTTGGGTGATCCACCCGCCTCGGCCTCCCAAAGTGCTGGGATTACAGGCGTGAGCCACTGTGCCTGGCCCCGGGTTGATTGTGATGCTTAGCTAGGTTTGGGATCCACTGGATTATTTAACACCCGAGGTGCCTTTTGTTTTTAATGATATTCTCTCAATGTGTTTTAAAAATGAAGCCCATGAGATAGTTATGAGATAGTAGAACTTTTCCCTACATTGGTGAAGTAAAAATCTTGGGATTTTGATAGCCAGATTATCTTAGGCATTAAAAAAGATCACACCGACGCCCTCTCTTTTTATAGGGATTCGCAGAGGCATTTTTGGAACATCTCTGGAAAAAATTGCAGGACCCAAGTAATCCTGCCATCATCAGGCAGGCTGCTGGAAATTATATTGGAAGCTTTTTGGCAAGAGCTAAATTTATTCCTCTTATGTAAGTAGCCTAATTTTCCGAATACTTTTTAATATCATGCTTTAAAAAGAGTATAGCATTGTCTCAAGTCAGAAATATCTCCCATTTTTTTTGGCATGTTTTTAAAGTGAATAAAATCCCTACTCTGTGCAAGATGTTTATATTTCTAAGTGGTGATTTTAGAATAAAGTGTCTCCTTTTTTATATATAAAACCCTGTATGTAAGGCTTTTGTCATCTCTTTTGGTTGCACTTAAAGATCCATTTGTTTTGTGGATAGAGGACAGTGTTGTATACTGTTTTGATTCTTTTTGTAGGTTTGTCATATTTTCATTTGCATTCCAAATCTATTGTATCTGTTAAAGCTGAAGAAAAACCCTTTTAAAGGTAATAGACCTATCTAGGAGGCCAGTTTCTTCCAGTGGCCCATAAAGATACCTTTGGACAAGGATGCTGTTGAAACCCTTCCCCAACCACAAAATTATTCACCATAGGACTTGACTAGGATGCATCAGGGAATACTGAAGTCCACCAGACTGTCTTTCTCTTGAGAGGTGTTGGTGAACGTGTCCTGTTTGGCCAATCACCTTAAGAGGGGTGCCTTTGAGATGGTTAGGAGAACCTGCTTTCCATCCCTTGGGACGTTCTTAGGGGCTCACCTGTTCCTAGAAGGTCAGAGCTACTCTGCCTTGTAATTGGAAGGTTGTCTTCCTACGCACCCATCCTTATCCTTCCTTTCTTTGCTTTTCCTCTGTACCCATGGGTATTATTTAAAGAAACCTATGAACTTACTTAGCATGGTTTGTAATGAAAGGCAGTTGTGTGTTTTTATGTTATTCTGGTTTTTTTATGATGTGTAAAGTTGACTTGAATTTTTCTTTTCTCTAGTACTGTAAAATCATGCCTAGATCTTTTGGTTAACTGGCTGCACATATACCTTAATAACCAGGATTCGGGAACAAAGGCATTCTGCGATGTTGCTCTCCATGGACCATTTTACTCAGCCTGCCAAGCTGTGTTCTACACCTTTGTTTTTAGACACAAGCAGCTTTTGAGCGGAAACCTGAAAGAAGGTCAGTGTTGTGGGAGTGCTGGACTGGATTTTCCTTGTGTTCTTGTCACCCTTCAGAATGGTGATTCATTACTTTTTTGAGATTTTTATAAAAACTGGATTCAGAAAACTGCATGTGCACTCAAACTTTTAATAATAATTTCAAGCAGCTCATAGGCCCCTACAAACCCCTTAAGATAGATTTGAGCTTGAGAACCCTACAAACCCCTTAAGATGGATTTGAGGTTAAGAAAGAGGTTTCTGCCTTTGAAAGTTTGAAATGTGAAGATGTCTCCAGAGGTGAGGCTGAGCCCTGGGCTGTGCCAGCGCCCTGTACAAAGCTTCAGTTGGATGCACCTTCTCTTTGTTGTCCTTGTAACAGCCCAGTAAATGGCAGGTATTCTCCCTTTACAGACAGCACTAAAGCACAGGAAAGTCATTTTCCCAAGATCACATGGTTAGTGGCAGGATTAGAAAACTGAAGCCAGGTTTGGCTGACCCTAAAGTTTGAGTTTATATAGATTAAACTCTGCCTGAAGCCTTGAGACTTAATTGACCAGTATTGTTTTGCTAATTTCTAAGAGTTACTTATAATTCAAATCTGTCAGTTGAAACTTATTAGATTAGTGTATTTTAGTTGAAGAGAGTCTCCAAGAACAGTGTTTATAAGTCATTGTAAATTGTTCTGTTTATGTTTATGAATAATTCTTATGGTTTTGTGGGTCACTTCCTCTAAACCGGGGTCTCTGAACCCTGCACGATTGCCATTTGGGCTGCATCATCCTTCATCGTCGGGGGCTGTCCTCTGCACTGTAGGATGTTTAACAGCCTCCACCTACTAGCTGCCAACAGCAGTCCCCGACCACCCCCAGCTGTGACAACTAAAAGTGTCTCCAGATACTGCCAGGTGTCCTCTGCGGGGGTCGCAGTCTCCTTGGGTTAACAGCCACAGCTCTAAACTGAAAGTTGTATGTGTTGCATTATATATGTTTACCTACATCCTACATGCTTCTAAAAGATGTTGTATGAACTAGTAGGATGAGGTTTTATCACAAGGTAAGTAAATACAAGCTCTGCTTTTCTTTGTATAAATTAATGCCAGGAATCTGGATTAAATATCTTGTTTTTGTAAGCTGTGACATCCCATTTAGGTAATTTTTATTGAAATACGTATCAAAGAAACTCCTAAGAAAATATACTTAAGTACAAGTTGGTCAGCTTGCCTCTTAAAATAAATGTGATGTCTTTATTTTACTCATGTAGAAAAGAATTATATTCATTAAGTCTAAGAAAGTGGTTTCTGTCTAAATTTGCCGTCCGTTGAGGTAGAAGGCAAATTTGGAGTTTTCTTGTTTAGAAAAAAAACTACAGATGACTACTGTGCACCTGAAAACAGCACTCAGCTTCACTAACAAGACATGCAAGCTAGAATCAAATTGCTGTTTTGTTTTGTTGCCTGTCATGATTGTTAGCTGAAACCAAATCACAAGGTCTTTTCTCCCTCTGTATTATCTCAGCATACACTGAGCTTGCAAACATATGAATTTCACATTGTCGTGGAATCTTACAGCCTGCTACTTCCTAAGTTTTCTTTAGACAAGCTGCCTTGGTGACCAATGAATGTGGTTAGCCTAGTGATACTCTTCTGGGCCATATACTGTGTGACTATCTGCATGGACCTTTATTTAAAGCATTTCTGCAAATAATTTTTTAAAGTTTTTTTTAAATGTGTGATAATTTGTGCTTTTAAAAGTATCTTACACTTTTCACTTATTTGTACCTTTAAAAAAATCTTTTTTTTTTTTAAACCAAAGGTTTGCAGTATCTTCAGAGTCTGAATTTTGAGCGGATAGTGATGAGCCAGCTAAATCCCCTGAAGATTTGCCTGCCCTCAGTGGTTAACTTTTTTGCTGCAATCACAAAGTAAGTTATTTACGCTTTCTTGATGGGAGTTATTTAAAATATTTTTATTTATGTTTATCTAGTATTGTAAGAGTGTTAAATTTCTATGAAATTAGTAACATTATAAAAGGCCAGGCATGGTGGCTGACACCTGTAATCTCAACATTTTGGGAGGCTGAGGTGGGAGGATTGCTTGAGGCCAGGAGTTAAAAGACCAGCCTGAGCAACATAGTGAGACCCTATCTCTACAAAAAAATTTTAAAAATTAGCTGGGTGTGGTTGCCTGTGCCTGTAGTCCCAACTACTCAGGAGGCTGAGGTAGGAGGATCACTTGAGCCCAGGAAGTCAAGGATGCAGTGAGCCCTGATTGTACCACTGCACTCCAGTCTGGGCTCCAGAATGAGACCCTGTCTCTTAAACAAACAAAAACAACCCAGTCCTTGCAGGAAATACTGTGATACAGCTATTGTTTTTATACTTTGATGGCGTTGGAAATTACTACTACTTCTTATCCAAAGGGCAGCACTTTGAAATAAGTATGGCAACCAGTAAGCTGAGAGGGGCAAAGCCATAGATGCTTATTAGAGTGACTCCTGTAATAGTAATAGAAATAAACTGGACATGAGGCAAATGTTGACCTGTAAGAGATTGGTTTAGAGAGTTCTGTTCTCTCAGGTCTGGTAGCTATGGCTAATCCATAGCCTTTCCTCTGTGCCAGGCAGTTCTAAGCACTTTACATAGAACTCATTTGATCCTCAAACAACCCTCTAGGATGAAACCCTGTTTATCAACAGGGAGGTGGAGGTACAGAGAGGTGAAATCACTTGCCTAAAGTCATAGAGCTAGACTGGCAGCACAGATTTAAATGTAGTCTGGCTCCTTTGTAAGCTTTCACTAAGTTATTCTGCTTTATGGAGAAAGCGAATTGGAGAATTGAATATTCAATGAGGATATTTAGGCCGGATCATAGCTTAAAATCTTCAACAGATAAGAGCCAACAGCTTGCTGAGCTCCGTCAGCCTCTTTAGTTCTCCTTTGCTAGGCGTCTGGTTCAAGGTGTCCTCTCTTCTGAGTCTCAGTGATAGTAAAGGATTAGGAAAAGGCATAAAGAGACCAATAAGCAACGGCGGTGAGTGGGTGGAGGCTTCAGCACGTTGGTTAAGATGGTGAGCAGCTCAAAGAGTGAGGATGGATGAAGCAAAGCAGAGGCCGCTGCCCCTGGTATGTTCTCGGGGTGGGGACAGAGGACTGCATTTGTGAACCATCTGGTCCAGGGGCTCTCGATTTGGGGTTGGCATGCGCATTGGAGGCACAGAGTGTGATGCGATGTGAGGCTAAGAGCAGGGGATTGAAATAAAAGTCTCTGCCTAGGTACAGATATGGTAAATAAAGGCGTGTACCATTCTGTAGCTGTTGCTTTTGCCTGCTTGATGCTTTTGAGATTGAACCATATTGACACAAAGCTTTATTTTGATTTTAACTGCTGTGTTATGTTCTGGGAATCTTTTTTATTGAGTCTTTGTTGGGATTTCATCTGTTAGTTTTTGTCTTTTTTTTTTTTTTATTTGAGACAAGGTCTTGCTCTGTCACCCAGGCTGGAGTACAGTGGCGTGATCTTAGCTCACTACAACCACCACCTCCGAGGCTCATGCAGTTCTCCTGCCTCAGCCTCCCGAATAGCTGGGACTACAGGCGCCTGCCACCACACCCAGCTAATTTTTGTATTTTTAGTAGAGATGGGGTTTCATCATGTTGACCAGGCTGGTCTCAAACTCCTGAGCTCAAGTGAACCGCCTGCCTCAACCTCCCAAAGTGCTGGGATTACAGGTGTGAGCCACCGTGCCCAGCCGGCTGTGTTAGTGTTTTAGTGCTCAGGAACATTCTTGTGTGTGGGCACATGCTTCCTTGTCACACACCCGGAAGTGCGGTCAGCTGCGGGGTTGTAGGAGATGCAGATCTTCAACTTTACCTGATAGTGCAAACCACCCTCCAGTGTGGTTTTGCTGATGTGTCCTCCACCAGGAGGAGGGGTCAAGTGCTGTGAGCCTTGGCTAACAGGACAGAAATCAAAGTATGTGGCTTGAAGTTGCCATGGTGACCTGAGAACCTGAGATGGAGAGTGACAGAAGTGAGATCTGAGTCCTCATCTTGGAGAAGCTGTCCAATAGATAATTTTTCAAGTTGCTCAATCATTTAGAGACAACTACTGGAAAAATTAAAAACATAATTGTCTTTATTTTATGTTTTCTTCTATGCATTTAACTGTTCTCACTCGGCATGCCTAGTCCTTTCTGTGCCTGTTTTTGAGGTCATGACTTAGTCAACCCCGTGTCCCTCCTTCAGTAAAGGCTTATTTCTTTTTCAGTGCTTCTTCAGCAAGTCTCTTCACCAACCACTATTTCCTCCTGAGTAACTCCTGAATCCCTTTACCACCAACCTTCTAATTCTTTTGCAAACAGTAAAAATAAAGACACCTATAGTTACGTAATCTAAGAGTTTTGCCTTGCAAACATTTATTTTTAATGAATAGTATCTATTACTCATTAAAATATAATGAATAATATCTATTACTCATTAAAATATAAGCCCAGTTTCACATTCTGAGTGATAGCCACGTTTTCTTTCTCCTTAGCAAACTTGCAAATAGAAGACCCATAGAACGGTACCCTAAAAGTGTTACTTTCTGCTTTATATTGTTATTTTTACTAGCACTTGTTATATTCAGCAATTTCTCTGTGGTAGGTACAGTTGTCACACGCAGCTCACATCTGCACCGAGTCACTCCAGCATGTTAATGCCTCTGTCTGTGTTGTTTTTTTGTTCCACAGTAAGTACCAGCTCGTCTTCTGCTACACCATCATTGAGAGGAACAATCGCCAGATGCTGCCAGTCATTAGGAGTACCGCTGGAGGAGACTCAGTGCAGATCTGCACAAACCCGCTGGACACCTTCTTCCCCTTTGATCCCTGTGTGCTGAAGAGGTAGGTACTTTTAAACATTGACGCTGGAGGAGGTGGATTTTTTTTTTTTTTTTGAGACGGAGTCTCACTCTGTCGCCCAGGCTGGAGTGCGGTGGTGTGATCTCGGCTTACCGCAAGCTCCGCCTCCCGGGTTCACACCATTCTCCTGACTCAGCCTCCCGAGTAGCTGGGACTACAGGCACCCACTGCCACGCCTGGCTAATTTTTTGTATTTTTAGTAGAGACGGGGTTTGACTGTGTTAGCCGGGATGTTCTCGATCTCCTGACCTCGTGATCCGCCCGCCTCGGCCTCCCAAAGTGCTGGGATTACAGGCGTGAGCCACCGCGCCCGGCCAGGAGGTGGATTTAAACGTGATACATGTTTGCTTTTCCCAAAATTGGGATTTAGGGCTCTTCACCAGAAGTGGCCCTTCCTCGCTGTTGATGAGCATCTCGTGGTCTCCCTGCGTATATTTCACCAGATGCAAAGTAGAGGATGCCTAGCAGGACTTGCCGAGTGGCGCAGGCACCCCAGAGTGGGTAGATCTTTGCCTCACTAGGAGCCAGACTGACATCAAGGGTTTTTTGTTTTTTGTTTTTCTTTAAACTGTTATTTAAACATGTAAGGTTAATGGGGATAATGGTGCCAGGATAGGGGAGGGTGCTGTCTTTTCTTGCTTCATAATTTTCTGCCAAGTGTCTTGTTCCTTCCTCTAGAGACCACATACCATTCTGTTGCACAGGATAAACAAAAAACAAACGATTGGCTGGGCGTAATGGCTCATGCCTGTAATCCCAGCACTTTGGGAGGCTGAGGCGGGCGGATCACTTGAAGTCAGGAGTTCAAGACCAGCCTAGCCAAGATGGTGAAACGCTGTCTTTACTAAAAATACAAAAATTAGCTGGGTGTGGTGGTGGCGCCTGTAATTCCAGCTACTCGGGAGGCTGAGGCAGGAGAATCTCTTGAACCCGGGAGGTGGAGGTTGCAGTGAGCCGAGATTGCACCAATGCACTCCAGCCTGGGCGAGAGAGTGAGACTCTGTCTCAGAAAAACAAAACAAAAAAAAAACAAAAAGCGATTTATCTAGATGAGTTGTTCTAGAAAACCACTGGGCCAGCCTTAACTTGGCACTTGTATAAGGAAGCAGGATTTTTGCTTATTATGGTTTCTAAAATAACTAGCAGCATCATGACCATCTGGGATTGTCTGGTCCCTGAAGTCTTGGTTGACTGAAACCAGATTAGTTGTTTTTCCTAGACTTACTTTTCAGCAAATTACTACAGAAATATAAAAAAGAGAGTTCCAGAATATTACGGTTTCATTTCCATTTGGATATACTGTATCTAACTGACTTGTGAGTCTTTGTAAAGTTTAGAAACAATTTCACATGAAAATGGAAAGATGAAAAACGGTAGTTCAATACTCCATCGACATGAGTGAATGAACTCTTATACAGAAAGAGCCACATTAGTTACAGCATTTACATAGAGGGTTGTTTTTTTGTTTTGTTTTTTTCTTTTTTTTTTTTTTTTTTTGAGACAGAGTCTTGCTCTGTCTCCCAGGCTGGAGTGCAGTGGCGCGATCTCGGCTCGCTGCAAGCTCCGTCTCCCAGGTTCAGGCCATTCTGCCTCAGCCTCCCGAGTAGCTGGGACTACAGGTGTCCGCCACCACACCCGGCTAATTTTTTGTATTTTTAGTAGAGATGGGGTTTCACCGTGTTAGCCAGGATGGTCTCGATCTCCTGACCTCATGATCTGCCCACCTCAGCCTCCCAAAGTGCTGGGATTACAGGCGTGAGCCACTGCACCCAGCCAGGTTTTTTTTAAATGTAATTATTTAAGCTGTAGTTTTCACTTCTTGGTTTTGGGTAATAGATCTTGTGAGAAAAGATCCAAACCAATTTTGACTTCTGCCGAAGTATTTAACTTGACTTTGAAATGTGATCTTTGTTGACAGGTCAAAGAAATTCATTGATCCTATTTATCAGGTGTGGGAAGACATGAGTGCTGAAGAGCTACAGGAGTTCAAGAAACCCATGAAAAAGGTCAGTTTGTGATTGATTGAGCACACTCTCGGAATCTCCTTTCTGGTTCCAGGTCACAGTGAGATAGTAAGTGGCAAGTCGCTCGTGCGTGTAATCCCCGCACTTTAGGGGGTCAAGGCCAGAGGATTGCTGGAGACCAGCCTGGGCAACACAGTGACACCCTGTTTCTACAAAAATTTTTTTAATTAGCTGGGCGTGGTGGTGCACACCTGTAATCCCAGCTCCTCTGGAAGCTGAGGTGGGAGGTCAAGGCTGCAGTGAGCTGTAAATGCAGCATGGCACTTCATCCTGGGCAACAGAGCAAGACCCTGTTTTCTTTAAAAAAGCACACCAAAACCGTGTCTTACTCATTCTGCCTTTATAAAATTCCAGGCCCAGGTTTTGTTGTTATTTAAAGAGTCTATGGCTTTTTTGGATAAATTGCTTAAACCAGACACTTCACATACTGACATGTGAGAAGCGAAGGTTAATGACAAATTAGCTGAATGAATTTAGATCTTTGCCACTTGCGCATTCTTACCAAGTAACAATCTCCAGTTGACTCATGTTGAAATTGCCCCAGCAGTTTACATTAGTTTTATAGATCTTCATGAATGGGTGGTGAAGACGCAGGTTGCAACATACCCTCCAGGTCACATGAGGTGGAGCTGAGACAGTTACAGTTAGAGAGGAAAGTTAGAATCCAGTAATAAAGAATTTCGCTGCTCTGTTGCTTGGGAGCACATTTGTTTTCTCATTAAAAGCAGCTTCAAGATGGCTTTTTTGTTGTTGTTTTTAATAAGTAATCATTGGAAAGCCCCTTTCATCTTTTTCTTTATGTTTCATTTGTTGAGGGGCGTGTAATTCATTCACATTGTGTTAGGTACAAGAGTTCCTAACACTGGGCAAGAATGACTCGTCATGTTTCCTGTCCCCATTGAGCTTCAAATCTGTTTGCAAGTCAGACTTGAAACAAATGATTACAATGTGTGATGAGCAGTTATGTGGGTATGTTGGTAAGAAGGAAGTGCTTATCAGAGGGAGCTTTTGTTCTGTTCTGTTTTTCTAGAGACATGGTCTCGCTATGTTGCCCAGGCTGGATTCGGAACTCTTGAGCTCAAGCAGTCCTCCCACCTCCACCTCCTGAGTAGCTGGGACTACAGGCGTGTGCCACTGCACTGGCTTTCTTTTGAAATTAAGATATTTTCTTCACCATCTTTACAAACGTTAACACCTTCCTGAGGAAGGAATTGTTGAAAGCTTTTCAGTCAGCACTGGTGATGTTACTGATGATTTCTGATGTTTCTGCAGGACATAGTGGAAGATGAAGATGATGACTTTCTGAAAGGCGAAGTGCCCCAGAATGATACCGTGATTGGGATCACACCAAGCTCCTTTGACACGCATTTCCGAAGTCCTTCAAGTAGTGTGGGCTCCCCACCCGTGTTGTACATGCAACCCAGTCCCCTCTGACGGCAGAAATTTGTGACTGAGATGTGACATTTGGGATTCCCCATCACTTGTCATGCCCTCAGCACCCAGCTTGTGCCATTGGGCATTGATGGCATTGAACTAGAGCGAGTGCCTGCCTCGGCTGTGGCACTTCCAGGTTCGACTGAATCAAGCATCTGAAGACTGGGTTTTTTTGTTGTTGTTGTTCCCCTTACAGACAAAATGAAGACTATCATGTGCAATCTTTTACAGTGGGGTTGATGATACATTTGGAAGGATTTGCTTGTTTAATATGTACATTTTTTGTGTTAACAGCTTTTTGACACAATTACTGGGTAATTTCTAATATAGGCAGCAGACTGTTTTACGGGTTGCTGTTTTAACATGGGTTTTTGTCAGATCCATGGTCTTAGGACTTGACTGATGAGCTTTCAGTGAAGAATCCTCTAAGATAAAACTTCTATTTAAAGACTTTAACTAGAAAGTGTTTATTTTGGCTACATTGTTCACCTTCTGCTGTATTGGTATTTGTCTGTTGGGATTTCAAGGGAGTGTAGAGAAGACAGAAGGAAAGCTGAGAGCTGGCCCGACATGGTCTGGGACACAGAGTTGGAGCTGGCACTGAAGATCTCCAGGGACTTCAGAGACCAATAAAAGCCCATAGGGAAGAGAGAGAGGATATAGGGAAACAGAATCAGATGTGTAATATACTTGGCACAGCGAAAAAATGGATTTAAAAGACAAAAATGGAGGTCCAGGTAGATGTAATTCACACAGACTGAAAGTGAGTTCGGGCTTGTGTAAAACACATGAGATTGGATTTGACCCCTTGGCTCTCAAGTGTCCCCTTAGATCTAGAACTGCTCCTTGGTGGCCATTAGATCGAGTCAGTTTTGATCTGCATCACTTAGTTATTGGGAATTTCTTTGTTGGAAACAGGAAAATTTTTTTAGATTATTTGGTGTACGGTTTTGCTCACAACAATAGGTGGAAGTTGCTAGTGCAGTCTTGGTCTGATGGCTGTGTGCATCGCACATTCGGCTTGGTGAAATCCTTCTCTAAAGCCTCTTTTTGTATTTTTATAACTAAACAGAGGAAGTCTTCAGAAGACCTCGCTTTAAAACAAATTTGTGCAAACACTGCTAGAGTCATTTTGAAGCTCAAGCATTTTCACTTTGTTTCTTACATGTGTACTTTTTTGTTTACTTGTGAAAATGGCCATCTTTAAGCATATTTATTTTCTGCCACTTTATTTAAAGGCAAGCAATATTTTCTTGATCATAAATATTTTGTAATGAAATACTTCCTCTTTTCCAGGGCTTTGTATGCACTTGTATAATTACATTGATGGCAATGTAGAGTTTGAATTTCAGTCTGTAAATACTTTTTTGGAAAATAGAAATTTTTATTGCTTTAAAGTTTTGGATATGGGTGGTTTTCTTTTCCGGGTTTGGTGGAAAGTAATTTGAGAACTTTAAGGTTGTCTTTTTAACTGCTGGCAAAATGTTGATTTTTTAATATTAGATAAAACGAGTAAACGAAATTCCCCAGAAATTAGTAGTAAGTGGGGTCTTTGTGGGTTGGGAAGTAGTTTTAATGTAGAAAGACATTTACATATAAGTCTGTTTAATTTCAAAGGAGTTTGTGAAAAAAAATCCATGGTGAAAATGAAACAATGACATGGTTAATCTGGAACTTACGTTCTTATACCAATAAAAGGTACCTCAATACATGTTCTTTCAATTTCTGTTTTGTTTTTTTTTTTTAATTTAATGTATTAAAGCATTTTGCAGTGGAAAACTCCTGAGGCATTGCTGTTGAAGAGGGAGAAATAGTGCTGGTGTGGCGGGGAGCTTGATGGAATTCATTGCATGCCGGGGTGAGGATGGTTTCCGTGTGCACTGTATGAAGTATCCGCGACTCTCCTTAATCACACCCAGCAAAGAGTGATTGAGGCTTGAGCAGGTCCAAGGGAAGCAGACACTTCTTTCAAAAAGTTACATGCTTTGAAGGGACATCTATGGGGAAAAATACTGTGAAATCTCCTTATAAATTACATGCCAACAATGGGAATTTTTCCTTTCACTAAAAAGCTGTCAGTTGTAGGAGTCTCCAGGGTCTGTCCTTTTGTCTGTGTGCTCTGGTTTGGTCTTCCTTGATGAGAAGTGGCTGAATTTTTACAAGTCAACTTACCAAGTGCCATGGGCTTCCTTTCCTAGCTAGCTGTTTGAAGTTGAGCAAGTTACCTAACCTCTCTGAGCGCTAATTAAACTGTAAAATGGGAATAAGATACTAGTGTAAGGCTTTAAGGATTCGATGCATGTACAAGTTAATGGCTGTTGTTTTCTTGCAAGAAAGGAAGCACTTCCATGGGAAGTTTTTTTTGGTTAAAGATAACTTCTATTTCTTCCATAATACCTACCTCCCTGGTACCAACTTAGATCTGAACTGGAGAGGAGGAACCAGCGTGTTTCCCTTGCCGGGCAGTGCTTACGATGGTGGTTCTTAACCCTGGCTGTGCCCTAGAATCAGTCCCTTGGAGTGCTGAGAAACTAAGGATGCCCAGGCTCACGTCACACACCAACTCAACCTTTGATTGAATCAGTCTCCAGAAGAGGGGTCTGGACATGGATGGTTTTTAAAGCCCCCTGGTGATTCGAAGGTGCAGGCTGCCTTGAGAACTGTTCATTGGTTTACAACTGCATACTTTTCTTGTTTCAACTAATTGAACATCCAAAGCTCCACCATGTTTTCTTCCATCAAATGCTTTTGTGTGTTTCAGTCTGACTCTGGATGGTTGAGTAGGATTTATAATGTATCTAATAATTTGGGGCCAGGTGTGGTAGCTCATGCCTGTAATCTGAGCACTTGGGGAGGCCAGCAAAAGGATCTCTTGAAGCCAGGAGTTTGAGATCAGCTGGGGCAACATAGTGAGACCCCCATCTCTACATTAAAAAATTTGAAACACAAATTGGGATCCTTTCACTAAATATTTACTAAGGTTCTGTATAATGTTCATCATTCTTTTTTTTGAGACAAGAGTCTCACTCTGTCACCCAGGCTGGAGTGCAGTGGTGCAATCACAGCTCAACAACTGCAACCTCCGCCTCCTGGGCTCAAGTGATCCGCCCACCTCAGTCTCCTGAGTAGCTGGGACTACAGGTACGCACCACCATGCCTGGCTAATTTTTGTATTTTTAGTAGAGATGGAGTTTCACTATGTTGGCCAGGCTGGTCTTGAACTCCTAACCTCAAGCAATCTGTCCGCCTCGGCCTCCCAAAGTGCTGGGATTACAGGCGTGAGCCACCATGTCTGGCCTCAAAAAAGTGTAATTTAAAAAATATTTCCCTGTATATATTCTTTGAACTTTGCCATCAGCCATCTTGTGAGGCAGGTTGGTTTCCTATCTTAAAGAAACAGGCTTTCCAACATTGTAATTAGTGCTTTCTTTTTCTTTTTCTTTTTTTTTTGAGACGGTCTTGCTGTAATCACCCAGGCAGGAGTGCAGTGGCACAGTCGTGCCTCATTGCAGCCTTGACCTCTAGGGCTTGATTGATCCTCCCGAGTAGCTGGGACTACAGGCCTGCCACCATGCCCAGCTAATTTTTGTATTTGTTGGAGAAGCAGGGATCCCTGTGTTGTCCAGGCTCGTCTCGAACTTCTGGGCTCAAGTGAGTCCTCCTTCGGCCTTTCAAAGTGCTGGGGTTACAGGCATGAGCCGCAGTGCTGGCCACACACCTGCTATTGCTTCCTCATTGCCTGTAGACCAAAATTTGTGGAGCTGGGTGGGAAGAGAGGTAGGGGAGTGGTTTCCTGCTTGTTATCTGGCTCATTTAGTCCTTTAACACAGTACTCAGCCTAGGAGATTGATAACCTGAGATTACTTGAAAAAAGATCACCCAAAAGTGAAAAACCAGTTAGGCAAACTGCACCAGCCCCAGGCAGAACCCACAGAACCTTGTTCTTCACCTTTGCACTTCCAAATGCCTCACTTTGATTGACTACTCTTTGCTCTGCAATTCCAATAATAGCTATCTTTAGTGTTTAGTATGTACCAGGTGAAACAAACATGCTATTCTACAAAACCAGTTCAGGGAAGTTAAGTAACTTGCTCCAGGCCAGCCTGCTGGTCATTGATCACCCTGGTTTCAAACCCTGTTTTTAGCTCCGAGCTTCCTAGTTGGGACTTACTTAATGTCACCTGCATTAGAATGAGTTGTTTACAGTACAGTCTAGGAGCATCTTATAGTGATGGAGAACACTGCCTTTGGAATCATGCAAAGCTAGGTTCAGTCTTCGTTCTACTACTTATTTCTACCACTTTGAGCAAGTTACTGTATCTGTTATAACGGAGGTGTTGATAGTAGCTCCTACATTTGTGAGGACAAATGACAAATGAGGTGTTGATAGTAGCTCCTACATTTGTAAGGACAAATGAGAAATGTAGGTGTAATAATACAGAGAAATAATTTCCTGGTAGCTAGAAATAGAGTTATTTTGGGTGAGAAGTTGGGTAACCTGGCGATGGGAACACCATCTTCTACAGTCATTTCTTTAGTAAATTTCCTGGTATTTTTGTTGAACGGGGTGTGTAAGCTGAGGGGGAGATTTATGAAAGAAGACGATGAATACAGATGATAAAATTCTAATAAAGTTTCTGCTGTATCATGTGGCTCCTCTGTATCTTTTGTAAAATTACTTTTTGTTAATGTGCTGCAGAGTTGGATGAATTTGAGCAATATTTCCAAGTTTTAGAAGAGAGCTCCACGGTGAGACGCCTCTCACCGTGGGGACCTGTCCTCAGATTAGGGGCTCTGCAGTCAGTATCCGCAAATCCTTCCCCCACCGTTCCCAGCCCACCTGTGAGTGGCCTATTGCATTCCAATCACGACGTGTTAATCGATGATCTCTTTAGTACGTGGGGCTAGCACAGTTCAGGATCTATTTTCTCAGTTTAAGACCGTTTACATTTATTTTTATTATTTTCAGAAACAGAGTGTCCCTCTGCAGTGCCCAAACATAGCTCATTGCAGCCTCCCACTCCTGGGGTCAAGAGATCCTCCCGCCTCAGCCTACAGAGTGGCTGGGATCACAGGTGCATGCCACCGTGCCCATTTAATTTTTAAATTTTTGGCAGAGACGAGGGTATGGGGGAGGGTGGGTCTCACTATGTTGCCCAGGCTGGTCTCGAACTCCTGGCCTCAAGCGATCCTCCTGCCTCGGCCCCCCAAAGTGCTGGGATTACAGGCGTGAGCCACCGTGCCCGCCTGATTAGGTTTATTATTACTCATTGAATGCAATCCTACGGAGCTGCACAGCAGGGTCCCAAACTCAAGCTTGTGGAAGGTCACACACCTGGGAAGCGTGGAGCAATGACCTAAAGCGCAGCAGTCGGAGCCAGAACCCGCCCCAGGAACTCGCCCGGAGGCTCTCTTGGCTGGTGCAGCTGCTCCCTGGCAGCTCTCCTTTCCCCGCTCCTTCACTCCCACGCTTTTGGGACTACACTTCCCAGCGCCCCTTGCGGAGGAGGCGGGCCGCGCGCTGCTTCCAGGGCCACTTCCTGGCTTTGGACTACATTTCCCGTGAGGCCTTGCGGCCATGTCCTGGATTTCTCCAGTCTCTTCGGCCGGCACCGCCTCCGCCTGGACTCCACTTCCCGGCAGCGCCCGCGGTGGGGCGGGGCAGGACGAGGCGGGACGCGCGGCCCGAGGGGCGGGGGCGGCGGGCGGCCCGGGGCTGCAAAGCGGGGGGCCGCCGCCTCCCTGGGCCTGCCTGGGCGGCCGCCTCCGCGATGCCGCTGCTCGTCGAGGGGCGGCGAGTGCGGCTGCCGCAGTCAGCCGGGGACCTCGTCCGAGCCCACCCGCCTTTGGAGGTGAGTGGGGCGCGGCGCGGGGCTTCGGGGCGGGCCCGAGGGGAAGCTGCAGGGCGGGCTAGCGCCCCCCTCACGCGACACAGACTTGAAACTTGGCGCTGTTGGCACATCCGGAGCCCCGGCCGTCGGCTCGCGTCTTCCCCTTGAGGGGTCGGGGAGTTTTTGCCTTCTTTAGACTTCAGCGGGCTGCCCCGGAGGCCACTCTCTGACAAGGGAGGGGACGGGGGCCCAGAGAGGTTAGGTGACTTGCCCAAGGTCGCACAGCACTGCGGCTCGGGGACACGCCGGGACCCCCATTCCCCGACGGGGCGGCTGCAGCCCCCATAGGGCTGGGTCCGTTTAGGCAAATCCGGCCGCCCGCCTTCGGGGACCCGCAGCCTGCGGTGAACGTTGCTTCGTCCTTGCGTCCCCGTGAAGCAGGAGGTTATTCCAGGGTGGGCTTCGGAGAGCGTTTGGCCTGGGGGATCTTGGCGGGGACCCCCAGTCCTTCCTCCTCTCTCTCCCCTACCCCCGGGGCGTAGGGCGCCGAGTTATTTTTAGCCGGGAGAGAGAGCCCTGCTTTCCGCAGCTGGGCCATAGGACCACGCCCTGATGCACGGGTTTTGTTTTTGTTTTTTCTGCTTTTGTGCTCAAATAGATCTCTGAACTCTTGTCCACGCTTATGCAGGGACTGTTGGCAAGGGGGTTCTCAGGTTTTAAAAAGAGCGGGGCGTGGCGGCGGGGGCAGACGTCCTATTTGCCATAGATCCTGTTAAAGGGGAATCAATCAGTTCCTTGATTTGAGAGTCAAATATCGAGCCCCTAATATCTGTTGGGCAACGTACTGATCACTGTCCCTGCCCTCGGAGTGTTTATAGTCTAGAAGGGAGAATGGTTTCTGATGAAGAAGGCTCAGATACTATAAACTGTTAAGTACCATAAAGAAAAAGCGTCCCCTTTCACTCTGAGATGGGAAGCACAGGAACCTGACCAAGTGTGTTGGGTTGGGGAAGGCATTTAGAGGTTTCATCTGTCACAGCTGTACAGTTTGTGATTATTTTGTTTGCTTGTTTGTTCTCTATTGGTCTGTCGCCAGAATGTAAGCCTCCTGAAGGCAGATAATAGTAGTGTCCTCACTTTTGTATCCTCAGAGTGTAGGACGGTCCCTGGCATAGAATTGGCGCTCAGTAAAGATTTGCTGCATAAATGAGGTCACAAAATGACCCCTGAACGTGTTCTGAAGGGTGACAAGGACTTACTGACGGGGAGAAGGCAGACAGCTCTGTGTGATTCTCAGCTTGCATTTCAGGACCGACCATCGTCTGTTAGCCAACATGCACCGAGCTAGGCGTGGTGGCGTGTCACTTTATCCTTGCGTTGTGTTACTGTCCTGTTAGCTAGCGAAGTCAAGAGTAGGACTCACCAAGGAAAAATAATTTCAGCCGCCTGAAGAATTTAGGGGATGCTCTACTTTTATGTCTGTTTGAAAATGTCCGTGATAGAAAGTTAGATGGGTGTCCCGGGCTGCACACTTAAGTGTGGAGGGAGATTTGGTGACATACCGGGGCTGCTTCTCTCGAAGGAAGGTTTTGGCCTATTTAAGAAGACATGTCCTAGAAAGGCTGTGTACTGGGGACCAGTTTGTGTTACAGGAACTTTGGAAGGGGGCGATCACTTTGATTTGCGGCAGTGTAAGTGAAGAAGGATGCAGGCACGAGAGAGATTTGAAAAGGAGAAGAAGGGTGAGGGCATCGCAGCTGGGCAAGCCGCCTGGGGCGCGGCGGGCAGGAGGGGAAGGGCCCAGTGGGTGGGTGTCCTGGCCAGTTTCTCCGGAGCAGCCCGGGTGAGGAGGGGAAGCATGGAAAGTAACCTTACAGGGGTGGATTGTACCCAGATGACCAAATGACCAAGGGGCTTAGATGGACCTTTCACCTACTTAGCAACAGGGAGACATTAAAGGTTGGGTTTTTTGTTTGTTTGTTTGGTTGGTTGGTTTTTTTGAGACTTAGTTTTGTTCTGTGGCCCAGGCTGGATTGCTGTGGCGCAATCTCGGCTCACTGCAACCTCTGTCTCCCAAGGTTCAAGCGATTCTCATGCCTCAGCCTCCCAAGTAGCTGGGATTACAGGTGCATGCCACCACACCCAGCTAATTTTTTTATTTTTAGTAGAGACGGGTTTTCACCATGTTGGCCAGGCTGTTCTTGAACTCCTGACCTCAAGTGATCTGCCCGTCTCGGCCTCCCAAAGTGCTGGGATTACCGGTGTGAGCCACTCCACCTGGCCTGGATTATTTTTATATAATAAAACAGGGTGTCCTCTTTGTAGGAAAGCAAAATATAATAATACAGAAAAAAAAGTATGACTACAACCATTCTTTAGTTTGGTGAAAGTCCTAATGAAGGTTTTTCTTTGTATATAATTTACTTTTTTTAAAAAAATGATAGCTTACTATATGTTGTTTTATAATGTGTCTTTTTCATGTAACGATGTGTTCTGAGTATGGAGTACCAACAGTTAGAAGCCTGTGTGTAGCTATGACTAGCAAATAATAACAATAAGTCATACAGTGGAAGCTGCCAAGCACCACAGCAAGAGTTACTGCTATTCCCATTTTACAGATGAGGACTGTGGGGCACAGAGAGGCTGGGAAACTGGCCCCAGGCCCCACATCCTGGGAGTGGTGAAGCCAGGATTGGAACCCTGGCAGCCTGCCCTTGACTCTGGAGCTGCGCTATTCAGTACAGTAGCCACGAGCCATCTGGTTACTTAGGATTTAACTTAAAAATCAATTAAAATTAGATAAAATTGAAACTCAGTTCCTCAGTTGCAGTAGCCACATTTCAAGTGCCGAGCAGACAGCATGGCTACTAATGAGACAGTGTGAATATAGACGGTGGCCATCCCAGCATGAAGTTCCTTTGGCCAGAGCTGTTTAGAGCCCTCCCTTAGTCACTCTTAACCAGTCACTGGGTACTCGGTAACCAGTCCTGCAACATCTTGGGTAATACGGTTCCACAGAGTCTACAAGATGCTCGCAGCGTAGCTTAGTTCCTGCTTTTATTATTTATTTATTTATTTTTTTTTTGAGAGACAGAGCCTTGCTCTGTCACCCAGGCTGGAGTGCAATGGCACGATCTTGGCTCACTACAACCTCTGCCTCCCAGGTTCAAGTGATTCTCCTGCCACAGCCTCCTGAGTATCAGACATCTGCCACCATGCCCGGCTAATTTTTGTATTTTTAGTAGAGATGGGGCTTCAACATGTTGGCCAGGCTGGTCTGAAACTCCTGACCTCAAGCGATCATCTCGCCTCGGCCTCCAAAGTGCTGGGATTACAGGCGTGAGCCAGTGTGTTGGGCCTCATAATTTCTTATATAGCATTGTGCTTTACAGTTCACAGATCACCTTCATGCCCCTCTCCTGTTTATAAAGGAAGAATTGATAAACAGGACAGCAGGGGTGAGGGTCACATGATCATCCCCCAGGTCACAGCTAGGTGATTGGCTAAGACACAGGTCAACAAGCCACAGCTCATGGGCCGGACCCTGCTTATGTATAGCCTATAGGCCAAGAATGGTCTTTATATTTCTCAAAGGTTGAGAAAAATCAAAATAATATTTTGTAACATGGGAAATGGTATTGAAATTAAAACTTCGGTGTCACCTATAAATAAAGTTTTATTGGAACACAGCCACATCTGTATTGTCTATGGCTGCTTTCACTTCATAATAACAGCAGAGTTGAGCAATTGTGACAGAGACTGCGGCCTTGTAGAACCCCAAATATTTACTGTCTGGCCTTTTTCAGAAAATCTGCTGGTCACTGGGTTAAGAGAATACTGCCATTGAATAGGAACTGGGAAATAGGGATGAGGGACTGAGGGAAAAGCTTTTTTTTTTTTAAGCAAATATTAGTGTCTAGAGCATATTAGAGGTTAAGAAAACTGGGACTACTTGCATATGAATTTATAAAGTAGGACTGTGTGGTTTTCCAAAGAAGGGAAGTTTGGCTAAACTCTTTTTACTACTTAAAAGAGCAAAAATTAGCCAAGTGTGGTGGCGTGCGCCTGTGGTTCCAGCTACTGCAAAGGAGGCTGAGGTGGGAGGATTGCTTGAGCCCAGGAGTTTGAGGTTGCAGTGAGCTATGATCTGGCCACAGCACTTCAGCCTGGGCAACAGAGTGAGGCCTTGTCTCTAAAAAAAAAAAAAAAAAAATTAAAAATAAAGTAGAGGCTGGGCACAGTGGCTCATGCCTATAATCCTAGCACAAGTGTGGTGGCGTGCGCCTGTGGTTCCAGCTACTGCAAAGGAGGCTGAAGCAGGAGGATCACCTGAGGCCAGGAGTTCGAGACCAGCCTGGGCAACACAGGGAGACCCCATCTCTACAAACAGTACAAAAACTAGCCAGGTGTGTCGGCTCATGCCTGTAGTTCCCAGCTCCTTGGGAGGCTGAGGTGGGAGGATTGCTTGAGGCCAGAGGCTGCAGTGAGCCACGATCTCGCCGCTGCACTCCAGCCTGGGAGACAGTAAGACCCTGTTTAAAAAAAGAAATTAAAAAATAGAGCAAAGCAGTCTACTGTTTTAGTTTTCTGGCATTCTCTCTTCTGATAATTTTTGCTTTTATTTCTTTGGGAAATCGTAGGAGCTGTGTTGAAGAGAGACATGATTTTTGGTCTTTGTGAAAGCAGTAATTAATTTCTCACAAATAGCTTTGCTTTTGAGTGGTGACCCAATTGTGAACATGAGTGTTAAAAATTCGCCTTTGCGCCCTCCCTTCTCTTCCCTTCCCTCAAAGAACAAAGCAGAAGGTAAGTATCTCAGGAGTAATCAAGAGGGAATTCTGAATTCTCCCCTGTTATTCTGAACTAAGATGAGGCAAGAAGTGGAATGAGAAAATGAGAGGCTGTCACCTGTACAGGTGTTCTGAGTTTTAGAGCAGTCACACCTGTTTCTCACTGACTTCTGGAGCAAGCAAGGCTGTCTTGCCCATCTAATTTTACACTGCAGTTCATTTAATCTTTAGTTTGTTTCTTAAATTAAGGGGCTTGTCTCATTTTCATTGATACCTTGCTTCCAGTTAATGGAAGTTTATAAACAGAAGAAAACACCATGTAAGTAATCAAGCTGATCATTATGTTTATTACATCTCTTCTTTTAGTTTAATCTTAATTTTTTTTTTTTTGAGGCAGGGTCTTGGTCTGTCACCCAGGCTGGAGTGCAGTGGTGCAATCATGGCTCGCTGCAGCCTCCACCTCCTGGCTGCAAGTGATCCTCCTACCTGAGCCTCCAGAGTAGCTGGGACTACAGGCACATGCCACCACACCCAGCTAATTTTTGTAATTTTTGTAGAGACAGGATCTTCCTTGTTGCCCAGGCTGGTTTTGAACTCTTAGGCTCAAGCAGTCCTCCCTCCTCAGCCTCCCAAAGTGCTGGAATTACAGTTGGGAGCCATCACACCCAGCTGCTCTTATGTTTTATTAAGTGAGCGCTAACCTAAATTAGCACCAGTCATGCGAAATGGCAAGAAGCTGATAGAAGACTAAGACTGCAAAACTGTCTTCCTGTGTAGGCAATACATACATACGTTGTCTAGACATTTGAGGAAGATTTTGTTCATCCAGGAGTTTGTTGCAAGTAAGAAGGAAATTATGATACATTGTAGTGTTGTATCAATTTAATATTTTGAAAAAGTTTTTGTTAAATAACCACTGAATTTTTAACCACTGAATTTTTTTTACAAGCTTACTAAATAAGTGTGTACAAACACTCAGATTATTGACACTTAGTATTAACATACCTTTCGTAAATTTGCCTTATCCATTTTGTTTTTGTATTCTAACAATAACTATGTGATAGAACATTGAGAGAAGAGAGGACAACAGCAACAGGAAATCACTCATGTTTGCTTTTTTGGCACAGCCATGGTTGTACTGGTGAAATTTCCTTCCAGTATTTTTCTCTATGGGTATAAGCATTTAATCATTGTTGTATTATGGCACATTTATAGCTCTTTAAAACATTTTTTATACTTTTGTATCTTGCTTTTCAATTAGCATTTCAAAACTCTTTTTCCCATAGTTTTCATTTCTCATGACTGTGCAGTTAGTGGCTGTGACTTGGTTCTGTGCCCAATTTACTTACCTTTTCCATTGCTGCTCCCAGCTTTTTGCCATTACAAATTACACAGGGGGCTGGGCATGGTGGCTCATGCTATAATCCCAGCACCTTGGGAGGCCAAGGCAGGTGGATCACTTGAGGCCAGGAGTTTGATACCAGTGTGGCCAACATGGCGAAACCCAGTTTCTACTAAAAATACGAAAAGCTGGGCATGGTGGCGCACACCTGTAATCCCAGCTACTGGGGAGGCTGAGGCACGAGAATCGCTTGAACCTGGGAGGTGGAGATTGCAGTGAACTGAGATCACGCCACTGCACTCCAGCCTGGGCAACAGAGCGAGACTCTGTCTCAAAAAAAAAAAATAAGATAAAAGAAATAACACAGGGATGAACATATTTTGAGTTATTTCCTTAGGACAGATTTCCAGAAGTGAAATTACTAGGTTAGGGACTAAGGTAAAAAAGCGGAGGCCAGGTATGGTGGCTTATGCATGTAATCCCAGCACTGTAGGAGGCCAAGGTGGGTGGATCACTTGAGTCCAAGAGTTTGAGACCAGCCTGGGCAGCATAGGGAGGCCCCATCTCTACAAAAAGTATAAAAATCAGCCAGGTGTGGCGGTGTGTGCCTGTACTCCCAGCACTTTGGGAGGCCAGGGTGGGTGGATTGCTTGAGCCCAGGAGTTTGAGACCAGCCTGGGGAGCATAGGGAGACCCCGTCGCTACAAAAAGTATAAAACTCAGCCAGGTGTGGCGGTGTGTGCCTGTACTCCCAGCACTTTGGGAGGCCAGGGTGGGTGGATTGCTTGAGCCCAGGAGTTTGAGACCAGCCTGGGCAGCATAGGGAGGCCTCATCTCTACAAAAAGTATAAAAATCAGCCAGGTGTGGTGGTGTGTGCCTGTACTCCCAGCACTTTAGGAGGCCAGGGTGGGTGGATTGCTTGAGCCCAGGAGTTTGAGACCAGCCTGGGGAGCATAGGGAGACCCCGTCGCTACAAAAAGTATAAAACTCAGCCAGGTGTGGTGGTGCAAGCCTGTAGTCCCAGCTATTTGGGAGGCTAAGGTGGTAGGATCGCTTGAGCCTGGGAGGTGGAGGCTGCAGTGAGTTGAAATTGTACCACTATACTCCAGCTTGGGTGACAGAGTGAGAGACTGTCTCAAAAAATAAAAAAGAGGGGATGTGATTTCAGAGCCATCCATCCACTATTCCTGTGTAATCTGATTCTCTTTACAATGGTAAAATTGTTAAGAGTCTCACACTCTTTAGTAAAGAACTGTGATAGCTGGGTGTGGTGGGTCATGCCTGTAATCCCAGCACTTTGGGAGGCCAAGGCAGGAAGATTGCTTGAGCCCAGGAGTTCAAGACCAGCCTGGGCAACATAGTGAGGCCCTGTGTCTTTAAAAAACAAACAAACAAACAAAAAACTATAATAAAGGATTTTTGCATCTCATTTCATAGGTTACTATGACATCCGATTTCATAGGTTAAAAAAACCACCGCGCAGAACCGCATCGTTTTCTCTGCATTGTTCTGAATGACCGTGGCTGCTGCCTTTTTCTTTGAGCCTCTCTGTCCACTAACACACTCCCCACACACTAGCGTGCTGCCCACGCAGAGCCCACTTTGGCTCTCTCCACATCTTTAGTTTTTCCATCCTCACTAATTTACATCACTATTTTATTTTTTTTTTAATTAAACAGGAAAGAGCCAGACTTCTCAGAGGTCAGTCTGTTCAACAAGTGGGACCCCAGGGCCTTCTGTATGTTCAGCAAAGAGAGCTTGCAGTGACCTCCCCAAAGGATGGTAGGTTAGGAAGCAGTGAATTGGGCGTTATCCCAAAAGGCTATTGGATATTTTATTTTATTTCTTTTTTAAACAGGCTCCATCTCCATTCTGGGTTCTGATGATGCCACTACTTGTCACATTGTGGTCCTGAGGCACACAGGTATGATGAGAGAGGTGAAGGAAACCATTACTTAAACTGACCCAACCTTTGGGACCATTGAATTTCTCGTGTTGAGTTTCCTGGTGTCTTGTTGGAAGCGGACTCCGCTTACCTTTTTTCTGGTCTGCATGGTGTCTCCCTGGTGTCCTGGTCAGAATGGGTTGGCTGGGGAGCACAGACCTGTCCGTTTTTCCCCTACAGGATATTCAAAGATGAGGCGGTCCGGAGGGACAGGCGGAGTCTCGGCCTGCGCACTGCACTCGCATCAGGGAATAACTTGAGTCCTTTCACCCTTGTTCTTCAGGTAATGGGGCCACCTGCTTGACACATTGTGACGGAACCGACACCAAAGCTGAGGTCCCCTTGATCATGAACTCCATAAAATCCTTTTCTGACCACGCTCAATGTGGAAGGTGAGATCTACGCTGCTCTCATAGGTGAATTGAGATCTTGGAACCGTCGCATACAGGACGTGGCTGTGGAAGCTGTTAGGGGAACACAGGATGCCACCACTGCCGTGTCTGCCTCGTTCCCCTGGAACAGAACCTGGCACGACGTGGGCACTGCGTCAGCAGTGGTTGAGTGAATGAGTGGGTGCTGGGCACAGGCAAGGAGTCTGTGCTGGATTTGAGATGGAAGGCTTGACTTTGAACTTGATGTCGTCTCAGGAACGTCGAGGTTGCGATTTTCACATCGTTTTGCTCTCCCCCGGGTGTGGTAGCTCTCCATGCAGTCATTCCTCCCGCAGTTGCTTGTTAAATGCTTCCTCTCACCTACACCTTGTAGTTTCTAGGGACACAGCAGTGAAGAGTAGACAGAAAGCCCGGCCCAAGGTGTTTGTATTCCGAAGCCGAGAGACTGTACACAAGATGGGGTGTTGGGTGGTGAGGCGGGGCTGTGGAGAAAACGAGGCCAGGAAGATGTGGGGACCGCTAGGGGGCGAGGCATGTAGTTTTTTTTCTTGTTCTCTTTTTGTTGTTGAGATAGGGTCTTGCTGTGTCGCCCTGTCTGGAGCACAGTTGTGTGATCTCAGCTTACTGCAGCCTTGACTTTGTGGACTCAGGTGATTCTCCGACCTCAGCCTCCCAAGTAGCTGGGACCACAGGTGTACACCACCATACCCAGCTAGCTTTTTTTTTTTTTTTTTTTTTTTTTTGGTAGAGACAGGGTTTTGCCAAGTTGCCCAGGCCGGTCTTAAACTCTTGGGCTCAAGTGATCCTCCCAGCTGAGGGGTATAGTTTTAAATTCCAGCAGATTGGTAGTTTCCCCAAGGATTGCTGGATAAGAAGCGGCCTCTAGCCTGGGTGCCCCCACAGCACCTCATCCTCTCTCACTGCAGTAAAGTAGCCGCTGCCTCCATTTGACAGAGACGGGCAACTGAGGCTCGATGTGCTGGAGCACACAGGAGCTAGGTGGAGGCCGACGACACAGGCCTGCTGTCAAGACCACTGTTCACACACCTGTCCCCTCTCCTTGCTCTTTGTGGAGACCTGGCAGGTGTTGCTCTCATTTTACTGGAAGTCTAAGGCAGCCATTGAGTGAACTACTCCCATCATATACGAAGGCTTAATCCTAGGAGTCTAAAAAGGAAAGAGAGAGTTCTCTGGGAGAGATTTGCTAGTCAATACTGGTCGATTCTAAATTCTCCCTCTGTGGTCTGTGCCAAGGCTGGGCTGGCTTCATGGACACGTGACCCATGCAGGCCCAAAATGGTATTTTCATTTTCCTATCATCTTGGCCCCCGCAGGGGGACGTAATCAATGCCATTATGTTGCCACACACTCTGCTCCGTGGTTCTCAGAACGTGCTTGTCAGCTCTTCCTGATCTGTTGTAGAACTGTGATCGCTCAGGGAGTCAGAGGCAAACCTGGTGGCCCAGTGGCAAAGCCATGGTGGTCGCAGCTCTCCTTACTGCTACTACTTGGAGTTTATTATGAGGCCCCTTGAGGCTGTGCCCTATGTTGGGTACATCCAAGCTTCTGGTTCATCCCTTAGGAAGATTTTGTGTCTGAGAAGGCAGCGTAAAGTCTGGCAACACTTTGCCGAGCGTGAATTCGCCCACTTGACGGGCTGTGGAAAAGGGGGTTAGTAGATGAGTGTGGGAAACACTGGGTTCAAGAAAGTTAGTTGGATTTTTCAGTCGCAGGACTTCTCAAGAGCTTCACTGTGCAATGCGCAGTGTGACTCCTAAGGAGGGCTTCCAGCAGGCAGTTGCCCAGTCTTTTTGTTTTGTTTTGTTTTTGTTTTAGAGCCGGGGTTTCACCCTGTCACCCAGGCTAGTCTCAAACTTCTGGGCTGAAGCATTCCTTCCACCTCTGCCTCCCGCGTAGCTGGGAATAGAGGTATATGCCAGCACACCTGGCCTCAAACCTTTTTTTTTTTTTTTTGAGACAGAGTCTGGCTCTGTCACCCAGGCTGGCATGCAGTGATGCAATCTTGGCTCACTGCAACCTCTGCCTCCTGGGTCCAAGTGATTCTCCTGCCTCAGCCTCCCGAGTAGCCGGGATTACAGACGCCCACCACCACGCCCAACTTACTTATTTATTTTTTCCCCCTGAGACGGAGTCTTGCTCGATTGCCCAGAGCTGGAGTGCAGTGGCGCGATCTCAGCTCACTGCAACCTCTGCCTCCCAGGTTCAAGCAATTCTCCTGCCTCAGCTTCCCGAGTAGCTGGGATTACAGGTGTGCCACCATGCCCGGCTAATTTCTTTTCTTTTTTTTTTTTTTTTTGAGATAGAGTCTTACTCTGTAGCCCAAGCTGGAGTGCAGTGGCACGATCTTGACTCACTGCAACCTCTGCCTCCCAGGGTCAAGCAGTTCTCCTGCCTTAGCCTCCCAAGTAGCTGGGACTACAGGCACATGCCATAATGTCCAGCTAATTTTTTTTTGTATTTTAGTAGAGATGGAGTTTTACCTTGTTGCCCAGGCTGGTTGCAAACTCCTGAGCTCAAGCAATCTGCCCGCCTCAGCCTCCCAAAGTGCTGGGATTACAGGCGTGAGCCACTGCGCCCGGCCTAATTTTTGTATTTTTAGTAGAGATGGGGTTTTACCATGTTGGCCAGGCTGGTCTCAAGACTCCTAACCTCAAGTGATCCGCCCACCTCAGCCTCCCAAAGTGCTAGGATTACAGATGTGAGCCACTGCACCTGTCCTGTGCCTGTGCTCTTCCAGAGCAAAGTTCCCCACTGGTGCATGGAGGCGGCATCACATTTGTGTTCAGATACGGATCCCCTCAGTCATCAGGGCCCCTGGGCAGGGTCCCCAGAAGCTCGCCACTGGCCTTGGCAGTGTGCTGCCGATACTTTCTTTTGCGGTGGCACGAAGATGACCTGCAGCTCTGCTGTAGAGCAAGTGTTCATGGAAACTGAGAATGAAAGTTCAAAGTGAGACCAGCGCACGCACCGGTGTCTTCTTCTGGCCTCTGACCCGTCTCATCTCTTTGCCAGGCTGGAAGTACACCTTGTTGGAGGCTTCAGTGACGACAGGCAGTTGTCACAAAAACTCACTCATCAACTTCTTAGTAAGTTCATTTTTTTTTTCTTTCCCCCAAATTGGACATAAATATGTACCCATATTTGCTTGGGTTAAAAATCCCAATTGGTACAAAACCCAAGAAGGGCACACCCACTTGGAGCAGCACAGAGAAACAGACTGCCCAGCTTGGAATTTCACAGAAAGACTGAATGCGTGGAGCTCATGTGTAGGGAGGGGTAGCAGGGCTGGGGACAAGATTTTCTACTAAAACAGCAGTGAACACATTCCAAAATAGTAAGTGCTCTGAATTGTGTGAAAGCAGAGCCACCCTCCCTCCTGGCAAAAATGTCCATTTTAATCTGCAGAAAATTAAAACACTGATGATACCATTTTTTCCCTATTAGCAAATTTTTTCTTTTTTTTTCTTTTTTTGAGATGTAGTCTTGCTCTGTTGCCCAAGTTGGAGTGCAGTAGCATGATCTCGGCTCACTGCAAGCTCTGCCTCCTGGGTTCAAGCAATTCTCTTGCCTCACCCTCCTGAGTAGCTGGGATCACAGGCGTGCGCCACCACACCCACCTAATTTTTGTATTTTTGGTAGAAATGGGGTTTCACCATGTTGGCCAGGCTGGTTGTGAACTCCCGACCTGGTGATGCACCTGCCTCGGCCTCTTAAAGTGCTGGGATTACAGGTGTGAGTCACCACACCTGGCCTAAATTAGCAAATATTTTCAAAAAAGAAAGAAAGAAAACATTGTCGTGTGTTGACTAACCACCAGGCCATGAAGCAAGCTTACTCATATGATGGTACAGCCTGTCTGGGAAGCAATTTGGCATCATGACTGAAGGCCTCACTCTGCCACTCAGGCTGTAGTGCAGTGGCGCCATCATGGCTCACTGCAGCCTCAACCTACTGGGCTCAAGTGATCCTCCCTCCTCAGCCTCCCAAGTAGCTGTGACTAGGTGCATGCCACCATGCCCAGCTGATTTTTAAATTTTTTGTGGAGACAGGGTCTCGCCATAACTCTTAAAAAAGGTTCATATCCGGCCGGGCACGGTGGCTCATGCCTGTAATCCCAGCACTTTGGGAGGCCAAGGCAGGTGGATCACCTAAGGTCAGGAGTTCGACACCAGCCTGGGCAACATGGTGAAACTCTGTCTCTACTAAAATTACAAAAATTAGGCCGGGTGCGGTGGCTCATGCCTGTAATCCCAGCACTTTGGGAGTTCAAGGCAGGCCGATCACTTGAGGTCAGAAGTTCAAGACCAGCCTGACCAACATGGAGAAACCCCGTCTCTACTAAAAATACAAAATTAGCCAGGCATGGTGGTGCATGCCTGTAATCCCAGCTACTTGGGAGGCTGAGGCAGGAGAACCGCTTGAACCCGGGAGGTATAGGTTGCGGTGAGCTGAGATCACACCATTGCACTCCAGCATGGGCATCAAGAGCTAAACTCCATCTCAAAAAAAAAAAAAAAAAAATTAGCTGGGCATGGTGGCGCACGCCTGTAATCCCAGCTATTCAGGAGGCTGAGGCAGGAGAATCGCTTGAATCTAGGAGGTGGAGGTTGCAGTGAGCTGAGATCACACCACTGCACTCCAGCCTGGGTGACAGAGCGAGACTTCGTCTCAATAAATAAATAAATAAATAAATAAATAAATAAATAAATAGTTCATCCTTTGACCCAGTAATTCCCCTTGTGGAAATATATGCTAAGAAAATAATCTGAAATGTGCATAGAGATTTGAACCTGAAGATGAGCGGTAGAACATTACTTATAACAGGAAATCTGGTGTCATCAGAATAATAATTATGTAGTCGCTAAAAAATAACACATGAAAGGGTGAGAATTACATGGGAAAATACCTATGCACAAGCAAATCAGGATATAAAATTGTCGACTGGGCGCAGTGGCTCATTCCTGTAATCCCAGAACTTTGGGCAGCCGAGGCAGGTGGATCACTTTAGGTCACGAGTTCGAGACCAGCCTGGCCAACATGGTGAAACCCCATCTGTCTCTACTGAAAATACAAAAATTAGCCAGGCATGGTGGCGCAAGTCTGTAATCCCAGCTACTTGGGAGGCTGAGGCAGGAAAATCGCTTGAACCTGGGAGGTGGAGACTGCGATGAGCAGAGATCGCTCCACTGCACTCCAGCCTGGGTGACAGAGCAAGACTCCATCTCAAAAAAAAAAAAAAAAAAGATATAAAATTGTCTTTATAGTCAGCTCTGCTGAGCTTAGAAAAATATGGAAGAAAATACACTAATTATTAACAGTGTTAGGATTATGGACATTAAAAACCGACTTCCTTATGTTCTCTTGTATTTTTCAGATCTGTTACAGTGGCCAGATTTTTGTTTTTGTAATTCTGATAATCAGGAAAACAGTTTAGTTAGGAGAAAAGTAAAAATCTTATAAATCCATGGGTCCCCGCAAAACTCTCAGAATGAAGAGAAAAATGGGAAGGCTCAGCCCAGGCTCCTTCGGGCCTGAGGCTGAGAATGTGGCCATCTCCTGGCGGTCAGGGTTCTGTGGTGTCAGCTCCCTAGTGTCTGGCCCCATAGGCCAGGCTGTGGCAGTGTGGGCGCGGGCTGTAGGGCGGAGCACACTCAGTTGGCTGCCGTCCCTCCCTGTCGTTGGCTTGCTCAGCAGTTTGTTCTGGTAACTAGAGGAACTTTTCTGACTTCTGGTCTTAAAATTCTCATCATAGGTGAATTTGACAGGCAAGAAGATGACATTCACTTAGTGACATTATGTGTGACAGGTAAGTCCTGCCATTTGCCCCAAAGCAAAGATGTGGGTCTCAGGACCGTTTTGTCCCCAGTCTTGCAGTGGGCCCAAGCACCGGCACACACTGCTGTCACTGCTTGGCCACCATCTGTTCCGGCTCTTCCTGTGGTGGGATGGCCTTCCCCTTCCCCTTGCCCTCGTCCACCATCTGCCGAGCCTCAGTTCCAGTGCAGCCCCCTCGTCTCCCAGGAAGGAGGGCACTGGATCTCAGAGGAGCTGCCACCCGTGTGGCAGACAGGGTGCACAGAGAAGGTGGGGTGGGAGTGGGGACCGATTCTGCAGCTGCCAGTTTGTTCAGTATAAACCCCCCTGCCTTGGGACAGGGTAGGGAAACAGGGCCACAATCCCTTTCATTTTCTGGAATTTTCCTCCCTTTCTGCATTGAGGAGCTCCTCCTTCGCCTTTATTATACAAAGTAAAAATAATCATTTGGTATTTCTTTAAAAAGTGTATCTTAAACATTCTTATTTTGTAGAATTAAATGACCGGGAAGAAAACGAAAACCACTTTCCAGTAATATATGGCATTGGTAAGTAGTGTGCATCTTTTGTGGGTTGGAGTCTTGGTCACATGTGCAGTTAAAGTCTAATTCAGCAAACCAATGACCCCACTGCTGTCAGGATGGGACAGCTTTGGGTTCAGATCCCAGCTACTCCGAACATCTGCTGTGAGGCCTTGGGCAAGTAGCTTAACTTCTCTAAGCTTTACCTATAAAACTGAGATAACATTCACTTCTTAAGACTTTGAAGAAGCAACGTGGTAGCAAATAGAAAGGACAGGCCATGCCCACCCTTCCCAGGAGCTGGGAAAGTGCCTGGTTTTGTTTCCCTCTCCCCCCAGCACCCCAGGCCCGGCGTGCTTTTCTCCTGCCAGTGCTCTGGGGGAGGAAGGCAGGCACTGGAATCCTTTTATACATCAGGAACTGAGGAAGGTTTTGCTTGAGAACAGAAATCCTCCAAAGTGTAAAACTCTTAGGCTAGAGAAAACCTAGAACCATCCTCCCTGCTTGGCAGCCCCAGGACTCCCGCGGAAAAGGCATCATGGAATCGGCTCTATTTCCGAGGGCTTCTGCTGTAGCGGTGATACTTGATTGATTTAGCTGGGTGGTAGGTACACAGTGTTCACTGTTCTATTCTCTGTAACTTCGTGTATGTATAAAATACTAAATTGTGAAGATTCAAACAGAACGATCACAGTTCACCCAGCCACCCCTGGCCGTACACCAGTAGGGATGACCAGAGGTTTTGCTACATGTCCGACTGAAGGAATGGCTGCCTCCCATGTGGAAAGCAGCTCTTGGTTTAGAACAAAATCTCACCGAGTCCAGCTCGAGCCTCAGCGATTTTCACCGAGATGCTTGGGGTAAAGGTTGCATTTTCCCCCTCCAGGGAGGGGGAAGTCCAGATACTTAGGAGCCATTCTGTTCACTTTCCTATCTTTCTCTTAGGAGTGGTGGTAGAAATGTAAGACTGTGCAGACTTTCCGCTTTGGTCTTTTGTCAATTCAGAGTCATCCTGTTGTCCCTCACAGCTGTCAACATTAAGACTGCAGAGATTTACAGAGCATCCTTTCAAGATCGGGGTCCGGAGGAGCAGCTTCGTGCTGCGCGAACTTTAGCAGGAGGACCAGTGAGTTTCAAATCATCTTTGTTAAGGGGTTAAAAAAAAAAAGGCATCAAATGTCAAGGCCTTAAGTTTTTGGGATCTTAGAAAAGTTTATGCTGTCAGCTTCTTTATAGCCGTACATTATCAGGGACCAGCACATACATATACCCCTCCCCACACTTGCTGTCTCAAAATAGTAATGAACATCTTTAGGTCATCAGCTCCAGTTCTCTGCCTAAAAGGTGTGGGAGGTAAGTGTGAACCCCAGCATCCGAATTCAAAGAGAACAAACTTCTGTTACTTTGTAAGAGCTTTTCTATAAAGTTCTACAAAGAGAGGAGAACTGGGACGCAGGAGAGAGGTTTCTCCCCTCTGCACTCAGGACTATGCATTCTTTTGGACCGGGTCACTGAAGAGCAATTTGCTGGAACAATTTAATTAACCCAAAATAATGATCAAATTAATTTAAAGTCTGATTCCCTTAGGGTGCTTAATTAAATTACACTGTAATTTTAAAAGTTAGAAAACTGAAAACCCAAGGTTTATATGCCATTTGAGGAATGGGTGAAAGAATTCTTTAAAAATGCTCAAAGTGTGAAAAAACGGAAATCACATTCAGGCCACCCCAAAGAAATCTTCTCATTTATGAAATGCTGATGTTTTCACTGGGAAATGTGTTTGGATTCGGAGCCAACCCTTTTAACATTTTTAGGACTTCTCAAGGAGTGTAACAGGCCTAGTTTAGTTGATATTCAGAACATATTTCAGTGTCAGTTACCAAAGTGAATATTGCTAGGTAAGCTGAGGCTGCCATTGGCAAATTTGGGAATTCAGGGACTGGATCATTTGGCAAATTAGCTTCTTCTTTTGATGGGGCAGCAGGCACTGTATGCTTTTAAATTGCAAGGTGATCAGTTGTTTGGGGTATAAATAATGAGGCAATGGGAACACAGACTTTAGTCAGAAGCGCCTGGGTTTGAGGTCCAGCTCTGAGGCTTACTGGACACGTGACCTGGGAAATGGGCCTTGTTTCTCTGAGCCTCAAGTTTTCACCCCAAATGGGAAAAAACACCCTCGTCCTGTGGGACTGCTGTTGGCGCTCAGCAGTCGTGCGTGCCCCACAGTGTGCAGAAGCAGACACACTGGACGTGTTCAGTAGCTGGCAGCTTTTGTTATTTGAGACAGGTTTTAAGAAGCTTAGGCAGATAAATGCATGAAAGGACTACACTGGAGCTTGCGTTACTGGGAGGGTTTGAAAAGTGGGTGACATTCCTGAAATTCTATCCTTGACACGTTCTTTTTTAGATGATTAGCATTTATGATGCAGAGACAGAACAACTTCGTATAGGACCGTACTCCTGGACACCATTTCCACATGTGGATTTCTGGTTGCACCAAGATGACAAGCAAATACTAGAGGTGAGAGTTTACAGGCTGGGTAAGTCTTAAATCTCTGCACCCTGGTTTCCCCATCTGTAAGAAAAAAAGGGTTTAGACCAGGTCATAGCTGCTTTCCCTTTGGCGGGTAGTAACTTTTTGGATGCCATTGACAGACCCCATTTAACTTGTATATCAAATGGGGATATGTCAAGTCCTAGATGGAAATGTGTGTGGGTAAAGCAGTAAGCAATCAACTTTTTTCTTACTAATTCAGGCCACCTCATTTCTTAACGTATTTTATTATATATATTTGTGTCCAAGAACAAAGATACTTTGACATCTTTATCACAGCAGGGGACAGTAAGGTTGGCTTCTCTAATGCCCACCATCTTGTGTTTTCAGAATCTTTCCACTTCGCCTCTGGCTGAGCCACCCCACTTTGTTGAACATATTAGATCTACCTTGATGTTTTTAAAAAAACACCCATCTCCAGCTCACACACTGTTTTCTGGAAATAAAGCCCTACTCTACAAAAAAAATGAAGATGGCTTGTGGGAAAAGATCTCTTCTCCAGGAAGTTAAAAAACATGAATTACCAAAGAAAGCACCTTCTTGGCCTGACAGACCATTGGTGGGGCTGGCACGAATCCAGATCTGGATCCTACATCTGTTGGGTCTTAGGCCTCCTTCCCTCCTCAGTGTCTTTCAAATGACTTTCATCAAATGACTTTCAAAATAAAACCTTATTTTGGCAAAGGCATTTGTTGAGACTTATTTTTTGGTTTACTAAAAAATTGATGTCCAGTTTTTTTTTTGGTCGGTAATAACGGGCAGAGGAGAACCTACCTCTCACTGGTCTATCGGCAGCTATTTCAGGTACGTGGGTAAGTCTTTTGTAATAAGATTTATAAACTGAATTCACTGGTAACAATTTCAAGAACCTTTATTGAAACCAACATTCAAATAATATCTCAAGGGTGAAATGTTTCAGCAAAACCAATTTAACAATTCCAAATATATATAAAAACATGTAATTTTCTTGAAGGTGATAATTTACCCCTCCCCCATTTTATCTGCTATACTTCATTGCACCAAATAGGGAAGACTGTTTAATCATCTGCACCAAAAAAAACCCCCTGCATTTTGACAAGTGTAAATGTCAAAAATCCCATCAAATCAGAGTATAATTATAGGCTTAATATACTATAACTAAGGCTTCCAATACTACAGTCCAGAAACCCAGTGTGAATTTTCCCATTTTCAGGTCTCCCAAAAGCTTGACTGCTGGATTAAGAAGGCACAGGGGCCATTACTTACGACAAAGTGACGCAGTACTTCGGAAAAGTAGGAACGGGCAGTGCCAGCGAGCTTCTACTGACTTAAGCAGGGTGCCCGGCTGGATCAGCGTGAGAGAGTGCTCTGCTGGCTCCTGTTTCTGAGTTGGGCCCAGGCGAGCTGCCAGGGCAGTAGAAGCTTCAGTGGGAGACAGGTCAAAGGGGTACTTGTTTTCAGATTTTAACCAGGTGGGTGCTACGTAGCACACGGAAGAGCAAGCTCTTAAGGGTAGCATCTATCAGGTTTTCAGATACTAAACAGAAATGAGCACAGTCTGTACTTGTGTGCCAATTTTAAAAGCTTTGCCAGTATTTAAAAATATATGGTCAGGAGGAGACTTTACAGTTTCTCTTTACAAACGGTATATAATGGGAGAAATGGCCTTGTGGCAGAGGACAGTCCCAGACAGCAGCCTTGCCACAGCTCAAGTAGACACAGTCCTTACTAAGTCTCCACGAAGAGCAGTAGCTGGGGAGGGCTTCTGATGCTCTTATTTACAATCCCACAATCACTGCTCTCCTTCAAGTCTAGCAGTCCCACTGTATATTGCAACTTGATCGTACTAAAGACCGACAGCAAAGGATACAGCCAGTCTCGCCTCTGTGAAGTGTTGCAGAGAACCTGGAGAGTGCTAATGAAAAGCTGTTTTACCAAAAAGTTGCCACGGGCAACCTCATATACTTAGGCTTATGTTTAGAAAGAGCAAGGGTGCTACTGGTAGACACTTGAAATTCGAAGTGTTTTTTGTGAATAAAATGTGTTTATGGTAACTTAGGGAAAAGTCGTAGTAGGACAGCAAACATGTGGTTCTACATGTACATGAAGTTAGACAAGCTGACTCCCCTCCTAGAAAGCCTACCTTTCAGGCACATATTTGTGCCAAAATCCCAGTGAAGCACAAACAACAGTAATTTATATTAGTATGTGGCACAGTTCACATTTCCAATAGAACTTCATCTTCCCTGAAACAATACTCAGTACAGTCTCAAACCACACAATGAGTCTCATCTTAAGCTCTCCGGTCCTTCTACCTGTGAGTGGTCATCTTCTGGGTGTGGGACCCCTTTCTGGAAGGCCTCGGTCTGGTCGGTGTGCTGAGGGCTGGGAGCCCCTGGGTGTCCCTCAGTGCTGCTGGCCTCGAGGGTGATCTGCTCCGGCCCACTGGATAGGCGCTCCACCTTTTCTAAGTCTTCAATATGACTGACTGAGCTGGTCTCACTCAAAGCATCTGAACCTCGCAGGGACCTTTTAAAAGGCTTCTGGCCTACAGAAAGGGCAGACAGACTGCGCTGAAACTCAGTGAGGATACTTCTGCAACACAGGCTGTCTCTGCAACAGATAATTGCTTTATTTCACAACACAGCTTCAGCAGAAACCTTTACTGGCTCTGAGGTGTTTTAGGAGATGAGAAAACCGAGAGCTGCTAGCTTGACACCAACATGCTCCCCAGGCCGGGGAACTCTAAGGTCATCTTCATTAGGAAACGCCCAGGAGGGTAAACACCACAGTGACAATGTCATCTTTCAAGACCCCAACTTCCCCTTAGCGCACTACCGTGGGATTTCTTCAAGGCTGAATCCCACGGCTACCAAGATGGTTAAAGAGATGGTAGTAGTTGGTCTTAAGAGAAATAGACCTCTGGAGTTCAAGAACCCAGAAAACAAACGCAAGTAACAGTCAACAGGGGAAACCTGTTACCTGAACTCGGTGCAGAGGCGTCACTTACCTGGAAGCCTCTGCTTGGTGCGACTGCCCGAGGGCGTTGGAGGCAGCGTGACTCCTGCACCTTGTGCTTTGTAGACATATATGGGTTCTGTGGACTCCAGAGAGCCTGCGGGAGAGGAGAGGGCTGGGTAGAAGCTACAGGCACAGGCTGCCCTTGAAGACACCACCTGCCCTCACACAGCCTTGCTCCCCAATAACCTCCTTCCAGCCACTGAGCCTGCCACAGACTGGTGGAGAGAAGGGCACTTACGAACGTGCCGTGAGCTAGAGAAAGCCACCTCACAGGGCCAGTACCGCCAGCATCCGCCAGCAGTATGGCATAAGCACACCCAGGGAGCCAGGCCCAACAGGGAAACGTACTGTAGCCACAAGAAGTGGGTGCCTTTTTGCTGAAGGCTAAGGCTTGGCAGATTAGAAATCAGATTATCTTTTGCTTTCATGACAATGGAGTCATCGTTTCCTGGGAAAGAATGAAGGAAGGGGCTCGAGTGTAGGAAATTATTTCCTTGGTAGAACAGGAAAGGAGTCACGGACTGTTAACACCCTCCCCACATTCCAGCGGCTGAAACGCTTGCTGGCTGCCTGGTTCAAAATAAACCGTGCCAGCACTCCATGCTTCAGTCTCTGCATTGCCACTTGCAAAAGCTGTCCTCTGCTGGGGCAGAACACACATGAAGACAAGAAGTATTAACCCTGAACCAAAATGCCCAAGACACAGCACCCTGAGAGTCTGCACGGCTGAGTGGGCGTGTCCTCATGGCCTTGCGGTGGTGACAGCTGTGGAGAGTGGGTAGCTGCTTCCTTGCTGTTTCAGCCGCCAGGGTGCGGTGGGGAGGAGGACAGGGCACACCAGAACTTGTCTCCTCAGATGTCCGGCCCACACCCAGTGATGAAGAACGGGAACCAGGGCGGGATTCTCAGTGGGAAGTGTTGGGACCCAAGGGCATTTGGTGAAACCTCCCAAGGTCAGCAAGACCTGGGAAGAGGCTATGCCGTCCTACCTGCTGTCAAGTTAAAAGTTCTTCCCTTCTGTAAAGCCTGGACCGGAGAAAACCAATTCAGCACGGAGCCCACTACAGGGATCTGCCGCAACACCCCCTGCAAGACAGGACCAGAGTTCAGGGCCACCTGGCCTCACGGCGGCTCCCCCAGCCTGCTGCCCATCGGGGGCCTCACCTCTTCCAGAAGCCGTTCTTCACTTGCCTTCTGCAGCTCCACTTGAGCTTCCTGAATGCCTTTCCGAACCACTTCTGTCATGTTTTCCAGAAGCTGTGGCAAGACCAAGAAAGACATTACTTGTTTAAGGTTCTCACCTGGGGCCCAGAAGAGCTAGTAACACAGCACTGAGGGAATTTTTCAAAAGCAGGTCAATGAAATCCTGCATTGAAAAGCCGGCGTAAAACGAACAGAAACTCAAAGACAAGCGGATAACATGCTCATAGAGGCCTAGGCAGACACACCTTGGTGACCAGCCTCATTTGCTACGTATTCTTGAAAACAGAGAAGTCATAAAGTCAGGCTGGAAAGAAACCTTAAGGAGTCCACCCAGAAAGGAATGAAGCTGGCTTCTCGGCCGCATGTCCAATGGCTCGTGTCTCTCTCCTTTCAGAGCAGTCTTACCTTGGTCCCTCTTCTCTCCTTTTGAGTGATTTTTAGGGAAGTAATCATCTGTTTGGAGGATACCTTATCAGCCTTGTATCCTGGTCCTCCATGCTAAGGGACCCACAGCAGTAGGTCTATTCCTGGTGGGAAGTGCTATAGGGAAGGGGTGTAGGGGGAACCACACATACAACAGCCCATTTCATTCACCCTCAGGACACAGCTCCAGAGCAGAAGTCCTCCCTGACCTTGGTGGCAGGGGTGAATGTGTCTGCCTGAGTGTCCAGCTACCCGCCCTCTTCTCTAAGGCAGGGTTACTACACAGCGTGGCTATGTGGATCTTTCCCCCTGAGCTTGTGAGATCACTGGGGCATGGGCTGTGTCAAACCTACTTGGCATCTCTGACACCTGGCACAAGGCCCAGCTTACAGGAAACATTGACAGACTTTGAGAGACAACGAACAGACATCCCAAGGGCAGCTGCTTTCCTCGTGGCCCCTGCTGTTTGGTGGGACAAAACTCAGAAGAGGAATGAACACTGATGGGTGCTACGGACCCTCGAGTTCTCCTCTATCTCCCGGGCTGTGGCCGCAATGGTCTCCACGAGCTCAGCAGCATCGACGTTGTCGCTCGCCATGCCGACATAAAGGCAGCTCTTCATGCTCTTATACTCAGGGCCTGCAAAGGTAACGAGACAAACTTGAGTTTCTCAGTCCTCTGTCATGGGTGAGACGTGGACCTACTCTCCTGTTCAGGGTCCTGACCACACACAAAGGGGTCTCCTCCATGGAGATTCTAAGGGCGGAGAGAAAGGCCTGGCAAGGCTGCAGAAGGGGAGGGAGGTCTCAGAACCGCATCTTCGCCTGGAACCCAGCCCGAGAGGCGCTAGCCCGCTAAGGGATGAGCCGTCGTCTTCAAAGCCGGTTACCAAGTGTCCTTCCAAACCCCACAGCTGACTTACAAAGTAAGCAGTTACCTATTTTAAAGGTTAGGTCAGATTCCAGTTCATTTAACTTCTTCAGGAGTCCAGCATGGATGTTTTCCCCTTCGGGATCTGATTTCAAACTGCTCTTATCATCATTAGCATGTTCATACCTAAAACAACATCAAACCACAGCATTTCAGCTTAAAAGATCAAATGTCTCTTCTGATACAGGATTAGAAACCTCTAAATATTAGCAAGACAATGCAGTGGAACCAGTGGGCAAAAGAGCTACTGCGAGTGTCTCCAGACCACAAACTTTCTGGAAGTGTGCCAGGAGTAAAGAGAAAGTCACAGGAAAGCCTTTTTTTTTTTTTTTTAAAGCAGGGTCTCACTTGGTGGCCCAGGCTGGGGTGCAGTGGCATGATCTTGGCTCACTGCAACCTCCACCTCCTGGGCTCAGTTGATCCTTCCATCTAAGCTTCCCGAGTAGCTGGGACTACAGGTGTGCACCACCACCTCTGGCTAATTTTTGTATTTTTTCTAGAGATGGGGTTTCGCCATGTTGTCCAGGCTGGACTCAAGCTCCTGGCCTCAAGTCATCTATGCTCCTGTTGGCCTCCCAAAGTGCTGGGATTACAGGCATGAGCCACCGTGCCCAGCTGAAAGCCTAAGTCTTTAGTTCCATACAAGGTCTGGAAGTCTCATGGGCAATACAAAAAGAGGTTTGCCTCACCTCTGAAGGCGAGAAAGCAGCCATAGGACTGCACCCAGTTCTCTCCCCGAGAGCTGGGTTCTTTTTCTTACTGATTTGCAATTCTCTATATGCCCTGGATAGTAACCATTCTCAGTGAGTGATATATACCTGTTGGCATCTTCTCCTAGGTAGCTGAGAGTCGGCACCTACAGACAGAACATTCAGCAACTCCCCTCCCTGAGCGCCACGCTGGCCAAATTGCCTGCTTGCACTGTGCTTTTGTAAATGCCCAGAAAACCGAGTTGCATTTTCGTTAAGCATATTGTGACTACACGTTCATCTTGGATTTCTAAGGTGGTTCAGAAAATGACCCACTCATGTTCTTTATACAGAAAAGTCTCCAACATCAAGCGGCAGGCCAAGACTTTACCTGACAACCCCTATTCCAGACCAGTTAGGGTCATCAACATATAGGAGACCTGCTGTTGCTTCCACTTCCTGCTTGAACTCTTCACGCAACTGGAGCGTACAGCACAGCACTGGCAGTTTGCTTTCTATGCAGGCTACGAGCTGATCCACATCCTCTCCCCGAGTTCCTAAAACTGAAGATGTTCACAATGTCAGAGAAATGCTCACGAGATGGCCAATGACAAGAGGGCAGGGCTCCCTCTTCCACTACTGGGAAGGTCAAAAGCTCGAGGTACTCCAGTTACCGGGAGCCATGGAGATTTAAACAAAAAAAGGCCCTCAACACAGATATGGAAGAATTAGGGTTAGAAACAGACACAGCTGGCTGTAGCAGGTGTGGAGTGTTTCTCTCACAGATGTGGCCCACAATGACATACTCCAGTGTTAGAAATCACTCTTCCCACAGCAAGCCTACTTCAGGCAGGCTGGAGACATCACACCATAGGTTCAGCACAAAAAGGCAACCACAGATTCTGTACATTCCTATGACTGAGAGAAAGGGAAGTACTGTGGTGGGCTGCTGTCCCCACACAGGAAGGACAGGGAGATGGTGACAGCGCCGGGCCTCAGGGCTCACTGGCTTACTTTTGCAGTTTTAGAGACTAAGTATCTAGAGCTGTGGCCAGGCAATCCTTATAGTGGCCAGTGCTTTGGGAATCTGAGCCAGGAGGATCACTTAAGGCCAGGAGTTCAAGAGCAGCCTGGGTGACAGAGTGAGACCACGTCTCTATGGAAAAAAAAAAAAAAAAAAAAAATAGATGTGGTGGTGCTCGCCTGTAGTCCCAGCTCCTTGGGAGGCTGAGGCAGGGGATTGCTTGAGCCCAGGAGGTCGAGGTTGCAATGAGCTATGGTGAAGACACTGCATTCCAGCCAGGGTGACAAATGAGACCCTGTTTCTAAAAAAAAAATAAAAACCAAAACACAGATCCCCAGGCTCCATTCTAGAATCTCTGGGGGTGGGCGGCCACTGGTTGTGTGTAAAGCTCCCGGATGACTCTAATGTGCAGTGGGGAGTGAGAACCCTTGTAGTGGAAAATCGAGAGTCACAAGACATCAAAATATAGGAATTCCAGCCTGGCCAACGTGGCAAAACCCCATTTCTACAAAAAATGCAAAAATTAGTCCAGTGTGGTGGCTCATGCCTGTGGTCCCAACTCCTCGGGGGCTGAGGTGGGAAGATCACTTGAGCCCAGGAGGTCAAGGCTGCAGTGAGCCATGATCGCACCACTGCACTCCAGCCTGGGTGACAGAGCAAGACCCTGTCTCAACAACAACAAAAAAGGAATTCATGTGATGACTTTTTTTTTTTTTTTTTTTTTTTTTTTGAGATGGAGTCTCCTCTGTCCCCCAGGCTGGAGTGCAGTGGTGTAATCTCAGCTCACTGCAACCTCGGCCTCCCAGGTTCAAGTGATTCTCCTGCCTCAGCCTCCCAAGTAGCTGGGACTGCAGGTGTGTACCACCATGCCTGGCTAATTTTTTGTATTCTTAGTAGGGGCGGGATTTCACTATGTTGGCCAGGCTGGTCTCGAACTCCTGACCTCAGATGATCTGCCTGCCTTGGCCTCCCAAGGTGCTGGGATTACAGGTGTGAGCCACCATGCCCGGCCAATTCAGGTGACTTCTGAATTCTCATTCTGATTCTGGTAAGTTACATGGGAATGCTAATCTACCTAAATTTAGCCCAAAAGAAAAGAAAATGCCCCTCCAAAAAGAGCTGCTAATAACTCTAGGAGAATGGAGTATCATAAGGGCAAGCTAATCTACCCAGCAGCCCCAGAACAAAAGCAAGGGATGTCCACCAAGCCTGGTTTACCTGCTGCGGTCATCAAAGGGCTGAACCGCAAACACGTGCCCTCAGCTTCCAGATCCATGACTGTGAGGCCGCTTGCAGGCACCAGCTGCTTCAGCTGTTCTCCCAGCTGTGAGGAGGACACAATGAACACCCTCCTGTAACAAGGGACTCAGACGTCTTCAGGACCCACCCTCATCCCCTCGGCCCCAGACCAAAGAGCCTCCTGGAGAGCTGATTCCTGCTCTTTTGACTGTCTGATTACTTAGAGCAGCTTTTTAAAAACAGTAAATTTTATGGTTTTTTCTTATTAATACAAGTTCATTGTAGAAAAATTTAGGAAATACAAGTAAACAAAAAGAAGAAAATAACAATGACCCACAATATATTACTAAGCGACACCCACTGCTGACATGTGGTCTGCCCCCAGCGTCTTTTCTCCTAGTGGCGGGCAGGGAGTTGTAGTTGTTGTCATAAAACATGCTACTTGACACTGCTTAGTAACCTGCATTGATTCATTTCGTTTATGACCAGTTCCTTTCTGCTTGAGACACTCAGCTCTGTGGTCTCTCACAGCTGTGCTGAGCCCCAGCATGGATGTACCAGGACTTATCTGCCAACCCTGCTAGGCTGGGCGTGTCCAGCATTGGCTAGAACTGCTGCTGCCGCCATCCCACACTGTTCACAAGACCCTTCAGACTCAAATCCTAGAGCTGCTATTCAGTGCCCAAAACGCTATCAAAGTGCAGGCCTGGCTCCACACTGCCAGCTGCAGATGCTCGGCAGACTCTGCCTGGGGCTCCCGGCTGTGCTGCCCAGGCTCACCAGAACCCACCGCAGCTGCCCTGCAGCCCACCTTTTGCCTGTTGTCTCACAGCCTTATACAGCAGCAAGGAAAGTGAGGGAGCAATGCCAGAAGGACTTGCCAGAGGTGACCCAGCTCGTGAGGTGGTAACGCAATGGGGAACAGAACTCCAGAGCAGGCCCAGCACTGGCAGGGCGGCTCCTCCTGTGGGCCTCAGTTCCCATACACGAGCACGCGTCACCCTCACCAGCAGGTCGGATGGTGATGGACGGGGACCTGAAAGGAAAGGGGGGTGACTGCCATTCTCACCCAGCGATTCAGCGCGTCACACGAGTGCCTCTCCCGGCCGACTCCTGAAGGTGTCATGTTGGGCACTGGGACGGCTTTAAACACCGGATCTGACACCAAAACACAGAAAGGGAGTCACTCCCAGAAACACGGCTGACCAAAAAAAACACCCTCCAAACCCCACATCATTCCCATCCCAATATTAGCCCCAGGGCACTGACTCGTATTACTGAATTCTCATGTATTATCTGACAGAAGGGCTACATTTCTTTTTCCTCGTGATCTATGTAACACTTGAATACATTCACATAAGACAGAATTATTAATTTCATTTTTGAAAAGGTTTGCTTTCAAGGGATTTCAAGGGGAAACAGCAATTGTTTTAAGTTACTAACTAGTTTACCAAGCACCGTGCGAGGTCTGTGAGTGCCACGATCATCTAACTAGGCCTCACAGTGGGTGCCAACCCGTGCCAGGCACAGAGCCCGACACTTGGGACAGAAGGCAGGTAAGGTTTCTGTCATCTTGGAGCTTACATTTTAGTTGAGGAAACAGACCATAAAGAAAGAAAATCACTCCATGTGGTTGTTAGTGTCACAAGTGAAGCTGGGGGCTCTGATAGAAAATGATGGAGTCCCCTCAGGCACGATAGGCAGGGAAGGCTGAGGATGTGGATACTTAGTGGAGACCGAAATGGTGAGGAGGAGCTGGCACCAGAAGAGAGAAATGTGTGTAAGACAGAGGGAACGCCGAGTGTTAAGCCCTTGCGGTAGGAAAGGGCAGAGTGTTCTGGAGCGCGGAGAAGACTGGTCTGACTGAGGCACAACGAACAAGAGGGAGAGTGGAAGGGGGGAAGGCAGAAGCGAATTCGGGGCAGAGTGTGCAGGCCTCATGGGGCATGGGAGAGCCTGGCCTTTGTTCGACCGAAATGGTAAGATACCCAGGGGCTCTGGGCAGGGAAGTGACACTGATACGGGAGTGCTGGGAAGGGAAGAGCGTGGTCCCTTTAAATGACACAGAAGCGGGGAAGGGAAGTGCTGGGGAGAGAAAGGCGGGTCCCTGGCTAGGACTCTACCCCCACGGACCTAGGTGAGGACAAGCACTCCTGCCTTCCCCCAAATGTTGCATTTCCCAAGACCACGCTGGCCCACCACACCACCATCCTGGGCCTATAAAAACCTGAGACCCTAGTGGGCAGACAGAAGTGGCTGGATGGCCAGAGGAACACATTGGTGGAAAAAGACACAAGCGGCTGGTCATGGAGAGCAGGCCGGCAGAAGAGCACCCCGACAGGCCCCGGCAAGCCAGCAGGCCATCAACCACGGGGACGAGGCGGAGTTTGGCCAGGGCCGCTGAGCGGCCCAACTCCAAGGGAAATCTGTCTCCCTTCTGGCTCCCCCATCAGCGGAGAGCTACTTTCATTCAATAAAACCTTGCACTCATTCTCCAAGCCCACATGTGATCCCATTCTTCCGGTACACCAAGACAAGAACCTGGGATACATTAATCCCTCTGTCCTTGTGATAAGGAAGGGGGTCTAAGTGAGCTAAAACAAGCTGCCTACAGACGGCTAAATTAAAAGAGCACACTGTAACACATGCCCGCTGGAGCCTTAGGAGCTGTAAAACATTCACCCCCAGATGCTGCCATGGGGTCGGAGCCCCACAGCCTGCCCGTCTGTATGCTCTCCTAGAGGTCTGAGCAGCAGCGGGGCACTGAAGAAGCGAGCCACACCCCCATCACATGCCCTGCGAGGGGGACAAGGGAACCTTTCCGGTTTCAACACCATGTGACTTCCACTTATAACCCTCTCTGCCAGGTGGAGAATGGTCTGGAATGGGCTGTGTAGAATGTATGAAAGTCAGAGGTCAGTTGACAGGGGACAATGGCCAACCAGGTAAAAAAAGAGTGGTGCCCTGGACTAGACTGGTGGCACTTGGGTCATTCTTTAAGATACAGATTCCTGGGCACAACCTATTGACTCAAAATATGTGGGAAGTAAGACCCACAAATCTTTATGTTCAAGCAACTCTTTCTTAGCCATTCCAGCACTGGTCCAGGGACTGGCATTTGGGAACCCCTGGTTTAATCACCGCAAACTATCAGCAAATTGCTAAGGCGTTTCGGACTGTAGTTTTCATGAAAATTATTACATTTTTCTGAAATGCTGACTGAAGATTGTCAGCAATAAAAATATTTTGAACTATTTAACTTGAAATGGTATCAAATTCAAAGCCTTTAACACAGATATGAAAATAACCCTCTTTTAAAATTCACCGACCTGAGCCTGGTAATTCCTGGAAAAATCTGAACACCACCACTGGGGAGCTGAGCTCATCTTCCACCTGGAAGAATGGAAGTCTCATATCACCAAGTAACATTAAACTCCAGACGCCTTCAAAATGAAATGCTGAGTTCAAAAACTCGCTTAGAAATGCTCTATTTGTAAATAAACACACTAAAAAGTTCAGAGGTTAATTTCAGTTGCTAGAGAAAAATCAAATGTTTAGTAAAATTTTAAAAAATAACTATGAGCCAGCCTTGAGAGTACACTGTGAATTATAAGATGTTTGACACTGGTACATTGAAATTAAAGCAGGGGGAAATTTTAATAAGGGATAAACATAGGTCTAACATTAAAGATTAAAACCAGTAAGAAGCAGTGAAACTAGACTCAGTGCGGAGAGAGCCCATGCTTTCAAGAATCCCAGAAATTATGCAGGATTTATTGAAACTTAAACGGTTTTTTTAGAGATGGGGTCTTGCTATGTTGTCCAGGCTGGCCTTGAACTCTTGGCCTCAATTAATCCTCCTACTTTGGCTTTCCAAGTGTTGGGATTACAGACGTGAGACACCGTGCCTGGCCAACTAGAATTTTTCATACTCATAGAAAAAAAGAGGGGGCAACAAGTACTTTCCTCCCCTTTGCAAAACTTTCAGAACAAGATGCAAGTCCTGCTGGTGATGTAGACAAGCACAGCTGAGAACTGGATCTGTGTATTTTCTAATATATTTAATTATTATTAAAGACAGGTCGAAGACGACTAACTTCATTAGTGGGTTTCCTAACAGTTGAAAACATCCACTGCATTATGTATTATGATAATCCAGCAGCGAGTTCCTGTTTTGCATCAAACAGTATACCCTGACTTGGTCAAGCCATGGGGTCAGGGTACCGTAAGCATCCATGTCCTTGGCAGGCTCTGTGGTACTGTAGGGGAGTGTGGGTGGCCCTGGAGGGGGAAGATCTCTAAGCATCCAACAATCCCAGTACTATAGCTCTAGTAATAAAACTTATGTTCCAAGGCTCTGAGTGTGATGACTCACTGGTAGGGCCGCAACAGGAAATGCTAACTTGGAAAGACAAGAAGCAGTGGCCCAAGATCTTTTCTACTAACTTTTCAAAGGACCGTGTGGACAGTATTCATACCAAGCAGGATGTGAATTCAAATCTGCCAATTATTTAGGGGGCCAGTCCTGTGCTAAGTGCCTTCACATCTATCATCTTTAACTTTCACAGAGACAAATAAAACGTGATACTTTTAAAGGTACGGCGGCGGGCGGCAGGGGGGCGGTGCTTAATATTTAAATAGGGGCGCACGCCCAATAAGCAAGGAGGAACAAAAAGGCAACAAAATAATCCGCCCATTCTCCCATCCTCAGCTAGGAGATGGCAGAATGAGGTGAGTGCCAAGACTGCTATGAATATTATGATCATCTTTTCTTTCTTTGAACTCAGTGGTCTCAAATGTCAATGTGTGTAAGAAATAGTATACAGGGTTGGAGACACTTCTGGTTCTAGTAACGTGATAGACTGAGTGAACACTGAAGTTGTCAATTCTGAATATCTGAAATACTGGATTAAATATAACCAAGAACCAAAAAAAGGTTAAACCATGGCTGGGCTCACACCCAAAAAAAGGTGAATCCACAAAGAAGAGGAAACAGAAAGATGACTGTAAGCTGAGTGGCAGGGGATGGGAGCATGTCTGGGGCCTGGCACTGGGCTTTCAGGGCTAGGGTCTTGGGTGTTAATGCCCAGGTGAGGCACAGTGGTGAGTCTGTATAAGGCCTTTACAAACCTTCTATAGGAAAAAACAAACAGATTTGATTTCAGATAGTAGTAAGAGTGATGAAGACGACCCAGGGGGATGGAGTGATGTCTGACGGTGGGAGATGATCTTAGGGTGGCCAGGAAAGGCCTTTCTGAAGAGGTGAGATTTGAATTAAGATCTGAAAGATAAGAAACCAGTCATGAGAAGAATTGGGACTGGGGAGGCTGGGCGCTTTGGCTCATGCCTGTAATCCCAGCACTTTGGGAGGCTGAGGCGGGTGGATCACGAGGTCAAGAGTTCAAGACCAGCCTGGCCAACATGGTGAAACCCCATCTCTACTAAAAATACAGAAATTAGCTGGACATGGTGGCATGTGCCTGTAACCCCAGCTACTCGGGAGGCTGAGGCAGGAGAACTGCTTGAACAGGGACCCAGGAGGCGGAGGTTAGAGTGAGCCAAGATCGCACCACTGCACTCCAGTCTGGGCTACATAGTGAGACTCTGTCTCAAAAAAAAATAAACAGAAGAATTGGGGACGGGGGGTGGGAAACAGTGTTTCCAGGCAGAGAGAACAGCACATACAAAGGAGACTGTTGGGAGGGTTAAATGAAATAATTCATGTAAGGTACTTAGTACCACACATGAATTTCACAAGCAGCAGCTGGAATGGTGGTGATGGTGATGGTGATGATGAGGACTCACAGGCCATAATGCCTCATGGTATTAGCCAATTATTGTATCCTCTACTGAAAAAACAGCCATTGGAAGAAGGGACAGAGCAGGCTTTCTGCCTGGGCCAGTGTGGCCTACAGAGATGCTCCAAAACAACTGGTGATTAACTAGCACCACTGGGTCCCCCAATTTGAGAATAAGGGAGCAGCGATGACTGAGGAAAAGCCAAGTGCGCTCAACATGGCAGGGGCAGGAAAGCAGATGGGCCCAGCACCGCCTGGATTCTTAACAGCTTGCTCAATCTAGGCCATAATTTGCTTCTCTGTTTGCAATCAGAGGAGACCAACCGGCATACTTTCATTTGACAGTCAAGCTTGGAAAGAAAATGACTCAATGTCACAGGGCCACCCTGTGGCACTGCTCAGAGCAGAGCCCAGGCCTCTGAACTTAGATTCATCCCTTCTGCTTCTCCAGTGGTCCACTTCCTCGTCCAAGGATAGAACTCCCACTGAGCTAGAACTCGGGTCAACTGGCTCCAGACTCCCACTCAGAAGGCAGAGTAGCCACACCCCCTTCAACCAAACCATGCATTTTTTTTTCTTCCTTGAGACAGGGTCTCTGTCACCCAGGCTGGAGTGCAGAGGCGCAATCTCGGCTCACTGCAACCTCCGCCTCCCGGGTTCAAGCAATTCTTTCACTTCAGCCTCCCCAGTAGCTGGGACTACAGGCGTGTGCCACCATGCGCGGCTACTTTTTGTATTTAAACCAAACCATGTTCTAAAAGAAAAATAAACCTACTGACTTGAACCCCAAATACACTCAAATGTTAAACTTAAGCATACCTTGCAGAATTGTCAAAGAAACACTCAATGAACCTATTTAAATCAGAATTTGACATATATTTCCTGAAGTTCTAAAATACCATGAAGCAAAACACAAAAACTTTCAAACCTGAACTGATCCCCATTCTCTCCTAAGTCCTTATTTCCTTGTCTAGTTATGCCTAGGGAACAATCTGTTGGATTCACTTCAGGAAGATATCAGAAGACAAGAGCAGGGCCATTTGCTTTTCTCTTTCTCCCACTTCATGCAAATGAAAACTGATGGCAGAAGGTTGCAGAAAGAGAACCCCAAAGCATTCTGAGGCACAAAGTGACTTTTCATTTTGGGAAGAAGAGTGTGCCCAAGGCCTTGGGCAGCTGAAGTCAATGGTGTTTATCTTTGTGCAATTCTGAACTTTAACACAATAAATGAAGTACATGAAAAGCACCATAGGAATTAAACATTGTATGGTTCAAATTTCTTCGCTTCAGACTCACTGTATAAATATAAGCAGGTTTTTTTGTTTTTGTTTTTTGTTTCGTTTTTTTGTTTTGTTTTTTTACTGGAGCTGCCACAATTCCACTGAAATGTGGAGAAAATCATTCTAAAGTTCTAAAATCATTCAAAGTTGCTGAGGTTCAAAAAAAGTTATATTTTGAAAACAGATGAACTTATATACTATACCAAGATTTTGATGTAATTCACTTTCTTCAAACTTTCCTGCAACCGTTGACTCTGCAAATGACAAAAAATAACACATGTAATTAGATGGACGTGGGACATGAAGAAGTGGTTTTCACCAGGGGCTGTGGAGGTCTGTGAACACGGATGTCAGGCAAAGTCACCTGCCACTTGGTGGTTTCTAAGTTCAGCCACCTGTTTTTGTATTTCAACAACTGTAAATATTCACCAATCCTTCAAGTTACATGTAGTAATTCAAGAAAAGCAGTTTCTAATAAGACATGGAAATCTGTTGTATTTGCAATGTAAGTCTGTCATTCAAAAGCTACTGAGTATAAACACGTGCAAGGCACAGTACTGAACACTAGGGGAGACCAACGACAAATGAGAGGATGCAGCACGCTCAAGAGCTGGTGATAAGAGCACAGTGCTGCCACTCATCACCTGCAGGACCACGGCTAAGTCAATTCATCTGCCAGTCACCAGCTATGTAACCTGTCTATGCTTCAGTTCCCTCAATTATAAAATGGGGAGGATAGTATGTATCTCACATTGCTGTGAGGATTAAATGAGTTGATATGCAATACAGGAAGTGCTTAGAAACAGGGTCTAGAATGTAGTGTCATTAGACTAATGTCTCAATCCCAGGTCCCTCATCACTAATCATATCTAACTCATGGGATTGGAGTATATTAATTCAACAGATATTCACTGAGTACTGGACAGTAGAAAGCCCCTCAAGAAATTCCTTTTTGTTTTCTTAAAGAAAATTAATTCTGAATACACTGTCATCAGTGGAACTGACATTCTAGTGAAGTTGCAGGGATCAAATGAGATGATGCATGAAAGTACTTCATGGTGCCTGACACTGAGGTGAATGCTCAATAACTACTGAAGACGAGAAAGAAGAGAGGGAGAAGAGAAGGAAGAGGAGGATGAGGAGGCGAATGCTGATTTACGCTCTCAGGAAATGTATGCTCCACTGTGGACTATAAGGCATGGCTATATACAGATCACCATGTCTGCTAAATGTCCAAGTAATTTAACACATGCATTTATTAGCCTGTGAGTCAGCAGCAGGACAGCATTCAAATCCTCAGGAGTATACGGTTCTGCCTGCAGGAAGATGCCAGAGCTGTGCTGACCTCAAGGGTCTGGTAGTTAATGGCATCATTCTCCCGCACTCCATAGCCACGGGATATTGAAAAAATCTCCCGAGTGCCCAAGTCGTCTCTAAACTAAGTTACTAAGGCTTCTCTTTCCTAAGAACCACATCTCAAGAAGTGAGCTAATAGCACAGTGAGACACTTTTCAAAAAATGCAGTGCTTTTGTAAACATAATGAGCATCAATCTTTTTTTCTTTTTTTTTTTTGAGACAGGGTCCTACTCTGTCGCCCAGGCTGGAGTGGAGTAGTGCAGTAGTGCTATTTGGGCTCACGGCAACCTTGACCTCCTGGGCTCAAGTGATCTTCCCACCTCAGCCTCCTGAGTAGCTGGGATCACAGGTGTGTGCCACTACACCTGGCTAATTTTTGTATTTTTTGTAGAGACAGGGTTTGACCACATTGCCCAGGCTGGTGTTGAACTCTGAGGTTTAAGTGATCCACCTGCCTTGGCCTCCCAAAGTGCTGGGATTATAGGCATGAGCCACTGCACCCAGCCCAGAGCATACTTAAAACTGTTGAACTATCCTAACATATGATGAACGAAGGGACTACTGCTAGAGCACTACGCAAATACTTTTCGTGTGTGTGTGTGTGTGTGTGTGTGTGTGTGTGTGTGTTTAGATGGTGCCACCCAGGCTGGAGTGCAGTGGCACGATCTTGGCTTACTGCAACCTCTGCCTCCCAAGTTCAAGCAATTCTCCCTGCCTCAGCCTCCTGAGTAGCTGGGACTACAGGCGCCTGCCACCATACCTGGCTAATTTTTGTATATTTAATAGAGACGGAGTCTCACCATGTTGGCCAGGCCGGTCTCAAACTCCTGACCTCAGGTGATCCACCCGCCTCGGCCTCCCAAAGTGCTGGGATTACAGGCATGAGCCACCACGCCCGGCCTATTTTTCTTTCTTTTTTTAAAAGACTGAGTTTCGCTCTGGCTGGAGTGCAGTGGCGCAATCTCGGCTCACTGCAAGCTCCGCCTTCTGGGTTCACGCCATTCTCCTGCCTCAGCCTCCCAAGTAGCTGGGACTACAGGCACCCGCCACCATGCCTGGCTAATTTTTGTATTTTTATTAGAGACAGGGTTTCACCGTGTTAGCCAGGATGGTCTTGATCTCCTGACCTCATGATCTGCCCACCTCGGCCTCCCAAAGTGCTGGGATTACAGGCGTGAGCCACTGCACCCGGCCACCTATGTTTCTTAAATATAGAAATGATACTTGAGGAAGTGCTAACTCCCCAAGAATATATTTAAAACAAAGATTTCAACCCACGTGCATAACTTACTATATGAACAGACACTACTGCAAGAGCTCTACCTGTATTCGTTCCTCGAGCCATCCTGGCAATCCTTGTCATATAATTTATATTTCACAGGTAAGAAAATGGAGGTGACGCACTTCTGAGCTTAGGGAGGGCTCAGCTCTAACCCTGAGTAAACATGACCCTGTTTTTTGGCTTTTTTTTTTTTTTTTTTTTTTGAGACGGAGCCTCGCTCTGTCACCCAGGCTGGAGTGCAGTGGCGCGATCTCGGCTCACTGCAAGCTCTGCCTCCCGGGTTCACACCATTCTCCGGCCTCAGCCTCCTGAGCAGCTGGGACTACAGGCGCCCGCCACCACGCCCAGCTAATTTTTTGTATTTTTAGTAGAGACGGGGTTTCACCGTGTTAGCCAGGATGGTCTTGATCTCATGACCTTGTGATCCACCCGCTTCAGCCTCCCAAAGTGCTGGAATTACAGGCGTGAGCCACCATGCCCAGCCTGTTTTTTTGCTTTCTAAATGCTATGATCTGAATATTTATGTCCCCACAAAATTCCTATGTGGAAACCTAATCGCAAATGAGTTGAGGCCTTTGGGAGGTCATTAGGGCATGAGGATGGAACCCTCACAAACAGGACTAGTGACCTTCTGAAAGAGGCTCAAGGGACTGTGCTCACCCCTTCTGCCATGTGAGGCCACATGCAAGGCACTATCTATGAGGAACGGGCCCGACATGGAATCTCCTGGCACCTTGATCTGAGACTTCTCACGTCCAGAACTGTAAGCAATAAATGTCTGTTGTTTATAAATTACCCACTCTAAGGTATTTTGTTATAGAAGCCTGAATGCTCTAAAACACTGAAATATAGCATAATTATATATTTTTCACAATTAGAACACACCTAAAATGGAGAGAGAATTAGAATTGTCCCCAAGAGCCCTGCAATTTGGAAACCCAAGCCAGCTGGTTTATAAAATATCCATGCCCTCCATAACCACCTTGTAACCTTCCTATTCCCTCACCGTAGTCAGTCAATCAAGGGGAACACTCGCTCCCCACCCCTCCACCTTTTGCACCCTTCTCCACTCCTTGGAAGTCATCTGTGACTTCTTTTCTGATCCCATGCTGACAGTGGTGTTCCTTTTCATCTGATTTCATCTGCACACAAATGCTGGGACAGACAACCCAGCACTTTCTCCCAGAACTTTGAACAAGAAATATTTACATGCAGGGCGATTAGTCTCTGGCTCACGAGACAGTCAATCCAGACAACACCACTCTGGATGGAAGGTACAGAAATGAGATGTTTTTCTGTCTCTGCTGTGGCCAAGGAGTCTTTCATTTAAATGTCAGGCTTCTACTCACCAGTTGACAGGCATGCTTGATCCTCTCCACAAACCCATCAAGTCCCAAGTATTGTAAAGATAACCACAGAGGCAGGGCACGGAGTTTGTCTGTGGGCTTATTTGATGTAAGACCAGCAACTAAAGTCTAAAAAAGCCAAAAGAGGTTTATTAATCAAAGCCATTGCAATCTCATAATAGAACTAACCAGCTACCATTTGCTACCCACTTAGTGTGGGCTAGATGCCATACTAGTCACTAGGCTTGCATTATCCATGTGATCTTCCAACAACTCTGTGAGCTAAGTATTCTAGGTAACTTCACTCAGAGACCTCGGTTTGTCCAAGGGTTCACAGCTCAGGAGTGGCAAAGCCAGGAAAAGCCAGTGGAAAACCCAGATGGGTCACATCCCAGAACCTAGGAGACTCCCCACTTCGAAGGTAGCTCTGAGCATCCTCAAACACCTGGCCATTATTAGCTGAGCAAGACAGCAGTGTTTTAGCAGAAATCACTTAAACCTTATTTTGCACGCTGACCTATATTATCAAGAACCACATTATTATTATTATTTTTTGTGACAGGTTTCGTTTTCATTCTGTCGCCCAGGCTGCAGTGCAGTGGTGTGATCATAGCTCACTGCAGCCTTGATCTCCAGGGCTCAATCAGCCCTCCCACATTAGCCTCATGAGTAGCTGGGACTACAGGCTCACACCACCATGCCCAGCTAATTCTTTGTTGTTGTTTTTTCTTATAGAGATGAGGTTTCACCATGTTGCCCAGGCTGGTCTCAAACTCCTAGGCTCAAGCGATCTGCCTGCCTCAACCTTCCAAAGTGCTGGGATTACAGGCATGAGCCACCATGCCTGGCCCACAACTACGATTAAAAAAAAAAAAAATGTGGCCAGGTGTGATGGCTCATGCCTGTAATCCCAGCACTTTGGGAGGCCGAGGCAGGCAGATCACCTGAGATCGCGAGTTCAACATGACCAACTTGGTGAAACACTGCCTCTACTAAAAATACAAAATAAGCCGGGCGTGGTGGCGCATGCCTGTAATCCCAGCTACTTGGGAGGCTGAGGCAAGAGAATCACTTGAACCCAGGAGGTGGAGGTTGCAGTGAGCCAAGATCATCTCACCATTGCACTCCAGCCTGGGTGACAGAGCGAGACTCCATATCAAAAAAAAAAAAAAAAAGTTAAAACCTATTGGGCAATGTGGATCAGGAGGCTTAAAACTCCCCCACTCAGTCATTCCACATCTGGGAACCTATTCTAAGGAAATAATTAGAAACACAGAAAGACGTTCACTGCTTCATTATTTCAGTAACAAAACTCTGAAAACATCCTATAAGTTCATAAATGGAGAATAATTAAATTGTGACAGAATATTATACAATCATAAAATGTCATTAAAAAAAGTCTCACAAGTTTCTCTTTAAAAAAATGAAATAGAAGTGAAATTATGGGTATTTTTCACTTTTTCCTGTATTTTTCTGGATTTTGCCCCCAAAGCCAATAATGTGTATTAGCCACACCCACTCCCTCCCCAGTGAGTGGAAACTTACCAAGGCAGGGTCATCGTGTTTATACAGTGTCACCGCAGGAACAGCTGGCAAACCCAGCCACGGGCCAGGAGTCATCGTCATGCTATCACATTTGGCTGCAGCCTACCAAAACAAGAACAACTCTTTGTTAGATTATCAGAATACACAAACCTAACACCCTCCTCCATTCATAAAAACTGTGAAGAGCCATGAGGGACTGAGTGACTTTAAATTCATTCTTAAAAACACCAATATTCAGTAAATCAACAACATACCAGCACTGATGAGGAGACATAACCCAGAGCCAATGTTGCCAGATTCACACTGGAAGAAAAAACACCAGTCCAAGAACTAATTATTTAATGTTGCTTACTCACCATGTACTTAAAAAAATAAAGGCTGTGCTGTTGCAAGTTGACACTTAAGTATATTTTTAATGTTATTAGCTTTCATTAACAGCAACAGAAGGTGTGCTTTATACATATGAAGGAAAATCCTGAAAATGCACTTTAATAAAAATGTGTCTCAGGAACTATCCCCGCTCATTTAATATAATGGGAGTATTCTTCTCTTTCATGGATCTTATTTTCCAGTTATCATTCTTTACTTAGGGATCAAAAAGAAACCTCCCTGTATGATGTGGTGGATATGGGCTACTCTGGCTGCCCACGTCCGTTCCCCCTGCTTCTCTTAATGGCCCTACAATAGCCTTCCAGGGCGCCATCTCCATTTCTTCCAGCAGAACATGAGCTTTGTGGGGAGGAGACACCACTATCTGCTCCAGAGGAGAGCAAAGAACCTCAACTATCAGAGGATTACTTCTCCCTGGCCACAGTGGCTGGTTCAATACGAGACTTCTGTTAGGACTTCCAGCTGACCACGAAGCTGGAAAGAAGGCTGGAGTTTCTGCAGCTACTTTGCACTGTAACAGGAAGATCTGTCCACAGATAGAGGAAACCAAGCCCAGTGCCTGTGACTGGGGGAGCAGAGGTGGGAGTAACACACTGGATCCTGGTTGATGTCGTGCCTGAGGCAGTCATAACACTGCTCTTTGTAGTTATGTGAGCCAGTAAGATCTCTTTGGGCTTAAGCCAATTTGGGTTATTTTGTGATCTGTGACCCAAAGAGCCCTTCGTGATAAATGTCACCAAAGTGAGAGCCTGGATGTCCAGTCCTCATAAGGACTCTGTGCAGGCCCGAATGGAGCCACCAGCCTCACCGCCGGCTTACCCCTCCACATGAAGCCATATGCCATACTGCTCACAGAGTTCTTTCAATCTCCCAATCTTGTCTGTGTGTCCTACTGCTGCCGTTCCTAGGATAAAACACATCAGGGCATTAAAAGGAACAAATGTTTTCTAAGGCTTTATACCTTAAACACTTTTATACACATTATCGCCCTAGGAGGGAAGTGACTTATTATATCCCTATTTTATTGAGATTTTCTTTGTGGAAGGACTTAAAATCAGTGTTTGTGAGTTGACTTATTACAAGCTTTGAAGAGTATGTAATCTCTATTACATGTATCTAATTGTGTCATTGAATTCTTTTATATACTTATTTTCTATCTACTTGATCTGCTGACTCATGAGAAATATATTCAAATCTCCCACCAAGATTGTGGTTTGTCAATATATACTTGTGTTACATCAGACTTTTCCTTTAGCTTTCCTTTATATATTTTAAAGTTATGTTCACAAGCATTCATAACTGTTTTTTTTTTTTTTGAGACGGAGTCTCACACTGTCGCCCAGGCTAGAGTGCAGTGGCATGATCTCAACTCTGCAACCTCCACCTCCCAGGTTCAAGCAATTCTCCTTGCCTCAGCCTCCCAAGTAGGTGGGATTACAGGCGGTGGCCACCACGCCCGGCTAATTTTTTTGTATTTTTAGTAGAGACGGGGTTTCACTACGTTGGCCAGGCTGGTCTCGAACTCCTGACCTCGTGATCCACCTGCCTCGGCCTTCCAAAGTGCTGGGATTATAAGCATGAGCCACCGTGCCCAGCAGGTATAACTGTTATTTCTTTTAGGAGATTACATCTTTCATCAATATGAAGTCTATTTTATCCCACACTAATATGGCTATGGTACTTTCATTTTGTCAGCATTTGTCCAAGATAAACTTTTCCACCTTTTTATTTTATTGTCACTTCCTGGATTATTTTGATTTAGATATGCCCTTTATAAAAATCATATAGGTGGGCTGGGCACAGTGGCTCACATCTGTAATCCCAGCACTCTGGGAGGCCCAGGCGGGTGGATCACAAGGTCAGGAGATGGAGACCATCCTGGCTAACACGGTGAAATCCCGTCTCTACTAAAAATACAAAAACAAAATTAGCCGGGTGTAGTGGTGGGCGCCTATAGTCCCAGGTACTCGCGGGGCCGAGGCGGGAGAATGGCGTGAACCTGGGAGGCAGAGCTTGTAGTGAGCCGAGATCGTGCCACTGCACTCCAGCCTGGGCAACAAAGCAAGACTCCAGCTCAAAAAACAAACAAACAAAACATATAGATGAATTTGTTTTGTTTCCACCCAGGTTCCTTGTAATACAGAACATGCATTCTGAAGCCAGCTTAAGCATATTAAGCACTTTCAGCCGCTCCCTTGGTAATTGATTGCACTACAGATTTTGCTGGGGAGATCCCTTTTCAGAGAGAGCTTAGTTAAAACGTTGAGTCAGGCATTCCCCCAACCGTCCTAAATTTCCAGTTAGCAGTAAGCCAACTAAAAAGATTTCAAACACTCACCAACGGCCTCAACAAACACAGCTAAAGAAAGTAGTTCTTTTGTAAGGTCTATGCCAGGAAAAGGGCTGAAAACTTTTTCCCCTCATACCTAAATCTACCTCAAATTAAAAAAAAAAAATCTTAACAGACACATTTAGTTTAGCTGAAACAAGATCAAATGTCAATGCATGGGCTGTGCCACAGGCTCTTCCAGCAAAATAAAAGCGTACTGCTGTGTTAGTGCCTGGATCGCATGCAGATTCTCTTTTCGTATTTCTTGGCAATGTCTGGTGACTAACCCTTGACATGTGTCTGCTGACATCTGCAACATAATCACACTGGCAAGTCACTCAGTCACATGCAAACTGCAGCCCCTCCAGTTTATCATGTGATTGAATATGGGTGAATTTGTGTTTTTAAACAATAAGGCAGGAAGTGATGGTTTTCCTGTTGGCAATAAAGTGAATATTTATGTGGTTTTTCTATTTTGTCTTTTTTTTTTTTTTTTGAGACAGAGTCTCACCCTGTTGCCCAGGCCGGAGTGCAGCAGCGCAATCTCGGCTCACTGCAATCTCAGCCTCCTGGGTTCAAGCTATTCTCCTGCCTCGGCCTCCTAAGTAGCTGGGATTACAGGTGCCTGCCACCACAACCAGCTAATTTTTATATTTTTAGTAGAGACAGGGTTTCGCCATTTTGGCCAGGCTGGTCTTGAACTCCTGACCTCAGGTGATCTTCCCGCCTTGGCCTCTCAAAGTGCTGGAATTACATGCATGAGCCACCGCACCCGGCCTAAATAAGCAGTTTTATTGTAGTATGATTTTTTTTTTTTTTTTTTTTTTTGAGACAGAGTCCCTTTCTGTCGCCCAGGCTACAGTGCGGTGGTGCGATCTTGGCTCACTGCAACCTCCACCTCCCAGGTTCAAGCGATTTTCCTGCCTCAGCCTCCCAAGTAGCTGGGACTACAGGTGCACACCACCACACCTGGCTAATTTTTGCATTTTTAGTAGAGATGGGGTTTTACCACATTGGTCAGGCTGGTCTTGAACTCCTGACCTTGTGATCTGCCTGCCTCAGCCTCCCAAAGTGCTGGGACTACAGGCATGAGCTCTCATGCTCGGCCTATTGTAGTATGATTTACATGCAACAAAACTCACTCATGTAAGTATACGGTCCAATGAGTTTTGACAAATATATAGAGCATGTAACCATCAACACAATCAAGATTCAGAATACTTCCATCAACCCCCAAATCCCATCAACCCCAATATAATTACCCTTTCCCTGACTCCTCACTGGCCCTGGAAAATCCTGATCTGCTTCTGTCACTGTAGTTTTTTGCCTTTTTTTTTTTTTTTCTTTTTTTTTTGAGATAGGGTCTCACTCTGTCGCCCAGGCTGAAGTGCAGTAGCACAATCTCGGCTCATTGCAAGCTCCGCCTCCCGGGTTCAAGCCATTCTCCTGCCTCAGCCTCTCAAGTAGCTGGGACTACAGGTGCCCACCACCACACCTGGCAAGTTTTATTTATTTACTTATTTATTTTTTACAGAAACAGAGTCTCACTCTGTCACCAAGGCTGGAGTGCAGTGGTGCGATCTCACCTCACTGCAACCTCTGCCTCCCGAGTTCATGCCATTCTCCTGCCTCGGCCTCCCAAGTAGCTAGGACTACAGGTGCCCACCACCACACCCAGCTATTTTTTTGTATTTTTAGTGGAAACGGGGTTTCACCATGTTAGCCAGGATGTCTTGATCTCCTGACCTCGTAATCTGCCCGCCTCGGCCTCCCAAAGTGCTGGGATTACAGGCTTGAGTCACTGTGCCTGGCCTGACATTATATTTTAAAGAATTTTTTTTTTTTTTTTTTAAGAAAGGATCTGGCTCTGTCACCCAGGCTGGGGTATGGTAGCACAATCTTGGCTCACTGCAACCTCTCTCTCCTGGGTTCAAGCCAACCTCCCACCAAAGCCTCTGGAGTAGCTGGGACTACAGGTACACACCACCACACCTGGCTAATGTTTAGTATTTTTTGTAGAGATTTCCTAGGGGTTTCGCCATGTTGCCCAGGCTGGTCTCGAACACCTGAGGGCAATTGATCTCGCAGTCTCAGCCTTCCCAAGTGTTGGGATTACAAGTGTGAGCCACCTGTAATTTCTCCATTCTAACAGACATGTAGTAATGTCTCATGGTGATCTTAATTTGCATTTCACTAATGACTAATGATGTTAAACATCTTTTCAAGTGCTATACATTTTCATTTTCTTTGATGAAGTATCTGCTCAAATCTGTTGTTCATTTAAAAAATTGTATTGTGGGCCGGGCACAGTGGCTCACACCTGTAATCCCAGCACTTTGGGAGGCCAAGGCAGGCAGATCACCTAAGGTCAGGAGTTCAAGACCAGCCTGGCCAACACGGTGAAACCCCATCTCTACTAAAAATACAAAAAACTAGCTAGGTGTGGTGGCACATGCCTGTAATCCCAGGTACTCGGGAGGCTAAGGCAGAAGAATCACTGGAACCCGGGAGGCAGAGGTTGCAGTGAGCCAAGATCGCACCACTGCACTCTAGTCTGGGCAACAGAATGAGACTCCATCTCCAAAAAAAAAAAAAAATTGTATTGCTTGTGTCCTTATTGAGTTGTAACAGTTCTTTATATATTTTAGATACAAGTTCTTTGTCAAACAAATGTTTTGTAGCTTCTGGGGAAAAGAATGAAAAAGAAATTTTAAAAGAAGACAGGACTGGGACAGTGGCTGGCTGAGTGTGGCGGCTCACGCCTGTAATCCCATCACTTTGGGAGGCCAAGGCAGGTGGACCACCTGAGGTCAGGAGTTTGAGACCAGCCTGGCCAACATGGCGAAATCTCGTCTCTACTAAAAATACAAAAATTAGCCCGGCATGGTGGCGTGCGCCTGTAATCCCAGCTACTCGGGAGGCTGAGGCAGGCGAATCGCTTGAACCTGGGAGGCGGAGGTTGCAGTGAGCCAAGGTCGCACCACTGCACTCCAGCCTGGGCAGCACAGCAAAACTCCATCTCAAAAACATAAAAAATAAAAATAGAAAAAGACAAAAAAAAAAAAAAAAAAAGAAAAAAATGTTTTGCAAATATTTCTCCCAGTCTGTAACTTGCCTTTCATCTTCTTAATAGGGGCTTTCAAACAGCTAATGCTTTTAATTTTTGATAAAGTACAATTTATGGTTCACATATTTTGTATCCTAAGAAATGTAACCTAAGGTCACAAAGATCTCCTGTATTTTCTTTGAGACATTTTATTGTCTTAGATCTATGCTTAGGTTGATGAACCATTTATAGTTAATATTTATATATACAGAGAATAAGATAAGGGTTAAGATTCAGTTTTTTTCCATATGGATATCCAAGCTCTAAGACCACTGATGGAAAAGATGGTCCTTTCTCCCTCGAATTACTCAGGCATCTGTAAAAACCTGAAGTGTCCATATACTTCACATGAGTCTATTTCTGAATTCTCTATTTTCTTTGGTTAATCTCACACAGTCTTACTTGCTACTTTACAGAAGTCTTGAAGTATGACAAGGTAAGTCTTCCAATTTTGTTCTTTTTCAAAATCCCTTGGGCTGTTCCTAGATCCCTTGTATTTCTATATAAACTTTAGAATTAGCTCATCAAGTTCTATTAAGAAATTGTAGCCTGCTGAGATTTTAAGATGGATCAAGTTGAATCTACAGATTAGTTTGGGAAGAACTGACTTAATACTTAGTCTTCCAACCCGTGTGTATGGCATATCATTCTTGGGTCTTCTTGAATTTCTCTCAGTAACATTCTTAGTTCTCAATGTACAGATCTTGCATATATTTTGTTAAATTTATCCATAAATTTTTCATCTTTTTTGATCCTATTATAAATGACATTTAAAATTCAATTTCCAATTCTTCTTTGCTAGTATGTAAAAATCCAGAAAATGGTTTAGATTTGATCATTAGTTCCAGTAGCTTTTCTTTAGTTTTCTATCTATACAATCATGCCTGCAAACAAAGTTTTATTTCTTCCTTTCTAATCTGTCAGTTATTTTTTTTGCCTTATTGCACTGTCTTAGATTTCAAGTATGATGCTGAATGAGATAAATGGAGCAGCAAGTGGTAGTTGCTCTGCCGCCTATAAGGTAGATATTTAAGTGTGACATCTTATGAATTTTCTTGTTTAATTTTTACAACAATCTTACAACGTCAGTACAATTATTTTTATTTATTTATTGAGATGGGGTCTTGCTATGTTACCCAGACTGGTATTGAACTTCTGAGCTTAAGCCAACATCTTGCTTGTCTCCTGAGTAGAGGGACTATAGGCATGTGCCACCACACCTGGCTTAAATGTGTCATTTAAAAATTCAGGCCAGGCACAGTGGCTCATGCCTGTAATCCCAGCAATTTGGGAGGCTGAGGCAGGCGGATCACCTGAGGTCAGGAGTTCGAGACCAGCCTGGCCAACATAGTGAAACCCTGTCTCTACTAAAAATACAAGAAATTAGCCAGATGTGGTGGCATGCACCTGTAATCCCAGCAATTCAGGAGGTTGAGGCAGGAGAAACACTTGAACCCGGGAGGCAGAGATTGCAGTGAGGTGAGATTGTGCTACTGCACTCCAGCCTGGGCAACAGAGTGAGACTCTATCTCAAAAAAATAAAATAAAATTCAGTTTAGAACAGGGAAAAGAAGTACATGAAGGAGAAGATAGAGAAGCATTTACCATCTAAATGAAAAAGTATACACACACATAAAATAACTTCCAAAACAAACCAACGATTAAAGAAAAATCTAACGAGCCAACCTTACTATTACAGTTTTTGCTACAATGTGGATATGGACTATCTTAAACATGTGGTACACACACATTTCTTAAGACTTTATCTTTTATAGGCTGAGGACGTAGCCTCGCTCCTATATATTCAAAATGGTAGATTCAGCATCATGCTACCTACCTGCATTTGCGACAAGCAACAGGGGCAGTCTTCCTCGCTCTATATCATCTTTAATCAGTTTCTCCAGGAAGGCAACATCCTGGAACCAAAACAAATCATTAAAAAATGAGGTGCCCAGTATAAAAGCTATAAAATGAAAAATTATGACTTACAAAAGAAGCAGATAACTCTCAAAAGTAATGTCAAATCAATTCTTACTCTTGACAATTTTTCTGTTTTCTCTCATCATAGATGTGAAAATCAAATAGTTTTCCTTGAAGACTAGAAAAATCAGTTAAACAAAATTAAAGGTAAAAACTGTACATATGCAGGAACATTTCTTTGATTTTAAACATTTACATTTAAATGAAATGTTCTCTTAACTCTCCTAAAACAGCCAAGAATGTATCTCTACTATTACTCACTGATGTACCTGAACTAGAAAATAAAACTACCTTGACAAAAGAAATAAAAAACTCTAAAATCCATCCCTTCCTTTTCCTTCTGGAATCATTAAGGAGAGATTTATCACCTGCATGTCTGAAAATAAGCAGAACTCAATTCCATGATGACAATGAAGAACCTCATTTTCAAAATCTGCCCATTCATAAATCCAGGCAACAGTGCTAACTCATTAAAAGTAGGAGCTTCAGAAGAAATTTCTGGTGCTTAATTGAGCTGCCATGTTTCTACTTAAAGCAGGTGATACAGTAATTACAAGACTCCTTAAAAGCCAGGTGCTCCTGACCTATATACCAACCAACCTTCATGGACATTCACATATTAACAGAAGCATATATTACACAATGTAAGGATCCAAGCAATACATGAGTAAGTTACTAATTATCTGGAGGCCAGCAAAAAGAACTTCATTTGAAAGGCAGTTTCAAAACACAATCCCACATGATTTTACAAACCAAAAGTAGAACTCACCATCTGATGCTGGGATCCAAACACAGTGTTACAGGGTACACGGCACAAGCAGGGGAAGGGCAAGCCGAGCTGCAGGAAGAAACATATGACTTGACAAGAAAGCTCTCTGCACCATTCACTTCAGATTGTGAAAGGCTGTGGCTCTAAGACAAGACACGATTATTCTTCTAAGAAATCTCTCTCCTTAGGAACTCTTAATATTATAAATTGATGTTAAAGTACATTTAGAAAGCCAAGCCGAAAAAAAAAAAGGGTGAATTTCCAAGTGCCTTATAAGAGGATATAATGTAAAATTTTCTAAATGATTCAAGTAATTATCTTTGGTATATTCTAGAATATACCAGAAACACTTTGACAAACACAGAAACAACTGGGTCGTGAGCATTTTAGTGGGGGTAATTTTGGATTCTTTCTCCAAGCATTACTGGTAAATAACACCAGCTAAAGGCATTCAAAGAACAGTATCTTATTTATGGGTTCACCCACCCCTAAAAAGTAATAAATATGGATTAGCAGATGCACATTTCTCAAGAGAAGTGAAGTCAGTGTTATGCAGGAGACAGTGATTGTCAACTTAATTTTATATTCTTCATGTTTAGCCTCCAAGTCCTTGAGGAGTTTACAGTTTTAGGAATTGTAAACAGTTGCAGCATATTGTTCTGTATGACTAAGACTTGGTAGCATTCAGAGACCAAAAATTTAATAAGCACATTTTTCTCCTTAAAGGATTAAAAATTATGAATGTGACACCCAAGTAAAACAAATCCTCAAAAAAAATACAGGTATTAAAAGTGAAAATGCCTAGCCCCCTACCCTATAAGCCACCAATCCACCCCGTTAACAGTTTAATACATAACCTTTCAGATATTTTCTAGGTATAAATTTACGTATTTTTCTAGGTACAAAAACATAGGTATAAAGGATACACACACTTTAAAAAACGTGAACATAACCATCTTATATATGCTGCTCTGCCAGCTGCCATTCCCAACAGAACACTCTTACACATCTTTTGAAGGTTAGACTGTTGTCCCCAAACAGCCTTGTGTCTGCAAGAGCCTGGCTTGCAGTAGACACTAAGTAATTCATTTCACGTTTCAGAGGATTATTATTAAACTCCCCATTTTGTACACCCCTCAAGAAGAGGACATAATTTCTTAACACCAGTGATCACAGCTCAGAATCAATTTAAAAGTCACTAAGTGTCTCCCATACATCCCCCTGGGACTCCTACAGCTTACAAAAGAGGAACCCTCCAACCCTATGGTTTTGCTTTCAAACGTTCTTGGCAAAGACGGTTAACAATGTCTTATCTCGATGTAGTCCTCCCAGTTGGGCTAGAAGCACCATGAACTTTAAAAATAGTCATGCTCGGCTGGGCGCAGTGGCTCACACCTGTAATCCCAGCACTTTGGGAGGCTGAGGTGGGCAGATCACGAGGCCAGGAGATCGACACCATCCTGGCTAACACGGTGAAACCCCATCTCTACTAAAAAAAATACAAAAAAATTATCTGGGCGTGGTGGCGGGCACCTGTAGTCCCAGCTACTTGGGAGGCTGAGGCAGGAGAATGGCATGAATCCGGGAGGCGGAGCTTGCAGTGAGCCGAGATCACGCCACTGCACTCCGGCCTGGGCGACAGAGCAAGACTCTGTCTCAAAAAAAAAAAAAAAAAAAAAAAAAAAAAGTCATGCTCTTTGATCCAGCAATTCTAGACTGACTCTGAAAATCCATCTGAGGACCATAACCCTAAATAAAATACAGGAAGAGCTTTATGCACAGAGAAGTCCTTAACAGCACTACACAAAGAACATTACCTGAAAATGGTCACAGAAAGCAAGAGAATGCAAACACTCTTAGTTGTCCAAAAGGGCAACAGTTAATTACTATATATTCACTTGAAGGAATACCATGAAGACATTAAAAATAAACTATACTTTGAAAAATTATTATTAAAATGATATATTCCTGTTTTAACAATAAGTGAAAAGAGCCAGATACAACCATATAAACACAAACACACCCCCTTCGATTAAAGTCTGGGAAAAAAGAGAAAATGTTGACTGTGGATGCCCCTGGGTAATCTATCCCATATTCCTTATTTCTAAATTCAGTAATTTTTACAAATATGACAAAAGCATATAAGACCATCTTTCTTTTCACTCAGCAAGAACAGCAACTAGACAAACGGGTCAACTTTAAAACTTTCAGAACAAAATAAGACATTATTTCTTTAAAATAGCCACCTGATACCACATTACCTGATTACAAAGGTATTGGCCCAGGCCAGGTCTAGCAGCAGCACTAAGATATATGACAGGCTTCTTGTTATATAACACATTGAAGCCATCCACTACGAAGTCTTCATATCGAGAATGAATGGCAAGCCTACATATCTTTGCAAGTCCTTCTCTTTCCTCTTCGTGGAAATAAGCACACCCATTTTCATATCTGTTAAGAGATACATATTAATATGCTCTTATTTCTAGTTAAGGATTGTATAAGTCAACCTTATAATCATGGAGACAATTCTTTTCTCAAGCTAGGAATTGTCACTTTTATCAGGCAGAGAGGACAGGAATGTGAAACATCCTCATCATAGATGGCTGACACCTCATTACAGCTGAGGTTACCAAGCAGCGAGACAATAACCCTCCATCCATACCCAATTCCATAAAGAGCAGAAACTATGAAAACAAGTAGAGACCAGGAATTCTCAGATATAAAAAGCCTGAAGATCATGGTTCTGGCTTATTATGAACTAAGGCCAGCACTGGATAACACAGGCATAGTTCATAGCAGAGTTTCAGCCCTAAAACATCCAAAGTAAATAAAACTGTCAAAAATGCTAGTTAGAGGCTGGGTGTGGTGGCTCACGCCTGTAATCTCAGCACTTTGGGAGGCCAAGGCGGGTGGATCACCTGACCAGGAGTTTTGAGACTAGCCTAGCTAACATGGTGAAACAACTGTCTCTACTAATTGCGAGGTGTGGTGGTGAGTGCCTGTAGTCCCAGCTACTCAGGAGACTGAGGCAGGAGAATCGCTTGAACCCAGGAGGTGGAGGGTGCAGTGAGCCGAGATTGTGCCACTGCACTCCAGCCTGGGTGACAGAGTAAGACTCCATCTCAAAAAAATAAAAAAGCTAGTCAGGCTAGCTTTTGGTTTTACTATAATCTGCTGAGGCTCCATCTCCTAGAGGAGGATGGACAATTTCAATTACAGGCAGTAGATTTTTACTAGAACAACAGAACACTGCTCCTTTAATAAAGTTGGGCAAACTTATACTCCTGCTTGGCCAAGTTCTTTCCCAACACTGAAAGTCAGGGTCTCTCAAGATAAATGTCTCAAGTTAGGCAAACATTCCTTCTCCATAAAAGTAACAGCATAAACCCAATGCCACTAGTCCTATGTCTCCTACTGAATCCTTCACCTGTTGTAATTCCTTAGTACTGCCAGGATTATCACAGAATAAAACAAATTTCAGTTTCATAGCACATTTTCATCTTCCTTATGACAGAGTTTTCTTTTTTTTTTTTTTTTGAGACAGAGTCTCACTCTGTCGCCCAGGCTGGAGTGCAGTGCCTCAGCGTCCAGAGGAGCTGGGACTACAGGTGCTCACTACCACGCCCGGCTAATTTTTTTGTATTTTTAGTAGAGACAGGGTTTCACCATGTTAGCCAGAATGGTCTCGATCTCCTCACCTTGTGATCCGCCCACCTCAGCCTCCCAAAGTGCTGGGATTACAGGCGTGAGCCACCGTGCCTGGCCTCAGAGTTTTCTTTCTAATAAAAACACAAGCTAATATTTTCAAAGCACAGCTGGCCCTCTGAACCTATGGGTTCTGCATCTGTGGATTCAACCAAGCATGAGTAAAAAATCTTCAGAAATTTAAAAAGATGGGTGCCTCTGTACTGAATATCTACAGACTTTTTTTCCTTGTCATTATTCCCTAAACAATACAGTGTAACAACTATTTACACAGCATTTACATCGTATTAGGTATTATATGTAATCAAGAGATTAAAGTATATGGGAAGATGTGCCTCAGTTACATGAAAATACTGTGCTATTTTATATAAGGGATTTGAGCATCCATGAATTTTTTTATCCATAGGGTGAGGATGGGAGGTCAAGAACCAATCCCCCAAGGACACCCAAGGATAAGGGACAACTGTATTTGAATCCAGATCATTGCTCTATCTTCTACCGACATGTGCCAATTAGATACCCCACAAATAAATAACTGCTGACCCTATCAAACACATATGTGCTTCTATTCTCCACCCTTCACATGTATTAGTCCATTAGCTCATTTAATCCTCACAACGCTTCTATGAAATAGGTATTAATACTATCCCCATCTAACAGATGATGAAACAGGCATTGAGAGGTTAAACACCCCTTTCAAGGAGAAGGAAATCTGAACCCAAGTAGTACAGCTCCAGAAAAAAGATCTTTCAGTCTACACCCGACTCATAAAAGTCTTCACTGGAAACTCATCATGTCTTTACCTGAAAATTCTGCATAGCCATAAGGTGGTATCTGAAAGTATCCTAGTTGTAAGTTTTCTCAGCTTCTCTTTGTCCAGAGTTGAAATATAAGCTCCCAGACTATGTCCCAACAAAGCCATATGACCTTGTTCTCCAATATTTTGGATTCTGTTAAGCAAAATTAAAGTATTAGAGTCAAACCATAAAAAAGGACATAGAACTTAGAGACACAGAATTCCACAGAAATATCTGTCAGACTCGAAATCTACTTAATGGCCCAGAAGGCAAATCAATGCATAAACAGTAGTGATAGTTTGGTGAGAATTTTTTCTATTTTTTGAGATGGAGAAAAAAATATATTTTTTTTTCTGAGATGGAGTCTCCCTCTTGATGCCCAAGCTGGGGTGCAGTGGTGCGATCTCAGCTCACTACAACCTCCACCTCCTGGGTTCACGTGATTCTCCTGTCTCAGCCTCCCGAGTAGCTGGAATTACAGGCGCGCACCACCAAGCCCGGCTAATTTTTTGTATTTTTAGTAGAGACGGGGTTTCACCATGTTGGCCAGGCTGCTCTTGAACTCCTGACTTCAGGTGATTCACCTGCCTCGGCCTCCCAAAGTGCTGGGATTACAGGCATGAGCCACTACTCCTGGCCAGAAAAATATTTTTATAATTTGAGTTCCAGGAGATAAATAGCCCTTTTTAAATTGAGTACCTACAAACTGTTTTAAAATAATTTCCTATTAAAGTATTTTAAAAATTAAATACCAGCCTTAAGAATTGTGGAGGGTAGAGCTAAGGTAAAATGAGCTGAAAGCATTTTTTAAAGAACTAAATCCTGTCCAGGCGCAGTGGCTCATGCCTGTAATCCCAGCACTTTGGGAGGCCAAGGCGGGCGGATCACGAGGTCAGGAGATTGAGACCATCCTGGCTAACATGGTGAAACCCCATCTCTACTAAAAATACAAAAAATTAGCCGGGCCTGGTGGTGGGCACCTGTAATCCCAGCTACTCAGGAGGCTGAGGCAGGAGAATGGAGTGAACCCGGGAGGCAGAGCTTGAAGTGAGCCGAAATGGCACCACTGCACTCCAGCCTGGGCAATAGAGTAAGACTCCATCTCAAAAAAAAAAAAAAAAAAGAATTAAATCTCAGGTCTATGCATCAAATAAGAATTATTTATTGCAATAATACAGCAAATTCATGGGGGACTAGGTATTATTTTATATATAATTAAAATTGATTATATAAAATGTTTTATATAGAATTAAAACTAATTTTCCTTATAAAGAATAACTGTAAAAAAGAAGGAAAAAGTTTACAATTGTTAACTGTGAATAATAAGAAAAAGACAAATCACCTAATAGGATCATGGGCAACAGACAGTTCCTAGAAATATAAATGGGTCTTAAAACATACAAAAAGACACGTCACTTGGTTCATAATTTAAAAAACCTGCAAATTCGAATTATGCTGAAACACCATTTCTCACTTATCAGATTTCTCATCAGAATATCACTTATCAATGATCCTTCAGTCTGATAACGCCTTTGCAGGTGAAAAGTGTGGAAATAAAGTACTCTCATACATTGCTGGTGGGACTGCTAAATGCCGCAACTCCATGGAGGGAAATTTGGCAGGATCTATCAAAATTACAAAAGCACACACTGTCTGAGACAGCAACTCCACTTTCAGGACTTTGTCCTCCAGACACCTGCTTCTATGAGAAGTGACACATGTCGAAAGTTGTTTGCTGCAGCAATGTTTGTAACAGTGCAACATGACAGGGGACCAATAAAATAAAATATGGTTCATCTGTTCAAAGTAAAACACATAGCTCTGACAAAGGAGAAAGTTCCTGTGCATTAATATGCAGTGAACTCCAAGACATAAGTGAAAAAATGCAAGATGCACAGCATATGCATAGTAATTATGTATTAGAGAGGGTGGGCATAGACATTTTGCTGGTGTATAATACATATAAAATCTCTCTGGAAGAATACACAAGAAACTGGTAATGTCTGTCTCTAGAGAAGAAAACATGGTAGGGAGATAGAGGTAGGAAGGAAAATTCCCTTTGTATATCATTTTTCATTGTCTGAATTTTGAACCAAGAGAATAATTTTACTTATTTCAAAACATTAAATTTAAAATAATTGAAGAGAAAACTAACTAAATACCTAATGAATACAACTACAGCAATTCTTAGGAAGCAGAAGCACAGCAGCAGAAAGACATCCGACACTCACTCTTCAGTCCTTCTGCCAGCGCCTCTCTAAGGCATGATACCATAAAAACTATGGGATCTAATTTCAATAAATGCCTTCATTTCACAAAATATATATTAATATAAATGTCTTTCTGAAAATAAAAAGGATTATTTTAATATCATATGTAACTCAATGAAATATAGCTTCTTATTTGAGCAACTTGTCAGAGCGCAATCACTACTGAAATCAAGAACACATACACTTGAAAAGAGAAGCTGCCAGGTTCATTACCTGGGGCTCTGGGGCTCCTCATCTTCATCTCCATGCATGAGATTCTGAACTAACTGGAGGATGCTCACCATATCTTGCCCACTGCAGAATAAAAAGAGTTGATGGGCTGATGGGAACAGCACACATCCCCCGCCACTCTCCCGCTACTTCCCTCATTCAACTAGCGTTGCTTCAAGTTTTTTTTTTCTTTCTTAAGCAACTATAAGAGAAAGAACGTGGTATATAGTTTATGCTTTTTAAAAAACAAAGCTCAAATTATAAACTGAATTCCGATATAAATTTACTTGTGGTTAAATAAATCTTCTACCTAATTATGAGTTTCATTTTAATAAATGTCACCAGTCTTTTTATTTTTATTTATTTATTTTGAGACAGGGTCTCACTTTGTCACCCAAGCTGGAGGGAAGTGGCATAATCTGGGCTCACTGCAACCTCTGCCTCCCGGGTTTAAGCGATCCTCCTGCCTCAGCCTCCTGAGTAGCTGAGATTACAAGCTTGCGCCACCACGCTCGGCTAATTTTTGTATTTTTAGTAGAGATGGGGTTTCACCATGTTGGCCAGACTGGTCTTCAACTCCTGGCTTCAAGTGATCCACCCTCCTCGGCCTCCCAAAGTGCTGGGATTACAGGCATGAGCCACCACGCCCAGCCGTTTTTTTATTTTTGGTAGAAACAGGGTTTTGCCATGTTGCCCAGCCTGGTCTCAAACCACCAAGCTCAAGCAATCCTCCTGCCTCAGCCTCCAATAGTGCTGGGATTACAGGCCTGAGCCACCTTGCCCAGCCACCAGTCTTGCTCTAGCAACATTTCTATACATTTCATTTGAATCTTGGAGTACAAGACAGAGAATATTTAATAAGCATGTAATAAGAGCAAAAAGGCCTTATAATATGTACTTATAATATATAAGTGTATTATATACTATACATTATATAAAATATAAAATATATTATATAAAATATAATATATAATCATCCTTAGTATAGTATAATGCTAGACAGTCACAGAACACTCCAATGCCACTGGTATATCTAATTTTCCTCCATAGGGATCTTGTCCGTTTGGACTAACAGCCTCTAACAATGCAAGCTTCATTTATTACCAGCTCTTCCCCAAGCTGGGAACCTTGAGATCTGCTTAGAGTATAAAAACATTTTACTTCTATCCAAGATGTGTTGCTATGAAATGCTCATTACATGAGGAGATGGAAAGTTACGAAAAGAATTCGAACGGCTGAAGTAGCAAGCAATGGCAAGGCAACTTGCAACAGGAATAACGCAGGGCTATTCGTCTGTTAATGAGAATAGACTAAAAAGAGGTTTCCTCTTTCAACAAAGGAAGCGCCATCAAAACAGTGTCCCCAAACCAATTGTCCCCAAGGTGCTGCCCTTCAAGTGAGAGGGGCTCTGGGCCTTGGACACTGTAGAGATCAGAGCAGGCAGGGGCCCTTGAGGCACACTGGCTGCCTGCCACATGACCTCGAGCAAGCTATTCCAACTTGCCAAGCCGGACGTTATGGATTTGGGAGGCTTCAGACAGTGAAGGTATGGCACTTAGCTGTGCCTGGCATGTTACTAGTCTTGAATGCTGGGTGGTAGCACTCCTAAGTGTGAATCCTCCTAGTCAGTGGCTTAAGGCTGAGAATTACAGATGCTGCTGGGAGTATCTCCCCTGGGAAAACTTCCGTGGAATTAGGAGACTAAACCTTAAAACCTTTGGTTTCCATCAGTAGGCCTGGAATGAGGAGATTTTATAGGGCCTGCCTCCTGTTCTGAGCTGAGAATGCACTTCACACCTAGCTTCACATCAGCATTATTCATGCTACGAATAGGAGTGACTTTTAAAGTATTAGTATCTCAGCGTGTTATTGGCACACTGTGATCCTTCCTCCATACTTTTCTTTTGCAACCTGGTTCAATTTATATTCAAGTCAAAGGATATTTAAGGGAGTTGTACTGTTTACTTATGTGCAGTTTCCTGGTTATAACAGGAAAAAAAAAAAAGTTTGTCTCAGGGAAGCTGGGCTGGGATACTAATCCCAGATTAACTGCTAATGTCTTGTGAAAATTTTAGTCAGCTACTTACTTTTTTGCTATTTTTCCTCCTACTCAAACATGACAGATTTGCTTCAGTTGCCAAAAAATAAGTAATTTGACATTTTCCTTTCATTTACATTATGAAAACAATAAATCTTATCAAATTAAAATACCTCTTAGAATAAAACTCAGTCTACCAAATAGATGACAGGTTTCAAGAGTGAACTAAGTATGACACACCAGTTATAATGATGAATTTGTATATCACTTTTATTTTATTTGATAGGGTCTCGCCATGTTGTTCAGGGTGGCCTCGAACTCCTTGACTCAAGCCATCCTCCTGCCTCAGGCTCCCAAGCAGCTGGGACTACAGGTGTGCACCACGGTGCCTAGCTCCATGTATCACTTTTGACTCATGAGGTTGTATTAAATTGTTGGTTTTCTAAAAAATTTTTGGCCAGGTGCGGTGGCTTATGCCTGTAGTCCCAGCACTTTGAGAGGCTAAGGCAGGCGGATCACCTGAGGTCAGGAGATGGAGACCGTCCTGGCCAACATGGTGAAACCCCGTCTCTACTAAAAATACAAAAATTAGCTGGGCGTGGTGGTGGGTGCCTATAATCCCAGCCACTCGGGAGGCTGAGGCAGGAGAATCACTTGAACCTGGGAGGCAGAGGTTGCAGTGAGCCGAGATCACACCACTGCACTTCAGCCTGGCGACAGAGCGAGACTCTGTCTCAAAATTAGAGAGTGTCTCTATCACTCAGGCTGGAGTGCAGTGGTACAATCACAGATCGCTGTAACCTTGAACTCCTGGGCTCAAGTGATCCTCTGTCCTTGGCCTCCCAAAGTGCTGGGATTACAGATGTGACCCACTGTACTTAGCATCTATTAAATTCCAAATGGGAGAGGGAGAGAAGCCAGCAGGTGCAGCAATATCACCAACCAGCCAACGACACTTCAGTTTTCTAATGTTATACTGCACATAAGTCTATTTAAATTTGCTATGTGTTCATTAAAACTAAAACCATAAATCAATGATGATAAGACACTGGTTTAAGAAAAATGTAGGCCGGGCACAGTGGCTCACACCTGTAATCCCAGCACTTTGGGAGGCTGAGGTGGGCAGATCACCTGAGGTGAAGGTCAGGAGTTAGAAACCAGCCTGGCCAACATGGCAAAATCCCATCTCTACTGAAAATACAAAAATTAGCCAGATATGGTGGTGCACGCCTGTAATCCCAGCTACTCGGGAGGCTGAGGCACAAGAAAGAACTGCTTGAACCCGGGAGGCGGAGGTTGCAGCGAGCCCAGATTGTGCCACTGCACACCATCCTGGGCAACAGAGCACGACTCCATCTCAGAAACAAACAAAAATTTACACCTTAACTAAAGGTATGGATCCTCAGTGCCACCTACCTGCCCTGGAGTGGGCCTGGAATATCTCCGGATATGAGCTTCTTTCCATTTTCCTCTTCTGTTCTTCTAATTTAAAGAAAAGAAAAAGCTGTTCATTTGTTTCATCATACCAAATTTCTAACTCCTGAATATGCAAACATGACCATGTTGCCTATAACCTCCCAGTGACTGAGGCAGGATTTCAAACACATTTATCACATCTCCCTGCCTCCAGTTTCAGGTATCGTTTGAATTTCTGGAAAAGACAAGAATATGCAACAAAAAAGTTCCACCCACTTCTTGTTTACTTGGTGCTCTATATGACCTGAATATATAATAAGTATTTATAGAGTCAAATCAATATATTAAGTAAATGAAACTCTTAATAGACAGAATTAAATAGTATAAGTCTTTCCTCTCAATTTCAAAATCCTTTAATTACAAGGCACCTTTTACCCAAGACAAATACCAATTTTCAAGTCAGCCAAAGCTGTGTGTGACACTGTGAAGCCAAGAGGCACCTTTAACAGAAAGGACCCAGAGCCACTGGCTTCACAGCAGGCTGAACTCGTTGAACAGGGTCACCTCTGTCCTACTCACCTCTGACTGTCCTCCAGCATCTTCACTGCCTCCTTCAAGTTTTTTCCCATTTCAGCTAACGTGGGGTCTGCTATCTGGGAAACAAAAAAAAAAAAGAAAGAAATTTTAATAATCCTCTATTACCTCTATAACACAATTCACCCAGAAAAATTAAGTGCATAATTTCTTCTGGATTTACTGTGAAATACATGATTTTAAAACTTGCAATAGTACAAAAGTATAACAGAAAAAGTAAAAATCTTCCAGCCCCACTTCCTAGAGGAAGCCGCTGTTTTTATTTTTATTTTTTGAGTTGGAGTCTTACTCTGTTGCCCAGACTAGAGTGCAATGGCATGACCTTGCTCACTGCAACCTCTGCCTCCTGGGTTCAAGTGATTCTCTTGCCTCAGCCTCCCAAGTAGCTGGGATTACAGGCACACACCACCATGCCCAGCTAATTTTTGTATTTTTAGTAGAGACGGGGGGGTTTCACCATGTTGGCCATGCTAGTCTCGAACTCTTGACCTCAAGTGATCTGCCCGCCTTGGCTTCCCAAAGTGCTGGGATTGCAGGTGTGAGCCACCGTGCCTGGCCTCCTTAAGTTCCTTTTGAATTTTAGTGCCATGTGTACACCTATCTCCCATCCAAAAAGTAAACAAAATAGAATTTAAATTTTTCTGCAGAATTATAATTTTTTCACCATTCATTCTGGGAAGAACCACGTGAGGCCAAAACCAAGGACCCTACCCTTCTTCACTTGGTACCACCTTCCCACTTGACAAGTTACAAGTCCCATGGGGGTAACCACAAGGTCCCCTCAGCCTGGCCATTGTACACAGCCCCAGGGTACCGGCAACGCATGACCTACACTCCAAGGCAACTGGACAACTTGGTCTTTGGTAAGATCACTTATGATAACAAAGTGAGTCAGCTTCGTTTCAAACAAGCAATGTGGCAGTGATACAAAGACAAGCTATTTTGACAAATATTATTTTTGAGGCAGTCGCTCTGTTACACAGGCTGGGGTACAGTGGTTTGATCGTGGCTCACTGCAGCCTTGACCTCCAGGGATCAAGTGATCCTCCCACCTCAGCCTCCTGAGTACCTGGGAATACAAGTGCTCGCCACCATGCCTGGCTAATTTTCAAAATTTTTTTGTAGATACAAGGTCTCATTATGCTGCACAGGCTGGTCTCAAACTCCTGAGCTCAAGTTATCCTTCTGCTGGGATTACAGGCTGAGCCACTGTGCCCGAACTTTTTGCAGAATTAAAACATACGCATTCCTTTCCTTTTCCTTTCTCTATTCTTAATCTCTGTAGTTATGTTTAGGGAGAAAATTCTTGTTGACTTCAATCTCTATGTAGTATGAGTTGTGTTATAACAATAAATTATATATTATATATTATATTACATATAATACATATAATATCATATATAAGTTATAGCTCTTTTGTTCCCCTCTTACTCTTCTAAGTGTGCTGCTTAAAGGAAGAGCTGTGTTTACCTTTTCCTATTGCTCACTGTATCTAGCAATATGTTACAGCATGGCATACAATACGTACGTATTTAAAACTGCATTGCCTCCTCAAAATTGTTTTTAAGAAATTCCACTCCATTTATCAATATAAGATTCAGAAATTGTTACATTCTAGAAGGGACCTAAGGGATCTAGTCCAGGGATTTTCCAGCTGTGTTCTCCTGAGCTTTAAGGTCCCTGGGAGGACTCTGAGAAGGAAGGGTTAGGTAAGCAGTTGGGGCTTCTAACTCCCTAGCAGATCAGCTCTGTTTTGTATAACAGGGTTTTGAGTAAAGTAGTAAAGTTTTTATTTGTAAAAAGTTTCATTGAATGATAAAGGGGATATCACCACCAATCCCACAGAAATACAAACTACCATCACAGAATACTATAAACACCTCTACGCAAATACACTAGAAAATCTAGAAGAAATGGATACATTCCTCAACACATACACCCTCCCAAGACTAAACCAGGAAGAAGTTGAATCTCTGAATAGACCAATAACAGGCTCTGAAATTGTGGCAATAATTAAGAGCTTACCAACCAAAAAAGGTCCGGGACCAGAGGGATTCACAGCCAAATTCTACCAGAGGTAAAAGGAGGAGCTGGTACCATTCCTTCTGAAACTATTCCAATCAATAGAAAAAGAGGAAATCCTCCCTAACTCATTTTATGAGGCCAACATTATTCTGATACCAAAGCCTGGCAGAGACACAACAAAAAAAGAGAATTTTAGACCAATATCCCTGATGAACATCGATGCAAAAATCCTCAATAAAACACTGGCAAACTGAATCCAGCAGCACATGAAAAAGCTTATCCAGCATGATCAAGTGGGCTTCATCCCTGGGATGCAAGGCTGGTTCAACATACGCAAATCAATAAATGTAATCCAGCATATAAACAGAACCAACAACAAAAACCATACGATTATCTCAATACATGCAGAACGGCCTTTGACAAAATTCAACAACCCTTCATGCTAAAAACTCTCAATAAACTGGGTATTGACGGACCATATCTCAAAATAATAAGAGCTATCTATGACAAACCCACAGCCAATATCATACTGAATGGGCAAAAACTGGAAGCATTCCCTTTGAAAACTGGCACAAGACAGGGATGCCCTCTTCTCACCACTCCTATTCAACACGGTGTGGGAAGTTCTGGCCAGGGCAATGAGGCAGGAGAAGGAAATAAAGGGTATTCAATTAGGAAAAGAGGAAGTCAAATTGTCCCTGTTTGCAGATGACATGATTGTATATCTAGAAAACCCCATCGTCTCAGCCCAAAATCTCCTTAAACTGATAGGCAACTTCAGCAAAGTCTCAGGATACAGAATCAATGTGCAAAAATCACAAGCATTCTTATACACCAATAACAGACAAACAGAGAGCCAAATCATGAGTGAACTCCCATTCACAATTGCTTCAAAGAGAATAAAATACCTAGGAATCCAACTTACAAGGGATGTGAACGACCTCTTCAAGGAAAACTACAAACCACTGCTCAATGAAATAAAAGAGGATACAAACAAATGGAAGAACATTCCACACTCATGGGTAGGAAGAATCAATATCGTGAAAACGGCCACACTGCCCAAGGTAATTTATAGATTCAATGCCATCCCCATCAACCTACCAATGACTTTCTTCACAGAATTGGAAAAAACTACTTTAAAGTTCATATGGAACCAAAAAAGAGCCCACATTGCCAAGTCACTCCTAAGCCAGAAAAACAAAGCCGGAGGCATCATGCTACCTGACTTCAAACTATACTACAAGGCTACAGTAACCAAAACAGCATGGTACTGGTACCAATACAGAGATATAGACCAATGGAACACAATAGAGCCCTCAGAAATAATGCCGCATATCTACAACTATCTGATCTTTGGCAAACCTGACAAAAACAAGAAATGGGGAAAGGATTCCCTTGTTAATAAATGGTGCTGGGAAAACTGGCCAGCCATATGTAGAAAGCTGAAACTGGATCCCTTCCTTACATCTTATACAAAAATTAATTCAAGATGGATTAAAGACTTAAATGTTAGACCTAAAACCATAAAAACCCTAGAAGAAAACCTAGGCAATACCATTCAGGACATAGGCATGGGCAAGGACTTCATGTCTAAAACACCAAAAGCAATGGCAACAAAAGCCAAAACTGACAAATGGGATCTAATTAAACTAAAGAGCTTCTGCAAAGCAAAAGAAACTACCATCAGAGTGAACAGGCAATCTACAGAATGGGAGAAAATTTTTGCAGTCTACTCACCTGACAAAGGGCTAATATCCAGAATCTACAATGAACTCAAACAAATTTACAAGAAAAAAACAACCCCATCAAAAAGTGGGCGAAGGATATGAACAGACACTTCTCAAAAGAAGACATTTATGCAGCCAAAAGACACATGAAAAAATGCTCATCACCACTGGCCATCAGAGAAATGCAAATCAAAACCACAATGAGATACCATCTCACACCAGTTAGAATGGCAATCATTAAAAAGTCAGGAAACAACAGGTGCTGGAGAGGATGTGGAGAAATAGGAACACTTTTACACTGTTGGCGGGACTCTAAACTAGTTCAACCATTGTGGAAGTCAGTGTGGCGATTCCTCAGGGATCTAGAACTACAAATACCATTTGATCCAGCCATCCCATTACTGGGTATATACCCAAAGGATTATAAATCATGCCGCTATAAAGACACATGCACACGTATGTTTATTGTGGCACTATTCACAATAGCAAAGACTTGGAACCAACCCAAATGTCCATCAATGATAGACTGGATTAAGAAAATGTGGCACATATACACCATGGAATACTATGCAGCCATAAAAAATGGTGAGTTCATGTCCTTTGTAGGGACATGGATGAAGTTTGAAACCATCATTCTCAGCAAACTATCTCAAGGACAAAACACCAAACACCGCGTGTTCTCACTCATAGGTGGGAAATGAACAATGAGAATACATGGACACAGGAAGGGGAACATCATACACTGCTGCTTGTTGTGGGGTGGGGGGAGGGAGGAGGGATAGCATTAGGAGATATAACTAATGTTAAATGAAGAGTTAATGGGTGCGGCACACCAACATGGCACATGTATACATATGTAACAAACCTGCATGTTGTGCACACGTACCCTAAAAATTAAAGTATAATTTTAAAAAATTAAAAAAAAAATTTTTTTTTAAAGTGTCATTGAAAAGAAAAAAAAAATTCTTTGGGAGGCCAAGGCAGAAGAATCACTTGAGGCCAGGAGTTTCAGATCAGCTTGGGCAACATAGTGAGAAATAAATTAGCTGGGTGTGGTGGTGCACACCTGTAGACCTAGCTACTTGGGAGGCAGAGGTAGGAGGATCACTTGAGCCTGGGAGTTTGAGGCTACAGTAAGCTATGATTGTGTCACTGCGCTCCAGCCTGGAACAGAGTAAAACCCTGTCTCAAAAAAAGAAAAAAAAAAAAAGTATAGCATAAAAACGTCTGATTCTGGTCTAACATTTTGGAGGTGAGGAAACTAAGATGCAGAGAGGTTAAGCGACTTGCCTATGGCCATAGAGCTAATAAACGACAATGAGGTGCCAAAACCTAGGGTCCCTGACTCCTGTTTCTGACCTCTATTATATCACACTGGCTCCCACAAGGGCTTACAAGGTAATCATTTAGCCATGACCAAATTTTTAGATAAAATAGACAAATTTTAAAACAAGTGTTTTCAATAAAATTCACCACTTTAACTATGAGAAGGCTCAGAAAGCACTCGAAAAAGGCCTCAGTGCAGACAGTGAAGAGAATGAGGAATATGATGGTCAAGAGAATTTATCTTCACCCCTGAGTCAGCTGGTGATGCTCCTGACGATCCTCACTGCTGTGACACTCCCGTGTGTCCCCTACCACCTAGCCAAATGATAAACAGTTTGGCTTGATTCACACCTTCATGCTCCCAACGACCATAGTGTCTGAAATATCCTCATGACTTTTATCTATCTCTCTCCTAGCACCTATTCAATTACAAGTCAATAATTCCAGGAAGCCTTTACAGATAAAGCCACTTTTGCTCTTTCCCATCCCCTCTAATGATACTGATGCCTTTTTTCCTAAACCAAAAATCTAGACTTGTTGCTTGACAATGTTGGTTGTATTTATGGGGACAATGGGACAGAATGCTTGCAGTTGTTGCGGCTGCCATTTATCCTCATGATTCCTTACACCCTTTACTGTGAATTGTTTTATAGATGTGCTTTCCAGTATAAATGTGCTCTCCAATTAGATTACAAGCTTCTTGAAGGCAAGGATTCAGACTCCTACTAATTTTGACTTCTCTTTAGACCACGGGTCTAAAGTTGGCTCAATTCTCCAATTGTCATATTAACCTGAAAATCCCTTAGGAAGGCATGCCAGAGTGGATATCAACATACTGTTCTCTAAGTGCAACACAGCTATTTCTTTCAATAGAATTATAATGAATATTTCTGTTAAGAATAGATAAAATACGCCAGGTGTGGTGGCTCATGCCTGTAATCCCAGCACTTTTGAGAGGTCAAGGAAGGAGGATCAGTTGAGTCCGGGAGTTTGAGATGAGCCTGGGCAACATGGCAAAACCTCGTCTCTACAAAAAATACAAAAAAAGTAAGCCGGGCATGGTAGTGCATGCCTCTGGTCTCAGCTACTCAGGAGGCTGAGGCAAGAGGATTGCTTGAGCCCAGGAGGTCAAGGCTACAGTGAGACAAGATTGTGCCACTGCCTGGGTGACAGAGCAACAACCTGTCACCAAAAAAAAAAAAAAAAAAAATAGACAAAATACAGCTTAGGCAATATGACAAAACCCCATATCTGCAAAAAGTACAAAAATCAGCCAGGTGTGGTGGTGCACGCCTGTAGTCCCAACTACTTGGGAGGTTTAGGTGGGATGATCACTTGAGCCTGGGAGGTTGAGGCTCTGGTGGTGAGCCATGATCACACCACTGCACTCCAGCCTGGTCAACAGAGTGAGAACCTGTCTCGACAACAACAAATACACACACACACACACACACACACACATATCTATATACATATATAATACATATATATACACACAAAATAGTTTAGAAGCCACATTGTGTGAACATGCATTTATAAACACTAAAATCCCGTGTAATGACAAGATGCTTAAACTGAAAGGCAGGAGGGAAATACAGATTCACAATCCCCAGGTGAATCTCTGACTCTGGAGTGTACATGCAGTTTACGTAAACGTAAACTGGCTTATGTTTAAATTGTTCTTGCTGGCCGGGCGCAGTGGCTCACGACTATAATCCCAGCACGTTGGGAGGCCGAGGTTGACGGATCACCTGAGGCCCAGGAGTTCGAGACCAGCTTGGCCAACACGGCAAAATCCCGTCTCTACTAAAAATACAAAAATTAGCTGGGCATGGTCACGTATGCCTGTAGTCCTAGGTACTCGGAAGGCTGAGGCAGGAGAATCGCTTGAACCCAGGAGGCGGAGGCTGCAGCGAGCTGAAATTGCGACACTGCACTTCAGCCTTGGCGCCAGACCAAGATTGTCTCAAAAAATTAAATAAAAATAAATAAATCATTCTTGCTCTTCAGGGAGTAAGCCCAGGGGGGAGTGGGTGGGTAGGAAAAGCAGCACTGATAGTTAAGTTTGGGTGAATAAATGTGAACAATGACTCCAATGCCATAGACCCTCACGTGTTTGTTGCATTAATTGGATAATTCAAAATATAAAGTATTATCCAGTTTCAGGATAATATTAAGATCTAAACCAATGAATGCTCTATGAAAAGTTGTAGATTAACTGATCCCTTAAAACTAAAAACAGCGTCTTCATAAGCTTCTACTGGGGGCAGCTACCACTTTCTTCATCACATTTCTTATCCTCAATAGCTGTGGGCAATGCCAAAATAGCTGTATGATCAACATTAATAAACAACACCAGGGCAACAGCCAGACACAAACCTAAATGAAGAATTAAATTGTAGGAGAAGGAGGAGGAAGCAGCGATGGCGGCTGCTGCGGCGGTTGCGGCGGGGGCCGGGGTGGGCGCCGCGGTCTGGGCCGGGCAGTGAGGCACGGGCGGCCGGGCCGGTGGGCTGGGCGGCGGGCCCGGCGGCCGCCCTCGCGCCCTTGCCCGCGCCTGGCGGCCCGATGTGGCTACAGCAGGGGCTCAAGGGGCTGCCGGGACTGCTGTCGAGCAGCTGGGCCCGCCGCCTCCTCTGCCTGCTTGGCCTCCTACTGCTGCTTCTGTGGTTTGGGGGGTCCGGCGCGCAGCGGGCGGCGGGCGGCCTGCACCTGCTTCCCTGGTCCTGGGGTGAGCCGGGCGCCACCGAGCCGTCTGCCTGCCTGGAGGCGGCCACCCGCGCCTGGCGCGGCCTGCGGGAGCGCGGCGAGGCGGTACCGCTGGGCCCTGGAGTGCCGGCCCTGGTGGCCAACGGCTTCCTGGCCCTGGACGTGGCTGCCAATCGGCTGTGGGTGACTCCCGGGGAGCGGGAGCCCGCCGTGGCGCCGGACTTTGTGCCCTTCGTGCAGCTGCGCCCGCTGAGCGCGCTGGCTGAAGCTGGAGAGGCGGTGCTGCTGCTGCGGGAGGGGCTGCTGCGCCGCGTGCGTTGCCTGCAGCTGGGGTCCCCAGGTCCTGGCCCCGTGGCCGCCGGCCCCGGGCCCGCCTCCGTCTCTGGCCTTGCCGCGGGGTCCGGCCGCGACTGCGTGCTGCTGCAAGAGGGCTTTCTGGCGCACAGGGGCCGACCCCACGTCTACCTGCAGCGCATCCAGCTCAACAACCCCACGGAGCGCGTGACCGCGCTGCAGACTGTGGGGCCCACTGCCGGCCCAGCCCCCAAGGCCTTCACCAGTACCCTGGAGAAGGTCGGAGACCATCAGTTCCTCCTCTACTCAGGCCGGTCCCCGCCTACGCCCACTGGGTTGGTGCACCTGGTGGTGGTGGCCGCCAAGAAGCTGGTGAACCGCCTCCAAGTGGCTCCCAAGACGCAGCTGGATGAGACGGTGCTGTGGGTGGTGCACGTCTCTGGCCCCATTATCCCCCAGGTGCCCAAAAGCAAAGCAGCCAAGGAGCTCAAGGCGCTGCAGGACTTGGCACGGAAGGAAATGCTGGAGCTCTTGGAGATGCCAGCGGCGGAGCTGCTTCAAGACCACCAGCTCCTCTGGGCTCAGCTCTTCAGCCCAGGAGTGGAAATGAAGATCACTGACACCCACAGGCCGTCTGGCCTCACCGTGAACCTGACGCTCTATTACATGCTCTCCTGCTCGCCAGCCCCGCTGCTCAGCCCCTCCCTGAGCCACAGGGAGCGAGACCAGATGGAGTCGACGCTCAACTATGAAGATCACCGCTTCAGCGGGCACGCCACCATGCACGCCGAGAACCTGTGGCCGGGGCTGCTGTCCTCCGTCCAGCAGATCCTGCAGCTCTCTGACCTGTGGAGGCTGACCCTCCAGAAGAGTGGCTGCAAGGGGCTGGTGAAGGTGGGTGCCCCAGGCATCCTGCAGGGCATGGTGCTCAGCTTCGGGGGGCTGCAGTTCACAGAGAACCACCTCCAGTTCCAGGCCGACCCCGACGTGCTGCAGAACAGCTATGCATTGCATGGCATCCGCTACAAGAACGACCATATCAACCTGGCCGTGCTGGCGGATGCCGAGGGCAAGCCCTACCTACACGAGTCCGTGGAGTCCCGTGGCCAGCCTGTCAAGATCTATGCCTGCAAGGCAGGCTGCCTGGACGAGCCAGTGGAGCTGACCTCGGCGCCCACGGGCCACACCTTCTCGGTCATGGTGACACAGCCCATCACGCCACTGCTCTACATCTCCACCGACCTCACACACCTGCAGGACCTGCGGCACACGCTGCACCTCAAGGCCATCCTGGCCCATGATGAGCACATGGCTCAGCAGGACCCCGGGCTGCCCTTCCTCTTCTGGTTCAGCTTGGCCTCCCTCATCACCCTCTTCCACCTCTTCCTCTTCAAGCTCATCTACAACGAGTACTGTGGGCCTGGAGCCAAGCCCCTCTGCAGGAGTAAGGAAGATCCCAGTGTCTGAGTGAACTAACAGTCCTGCTTTCAGCCACCATTTGCACAAGACACCCAGCACTGAAAGTCCCACTGCCAGGAGCAAGGGATCCTTTGGAAGCACCCGCCCTTTGTGCCTTGTTGGGGGAAACCAGTGACGCAGAAGCGAGTGTGGATACACCAGAGTTTGCATTGGAAGGAATGAGTGTCACGTGGGGAGGGAAGGGGCCAGTGGACCTTTTGTAAGCTTTCCACTCAATAAAATGAACCTGTATGGCAAAAAAAAAAAAAAAAAGAATTGTATAAAGATGTATAAAGATGTCTATTAGTTAGTACATAGGAAAATGTTTGATAATGTTGGCAGAAAAAAAAAACAGGCCAGGCGCAGTGGCTCACACCTGTAATCCCAGCACTTTGGGAGACCAAGGTTGGTGGATCACCTGAGGCCAGGTGCTTGAGACCAGCCTGGCCAACATAGCAAAACCCCGTCTCTACTAAAAATACAGAAATTAGCCAGGCGTGGTGGGGGGTGCCTGTAATCCCAGCTATTCGGGAGACTGAGGCAGGAGAACTGCTTGAACCTGGGAGGCGGAGGCTGCAGTGAGCAGAGATGGTGCCACTGCACTCCAGCCTAGGCGACAGCAAAATTCCATCTCAAAAAACAAAAAAACAAAGGAAAAACAGTATTCTATGTCAAGTTCCTCGGAAGAATGTCAAATAATTTCTGAATCCCTTAGCACTGAGTGCAGGGTCAGACACAGAGTAAATATTCAATCAGATTTATGATCCTTATAATTACTAATACTTACTGGGTTGCTTACTATATTCCAGGCATTGTGCTAATAATTAACGCCTCTACACACATTACTTCCTCACAAGCCCCAAATCATAGTACATTTTAGAGCCAGAATTTAAAACTAAGTAAAATTCTAGGACCAGTGCTCTTAACCACTGGGCAATACTGCTTCTCAATTTTATCAAGTAAGTAAATGAAGCAACTCAACACTTTAAAAAAGCTTGTACTCAAAAATCATATTTAGAACTAAGGTTTAATTTTAAAGATTATCCTTGCTTGATTAATGTTTTCACCTGGGAAGAAAGTGACACTTTACAGGGAAAATTTCTACTTTACAACAGTCTCAACCAGATGGCCGTAAACTCATCATCCAGATCAGGGCATTTTTTTTTTTTCCTTTTTCCACCAACTCTTAAACCCAAGCATTTTTAAGAGTGAAAGCATGGCCACGCATGGTGGCTCACACCTGTAAAACCAGCACTTTGGGAGGCCAAAGCAGGGCAGATCACCCAATGTCAAGAGTTTGAGACCAGCCTGGCCAACATGGTGAAACCCCGTCTCTACTAAAAATACAAATATTAGCTGGACGTGGCGGTGTGCGCCTGTAGTCCCAGCTACTCAGGAGGCTGAGGCACAAGAATCACTCGAACCTGGGAGGCGGAGCTTGCAGTTAGCCAAGAACGCGCCACTGCACTCTAGCCTGGGCAGCAGAGCAAGACTCTGTCTCAAACAAAAATCCCAAAACCAAAAAAAGTGCAACAAAGCATTTACAGAGTGGGTATATCTACATGCACATTTTCTGATAGATACTAATTGCTGAGAATTTAGACACAGTTTTACCTCTCTACAAATTCATAAATTATATTTCAAGTACAGTTAATTCTGTTGTATAAATGACGTGGGTTCAATATTTTTGCTACAATTTTATCTAACACAGTTGCATGATAGGTATGATTTAATTCTCCTTTCCTAAGAAGAGCCATTCAATTGCATGCTCACTGTCACAAAACTGAGACTTTTTTCGAGATGCAGTCTCATTCTGTCTCCCAGGCTGGAGTGCAGTGGCTTGATCTCGGCTCACTGCAACCTCCGCCTCCCGGGTTCAAGTGATTCTGCTGCCTCAGCCTCCTGAGTAGCTGGGATTCCAGGTGCCCGCCATCACGCCCAGCTAATTTTTTTGTATTTTTAGTAGAGACGGGATCTTACCATGTTGGCCGGGTCAAACTCCTGCCCTCAGATAATCTGCCTGCCTTGGCCTCCCAAAGTGCTGGGATTACAGGCGTGAGCCTCTGCACCCAGCCAGAACTGAGACTTTAATAGTTAGCTCATTTTATAAAACAAGCCCTACTATTCATACCTTCGTGAGCATTTTTTACAAACTTTTTTTTTTTTTGAGACATAACCTCGCTCTATTGTCCAGGCTGTCACAGTGGCGTGATCATAGCTGGCTGCAGCCTTGAGTTCCTGGGCTCAAGTGATCCTCTAACCTCAGCCCCCTGAGCAGACATGGCTACAGGCACATGCCACCACACTTAGCTAATTTTTAAAAATTTTTTGGAGAGACATGGTCCTACTATGTCACCCAGGCTGATCTCAAACTCCTGGCTTCACGAGCAATCCTCCTGCCTTGGCCTCCCAAAGTGCTGAGATTAGAAATGTGGGCCACAGTGCCTGGCCAAGAATCGTTTTTATGCTAGGCGATTTTTATCAGACAGTATGGGATATTAAAATACTCCCTCACTACCAGAAGAAATATTACATATGTAATGTTAAAATTGCTTAAAAGTTCTGACAATTTAAATGTTGGAGGAAAAGTCAAGAATCAAATGCAAGGTAAGATGGTAAAGGAGGTCAAGGAGCAACTCTCAACTTTTCAAAAAAGCTAACGGAAAATTATAAATTGGCAAGGCCAGGCGCGGTGGCTCACACCTGTAATCCCAGCACTTTGGGAGGCCGAGGCAGGTGGATCACGAGGTCAGATGGAGACCATCCTGGCTAACACAGTAGAAACCCCGTCTCTACTAGAAATACAAAAAATTAGCCAGGTGTGCTGGCGGGCGCCTGTAGTCCCAGCTACTAGGGAGGCTGAGGCAGGAGAATGGCGTGAACCCGGGAGGCGGAGCTTGCAGTAAGCCGAGATTGTGCCACTGCACTCCAGCCTGGGCGACAGACCAAGACTCCGTCTCAAAAAAAAAAAAAAAAAAAAAAAAAGTTGTTTATCATATCTTCCAAAACTGGTAACTACAATAGAAATAAAAGGTGTCTTTAGAGCCTAAGATTTGGGAATTAATGAACTAGTCACTTTAAAAATTTTTTCATCTTAGGCAGTGGCTCACACCTGTAATCCCAGCACTTTGGGAGGCCGGGGTGGGCAGATCACGAAGTCAGGAGTTCGAGACCAGCCTGGCCAAGATGGTAAAACCCCATCCATCTCTACTAAAAATACAAAAACTAGTCGTGTGCAATGGCGGGCACCTGTAATCCCAGCTACTCAGGAAGCTGAGGCAGGAGAATCGCTTGAACCCAGGAGGTAGAGGTTGCAGTGAGCCAAGAATGCACCACTGCACTCCAGCCTAGGTGACAGAGCAAGACTCTGTTTCAGGGGAAAAAAAAAAATTTCATCTTTTGAAAACACACGAATCAACACTTTTCCTCAGTTAAACCAGTTCACCAAAGTGTGAATTTAAAAAATTATACATTTGGCTGGCAGCGGTGGCTCATGCCTGTAATTCTGGCACTTTGGGAGGCAGAGGCGGGCGGATCACGATAGGAGTTTGAGACCAGCCTGTCCAACATGGTGAAATCTCGTCTCTACTAAAGATACAAAAAATTACCTGGGCGTGGTGGTGTGCCTGTAACCCCAGCTACTCAGGAGGCTGAGGCAGGAGAATCGTTTGAACCCGGGAGGCGGAGGTTGCAGTGAACCGAGATGGCGCCATTGCACTCCAGCCTGGGCGACAGGGTGAGAGTCCGTCTCAGAAAAAAAAAAAAAAAAAAATATATATATATATATATATATGTATACACACACACACACACACACTCTCTCTCTCTCTCTCACTTTTATGTGATTTGGAAAAAAAAAAAAACCCACACAAACACACACCTCAAATCCCAGAATTTAGAGACATTACAGTTGAGGACAAATCTAAGTTAAAAAAAAAAAAAAAAAAAAAAGGCGGGGGTGCAGGGATGGGATGGGTGGGTAAAGAGGTCTAGAGTGACAGAAAGCAGGGCAGGGATCCACTGCAAAGGGACATAGGGACATTTTCAGGGAGACAGAAATGCTCTGTACCTTTTTTGGGGTGGGTGGGTAGGGGACTTATTTTCTGAGACAGGGTCTCACTCTGTCACCCAGGCCAAGTGCAGCGGCACTATCGTGGCTCCCTGCAGCCTCACCCTCCTGGGCTCAAGCGATCCTCTCACCTCAGCCTCCCAAGTAGCTGGGACTACAGGTGCATGCCACCAAGCCTGGCTAAGTTTTTATTTTTTATAGAGATAGGAGTCTCACTGTGTTGCCCTGGCTGCCCTCAAACTCCTGGGCTCAAGAGATCCTCCTTCCTTGGCCTCCCAAAGTGTTGAAATTACAGGTGTGAGCCACTGCACCAGGTCAATGCTTTGTATCTTGATCATGCTGGTGGTAATATCACTATATACAACTTCCAAAACACAAACTATATAATTAAAATGGGTCTATTTGTTGTAAGTAAACGGTTCCTCAATTTTTCATAAAGGGGGAGTAAATTGATGTAAAGTAGATTTAAAAGAAAATACTAAGCAAATAATAGTATAGGTGGTACAGTGATGTGGCCAAATTCACAGATGGTACATGAATAACTGACATGAATAACTGCTGTTTAAGACATACAGAGCTAAGCCTTCAAAGAGAAGGCTTTTTTTTTTTTTTTTTTTTTTTTTTGAGACGGAGTCTTGCTCTGTCGCCTAGGCTGGAGTACAGTGGCATGATCTCGGCTCACTGCAACCTCCGCCTCCCGGGTTCAAGCGATTCTCCTGCCTCAGCCTCCCAATTAGCTGGGACCACAGGCACATGCCACGACACCCGGCTAGTTTTTTTGTATTTTTAGTAGAGACGGGGTTTCACCATGTTAGCCATGATGGCCTCGATCTCCTGACCTCATGATCTGCCCGCCTCGGCCTCCCAAAGTGATGAGATTACAGGCATGAGCCACCATACCCGGCCAAGAGAAGGCTTTTAAGAGAAGCAGCCTCTATAACAAAGAAAGTCTAAAATTTATTTTTAAAAGTATATTAATTGTAACATTCATCAATGCTAGAAGTATATAATACTTTCGTTTCAACAAAGTTTTTTTTTCAGGAGAGGAATGTTCTTATTTGGGGGACTTTTAGGACTTATTTCGGAGGCCTCTTAGGGCTAACTAAAGAGAAACCAGCTGCTCATATTAGAAGACCTTGGAGTTATGAGATGCTAGTTTATACCATATGCATTAGACATAAAAAAAATCACTACCTACCTTCGGCTGAGATAAAAAGCAAGAGGTAAAGCTCCAGACAGCTGTTCCTAACTTAACTACTCTTGCCTCCCACAGCTTTCTGAACAAGGTAAATCCTGAATAGTGATCATCATTCAACCTTCATCTCTGCAAAAAGCATTTCTTTTCCTCCCAGGCGAAAACAAACAGTGCCTGCTGTCTAGCACTAGTTAAACAAGTTCCCCAAACACCACACACGTCTATTATAATACATACCACTGAGAAGCCACAGCAAGAACATAATGTTCCTTATGGGCCAAGGATGAGAGAAGAGGACAGGAATCCTCCAAGCTGATACAGTGACTTGTAAACCTGGTTTATCTTATTGGAGTCTCAGTTTCTACATTTGTAAGTATTTTGGCCTGATTCAACAGTACAGTATTTAAGAACCAGAACTTTTGTCTCCTCCCATCTTCTTTTTTTTTTGAGATGGAGTCTCACTCTGTTGCAGTGGCACAATCTCCTGAGTAGCTGGGACTACAGGCGTGAGCCACCACACCTGGCTAATTTTTGTATTTTTAGTAGAGATGGGGTTTCACCACGTGGGCCAGGCTGGTCTCGAACTCCTGACCTCAGGTGATCCACCCACCTCGGCCTCCCAAAGTGCTGGGAGTACAGGCATGAGCCACCATGCTCAGCCGTCTCCTCTCATCTTCTAAGAACTGGATATTGTCATTTGAAAGTCTTATTTTTAACCATCATGGTCTCTACGCTTGAGTGTGTCTGTGAGAATATGAAGACATACTGTAATTACTGGCTCATTAAGATTAAGCATCATAATCTTCCTAGTTGAAAAGGGTTAGCCAAGTACTGTATAAGGTGTAACTATAAGTATTTAACCTTACAAATTCCTCAAGAAGATAGGCAGAAAATAGGAAAGAAAAGGGCAAAAATAGGCCGGGTGCAGTGGCCCACCTGAGGTACAGAGTTCAAGACCAGCCTGGCCAACATGATGAAACCCTGTCTCTACTAAAAATACAAAAAATTAGCTGGGCGTGGTGGTGGGCGCCTGTAATCCCAGCTACTCAGGAGGCTAAGACAGGAGAATTGCTTGAACCCAGAGGCAGAGGTTACAGTGAACCAAGATCGCACCACTGCAGTCCAGCCTGGGCAACAAGAGCAAAACTCCATCTCAAAAAAAAAAAAGAAACAAAAGAAAAGGACAAAAATACCCAACAGTGGAAAGGAGGCAGCAAAGTTAACTGCACAGATCACATCTCAGTCAGAGAGCAGTATGTGAAGGAGGGAAAAAGCCTCTAATCACTTGACTCAGATATACGTTGGAGATGCTAGAGATCCAACTCCGTGTTCCAAAAACCTGTGTTCCCAGAGACCACTACTGCAGTGTCAGTTCACACAGATCTTATAACACGAGTAAACACTTCCAGATAATGACACTGATGGAAAAATAGCATACAATAGGGAAGCTCTATTTCTAAAAACTTTACTGTTTACCTGGAATCACACCTTTATTCTGGAACAAAAAGAAAACTGCTAAACAGAAGCAGATACTGTTATAACTCTTCCTTAAGATAAGCTTTATAGGCAGTGTTTAACTAGTTTAACTAGTGCTAGACAGCAGGCACTGTTTGTTTTTGCCTGGGAGGAAAAGAAATGCTTTTAGCAGAGATGAAGGTTGAATGATTATCACCATTCAGGATTTACCTTGTTCAGGGATTGTTAGGGAGCGATCAAATCGGAAAGGTAAAGATGAAATGCTTTTCCTGTTTCTTGATTTTTATCTACCAGCAATAATATGAGGCACACTCGTAAAGTAAAGGTTTGCATTATATTTACAATTAAACTCTAGAAAAGCATAATTCTGAGCTAAATATTCTGCCTAAAGAATCTCTTTCACATAATCCTTCCTGGTCACTTGCTCCTTGCACTCACAATTTGTTTCTTAATTCCTATGCTTTTTATCCCTTTCTATACAAGGATTTGTCCAAAAAAAAGTATACTCCCTTACCAGAACGCAACCTCCTGCAGGGGCCACATCTTACTCACCTTGTGTCTCTGTCAGCACTCAGCATTGGGCTTTGACCACAGCTCACCTTCGATTAATAAAAATTATAAATCAAGGCCGGGTGCAGTGGCTTACATCTGTAATCCCAGCACTTTGGGAGGCCAAGGTGGGCAGATTACTTGAGGTCAGGAGTTGGAGACCAGCCTGGCCAACATGGCGAAACCCCGTCTCTATTAAAAATACAAAAATTGGCCAGGCGCGGTGGCTCACGCCTGTAATCCCAGAACTTTGGGAGGCTGAGGTGGAGGTCAGGAGATCGAGACCATCCTGGCTAACACTTGGTGAAACCACATCTCTACTAAAAATACAAAAAATTAGCTGGGTGTGGTGGTGGGCGCCTGTAGTCCCAGCTGAGGCAGAAGAATGGCGTGAACCTGGGAGGTGGAGCTTGCAGTGAGCCGAGACTGTGCCACTGCACTCCAGCCTAGGCCACAGGGCGAGACTCCATCTCAAAAAAATAAAAAATAAAAAAAACAAAAATTAGCCGGGCGTGGCACAAAAATAATCCCATCTACTCGGGAAGCTGAGGCAGGAGAATTGCTTGAACCCAGGGGGCAGAGGTTGCAGTGGGGCAGAGGTCGCATAGAGCTGAGATCGCACCACTGCACTCCAGCCTGGGTGACAGAGCAAGATTCCGTCTCAAAAAAAAAAAATTATAAATCAAAACAGGTTTCTGCTTTAGGTGACAACAGATGAAATCAAGCTCAACCAACTTCTACCTATAACTCATATAATCCTAGATATAGTGGAGCAAAGACGGAAATGGGACCATCAATAGCTCTGCCACTGACTTCCCCTGCAAAATTGAATAAATCAAGAATGAACAAAGCCATAAATATCTAGGATCAGGAACTTTGTACTATGGCCGAGTCCCATCAGTTTTCCCTGACAGCCAGTATTAGATAATCATTTACAGCCATAGCCACCATGCATCTGTATGCAAAACCCTCACATTGTAACATTGGAATTGGCTTTATATGAAAGCTACAATTACAGCCTCTCATCTCCTCTCATTCTATATAAAAGAGTGGGATCTACAAAGCCATACACGGAAACTGGTCATTTCAACCTTGCCTAACAGGGGTTCTTTTCTCATGCTTTTTAAGGAAGGAGCAGGAATAGAAATTCTCGGAGTCCTTATCAGTAAGTAATGATCAGGAATGTTCCATTGATGCTGCTATAAACCTCTAGCATAACAGCAAGGTGACAAAGAATTTTCTAAAATCAGTCCCAAATAGCAGGAAAGAAACACTTAGCTCAGGATGAGTTCAAGAACCAAAAATGGGCTGAGTTGTGCTGATTTAGGTCAGAAACAGGGTCAAAGTTGCCTCTTTCAGAGATGAGAATTAGATATAACAAGTAATTGGCTGGGCACAGTAGCTCATGCCTGTAACCCCAGCACTTTGGGAGGCCGAGGCGGGTGGATCACTTGAGGTCAGGAGCTTGAGACCAGCCTGGTCAATATGGTGAAATCCCATCCCTACTAAAAATACAAAAATTAGCCAGGTGTGGTGGTGGGTGCCTGTAATCCCAGCTACTTGAGAGGCTGAGGCAGGAGAATCGCTTGAACCCGGAAAGCAGAGGTTGCAGTGAGCAGAGACTGTGCCACTGCACTCTAGCCTGGGCGTCAGAGGGAGACTCCATCTCAAAAAAAAAACACGAATTGCCAGCTCTTAGCACTGTCCAGTGGAACCTTCTTTGCGATGGAAATGTTCCACATCTGTGCTGCCCAGTGTAGCAGACATCAGCCACATGTGGCTGCTGAGCACTTGAAATGTGGCTAGCATGACTGAGGAAATGAATTTTAAATTGTGTTTAATTTTAATCTCAATGTAAACTGCCAAATATGGCTAGTGGTGACCAAACCGGAACTGTAGCTCTAGATTCCCTAAATTAGGGACTTTCAATGACAGGCAATTCCCTCTACCCCTTGGGGGACAACTGCCCCCATCTTGAGACATTTCTTATTGTTACAACTGGGTGTAGGGAGTGCGACTAGCATCTACTGAGCAGAGGTCTGGGACACTGCTAAGCATGCTGCCATGCACAGGCCAGCCCCCATAACAGCAAATTATCTGACCCAAAATATCACTAGTGCTGACGCTGAGAAACTGCTTTAAGTTTGCTCAAGGACAGAATTAAAGTAAATGCAAACAAACTGCAGTATACCTTGCCTAAACATAATACCCAGGAAGAATGAGATCTTTTAACCAACAGAAAAAGGTCTGGGCTATTCTACAAGTTTAGAGTAGCAGGTTTTGGCCTGGCACGGTGGCTCACGCTTATAATCCCAGCACTTTGGGAGGCTAAGGCAAGAGGATGGCTTCAGCCCAGGAGGTTGGGACCAGCCTGGGCAATATAGTGAGACCTTGTCTCGAGAACAAAAAAATTGTTTTAATTAGCTCAGTGTGGGGGTGAGTGCCTGTAGTCCCAGCTACTCAGGAGGCTGAGGCGCGAGGATCACTTGAGCCCTGGAGACGGACGTTGCAGTGAGCCGAGATTGTACCACGGCTCTCCAGCCTGGGTGACAGAGAGAGATCCTGTCTCAAAAATAATAATAATATAACAGGTTTTTACTGGAAGGTGTGTTTAATAACTTAAAATCTTCATCATTATAGTGATTACTTCCTGTGGCATTTTCCTTATTGAATATTAACATAAGTACACACTGTGAGACTCTGCTACAGGGCCTTGTTCCTTATGCCTTGGACATACAGTGGGGGGCAGGGGCAAAGCCCCTACTCCTACTCTCCTAAGTTTGAATTTCCTTTGCCTCCTCAATTAACCCATCTGATTTATTGGGACATCACTGATCTCAGATACAAGAAAACTGATACTGTTGTGGAAGAAAAGCAAATCGTGACGAGAAAATGGCTCTGTTATCACAGGTCTGCACGTTTACATAACAGAAAAAGCAAGGGACAGAATTATATTTGGACCAAATCCAAATCACTGAGTGATTCTACTAAATGATGATCGCATACTACATTTTGTTTTTGTTTTTTCACATACATTTTAAAGTGAGAGATATTATTTTAAATTTTAGAGGGTGAGCATCAAATAACATTGTGGTTTCTGTAATCAGTATAAATTATGCAACAATCAGTTTAAATGGGATCATTTACAACTGCTCACATAGCTCTTGAGTTTATATTAACAATGTAGAATTTAACGCAGGATAGTCTATTCCTCAAAGAAACAGGAATAATGAACACAATTAAATGTTTCACTTTGACCCAGACTATTTTTCAGAACATAAAGTCATCAACATTCATATTACAGCAATGCTTTTTCTTTTCTGCCCAATTAGCACCAATATAAATCGTTTATTCCATCTAAGGCCCTGTATTACTTCAGGGAATATAAATCTAAGTCCCGGCCAGGTGCAGTGGCTTACGCCTGTAATCCCAGCACCGTGGGAGGCTGAGGCTGAAGGATCACAAGGTCAGGCGTTTGAGACCATCCTGACCAACGTGGTGAAACCCCATCTCTACTGGGAATACAAAAATTAGTCGGGTGTGGTGTCACACGCCTGTAGTCACAGCTGCTCGGGAGGCTGAGGCAGGAGAATCACTTGAATCCGGGAGGCGGAGGTTGCAGGGATCCGAGATCGCCTCACTGCACTCCAGCCTGGGCAAGAGACCGAGACTCCCTCTCAAAAAAAAAAAAAAAAAAAAAAAAAAAGTAAGTCCCATAGTTCTGAAAAACTTACACTCAGAATTTTCACATTGACCTAAGGCAGAAACCTCCAGCCCACACGTTCTGAATTCCTAAAAGATCACTACAATTTTTGTGAATGCTCCAATATTAAACACACTGGAATTTCAGTCCCTCTTGCGATCCTCATTGAGAGAGTTTAAGATCTTTTATCATCAATTAACACTTAGGGAGCAACTACTGTAACCTACTGATCAAATGCCAGAAAAGTAATATTTAAAGCAGGATTCTGACCCACCCTGCAGATTTTCCTATAAAGGCTAATTATTCCTGGAGGAAAGATCACCCCAGTTCTTCAGGATTCCAATTACAATCACATGAAGCCCACCCACCTTCTTAGGAAATTGATAACACCACTTTGCATCGTTTTGTACTCAACTGCTGGTGTTATAAACATGATCTTGACCAGGATTTCTCAGCCTCAACACTGCTGACATTTTGGGCCAGAGAATTCTTCAGCGTGGGGGGCTGTCCTGTGCAACGTAGGATGTTTAGAGGCGTCCCTGGCCTCTACCCACTAGGTACCGGCAGCACCTCCCTGCCCCCATTGTGACAATCAAAACTATGTCCAGAGATAGCCAAATGTCTCCTGGGGAAATAAATTGCCCCCTGCTTTAAGAACCACTCATCTGGACAAACTCAAAGTACCAAAAGGTAGACACCCTGCTAATCAGACGACCGGAAAGACTTTATTCCCAGCCAGGAAAACACGTAACATTCACCCCAGAGATGGCACAAGAAAACCATATTATCTTTTTCTTGTCTTCCACCCAATTTATGCTAAGCAACCCAGGAGTAGGCTATACCACTGTGAGCACATGAAGACATCTGGCCCAACCTTTACAATTATTGCCTTCAACTCTCCAGTGACAAGTGAACAAAATCTACAGCAGCTGCTGCCTTGAAAAAAGACAAAATATATTATTCCTACCAGCTCAAAATTAAAATGTAGCCGTCTTAAAACACGAGCATTGCTCCTGAATGCCACATGCATGAAAAACCGGGTATGCACTGGATTGGACAAGCAGACTCCCAAGCTGGAACAGACAGAAGGGCTTTGAGGGAGGGCAGAATGTCAGGTACCGAAAGCAGGAATCCGTGAAGAAACCCAAACTGGTTTCCATTTACAAGCCCTAACACTGGGACAATGAGAATCCGTTTCACATGGTAGAGCAGTCAGCCTGGTACACCACGCTGCCGTTCCCCCAAGGGGAAACCAGAGGTAGGCTCTGTTACCAGTGGATTTCGAGTTGACTCGGGGATCCCTCCTCGCCACTGGAATGGGGGAGCCAGGAAGTTGTGGAGCAGCTGCGATCCCCAAAACTCAATTCGCAATCTACGCAACACCCACCCCTTTCTGGAACTCAGAGGTTCTCGCCCGGTGATCGCAGGCTCAGCATCAGAATCACCTGCGTGGGGCGGAGTGGGAGCGGGGCGGTGGCGGTTAAACACGCAGTTCCCGGTCCCGCCCCCAGAGGTTCTGACCCCGGGACTGAACCTCCGCATTTTACCAAAGGCCCCAGGTGATTCCCACTCAGGCTGAAGTTGGAAAACCACTGCTTTGGCAATTTTCATTCCTAACTCGGAGACCAAGAAAAACCTACAGGTTTGCAGCTGGCTCTGAAATAACTGCGGCTTCTTTCCGGGAGCATCTGGGGCCGCCAACGGAGAGCTCCCGGTCCTCCGAAAGGGCCAGCCGAGCTCAGGCCGGCCACTCGCGGAACCTCGGCAGGGCCCAAGGTCGGCCCCGCGGTCCCAGTCCTGGGCTCCGGGCCCGTCGCGGCCCCCACCGAACCCCGCCCAGCCTCTTCGGCCCACGGGGACCCAAGAGACACCCGGCCCCGTGACGCGCCCGGGCCCCAGCCGCCCTCCCGGCGAGGCCTCCTCAGGCAGGGCCTGTCAGCCCGCGTCCCCCTGTCCGGGTCACAATGGCAGCTCGCGACTGGGAAACAGTTGCCTCGGAAGCGGGAGCCCCGGGCCGCAGCACCGTCCCCATCGCCCCCTCCCGGCACGGACCTTCTCCAGGGACGCGTCCATGGCTGAGGCGGCCGGTGGTGGCCTGGCGGTCCCGGGCTCTACTTCCTCCTCCCGCGCCCCGCAGCTCCTTCCACGCTGGCAGCGCTGACGTCCCCCGCGCCCGCGGCCGGCGGGGCGGAGAAGAGGAGGAGCTGCCAGGCGGCGCCGCGGGCTGCCGAACCTGATGGTTGAGAGGCGGCGGGGCGGGGCCCCGTAGCGCTGGGCGGAGCCCTCTGGGATTCCGTACCTGGGCGCCACGCCGGCCCTCCCTAACGTGCGCAGGTGAAGGGGGGAGGATGCCCGGTGGATTGTTCACCAAACTCTTTCCAGCAGCCTGTTGCAATCATCAAGGTAGAAGTATAATAATCACAAAGTACTATTCATGGAGTGAAAGGCTGGAAATACTAGTGACGCACCTCACTTCCGGGCCCAGGCTTCCAAGTCTCCCGCCTCACCTCCCGCCGGCATCCCTCGAGAATGGAACAGGCCATTCGCCAAGGAGGCGGTGAGCGAGTGGGCAACCTTGCGCATGCGCAGGACTCGCAGCGTCCTCGGCGCCCGGGGACTTGGGGGTTTTGGGGTTGGGGGCTGCTTAGTGAACGCTGTTCAGAGAAGGCACTGATCTAAGCTGAGGTGTTGTCTCAGACCTTACCGCCGAATTCTAGACGGAAAAAATTGTTGTAACAACCGGTCCAGCCTCTTTCATGTCACAATTATCACTTGTCAGGTAATGGGTAGTAGTAATAATGATAATATTAATACATCAGCTGCTGTTCTTCCATTTTCCTATTTCAGCAGCTCTAGGAGATCATTATCCCCATTTCGCAGTGCCGATCTAGGTAGGATTCAGACCCAAGCCCCATGAGTCCACATACTGCTTCCACTCCTACTTTACTTTAAATGTTTTAAAAAGTTAATTTTTTATTAATTTTTTTATCTTGTTAACCGATGAACTGAAGAGAAAAAAAATTAAAATCTCATTTTAATAGAGAAGGTAGGGGTGTCTCACTATGTTACCCAAGCTGGCTTCAAACTCCTGGCCTCAGGCGATCTTCCCGTCTCAGCTTCCCCAAGTGCTGGGATTACAGGCATGAGCTACCACGCCCGGCCACTTTTGCAATTTTACTGCAATGTGTTTCGAACGAATGGGGAGGGCGTACATTTGCTTAGTAGATTCCTCCCACCTTAATGTGGGAAACTGATATAGACTACCACAGTGGCAATCAATGGAACACTTCACCTCTGCGATGACGCTACAACCACAATCTTACTCCTTTTCTCTCCTGTTTTATACTCTTCGTCCCGAAATCTGTGTAAACAGGGTCACATTTTCAGCGCAGTAACTCCATGTTTTGAGCTATCTACGTTGTATTTGGTAAATTGCCTGGTTATGTTAATAAAATTATTTTCTACCAAAAAACCCTTGTGTGCTGGTTTAGACTGTACTGTGGGGATTATTCTGACTCTCTAAAGAGCTTTCCAAACAGAAGGAAAGATAGATTTATGTCTTTCAAGAATTGAAGATTGAATGTACCCCTGCTTGAGCAAAACAAGTCACTTTTCCAACGTGTTATGAAATTTTTCAAACGTAGAAAAGTTTAAACAGTTGTACAGTGAACAACCATATACCCACTACCTAGATTCTACAGTTAATTTTCCCTATATTTGCTTTAATCACATATGCATCCATATATCCATCCATCGATATATGTTAGTACATTTCACCTCTGAGCACCTCAGCATGGGTATCATTCAAAACTAGTAAATTTTACTAAAGTCACCTCCAAGTTTCTGTGGATTACATTACAAAGTATAATAGATTCTACAAAACAAATACTAGAGAGAAAAGTTAACTTTACTGTTTTAAAAGTAGACTTTGAAAACCCAACATGAAAAAGTGGAAATAATCAACCGTATTATTTATTATATTTAGCCAAACATTTATTGACTGCCATCTTGGACAGTTGTGCTGGAAATAGTATGTAAAAGAATAAGAGGCTGGTTCAAGAGCAGCCTGGCCAACAGAGTGAAACTCCGTCTCTACTAAAAATACAAAAAATTAGCTGGGCGTGGTGGCAAACACCTGTAATCCCAGCTACCTGGGAGGCTGAGGCAGGGGAATCACTTGAACCCCGGGGGCAGAGGTTGCAGTGAGCCGAGATTGTGCCACTGCGCTCCAGCCTGGGCAATAAGACGAGACTCCATCTCAAAAAACAATAAAAATACAAATAAGAGGCTGGGCCGGGCGCGGTGGCTCACGCCTGTAATCCCAGCACTTTGGGAGGCCGAGGCGGGCGGATCACGAGGTCAGGAGATCGAGACCATCCTGGCTAACACGGTGAAACCCCGTGTCTACCAAAAATACAAAAAGAAATTAGCCGGGCATGGTGGCGGGCGCCTGTAGTCCCAGCTATTCTGGAGGCTGAGGCAGGAGAATGGCGTGAACCCGGGAGGCGGAGCTTGCAGTGAGCAGAGATCGCACCACTGCACTCCAGCCTGGGCGACAAAGCGAGACTCTGTCTCAAAAACAAAATATAATAAAAAATTTAAAAATTTAAAAAAGGCTGGGCGCGGTGGCTCATGCCTGTAATCCCAGCACTTTGAGAGGCCGAGGTGGGCGGATCACCTGAGGTCAGGAGTTGGAGAACAGCGTGGCCAACATGGTGAAACCCTCGTCTGTACTAAAAATAGAAAAATTAGTGGGTGTGGTGGTGTGCGCCTGTAATCCCAGCTACTCGGGAGGCTGAGGCAGCAGAATCGCTTCAACCTGGGAGGCGGAGGTTGCAGTGAGCCAAGATTGCACCACTGCATTCCAGCCTGGACGACAAGAGCAAGACTCCGTCTACACACACACACACACACACACACACACACACACACACACACAAAACAAAGACAAGCTCTCTGCCCTGAAGAAAAACACTATTTTGGGTAGAAGTTTTTACTTTGGGATGCAGATGGAGGTCTCTGAAACTATACTCAACATTTTGTGTGTGAGTGAGTGCATTTTTCTGGGGAAAACATCCATTGTCTTCATTATATACTCAAGTCTGTGATTCCCCCATCCCCGAAAAAAAAAAAAAAAGTTGAAACCATTTGGCTTGTGGATGCACAGATAGGAAAACTGATACATTATAATGCAACATTCTATGGACTAGTGAAGAGAGATAAGCAGAATATTGTACAGTTTGGAGCATGAAGCCATCAGTTGTGGGGAGGTTTAATCTCTACTGACATATGGCTTTATGTGCTGCTAACAGACCTGTCTTTTTCTTTCTTTTTCTTTTTCCAGACGAGTCTCACTCTGTTGTCCAGGCTGAAGTGTAACGGCGCAGTCTTGGCTCACTGCAACCTCTGCCTCCCCGGTTCAAGTGATTCTGCTGCCTCAGCCTCCCGGAGTAGCTTCGACTGGAGGCGTGCGCCATCGCACACACTGTATTTTTAGTAGAGACAGGGTCTTACCATGTTGGCCAGGCTGGTCTCAAACTCCCAACCTCAAGTGATCCTCCTGCCTCGGCCTCCCAAAGTGTTTGGATTACAGGCCTGAGCCACCGAGCCTGGCCTCAAACACTTCTCTTTTTTCCTTTTTTTTGAGATGGAGTCTCGTTCTGTCGCCAGGCTGGAGTGCAGTGGCACCATCTCTGCTCACTGCAAGCTCCGCCTCCCGGGTTCAAGCAATTCTCCTGCCTCAGCCTCCTGAGTAGCTGGGATTACAGGTGCGTGCCACCAAGCCTGGCTAATTTTTGTATTTTTAGTAGAGACGGGGTTTCACTAGTTGGACAGGCTAGTCTCCAACTCCTGATCTCAGGTGGTCCACCCACCTCGGCCTCCCAAAGTGCTGGGATTACAGGCGTGAGACACCAGGCCCAGCCTCAACTGTAGACTTTTAACTCAAAGGTACAAAAATTGGATTATGTCTGGGCCAGTTTTTTCCCTTGTCGATGGTATAGCCCATTGGTTAGAGTTCAGACTGTGGCTACAAGTAGAACTGGATTCTTTTTTTTTTTTTTTTTTTTAAGCTGTATAAGTGAAAACTACTTGGGCAAGTTACTTAACCTCTTGGTATATTAGTTTCCTCATCTGTAAAATTCTGGTTATGCTTGCCTTTTAGTGTTTGTTAAACATTCTTATGCTCAAAAAACAAGCAAATAAAAACTCCTTATCTTCATCCACATCCCCTTCTGGTTACACCTAATGGTCTCAATTTTCTCATCACACAAGCACCACCAACTCATCTGAATCTAGCTTCGGCCTTGTTCCCTCCACCCAAACCAGTGTCACTAAAACCATCTCAGTCCATCACACCTGACCTCTCAGCAGCCCTAGAACCAGATGATCACTTTCTTCTTGAAACTGACTTTCCATGCTTCCCACAATATCAAATTCTCCGGATCGTCACCTTCCCTTTCTGCCTGTTCCTTCTCAATGTCTTTTGGAGTTTCCTCCTCCTCCACCCAATGTTTCATTGTTGGATTTCCTCAGCACTCAGCTGGCAAGGCTTTTTTTTTTTTTTTTTTTTTTTTGAGACAGAGTCTCGCTGACTCACTGCAACCTCCACCTCCCAGGTTCAAGCGATTTTCCTGCCTCAGACTCCTGAGTAGCTGGGATTACAGGCACGTGCCACCATGCCCAGCTAATTTTTTATTTTTAGTAGAAACGGGGTTTCATCATATTGGTCAGGCTGGTCTGAAACTCCTGACCTTAGGTGATCTACCCACCTCAGCCTCCCAAAGTGCTGGGATTACAGGCGTGAGCCACTGTGCCCAGCCTGGAAAGTCCTTTTGATTTCTTCTTCTACATAATTTCATCCTCCATTATTTCAATTAACATCTATATCAAACTGAGAGTAGTTCATCAGTGGGTTGTGATATCAACCATTGGGTCATGAGTAGCAATTTTTTAAAAAATGAAATAGGATGCAAAACATCAGAGCATATCACGTGGATTAAGGATAATTGGGCAGTAACCCAAATGTCCATCAACAGACAAACAGGTAAACAACTTGTGGCCTATCCCTACAATGGAATGGAGTACTGTACTGCAAGTAAAGGGAGTACATTATTGATCCATGGGACACCACAGATTAGGAGTTGGCAGACTTTTTCTGTAAAGGGCCTGGTTGTAAATATTTCAGGCTTTGCAAGCTGTAGTTTAGGTTCTTGCGATCTCGGTCTCAAGTATTTGATTCTGTAGCATGGAAACAGCCACAGACAGTATGTAAACAAGTGAGCGTTGCTGTGTTCCAATAAAGCTTTATTTATAGACATTGAATTTTGGATTTCATTTAATTTACATGTGTCACAAAATATTCTTCTTTGAGTTTTTTTTCAATCTCTTAAAAATATAAAGTCATGCTGAGCTCTTAGGCCTTTGCATAATCAGGTACTGGGCCAGATTTGGCCCACAGGCCCTAGTTTGCTGGTCCCTGTCATAGATGAATCTTAAAAACATTATGCTGAGTGAAAGAAGCCAGATACATGGCCTGGAGCCTGTAATCCCAGTACTTTGGGAGGCCGAGGTGTGAGGTTTGCTTGAGCCCAGGAATCTGAGGCCAGCCTAGGCAACAAAGAGAGACCCAGTCTCTACCAAAAAAAAAAAAACAAAAATTAGCTGGGAATGGAGGATTTCTCAAGCCTGGGAGGTTGAGGCTGCAGTGAGCTGTGATTGCACCACTGCACTCTAGCCTGGGTGACACAGCAAGACCCTGTCTCCAAGGAAATAAAAAAGCCAGATACAAGTGAATACCTATTTCATATGTATACTGTATATATGCTCTATGGTTTCATTTATATGGAATTCTAGAAAATGCAAACTATAATGACAGAAAGCCTGGGGCTGAGATGGAGGGGGAATTGACTGCCAAGGGGTGCTGGGGAGTTTTTGGAAATGACAGAAGAGCTCTGTATTTTAATCGTGGTGGTTACACAGGTATATACATTTGTCAAAACCTGTTGAACTGTACATGTAATATGGGTGAATTTTATTATATTATGTAAAACATATGAAAATCTATTATGTAAAACATACTTCAACAAAGTTGATTAAAAAATATCAGCGCATTGGTTGGTTATTTTACTATTGGGTAAAAAAATTCTTTTCTTTTTTTTTTTGAGACCGAGTCTCACTCTGTTGCCCAGGCTGGAGTGCAGTGGTGTGATCTCAGCTCACTGCAATGTCTGCCTCCCAGGTTCAAGCGATTCTTATGCCTCAGCCTCCCAAGTAGCTGGGACTACAGGTGTGAGCCACCATGTCCAACTAATTTTTGTATTTTTAGTAGAGACAGGGTTTCACCATGTTGGCCAGACTGGTCTCGAGCTCCTGACCTCAAATGATCCAACTCAGCCTCCCAGAGTGCTGGGATTACAGGTGTGAGCCACCATGCCTAGCCAAAAATTTCTTAAAAAAAAAGAAAAAAGAAAAAAAATCAGAGCATCTTCTATGGTAGTAAGGGTACTCATTGCTTCTGAAACTTCTGCCTCAGTTGTACACATTTATAGCTGTGCCTTGATTGCACTGAACTCGTCTTCTACCCTAAACCACGGATTCTCGCACTCCACATCCCATAAAAGCTCCCCATCATCCACCCAGCTGTTCACGCCAGGAACCAGGGTGTCTTCCTCTCTCTCACACTTTCCCTTCCCTAACCCCTTCCAATCAGTGTTGCCACTTCCACCTCCTAAATATCTCTCAAAGCTGTCTGCATCTCTATTTCCGTTGCTACCGCCTTGACTACTGCCATATCTAAGCAGTCTGTGTAGCCAAACCATTCTCAATACAGAAACCAGAGTCATCTATTTAATGTAGAAATCAGATCATCTGCTTACAAACCTTCAGCTGTCCATGGAATAAAGCGAGCATCCTTCACTTGGCCCATGAGTATAGAATATGGCCCCTGCCTACCTCTTTGGTCTCTGGCTGTCATTATTCCCTTGATTATTCTCTTGGTCTTTTTGTTGTTGTTGTTGTTTCTTTTTGTTTTTGTTTTGAGACAGGGTCTCACTTGGTTACCCAGGCTGGAGTGCAGTGGTGTGAACACAGCTCACTGCAACCTCCACTTCCCAGGCTCAAGTGATCCTCCCACCTCAGCCTCCCGAGTAGCTGGGACCACAGGTGTACACCATCATGCCTGGCTAATTTTTTTGTATTTTTGTGGGTTTCACCATGTTGCCTAGGCTGGTCTCCAACTCCTGAGCGCAAATGATCCACCTGCCTCGGCCTCCCAAAGTGCTGGGATTACAGGCGCGAGCCACAGTGCCCCCCTTGGTCTTTCTGTACAGCAAGATCTTTCCTGACAAGCTGTTTTCTTCGATGAGACTGTTCTTTTTTTCCCTTCCCTTTTGTCTTGTGTAACTTCTAATCCCTTTGGTAGAAGTGTAAGTATCATTTTCTCAGGGAAATCTCATGAGTGCTTATAGGCACCTGTCTTTCTCCTTTATGTACTTGGCACAATCACGATTAATTAGTTGCTTAATGTCTACCTCCCTTGATAGATTATCAATGCCATATCCGCAGGGACAGAATCTGTCTTTAATATTATTGTGTCCCCAAGTGACTGCAAATAGGCTCTCAAAAAATAGTCATAGAATTAATGAGTAATGAATCCACATACTGGCACAGTGTGTATATTTTATTTCCAAAACATTTCCATTGTTTTCAATCTGGTTTTAATGAGCATCATACTTTATTTTATTTATTTATTTTTTGAGACAGAGTCTTGTTCTGTCACCCAGGCTGGAGTGCAGTGGCTTGATTTCAGCTCACTGCAACCTCTGCCTCCTGGGTTTGAGCAATTCTCCTGCCTCAGCGTCCTGAGTAGCTGGGATTACAGGTGCCCACCACCATGCCTGGCTAATTTTTGGAGTTTTATTAGAGACCGGGTTTGACCATGTTGGCCAGGCTGGTCTCGATCTTGTGACCTCAGGTGATCTGCCCGCCTCAGCCTCTGAAAGCTCTGGGATTACAGGTGTGAGCCACCATGCCCGGCCGAGAATCATATTTTAAAGACACTACATGGAGGCAGAGGCATTTACCTCCCAAGTCTAGCTAATCCAGTGCCTAGGATGCAGTGGGAGTTCAATAAATAATTACTAAATGCGTGAATTCAACAAATATTTTCTGAAGGTGCATTATATACCACACAGTATTTTAGAAATTGGAGATACAATAATCATTAAAAGGGATTAAGTCTTTGCCTTTTGCGGATTTTTTTTTTTTAACTTGAGGTAGGTAGGTCTCACTTTGTCCCTCAGGCTGGAATGCAGTGGCATGATCCTGGCTCACTGCAGCCTCAACCTCCTGGGTTCAAGTGATCCTTCTACCTCAGCCTCCCAAACTGCTGGGACTACAGGCATGCACCACCACGCCCAGCTAATTTTTTAATTTTTGAAGAGGTGGGATCTCCCTATGTTGCTCTGGCTGGTCTTTGAGCACCTGGGTTCAAGTGATCCTCCTGCCCTGGCCTCCCAAAGTGCTGGGATTACAGGCATAAGCCATTGTGTCTGGCTATTTTTGTGGATCTTATATCCTATTGTAACAGAGAGATAAGTAGCTATATAATGTATGTTAATTACTTGTAAATACCATAAGAAAAATAAAGCAAAATAAAAGAGAGTAAATTATGCATGAATCCGTCCCTTGGCTGTCAATTTGAAATCTCTGCTCTGAAACATCGAAAATGTTTTAGAAAATGTTTGTTCAGTGATAACTAGCTAGATATAGAAGAAAGCAACACCAGCCACTACCATCAATGATTTGTTGATTTATTATTAATTTTCAAGACCTTGAGGAAAGTATTCCCATTGACAATTTTTCTGGTACTCAAAGGACCTTTTTGTTTTTGTTTTTGTTTTTGTTTTTTTGAGCTAGGCTCTCACTCCTGTCTCTCACGCTGGAGTGCAGTGGTGTTTCAGCTCACTGCAACCTCTGCCTCATGGGCTCAAGCCATCCTCCCACCTCAGCCTCCACAGTGGCTAGGACACAACCACCGCTGGCTAATTTTTGTATTTTTGGTAGAGATGGGGTTTCACCATGTTGTCCAGGCTGGTCTCAAACTCCTGAGCTCAAGCATCCATTCACCTTGGCCTCCCAAAGTGCTGGGATTACAGGCATAAGCCACCACACCTGGCTGAAAATAAGAATTTTTATTAGCATTTTAAACTATAATTGATGTTTAATTTGTTTCAGATTTATTTACATTTCATGAAAGTGAACAGGCTTCTCTAAAACTGTGTGCCCAGAAGGCAAATGGGCAAAGACATTAACCGACAATATAAAAAGGAAAAACATGCAAATAGTCAACATGACAAAAAGTTCAACATTACTAGTGACCAAAAAAATGCAGAAATGGATCAAATAGCATTTTTGCCTATAATTAGCAAAGTTTTTTTAAAAAATAATAACATCCGGCTGGGCATGGTGGCTCACACCTGTACTCCCAGCACATTGGGAAGCCGAGGCAGGCGGATCACGTGAGGTCAGGAGTTCGAGACCAGCCTGACCAACATAGTGAAACCCCATCTCTACTAAAAATAAAAAATTGGCCGGGTGTGGTGACGCATGCCTTGTAGTCCCAGCTATTCAGGAGGCTGAGGCAGGAGAATTGCTTGAAACCAGGAGGCGGAGGTTGCAGTGAGTGGAGATCGTGCCAATGAACTCCGGCCTGGGCGACAGAGCGAGACTTTGTCTCAAAAAATAAAATAAAATAACATCCCGTGTTAGTGTAGACGGAAATAAGTATTCTCGGCCGGGCCCGGTGACTCACGCCTGTAATCCCAGCACTATGGGAGGCACAGGCGGGTCGATCACCTGAGGTTGGAAGTTTGAGACCAGCCTGAGCAACATGGAGAAATTCCTGTCTCTAGTAAAAGTACAAAATTAGCCAGGCGTGGTGGTGCATGCCTGTAATCCCAGCTACTTGGGAGGCTGAGGCAGGAGAATCGCTTGAACCCAGGAGGCAGAGGTTGTGGTGAGCCGAGACAGTACCATTGCACTCCAGCCTGGGCAATAAGAGCGAAACTCCGTCTCAAAAAAAAATAGAAGAAAATAAGTATTCTTATGGATTGCTGGTAGAATTTCAGATTGTTATAAAACCTTTGACGTATTTCATTTGTGTTGAACTGAATGGAACTGGGCATTCAGTAACAAAAACACTTAAAATATACCTAGGTTTTGTACTTAAAATTCTACTCCCAAAGTGTAAACTAAATACATAAATATGTTAGAGGTTTAACTATAAGACCGTCCACAGTAGCGCTGCTTATAATGAAACAAAATTGAAAACAAACTATATATACAACAAAATAACAGGGAATTGGCTAAATAGTGGTACTTCCATAAAACTGGTTAAGACACAAGCTGTAAAAAAAAAAAGTGCCAGGTGCGGTGGCTCTCGCCTGTAATCCTAGCACTTTGGGATGCCGATGTGGGAGGATCACTTAAGGTCAGAAGTTTGAGACCAGCCTGGCTGACATGGTGAAACCCCGTCTCTAATAAAAGTACAAAAAAATTAGCCGGACATGGTGGTGGACACCTGGAATCCCACCTACTTGGGAGGCTGAGGCAGGAGAATCACTGGAACCTGGGAGGCAGAGGTTGCAGTGTGCTGACATCACGCCACTGCTCTCTAGCCTGGGAGACAGAGTGAGACTCCTTCTCAAAAAAAAAAAAAAAAAAAAGTGATGCAGGTACACAGTTGTTAATATGGAAAGTTGACACTGTTAACTCAAAAGGGCTGGTAAGAACACAGCATGTGTAATATGAACCTAATTTTTTTTTAAATGAAAAACTACATGCATAGAAAAGACTATAAAAAATTCATAAAAAATGAAAAGAGTGGTTAACACTAGAGATGTTAATTTTGTTTTTTTTTTTTTTGGAGATGGAGTCTGTCTCTGTTGCCCAGGCTGGAGTGCAGTGGTACAATTTCGGCTCATTGCAGCCTACACCTCCCAGGCACAAAGGATTCTCCTGCCTCAGCCTCCCAAATAGCTGGGATTACAGGCACCCACCATCACTCCTGGCTAATTTTGTATTTTTAGTAGAGATGGGGTTGTGCCATGTTGGCCAGGCTGGTCTCGAACTCCTGGCCTCAGGTGATCCACCTTGGCCTCTCAAAGTGCTGAGATTACAGGTGTGAGCCACCGCGCCCAGCCAAGATGTTAATTTTCTTAATTACACTTTTTTGTTTTTCATACTTGTAGAATTATTTTTTAAAACCACTAAACAGCCAGGCACAATGCCAGGAGCCCATGGTCCCAGCTACTCAGGAGATCGAGTTGGGAGGATCACTTGAACCCAAGAGTTTGAGGCCAGCCTGGGCAACACAGCAAGATCCCATCTCTAAAAAAAGAAAATAAAAAACATCAAAACAGTCAGTTTTTGATCTATTGCCTTCCAGCTCCAAATCCATCCTTTTTGCCTTCTGGGTAAAAATGGATCTGGGCCCTTTAAATAGCTTTCCTTTGCCAGGAGGCACAATGTTATTTTAAGTTTTGTCAGTACAGGGTGCTGGAGAGACACTGCAGGAGGAAAGGGTTTTGCTTATTGGTTCCTGCTGATGGCTTCTCCAGTGCCCAGCTCCTATACCACTCATTGGCAGGCAGCTTCCCCTGGCACTCCCCTCTGGTGGTCTTGCAGCAGAGTACCTTCAGTGAGACACCTTGCCATGAAAAGTTTACCCTGAGGGTAGATTTCCAGCAAGTTCCACCAACCAGCAGGGCATCACGTCAACTGTCTTCTTTGCTATTCAGTGACCCAGGGCTGTACCCTCTCTACCTGGTCAAGATCTCAGCCCTCCAGGGGTGATTGTTTCCGTAAGTGTCATATCTCAGTCCTAGGGGTAGTAGCTGTTCCTTGTATCTACTACTTGTATACTTTTTGGTTTTTTTTTGAGACAGGGTCTCACTCTGTTGCCCAGACTGGAGTGCAGTGGTACAATCTCGGCTGACTGCAACCTCTGCTTCCCTGGCTCAAGCAATCCTCCCACCTTAGCCTCCCGAGTAGCTGGGACTACGGACATGAGCCCCCATGCCTAGCTAATTAAAAAAAAAATTTTTTTTTTTTAGAAATGGAGTCTTGCTGTATTACCCAGGCTGGTCTCCAAATCCTGAGCTCAAGCTAATCACCTGCCTCAGCCTCCCAAAGAGCTGGGATTACAGACATGAGCCCCCTGCATCTGCCTGTATACTCTTCAGAGTTCCCTTCTTACTACTCAAACCCTCATTATTCCAGTCTCCTATTAACAATTCTTCATACAGTCCATCCTCATTATTCATGGGTTCCATATTTATAAATGTGTCTACCTTTCTAAAATGTATTTGGACCCCAAATCAATACCTCTGGTGCTTTTGCTATTATCTGAAGACATGTACATGCAGAGAGCAGCAAAATATTTAAGTCACATGATGCACCCATTCCCAGCTGAGGTCCAACAAGGTGACACTCTGCCTTCTTTTTTTTTTTTTTTTTTTTTTTTTTTTTAAGACAGAGTCTTGCTCTGTCGCCCAGACTGGAGTGCAGTGGCATGATCTTGGTTCACTGCAGCCTCCACCTCTGAGGTTCAAGCAATTCTCCTGCCTCAACGAGTAGCTGGGGCCACACACGTGCCACCATGCCCGGCTAATTTCTGTATTTTTATTTTTATTTATTTATTTATTGAGACAGAGTCTTGCTCTGTCTTCAGACTGGAGTGCAGTGGCGCAATCTCAGCTCAGTGCAACCTCTGCCTTCCAGGTTCAAGCGATTCTCCTGCCTCAGCCTCCTGAGTAGCTGGGACTACAGGCGGGTGCCACCATGCCTGGCTAATTTTTGTATTTTTAGTAGAGATGGGGTTTCACCATGTCGGCCAGGATGGTCTCGATCTCTTGACCTCTTGATCCACCCGCCTTGGTCTCCCAAAGTGCTGGGATTACACGCGTGAGCCACCACGCCCGGCCAATTTCTGTATTTTTAGTAGAGACAGGGCTTCACCATGTTGGCCAGGCTGGTCTTGAACTCCTGACCTCAAGTGATCGTCCTGCCTCAGTCTCCCAAAATGCTAGGGTCACAAGCATGAGCCACTGCACCTGGCCACACTCTGCCTTCTTGTCTCAGCTTTCAGACTGCAAACAAGTGTCCTCTCTGCAGTGTATTCAGTGTCACATCTTTCACAGTTCTGTGCTTTTTGTGATTTTGCTGCTTAAAATGGCCCCCAGCCAGGTGCGGTGGCTCTCACCTGTAATCCCAGCACTTTGGAAAGCCACGGCTGGTGGATCACCTGAGGTCAGGAGTTGGAGACCAGCCTGGCCAACATAGTGAAACCCTGTCTCTACTAAAAATTAAAAAAATTAGCCGGGCATGGTGGCGCATACCTGGAATCCCAGCTACTCCAGAGGCTGAGGCAGGAGAATCGATTGAATCTTGGAGGTGGAGGTTGTAGTGAGCCGAGATCACGCCACTGCACTCCAGACTGGGGAATAGAGCGAGACTTCATCTCAACATCAACAACAACAGAAGGCCCCTAAGTGTCCTCCTGAAGTGCTATCCAGTGTCTCTGAGTGCAAGAAGGCTGTGAAGTACCTAATGGAGAAGGTACATTTGTTAGATAAGCTTTGTTCAGGCATGAGTTACAATGCTGTTGGCCGTGAGTTCAATGTCAATGAATCAACAATATGTATTAGATAAGGCGTCCTTTAACACACACACATAAAAGAAGATTATGTATTGATTGCTTTATAAAAATGTTGCGACCAGAGGCTTGGAGACACCCAATCCTGCATTTCCTTTAGAGCAAATGATTCAATATTCACCAATTCAGTGTCCTTGGTGACTTTTTTGAATGTAACTATCTTGAATAATGAGAATCAACTATATTAAACTTTCCCTCTTCTAGCTGGGTGCAGTGGCTCCTGCCTGTAATCCCAGCACTTTGGGAGGCTGAGGAGGGCAGATTGCTTGAGTCCAGGAGTTTAAGACTAGTCTGGGCAACATGGCGAAACCCTGTCTACAAAAAACACAAAAATTAGCTGGGCGTGTAGTCCCAGCTACTTTGGAGGCGGAGGTGGGAGAATCACTTGAGCCTGGGAAGCAGAGGTCGCAGTGAGCCAAGATCGTGCCACTCCACTCCAGCCTGGGCAATGGAGTGAGACTCTGTGTGAAAAAAAAAAAAGAAAAAGAAAAATTGTATGGAAAATTTGCAGAAAGCGTAGCAGCAAGAGAGCACATCCCCAAGGTGATCCGGGCGCAGCTTGATTTTATACATTTTAGGGAAGCATGAAACATTAGTCAAATACATTTAAAGATTTACATTGGTTTGGTCTGGGTTATAGATAGATTAAAAATTTTCTGGGCTGGGCGCGGTGGCTCATGCCGGTAATCCCAGCACTTTGGGAGGCCGAGGCAGGCGGATCACAAGGTCAGGAGATCGAGACCATCCTGGCTAACACGGTGAAACCTCATCTCTACTAAAGATACAAAATATTAGTGGTGTGTGGTGGCGGGCGCCTGTAGTCCCAGCTACTCAGGAGCCTGAGGCAGGAGAGTGGCGTGAACCCAGGAGGCAGAGCTTGCAGTGAGCCAAGATCGCACCACTGCACTCCAGCCTGGGCGACAGAGCGAGGTTCCGTCTCAAAAAACAAAAAAAACAAAAAAAAAGAAAAAAAAGAAAAAAAGATTTCTGATGGGCAATTGGTTGAAAGAGTTATTATTAATAGAAAGGGATATATGGGTTACAATAAGAGGTTGCAGAGACTAAAGTTTTATCTCATAGATGAAGCATTCAGGTAGCAGGCTTCAGAGTAAATAGACTGTAAATTTCAGAGTGAATAGATTGTAAATGTTTCTTTTCTTTTTTTTCTCTTTTTTTGAGATGTAGTCTCACTCTGTCGCCCAGGCTGGAATGCAGTGACACGATCTCAGATCACCGCAATCTCCACCTCCCGGGCTCAAGCAGTTCTCATGCTCAGCCTCCCAAGTAGCTGGGATTACAGGCACATGCCACCACGCCTGGCTAATTTTTTGTATTTTTAGTAGAGATGGGGTTTCACCATGTTGGCCAGGCTGGTATCAAACTCCTGGCTTCAAGTAATCTACCCCCGTCAGCCTCCCAAAGTGCTGGGATTGTGCCACTGCACTCCAGCCTGGGTGACAGAGCGAGACTCCAACTCAAAAAAAAAAGGATAGAAAAGAAAATCAGGAAGGAGGGAAGATTACATATCATTTCCTTGCCAGCCTCTCTCCATTCTCATTTCAGGTGACAAAGAGGAAGGCAGTTGCTTTAGTTTCCTGCTCTGTGTCTGCACATATGAACAAGTCTCAGAGGCAGATGTTGAAGAAACTTCAGTGCTACATTTTTTGAGGGGTTGGCCTTACTGGTTGATTCATCTGCTTCATTGCAAAACAGTCCTTTTGGTCTTAAACATGTTGCGTGTTGGCCGGGCATGGTGGCTCACGCCTGTAATCCCAGCACTTTGAGAGGCCGAGGCAGGCAGATCTCCTGAGGTTAGGAGTTCTAGACCAGCCTGGCCAACATGGCGAAACCCCATCTCTACTAAAAATACGAAAAAATTTAGCCAGGCGTGGTGGCGCATGCCTGTAATCCCAGCTACTCAGGAGGCTGAGGCAAGAGAATCGCTTGAACCCGGGAGGCAAAGGTTGCAGCAAGCTGAGATCGTGCCACTGCACTCCAGCCTGGGTGACAGAGTGGGACTCCATCTCAAATTAATTAATTAATTAATTAATTAATTGTGCATCGTAGTCTTTTGTTTGTCAGTAGAAATTTCAGGATTCGCAAGAGAAGTTACATTTTAGACATGGTAGCCCCCTTGGTGGTTCTTATGAAACTGGGATTCATTTAAATGAAATAATAATAGCTACAATAAGCTTTACTGTAGTCATCTTAATATATTTTTAATGTGATCCTTAGTTGTAAACAGAAGCTCAGTTCCCACATCAGTACTTATTCCCTGCTGAAAGAGCGCCGAACAAAACCCTTTTTTCATTCGAACACAGCCCTATGTTCTCCATTCATCTCCCACTGTTTGGGGACATTAACGGGACATGAACGCACTGCCTAATTATTGCTGCAGGGCTCTGAGTCACAGCTTCCACGGATGATGAAGCATCAACGTAATGAAGTAATTTATCTTAGAGCATCTCTTCTTGTTTGAAGACCATGGGAGGCCTTTAGCATTTGCTTGAGTAATAGATTGTCTTTAATTCCTGATTTTTTTTTCTATTGCTTCTAAGAAGAGACAAGTATACAGTAATGCATTGGAAATCATCGAAGCCTTCTAAGTCTTCATTTTTCCTTCTTTCATTTCCCATTAAGTAAATCCATTGAGCTGCTCCACAAAGAACACCATGGATATTAGAGGATATTTGCCTCTAGAGATTGCTACCAATCCCTTGCCTCTCTGGGTTCCTAGGAGAACTGACTTGTGCAGAAGGTGCCCAGTAAATGTCAGTTTCATCCCTTTGGCTTTGCCAGATTTAGCAAAATAATTTTTTTCTTTACGTTTTTTAAATTTTTTAATTTTTTTTTTTTTTCTGAGACGGAATTTCGCTCTTGTTGCCCAGGCTGGAGTGATCCTCCTGCCTTGGCCTCCAGAGTAGCTGGGACTACAGGTGTGCACCACCATGCTCAGGTAATTAAAACAATTTTTTTTTTTTTTTGTAGATATGGAGGTTGTATCAGTCCGTTCTTGCATTGCTATAAAGAACTCCCTGAGACTGGGTAATTTATAAAGAAAAGAGGTTTAATTGACTCACAGTTCCACAGGCTGTGCAGGAGGCATGGCTGGGAGGCCTCAGGAAACTTTGAATCATGGCGGAAGGCAAAGGGGAAGCACGCACATCTTACATAGCTGGAGCAGGAGGAAGGGAGAGAAGGGGGAAGCGCTACATGCTTTTAAACCAACCAGATCTCATAAGAACTCACTCACTATCAGGAGAACAGCAAGGAGGCACTCTCCCCCCATGATCCAATCACCTCCCACCAGGTCCCTCCCCTAACACTGGGGATTATAATTCGGCATGAGATTTGGGCAGGGACCCAAATCCAAACCATAGCAGGGGGGTCTCACTATTTTGCCCAGACTGGTCTTGAACTCTTGGCCTGACAAGCGATCCTCCCGCCTCAGCTTACCAAAGTGCTGTGATTACAGATATGAGCCACCACATCAAGCTAACATAGGGATCGGCACTCTAGCCTGGGCGACAGAGGAGACTACGTCTCAAAACAATTAATTAATTAATTAAAATAAATAACCCCATACTTTCTGCCTCTGTGGCTTTGCCTGTTCTGGGTATTTCGTGTGAACGGACCCATGCATCTGGTGGTCCGGGCTCATTTCAAACGCTCAGCCCCCATGTCGGCCCATGGCCTCCGGATTGGATGGTGCGAGCTGGGTGTGCGCGGGGTGCTCAATCCCTCCGGAGCATCTGGAGTGGCCACGTGCAGGTGCGGGAGGCGGCGGCGGCGCAGGGGGCAGCTGGAGGCCCGGGAAGCCCGGACGTGGTGTAGGGAGCTGCCGACCATGCTGGCTTCTGATCGCGGGCTCCCAAATTCAAGACAGCCCTGGTGACATAGCAAGAGCCTGTCTCTATAAAAAATTAAAAATCAGCCAGGCATGGTGGTGCATGCCTGTGGTCCCAGCTACTCGTGAGGCTGAGGCGGGAGGATCACTTCAGCCTCGGGGTTTGAGGCTGCAGTGAGCTATGACTGTACCACTGCGTTCCAGCCTAGGTGACAGAGTAAGACTTTGTCTAAAAAAAAGAGAGAGAAAGGGAGATGGGAAGATTTATGCTGCTGACTTTGAAGATGTTGGATGGGGAGCCAAGGAGTGCAGGGAGCATCTAGAAGCTTGGAAGAGGCAAGAAAATGAACTCTCCTTTAGGACCTCCAGGAGGAATGCAGTCCTGCAGACCCATTTTAGACTCTGACCCCCCAAATTCTAAGACAAGAAGTTTGTGTTCTTTTAAGCCATTAAATTCGTGGTAATTTGTTACCTCAGCCATGGGAAAATGATACAAGGGGGATATAAGTAAAAAGCAAAGAAGGAGATGTTTTGGTGAGCTGGAAGCCTGCCCAGCTGGGAGAAATCTAACAGAAGTTTACTCCGGACCAGTAACAAGGATAAGGAGCCGGAGAAGGCTATAAATCAATAAACGGGCAGATAAAAAGGGTCAGAGAACATAGAAATGGGCAGATTTCCAAGAACTGAAGAGAATGGATATATTAGTTTGCTGGGGCTGCCATAACAAAATAGCGCACACAGCGTGGCTTAGACAATAGAAACTTATTTGCTCACCCTTCTGGAGGCAAGAAGTCCAAGACCAGGGTGCCTGCTGGGTTAGTTTCACACGGCTGCCTTCTTGCTGTGTCTTCACATGGTCTTTCCTTGGTGTGAAAACATCCCTGGTGCCTCGTTTTATTTATTTATTTTTTAAATAAAAAAAAAGAGAGAGAGAGTGACAGGGTCTCACTACGTTGCCCAGGCTGGTTTTGAACTCCTGAGCTCAGGCAATCCTCCTGCCTTGGCCTCCTAAAGGGCTGGGATTACAGGCATGAGCCACCATGCCCGGCCCCTGGTGCCTGTTTGTGTGTCCAAATTTTTTTTTTATTTTATTTTATTTTTAAAGACGGAATCTTGCTCTGTCACCCAGGCTGTAGTGCAGTGGCTCGATCTCCTCTCACTGCAACCTCCCTCTCCCAGGTTCAAGCGATTCTCCTGCCTCAGCCTCCCAAGTAGTTGGGATTACAGACATGTGCCACCACACCCAGCTAATTTTTAGTAGAGATGGGGTTTCACCATGTTGGCCAGGCTGGTCTCAAGTGATCTTCGTACCTCAAGTGATCCTCCTACTTTAGCCTCCTAAAGTGCTGGGATTACAGGTGTGAGCCACCAACCATGCCCCCAAATTTCCTCTTCTTATAAGGACACCAGACAGATTGGATTAGAGCCCATCCTAAAGGTCTCACTTTAACTTAATTGCCATTTTAAAGGCCTTATCTTCAAACACAGTCGCCTTCTGAGGTACTGGAAATTAGGGCTCCAATATATGAATTTTGGAGGGCATCATTTAGCCCATAACAACTGGGTTGATAAACTGAGGGACAGCCTACAGAATAGCCGGTTAGTGATCTCACTTGGAGACTAAGGCCATTTGACAGTTCAACACAATGTGAAGCAATCTGGGATTGGAGGCCAGACTGGGAACAAAGAACCTTAGGGTGACGATCGGTGATCATTTGAATAAGATCTGTAGATTAGGTACGTGTATGATTTCCGTGCTTATTTCCTTGTTTTGATCATTGTACTATGGTCATGTAAGATATCAATATTTCAGGAAGCTTGGATGAAGAGTATGTGGTAACTCTTTGTACTATTTTTGCAACTTCTTTCAAAGTCTGTAGTTATTTCAAAGTTAAAAGCTAAAAATCAAGGCCAGGCACGGTGGCTCATGGCTATAATCCCAGCACTTTGGGAGGCCGAGGCCGGCGGATCACCTGAGGACAAGAGTTGGAGACGAGCCTGGCCCACATGGCGAAACCCCGTCTGTACTAAAAATACCAAAATGATCCAGGCATGGTAGCGCATGCCTTTATTCCCAGCTACTGGAGAGGCTGAGCCAGGAGAATCGCTTGAACTTGGGAGGGAGAAGTTGCAGTGAGCCAAGATCGCACCACTGTACTCCAGAGCCTGGGCAACAGGAGTCTGTCTCAAAAAAAAAAAAAAAAAAAAAGAAAAAAGAGAAGTTAAAATCAGGGCCAGGTGCGGTGGATCATGCCTGTAATCCCAGCACTTTGGGAGGCCAAGGTGTGTGGATCACAAGGTCAGGAGATCGAGACCATCTTGGCTAACATGATGAAACCCCATCTCTACTAAAAATACAAAAAAAAAAAAGAAAGAAAGAAAAATTAGCCGGACATGGTGGCGGGTGCCTGTAGTCCCAGCTACTCAGGAGGCTGAGGCAGGAAGCTACGTTGAGCCCAGGCATTTGAGGTTGCAGTGAGCTATGATTGTGCCACTGCACTCCAGCCTGGGAAACAGGGTAAGACCCTATCTCAAAAAAAAAAAAAAAAAAAAAAAGGTGAGAAAAAGAAGCAAGGAGAAAATGAGTTCTATGAGGTGCGAGACTCTATATTGTCTGTTGCTTGGGTTCCCACTGACACCCCACTTTTGGGACAGTGCCTGGAAGCTGGGAGCTCAGCATATGTTTTGGGAGGTGATGATCATTGAGGCACAAACCGAAGAGGAGAAGGCACACTGGGCCTCATCTCACATTCATAAAAGCCATCACATTGTAACTTTTGACATTCTCTCTAGAGGAAGTCACACAATCAGTAGTGTATTGCGTGGGTTGCAAATGTGAATTCTTGGCCTGTAAACAGTTCAAACACATTGCCATTTTGGTAACTGAGTTTTGCTATCCCTTCAGTACAGCAAATCTTCAGTAAAGATTTGTTTAATAGAGATGGGGTTTCACCATGGTCTCTACTAAACCCTGTCTCTACTAAAAATACAAAAATTACCCAGGCGTGGTGGCACATGCCTGTAGTCCCAGGTACTCAAGAGGCTGAGGCAGGGGAATCACTTGAACCTGGGAGGTGGAGGTTGCAGTGACCCAAAATCATGCACTCTAGCCTGGGGTCTCGCTTTTGCCCAGGTTAGAGTGCAGTGGCACAATCATAGTGGCTCACTGCAGCCTCAAACTCCTGGGCTGAAGGGAATCCTCCCACCTCAGCCTCCCAAGTAGCTAGGACTACAGGCATGTGCCATCATGGCGAGTTAATTTTTTATGTGTTTTTATTGTCTCGAGACAGAGTCTTGCTCTGTTGCTCAGGCTGGACTGCAATGGCGTGATCTTGGCTCACCGCAACCTCCACCTCCTGGGTTCAAGCGATTCTCCTTAGTAGAGACAGGGTTTCGCCATGTTGGTCAGGCTGCTCTTGAACTCCTGACCTCGTGATCCACCTGCCTCGGCCTCTCAAAGTGTTGGGATTACAGGCATGAGCCACTGGGCCTGGCCTGGTGAGCTAATTTTTAAATTTGTTATAGAGACAAGAGTCTCTCTTATGTTGCCCAGGCTGGTCTCGACCCCCTGGCCTCAAGTGATCCTCCCACCTCAGCCTCCCAAAGTGCTGGGATTACAGATGGGTGTCACCGCACCTGGCCTCTGAGGAGGATTTCATTATAAAGCTGCCCTGAAGGGAGGGAATCCAATTTTACGAGAGGGTGTAGCCTGGTGAGGCCTGGATGACCTCCGGAGGCAGGGGCTTGTGCCTGGGCTGAGGCCTAAGGGTCAATGGGCAGACATGAAGTTGCCCCAGGCAGAGGGTACAGTGTGGGCAAAGTCAGGAAGTGGCAGGGCTTGGATCACTAGGAAGAGAGAGGAGTCATGTGTCACAGGAGCTCGAGACCCAGAGAGGGAGGCAGGCAGGCAGGCAGGGACCAAGCTTGGGCACAGCCAGGAAGGCAGGACAGGGCATGGTGGGGCCAATGGAATCATTACCCAAGACGGAGATTTTCAGGGAAACAGCTTAGATAAGGCCAGGCGTACAGTAGCTCCCACCTGTAATCCCAGCATTTGGGGAGGCTGAGGTAGGAGGACTGCTTGAGCCTGGGAGTTCGAGACCAGCCTAGGCAACATAGTGAGACCCCATATCCATAAAAAATTTAAAAAAGGAGTTTGTGTTCCTGTAGTAGCAGACTTGGGAGGTTGAGGTAGCAGTATCACTTGAGCCCGGGAGTTCAAGGCTAAAGTGAGCTGATTGAGCCACTGCACTCCAGCCTGAGCAACAGAGAGATACGCTGTCTCAAAGGAAATACAAATTAAAAAACCAGCCGGGCATGCTGGCGTGTGCCTGTAGTCTCAGCTACTTGGGACGCTGAAGTGGGAGGATCGCTTGAGCCCAGGAGTTCAAGGCTGCCGTGAGCTATGATTGTGCCTCTGCAGTCCAGCCTGGGCGACAGAGAAAGACCCTGTCTCTTAAAAAAAAAAAAATCTTAGATAAGAGGATGCTGTGCCTCCCTGGGGGTCTTCAGTCACCCATAGTCCTGGCAAGAGAGGAGGGCCAGGAGAGAGCTTCACCCACCTGCTGTCCTGCCCATGTGACATCCGCAGGTGCTGCCATGGCCACGACTGTTGTTACACTCGAGCTGAGGAGGCCGGCTGCAGCCCCAAGACAGAGCGCTACTCCTGGCAGTGCGTCAATCAGAGCGTCCTGTGCGGTGAGTCCCCAGCAGCACCATGCCACCCACCCCGAGTATCCCCTGGGCACCCTGGCATAGCCAGATGACTTCCGTGCCCCTGTTGCAATAACCACTGCTTCCAAGTCTCTATAGACCACCCCTTGGGTATATCTAATGTAAGTGATATTTATTTTATTTATTTTTTGAGTCAGTCTCGCTCTGTCACCCAGGCTAGAGTGTGCTGATGTGATCTCGGCTCACTACAACCTCTGCCTCCTGGGTTCAAGCGATTCTCATGCCTCAGCCTCCCAAGTGGCTGGGACTACAGGCATGCACCATCACGCCCAGCTAATTTTTGTATTTTTTCAGTAGAGGTGGGGTTTCACCAAGTTGGCCAGGCTGGTCTCAAACTCCCCACCTCAAGTGCTCTGCCCGCCTCGGCCTCCCAAAGTGCTGGGATTACAGGCATGAGCCGTGGTGTCTGGCCCTAATGTGAGTGATCTTTAACACTGAGCACTTGAAAAAGAAAACCCTGAAGAAACCTAATTCTTTGATGTCTGGATGACAAGGAAGAAGATAGAAATGGCATCAGATAATAAACAGTGTAAATGTTTATCAGAAAGAGGCTGGTGGTCGGGACAAGTAGGAGGATTGCTTGAGTCCAGGAGTGCATCTCTACAAAAAAGTTAAAGGATTTTTTAACATTGGCCAGGCGTGGTGGCACACATCTGTGATCCCAGCTACTTGGGAGGCTGGGGCAGGAGGATTGCTTGAAGCCCAGGAGGTTGAGGCTGCAGTGAGCTGTGATCGAGCCACTGCACTCCAGCCTGGGTGACAGAGCAAACTCCAGTCTCAAAAAAAAAAACAAATAATAATATTTTACATAACCAACCACTTCTAAAGATTAAAAAAACCCCTACGATTAAAAACCTCAGGTCCCTCAGGCAATCATACCAGATATTGAAACAAAGCAATAACATAAGGACTGCAGTATTCATTTTATTTTTATATTATTTATTTATTCTTCCTTAGTTTCTTGAGATTATCATCCGCTGAGGGTGGAAGGGGAGTGAGCAGACACACTCGGGAGGTGTCTTGAGATTATCATCCACTGAGGGTGGAGCTGAGGGTGGAAGGGGAGTGAACAGACACTCGGGAGGTGTCTTGAGATTATCATCCGCTGAGGGTGGAAGGGGATAGAGCAGACACTCCGCAGGTGTCTTGAGATTATCATCCGCTGAGGGTAGAGCTGAGGGTGGAAGGGGAGTGAGCAGACACTCGGGAGGTGTCTTGAGATTATCATCCGCTGAGGGTGGAAGGGGATAGAGCAGACGCTCGGAAGGTGTCTTGAGGCTCAGGGAGTTATCAATTATAGAATGTTGTTGAGTTGGAGGAGGTGGCTGGTGGCCCATCCTGTTTTTTAAAGTTTCAGCTGTGAGGTAGGGCCAGTAGGGCAATCCTGAAGAATGACGATGCTCCACTGCCGCCATTCTGACCTGTAGGGCCAAAGGAGGGAATGTTTTCACACATATTCATTTGATGGACAAAATTACCGCCACCAACACAGTCTGCACCTTCTGTTGCTGGTGATAGATTTTTGCACCTTTCCATCCTCCAGGTTTCAAAATAGCAGTGTCAGTGTCATAATATCACCCTTCCACTGAGTACTGCCGACAGCTAGGGGGTAAAGAAAAGTCTTTGGGACACACTGTTGTCTCCACATGCCACTGTGTCTGTCTGCAAATGTAGGCAGGCTGGGGTCCTGCCCCAGGGAAGACAGAGTCATAACAGAGTAATAAAGAAGCATGTTTGAGACACAGGAGTGTCTATGTCTATCCTCATTCCTCCCTCACAGCCATCACCAGAGCATGTTTCTTGCACCAGGTCAATAGACAGTAAGAGACAGTAAGAGAGGCATGAAAAGCCCATTGTCCACACATGTTGCAGCTTCTTTTTGGAGAATGTTTTCCAGGCCTTTTATGTTCTGTCTCTGATTCTCAGAACTCTGCAAGGTCAGTGTGACCATCCTGCTCCAAATCTAAGAAAACAGAGGTTTCCAGAGGAAGGAGAAATTGTGCCCAGGGTCACACAGCTTGCAAGAGGCAGAGTGGAAGTTGATTCCAGCTCTGCCTGCAGGACCCTCTCATTTCCCCTCTGTTTCCCTTCTTGACAAAGGATCTTCTTCACTCTGGAGGTGCCACCCATGAGAACAAAGAGCTCTGGAGAGATGTGGATTCCTGAAGAGCTGCAGGGGAACTGGGAGAGGGTTTTCTGACAGAACAATCTTACCTCAAGAAGTCAGTTAGGCATGGCTGTAATATTTCTTTTCACTCCCAGGTAATACCAAATTGTAAGTGCACTAGGACATAAAGAATACTTTTGTCCATGGAAAAATGAGGTGGGAATTCTAAACAAAGCAAGTTTTAAAACTGTGTTTCACTTCAAGTGTACAAGTCCCATCGCGTGCAATCATAGGACTCGGCAGCTTTTGAAGGTACAGAGGCCACACAAGAACCAGCTTAGCTGAGCATCATTTAAGGCCCTCATTTGGAATTGTCCCTGTGGGTAATAAGTTACATTCACTCTTCACTAATTTACAGTCAGGGCCCATTTGCTATTACAAATACGGAACCTCTGACACTTAGAATATTAGATGGGGGCCCCACTGGGTGGGGATGAAGGTGTTTTTGCGCAACACGGTTACCAACAGGGATGGGACTGTGATGCTTGTAGGCAGCCTTCCTCTCTGCCATCTCCCTCTGCAGGGCTTGAGCACAGAGCCGTAGGGAGAAAAATGTATCCATGTCCTGACCTGGCAGACTATGTCCAAAAGCAAGGAAAACAAGCAAACTTACCCGGTTGCAAAGAGGCTTTCTTGCAGAAGGGGTGATCTGAAAAAGCCAACACATGAGAAATTGAATGTTGAGAGAGTCTAAGGGCCGTGGCATCATCTGCATCAGCACTGAACTATCCTGCAACTGCGGGGAGGAAGCTCCTTACTTTGCATCTGTAGTAGTCCTCTGCCCGCCGCCGCAACGCTTGCGCACGTTGAAACATTTCCCTATGGATTACAATCACTTTCATCAGATAAAGCACCACTTTCAGGATGATTTTAAATAATCTGCCATGTTTCTGTTATCCTCACAACTGTACCCTTACACAATCTATCTCTACCTAGAAAACGTATTTCAGATGGCTAGAAGAGTACAGTCTGAGCCGGTCACGGTGGCTGACGCCTGTAATCCCAGCACTCTGGGAGGGCGAGGCGGATGGATCACGAGGTCAGGAGATTGAGACCATCCTGGCTAATACGGTGAAACCCCGTCTCTACTAAAAATACAAAAAATTAGGCGGGGGTGGTGGCAGGCGCCTGTAATCCCAGCTACTCGGGAGGCTGAGGCAGGGGAATCACTTGAACCTGGGAGGCAGAGGTTGCAGTGAGCCAAGATCACGTCATTGCACTCCAGCCTGGGTGACACAGCAAGACTCCATCTCAGAAAAACAAAAACAAAAACAAAAACAAAAAAACTGTACAGTCTGATCCAAACTGTTGCTATATTGATTCCTCCTCTTGCTTACTGCCTGCTGACTTCTGAGATGATAGTTTCCTTCCCCATTCTCAGTATATCCCTAATTCATCCTTCATTGAGCATCTTTTATCATAAAGCTGTATTCTCTTTGTATTAATATCTTTACCGTGTTTCACAGGGCAGAAACAGCTGGGCTTATAAACAGGCATAGTCCTTTTGAAGGATGTGGTTGATCCTACAACAACACACTTTCCTAAGGATGACAACAACTCACCCCACCCCTAGAATGGCTGGTATGAACCGAGTTTCCACACAGTCTAGCTGGCAATGGGGTCAGGAGCCGTTTTGCTACTTCACATCTTTTGGTCACTGGTAAATATTAAGGTACTTTGTTTTCTGTTTTGTGAACTCTCTCTCTCTCACGATATGTCTTCTGACCATTTGTTTCTATTTCTGCATTTACTGGGTCTAAACATTGTACAAAGGTTAAAAACAACACTCCAATGGGCGTTTCCCAAGAGGGTGGGGTTCAGTTTCTGAACTCACATGTAGGTGTGTATTTCTTTCATATCCAATTTCCCATTTTCCTCTGCCTCTGACACCTGCCTCTCCTTTTCTCCGTGCTCACGTTCTTTCATGCTTAGTTTCCTCAGACTAGAAGGGAGAGAAATGCACACACATGATCCACCAGCACGTGTGGGATTCCCTCTGCCCTTCTGGCATCTGAAGGCTGATTCAAAGATCCCCCCTGCAACCTTCCCACAAATGAACCAACTGATTCTCACAACCGAAGGAAGAATGGACACCTCCCATTGAGGGACAAAAAAAAATCACACTCTGGCCTGCTGGCAAGTCACCTGTCATTTCCAGCTCATCTTCATAGTTCCATAGTTAGTCCTATTCTTTAGTAAATATAAAGACTATTAAAAGCTTCTATGAGGTGCACTATGTGCGTCTCTGGGGTCAGTCTTGTGCTTGACACAGCGAAAGCTCATTTTAGTTCAGTGTGAAAAACCAGACCTCACCAATTCATCACAACTAACTCCATCGGAAGCAGAGGATTGCTCCTCATCTGACTTCTCCTGTGTGAGACCTGATTCTCAGTCAGAGGCTGATGCCGGAACTGAGACCATCAGCCATAGAGAGATCCTTCCAGAATATGGTGTCATTAACCCCGCAGTTCACTACTGCACTTTGCCATGATTCAGGACTGGAACTCTTGTCATCGACTTTAAAGATCCTGAAAAGGCAATCTGAATGCTGGGTGCATCTATTGAATTAGAAATGATCGGAATGGCTCCTAAGTCAGGATGTTATGTCCTGAAAATAGGTGACAACGGCAAACCATCCACCCTGGTGTTGACTGACTTTAACAAGGTTCAGTTCACAGAGATTGAGGGCAGAAAAAGGAAACGGCCTCAAAAGGGTAAGTTTGCTGTGTTGCCCTCACACCACTTGATTCATGGTCCTGATCCTAAGGATCTCACCTGATACTTGGTTTTATAGGAAGGATGTGTAAAATTCCCAGAACGCTAGGAAACAGGGACGAAAACACTTCAAAGAGAAAGTTAATGAACTTGTTTCTGACCACAGGGCATCCTTCAGCACATGCTGTCTGGAGTGGCCTCAAACAAGGTGTGTGTGGTGAGGTGCTGACAATGCAATGGGAGCAGGGTCCTGTCCCCACGCTAAAGAAGCTCACAGTTTAATGCAAATGAGAAGCCAGTGAGGACATCACTACTCCTGCTGTGCACTTGGGAACTAGAAACACAAAACCTGACTCTGGAGGGAGGCTAAGGAAGCATTCTACTCTTGAGTTGACATAAGTGCATCTGAAGCTTCTGATCTCAGATGAGAACAATGGGGGACACCAAACAGAATATAAAACCCATGATTGAATACATCAAATTGCTAACATGGCAGTAAACAGACATGAGGTGAAGATGGAGAAGAAGGAAACCCAGGACGAAAGTCAGCCTCGCATTTGGAACCCATTTCCCTGAGTTTCATTGCTGAATTCCAGAAGGAACTACTGAGATGCAAAGAAGCACAGCAGCTTTTGCACACATGCGTGGGGTTAGATGGAAAACAAGTGGATTGAGGGTCTGCCAATGAAAGCGATCCATACTGAAGTCCACTGGCTCTGGTTGAGACCCAGAAGAGTCATGCATCAGAATAGAGGTGGACAGGAAATACCCTGGCCTTTGTAGGGACTGAGCCTGCAGAGACGACCTCAATTGCAGCCTGTACGGAGGACCCCTGACCATCCCCCAGAAGTAGACTCCCATCTCTTCTGCAGCAAGATAACATGCTACTAGGCCTCAATTCATTGTTAAATATTTTTTAACAAGTATCTCACATTTAACAAAAAAAGATCAGTCATATGGCAGCAAAATACAATGTAGTATGACCAAAACATGAAAGACTGTGAAAATGAATCTGGAGGTGACCCAAGCATTGAGTTCAACAATCCAGGCTGGGTGCGGTGGCTCACACTGGGAGGCTGAGGTAGGCAGATCACCTGAGGTCAGGAGTTCAAGACTAGCCTGGCCAACATGGTGAACCCGTCTCTACTAAAAATACAAAAATTGGGCTGGGCACGGTGGCTCACGCCTGTAATCCCAGCACATTGGGAGGCCGAGTTGTGCGGATCATGATGTCAGGAGTTCTAGACCAGCTTGGCCAATATGGTGAAACCCCGCCTCTACTAAAAATACAAAAATTATCTGGGCATGGTGGCATATGCCTGTAGTCCCAGCTACTCAAGAGGCTGAGGGATAAGAATCGTTTGAACCTGGGAGGCGGAGGTTGCAGTGAGCCAAGATCATGCCACTGCACTCTAGCCTGGGTGACAGAGTGAGACTCTGTCTCAAAAAAAAAAAAAAAAAAAAAAAATTGGCCGAATGTGGTGGCACACACCTGTAATCCAAGCTACTCGGGAAGCCAAGGCAGAATTGCTTCAAACTGGGAGGCAGAGGTTGCAGTGAGCCAAGATTGCACCATAGCACTCCAGCCTGGGCGACAGAGCGAGACTCTATCTCAAAATTAAAAAAAAAAAAAAAGCCTGGGTGTGGTGGCTCACGCCTCTAATCCCAGCACTTTGGGAGGCTGAGGCGGGTGGATTACCTGAGGTCAGAAGTTCGAGACCAGTCTGGACAACATGGTGAAACCCCATCTCTAGTAAAAATACAAAAATTAGCTGGGCGTGGTGGTGGGCACCTGTAATCCCAGCTACTTGGGAGGCTGAGGCAGGAGAATTGCTTGAACCCAAAAGGCAGTGAGCTGAGATTGTGCCATTGCACTACGGCCTGGGCAACAAGAGCAAAGCTCCATTTCAGGAAAAAAAAAAAAAAAGAGAGAGAGAAAGGAAAACCAATGCCAGTACTAGCAACTCCTCTTCCCCTGAAAAAATGACAAACAAGAATGTAGGAAGGGAAAGGAATTATACAGCTTAAACTAATGAAGCAGAAAGGACAAGCTCAATTTTGAACCCACTGAATTTGCCACAAATATTGTAGAAAATATTCTCAAGGACTTTACAGTTGTCTACTTTGATTGGCACATGGTTCATACAACAGTATTTGTGTCAAGGCACATCTTACTGTTCTTTGGCGGTCTTCCTCTTTCCATTGATTTTGTCATGACGGTTGACTTTTGTTGTCACCTTCATCTTACGGATTTTAGCTCGAACTTTGGTTTCCACCTGTCTCCATAAAGTAAAGATGTCTTCCAGGACAATTTTAATTCCTGGAAAGGAAGAAACTCTTTTCTTTGTGTGCATACAAACGGACCTCAGCCCTTGGTGAGAGTGAGGAGAGGAGAAGGTGAGAAACCTGAGGGCAAGAAGCTGTTCTTTCCCTTTCCAGGGCAAACTCATTTCCACACTATGGGGACTCCAACAGAGCCATACCTTCCTGTCTACGGCGGTTGGACCTCCTGGCTCTCTGCTGTACATCCGTGGATCCATCATGTCCATTTTGAGACGGGAAGATAGTCTTCAGGAAAGACACCTAGGAAATAATAATATAAGAATGACGGCTGGGCACGGTGGCTCATGCGTATAATCCCAGTACTTTGGGAGGCCGAGGCAGGGTGGATCACGGGGTCAGGAGTTCAAGACCAGCCTGGCCAAGATGGTGAAACCCCATCTCTACTAAAAATACAAAAATTAGCCGGGCATGGCAGTGGGCGCCTGTAATCCGAGCTACTCGGGAGGCTGAGGCAGAGAACCGTTTGAAGCTGGGAGGTGGAGGTTGCAGTGAGCCGAGATCACACCACTGCACTCCAGCCTGAGTGACAGAATGAGACTCTGTCACACACACACACACACACACACACACACACACACACACACACAACACACAAGAATGACATGAGGCTGGCATGGTGGCTCACTCCTGTAATCCCAGCACTTTGGGAGGCCGAGGCAGGCGGATCACCTGAGGTCGGGAGTTTGAGACCAGCCTCACCAACATGGAGAAACGCTGTCTCTGCTAAAAATACAAAATTAGCCAGGCATGGTGGTGCATGCCTGTAATCCCAGCTAGTCGGGAGGCTGAGGCAGGAGAATCACTTGAACCCAGCAGGAAAAGGTTGTGTTGAGCTGAGATTGTGCCATTGCACTCCAACATGGGCAACAAAATTCAAACTCTGTCTCAAAAAAAAAAAAAAAAAAAAAATATAGGCCAGGTGCGGTAGCTCACGCCTGTAATCCCAGCACTTTGGGAGGCCGAGGCGGGTGAATCACAAGGTCAAGAGATGGAGACCATCCTGGGCAACATGGTGAAACCCCGTCTCTACTAAAAATACAAAAATTAGCTGAGCATGGTGGCGCACGCCTGTAGTCCCAGCTACTCCGGAGGCTGAGGCAGGAGAACTGCTTGAACCCAAGAGGCAGAGGTTGCAGTGAGCCAAGATCCCACCACTGCACTCCAGCCTGGTGACAGAGTGAGACTCCGTCTCAAAAAAAAAAAAAAAAAATGACATGAATATACTTCACACAACTGAACTGTACACTTCAACACGGTTAGATGGTAATTATCATCTTGTAAGTATTTTACCACAGGTTAACATGTTTCACAACTTGAAAAGGAAGTAATTAATTACCTTCAGCTCTCTGAGTTCTAGAATTTGTAACATTTCACCCCCTGCTCCTTCCTGATCTGCACTGGAGCATCTTTCTTCTGTCCCTGCTCTACTCAGAGTTCACTTTCCCTTCCCTCACATCAGCTTCGTTGAGGCTGGTTTGAACTTAATGCAAAACATTCTCACTAATGACTGAATTCCCACCAAGATTTCCATATTATCACAGTATGCTTTTAATCTTCGAAGATATTAAATATTTGTTCTCATCATAGCTAAAATGCAATGCAAATCCCATCTCAGATGTGGGTCAGATACCTATGAATCTCCTGAGGTAGTCATTGAAATGACTTTTTTCTTGAGACGGAGTGTCACTCAACCATGCTGAAGTGCAGTGGCGCTACCTTGGCTCACGGCAACCTCCACCTCCCAGATTCAAGCGATTCTTGTGCCTCGGCCTCCCAAGTAGCTGGGATTACAGGTGCCTGCTACCATGCCTGGCTAATTTTTGTCTTTTTAGTAGAGATGGGATTTCACTATGTTGGCCCATCTGGTCTTGAACTCCTGACCTCAAGTGATCCACCTGCCTCAGCCTCCCAAAGTGCTGGGATTACAGGCATGAGCCACCACACCTGGCCTGAAATAATATCTTTCAAATTCTTTGTAGAATTTGTTTTTTCCTGATTTCTGCACATAGGATAAAAAAAAAAATCATGTACTAGGATTTCAAGAGAAGCAATGGGTAATCTAAAAAGATGAAAAGAGCAACCACGTCTATCCCACAGCTACTGCTAGATTTCATAGGAAAGGTAGCTGGCCCAGTTTGGAGCTAGGAGAAATGTCAAACACATGAAGAAATGAGAAGCAAAGAAATGCCATCACACATGAATGCTTCATGGCACCCATGATGTCCCTGCTTAGGAGGTAATGGTATAGATGACTAGATGACAAGGACAAAGATGAGAGGTACAAAGTTGTCCAAGTCCAACAGCTCAACTGAACTTTCCTAAATGGAATTGTTAAAAAGTGGTAAATTTAAAAACTTCCCCTGGCTCACGTGGTGGCTCACGCTTGTAATCCCAGCACTTTGGGAGGCTGAGGCGGGTGGATCATTTGAGGTCGGGTTTTGAGACTAGCCTGGCCAACATGGTAAAACCCCGACTCTACTAAAAATACACAAATTAGCTGGGCATGGTGGTGGGCACCTGTAATCCCAGCTACTTGAGAGGCTGAGGCAGGGGAATCACTTGAAGCCAGGAGGTGGAGGTTGCAGTGAGCCGAGATCACACCATTATACTCCAGCCTGGGCAACAGAGGGAGACTCCTTTTGGGGGTGAGAAAAGAAAAAAAAAAAAAAAAAGCTTCCTCCAATTTATACCAAAAATTCTCTGTTCAGGACTAAGTGGCATAGAGAATGTTAAATGTGCCTAGATATCTTCATAACTCATATATTTTCTGTTTTCCACATATCTTGAAAGGCAGTGCCAAATGACGTGTAATTATCTAGGCGGTAAAACTGAAACATACTTCCTCTTCCCTTGAATATCAAAAAGCATTGTGGTATTAGTACTTTTATCTTGGATCATTGTTCAGAAGGAGGTTCAGCCCCCACACAACCACATTTTTACTGTCATGAATGGCAAGACAAAATGTAGAGCTCAACTTACCCAAAGGAAAAAAGGCTCAAAAGACAAATTATGCCACAACTTAGCAGCCAAATTCTTACCAAGTACAGACTTTTGACATACGGATCTCTCTCCAGTTGCAAGTGGGAACATGCACTTTGAATGATGTCATTCAAAATTACCCTGCCCAGACACACTTTTCATTGATTCTCTTGGAGGGCAGTTCTAAGAGATTCTCTGGGGCTTTCTCTGCATCATGAGACGCAGTGCAGTTCTGCCCTTCACCTTCCGGCAGTTTGTCACCTCGTCCCTATGACCTCAGAGGAACTTTGTCTCAGGCCAACTGTTTGTTCCTTGGGCTCTTTCATTTCCCCTAAAAATCATTTGCTGACCCTCTAAATGGCCTACATCTCCATCTATCTCCCTCTACCCTCAGAAGAGGGTGCTCTTTAAGCATCAACCATCCAGCCCTTCTAGCAGTCTCATTTTTCAGCTGGTTCCCATGTTTATGCCTGTTCTATGTTTTTCTTTTCCTGTTAAGCTGTCTGTTGTCAGCTCATTTCTGCAGTGAATCTTCAGAGAGGAGATTGGAAGCTTTCCTTCCACCCATACGATAGAACTATAAAGCAGAAGAGTTTAGAAAGACTTTCCCATTTAAGTGACGAAATCTCATACTCCATTTGTGACAAATAGCACAAAGGTTAAAAAAACTTATTTTTGACCAAAAGCTCTGTTGACATTCTATTAAACACCGACCTATTTAATTTTCATAATGTAAATGGCAGATATTTTCATAATTCTTATGCTAATAAATCATTTCCCTGATTTTTTGGGTAAAACCACATATTCATAATGAAGTCCAGAAACGTGAATTGTTTCATATAATTTATTCTTATTTGTGATTACAAGTATACCTCTACAGAAAGTTAGTATACTCACACAAAGGTAACTTGTGCAGAGGGAGATGGCAAATTTATAACTTCTCAGAAACACAGTAATGATAAGTAACCAAGGACTTCCACCAAAGTCAGTCCCACGATGACGATGGTCAGCCAGAGTATTGATAACCTGGAATAATAATAGTTGAAATAATGAAAAGGTCAATGACACTGACAATATTTCACTCAGAAAGAATCATCCTTAGAAACCGTCAACCTCCTCCAAAAGGTAACCACATCCCTCAGATATCACCGTGGGATTCCACTGCTACAAAAAAGAACAGAAGTTAGAGAAGTCTCATGTTTTTCAGATGGCTGGTAGTGTTTTTAGGCATTGCAAATGTGGGGTGTTGTCTTTCTTGGTATAAAGCAGGGATATCCAATCTTTTGACTTCCTTGCCTATATTAAAAGAAGCAAAGTTGTCTTGAGCCACACATAACATACACTAACACTAACAATAGCTGATGATCTAAAAAAAAAAATTTTTTTTTTTTTTTTTTTGAGACAGAGTTCCGCTCCACTCAGTCGCCCAGGCTGGAGTGCAGTGGTGCAATCTCGGCTCACTGCAACCTCCAGCTCCTGGGCTCAAGCCATTCTCCTGCCTCAGCCTCCCGAGCAGCTGAGATTACAGGTCTCTGCCACCATGCCCGACTAATTTTTGTATTTTTAGTAGAGATGAGGTTTCACCATGTTGGCCAGTCTGGCCTTGAACTCCTGACAGGCGATCTGCCTGCCTCGGCCTCCCAAAGTGCTGGGATTACAGGTGTGAGCCACCGTGCCCGGCCATTTTTTTTGTTTTTGTTTGTTGTTTTTGAGATGGGGTCTCACTCTGTCACCCAGGCTGGAGTGCAGTGGTGTGCTCTCGGCTCACTGCAACCTCTGCCTCTCAGGTTCAAGTGATTCTCCTGCCTCAGCCTCCTGAGTAGCTGGGAGTACAGGTGCCTGACAGTGCACTCAGCAAATTTTTCTATTTTTTGTGGAGATGGGGTTTTGCCATGTTGGCCAGGGTGGTCTCGAACTCCTGACCTCAGGTAATCTGCCCGCCTCAGCCTCCCAAAGTGCTGGGATTACAGGCATGAGCCACTGTACCTGGCCAAAATCTCCTAATGTTTTAAGAAAGTTTACAAATTTGTGTTGAACTGCATTCAAAACTGTCCTGGGCCACATGCAGCCCGTCACTCATGGGTAAGACAAGCTAAGTATAAAGTAATTATCTTATCTTTTATTTTTGTTTTGAGACAAAGTCTTGCTCTGTCACCCAGGCTAGATTGCAGTGGCATGATCTCAGCTCACTGCAACCTCCGCCTCCCGGGTTCAAGCGATTCTCCTGCCTCAGCTACTGAGTAACTGGGATTACAGGCGTCTGCCACCACGCTCGGCTAATTTTTGTCTTTTTAGTAGAAACAGGGTTTCACCATCTTGGCCAGGCTGGTCTCCAACTCCTGACCTCATGATCCACCTGCCTCGGCCTCCCAAAGTGCTGGCAATACAGGTGTGAGCCACTGCACCTGGCCAGTAGTTATCTTTTCTTTAGTTATTTGTTTTTTAAATTGATGTATAACATTGCATGCATTTATTATATATCACATGGTAAAAGAATCCCTCTAAATAATACTTCTCTCTTGGATTATATGAATCTTTGTCATTTAAAGCTCAGCATAAGTAAAAAAAAAAAAAAATACAATGAAGAGATTACTTCATTCACAAATAAGTATCGAATTTTAGTTCTTAAAAAGTAACAAGGTGGGCTGGGCGTGGTGGCTCACGCCTGCAATCCCAGCACTTTGGGAAGCCGAGGTGGGTGGACCGCGAGATCAGGAGATTGAGACCATCCTAGCTAACACGGTGAAACCCATCTCTACTAAAAATACAAAAAATTAGCAGGGCATGGTGGCACGCGCCTATAGTTCCAGCTACTTGGGAGGCTGAGGCAGAAGAATCACTTGAACCTGGGAGGTAGAGGTTGCAGTGAGCCAAGATCGCACCACTGCACTTCAGCCTGGGTGACAGAGCGAGACTCTGTCTCAAAAAAAAAAAAAAAAAAATTACCAAGGTGGAGATCATGAAAATGGCATGAATAGTGTGGGATTTCTCTAAGATTGTTGATATTAATTCCATTAGACTCTTATGTGAGTGAAGACGAAGACTTCCCCTGAGTAAGTTCAGACAGCTTCTGATAACATTTCTACATCGATTCCTCAGGATTTAACTATATATTCTTGAAAACATCTCAATTTTAAATGTTTCTTTCAAGATGGTGAATTAAACAGAGATAGCCCTTCAACAGGTTGAACTCAGCATATGCTGAGTCTGAAATGGAAATGATGGAGTTAGAGAACCGTACAACAATGGTAATGATTTCAGAAACATGGTGTTGAGCAGAATAAAGCAGACACAAAAGAGTACCTATGGCATGGCATGCATCTGTATACGCGAAATTCCAGAATAAGCAAGCTAACCTATGATAAGAAAGAGACTGGCTGGGAAGAGTGAGAGTTCACTTTCTGGGGTGACATAATAGTGTAGATCTTGGCTGGGCACGGTGGTTCACGCCTGTAATCCCAACACTTTGGGAGGCCGAGGCAGGCGGATCACCTGAGGTCGGGAGTTCAAAACCAGCCTGACCAACATGGAGAAACCCTATCTCTACTAAAAATACAAAATTAGCTGGGAGTGGTGGCACATGTCTGTAATCCCAGCCACTCGGGAGGCTGAGGCAGGAGAATCGCTCGAACCTGGGAAGCAGAGGTTGCGGTGAGCTGATATTGCCCCATTGCACTCCAGCCTCAGCAACAAGGGAGAAACTGTCTCAAAAAAATAAATAAATAAATAAAATAATGTAGATCTTGAAAGGGGGTTGGTTTATGCTGGTGTATGTACTTTCCAAAGTTAGTAAACTTACACTTAAGGTTATATATTTTGGCCAGGCGCGGTGGCTCACGCCTGTAATCCCAGCACTGGGAGGCCGAGGCAGGCAGATCACGAGGTCAAGACATGGAGACTATCCTGGCGAACACGGTGAAACCCAGTCTCTACTAAAAATACAAAAATTAGCCAGGCGTTGTAATCTGAGCTGCTCAGGAGGCTGAGGCAGGACAATTGCTTGAACCCCGGAAGCGGAGGTTGCAGTGAGCCGAGATCTTGCCACTGCACTCCAGCCTGGGCGACAGAATGAGACTCTGTCTTAAAAAAAAAAAAAAGTCATCAAACCAGATGACACAAATCAAATGACATTTCACTTTGTTTTGGTCCGTTTTGTTTGTTAGAGACAAGAGTGCAGCGGGGCCATCTCGGCTCACTGCAACGTCCAGCTCCTGGGCCCAAGCGATCCTCCCACCTCAGCCTCTCCAGTAACTGGGATAACAGGTACGCACCACCAGGCCCGACTAATCTTTTTTGGAATTTTTTGTAGAGATGGGGTTTCGCTATGATGCCCTGGCTAGTCTTCAACTCCTGGACTCAAGTGATCTGCCCACCTCGGCCCCCTAAAGTGCTGGGATTACAGGCCTGAGCTGTGTAATTTCATGCCGCGTGACACAGCCCAGTAAAAAGGAAGAAACCCCGCGGGTCCAGCGTCTACTCACACAGGTGGACTGATGGCTGATAAATCCCAGCAGGAGCCAAAAGAGCAGCCACAGCACCCATCTACTCACACAGGTGGACTGATGGCTGATAAATCCCAGCAGGAGCCAAAAGAGGAGCCAAAAGAGCAGCCACCGCACCCGCATGTCCTGGTCCTTTCAGGGCACCCGGAGGTGGCCAGGACAGAGGTGGAGGTGGCTTAGGGCAGGGGGGAGGGAAGGGGACGGGGACCGGGCCGGATCTGAGTTGGGGAGGGGGAGGGGAGGGGGAGGGGAAGGGGAGGGGAAGGGGGGAAGTAAGGGAAGGGAAAGGAGGAGAAGGGGGCTGTTGGGGAGGAGGAGGAGGAGAAGAAGAAAGGGGTCTGGGAAAGGATCCGGTTCAAATTAAGTTCTCAAGCGCTGGTGGAAGGTTTAGCTACAGGTCACGGAGAAGATCAGGGAAGCAACAGGACAGGCGGGGCAAGGGAGCATGAGGCTTAGGAGCAATTAGGAGACAAAGGTTCTGCTTTCCACCAAACCTTCTTCGGTCTGGGCCCTCCCTTAGCAACCCTGGGGCTTTAGACTCTCTCTCCACCAATCCCTGATGACCCCGGTGGTGCCTCACAATGGACATTCCAAGTAGTGCCCGCATCATCCCAATGACCCCTCCCCCATCTCAGTCCCCCACGCTCCTCCCAAGGCCAGGTCCTCTCTGGAACCTTCACAAACCTGATTTCTGGTCCTCCCCAACCAGCTCCCTGTCCCTGCTTCTGGGCGCTCCTTCCTTCCTGAGCTCCCAGGGTTCCTCAAGGTCACTTTTGGCGACAAAACATAAAAAACAAATGATGGCAGGATGGCAGGAAGAACCTCATACCCAAGCAGAGTGCCAGGTTTTACAGCCTCCGCTCAGCCATTCATATCCTAAGCAACAAAACATCAGCAGGATGCGGAAGGTCCCGATAGTAAACCATCTCCATCACATCCATGTAGCCATCCGTCCATCAACCTGTATCTCAGGAACAAATGTACATACATTCATTTTAAGCATGCATGGTACATTTACAAAAATTAACCTGACTTATTTTGTTCCAGCAAATCTCAATATATTTGAGAGCAATCAAATCACACAGCATGTTTCTGATCATAAAACTGTGCTAGAAGTCAATGATTAAAAGCTAATTCAAAATTATTATTTGCTTGGAAATTCAAAGTGCCCTTATAAGACATAAACATAAGAAAGAATCCAAAATGAAACAAGATTGCCTTTCAACTCAATGATGAGATCATAACATGGCAATAAAATGTCTCCCTCTGGCCTGGGAATTCCTCTTTGTGGCACAAGGTTGCGTGATCTCAAATCACCCCTAACCCACCTAGACATTTTAACATCCGAAACCGAGTGATGATGTCCTTATCTATATTATCTTACTGCCCGTGTGTGTGGACTTTAAATTCTGAACCCAAATGAGGGGGAGAAAACCAAGCTGACTTTCATGACTGGCCTCTCAGGGATGTCCAAGGAATCTGTGCATTTCAAGAAACAAAGCTCATCAGCTTCTCTCCTAAGGTATTTGCCCACAATACCCAGAGGGCTTGGCAGCATCATGTGTGATGGGTGGGGAGCTCCAAGCAGGTGGGCAGGACCCAGGGGCCTGGTGACCAGGACAGACCCCCACTGTCCATCACCTTTCCTGGCCCTGTCCTCAGCTAAACTTCCCACAGGCCTTCTGCCCGATCACACAGAGTGTGCCCAAACTCAGGCCTCTGGCAGCTGAAAACCACTGCTTTAAATCCCTTTACCATTTACTATGACATAAGGTTATTGTAAACAGGAAATATTCTATTGATGCTACAAATGGAAAGCCAATGCCTTTACCATAAATAGAAAAACAACCCTAAGAAACAAGCAAAACAAAAACAAAACAGGGGCTGGGGGTGGTGGCTCACGCCTGTAATCCCAGCACTTTGGGAGGCCGAGGTGGGCGGATCACAAGGTCAGGAGTTCCAGACCAGCCTGGCCAATATAGTGAAACCCTGTCTCTAATAAAATACAAAAATTAGCCGGGTGTGGTGGTGGGCGCCTGTAGTCCCACCTACTTGGGAGGCTGAGGCAGGAGAACAGTTTGAACCTGGGAGGCAGAGTCTGCAGTGAGCCGAGATTGCACCACTGCACTCCAGCCTAGGCGACAGAGCGAGACTCTGTCTCAAAAACAGCAACAACTACAAACAAACAAAAAACAGGGTTAACAAAACTATGGAATTCAATTCTATTTATATGCTGCAGCCATGTTCCAGCCCTAGATTTGGCTGGGCATGGTGGCTCACGTCTGTAATCCCAGCACTTTGGGAGGCTGAGGCAGGCGGATCACGAGGTTAGGAGTTCGAGACCAGCCTCACCAACATGCTGAAACCCCGTCTCTACCAAAAATACAAAAATTAGCCAGGCATGGTGGCACACGCCTGTAATCCCAGCTACTCAGGAGGCTGAGGCAGGACAATCCCTTGAACCTGGGAGGCGGAGGTTGCAGTGAGCCGAGATCGTACCATTGCACTCCAGCCTGGGTGACAGAATGGAATGAGACTCTGTCTCAAAAAAAAAAAAAAAAAAAGAAGAAGCCCTAGATTTCGGTTGTGTTGGTTGTAAAAGGAGAGACCCAGTAAGTGGGGGTCGTGCCGCAGATTGCTACCCACAATGGACGGGTCACTGAGCAGGTCCGGCTAACTGGGCGTTCCCTCGCTGGAGGGCCAGCACACCAGACTGCAGGTGGCGCGGGTCAGCAAGGTACCAGGGGATGTGTCACACACACAGCCCACCCCCGTCCAGTCACGCACGGACACCCTGGGCTTCCGAGCAAACCTGCTCCCAGGTGGTGTGACCACATGGAGCCACAGACACCCAGCAAGGACACGCAGCCCGCACACCCCCGGCACTCCAGACACAGTGACCTGCACCAGGGCTCGAGGTTTCTCTAGGGAACCCACCTCTTAGAATCATCCAGAAACAAGTCACTCTTCATCTGTCCAGCAAAGGCCTGCTGAGAGGTGCACAGGGTCTTGAGTCCAAGCTGCGCCAAGGCGGCAGGACCCCCAGTAGAGCCCTCACCTCAGCGTGGAGGCCTCAGAACGTGAGGAAGGAGCTGTCCAGCACGGATGAGTCCAGGCAGCTGTCGACGTCCAGCACCTGCTGCCCGGCAGGTGTGGGGCTCGGGCTCCCAGCCACCTGCAGGACAAGGGCAGTGGTCAGCGGGCAGCAGCTCAGACCTGCTCAGGACAGGGATGAGAAGCCACCTCCTCAGCAGACAGGACAGAGCCCGGTGCCATCTGACAGAATGTTCTAGAATGCTAGATATATGGGACATCTGCACCGTCCGTGATGGCAGCCCCTCGCGACATGTGCCACTGAACACTTGACAGCAGACTGGTGCAGCTAAGGAACAGAGTTTTAAATTTCATTTTTTTTTTTTTTAGATGGAGTCTCGCTCTGTCACCCAGGCTGGAGTGCACTGGCGCAATCTCAGCTCACTGCAACCTCCACCTCCCGCGTTCAGGCGATTGTCCGTCCTGGCTCAGCCTCTTTAGTAGCTGGGATTACAGGTGCCTGCCACGATGCCCAGCTAATTTTTTGTATTTTTAGTAGAGACGGGGTTTCACTGTGTTGGCCAGGCTGGTCTTGGAACTCCTGACCTCAAGTGATCTGCCCGCCTCCGCCTCCCAAAGTGCTGGGAGTACAGGTGTGAGCCACCACACCCGGCCATCGTTCCATTTTAATTAACTTAAATACGAGCAGCCACATGTGGCCTCTGGTTCCTGCCACGGACTCGGGAGCAACCCCTCCTGGTCGCGGCTTATGCGCCTTCTCTGTGTGCTGCTGGGGTTAGTTTGCATGTAACCTCTTGAGGACCCCACGTGTGCATTCCTAAGGGGTGCGGCCTCCCGTTTCCGTATGAATGGGAAGAGTTCCCACCTGCTGTATTCTTGGAAAGAGTCTGTGAAGGATTGGTGTTAATTCTTCCTTAACTGCTTAGAAAAATTCTATCGTGAAGGCTCTGAGCCTGGGCTTTTCTTTGTGGGATTTTTTTTTTTTTTTTTTTTGGAGACGGAGTCTTGCTCCGTTGCCCAGGATGGAGTGCAGTGGCGCAATCTCGGCTCACTGCAAGCTCCGCCTCCTGGGTTCATGCCATTCTCCTGCCTCAGCCTCTCGAGTAGCTGGGACTACAGGCGCCCGCCACCATGCCCAGCTGTTTTTGTATTTGTAGTAGAGATGGGGTTTCATTGTGTTGGCCAGGCTGGTCTCGAACTCCTGACCTCAACTGATCTGCCCGCCTCGGCCTCCCAAAGTGTTGGGATTACAGGCGTGAGCCACCGTGCCTGGCCCTTTTTAATGTTTTATATAGATGGGGTCTTGCTATGTTGCCCAGGCTGGTCTCAAACTCCTGGACTCAGATCCGCCCACCTCGGCCTCCTGAAGTGTTGGGATTACAGGCGTGAGCCACCACACCCGGCCCGGCCACTGGGAGGTTTCTAAGGGACTAACTCGGCCTCTTCACTTGCTATAGATGTACTGAGATTTTCTTCTGGAGTGCATTTCGGAAGCGTGCACAGCCGCGTGCTTGCTTCTTCTGAGTTATCTGGCGTGCTGCTGTGCAGTTGTCCGTGGCGTCTGCTTAGCGAAGTGCCCTCGTTCTTTCACGATTCTGGCTTCTGAGTCTTCTCTCTTTCTCCCTGGTCAGTCTAGCTAAGGCTGCTCAAGTGTGTTGACCCTTCCCGAGCAGCCTTTGGTGGACGCCTTTCCCTCTGGCTGCAGCACTGGAAAGTGGCGGCCCTGGGCATGGTGCCGAGGCCCAGGCTCCATTCCCAGTACTCCCGGGTCCCCAGCCCCAGCCCACCTTGCTCCGGGACATCCGGAAGAGAAAGAGGATGGCCAGGTAGACGGGATAGACAACCACGCTGGACACCAGGCCAACAGCGACTGTGTCGACGCTCAGCGGGTTCAGCCTGGACACACGCCCCGTGCTGTGTGGAGGAGAGGAGGCCACACAGGTGAGGCTGAGGGGCAGGAAGGGCTGGGCAGGAAGAGGCTGTCCCGACCCCTACGGCACCCACCTGTAGGCAGAGTCTCCAACAGCCCCGTACCACACGGCGTTGGCGCCCAGGAAGAGACAGATGAGGAGAACGCAGCAGGTGGCCCTCTGGATGTGAGTGAAATAGCTACGAGGCGGCCGGTCCCATATGGAGAGCCAGATGTGCTTGTCAAAGAAGCCACGCTGCAGCTCAGCCACCAGCAGGCGCCGGAAGCGCAACAGGGCTGCGTGACCTAGAAGGCAGGGAGGGCCGCACTGCAGGAGGCCACGGGGCAGGACCACCCTGCCCAACCTCCCACGGAGTGGGAACACGGAACGAGGCCTTACTCGCGGCCAGCACCTCCTTCTCCACCAGGCCCCCGTTGGCCTCCGTCTCCACCGAAAGCCAGTCATTGACCAGGAAGAAGGTGCTGCGTGCCGTCTGCAGGTCCCTGACGATGATGTGCTGCAGGAACCGGGCAGGGCTGAGCCCTGCAGAGGCGCGGGAGGGAGGTCAGGTTCGCAGGGCGCCCCAATGCAGGGGCAGAGGGGCAGAGCTTGGCAGGGTCCATACAGACCTTTGTTGTCGTGCCACACTCGGATCTTCCACACGCTACCCAGGCTGTGCGGGGTGGCGATCTGGAAGATGTCCAGACTGTTGCGGTGGAAGGCTCTGTCGCCGTCCAGGTGCCGGTGGCCGCTCCGGCTGTCCACCCCATACAGCATGATGCCCACGTGGGCCGTGGTACCTGGAGGGCAAGAGGGAGGGGTGGGAGGCTCGGTCTGCTGCCCAACACGTGTGGCATCCCAGGCAAGTCATCTCAGCTTTGGCCTCCGCGCACTCAAGGAGCCACACAGGCAGTCCCGGCTTTGCACAGCTCTGCTATACACGAGGAGCTGCGGTTACTGCAATTTGTCCAATAAACAGCAGGACCTCAAGGACATGATTAAGTTACATGGAAAGAACTGTAACTTGTGACATGCAAACATGGCTGCACACGCCTCAGTCCACACCACAACCAGTGACCCGCACTGCACACCTGTCCACGCCTCAGTCACGCCACAACCGGTGACCTGCACCACACACCCGTCCCTCAGTTCATGCACAGACTGCGAAGCGTGAAGCTGTGTCACCTCCTCTCCCAGTGACAGACCCAGGTGACAGTATTTTTTTTTTTTTTTTTTTTGAGATGGAGTCTTGCTGTGTCACCCAGGCTGGAGTGCAGTGGCGCAATCTCAGCTCACTGCAAGCTCCGCCTCCCGGGTTCACGCCATTCTCCTGCCTCAGTCTCCCGAGGAGCTGGGACTACAGGCGCCTGCCACCACGCCGGCCTAATTTTTTTGTATTTTTTAGTAGAGACAGGGTTTCACCGTTAGCCAGGATGGTCTCGATCTCCTGACCCCGTGATTAGCCTGCCTCAGCCTCCCAAAGTGCTCGGATTACAGGTGTGAGCCACCGCGCCCGGCCGACAGTTTTTAAAAGTAGGTAATCAAAAGAAAGAACTGGGAAATGAAGATGAAAGCAGCATGGAAATAAAAAATGGGAACACGGCCAGGTGTGGTGGCTCACACCTGTCATCCCAGCACTCTGGCAGGCCGAGGCAGGCGGATCACCTGAGGTCAGGAGTTCGCCTGGCTGACATGGTGAAAAATTAACTGGGTGTGGTGGTGTGCACCTGTACTCCCAGCTACTCAGGAGAATCGCTTAAGGGGAATCGCTTAAACCCAGGAGCTGGAAGTTGCTGTGAGCCAAGATCACGCCATTGCACTCCAGCCTGGGCAACAGAGCGAGACTCCGTCTCCAAAAAAAGAAAAACGAAAACAAAAAGGGAATGCCAGAAGGGCAATTCCAATAAAGGAAAATGGAGGTATTGAAGAAACAGCCACGGGGAGGGTGCTGGCACCTCCGTCTGAGAGACGAGCTATGCAGTCAGGATCGCGGGTGGATGCATGGTCTCCCACAGTGGTAGCGATGCTCATGTCACTTGTGGGGCCACGCTACTGTGCAGAACGTGGGCTGCCCACCCTGACTGACTGGCACCTACTTCCAGCTAGGAGCTGTCCTAGTCCTCAGGGACAGTGAGTGCTCACGAGGTCATTCCCAGGATGAACACACGAGCCCTTCACACAGTACTGCAAAAACTGCCTTGTTCTGACGCCTGCGACGAGACTCATTCCCAGAGGGTGCAACCAGCACAGCCAGTGAGAGCAGGGGAGGCCCTGCCACCCCGCCGCGCCCCTCACCTGAGCCCCGGCCCCAGCCTGTCTTGACGAGGATCTCGTACTTGAAGCGGCCCCGCTGCCCACAGAAGGGGATGGCGCGGCCCCGGCTGGCATCCAACTGGTCCAGCTTGTGCAGGATGGCGGCCATGACCATGTAGGTCACCAGGCACACAGCACATGTCAGCATGACGATGTAGTTTACATCCGCTGTTGGCTCCTGTGAAGACACAGCCGCCAGGCCCAGGAGGTCACGTGCAAGCTGTGCCTTCTCAGGATAGAGCCGAGCCCACCCAGGCCCTCCTCGACTCTGCAGAGGCTCCCAGGAGCACAGGGTCACTCACAGGAAACACAAAGCGGATATGGCTTGGGGGCACGAAGAGGCTGGTGCCGAAGGCGGTGAGGTGGCGGGTGAGGCAGACGGCCTGGCGGGGCGAGGTCTCCTCCAGGGGCAGCAGCCCCTCTGTCCGCCACACCACGTCCTCCTCGCTGAAGTACTGGCACAGGGACGTGTACAAGCCCACGGACACCTCCAGCGCCGACCAGCGGAAGTGGCTGGAGAGGTTCAGACGGTAACTCCCCACTGGGTCTCTGGTCCTGGGAAGGGAAGGGGCAGTGGACGTGAGCCCAGGCTCCGCCAGGTTGGATGTCGAAGTCCCAGAGCCCATACCCGGTCCAGTCCCCTCGCTGCCTGCCGTCCCCACGGGGCCCGTAACCCGGGCAATGCTGACCCATGATGCCCTGCCCTGCCCTGCCAGGCCGGCCCGCAGAGCTCACCCCGGGGAAATGAAGAAGGTGTAGGGCCGGTGGTCGGCACCCTGGAGGGACTCTGGGCGGATCCTCCTGCTAGCCGAGCAGTTGCGCTCATTGGGCCGGGGCTCCGAGTGCAGGTAGACTGCCAGGTAGGGCTCGGGTTCCTCAGACAGGTAGCGGCCTGGGGCAGAACGCGCAGGTCACACGCCTGCCGGGAAGCTCAACCACCCGGGGGACACCCACGATGGCCCTCCTGAGCCCACCCTCTGCCATGGGCCTGAAAGGCCATAGGAGCCTCTGCACCAGAGCTGGCACCTGCTTCTCCGTGGCCCCCAGCTCCTCTCCGGCCAGGCCCCCAGCAGCCCATGAAACAGAAAGCAAATTTCACCAGAGACACCCATGGAAGCCCTACGAGAAACGCCTTCCCCCCAAGAACAAGGCCAGGGGGCCGCGTGTGCCCCAACCGCTGCATGCACCGTCCAGCAGCGTATAGTTGAGCTGCAGATGCAGCACGGCCGCAGGGTTGCTGCTGTCCAGGGTGACCACAGCACCGACGGAGGCCTGGGGCTGGACCACAACGGAGTTGGCGGAGCTGCGGTGGCCCCGGGCAGCCCAGTCCGAGTTGTTGGGCACCTTCACGGTGAGGCGCGCTCTGAGGCCAGCCGCTCGATGGGGATCTGGGCGCCGGCCTGTGTCTGGAACGCCATCGAGGCCACCTTGGTGGAGACGGTGTAGTTGCTGATATAGCCAAAGGGAAAGGGATTGGAGTCCACCAGAAAGATGAGCTGCACCACATCACTGAGGTTGGCCGGGGCCCTGCTGAAAGCCTAGGGGATGGAGAAGTGGCAGCCAGGCCCTGGGGCGCCGCCATAGCACAGCAGGCTCCGCGGGTCCGAGCGCTTGCCCTGGGCCACGATCTCCTCACCCGCCAGCGTCAGGGGCTCCTCGTTGAGCACGCGGGAGCGCGTGAGGATGGGCGTGAGGGCAGAGGTCAGGTTGTAGGCCTGGGACGCCACCATCCGCGATGGTGACTCGGCTCCCAGCTCTGAGCGCTGTGGTGCCCGCACGTCTGAGCTGGCCAGGTGGATGAGGTCTCCTGCAGACAGGCGTGAGGTCAGTGCAGAGACAGGGAGGCAGAGGGAGGGTGGGGGCAGGCAAAAAGGGGGAGCCGGAGGGTGGGGACTGGGAGAAAGGGGGAACCTGAGGGGGCAGAGAGCGAGGTGCAGGCAGAAGGAAGGGGGAAGCTGGAGAGAGAGTGGTGGAGGGGGAGGGGGAAGGGGATGGGGATGAGGACGAAGATGAGGGGGATGATGGGGAGAGGGAGGAAAAAGGAAGGAAAAGGGTAGAGAAAAGAGAAAGGGGAGAAGAAGAGGAGCAGGGGGAAGGGAGGGGAAGGGGATAAGGCGGATAAGGGAGGGGAAGGGGAATAAGGGAGGGGAAGGAGGATAAGGGGGATAAGAAAGATGAGGGGAATGGACAAAAGGACGGGGAGGATCGGGGGGGAAATGGAGAAAAGGGGAGAGAGATGGAGAAAAGGGATGGTAATAGGGAAGGGGGAGGGGGAGGAGAATGGGAATTGGGAGAGGGGGATAAGGATGGGAATTGGGGGAGGGGGATAAGGATGGGAATTGGGGGAGCGGGATGAGGATGGGAATTGGGGGAGCGGGATGAGGATGGGAATTGGGGGAGGGGGATGAGGATGGGAATTGGGGGGAGGGGAGGGGGACGAAGATGGGATGGGGCAAAGGCGAGGCGGTTGTGGGGAGGAGGGAGGCAGAGGAAAGGGCGGCATGGGGCGGACGGGCCACGTGGGGCGGGCGGGTGGCGTGGGGCACGGGCCGCGGCACCTGTGATGTTGAGGATGCTGTCTCCGATGGCGGTGGGCGTCACGGTGCCCGCGGTGGTCTCTGCCTGCAGGATGCGCATCATGGCCTCCAGCTTGTGCAGCGTCTGCTTCAGGCACGAGCGGCATACGAGCTCCCTGCTGGGCCCCTGTGTGGAGCCAGCAGTGTCCAGCCCCGCTCCTGGCCCCACTCCTTGCACACGCCCTCCTCTCTACACGGGTCCTCACCTGGCTCCCACCTCCAGCCCTGCAGCTGGAGAGCCCACTTGACTGGACCCCCCCAGTCTCCTCACTAAGCATTTTCTGTGGCTCTGCATGACCGAGGGCCTCCACTTGGGGACCACGTGATGCAGCCCACCGACCACACAAGGCACCTCTTCACATGAGAGGAGGAGGAGGGGAGAGGGGAGAGAGGAGAGGGGAGTGGAGAAAAGGGGGGAGAGGAGAGGGAAGGGGAGAGGAGAGGGAAGGGGAGAGAAGGGGGAGAGGAGAGGGAAGGGGGAGAGGAGAGGGAAGGGGGAGAGGAGAGGGAAGGGGGAGAGGAGAGGGGAGGGGAGAGAAGGGGGGAGAGGAGAGGGGAGAGGAGAGAAGGGGGAGAGGAGAGGGGAGGGGAGAGAAGGGGGGAGGGGAGAGAAGGGGGAGGGGAGAGGGGAGAGGGGAGGGGAGATAAGGGGGGAGAGGGGAGGGGAGAGAAGGGGGAGGGGAGAGGGGAGGGGAGAGAAGGGGGAGAGAAGGGGAGAGGGGAGGGGGGAGGGGAGAGGGGAACGGAGAGAAGGGGGGAGAGAAGGGGGAAAGGGGAGGGGAGAGGAGAGGGGAGAGAAGGGGGGAGGAAAGAGAGGGGGGAGGGGAGAGAAGGGGGGGAGAGGGGAAGGAAAGAGAAGCCAGAGAGAAGGGGGAGAGAGGAGGAGAGAGAAGGGGGAGAGAGGGGGAGGGTATAGAAGAGGGAGAGGGGGAGGGGAGAGAAGAGGAGGGGAGGGGAAGGTGAGGGAAGAGGAGGGGAGGGGAGGGGAAGGTGAGGGAAGAGGAGGAGAGGGGAAAAGGGGAGGAAAAGAGGAGGGGAGGGGAAGAGGAGGGGAGGGGAAGAGAAGAAAGAAGAGGAGAGAGGAAAAGGAAGAAGAAGGGAGAGGAAAAGGAGGGGAAAGGAAGGAGAAAGGGGAGGGGAAAGGAAGGGGAAAGTGGAGGGGAAAGGAAGAGAAAGAGAAAAGGAAGAGGGGAGGAAAGGAGGAGGGAGGAAAAGAGGGGAGAAGGGAAGGGAAGAGAACAGGGGAGAAGGGAAGGGAGGAGAACAGGGGAAAAGGGGAGGAAAAGAGGAGGGGAGGGGAAGAGGAGGGGAGGGGAAGAGAAGAAAGAAGAGGAGAGAGGAAAAGGAAGAAGAAGGGAGAGGAAAGGAAGGGGAAAGGAAGGAGAAAGGGGAGGGGAAAGGAAGGGGAAAGTGGAGGGGAAAGGAAGAGAAAGAGAAAAGGAAGAGGGGAGGAAAGGAGGAGGGAGGAAAAGAGGGGAGAAGGGAAGGGAAGAGAACAGGGGAGAAGGGAAGGGAGGAGAACAGGGGAGAAGGGAGGGAAAAGGAGGGGAGGGGAGGGGAAGGGGAGGGAAGAGGAGGAGAGGGGAAAAGGGGAGGAAAAGAGGAGGGGAGGGGAAGAGGAGGGGAGGGGAAGAGAAGAAAGAAGAGGAGAGAGGAAAAGGAAGAAGAACCGAGAGGAAAGGAAGGGGAAAGGAAGGAGAAAGGGGAGGGGAAAGTAAGGGGAAGGTGGAGGGGAAAGGAAGAGAAAGAGAAAAGGAAGAGGGGAGAGAAGAGGAGGGGAGGGGAAGGGGAGGGAAGAGGAGGGGAGGGGAGGGGAAGGTGAGGGAAGAGGAGGAGAGGGGAAAAGGGGAGGAAAAGAGGAGGGGAGGGGAAGAGGAGGGGAGGGGAAGAGAAGAAAGAAGAGGAGAGAGGAAAAGGAAGAAGAAGGGAGAGGAAAGGAAGGGGAAAGGAAGGAGAAAGGGGAGGGGAAAGGAAGGGGAAAGTGGAGGGGAAAGGAAGAGAAAGAGAAAAGGAAGAGGGGAGGAAAGGAGGAGGGAGGAAAAGAGGGGAGAAGGGAAGGGAAGAGAACAGGGGAGAAGGGAAGGGAGGAGAACAGGGGAGAAGGGAACGGAGAAAAGAAGGCGAGAAAGGGAGGGAGGGGAGGAGGGGAGAAGGGGAGAAGGGGAGGGAGGACAGGAGGAGAGAAGGGGAGGGGAAGCGAAGAAAGAAGAGGAGAGAGGAAAAGGAAGAAGAAGGGAGAGGAAAGGAAGGGGAAAGGAAGGAGAAAGGGGAGGGGAAAGGAAGGGGAAAGTGGAGGGGAAAGGAAGAGAAAGAGAAAAGGAAGAGGGGAGGAAAGGAGGAGGGAGGAAAAGAGGGGAGAAGGGAAGGGAAGAGAACAGGGGAGAAGGGAAGGGAGGAGAACAGGGGAGAAGGGAACGGAGAAAAGAAGGCGAGAAAGGGAGGGAGGGGAGGAGGGGAGAAGGGGAGAAGGGGAGGGAGGACAGGAGGAGAGAAGGGGAGGGAGGACAGGAGGGGAAAAGGGGAGGAGAGGAAGAGAGAAGGGGAGAAGGGGAGGGAGGACAGGAGGAGAGAAGGGGAGGGAGGACAGGAGGGGAAAAGGGGAGGAGAGGAAGAGAGAAGGGGAGGGAAGGGGGAGGGGAGGGGTTAGGGGAGGGAAGGGGAGGGGAGGGGCTAGGGGAGGGAAGGGGGAGGGGAGGGGAGAGTGGAGGGCACAGAGCAGCATCTTCTTAGTCCCTCCCCACATCTGGGCCCCTCTTTACACCCTGGGTCCCCCGAGAGGCACCCTGCGTTCACACAGGACAGCAGAATGGCTGAGGCTACTGAAGCAGGTCAGAGACCGAGGAACGCCATGGCAGGAAGGAGCCCAGGCTGGAGGCTCAGCTCCTCGGCCAAGCTGCCCGTCTGCCCTGGGGGGCTGAACCCAGTACCCTGGCAGGCATGCGGGGCGGGGAGAGCATGTGGGGCCATCCTACCATGCACTGGGCCAGCGCAGCAGCGATCTGCTGGATGTCATCCACAGTGTGGACCCTCAGGGACACCAGAGTCTCCGTGATGTTCTTGCGTATCTGGGCTCGGCGCTGCCGCTCGTGCTTGGGCTCTGCCGCCACGTCCAGGGCCCGCTCGTACTGGGGCAGGCAGGGGGCACAGCAAGCTGTCAGCAGGGCAGGAGGCCGGCAGGAGGCCAGCAGATGCCCACGACTCCCGGGGTGCAGTTACGTGCTAGATGCTGTGTGATGTGGGCACTGACCCGCAACACTGAGCTGTTTCTTCATGGGCAAAACAGGGTAAGCACATGGGCCCTCCTGGGCGGGGGCTGCATTGTGGAAAGCAGACGCCGGAGAGGGCCCGGTGGGTGTGGCTGCTGGGAGCGGAACGTCGGGGTGCTGCTTCAGGGTCACTGGGATTTATCTCTGGGGCCCGGGATGAGCCCTCCGCAAAGCTCCAGGCAGGGGAACAGGTCTTGGTCCCCAGCACGCATGCAGCAGATGTGAGGTCCCCTCCCAGGCTGCACTCACCTCGTTCAGCACAGTGACCAGGGCCAGCGAGTACTCGATGACGTGCTGGGGATCGGCCTGCCGCAGCAGCCCTGGGAGCACACTAGCGGTGAGCCCGTGCAGCCAGACTGTGAGCCCCATTGCGCTGCCGTTGGGCTCTGGGAGGGTGATGGCCAGAGACCTACGAGCAGAGGGGGGTGGTGAGCAGGTGGCAGTCTCGGGGGCGCCCTCCCACGGCCTGGCTCACCTGTTGAGGGCGACCACAGCGGCTCCCAGCTGGTCCTGCACCACCACGGCCAGGCCCACCTCGAAGTGTGGCCTGAAACCCGGGGGCAGCACGGCTCCGTAGCCGGAGAGGCTGCCCTTGTAGACACAGAACTCCTCGCAGTGGCCCTGGCGGCAGCGCTGCAGCAGCAGGGCGTACACCAGCGGGGCGCCAGCATCCTCCGCGTCATGCCAGCCTGAGGGACGGTCCCCACGGCATCACGGGAGGGCTCCGTGACCTCACAGAGTCGGGGGATCCCGCTGCTCCCCCTACGCAGGCCTGCACTCACCCATGCATTCGAAGTGCACCTTGGTGGTGAGAGCGTGCACAGCGCCCAGTGGGAAGAGGCGGCAAGAGCCCCCCAGCGGCGGGCGGTTGGGGGACAGGGGGATGGAGGCGCAGCCCTCCTCCTCGCCAGAGCGGCCCAGCACCGTCAGCGTGAAGGTGTATCCCTCGCCGTCCCGCAGCACGCCCCGCCGCAGCACCAGTCACATGCCTGCGCTGCCCGTGGATGTGGTGGTCTCATCCAGCACCAGCGTCTTGTTGCTGAACGTACGTGCAGCCCACCGCTGCAGGCAGAAGGGATGGTGAGGGGGCGCAACCCTCTGCCCTGTCAGCCCCACTTCTGCCTGCAGGCCCCGTCCCCTCGGCCATGGGACCCATCCCCAACCCGCCCACACCCCGCTCAACACTCACCCCTCGCTTGGAGCCGCTGCTGCAATTGAGGCAGCGGCCCTCCAGGTACACGTAGGAGCTGCGGCTCACTTCGTACACGGCCTGTGCCTTGCAGGACACACACTCCAAGGACACAATGGGCACCCGGCCACTGCGGATCAGCACCTGGCGTGGGAGTGGGGTTACCTCCAACACAGGTCTATTTGGCCTGCTGGAAGGTCTGGGGGACCCGTGGAGGATGCTGCTCCCAAACTCCAGGTTTCCCAGGGGCCTGGCCACTGCCGGTGAGCTCACCCCCTCCCAGGATACTCATCCGGTTTGCCACCTTCCAACCTGGGCGGCGGAAGGGCATACACAGGGCAGAGGACACTGGGGTGTGTGTTCTGGTGTACTGGAGCCAGCTGGACCCTGACAGGAGGCAGGCAATGCTCACTGAGGGCCCCTGGGGGGATGCGTGTGGGAACAGACGTATGTGGGGGTGTGAGGACCGCAGTTGCCACGTAGGCCTGACTCACAGACTCCTGCAGCCCTTAGCCAGGGCCTGGGTCAGGAGGCTGAGCCGGGATGGAACCTGCTCCCACACCCTCCCCTCAGACGACCCCTCTGGGCAGACCCCCAATCAGGCCAGCTGAGGAAAGCAGGGACTGGGGAACAGACACCCACTCTGGGGTACCAGCAGGCCCCAGTCAGGGAGGCGCACACACTCACAGAGGGCAGGGAGGCGCACACGCTCACAGGCACCTGCTGCGTCCGGTTCTCGAAGGCATTAGATGCCAGCAAGGTCAGGACGTACTCACCTGTGGGGACAGGCCCAAGTGGGGCAGCCGCGGCACCCCCACCTGCTCCCCACCCGCTCGGCAGAAGCCCCCCGCCTGAGGAGCCCGGGGTGAACGGCTGCACCTGCGGCCCAGCCTTAAGGGTCCCAGGCTCCCAAGCCACGTGCGGGACGGAGCACAGGTGCAGCAGCACTGAGGGCTGCCTGGTGAGGACGGCACCGCCTCCAAGTGCAGCTGCACTCGGGGCAGCAGAGCAGCAAGAGCCAGGCCGCGGTGGGGGGCAGTTCAGGGGGCCCAGCTTCCCTGTCCACTCCTCCCACGCCTGGCCCCTCCCTCACCCCAGTAGGGGCCTAAGCCATCAGCCCAGGTGAGGTCACAGTGAGGGCTGTTGGGGAGGAAGCGGGGCAGCTTGACTGGGGGACTGGGGGGGCCCCGTGCTCAGAGCCTGAAAGGCAGTGGCCCCCTCACCCCCTCATCCCTCACCTGGGGCAGCGTAGGTGTGGGTGACATTGTGCTCCACCAGCACCTGGGCCACCGAGGGGTCTGGAACCGGGAAGGACTCGTTGTATGGAGGCTGGAACTGGTGGAGGGCCTGCTCCCCATCCCCAAAGGTCCACCTGCCGGGGCGGTGGGAGGCAGTGAGTGAACCGGGACAGGGGTGCGCAGTGGCGGGGCACAGGTGCGCGGTGGCGGGGCAGGGGGTGCTTGGGACCCAGCCGAGGCTCCACTCTGCAGTCACGCCCCGGGCCTCCATTCAGGGCCCACCCGGCTGTGCTGAGGCCTCTCCCGGCTCCCGTGCAGCCTCAGGGCTCCTGTGCACCCAGTACCTCCCAACAGACAGGGAAACCGAGGCTCAGAAAAGCAACCCCCTGATGTGGGGTCCCTCGGCTGAGGCTGGAGCCGGGACAAGAGCCTGGTGCCCGGACAAGAGCCTGGTGCCCACCCCAAACCGGCCCCTGAGTCACTCACAGGAAGGCCACCTCCACGGCCGAGTCCACCAGCACGCCCGCCGTCAGTGCCAGCGTGGCATTGGGGGACAGCACGGCTGGCACTGTAGAGACCCGCAGGCCCTGCATCCTGTTCATCCGCTCCACGGTGATGTTGTAGTTCACGGTGACGTTGCTCACGTGGTTGGAGGCCGTCAGCTGCAGGGACAGGCATCAGTGGGCCCAGGTGGCAGGTGAGAGGCCTGCCCTGCTTGGCGTCCCTCCCTCCACTCACCACAGCCATGGCAGCGTCCTCGGGCAGCATGAAGCAGAGCAGAAGGCAGAGGTGAAGGTGGAGCCCGCCCCCGCCCCGCCCCATCCCCTCCCCTCCCCACTCCCGCCCACCTACTGAGAGCTTGAAGACCGCCGCGCTCTGATAAATGACATTGAAGACCACGTTCTGGAAGGTCAGGGACTGCTTGTCGTTGATGGTCCACCAGAAGACCATGTCCGAGCCGGCCTCCACCACGGGGCTGTACCTCTGCGGGGGGACTGGTGTCAGCCTGGGCTCTGTGGAGGACTCTGCCCTTAGCCTGTCGCCTCCTGGACACACCTCCCGTCGGGCTGGAGAGTCCCACGTGGGGCACAGAGGAGAGGAGGTGCCCGGGGCTCTGCATGCCATGAGAGCCAAGCCCGGGCTGGGACACTGACTGTCCGGCTCTCCAGCCAGCCATGTAGTACTACTAATGCCTCAACCTCTCTGTGCCTCAGTTTCCCCATCTGTAAAGCAAACCTAGTACCAGCTACAAAGAGTCCACCTCTCTCTGAGTCTTCTCAGACCCTCCCGGGGCTCCTGCCCCAGCTCCTCAGCCAGAGAGCTCGGAGCAGTGAGGGGAGGCACACGGGCCTCACAGGGACAGCACCTACACTGGCTTACAGAACCCAGGACAGGCTGCACAGGTCACGCCATTTCTCATGGCCCCTCCCAAGGCCCCTGGTGAAGGGGCAGGTACCCGCAAGATGGAACAGCCCTGTCCCCCATGTACCCAGCATGGTGGCACCGCGGGCAGCCCGCAGTTTCCCATCAGGGGTTCGGACTCCACCTCAAAAGCCACTTGCTTTAGCCAGGCGAGAACACAGCAGAGGGCGTGAGAGACTCACGGGGACTCGTGTGAGGTCAGGGAGCGGAGTTTTAAATTCATTTCGTGAAATGAGACGGTGGAATGAGTTAGCGGAGCCGCTGTCAGAGCCGTGACTTTCCAGGAATTTAAAGCCCACCAGGTAGCCTGAGGAGCCAGCCAGCAGGACCTGCCCGGGGCCGACGTCCCCAGTAACTGGGCTGCTGCCCTCACTGGGAAGCCAGGCCTCACGCCCTGTGTGAGCACCCTGTCTGCAGGCACCTGCCTGGGGGCTGGTGGTGGAGCCTCGGCCATACTCACCACTGGGACTCCCTGCAGTACACGGGCCTCGGGGCTGGGCGTGGCGCGGAGGCCACAGATGGGCTCCTCCGCCGTCACCCGCAGGCTGAGGTTGGCCCGGCTGGCGCTGTTTTCCACCACAACGTCCATCACGTGCTCCCCCTCACCGAGCCACGGCAGTGCTACCACTGAGAACAGGGTATCATTGGTCTCCCAGGGGCAGCCGGGCACGAAGGTGGCCACCAGGGCAGGGCAGGCATTCTCAAAGCGGGCGCTGACACTGCCCCCAGGCCAGCAAGCCGTGGCCGTGGCGCTGGCACCAGAGTCCACCTGGAGCACCGAGGCTGAGCCGTTGGTGGGCACGTAGAGGCGGCCGTCGCGGGGGGCAGGGTAGATGACCCGCAGCCCAGCCACTGAGGAGACCACGTCAAAGCTGCAGGACAGGTTGTGCCTGGACACGCCATTGCCCACCTCTGCCCGGACCTCATAGCGCCCAGGCAGCCGCAGCCCAGGGTTGGGCCTCAGGCCCAGCAGCACGGTGAGCTGTTCCGTGGCTGCAAGCAGCCGCAGGGCACAGGCAGGGCAGGCCCAAGTGCCCTCCAGCTGGGCTGGCAAGTGGGGCAGCCATGACGAGGCGTTGGCGGAGAGGTACGGGGCCTGGGGACCAGGGTGGCCGGGAGCCGGCGAGCAGTGCGGGAGGGCGCCAGGGCCAGCGTCGTGCTGCAAGCCAACGAGGTCACCAGGGAGCATGAGGACATCCTGGCCGTGGAGGGTGACCTGTGGAGAGGGAGGCAGGGCTGCATCACGTCCTCACGGTCATGGCCCGTGGACCCCTGCACGACGGATGAGGGTGGACACGCAGGGCTCCCCGCTTCGTCAGCCACACCTCAGGGAGCCTCCCCACAGTGCTCGTGACAAGGACAGGCAGGACAGTTGCAGACAGGGGGACACACGGGGAGAGGACACAGGCCAAGACCTGACAGACAGGAAGGAGCGGCTGTGCTGGGAGAGAGGAAGAGGAGGCACAGCTCGTGCCAAGGGCCCAGGCGAGAGCTTCTCCCACTGGGAGAGGGGCAAGGGCACTGCAGAGGTCGGAGGTTGGAGGTCGGAGGTCGGAGGTCAGAGGTGGCAAGGACGTGGGAGGGGCCTGCAGGCTGGGTGTGTCTGCTGCGCAGACCCAGACCCTGGGCAGCAGACAGGAAGGTGGCCTGAGGAGATGCAGGGAACAGACCCAGGTCAGGGCCACACACCGAGTACTGCGCGGGGGGCCCCGCGGGAACGGAGAAGAGGAACTCTCTCCATAGCGCATAGGGGGACCCGAGTAGCCCTGGCCCTGACGTGCAGCCATTGGCGCAGGCCTGGGGGTGGCAGGAGGCGTCCAGCGGCAAGCAGATGTTGGCTCCAGGGCACCAGCGTCCCCCTGGCATGCACGCGGGGACCAGCTGGGTCCTGTTGTCCGGGGACCTGCTCTCAGGCTCGCTGCCGTTCTCCGGGGTCCCTGCGAGGAGGGGAGGGTGTTGGGGCCCTGATTCGCCCATGGGCCACCGTCAGAGATGCCCAACTGCCTGCACCAGCGAGCCTGGCCTTGCTGTGAGGACAGGTCTCCCCGCCCGGGCAGCACTCCCAGCCCAGTGCTGCGTCCCTGTCTCCGGCCAGCTGACTGACCCAGGCCGGTCCCCAGGCAGGCCCCACCCGATCCACCCCCAGGACACCTGGAATGAGCTGGTGTCTCTGGAACCCCTGCTCTGTCCACCTAAGACTGGGAACCACTCTGATGGCCACAGGACCAGCAGACGTGAGAGCTCAGAGAGGCCACCCCGAGTCCTGCGGCGCCCACCACCCCAGAGTCCCACCTGCTGTGCTGAGGAGCCGGTACACCTGCAGCCGCAGCTGGGCGGGCCGCCGGAGCTCCTGGGTCCCAAATTCGGCCGTGGTGAGGAAGGCTTCACGGCTCAGACGCAGGCCCGGGAATACCATGACCTGGTGGGCAGGGGGCCGCCTCAGCTCCACAGACCCCATCCCAGCCTGAAGCCCAGACTCCCCCCACCCGAACTTCCCAGGAAGAGGGGAGGGAAGGAGAGCGAGCCATCGGACCCCCACAGGCCTGGCTCCTGTCGCTCGAGAGGAAGACTCCGATGGAAACTGTCCATGGGGGGCAGGACCCCTGACCTGCCTTTCAGGAATAACTCACCCACACTCAGAGAAAAGGCCTGGGGGTAATGTGAGTAAACGCTTTCCTCTCTGCCCTCTGGATTTTCCCAACCATCTTCACTGGGCACAAGCAACATTAAGGCCCCCAAGTTTTTTGGCGAGACCCACAGTGGGCAGGGCAGGCGAGGCCTCCAGGGGCAGGCAGGAGGGCAGGTTATAGAACGTGGGGGGCCGACTACCTCCAGGGGCTCGTGCGGGGCTGAGAGGCCGTACTGCCGTGCCAGAGGCATCAGGGGTCCCTACAGGTCCCCACTGGGCGCTCCCACGAGGAGGTTCTCGGCATCCTGCACTGGGCCTGGGGTGGCAAGTGCACAGTGAGGCGCCGGGCCAGGGCCCAGGACACCAGGACGAACAGACTGGGGACCGAGCCGCCCGAGAACCCCCCCACCAGCCCCTCCTCCTCAGCCCAGGCTCCACCGCGGGCGCTCGGCAGGCCCCTAACCACAGCCAGCGTCTCAGGCCCCTGCCTGGCCCCCCGCACACCTCCAGGCCGCAGCTCGCAGACGTAGCTGTGCGGCGCTGAGCACAGGTCGGTGTTACACCACCCGGTGGGCCCGAGCCGGACGCAGTGCTCAGCTGTGGCTGGGTGTGGCTCCCCGGGCAGCCAGTTCTGGCAGCTCTCCAGGCTGAAGGCCTCGCCCTGCGGCGCTGGGCCCACCTCCACCCCCTGCACAGTCGAGAAGCCGATCCACATGTCTAGGCTCCTGGGGGCGGGTGTGGGATGGCAGGGGGCTCAGGGCACTCCTCCATCCTCCCACCCTCACAGCAGCCCGCTGGGAGCCCCGTCACTGTCCCCCTTTCCAGATGGGGAAACTGAGGCTCAGAGCCCGGAGAGCAGGGCCCACCAGCCCAGGCTCACAGCAGCACCCACCCACGGGGCCTGTGGGCACCGGCAGGGATCCCCGTGCAGGCCACCTCCCGTATGGCGTGCCCAGGAGTGTCCGGAGGCTGCCCCCAGCTCGCGTCCACCTCTGCATCTGCAGAGCTGACAGGAACGGCCCCACCGGCCGGCGCCACCTGCTCACCAGGGCCGGCCCAGCTCCCACCTCCCTCCTCCTGAGACTCCCCAGCCGCAGGCTCTGCCCCACTGCTTCAGAGATCTCCCAACCTATGGCCCCTCGGGGGGTGGGGCAGGCACCTGGTGACCCGGGAGACCAGGAAGCGCTGCACGGCGGGACTGTCCACCATTGCCAGGGTGGCCCCGGCCCAGGCCCGACACTGCTCCTGCGCCTGCAGCCAGGCCGCCTTCTCCACCACCAGGCGGTAGCAGTGCCCATTGCCAGAGAAGATCTCCGTGTCCGAGGGGCAGAGCGGGTGCACCGCTGGAGACCGGTGGGAACGAGGGTGTCAACGGTCAGTGTGGGCCCAAGACGGGGGTACCAGGCTCTGCCCCATCTGGATGGCCCTGGGGAGGAAGGGGAGTGGGCAGCAGACACTCACCTCGGGCCGGCTCCTCGCCCAGGGCCACGATGCTGTAGGCGGCCTCCAGGCCTGAACCACCGCGGTTCTGGATGCTGAGGTCGAGGCTCTCGTCACTCTGCACCGAGGACGGGCACACGAGCTCCAGGGCGGCAGGTGCCGCTTCCACCTGCACGTCTGTCCCCAGCAGGGCTGAGCCGGTCCCCAGGGCCAGCACGGCCGTCACGTGATAGCGCCCAGGCAGCACATAGCGATGCGAGGCAGCCGGCCCAGCGGCATCCACCTCGGGGGAGCCGTCTCCAAAGTCCCAGCGTGTGGCAGTGACAGGGAGCGGGGCAGCGATGTGGAAGGCTGCTAGCTGGCCGGAGGCCAGGGGTCCGTGGGGCCCCACCAGGGCGGCCCCTGGGGAGGCAGGGAAGACGTGCTGGAGGAGGGTGGGGCTCCTACAGGTGGGGGCAGGAGGCGGCAGGGGGCCGGAGCAGAGGGACAGGCAGGCGAAGGAGGCACTGGAGGGCTGGGCCGCCCCACACAGGCACCAGCCCTGCTCCGAGAGGGCTGCGAGGCCCTGGCCGGTGGAGAAGCAGAAGGCGCTGCAGGCCTCTGGCTGAAGCAGGCCTTCGTGGGCAGCTGAAAAGGACACTGCTGCCACGGTGCCTGAGCTGTTGTCAGGGAGGCAGGCGACATACTCCTCACCTAGAAGAGGCAGCCACTGGACCCCGGGTTCTGCTCCTCCTGGCTCCACCCCACACCCCCCCATCCGCCCGCCGCACTCACAGGCTCCCATGCTGTTCCCTTGGCCCGGAGGCCCCCCCCAGAGAGGCCTTCCTGAGCCCTGCCCAGTGTCTGCAGGGCCCAGGTCCCACCTGGCTGGGAAGGACAGAGCTGCCCCACCCACCGGCACTCACCACAGCCACTGTCCAGCAAGGGGATGCCAAGCAGAGGCTGGCCAGCCAGGGAGCCAGGCCCAGCACACGTGGCTGCCTCGGGCTGCACCACCCGCACCTGCTGCTCCTCCGCCCATCGCGGCAGCCACGCCAGGCCACAGTCACACTCAAACGGGTTCCCACTCAGGTTTCTGCGGGGCAGGGGCAGGTGTTGGGGACCAGGTCTGGTGGGAAGGGTCTATGCCAGCCCCCCACTGGCAACCAGGCCCTGGAGCCACCCTGACAGCACCGCCTCCCCTGCCCCAACCAAGCCGGCACTGGGGGGCTCCAAGCAGGTAGTGAACTGCCCCCAGGATCTGGTCTCAAGCCTGGAAGGGGACACGGACCAACTGGGAGGGCAGAAGGGATACTGGGGGCCTGGGGTCCAGCCAGGACCCCACCCAAAGAACCACAACTTACATTTCACTTAAATTAAATAAATTAGCAAATATTCCTTCTTCTAACGTAGAAATCTTGTTGTTGCTTATATCCCTGGAAGAGAGGGGGGATTCGGCAAAGCTGACGGAAGCCCCCACAGCTGAGCAGCAAGAGGCGGTGCCGCCAGCCCACCCGGAGTGAGCCCCGCATGCTGGCACGACTGGGGGACACTCACAGCTCTGCCAGCGCCGAGAGGTTCGCCAGGAGCCCAACGTCCAGCGCCCGGAGCAGGTTGTGGGAGACGTCTCTGAGGAGTGAGTGGCCGTGGGTCAGGGCCAGAGCCCTTAGTAGGCCAGAGGCCATCCCTGGGCCCATCCCACACATTGCCAGCATCCCCAAGCTATGGCCTCCCACCCTTGAGCTCCCCACTCCCAGAGGTCAGGAGGGGCCTTTCTGATGGAAGACCCAAATGAACACTCATCTGGGGAAACCAAGCCGGGAGAGGCCTGGGGGCCTCAGCCCTCTGCACCCATCTCAGCCCTATGCCGAGTGCCACCTGGACCTGTCCACCCAGGGCCAGGAAGGGCACGGACCCCCAACCCATCCCACGCAGGGACAAGGCCCCCCATCCCCTGTCCACAGTCCCCCACAGAGCCAAGGTCTCCCAACCCTGTCCACAGCCCCCACACAGACTCGAGGGGCCCCCATCTCCTGTTCTGAACCCAACAGGGTGGTCCCACTGTGGGACCACAACCAGGTATGACTGTGTGAGAAGCAGGCTCACTACCAGGCTACCAGGGAGCACAGGGGAGCAGGCGCCACCTTGAGGCATAAACCCAGAGAAACAAGACCTCCAAGACGGCCAGGCACTGGGGCACACGCCGGTAACACAGCACCGTGGGAGCTGAGACGGAAGGATCGCCTGAGCCCAGGATTTTGAAACCACCCTGGGCAACACAGTGAGACCCCGTATCTACAAAAAAATACACATTAGCCAGGCATGGCGGCATGCGCCTGGGGTCCCAAGTACTCGGGAGGTAGAGGAGAGAAAAATCACTTGAGCCCAGAGAGGTCAAGGCTACAGGGAGCTGAGATCGCATCACTGTACTCCAGCTGGGGTGAAACGGCGAGACTCTACCTCAAAAATAAATAAATACATACATAATTAATAAATAAAACATCAAAGACCAGCCGACCTAACTCCATCTAAAATACACAACTTCTACGCAAAATATAAATAAAATTAGAAAACAAACTACAATCTCAGAAAAGCACTAGCAACTTAGACGACATACTAAAGACCAAAAATACCCTCCTGACACACAGCTAATAAAGAAAAAGTCAACTATTCCAGTTAAAAAGAAGAAAAGGAAACTGGCTGTGGTGGCTTATGCCTGTAATCCCAGTGCTTTGGGAAGGCCAGGAGTTTGAGACCAGGATGGACAGCATAGCAAGACCCCATCTCTACAAGGAAAAAAAGAATCAGCCAGGCATGGTGGTGTGGAGCTGTAGTTCCAACTACTCGGGGGGCTGAGGAGGAAGGATCGCTTGAGCCAGGGAGGTAGAGGCTGCAGTGAGCTATGATTGTGCCACTGCAGTCCAGCCTGGGCGACAGAGCAAGACCCGGTCTCGAAAGAAAAGAAAGAGAAAGCAAGAAAAGAAAGATGGCTGGGCACGGTGGCTCACTCCTGTAATCCCAGAACTTTGGGAGGCCAAGGTGGGTGGATCATGAGATCAAGAGATCGAGACCATCCTGGCCAACAGGGTGAAACCCCGTCTCTACTAAAAATGCAAAAATTAGCTGGGCGTGGTGGCGGGCACCAGTCCAGGCTACTCGGGAGGCTGAGGCAGGAGAATGGTGTGAACCCAGGAGGCGGAGCTTGCAGTGAGCCGAGATGGCACTGCTGCACTCCAGCCTGGGCAACAGAGTGAGACTCCATCTCAAATAATAATAAAAAATAAATAAATAAATAAATAAATAAAAGACATCACTCACACCTGTAATCCCAGCACTTCGGGAGGCCGAGGCAAGCAGATCACCTAAGGCCAAGAGTTCAAGACCAGCCTGACCAACATGGTGAAACCCCATCTCTACTAAAAATATTTTTAAAAATTAGCTGGGCGTGGTGGCGCGCGCCTGTAATCCCAGCTACTCAGGAGGCTGAGGCAGGAGAATCGCTTGAACCCGGGAGGTGGAGGCTGCAGTGAGCCGAGATCACACCATTGTCCTCCAGCCTGGGTGACAGAGCCAGACTCCGTCTCAAACAAAACAAAACAAAAGACATCAGCTAGCTGGTCCAAGCACAGTGGTGTTCACAACGAATTGATCACAGCCAGGTAGAATTCTTCATTCTTTCTCCAGTTCCACTGCTTTGCTTGACCAGCCTTAAAGACACACATACACATTTTTGTCTGGGCGCGCTGGCTCACACCTGTAATCCCAACACTTTGGGAGGCCAAGGCAGGCGGATCACTTGAGGTCAGGAGTTTGAGACCAGCCTGACCAACGTGGAGAAACCCCGTCTCTCCTAAAAATACAAAATTAGCCAGGCATGGTGGCACACGCCTGTAATCCCAGCTACTGGAGAGGCTGAGGCAGGAGAATCGCTTGAACCCGGGAGGCGGAGGTTGCCGTGAGCTGAGATCGCGCCACTGCACTCCAGCCTGGGCAACAAGAGCGAAACTCTGTCTCAAAAAAAAAAAAAAAAAGTATATATTTTTAAAAGACATTGGCCGGGTGCGGTGGCTCACGCCTGTAATCCCAGCACTTTGGGAGGCCGAGGTGGGCAGATCACGAGGTCAGGAGATCGAGACCATCCTGGCCAACACGGTAAAACCCCGTCTCTACTAAAAATACAAAAATTAGCTGGGCACGGTGGTGCATGCCTGTAAACCCAGCTACCAGGTACTCGGGAGGCTGAGGCAGGAGAATCGCTTGAACCAGGGAGTCGGAGGTTGCGGCGAGCTGAGATCATGCCACTGCACTGCGGCCTGGAGACAAGAGCAAGACTCCGTCTCAAAAAAAAAAAAAAAAAAAAAAAAAAAGACATCAACTAATTGCAGTGTGTGGACCTTATTTGGCTCTTAATTCAAACTATTAAACCAAAAATGTGAACACACCAGGCCTTCGGTGGCATGAAGGAATTGTCTGTTGTGTTAGGTGGGTCTGCAGTATTGCGATGCCCTCCAAAATGCTTGCAGATAAAAGGGTGGCTGGAATTTGGTTCAAAACATGGGTCAGGGCTGGGCGTGGTGGCTCATGCCTGTAATCCCAGCACTTTGGGAGGCCGAGGCGGGCGGATCATCTGAGGTCAGGAGTTCAAGACCAGCCTGACCAATATGGAGAAACCCTGTCTCTACTAAAAATACAAAATTAGCCAGGCATGGTGGTGCACGCCTGTAATCCCAGCTACTCGGGAGGCTGAGGCAGGAAAAGCGCTTGAACCCAGGAGGCGGAGGTTGCCATGAGCCGAGATCGTGCCACTGCACTCCAGCCTTGGCAACAAGAGTGAACTCTGTCTCAAAAAAAAAAAAAAAAAACACATGGGTCAGGAGGGGAAGGGTCGGGGCAGGGAGGGCAGGGCAGGCTCTGGGGTGGGGGGTCTGTGAGTCAGCCACGGCTCTGCCCACGTCTCCCCACGAAGCTTCGAGCCACGCAGAGCAGCACGTTTTGCAGTACGCCATCTTTTCCAAAAGCCACCACCTCTCGGCAGCATCATTAACCCAAGGCAGGCTGTGGCCTCAGAAGCCCCGGCTGTCCTCCACCTGGAACTGGACACAGCTGTCCCTGCTGAGCTTCAGCAGCCAGGGAGCCACAAGTGGAGAGGCACCTGCGTGAGCCCCCCAGGAAGGCTACTGGTGACACCCAGACAGCAACGCTCCTGGACCCTTGAACACCTGCCAGCAGCTGTGATCTGTGTCCTTCACCTCTCCCAGCTTGACCCCTCTTCCCTGGGGAAAACCCAGCCGTCTCCCCGAGGAGGAGTTTGCAGGGTAGACAGCAAAATGGCTGGGCTGCCCCACAGCACAGAGGGTGGCCTGGGGGGCCAGCCAGGGCCTTCACATCCTTCCTAGGGCCCTAGTTTCCCATGGGTCCCCTCACCCCACCTTCCAGAACTCTCCCAGCGGCGGCCCCAGGTGTGTACAGAACAGCACCCACCTGCCCACATGAGGTCACCCTGTGCCCTGTTGCACACTTGAGGGGCCTGGCATTCGGAATCTTGCCAGCTCAGGCTGGGACAGGCCACCAACCCCCAGGGTCCCCCTCCTCCAAACCCCAGGACCAGAGCCTAAGAGGACAACACAAGGCAGGGGCGGGGGCTCCACTGCTGTGCCAAGGGCCTGGAGAACACGGGCCTTGCTCTCCGCTCAGCAGCCACCAGCGCCCTTCTCTCCCGGACAGCTCCCGAGGGGCTGCTCTCATGGACACCATCAGGTGCTGGGAAGCAGGAACCACCAGGACCTGGACAGAGTCCCCAGTGACCGGCCTGGCAGACAGAGGAGCCCTCAGCTACAGCATCACAAACAACGGGTGGGGTAGGTCTGATGCAATTCTGTGGGTGCTGTTGCCAGGCAGGAGGAGGCCATCTCCACAGAGACAGCCGCGAGACACACGCGTCCGCAGTCAGGGAGCGCAGGAGCAATGTGGCCCCGAGGGGCACGGGCTCCATTGGTCCAGGAGAACCCATTCTTCTCCCACCCTCGAGACCACCCAGCAAAGCCCCAAGGACACACGGCTCCCCTAAGGAAGGGTGGCCACAGGCGGGAGTGACCCAGAAACGTTACAAAACCAAATGCCAGAACCCACCCAATGTTTAGCAAGCCTGGGGATGTGCCACGTCCCCCAGGGATCCAGCACGCACCCAAAGAGACACTGTCCCGGCGAGGAGCCTGGAGCCTGGGAAATACAAGGCATCAGACTGGTCCCAAGACTCTCCCCAGCGCTGGGGACAACTGTCTGCTTATCTTAGTCCCCTGCGCCCTTTTCAATCCAACCCTGGGTCCTGGGCACCTCATAGTTCCAAACCCCTGCTATGCACATCCCGGCTGTGATGCCTGGGACAGGTCCTGTCCTGGCTGTGATGCCTGGGACAGGTCGTGTCACCTCTCCAAACCTGTTTCCTCATCTGTGAAATGCAAATCTCCACGGTCCCTATGCCTCGGATGGTCAGAGTCAGGATTCCGCATGACGACCCCCAACAGGAGCCTGGCACAGACCTGGCTCTGGGCAGCGTCTCCATAAAGGCCACCTGTTGTTTTTATCTCCCGAAAGCGAACATGACAAGGCTTTAACCCCCCACGGCAATCCGCCCTCACCCCTGTTCTCAGGATAGCCTTGGAACCCAATAGCAGAGCGCCTGAGGCCCTTCATGACCCCAGCCCACCCGCGAGCCCACCTCCCACCCTGCCCCTACCCCTCACACCTCCCGTGGCCAGCCTCCAGCCTCACGGTCTTTGCTCACACCGTTCACCCCCCTTCTTCTGGACCCACCTCATCGCCCCTTCCTAAGCATCAGCCCAATTCTTGCACATCCATCAAATCCTTGTCCAGACACCTCCTGGAACTCTTCCCTGCAGCCCCCTACAGCCATCCCCACCTCTCCGGGTACCCCGCAGCCCCAGGCCGCATCCCAATTCCTCTCCAATTAGCGACTGTTTGTCCTCCCAGCTGAGCGCGGCCTCCGCGCCCCGCCCCCGCTGGCGTCTGCACAGCCCCCGGGTGGGACGTCTGTCTCCAGACCCGGGGTTTTTCGGCTCCCCGGGGCCGTGCCAACCGCGGCTCCAGGCGTTCCTTATTTAGCAGGGCCGCTGTGCCGCGCCGGAGCCTCGCCCTGGGAGCGTCCTGGCCCGCGTCCTGCTTCCCGTCCCGGGCCAGGGAACGCGCCCACGCCCGCCCGTCCCGCGGCCTCTCCCGGGTGCCGCTGGGCCCGCTACTCACAGCGCTGTGGCGTCCGCGGGGATGCGCAGCGCGGGACCGAGCGTCCGCAGCCCGCGGCCCGCGGCCCGAGCAGTTGACGCGGCAGGCGGCGCCGGGCGCTAGGCCGCAGAGGCAGGGGGGCTCGCAAGGCCCGCAGCCGCGCCCGGGGCCCCCCGCCAGCGCCCCGAGCCACAGGCCCAGGCCCAGGGCCAGCGCCAGGCGGGCGGGCGCGGCGGGCGGCATCGTTAGGGCAGCGCGCGCATGGCCCCGCCGTCCCCAGGCCCGCCCGCGCGCGGAGGCCGCGGCTCAGGCGGGGCCGGCGGACGGCATGGCGGGCGCGGGGCTGGATGGGGCTGCGGCCGCGACCTGCTGCTGAGCGACGCCCGCTCGGGGCTCGGGGCCAGGCCGCTCCGGGAGCTCGGCCGCCCGCTCGGACGTTGGCGCTGCAGTGCGGGCCCCGCCGCGGCTCCTCCTCCTCCTCCCCGCGCGGCGCAGGGCGGACGGGGCGAGGGGGGGCGGGGCGGGTGCAGGCTCCGCCCCCTTCGCCACAGCGCGACCGGGCCAGCGATGAGGGACTGGCATCCGGAGGCTTCACCCTCCGCTCCACAGGGTCGGCAGCAGGGCGGGGCCTCCGGAAGCTCCGCCCCACGCTTTCCCGGGGCGCATGCGACGTGGGGCGGAGCGTCTGGAAGCTCCGCCCGTCGCACTGTAGAGTCGGCCGAGGCGCACGAGGTATTTTTCACGCTCCGCCCCTCTGCAGGCTAAAGTGCGTGGGCGGGAAGCGGTGGGCAGGGTGCCATCTGGCTCCGCCCTTCTCCTGTGGTGTGGGCCAGGCGGCGGCTTCCTCCTCCTGCAGCAGCCACAGGCTCCACTCTGATCCTTCTCCCGCGGCATGGATCCTTCTCCCGCGGCGTGGATCCTTCTCCCGCAATCTCCGTGCGCGTCCCCAGTCAGTACCCGCAGCCTCCCGACGCACCCGCTGGCTCCAAGCCTCCCTACCCCAGGTTTCCTGGCTAAGAGAGAGACAGAGGGAGAGAGGGGGAAGAGAGAGAACAGGCAATGGGAGGTTGATGGTGAGAGCTTATTGAAAGACAAGAGGGAGGAAACCCACATCCTTCATTCCCCATCCATTCATTTATTGCCTTATTTATTCCATTGAATCTTCACAGCTCTAGAAAAAGTGTGCTACAATTATTCCCTTTATTAAATGAGGTCACTGAGGCACAGTTTAAGAAATTTGCCAGCAGGGCACAGTGGGTCACTCCGGTAATCCCAGAACTTTGAGAGGGGGAGGAAGGTGGATCCCTTGAGCCCAGGAGTTGGAGACCAGCCTGGCCAACATGGCGAGACCCCGTTTCTACAAAAATTAGCCAAAATTAGCCAAACTGGCTCACACTTGTAGTCCCAGGTACTCGAGAGGCTGAGGCCGGAGGAGCGTGTGAGCCCAGGAGGCAGTGGCTGCGCTGAGCCGTGATTGTGCCACTGCACTCCAGCCTGGGCAACAGAGTAAGACCCTGTCTCGAAAAAAAAAAAATGGAAAAAAGAAAAAAAGAACTGGCTGGGAGTGGTGGCTCATGCCTGTAATCCCAGCACTTTGGGAGGCCGAGGTGGGTGGATCACCTGAGGTCAGGAGTTTGAGACCAACCTGACCAACAAGGTGAAATCCCATTTCTACTAAAAATACAAAAATTAGCCAGGCGTGGTGGCAGGTGCCTGTAGTCCCAGCTACTAGGGAGGCTGAGACAGGAGAATAGCTTGAACCTGGGAGGCAGAGGTTGCAGTGAGCCGAGATTGCACCACTGCACTCCAGACTGGGCAATACAGTGAGACTCCGTCTCAAAAAAACAAAAAAAAATCCTACCACATGTGCTCCACCAAGCTCTGTCTCCAAGGTGGCCTTGGAAGCCACATGGGGAAGGTGGCAGAGACTCTAGGAGCCTGAGCAGAAACCCAGATGATTATGAAAAATGCAGACCTACCCATCCTTATTCACCTGGGACCACCGTGAACTATATCATAAGAAATAAACCCCTATTGTACATACATGCACCATTCGAGTTGGGTCTATTTGTTACAGCAGTTTAGCCAACCCTAATCCACATATACAGTGTCAACAGTGGCTGAGATGACATGTTGCACAGACATGAGAGTCAGAAAGACCTGAGTTCAAGTCCCAGTGATGACATTTACTATCTGTGTGACCTTGAAAAGCTGCCTAACTACTCTCAGACCGTTTCCTCATCAGTTTGTTTTGAGAGTCAAATGAGAAAATTACTAAAAAGCCCTTAGCACTGCATCTAAGATGGGGAAGAGACAGTCAATGAATTCAAGTTTCCTGAAGCCCAGTTGCATCCCTGCCCTGCCCTGGGCTCTGAGAGACAGTTGCCGAAGCTAGTGTTAAAGTGAACTAAATATGGCCTGAGTGGGACTTCGTACTTCTATAGTTGAGTCCTTGTGGACAAATTGCAACCTAGCTTAATAGGTAGACAAGATTGAAAACCTAACTTAGGAGTATGCGCCTGTAACAATAGCTGAGTCTTGGCCAATCCCAGAGGCCATAGTTCAACCGCTCATACGCTGCTGAGTGTTCAAACTGTACTCAAATAAGGCAAACGCCAACTTGTAACAATCCAGCCATTCTGTACTTCACTTCTGATTTCTGTACATCATTTCCCTTCTTTTGTCCATAAATCTTCTTCCACCACGTGGCTGCGCTGGAGTCTCTATGAATCTGCTGTGATTCTGGGGTCTGCCCAATTCGCGAATCATTCATTGCTCAATTAAACTACTTTAAATTTAATTCAGCTGAGATTTTCTTTTATCACTAATTTGAGCTGGTTTTCTAATGTTTGCAAATGGGAGGGCTGACTAATATAACACTGCTCCAAATATTAACGTCTTTCTCCCAACCCATCACCCAGGCAGAAGTGGTCCAGCCTGGGCAACCCTAGGAGGAGGCTAGCTCTCCTCTAGGAAGGCTTAGGATGCAGCCAGTGGGCAGTAACTGGCTCACTGTCCCCTGCAACTGAAATCAGAACTGGTTCCAGAAACCAAGTTGACCCCCAACCAGTCTTTCCCAAAATATGGCTCTATGCCCATCTCTGGTCAGGCTGGGCTGTTTTCCTGGACAGAGAAGTCTCAGACAAGCAGGCAGTGGTTAGTGGGCTGTGCCCAGGCTGAGAACATTTCCCAGAGAAGATGGCATCTCTGGCAGTCCCTTAAAGCCAGCAGAGGCCAAGTCATGTCCAAGAGGCCAAAAGGCCCAATATGGTGGAGACAGTATACAGTCCCCATGAATAAGGGATGCTGATGCCTTCCCTATGTACCAGGTAGTCACTGCCTGAGGGGCCCAGAGCAGCAGGAGGGCAGAGCCAGCCTGGGCAGGGGCACTGGGCCGGAAGTGGGGCTCACATCCTCAGCACACACACACACACACACACACACACACACACACACACACACACACACACAAGCGAATGCACACACACACACACAAATGCACGCACACACAGATAGGTGCATTCAAACATCACATACACGTGTACATTCCTTGCAAAATCAACTTCTGCTGATAGCACAACAAACAATGGGGCCACAGTGTGGCATGGAGGAAACCCTGGAGTCTGATCTCATTTTTTTTTTTTTGCATCTGTCAGGGGATAAAGATATTTGATAAAAATCCTTGAGTCACATCCCCACCAGGTCCCTGCCTACCTGTAGACCCCATCAAGCCAGCTCCATGGCCCTTCAGATACCGCCTCACTGGGTCCCCAGGGATTGACCTCAGTCCTGGAAATGCAGAAATATCTGTATCTGTCACAGCTGAGACTGGCGGCCTTCCGCCGGCTTTCCTGGAGGCAGAGCTGGAGACAGGGACTTGGGTGGATGTGGTTTTTGTTTTTGTTTTGAAAGGGGCTTTCAGGAGAAGGGAGGTGAGGACTACAGGATGCAGAAGGGGACAGAGCAGAGTGAGAATGTGGTCCCTTAAAGTCCCGCCTTGACCTATCCCACGAGCAGCAGAGAGCACGCCACAGGATCGTCCCCACCGTGGGGCAGGGACCAGCCATTCACGTTGCTGTATCAGTTAGTCACTGGGCCATTACTGGGCATGGCATCCCATCCCAGGCAACGTGGCTCCCATCTGAGGGTGATTCTCTAGAGAAGGACAGCTGTGAGCTCTCAGCAGGTGAGGCTCCAAAAGCAGCTATACCAGTCTAGACCTCAGGGGAAGGGGGAATTCATCTCTAGGCAGGGATGATTTTCATAACATTGAACTCTTGACATGCAGGAGCACCGACCAATCAGAACAGACACGGTGACCAAACAGGCACAGCCACACCAGTGGATACCAGCGGAATGTCCACGCTGCCTCTGCGAAGGGACAGTCCCATGAGCCAAGCCCTAGACCAGCTGTTCTGGGAGCACTGCATCATTGCACTGAATTCTCACAACCGCCCCATAATGCTGGGACCATCCCCATTTTCTTGCCCAACAGCCTCCGTCTCATAGACACTAGGCGGCTCTCCCAGGGTCACACGGTCCAGTCAATAACGGGCAGAACTCGCACTCCGATCTGTCTGGCTCCAAAGCTGCTAAAAATTTTCTACTTGGCCTCACTGGCTTGACAAAGATAAAAAAGAAGGCAAGTCCTTCTTTCCAAGAGATGCTGAGGTCCCTCGGTGACACTAGGTCATGATTTTATCATGTTCAGAGGGCAATGAAAGGGACAGAAAACAAGCGATGTGTGATCTCCTGTCATGTCAAGAGACGCTGTTTTCAAAGAAACGTACGTTTCGCAGAATCAATACGCTGTGGGGCCTCAGAAAGCAGAGGCAGACACACGGCCCCAACCCGTGCACGTGGGAGCCCTGTTACAAGAGACGGCAGAAATTAAACTGAATCACCTGGAGCAAGTACATTGTAAATGTTCAATATTAATGACCCACCTCGGCCCCAAAGAAGAGAGCGTTGGGCTTTGTCCAGCTGTGTGCTCTGTTGTTAAAAGACCACCTTGTGGCCAGGCACGGTGGCTCACACCTGTAATCCCAGCGCTTTGGGAGGCCAAAGCAGGTGGATCACCTGCGGTCAGGAGTTCGAGACCAGCCTGGTCAACATAGTGAAACCCCGTCGCTACTAAAAATACAAAAATTTGCTGGATGTGGTGGCTGGCGCCTGTAATCCTAGCTACTCGGGAGGTTGAGGCAGGAGAATCGCTTGAACCTGGGAGGCGGAGGTTGCAGTGAGCCAAGATCACGCCATTGCACTCCAGCCTGGGCGACAAGACTGAAACTCCGTCTCAAAAACAAACAAACAAACAAACAACAACAGAAAACAATTTGTGCCTTAATGGGCATTCCTTTCCCTTCTTGCTAAGGGATGAGATGATGGCAGAACTTGTGGCCACTGTCCTGGAGGTTGACAAGCTTTTTCTGTAAAGTGCTAGATAATAAATATTTTGTGGGCCACACGATCTCTGGTGCAACTACTCAACACTGCCATTGTCATGCAAATGTAGCCATAGATGATAATAAATGAATGGGTGTGACTGTGTTCCAATAAAACTTTATTTATAAAACAGACAGCTGGCCAGAGTTGGGCAATGGGCAGTAGTTTGCCCCCCACTCCCCGCCCATCCGTCCTATTCCTTGGCTTTTTTGGGTACATCAAGGAGTGCAGTCTGGATGCTGGGCTATTTTATGGCCACTGGGCATAACCTTAACCTGGGCCTTTTGTCTGTTAACCTGGGTCAGTGGCTACAGTGAAGGTCGGGCAACCAAGGTTTAGATGGCTCAGTACACATTCACGCCCACAAACCAAACCAGGAAAAAGATGTGCTAAGTTGAGCATATGACACTGTTGGTACTCAAATGGTTTGTTTTTTTTTTTAAATAAATGTTTAAGTAAATTTTTTATTTTAGAACAGTTTTAGAAAAATGGTGAAAGCAGTACAGAGAGTTTCCATGTACCCCATAGCTTGATGCATTATGAACTAAAGTCCATACTTTTTTTAGGGGGGTGGGGACAGGGTCTTGCTCGTCACCTAGGCTGGAGTGTGGTGGTGTGATCATAGTTCATGGCAGCCTCAACCCTCCACCTCCCCTGGCTCAAGCGATCCTCCATCTCAGCCTCCCAAGTAGCTGGAAATACAGGTGCCTGCTACCATCCCCAGAGAATTTGTTTTTGTTTGTTTGTTTGTTGTTTGTTTGTTGAGACAGGGTCTCACTCTCATTGCCCATGCTGGTATACAGTGGCACAATCACGGGTCACTTGCAGCCTTGACTTCCCGGACTCAAGTGATCCTCCCATCTCAGCCTCCCGAGTAGCTAGGACTACAGGTGCACACCACAAGCCTGGCTAATTTTTTGTATTTTTTGTAGAGATGGGGTTTCGCCATGTCGCCCAGGCTGGTCTTGAACTCCTGGGCTCAACCCATCCGCCGGCCTCGGCCTCACAAAGTGCTAGGGTTACAGGCGCGAGCCACCGTGCCTGGCCACCTAAAGTCCATAGTTGATTCTGATTGCCTTAGTTTTTGCTTAATGTCCTTTTTCTGTTCCAGGATACCACATGGAGCATTTTGAGGAGTGCTGGCCAGGTATTTTGTAGAATGTTCCTCAACTGGGATTTGGCAGATGCTTCTCATCCTTAGTCTTGGCTTGTGTGTGTTTTGAGGAGGAGGACCACAGAGCTTAAGAATCATTCTCAGCACTCTGTATCAGGCACGCATTCTCTCAAGATGACTTGCCGCTATTGAAGTTGACTTTGATCACCTGGCTGAGGTAGTGTCTGTCCGTGTTCTCCACTGTAAAGTTACTCTCTCCTCTCTTTTCACACTGTACTCTTTGGAAGAGAGTCACTATGCACAGCCCACACTTAGGATGTGGGAAGTCCGCTCCACCTCCTTGACGATGGAATAGCTATATAATTTACCTGGGGCCGGGCACGGTGGCTCACACCTGTCATCCCAGCACTTGAATGGGAGGCCGAGGAGGGTGATCACTTGAGGTCAGGAGTTTGAGACCAACCTGGTCAACATGGTGAAACCCCGCCTCTACTAAAAATACAAAAAATTAGCCGAGTGTGGCAGCGCATGCCTGTGATCCCAGCTACTCGGGAGGCTGAGGCACAAGAATCGCTTGAACCTGGGAGGTGGAGGTTGCAGTAAGCCAAGATTACATCACTGCACTCCAACCTGGGCAACAGAGCAAGACCCTGTGTAAAAAAAAAAAATTAAATAAAAATAAATAAATAAATAATCTGGAATTCTTCTGCCTGGGAGATTTGTCTCTTCTCTCTTATCTGATCATTTATAGCAGTATGGAATCATGGGTATTTATTCTTTGAATTCTAATCCAATAGTACTTTTTTGGGGCTCAAATTGTTCTGGCTTTGACCCCTGGGAGCTTTTCCATTGGCTCCTGTGTCCCTCTGAGATGCCCCATCACTGCAGCAGTTTCATTTTGTTTCATTTCGCGCCTCCTCACCCTGTGACCCTACAAGATGCTTCAGGTTCTTCTTATCTATTTCCTCCCTCGGTCCTAGGATCGACATTTGTTCAAGAAGCCTGGTTCCTTTTACTGGAGAATGGTGTTTATTGGAGAACAGAGACCTGGGCACCAGAGGTTTGTTGCTACTGGGGTATCCTTGCTTCTAGGCTCTCTTCGCTGACAGCCAGGATTAGTAACGTGTGTCTTACTAATTTGTGTATATGCACATATCCATAAATATTTCTCTATGTAGCCATCTGTATCTATATTGAGCTAAACATGTGTTCATACTGATGCCTGCCACTCTAATCCACTGCCACATGGATCACTCTAGCCTTGCCTCCTTTGCCGACCTGTAAACCTCCCGCCCCCCACCCCATCTATTACTTAATGAATTTCAGTAAGCATGTGAGGTGGGTGGTTATGGAAACCATTTTTGACCTATATATAAGATGGCAGTTTCGTCTGATTTCTCCTAAATAGAAGACGAGTGTGAAATGGTAACATGGTGTCCGTAGGAGTCATATGGATGGACCATGGCCAACCATATTATTAAGGAATATTCATGCATTCATCCATCCATCCATCCATCCATCCATCCATCCATTCATTCACCAGTGAATGAGTAAAGCATTAGGTATTCACCACACTGTCCTCTCCTGGACTTCCCCCTACCTCACTGGCCACTTCCTCTCTGTCTCTTGGGCAGGGCCCTCCTCCCCCATCCTCTGAAGGTTGCACTGTCCCAGGGCTTGGCCCCCAGCCCTCTCCTTTTCTCAGTCTTCATAAGGATACCTATTATTCAATCCCGTGGCCTCATCTGTCATCCAAAAACACTCCCAGCTCACCACGTCTCATCTCCAGCCGTGATTTCTCACCCAGGCTGCAGACTCGGGTGTCTGATAAGCATCTCAAACTCATGATGGCCAAAACAGAAGTCTCAATTTACCTACACATTTCAGTGGTTCAGCTAGAAACAAACGATTCACTTATCGTTGATTCCTCCCTTCCCTCACCTCCTGTATTAAATACATCAGCAAGACCTTTCTGCTCTATCTCTGAAGCATAGCCCCAAGCTCACCACTTCCTGCCACTGTTACTTCCATCACCCCAATCCAAGCCATTGCTGTCTTTTGCCTAAACCAACACAACGTCCTCTTTGCTTCTCTCCCTAAATTCATTCTTGCTTCCCAATAATCCAATCTCCTCAAAATTTAAAGAAGCAATTGTTTAAAAACATACATCAGATCACTCCCCTTTCCCTACTTAAACCCTCCAATGCCTTCTGTTGCCATTAGAATAAAATCTAAACTCCTTTCCAGGGCACCCACATGACCCGGTCCCTGCCATCGTTCTCATCTCTTCCTCTCAATCACTTGACTCTGGCCACCCTGGCCTCTTTGCTATTCCTGAAACTCAGGGAGCTCATTTCCTCCTGGGGGCCTTTGCAATTATGGTCCCCTCTGCCTGGGCAGCTCTTCCCCCAGATCTTTGCATAAACTGGCCCTTCCCCTCCTCAGGTCTCAGCTCAGATGCTGCCTCCTCAGAGAGACCTTCCATGATACCAATCATCCTCTGTCACATTGCCTTGTTCTGCTTCTTTTCTTCGTAACGCCTGGCATTATCCAATAACTTCTAATGTGTGTGTTTACCTTTCGTCCTCCATCAGCACTGTGCTCCTAAGAGCTGAGGCTCGGTCTCTCTCACACCACTAAACCCCCAGTATGCCAAGCAGCACCCAGCACAGGGGAGATGCTCAGTTAATACTTGTTGAATGAATTAATGATGCTCCCCCTAAAACTAAACTTTACAAAGCACCCACTAGACAACAGGTTAGAAAACATTTTATAGGCCAGGCGCGGTGGCTCACACCTGTAATCCCAGCACTTTGGGAGGCTGAGGCAGGCAGATCATCTGAGGTCGGGGTTTGAGACCAGCCTGGCCAACATGGTAAAGCCCTGTTTCTACTAAAAATGCAAAAATTAGCCAGGCTTGGTGGCAGGCGCCTATAATCTCAGCTACTAGGGAGGCTGAGGCACGATAATCATTTGAACCCAAGAGGCGGAGGTTGCAGTGAGCTGAGATCACACCACTGCACTCCAGCCTGGGTGACAGAGAAAGACCCCATCTCAAAAACAACAACAACAACAAAATGTCTTCTGTAAAGACCCAGATAGCAAGTATTTTAGGCTTTTTAGGCTACCTGGTCTTTGCCACAACTACTTATATCTGGCACTGTCAGGCAAAAGCAGCCATAATCTGCAAATGAATGGGCATGGCTGTGTGCTCATAACACTTTATTTATAAAACAAGAACAGTGGGCCATAGTTTGCTAACCCCTGCACTAGCCCAGTCTAAGTCTTGAATATCATCTGTGTAATTAATTCACAGTGAGGAGTTCTCCACTGTAATAATTACTCATTCCGTGAATGCATGCCACTCAGGTGAGGCGTTCTTGAAACTCTGAGAGGCAAGAAGCAAAATGTTCTTTCTCCATACCCAGGCACACTCCAGTCTGTGAAAAGGAAGCAAGAGAGGCAGGCTGCAAGTTTGATCACTGGGTGGCTGCTAGCCACCTCTCCCCCTCAGCTCCAAGAGCAGAAACAGGATGAAAACGCAGCAGCTGCTGGCTTCTGTCCTCTTGCCAGCTGCCTCTCTTGCAAGACTAGACAGGGAGGGGCAGCCGCCAGTCTCCGGAGGCACAGACTGCACAGAATTGAGGATCACTTGTTCCAATGCATTCATCTTATCTTACAAAATCTTCAAATTCCAAAAGCACACGTAAGAAGGGCTGCTGTTTCATTCACACAGTGAAATATTGTGCATCTGAAAGAATATGTAGATGGGTGGCATCTTCAACAACCCCAGGATCACAGACGTTTAAATTTCACCCCTTCTACTGCTGTAAGGCACAGCAGAAGGAGTGTAATTTAAACGTCTGTGATCCTGGCTGGGCGTGGTGACTCTTGCCTGTAATCCCAACACTTAGGGAGCCCAAGGTGGGAGGATTGCTTGAGCTCAGGAGTTCAAGACCAGCCTGGGCAACCTAGTGAGAGCTCATCTCTACAAAGATTTTTTTTAAAAAAATTAGCCAGGTGTGGTGGTGCACTCCTGTAGTCCCAGCTACTCAGCAGGCTGAGGCACGATGATCCCTTGACCCTGGGAGATCAAGGCTGCAGTGAGCTGTGATGGTGCCATTGTACTCCAGCCTGGGGAACAGAACAAGAACCCATCTAAAAAAAAAAAAAGAAAGAAAAGTTCATATTCCAACCAAGATCTCACCATTGCATCATCAAGCATAAACACCTGCCCCCACTGAAAAAGTACAGAGGAAGGCAGTCATATCATATCTTCCCTCCTGACCTCACCAAGTTCCAGGGCAGGAAGAGTCTCGCCACCCCAGCACACAGTAGGCCCACTGGAAAATGAGTGCTCCCTTCTCTAGGCATTTCATTGTCATGGTCATAAAGTCAGGTTCATTTTTCTAATGAAAGAGAAAGCCAAAAATGGAGGCTGATTTTTTTCTTTTTTCTTTTTTTTTTTTTTTAGTCTCACTCTGTCGCCAGGCTAGAGTGCAATGGTGTGATCTCGGCTCACTGCAACCTCCGACTCCCTGGATCAAGTGATTCTCCTGTCAGCCTATCGAGTGGCTGGGACTACAGGCGCCCACCACCACGCCTAGCTAATTTTTGTATTTTTAGTAGAGACGGGGTTTCACCATATTGGCCAGGATGGTCTCGATCTCTTGACCTCATGATCTGCCCATCTCAACCTCCCAAAGTGCTGGGATTACAGGCATGAGCCACCACACCGGGCCTGGAGGGTGATTTTGACCAGGCCTTCTCAAGTTTTGGAAGGAAGTGGAGCTCACTTCTCTTCTGTTGCTTTTGCCCACCCAGGATCACTTATTCCTCTGGGTAATACAGCACCCCAGGCACAGGGGCCGCCTGTCACATAAGCGTGGGCATGGCTCATGTGCGGCCAGGCCCCAGTGATTCTGCAAAGGTTGCCCATAAGTCCTTCCCCCGCCCCAGGACTGGCATATTGATGTGGTGGGATGGAAGCTGTCCTTCTGCTGGGTCTGCAGATGGGGGCAATGTAAAGCCTGACATTGCCGGATGATGTCAGAAGCAGAACCCATAGGCAAAAGCCAGCTTTCCAGCACTCCACTCTCAGTTTCCTGCCATCTCCACTTCTGTGGATGTGTGCCCGGCATCTGCCTCTGCCCCTGCCTCTGAGAGCAGTGACTGAGCAAACAGTCCTGGACCTGGTTGAAAGGATGGGCCTGTCTGTTTCTAGCAGAGTGGTCTTTCAGAAAGCTGATTCCTGAAAGTTGGCATCAAGGGAAGCAGAGCCAGGAGGTGGAAATTGAGACTGGGTCCCGCTATGCATGAAGCCAGAGACTCTTGGATTTCTCCGTTACTTGACCAGAGGAATGCCCCATTTTGCTCAAGCTAGTTGGAGTTGGATTTCTGTTACTTGAAACCAAGAGAGCCTTAACTAATACATAACTAGAAATGCATCCATGGTCACTGCCCATTCATGTGACAGACATTTATTGAGCACTATTCCAGTTACCTAATGTTGCATGAGTTACCCCAAAACTTAGAGGCTTAATTCAGTCGTATAAGATATTCACAGATCCCGTGGGTCAAGAATTTGGGAAGACACTGTAGGTTGAACTTTGTTCTCTGCTTTGTCTTTCTTGGAAAGAGAGGACACAGCTTGAAGTCATTACTGATTTGGGACTGTATGTAATGCATATCTGTGCTTCATTGTCACTGTGTTTTTAAGTTTTCTAAACTTAAAACAGCTCATTTTCGGGGGACATAAAGAACCTGGGAAGAGCTCAGCTGGGCAGCACTGACCTGGGGTCTCTTGAGTGGTGGAAGTCAGATGTCATCTGCAGCTGCACTCACCAGAAGGCTTGACCGGGGCGGGGAAATTCGCTTCCAAGCTGGCTCACTCACGTGGTGGCAAGCTGTACATGCTGGGGGCCAGGGGCCTCACCCCTCCCCACGAGGCTGCCTGAGCACCCTCACGCAAGGCAGTTGGCTTCCCGAGAGCCAAAGTGCAATGCCTGTTACGACCTAGCCCGAGAAGTCACACATCATCACTCACTTCCACCACTTCCCACTGGTCGCACAGAGCCAGCCTGATTCAGTGTGGGAGGGGACCACACACAAAGGCAGTGTGCATCCCTGGGGGCCATCCTGAGGCTGGCTGTGTACCACAAACACCCGCCACATGCCAGGGACTGGACACACAGCCTTTGACCCCCACTGAACATCAGCCTAAACAGAAGGCAACCAAGCAAACCTTATCCCCCAAACTCTTTCCAACTCCTCCCTTAGGACGGCCCCTGCTTTTAAGTAAAGGGAATCGTGCCGAATAATTGTTCCTATTAAGGAACTAGATCTCAGGGTTTGGTCATGCAGCTCTTTGGTTACAGAAACAACGCTGATGAAATAATCGAAGGTCCTCCACCATTCTCACCCCCAGCCATGACCCCGTCCACTGCACACAGTGCTCCACGTCACTGTGCCTTTCCTAACTTTACTACAGCTTATACCTGCCTCTCCTGTACAACATCCACGTGACATCCATCTCTAAACCTCTGAGTCATCCCTAGACAAGCTGGCATGTGACTACATCATCTCATTTCATACATCAAGGGCAGGAAAACATGGTGGTTAAGAACTCTTGGACCTGGGTTCAAACCCCTGCTCTGCCACTTGACAGCTGCAAGATTGTTCAGCCTCAGTTTCTTTCTCTGAAAAATGGGGCTGGAAGCATACCTACTTCATGAACTCATGAAGCATCCACATGCATGCAAGGGCACGGCACAGCGCCCGGCACACAGTAGCTCAAGAAAGGCTGGTTGTGCCTGCTGGTGTGCTTGATCCAGAGAGGCAATCACTCATTTGCTTTTTCCTTATTTCCTGAATCTTTGTTTCTCACATTTAGGCCATTAGAGTTAAGCAGAAGGACTGCCTCTTCCTCCAGCCATCTCACCAGTCCTTCCACATACACATGCACATACACACACACACACACAAACACACACACACACACATTCTCATGCTACCTTCGGCCCTTCCCATCTCCTGTAACCCCAGAAAAGAAGACCGAGGTGAAGCCGTTGCCTTAGAATGGCACTGCCCTGGCCAGGTGTGGTGACTCATGCCTATAATCTCAGCACTTTGGGAGGTTGAGGCAGAAGGATCACTTAAGGCCAAGAGTTCAAGACCAGCCTGGTCAACATAGCCGAGACCCTGTCTCTACAGAAAAATCAAATCAAATAAAAAGCTTTTAATTAAAAAAGAATGGCACTGTCCTAAAGCTCCTGAGGTGTCCTCATCAAGGATTTATGGTTGTTTTTACGGCCACTTTAATAGGCAGAAATGTGCACAGAGCAGAGTTCCCCAAGAATCTGCCATCTTAGACCATTTTGTTTTTTAAATACCTCAGCAAACAAGTCTGTCTCATATGACTTTTGTCCCATTCCAAGTCTAATAACAGCCCGGGTGCGGTGGCTCACGCCTGTAATCCCAGCACTTTGGGAGGCCAAGGTTGATGAATCACCTGAGGTAGGGAGTTCAAGACCAGCCTGGACAACATGGTGAAACCCCGTATCTACTAAAAATACAAAAAATTAGGCGAGCGTGGTGGTGGGCACCTGTAATCCCAGCTACTCGGGAGGCTGAGGCAGGAAATCGCTTGAAACCGGGAGGCAGAGGTTGCAGTGAGCCGAGATCACGCCACTGCACTCCAGCCTGGGCCACAAGAGCGAAACTCAAAAAAAAAAAAAAGAATCTAATAACATTAATGTTTACTTCTCACAGGAGGATCAGAGGACTTCTGTCCTGAGATTGCCAGAAAAATGATGAACAGAAAATTATACACAACCGAACAGGCCCAACTTTCAAATGGACTGAGAATGACCCACACAAGTTCCACCGAGGCCAAGGGTGACCTGCAGCCAGCGACAGGGAAAGACTGCCACTTACTGGCGGCCTCCGGAACTGGAAGGAGTGTACTGACAATTGTATCTTTCGCAAGCTCTTAACCTTTATACCGTCAATAAAAACCCCATTAACATTTAAAAGGGATGTTTCTGGGTGTCCACTTGGAATAAGAGTTGGAAAACACTCCAAGAAATGGATTCTGTATTAATATCACATCTGTCCCAGATCTCCAACACTGTTCACTTTCCTTCCACGGTGCCAACACCAAGCTAGCTGATAGGTGGGAACAGGGCAGCTCTGCGGTTGGCCCCCAAGAGCCAGGGAGTCCCCCAAGCTGACCCCCTGGGGTGGCAGTGGCACCTAACAAGAACTTCCACCTTGTTTTCCCTCTCTCCGTTTTGTCCTTTTGGACTCTGCTCACGCATCACATCCAGAAAGTTCCCTAAGCTCTCCAGTGGGATGAGAACTCTGCTCTGTGCTCCTGTGGTCCTCCATGTTCCTCCACCTGGAGGCCCTCGGCTCCCTGCATTACCCCTGTCTACTTACTGACTTGCCTTCTACCCAGTGATGGGCCATGTGCTGTGAGGGCACACACTGTGTGCCCATCTATTCATTCCTCTGTGCGTGCGTTCATTCATTCCTTACTGAATGCCCACCAAGTGCCAAGCATTGGGGTACGAAGAACAAGGCAGACGGGGCCTCCCTGGCCTCTTCCAGCTCGCTGTAGAGTGTTGTCTACCCTACTCATCCTCACATACCCATGCCTGTCCTATGTGGCACTCAATAAATGTCGGATGGATGGATGTGTCCCCTCCTTCAATATCACTTAATTCACTTGATGACTTCCTGTGAGGATTAAGTTTAGCTGTTAAAATGCTGTGACTTCCTCTGGATCTCTGATGCAAGCCGGCAACCTTTAAGCCTCACCCGGCCAACGTAGGCATTTTGTTTGGCCAAAGTGTGTGGTTTTCTTAAAAAAACACTGCATTTGTGGCTAACATTTAAAATTGGGAAAATTTCACGTAAATCTTTGTTTTTCTGGCTTCTCTAGAAAAATGAACGCACATTTCTGCACAGCAGGGGTGAGCCAGAGCTGAGTCCCTAAGCTTCCCTTAGACGTGGTGGGCACACTTCAACTTGCCACAACCTCCACTATCTCCGATTTCTCTATCACTGACGCCAAAAGCTGCTGGGGACCATGTCGGCTGAGCTCGTGTTTTTCCTGCCCCAGCCAGCTTCACTCAGGACTCTGACTTGCTCTACATTTGGCTCAACTGAAGACCCCCGGGGGTTACGCGCATGTCATCCAAGAAATACATCTATGATGAGCTACAACACAAATGAATGGGCCATTTTATTGATTTTTACCTCCTAATAGTGGATACAGGTTGCTGTGGTTTCCAGCAGGATCTCAGATGCAAAGGGAAGTGAAGAAAACAGATGAATCCCTAGGGTACCCCGCCATGGAACCAAACACCACGTCAACTGGAACTCTTCTTGCAAACGAAGGCTGAAGATCAAGAATGACATTCTCACACCACAGCACAGCTTAAATACTTCTTTGACAAAAATAATAATAAATTATATTTGACTCAGAAAATAAATTCTGTTCAGCAGAGTGACAGGAGGGTCCATTCATTGCATTGCACGAGGGGCTCTACGGAGGGGTGAGGATGGGTGCAGGATGCCACAGTGACAAGGGACATGGGGTGCGGGCCCAGCAGCACAGGCTGAAGTTAGCTGACGCATGCTTTTGGCTTTTATCCCACGGGCGGGTAGTGGCCGGACCCCTGGCTGTGGCCTGTCCCAAGTGAGACTGCAACTGTCCCCTTCCTCCTCAAGTCCGCCTTGTCTTCTGTTTCTTGGCTTGTCTCTTTGCATCTTCTGGGCCGCTATTGTCAGAGGCTGCCTGGCCGAGCACGCGGACTCCCTGTAGCCGGCTTGTCAACTGCAGCAGCAAAGGAATGAGCTAGAAAAGAGAGAAAGTGTGAGAGAGAGGGGTACAAAGAGGAGGCTTTTGCCAGATGAACAGCGGAGCCTCACTTCTCAACACACCTTCTTCAGACATGATCAGCAGCTGCCACGTGCTAATGGGTGGGTTTCAGTTCAAACGAGGCAGGCCTCTTACTAATGAGTCCCCAGGGATGGGCTGGCCTCTCTCCGGGCCTAATATGTCCCTAGAGGTGTTCCAGGTTTAAGGATTAGGAGATGTTACAGAAGTTTACAGCCTTGAAAGGAGACCTAAGTCTGGACTTGAGGCCTTCACGGGCCCTCCCGACCCGGAAATGTGATTTCTGTGACCCTGGACATCCCTCTGCTATCACTCCTGCAGCTGTGAGGACTCGCTCTCCCTGACATGCCCGCCATCTCCTGAGGCCTCTGGATTTCCTACCTTGTCATGGTTGTAACCGGCCAGCAGAACCAGCAGCGTCAATGGCAGGGCAATGTAGGATCCTTGTGCGATGTCCTGTCCAGGCAGCTTCCTCTGCAAACACCGAGAGCCCCATCACTCCTCACCAAGGCCACACGATTGTCCATCATCCACAATGCCACAGCCACCACCCACCCAGCCTTCCAAAGTGGCCACTTGAGGACACCCAGGGGCCCTCATGATCCAAATTCCTTCTATCCAAAGGAAGGAACCAAAGTGATTTGGATATATTTTCCCATGAATCCTCTTCTGCCCAAAGCTTCACTATTTGCTTCTGAAACTCAGGGACAAAGAGATTCTTCCTGCCATCCTGCCATCATTTGTTTTTTATGTTTTGTCGCCAAAAGTGACCTTGAGGAACCCTGGGAGCTCAGGAAGGAAGGAGCGCCCAGAAGCAGGGACAGGGAGCTGGTTGGGGAGGACCAGAAATCAGGTTTCTGAAGGTTCCAGAGAGGACCTGGTCTTGGGAGGAGCGTGGGGGACTGAGATGGGGGAGGGGTCATTGGGATGATGCGGGCGCTACTTGGAATGTCCATTGTGAGGCACCACCGGGGTCATCAGGGATTGGTGGAGAGAGAGTCTAAAGCCCCAGGGTTGCTAAGGGAGGGCCCAGACCGAAGAAGGTTTGGTGGAAAGCAGAACCTTTGTCTCCCTCTAATTGCTCCTAAGCCTCACGCTCCCTTGCCCCGCGTGTCCTGTTGCTTCCCTGATCTTCTCCGTGACCTGTAGCTAAACCTTCCACCAGCGCTTGAGAACTTAATTTGAACCGGATCCTTTCCCAGACCCCTTTCTTCTTCTCCTCCTCCTCCTCCCCAACAGCCCCCTTCTCCTCCTTTCCCTTCCCTTACTTCCCCCCTTCCCCTCCCCTTCCCCTCCCCCTCCCCTCCCCCTCCCCAACTCAGATCCGGCCCGGTCCCCGTCCCCTTCCCTCCCCCCTGCCCTAAGCCACCTCCACCTCTGTCCTGGCCACCTCCGGGTGCCCTGAAAGGACCAGGACATGCGGGTGCGGTGGCTGCTCTTTTGGCTCCTCTTTTGGCTCCTGCTGGGATTTATCAGCCATCAGTCCACCTGTGTGAGTAGATGGGTGCTGTGGCTGCTCTTTTGGCTCCTGCTGGGATTTATCAGCCATCAGTCCACCTGTGTGAGTAGACGCTGGACCCGCGGGGTTTCTTCCTTTTTACTGGGCTGTGTCACGCGGCATGAAATTACACAGCTCAGGCCTGTAATCCCAGCACTTTAGGGGGCCGAGGTGGGCAGATCACTTGAGTCCAGGAGTTGAAGACTAGCCAGGGCATCATAGCGAAACCCCATCTCTACAAAAAATTCCAAAAAAGATTAGTCGGGCCTGGTGGTGCGTACCTGTTATCCCAGTTACTGGAGAGGCTGAGGTGGGAGGATCGCTTGGGCCCAGGAGCTGGACGTTGCAGTGAGCCGAGATGGCCCCGCTGCACTCTTGTCTCTAACAAACAAAACGGACCAAAACAAAGTGAAATGTCATTTGATTTGTGTCATCTGGTTTGATGACTTTTTTTTTTTTTTAAGACAGAGTCTCATTCTGTCGCCCAGGCTGGAGTGCAGTGGCAAGATCTCGGCTCACTGCAACCTCCGCTTCCGGGGTTCAAGCAATTGTCCTGCCTCAGCCTCCTGAGCAGCTCAGATTACAACGCCTGGCTAATTTTTGTATTTTTAGTAGAGACTGGGTTTCACCGTGTTCGCCAGGATAGTCTCCATGTCTTGACCTCGTGATCTGCCTGCCTCGGCCTCCCAGTGCTGGGATTACAGGCGTGAGCCACCGCGCCTGGCCAAAATATATAACCTTAAGTGTAAGTTTACTAACTTTGGAAAGTACATACACCAGCATAAACCAACCCCCTTTCAAGATCTACATTATTTTATTTATTTATTTATTTTTTTGAGACAGTTTCTCCCTTGTTGCTGAGGCTGGAGTGCAATGGGGCAATATCAGCTCACCGCAACCTCTGCTTCCCAGGTTCGAGCGATTCTCCTGCCTCAGCCTCCCGAGTGGCTGGGATTACAGACATGTGCCACCACTCCCAGCTAATTTTGTATTTTTAGTAGAGATAGGGTTTCTCCATGTTGGTCAGGCTGGTTTTGAACTCCCGACCTCAGGTGATCCGCCTGCCTCGGCCTCCCAAAGTGTTGGGATTACAGGCGTGAACCACCGTGCCCAGCCAAGATCTACACTATTATGTCACCCCAGAAAGTGAACTCTCACTCTTCCCAGCCAGTCTCTTTCTTATCATAGGTTAGCTTGCTTATTCTGGAATTTCGCGTATACAGATGCATGCCATGCCATAGGTACTCTTTTGTGTCTGCTTTATTCTGCTCAACACCATGTTTCTGAAATCATTACCATTGTTGTACGGTTCTCTAACTCCATCATTTCCATTTCAGACTCAGCATATGCTGAGTTCAACCTGTTGAAGGGCTATCTCTGTTTAATTCACCATCTTGAAAGAAACATTTAAAATTGAGATGTTTTCAAGAATATATAGTTAAATCCTGAGGAATCGATGTAGAAATGTTATCAGAAGCTGTCTGAACTTACTCAGGGGAAGTCTTCGTCTTCACTCACATAAGAGTCTAATGGAATTAATATCAACAATCTTAGAGAAATCCCACGCTATTCATGCCATTTTCATGATCTCCACCTTGGTAATTTTTTTTTTTTTTTTTTTGAGACAGAGTCTCGCTCTGTCACCCAGGCTGAAGTGCAGTGGTGCGATCTTGGCTCACTGCAACCTCTACCTCCCAGGTTCAAGTGATTCTTCAGCCTCAGCCTCCCAAGTAGCTGGAACTATAGGCGCGTGCCACCATGCCCTGCTAATTTTTTGTATTTTTAGTAGAGATGGGTTTCACCGTGTTAGCTAGGATGGTCTCAATCTCCTGATCTCGCGGTCCACCCACCTCGGCTTCCCAAAGTGCTGGGATTGCAGGCGTGAGCCACCACGCCCAGCCCACCTTGTTACTTTTTAAGAACTAAAATTCGATACTTATTTGTGAATGAAGTAATCTCTTCATTGTATTTTTTTTTTTTTTACTTATGCTGAGCTTTAAATGACAAAGATTCATATAATCCAAGAGAGAAGTATTATTTAGAGGGATTCTTTTACCATGTGATATATAATAAATGCATCCAATGTTATACATCAATTTAAAAAACAAATAACTAAAGAAAAGATAACTACTGGCCAGGTGCAGTGGCTCACACCTGTATTGCCAGCACTTTGGGAGGCCGAGGCAGGTGGATCATGAGGTCAGGAGTTGGAGACCAGCCTGGCCAAGATGGTGAAACCCTGTTTCTACTAAAAAGACAAAAATTAGCCGAGCGTGGTGGCAGGCGCCTGTAATCCCAGTTACTCAGTAGCTGAGGCAGGAGAATCGCTTGAACCCGGGAGGCGGAGGTTGCAGTGAGCTGAGATCATGCCACTGCAATCTAGCCTGGGTGACAGAGCAAGACTTTGTCTCAAAACAAAAATAAAAGATAAGATAATTACTTTATACTTAGCTTGTCTTACCCATGAGTGACGGGCTGCATGTGGCCCAGGACAGTTTTGAATGCAGTTCAACACAAATTTGTAAACTTTCTTAAAACATTAGGAGATTTTGGCCAGGTACAGTGGCTCATGCCTGTAATCCCAGCACTTTGGGAGGCTGAGGCGGGCAGATTACCTGAGGTCAGGAGTTCGAGACCACCCTGGCCAACATGGCAAAACCCCATCTCCACAAAAAATACAAAAATTTGCTGAGTGCACTGTCAGGCACCTGTACTCCCAGCTACTCAGGAGGCTGAGGCAGGAGAATCACTTGAACCTGAGAGGCAGAGGTTGCAGTGAGCCGAGAGCACACCACTGCACTCCAGCCTGGGTGACAGAGTGAGACCCCATCTCAAAAACAACAAACAAAAACAAAAAAAATGGCCGGGCACGGTGGCTCACACCTGTAATCCCAGCACTTTGGGAGGCCGAGGCAGGCAGATCGCCTGTCAGGAGTTCAAGGCCAGACTGGCCAACATGGTGAAACCTCATCTCTACTAAAAATACAAAAATTAGTCGGGCATGGTGGCAGAGACCTGTAATCTCAGCTGCTCGGGAGGCTGAGGCAGGAGAATGGCTTGAGCCCAGGAGCTGGAGGTTGCAGTGAGCCGAGATTGCACCACTGCACTCCAGCCTGGGCGACTGAGTGGAGCGGAACTCTGTCTCAAAAAAAAAAAAAAAAAAATTTTTTTTTTTAGATCATCAGCTATTGTTAGTGTTAGTGTATGTTATGTGTGGCTCAAGACAACTTTGCTTCTTTTAATATAGGCAGGGAAGTCAAAAGATTGGATATCCCTGCTTTATACCAAGAAAGACAACACCCCACATTTGCAATGCCTAAAAACACTACCAGCCATCTGAAAAACATGAGACTTCTCTAACTTCTGTTCTTTTTTGTAGCAGTGGAATCCCACGGTGATATCTGAGGGATGTGGTTACCTTTTGGAGGAGGTTGACGGTTTCTAAGGATGATTCTTTCTGAGTGAAATATTGTCAGTGTCATTGACCTTTTCATTATTTCAACTATTATTATTCCAGGTTATCAATACTCTGGCTGACCATCGTCATCGTGGGACTGACTTTGGTGGAAGTCCTTGGTTACTTATCATTACTGTGTTTCTGAGAAGTTATAAATTTGCCATCTCCCTCTGCACAAGTTACCTTTGTGTGAGTATACTAACTTTCTGTAGAGGTATACTTGTAATCACAAATAAGAATAAATTATATGAAACAATTCACGTTTCTGGACTTCATTATGAATATGTGGTTTTACCCAAAAAATCAGGGAAATGATTTATTAGCATAAGAATTATGAAAATATCTGCCATTTACATTATGAAAATTAAATAGGTCGGTGTTTAATAGAATGTCAACAGAGCTTTTGGTCAAAAATAAGTTTTTTTAACCTTTGTGCTATTTGTCACAAATGGAGTATGAGATTTCGTCACTTAAATGGGAAAGTCTTTCTAAACTCTTCTGCTTTATAGTTCTATCGTATGGGTGGAAGGAAAGCTTCCAATCTCCTCTCTGAAGATTCACTGCAGAAATGAGCTGACAACAGACAGCTTAACAGGAAAAGAAAAACATAGAACAGGCATAAACATGGGAACCAGCTGAAAAATGAGACTGCTAGAAGGGCTGGATGGTTGATGCTTAAAGAGCACCCTCTTCTGAGGGTAGAGGGAGATAGATGGAGATGTAGGCCATTTAGAGGGTCAGCAAATGATTTTTAGGGGAAATGAAAGAGCCCAAGGAACAAACAGTTGGCCTGAGACAAAGTTCCTCTGAGGTCATAGGGACGAGGTGACAAACTGCCGGAAGGTGAAGGGCAGAACTGCACTGCGTCTCATGATGCAGAGAAAGCCCCAGAGAATCTCTTAGAACTGCCCTCCAAGAGAATCAATGAAAAGTGTGTCTGGGCAGGGTAATTTTGAATGACATCATTCAAAGTGCATGTTCCCACTTGCAACTGGAGAGAGATCCGTATGTCAAAAGTCTGTACTTGGTAAGAATTTGGCTGCTAAGTTGTGGCATAATTTGTCTTTTGAGCCTTTTTTCCTTTGGGTAAGTTGAGCTCTACATTTTGTCTTGCCATTCATGACAGTAAAAATGTGGTTGTGTGGGGGCTGAACCTCCTTCTGAACAATGATCCAAGATAAAAGTACTAATACCACAATGCTTTTTGATATTCAAGGGAAGAGGAAGTATGTTTCAGTTTTACCGCCTAGATAATTACACGTCATTTGGCACTGCCTTTCAAGATATGTGGAAAACAGAAAATATATGAGTTATGAAGATATCTAGGCACATTTAACATTCTCTATGCCACTTAGTCCTGAACAGAGAATTTTTGGTATAAATTGGAGGAAGCTTTTTTTTTTTTTTTTCTTTTCTCACCCCCAAAAGGAGTCTCCCTCTGTTGCCCAGGCTGGAGTATAATGGTGTGATCTCGGCTCACTGCAACCTCCACCTCCTGGCTTCAAGTGATTCCCCTGCCTCAGCCTCTCAAGTAGCTGGGATTACAGGTGCCCACCACCATGCCCAGCTAATTTGTGTATTTTTAGTAGAGTCGGGGTTTTACCATGTTGGCCAGGCTAGTCTCAAAACCCGACCTCAAATGATCCACCCGCCTCAGCCTCCCAAAGTGCTGGGATTACAAGCGTGAGCCACCACGTGAGCCAGGGGAAGTTTTTAAATTTACCACTTTTTAACAATTCCATTTAGGAAAGTTCAGTTGAGCTGTTGGACTTGGACAACTTTGTACCTCTCATCTTTGTCCTTGTCATCTAGTCATCTATACCATTACCTCCTAAGCAGGGACATCATGGGTGCCATGAAGCATTCATGTGTGATGGCATTTCTTTGCTTCTCATTTCTTCATGTGTTTGACATTTCTCCTAGCTCCAAACTGGGCCAGCTACCTTTCCTATGAAATCTAGCAGTAGCTGTGGGATAGACGTGGTTGCTCTTTTCATCTTTTTAGATTACCCATTGCTTCTCTTGAAATCCTAGTACATGATTTTTTTTTTTATCCTATGTGCAGAAATCAGGAAAAAACAAATTCTACAAAGAATTTGAAAGATATTATTTCAGGCCAGGTGTGGTGGCTCATGCCTGTAATCCCAGCACTTTGGGAGGCTGAGGCAGGTGGATCACTTGAGGTCAGGAGTTCAAGACCAGATGGGCCAACATAGTGAAATCCCATCTCTACTAAAAAGACAAAAATTAGCCAGGCATGGTAGCAGGCACCTGTAATCCCAGCTACTTGGGAGGCCGAGGCACAAGAATCGCTTGAATCTGGGAGGTGGAGGTTGCCGTGAGCCAAGGTAGCGCCACTGCACTTCAGCATGGTTGAGTGACACTCCGTCTCAAGAAAAAAGTCATTTCAATGACTACCTCAGGAGATTCATAGGTATCTGACCCACATCTGAGATGGGATTTGCATTGCATTTTAGCTATGATGAGAACAAATATTTAATATCTTCGAAGATTAAAAGCATACTGTGATAATATGGAAATCTTGGTGGGAATTCAGTCATTAGTGAGAATGTTTTGCATTAAGTTCAAACCAGCCTCAACGAAGCTGATGTGAGGGAAGGGAAAGTGAACTCTGAGTAGAGCAGGGACAGAAGAAAGATGCTCCAGTGCAGATCAGGAAGGAGCAGGGGGTGAAATGTTACAAATTCTAGAACTCAGAGAGCTGAAGGTAATTAATTACTTCCTTTTCAAGTTGTGAAACATGTTAACCTGTGGTAAAATACTTACAAGATGATAATTACCATCTAACCGTGTTGAAGTGTACAGTTCAGTTGTGTGAAGTATATTCATGTCATTTTTTTTTTTTTTTTTTTGAGACGGAGTCTCACTCTGTCACCAGGCTGGAGTGCAGTGGTGGGATCTTGGCTCACTGCAACCTCTGCCTCTTGGGTTCAAGCAGTTCTCCTGCCTCAGCCTCCGGAGTAGCTGGGACTACAGGCGTGCGCCACCATGCTCAGCTAATTTTTGTATTTTTAGTAGAGACGGGGTTTCACCATGTTGCCCAGGATGGTCTCCATCTCTTGACCTTGTGATTCACCCGCCTCGGCCTCCCAAAGTGCTGGGATTACAGGCGTGAGCTACCGCACCTGGCCTATATTTTTTTTTTTTTTTTTTTTTTGAGACAGAGTTTGAATTTTGTTGCCCATGTTGGAGTGCAATGGCACAATCTCAGCTCAACACAACCTTTTCCTGCTGGGTTCAAGTGATTCTCCTGCCTCAGCCTCCCGACTAGCTGGGATTACAGGCATGCACCACCATGCCTGGCTAATTTTGTATTTTTAGCAGAGACAGCGTTTCTCCATGTTGGTGAGGCTGGTCTCAAACTCCCGACCTCAGGTTATCCACCTGCCTCGGCCTCCCAAAGTGCTGGGATTACAGGAGTGAGCCACCATGCCAGCCTCATGTCATTCTTGTGTGGTGTGTGTGTGTGTGTGTGTGTGTGTGTGTGTGTGTGTGTGACAGAGTCTCATTCTGTCACTCAGGCTGGAGTGCAGTGGTGTGATCTCGGCTCACTGCAACCTCCACCTCCCAGCTTCAAACGGTTCTCTGCCTCAGCCTCCCGAGTAGCTCGGATTACAGGCGCCCACTGCCATGCCCGGCTAATTTTTGTATTTTTAGTAGAGATTGGGGTTTCACCATCTTGGCCAGGCTGGTCTTGAACTCCTGACCCCGTGATCCACCCTGCCTCGGCCTCCCAAAGTACTGGGATTATACGCATGAGCCACCGTGCCCAGCCGTCATTCTTATATTATTATTTCCTAGGTGTCTTTCCTGAAGACTATCTTCCCGTCTCAAAATGGACATGATGGATCCACGGATGTACAGCAGAGAGCCAGGAGGTCCAACCGCCGTAGACAGGAAGGTATGGCTCTGTTGGAGTCCCCATAGTGTGGAAATGAGTTTGCCCTGGAAAGGGAAAGAACAGCTTCTTGCCCTCAGGTTTCTCACCTTCTCCTCTCCTCACTCTCACCAAGGGCTGAGGTCCGTTTGTATGCACACAAAGAAAAGAGTTTCTTCCTTTCCAGGAATTAAAATTGTCCTGGAAGACATCTTTACTTTATGGAGACAGGTGGAAACCAAAGTTCGAGCTAAAATCCGTAAGATGAAGGTGACAACAAAAGTCAACCGTCATGACAAAATCAATGGAAAGAGGAAGACCGCCAAAGAACAGTAAGATGTGCCTTGACACAAATACTGTTGTATGAACCATGTGCCAATCAAAGTAGACAACTGTAAAGTCCTTGAGAATATTTTCTACAATATTTGTGGCAAATTCAGTGGGTTCAAAATTGAGCTTGTCCTTTCTGCTTCATTAGTTTAAGCTGTATAATTCCTTTCCCTTCCTACATTCTTGTTTGTCATTTTTTCAGGGGAAGAGGAGTTGCTAGTACTGGCATTGGTTTTCCTTTCTCTCTCTCTTTTTTTTTTTTTTTCCTGAAATGGAGCTTTGCTCTTGTTGCCCAGGCCGTAGTGCAATGGCACAATCTCAGCTCACTGCCTTTTGGGTTCAAGCAATTCTCCTGCCTCAGCCTCCCAAGTAGCTGGGATTACAGGTGCCCACCACCACGCCCAGCTAATTTTTGTATTTTTACTAGAGATGGGGTTTCACCATGTTGTCCAGACTGGTCTCGAACTTCTGACCTCAGGTAATCCACCCGCCTCAGCCTCCCAAAGTGCTGGGATTAGAGGCGTGAGCCACCACACCCAGGCTTTTTTTTTTTTTTTAATTTTGAGATAGAGTCTCGCTCTGTCGCCCAGGCTGGAGTGCTATGGTGCAATCTTGGCTCACTGCAACCTCTGCCTCCCAGTTTGAAGCAATTCTGCCTTGGCTTCCCGAGTAGCTTGGATTACAGGTGTGTGCCACCACATTCGGCCAATTTTTTTTTTTTTTTTTTTTTTTTGAGACAGAGTCTCACTCTGTCACCCAGGCTAGAGTGCAGTGGCATGATCTTGGCTCACTGCAACCTCCGCCTCCCAGGTTCAAACGATTCTTATCCCTCAGCCTCTTGAGTAGCTGGGACTACAGGCATATGCCACCATGCCCAGATAATTTTTGTATTTTTAGTAGAGGCGGGGTTTCACCATATTGGCCAAGCTGGTCTAGAACTCCTGACATCATGATCCGCACAACTCGGCCTCCCAATGTGCTGGGATTACAGGCGTGAGCCACCGTGCCCAGCCCAATTTTTGTATTTTTAGTAGAGACGGGTTCACCATGTTGGCCAGGCTAGTCTTGAACTCCTGACCTCAGGTGATCTGCCTACCTCAGCCTCCCAGTGTGAGCCACCGCACCCAGCCTGGATTGTTGAACTCAATGCTTGGGTCACCTCCAGATTCATTTTCACAGTCTTTCATGTTTTGGTCATACTACATTGTATTTTGCTGCCATATGACTGATCTTTTTTTGTTAAATGTGAGATACTTGTTAAAAAATATTTAACAATGAATTGAGGCCTAGTAGCATGTTATCTTGCTGCAGAAGAGATGGGAGTCTACTTCTGGGGGATGGTCAGGGGTCCTCCGTACAGGCTGCAATTGAGGTCGTCTCTGCAGGCTCAGTCCCTACAAAGGCCAGGGTATTTCCTGTCCACCTCTATTCTGATGCATGACTCTTCTGGGTCTCAACCAGAGCCAGTGGACTTCAGTATGGATCGCTTTCATTGGCAGACCCTCAATCCACTTGTTTTCCATCTAACCCCACGCATGTGTGCAAAAGCTGCTGTGCTTCTTTGCATCTCAGTAGTTCCTTCTGGAATTCAGCAATGAAACTCAGGGAAATGGGTTCCAAATGCGAGGCTGACTTTCGTCCTGGGTTTCCTTCTTCTCCATCTTCACCTCATGTCTGTTTACTGCCATGTGAGCAATTTGATGTATTCAATCATGGGTTTTATATTCTGTTTGGTGTCCCCCATTGTTCTCATCTGAGATCAGAAGCTTCAGATGCACTTATGTCAACTCAAGAGTAGAATGCTTCCTTAGCCTCCCTCCAGAGTCAGGTTTTGTGTTTCTAGTTCCCAAGTGCACAGCAGGAGTAGTGATGTCCTCACTGGCTTCTCATTTGCATTAAACTGTGAGCTTCTTTAGCGTGGGGACAGGACCCTGCTCCCATTGCATTGTCAGCACCTCACCACACACACCTTGTTTGAGGCCACTCCAGACAGCATGTGCTGAAGGATGCCCTGTGGTCAGAAACAAGTTCATTAACTTTCTCTTTGAAGTGTTTTCGTCCCTGTTTCCTAGCGTTCTGGGAATTTTACACATCCTTCCTATAAAACCAAGTATCAGGTGAGATCCTTAGGATCAGGACCATGAATCAAGTGGTGTGAGGGCAACACAGCAAACTTACCCTTTTGAGGCCGTTTCCTTTTTCTGCCCTCAATCTCTGTGAACTGAACCTTGTTAAAGTCAGTCAACACCAGGGTGGATGGTTTGCCGTTGTCACCTATTTTCAGGACATAACATCCTGACTTAGGAGCCATTCCGATCATTTCTAATTCAATAGATGCACCCAGCATTCAGATTGCCTTTTCAGGATCTTTAAAGTCGATGACAAGAGTTCCAGTCCTGAATCATGGCAAAGTGCAGTAGTGAACTGCGGGGTTAATGACACCATATTCTGGAAGGATCTCTCTATGGCTGATGGTCTCAGTTCCGGCATCAGCCTCTGACTGAGAATCAGGTCTCACACAGGAGAAGTCAGATGAGGAGCAATCCTCTGCTTCCGATGGAGTTAGTTGTGATGAATTGGTGAGGTCTGGTTTTTCACACTGAACTAAAATGAGCTTTCGCTGTGTCAAGCACAAGACTGACCCCAGAGACGCACATAGTGCACCTCATAGAAGCTTTTAATAGTCTTTATATTTACTAAAGAATAGGACTAACTATGGAACTATGAAGATGAGCTGGAAATGACAGGTGACTTGCCAGCAGGCCAGAGTGTGATTTTTTTTTGTCCCTCAATGGGAGGTGTCCATTCTTCCTTCGGTTGTGAGAATCAGTTGGTTCATTTGTGGGAAGGTTGCAGGGGGGATCTTTGAATCAGCCTTCAGATGCCAGAAGGGCAGAGGGAATCCCACACGTGCTGGTGGATCATGTGTGTGCATTTCTCTCCCTTCTAGTCTGAGGAAACTAAGCATGAAAGAACGTGAGCACGGAGAAAAGGAGAGGCAGGTGTCAGAGGCAGAGGAAAATGGGAAATTGGATATGAAAGAAATACACACCTACATGTGAGTTCAGAAACTGAACCCCACCCTCTTGGGAAACGCCCATTGGAGTGTTGTTTTTAACCTTTGTACAATGTTTAGACCCAGTAAATGCAGAAATAGAAACAAATGGTCAGAAGACATATCGTGAGAGAGAGAGAGAGAGTTCACAAAACAGAAAACAAAGTACCTTAATATTTACCAGTGACCAAAAGATGTGAAGTAGCAAAACGGCTCCTGACCCCATTGCCAGCTAGACTGTGTGGAAACTCGGTTCATACCAGCCATTCTAGGGGTGGGGTGAGTTGTTGTCATCCTTAGGAAAGTGTGTTGTTGTAGGATCAACCACATCCTTCAAAAGGACTATGCCTGTTTATAAGCCCAGCTGTTTCTGCCCTGTGAAACACGGTAAAGATATTAATACAAAGAGAATACAGCTTTATGATAAAAGATGCTCAATGAAGGATGAATTAGGGATATACTGAGAATGGGGAAGGAAACTATCATCTCAGAAGTCAGCAGGCAGTAAGCAAGAGGAGGAATCAATATAGCAACAGTTTGGATCAGACTGTACAGTTTTTTTGTTTTTGTTTTTGTTTTTGTTTTTCTGAGATGGAGTCTTGCTGTGTCACCCAGGCTGGAGTGCAATGACGTGATCTTGGCTCACTGCAACCTCTGCCTCCCAGGTTCAAGTGATTCCCCTGCCTCAGCCTCCCGAGTAGCTGGGATTACAGGCGCCTGCCACCACCCCCGCCTAATTTTTTGTATTTTTAGTAGAGACGGGGTTTCACCGTATTAGCCAGGATGGTCTCAATCTCCTGACCTCGTGATCCATCCGCCTCGCCCTCCCAGAGTGCTGGGATTACAGGCGTCAGCCACCGTGACCGGCTCAGACTGTACTCTTCTAGCCATCTGAAATACGTTTTCTAGGTAGAGATAGATTGTGTAAGGGTACAGTTGTGAGGATAACAGAAACATGGCAGATTATTTAAAATCATCCTGAAAGTGGTGCTTTATCTGATGAAAGTGATTGTAATCCATAGGGAAATGTTTCAACGTGCGCAAGCGTTGCGGCGGCGGGCAGAGGACTACTACAGATGCAAAGTAAGGAGCTTCCTCCCCGCAGTTGCAGGATAGTTCAGTGCTGATGCAGATGATGCCACGGCCCTTAGACTCTCTCAACATTCAATTTCTCATGTGTTGGCTTTTTCAGATCACCCCTTCTGCAAGAAAGCCTCTTTGCAACCGGGTAAGTTTGCTTGTTTTCCTTGCTTTTGGACATAGTCTGCCAGGTCAGGACATGGATACATTTTTCTCCCTACGGCTCTGTGCTCAAGCCCTGCAGAGGGAGATGGCAGAGAGGAAGGCTGCCTACAAGCATCACAGTCCCATCCCTGTTGGTAACCGTGTTGCGCAAAAACACCTTCATCCCCACCCAGTGGGGCCCCCATCTAATATTCTAAGTGTCAGAGGTTCCGTATTTGTAATAGCAAATGGGCCCTGACTGTAAATTAGTGAAGAGTGAATGTAACTTATTACCCACAGGGACAATTCCAAATGAGGGCCTTAAATGATGCTCAGCTAAGCTGGTTCTTGTGTGGCCTCTGTACCTTCAAAAGCTGCCGAGTCCTATGATTGCACGCGATGGGACTTGTACACTTGAAGTGAAACACAGTTTTAAAACTTGCTTTGTTTAGAATTCCCACCTCATTTTTCCATGGACAAAAGTATTCTTTATGTCCTAGTGCACTTACAATTTGGTATTACCTGGGAGTGAAAAGAAATATTACAGCCATGCCTAACTGACTTCTTGAGGTAAGATTGTTCTGTCAGAAAACCCTCTCCCAGTTCCCCTGCAGCTCTTCAGGAATCCACATCTCTCCAGAGCTCTTTGTTCTCATGGGTGGCACCTCCAGAGTGAAGAAGATCCTTTGTCAAGAAGGGAAACAGAGGGGAAATGAGAGGGTCCTGCAGGCAGAGCTGGAATCAACTTCCACTCTGCCTCTTGCAAGCTGTGTGACCCTGGGCACAATTTCTCCTTCCTCTGGAAACCTCTGTTTTCTTAGATTTGGAGCAGGATGGTCACACTGACCTTGCAGAGTTCTGAGAATCAGAGACAGAACATAAAAGGCCTGGAAAACATTCTCCAAAAAGAAGCTGCAACATGTGTGGACAATGGGCTTTTCATGCCTCTCTTACTGTCTCTTACTGTCTATTGACCTGGTGCAAGAAACATGCTCTGGTGATGGCTGTGAGGGAGGAATGAGGATAGACATAGACACTCCTGTGTCTCAAACATGCTTCTTTATTACTCTGTTATGACTCTGTCTTCCCTGGGGCAGGACCCCAGCCTGCCTACATTTGCAGACAGACACAGTGGCATGTGGAGACAACAGTGTGTCCCAAAGACTTTTCTTTACCCCCTAGCTGTCGGCAGTACTCAGTGGAAGGGTGATATTATGACACTGACACTGCTATTTTGAAACCTGGAGGATGGAAAGGTGCAAAAATCTATCACCAGCAACAGAAGGTGCAGACTGTGTTGGTGGCGGTAATTTTGTCCATCAAATGAATATGTGTGAAAACATTCCCTCCTTTGGCCCTACAGGTCAGAATGGCGGCAGTGGAGCATCGTCATTCTTCAGGATTGCCCTACTGGCCCTACCTCACAGCTGAAACTTTAAAAAACAGGATGGGCCACCAGCCACCTCCTCCAACTCAACAACATTCTATAATTGATAACTCCCTGAGCCTCAAGACACCTTCCGAGTGTCTGCTCACTCCCCTTCCACCCTCAGCTCTACCCTCAGCGGATGATAATCTCAAGACACCTGCGGAGTGTCTGCTCTATCCCCTTCCACCCTCAGCGGATGATAATCTCAAGACACCTCCCGAGTGTCTGCTCACTCCCCTTCCACCCTCAGCTCCACCCTCAGTGGATGATAATCTCAAGACACCTCCCGAGTGTGTCTGCTCACTCCCCTTCCACCCTCAGCGGATGATAATCTCAAGAAACTAAGGAAGAATAAATAAATAATATAAAAATAAAATGAATACTGCAGTCCTTATGTTATTGCTTTGTTTCAATATCTGGTATGATTGCCTGAGGGACCTGAGGTTTTTAATCGTAGGGGTTTTTTTAATCTTTAGAAGTGGTTGGTTATGTAAAATATTATTATTTGTTTTTTTTTTTGAGACTGGAGTTTGCTCTGTCACCCAGGCTGGAGTGCAGTGGCTCGATCACAGCTCACTGCAGCCTCAACCTCCTGGGCTTCAAGCAATCCTCCTGCCCCAGCCTCCCAAGTAGCTGGGATCACAGATGTGTGCCACCACGCCTGGCCAATGTTAAAAAATCCTTTAACTTTTTTGTAGAGATGCACTCCTGGACTCAAGCAATCCTCCTACTTGTCCCGACCACCAGCCTCTTTCTGATAAACATTTACACTGTTTATTATCTGATGCCATTTCTATCTTCTTCCTTGTCATCCAGACATCAAAGAATTAGGTTTCTTCAGGGTTTTCTTTTTCAAGTGCTCAGTGTTAAAGATCACTCACATTAGGGCCAGACACCACGGCTCATGCCTGTAATCCCAGCACTTTGGGAGGCCGAGGCGGGCAGAGCACTTGAGGTGGGGAGTTTGAGACCAGCCTGGCCAACTTGGTGAAACCCCACCTCTACTGAAAAAATACAAAAATTAGCTGGGCGTGATGGTGCATGCCTGTAGTCCCAGCCACTTGGGAGGCTGAGGCATGAGAATCGCTTGAACCCAGGAGGCAGAGGTTGTAGTGAGCCGAGATCACATCAGCACACTCTAGCCTGGGTGACAGAGCGAGACTGACTCAAAAAATAAATAAAATAAATATCACTTACATTAGATATACCCAAGGGGTGGTCTATAGAGACTTGGAAGCAGTGGTTATTGCAACAGGGGCACGGAAGTCATCTGGCTATGCCAGGGTGCCCAGGGGATACTCGGGGTGGGTGGCATGGTGCTGCTGGGGACTCACCGCACAGGACGCTCTGATTGACGCACTGCCAGGAGTAGCGCTCTGTCTTGGGGCTGCAGCCGGCCTCCTCAGCTCGAGTGTAACAACAGTCGTGGCCATGGCAGCACCTGCGGATGTCACATGGGCAGGACAGCAGGTGGGTGAAGCTCTCTCCTGGCCCTCCTCTCTTGCCAGGACTATGGGTGACTGAAGACCCCCAGGGAGGCACAGCATCCTCTTATCTAAGATTTTTTTTTTTTTAAGAGACAGGGTCTTTCTCTGTCGCCCAGGCTGGACTGCAGAGGCACAATCATAGCTCACGGCAGCCTTGAACTCCTGGGCTCAAGCGATCCTCCCACTTCAGCGTCCCAAGTAGCTGAGACTACAGGCACACGCCAGCATGCCCGGCTGGTTTTTTAATTTGTATTTCCTTTGAGACAGCGTATCTCTCTGTTGCTCAGGCTGGAGTGCAGTGGCTCAATCAGCTCACTTTAGCCTTGAACTCCCGGGCTCAAGTGATACTGCTACCTCAACCTCCCAAGTCTGCTACTACAGGAACACAAACTCCTTTTTTAAATTTTTTATGGATATGGGGTCTCACTATGTTGCCTAGGCTGGTCTCGAACTCCCAGGCTCAAGCAGTCCTCCTACCTCAGCCTCCCCAAATGCTGGGATTACAGGTGGGAGCTACTGTACGCCTGGCCTTATCTAAGCTGTTTCCCTGAAAATCTCCGTCTTGGGTAATGATTCCATTGGCCCCACCATGCCCTGTCCTGCCTTCCTGGCTGTGCCCAAGCTTGGTCCCTGCCTGCCTGCCTGCCTCCCTCTCTGGGTCTCGAGCTCCTGTGACACATGACTCCTCTCTCTTCCTAGTGATCCAAGCCCTGCCACTTCCTGACTTTGCCCACACTGTACCCTCTGCCTGGGGCAACTTCATGTCTGCCCATTGACCCTTAGGCCTCAGCCCAGGCACAAGCCCCTGCCTCCGGAGGTCATCCAGGCCTCACCAGGCTACACCCTCTCGTAAAATTGGATTCCCTCCCTTCAGGGCAGCTTTATAATGAAATCCTCCTCAGAGGCCAGGTGCGGTGACACCCATCTGTAATCCCAGCACTTTGGGAGGCTGAGGTGGGAGGATCACTTGAGGCCAGGGGGTCGAGACCAGCCTGGGCAACATAAGAGAGACTCTTGTCTCTATAACAAATTTAAAAATTAGCTCACCAGGCCAGGCCCAGTGGCTCATGCCTGTAATCCCAACACTTTGAGAGGCCGAGGCAGGTGGATCACGAGGTCAGGAGTTCAAGAGCAGCCTGACCAACATGGCGAAACCCTGTCTCTACTAAGGAGAATCGCTTGAACCCAGGAGGTGGAGGTTGCGGTGAGCCAAGATCACGCCATTGCAGTCCAGCCTGAGCAACAGAGCAAGACTCTGTCTCGAGACAATAAAAACACATAAAAAATTAACTCGCCATGATGGCACATGCCTGTAGTCCTAGCTACTTGGGAGGCTGAGGTGGGAGGATTCCCTTCAGCCCAGGAGTTTGAGGCTGCAGTGAGCCACTATGATTGTGCCACTGCACTCTAACCTGGGCAAAAGCGAGACCCCAGGCTAGAGTGCATGATTTTGGGTCACTGCAACCTCCACCTCCCAGGTTCAAGTGATTCCCCTGCCTCAGCCTCTTGAGTACCTGGGACTACAGGCATGTGCCACCACGCCTGGGTAATTTTTGTATTTTTAGTAGAGACAGGGTTTAGTAGAGACCATGGTGAAACCCCATCTCTATTAAACAAATCTTTACTGAAGATTTGCTGTACTGAAGGGATAGCAAAACTCAGTTACCAAAATGGCAATGTGTTTGAACTGTTTACAGGCCAAGAATTCACATTTGCAACCCACGCAATACACTACTGATTGTGTGACTTCCTCTAGAGAGAATGTCAAAAGTTACAATGTGATGGCTTTTATGAATGTGAGATGAGGCCCAGTGTGCCTTCTCCTCTTCGGTTTGTGCCTCAATGATCATCACCTCCCAAAACATATGCTGAGCTCCCAGCTTCCAGGCACTGTCCCAAAAGTGGGGTGTCAGTGGGAACCCAAGCAACAGACAATATAGAGTCTCGCACCTCATAGAACTCATTTTCTCCTTGCTTCTTTTTCTCACCTTTTTTTTTTTTTTTTTTTTTTTGAGATAGGGTCTTACCCTGTTTCCCAGGCTGGAGTGCAGTGGCACAATCATAGCTCACTGCAACCTCAAATGCCTGGGCTCAACGTAGCTTCCTGCCTCAGCCTCCTGAGTAGCTGGGACTACAGGCACCCGCCACCATGTCCGGCTAATTTTTCTTTCTTTCTTTTTTTTTTTTGTATTTTTAGTAGAGATGGGGTTTCATCATGTTAGCCAAGATGGTCTCGATCTCCTGACCTTGTGATCCACACACCTTGGCCTCCCAAAGTGCTGGGATTACAGGCATGATCCACCGCACCTGGCCCTGATTTTAACTTCTCTTTTTTCTTTTTTTTTTTTTTTTTTTTTGAGACAGACTCCTGTTGCCCAGGCTCTGGAGTACAGTGGTGCGATCTTGGCTCACTGCAACTTCTCCCTCCCAAGTTCAAGCGATTCTCCTGGCTCAGCCTCTCCAGTAGCTGGGAATAAAGGCATGCGCTACCATGCCTGGATCATTTTGGTATTTTTAGTACAGACGGGGTTTCGCCATGTGGGCCAGGCTCGTCTCCAACTCTTGTCCTCAGGTGATCCGCCGGCCTCGGCCTCCCAAAGTGCTGGGATTATAGCCATGAGCCACCGTGCCTGGCCTTGATTTTTAGCTTTTAACTTTGAAATAACTACAGACTTTGAAAGAAGTTGCAAAAATAGTACAAAGAGTTACCACATACTCTTCATCCAAGCTTCCTGAAATATTGATATCTTACATGACCATAGTACAATGATCAAAACAAGGAAATAAGCACGGAAATCATACACGTACCTAATCTACAGATCTTATTCAAATGATCACCGATCGTCACCCTAAGGTTCTTTGTTCCCAGTCTGGCCTCCAATCCCAGATTGCTTCACATTGTGTTGAACTGTCAAATGGCCTTAGTCTCCAAGTGAGATCACTAACCGGCTATTCTGTAGGCTGTCCCTCAGTTTATCAACCCAGTTGTTATGGGCTAAATGATGCCCTCCAAAATTCATATATTGGAGCCCTAATTTCCAGTACCTCAGAAGGCGACTGTGTTTGAAGATAAGGCCTTTAAAATGGCAATTAAGTTAAAGTGAGACCTTTAGGATGGGCTCTAATCCAATCTGTCTGGTGTCCTTATAAGAAGAGGAAATTTGGGGGCATGGTTGGTGGCTCACACCTGTAATCCCAGCACTTTAGGAGGCTAAAGTAGGAGGATCACTTGAGGTACGAAGATCACTTGAGACCAGCCTGGCCAACATGGTGAAACCCCATCTCTACTAAAAATTAGCTGGGTGTGGTGGCACATGTCTGTAATCCCAACTACTTGGGAGGCTGAGGCAGGAGAATCGCTTGAACCTGGGAGAGGGAGGTTGCAGTGAGAGGAGATCGAGCCACTGCACTACAGCCTGGGTGACAGAGCAAGATTCCGTCTTTAAAAATAAAATAAAATAAAAAAAAAATTTGGACACACAAACAGGCACCAGGGGCCGGGCATGGTGGCTCATGCCTGTAATCCCAGCCCTTTAGGAGGCCAAGGCAGGAGGATTGCCTGAGCTCAGGAGTTCAAAACCAGCCTGGGCAACGTAGTGAGACCCTGTCACTCTCTCTCTCTTTTTTTTTATTTAAAAAATAAATAAATAAAACGAGGCACCAGGGATGTTTTCACACCAAGGAAAGACCATGTGAAGACACAGCAAGAAGGCAGCCGTGTGAAACTAACCCAGCAGGCACCCTGGTCTTGGACTTCTTGCCTCCAGAAGGGTGAGCAAATAAGTTTCTATTGTCTAAGCCACGCTGTGTGCGCTATTTTGTTATGGCAGCCCCAGCAAACTAATATATCCATTCTCTTCAGTTCTTGGAAATCTGCCCATTTCTATGTTCTCTGACCCTTTTTATCTGCCCGTTTATTGATTTATAGCCTTCTCCGGCTCCTTATCCTTGTTACTGGTCCGGAGTAAACTTCTGTTAGATTTCTCCCAGCTGGGCAGGCTTCCAGCTCACCAAAACATCTCCTTCTTTGCTTTTTACTTATATCCCCCTTGTATCATTTTTCCATGGCTGAGGTAACAAATTACCACGAATTTAATGGCTTAAAAGAACACAAACTTCTTGTCTTAGAATTTGGGGGGTCAGAGTCTAAAATGGGTCTGCAGGACTGCATTCCTCCTGGAGGTCCTAAAGGAGAGTTCATTTTCTTGCCTCTTCCAAGCTTCTAGATGCTCCCTGCACTCCTTGGCTCCCCATCCAACATCTTCAAAGTCAGCAGCATAAATCTTCCCATCTCCCTTTCTCTCTCTTTTTTTTAGACAAAGTCTTACTCTGTCACCTAGGCTGGAACGCAGTGGTACAGTCATAGCTCACTGCAGCCTCAAACCCCGAGGCTGAAGTGATCCTCCCGCCTCAGCCTCACGAGTAGCTGGGACCACAGGCATGCACCACCATGCCTGGCTGATTTTTAATTTTTTATAGAGACAGGCTCTTGCTATGTCACCAGGGCTGTCTTGAATTTGGGAGCCCGCGATCAGAAGCCAGCATGGTCGGCAGCTCCCTACACCACGTCCGGGCTTCCCGGGCCTCCAGCTGCCCCCTGCGCCGCCGCCGCCTCCCGCACCTGCACGTGGCCACTCCAGATGCTCCGGAGGGATTGAGCACCCCGCGCACACCCAGCTCACACCATCCAATCCGGAGGCCATGGGCCGACATGGGGGCTGAGCGTTTGAAATGAGCCCGGACCACCAGATGCATGGGTCCGTTCACACGAAATACCCAGAACAGGCAAAGCCACAGAGGCAGAAAGTATGGGGTTATTTATTTTAATTAATTAATTAATTGTTTTGAGACGTAGTCTCCTCTGTCGCCCAGGCTAGAGTGCCGATCCCTATGTTAGCTTGATGTGGTGGCTCATATCTGTAATCACAGCACTTTGGTAAGCTGAGGCGGGAGGATCGCTTGTCAGGCCAAGAGTTCAAGACCAGTCTGGGCAAAATAGTGAGACCCCCCTGCTATGGTTTGGATTTGGGTCCCTGCCCAAATCTCATGCCGAATTATAATCCCCAGTGTTAGGGGAGGGACCTGGTGGGAGGTGATTGGATCATGGGGGGAGAGTGCCTCCTTGCTGTTCTCCTGATAGTGAGTGAGTTCTTATGAGATCTGGTTGGTTTAAAAGCATGTAGCGCTTCCCCCTTCTCTCCCTTCCTCCTGCTCCAGCTATGTAAGATGTGCGTGCTTCCCCTTTGCCTTCCGCCATGATTCAAAGTTTCCTGAGGCCTCCCAGCCATGCCTCCTGCACAGCCTGTGGAACTGTGAGTCAATTAAACCTCTTTTCTTTATAAATTACCCAGTCTCAGGGAGTTCTTTATAGCAATGCAAGAACGGACTGATACAACCTCCATATCTACAAAAAAAAAAAAAAATTGTTTTAATTACCTGAGCATGGTGGTGCACACCTGTAGTCCCAGCTACTCTGGAGGCCAAGGCAGGAGGATCACTCCAGCCTGGGCAACAAGAGCGAAATTCCGTCTCAGAAAAAAAAAAAAAAATTAAAAAATTTAAAAAACGTAAAGAAAAAAATTATTTTGCTAAATCTGGCAAAGCCAAAGGGATGAAACTGACATTTACTGGGCACCTTCTGCACAAGTCAGTTCTCCTAGGAACCCAGAGAGGCAAGGGATTGGTAGCAATCTCTAGAGGCAAATATCCTCTAATATCCATGGTGTTCTTTGTGGAGCAGCTCAATGGATTTACTTAATGGGAAATGAAAGAAGGAAAAATGAAGACTTAGAAGGCTTCGATGATTTCCAATGCATTACTGTATACTTGTCTCTTCTTAGAAGCAATAGAAAAAAAAATCAGGAATTAAAGACAATCTATTACTCAAGCAAATGCTAAAGGCCTCCCATGGTCTTCAAACAAGAAGAGATGCTCTAAGATAAATTACTTCATTACGTTGATGCTTCATCATCCGTGGAAGCTGTGACTCAGAGCCCTGCAGCAATAATTAGGCAGTGCGTTCATGTCCCGTTAATGTCCCCAAACAGTGGGAGATGAATGGAGAACATAGGGCTGTGTTCGAATGAAAAAAGGGTTTTGTTCGGCGCTCTTTCAGCAGGGAATAAGTACTGATGTGGGAACTGAGCTTCTGTTTACAACTAAGGATCACATTAAAAATATATTAAGATGACTACAGTAAAGCTTATTGTAGCTATTATTATTTCATTTAAATGAATCCCAGTTTCATAAGAACCACCAAGGGGGCTACCATGTCTAAAATGTAACTTCTCTTGCGAATCCTGAAATTTCTACTGACAAACAAAAGACTACGATGCACAATTAATTAATTAATTAATTAATTAATTTGAGATGGAGTCCCACTCTGTCACCCAGGCTGGAGTGCAGTGGCACGATCTCAGCTTGCTGCAACCTTTGCCTCCCGGGTTCAAGCGATTCTCTTGCCTCAGCCTCCTGAGTAGCTGGGATTACAGGCATGCGCCACCACGCCTGGCTAAATTTTTTCGTATTTTTAGTAGAGATGGGGTTTCGCCATGTTGGCCAGGCTGGTCTAGAACTCCTAACCTCAGGAGATCTGCCTGCCTCGGCCTCTCAAAGTGCTGGGATTACAGGCGTGAGCCACCATGCCCGGCCAACACGCAACATGTTTAAGACCAAAAGGACTGTTTTGCAATGAAGCAGATGAATCAACCAGTAAGGCCAACCCCTCAAAAAATGTAGCACTGAAGTTTCTTCAACATCTGCCTCTGAGACTTGTTCATATGTGCAGACACAGAGCAGGAAACTAAAGCAACTGCCTTCCTCTTTGTCACCTGAAATGAGAATGGAGAGAGGCTGGCAAGGAAATGATATGTAATCTTCCCTCCTTCCTGATTTTCTTTTCTATCCTTTTTTTTTTGAGTTGGAGTCTCGCTCTGTCACCCAGGCTGGAGTGCAGTGGCACAATCCCAGCACTTTGGGAGGCTGACGGGGGTAGATTACTTGAGGCCAGGAGTTTGATACCAGCCTGGCCAACATGGTGAAACCCCATCTCTACTAAAAATACAAAAAATTAGCCAGGCGTGGTGGCATGTGCCTGTAATCCCAGCTACTTGGGAGGCTGAGCATGAGAACTGCTTGAGCCCGGGAGGTGGAGATTGCGGTGATCTGAGATCGTGTCACTGCATTCCAGCCTGGGCGACAGAGTGAGACTACATCTCAAAAAAAGAGAAAAAAAAGAAAAGAAACATTTACAATCTATTCACTCTGAAATTTACAGTCTATTTACTCTGAAGCCTGCTACCTGAATGCTTCATCTATGAGATAAAACTTTAGTCTCTGCAACCTCTTATTGTAACCCATATATCCCTTTCTATTAATAATAACTCTTTCAACCAATTGCCCATCAGAAATCTTTTTTTCTTTTTTTTCTTTTTTTTTGTTTTTTTTGTTTTTTGAGACGGAACCTCGCTCTGTCGCCCAGGCTGGAGTGCAGTGGTGCGATCTTGGCTCACTGCAAGCTCTGCCTCCTGGGTTCACGCCACTCTCCTGCCTCAGGCTCCTGAGTAGCTGGGACTACAGGCGCCCGCCACCACACACCACTAATATTTTGTATCTTTAGTAGAGATGAGGTTTCACCGTGTTAGCCAGGATGGTCTCGATCTCCTGACCTTGTGATCCGCCTGCCTCGGCCTCCCAAAGTGCTGGGATTACCGGCATGAGCCACCGCGCCCAGCCCAGAAAATTTTTAATCTATCTATAACCCAGACCAAACCAATGTAAATCTTTAAATGTATTTGACTAATGTTTCATGCTTCCCTAAAATGTATAAAATCAAGCTGCGCCCGGATCACCTTGGGGATGTGCTCTCTTGCTGCTACGCTTTCTGCAAATTTTCCATACAATTTTTCTTTTTCTTTTTTTTTTTTCACACAGAGTCTCACTCCATTGCCCAGGCTGGAGTGGAGTGGAGTGGCACGATCTTGGCTCACTGCGACCTCTGCTTCCCAGGCTCAAGTGATTCTCCCACCTCCGCCTCCAAAGTAGCTGGGACTACACGCCCAGCTAATTTTTGTGTTTTTTGTAGACAGGGTTTCGCCATGTTGCCCAGACTAGTCTTAAACTCCTGGACTCAAGCAATCTGCCCTCCTCAGCCTCCCAAAGTGCTGGGATTACAGGCAGGAGCCACTGCACCCAGCTAGAAGAGGGAAAGTTTAATATAGTTGATTCTCATTATTCAAGATAGTTACATTCAAAAAAGTCACCAAGGACACTGAATTGGTGAATATTGAATCATTTGCTCTAAAGGAAATGCAGGATTGGGTGTCTCCAAGCCTCTGGTCGCAACATTTTTATAAAGCAATCAATACATAATCTTCTTTTATGTGTGTGTGTTAAAGGACGCCTTATCTAATACATATTGTTGATTCATTGACATTGAACTCACGGCCAACAGCATTGTAACTCATGCCTGAACAAAGCTTATCTAACAAATGTACCTTCTCCATTAGGTACTTCACAGCCTTCTTGCACTCAGAGACACTGGATAGCACTTCAGGAGGACACTTAGGGGCCTTCTGTTGTTGTTGATGTTGAGATGAAGTCTCGCTCTATTCCCCAGTCTGGAGTGCAGTGGCGTGATCTCGGCTCACTACAACCTCCACCTCCAAGATTCAATCGATTCTCCTGCCTCAGCCTCTGGAGTAGCTGGGATTCCAGGTATGCGCCACCATGCCCGGCTAATTTTTTTAATTTTTAGTAGAGACAGGGTTTCACTATGTTGGCCAGGCTGGTCTCCAACTCCTGACCTCAGGTGATCCACCAGCCGTGGCTTTCCAAAGTGCTGGGATTACAGGTGAGAGCCACCGCACCTGGCTGGGGGCCATTTTAAGCAGCAAAATCACAAAAAGCACAGAACTGTGAAAGATGTGACACTGAATACACTGCAGAGAGGACACTTGTTTGCAGTCTGAAAGCTGAGACAAGAAGGCAGAGTGTGGCCAGGTGCAGTGGCTCATGCTTGTGACCCTAGCATTTTGGGAGACTGAGGCAGGACGATCACTTGAGGTCAGGAGTTCAAGACCAGCCTGGCCAACATGGTGAAGCCCTGTCTCTACTAAAAATACAGAAATTGGCCGGGCGTGGTGGCTCACGCGTGTAATCCCAGCACTTTGGGAGACCAAGGCGGGTGGATCAAGAGGTCAAGAGATCGAGACCATCCTGGCCGACATGGTGAAACCCCATCTCTACTAAAAATACAAAAATTAGCCAGGCATGGTGGCACCCGCCTGTAGTCCCAGCTACTCAGGAGGCTGAGGCAGGAGAATCGCTTGAACCTGGAAGGCAGAGGTTGCACTGAGCTGAGATTGCGCCACTGCACTCCAGTCTGAAGACAGAGCAAGACTCTGTCTCAATAAATAAATAAATAAAAATAAAAATACAGAAATTAGCCGGGCATGGTGGCACGTGTGTGGCCCCAGCTACTCGTTGAGGCAGGAGAATTGCTTGAACCTCAGAGGTGGAGGCTGCAGTGAACCAAGATCATGCCACTGCACTCCAGTCTGGGCGACAGAGCAAGACTCTGTCTTAAAAAAAAAAAAAAAAAAAAAAAAAAAAAAAGAAGGCAGAGTGTCACCTTGTTGGACCTCAGCTGGGAATGGGTGCATCATGTGACTTAAATATTTTGCTGCTCTCTGCATGTACATGTCTTCAGATAATAGCAAAAGCACCAGAGGTATTGATTTGGGGTCCAAATACATTTTAGAAAGGTAGACACATTTATAAATATGGAACCCATGAATAATGAGGATGGACTGTATGAAGAATTGTTAATAGGAGACTGGAATAATGAGGGTTTGAGTAGTAAGAAGGGAACTCTGAAGAGTATACAGGCAGATGCAGGGGGCTCATGTCTGTAATCCCAGCTCTTTGGGAGGCTGAGGCAGGTGATTAGCTTGAGCTCAGGATTTGGAGACCAGCCTGGGTAATACAGCAAGACTCCATTTCTAAAAAAAAAAAAAATTTTTTTTTTAATTAGCTAGGCATGGGGGCTCATGTCCGTAGTCCCAGCTACTCGGGAGGCTAAGGTGGGAGGATTGCTTGAGCCAGGGAAGCAGAGGTTGCAGTCAGCCGAGATTGTACCACTGCACTCCAGTCTGGGCAACAGAGTGAGACCCTGTCTCAAAAAAAAACCAAAAAGTATACAAGTAGTAGATACAAGGAACAGCTACTACCCCTAGGACTGAGATATGACACTTACGGAAACAATCACCCCTGGAGGGCTGAGATCTTGACCAGGTAGAGAGGGTACAGCCCTGGGTCACTGAATAGCAAAGAAGACAGTTGACGTGATGCCCTGCTGGTTGGTGGAACTTGCTGGAAATCTACCCTCAGGGTAAACTTTTCATGGCAAGGTGTCTCACTGAAGGTACTCTGCTGCAAGACCACCAGAGGGGAGTGCCAGGGGAAGCTGCCTGCCAATGAGTGGTATAGGAGCTGGGCACTGGAGAAGCCATCAGCAGGAACCAATAAGCAAAACCCTTTCCTCCTGCAGTGTCTCTCCAGCACCCTGTACTGACAAAACTTAAAATAACATTGTGCCTCCTGGCAAAGGAAAGCTATTTAAAGGGCCCAGATCCATTTTTACCCAGAAGGCAAAAAGGATGGATTTGGAGCTGGAAGGCAATAGATCAAAAACTGACTGTTTTGATGTTTTTTATTTTCTTTTTTTAGAGATGGGATCTTGCTGTGTTGCCCAGGCTGGCCTCAAACTCTTGGGTTCAAGTGATCCTCCCAACTCGATCTCCTGAGTAGCTGGGACCATGGGCTCCTGGCATTGTGCCTGGCTGTTTAGTGGTTTTAAAAAATAATTCTACAAGTATGAAAAACAAAAAAGTGTAATTAAGAAAATTAACATCTTGGCTGGGCGCGGTGGCTCACACCTGTAATCTCAGCACTTTGAGAGGCCAAGGTGGATCACCTGAGGCCAGGAGTTCGAGACCAGCCTGGCCAACATGGCACAACCCCATCTCTACTAAAAATACAAAATTAGCCAGGAGTGATGGTGGGTGCCTGTAATCCCAGCTATTTGGGAGGCTGAGGCAGGAGAATCCTTTGTGCCTGGGAGGTGTAGGCTGCAATGAGCCGAAATTGTACCACTGCACTCCAGCCTGGGCAACAGAGACAGACTCCATCTCCAAAAAAAAAAAAAACAAAATTAACATCTCTAGTGTTAACCACTCTTTTCATTTTTTATGAATTTTTTATAGTCTTTTCTATGCATGTAGTTTTTCATTTAAAAAAAAATTAGGTTCATATTACACATGCTGTGTTCTTACCAGCCCTTTTGAGTTAACAGTGTCAACTTTCCATATTAACAACTGTGTACCTGCATCACTTTTTTTTTTTTTTTTTTGAGAAGGAGTCTCACTCTGTCTCCCAGGCTAGAGAGCAGTGGCGTGATGTCAGCTCACTGCAACCTGTGCCTCCCAGGTTCCAGTGATTCTCCTGCCTCAGCCTCCCAAGTAGCTGGGATTCCAGGTGTCCACCACCATGTCCGGCTAATTTTTTTGTACTTTTATTAGAGACGGGGTTTCACCATGTCAGCCAGGCTGGTCTCAAACTTCTGACCTTAAGTGATCCTCCCACATCGGCATCCCAAAGTGCTAGGATTACAGGCGAGAGCCACCGCACCTGGCACTTTTTTTTTTTACAGCTTGTGTCTTAACCAGTTTTATGGAAGTACCACTATTTAGCCAATTCCCTGTTATTTTGTTGTATATATAGTTTGTTTTCAATTTTGTTTCATTATAAGCAGCGCTACTGTGGACGGTCTTATAGTTAAACCTCTAACATATTTATGTATTTAGTTTACACTTTGGGAGTAGAATTTTAAGTACAAAACCTAGGTATATTTTAAGTGTTTTTGTTACTGAATGCCCAGTTCCATTCAGTTCAACACAAATGAAATACGTCAAAGGTTTTATAACAATCTGAAATTCTACCAGCAATCCATAAGAATACTTATTTTCTTCTATTTTTTTTTGAGACGGAGTTTCGCTCTTATTGCCCAGGCTGGAGTGCAATGGTACTGTCTCGGCTCACCACAACCTCTGCCTCCTGGGTTCAAGCGATTCTCCTGCCTCAGCCTCCCAAGTAGCTGGGATTACAGGCATGCACCACCACGCCTGGCTAATTTTGTACTTTTACTAGAGACAGGAATTTCTCCACGTTGCTCAGGCTGGTCTCAAACTTCCAACCTCAGGTGATCGACCCGCCTGTGCCTCCCATAGTGCTGGGATTACAGGCGTGAGTCACCGGGCCCGGCCGAGAATACTTATTTCCGTCTACACTAACACGGGATGTTATTTTATTTTATTTTTTGAGACAAAGTCTCGCTCTGTCGCCCAGGCCGGAGTTCATTGGCACGATCTCCACTCACTGCAACCTCCGCCTCCTGGTTTCAAGCAATTCTCCTGCCTCAGCCTCCTGAATAGCTGGGACTACAAGGCATGCGTCACCACACCCGGCCAATTTTTTATTTTTAGTAGAGATGGGGTTTCACTATGTTGGTCAGGCTGGTCTCGAACTCCTGACCTCACGTGATCCGCCTGCCTCGGCTTCCCAATGTGCTGGGAGTACAGGTGTGAGCCACCATGCCCAGCCGGATGTTATTATTTTTTAAAAAAACTTTGCTAATTATAGGCAAAAATGCTATTTGATCCATTTCTGCAATTTTGGTCACTAGTAATGTTGAACTTTTTGTCATGTTGACTATTTGCATGTTTTTCCTTTTTATATTGTCGGTTAATGTCTTTGCCCATTTGCCTTCTGGGCACACAGTTTTAGAGAAGCCTGTTCACTTTCATGAAATGTAAATAAATCTGAAACAAATTAAACATCAATTATAGTTTAAAATGCTAATAAAAATTCTTATTTTCAGCCAGGTGTGGTGGCTTATGCCTGTAATCCCAGCACTTTGGGAGGCCAAGGTGAATGGATGCTTGAGCTCAGGAGTTTGAGACCAGCCTGGACAACATGGTGAAACCCCATCTCTACCAAAAATACAAAAATTAGCCAGCGGTGGTTGTGTCCTAGCCACTGTGGAGGCTGAGGTGGGAGGATGGCTTGAGCCCATGAGGCAGAGGTTGCAGTGAGCTGAAACACCACTGCACTCCAGCGTGAGAGACAGGAGTGAGAGCCTAGCTCAAAAAAACAAAAACAAAAACAAAAACAAAAAGGTCCTTTGAGTACCAGAAAAATTGTCAATGGGAATACTTTCCTCAAGGTCTTGAAAATTAATAATAAATCAACAAATCATTGATGGTAGTGGCTGGTGTTGCTTTCTTCTATATCTAGCTAGTTATCACTGAACAAACATTTTCTAAAACATTTTCGATGTTTCAGAGCAGAGATTTCAAATTGACAGCCAAGGGACGGATTCATGCATAATTTACTTTCTTTTATTTTGCTTTATTTTTCTTATGGTATTTACAAGTAATTAACATACATTATATAGCTACTTATCTCTCTGTTACAATAGGATATAAGATCCACAAAAATAGCCAGACACAATGGCTTATGCCTGTAATCCCAGCACTTTGGGAGGCCAGGGCAGGAGGATCACTTGAACCCAGGTGCTCAAAGACCAGCCAGAGCAACATAGGGAGATCCCACCTCTTCAAAAATTAAAAAATTAGCTGGGCGTGGTGGTGCATGCCTGTAGTCCCAGCAGTTTGGGAGGCTGAGGTAGAAGGATCACTTGAACCCAGGAGGTTGAGGCTGCAGTGAGCCAGGATCATGCCACTGCATTCCAGCCTGAGGGACAAAGTGAGACCTACCTACCTCAAGTTAAAAAAAAAAAATCCGCAAAAGGCAAAGACTTAATCCCTTTTAATGATTATTGTATCTCCAATTTCTAAAATACTGTGTGGTATATAATGCACCTTCAGAAAATATTTGTTGAATTCACGCATTTAGTAATTATTTATTGAACTCCCACTGCATCCTAGGCACTGGATTAGCTAGACTTGGGAGGTAAATGCCTCTGCCTCCATGTAGTGTCTTTAAAATATGATTCTCGGCCGGGCATGGTGGCTCACACCTGTAATCCCAGAGCTTTCAGAGGCTGAGGCGGGCAGATCACCTGAGGTCACAAGATCGAGACCAGCCTGGCCAACATGGTCAAACCCGGTCTCTAATAAAACTCCAAAAATTAGCCAGGCATGGTGGTGGGCACCTGTAATCCCAGCTACTCAGGACGCTGAGGCAGGAGAATTGCTCAAACCCAGGAGGCAGAGGTTGCAGTGAGCTGAAATCAAGCCACTGCACTCCAGCCTGGGTGACAGAACAAGACTCTGTCTCAAAAAATAAATAAATAAAATAAAGTATGATGCTCATTAAAACCAGATTGAAAACAATGGAAATGTTTTGGAAATAAAATATACACACTGTGCCAGTATGTGGATTCATTACTCATTAATTCTATGACTATTTTTTGAGAGCCTATTTGCAGTCACTTGGGGACACAATAATATTAAAGACAGATTCTGTCCCTGCGGATATGGCATTGATAATCTATCAAGGGAGGTAGACATTAAGCAACTAATTAATCGTGATTGTGCCAAGTACATAAAGGAGAAAGACAGGTGCCTATAAGCACTCATGAGATTTCCCTGAGAAAATGATACTTACACTTCTACCAAAGGGATTAGAAGTTACACAAGACAAAAGGGAAGGGAAAAAAAGAACAGTCTCATCGAAGAAAACAGCTTGTCAGGAAAGATCTTGCTGTACAGAAAGACCAAGGGGGGCACTGTGGCTCGCGCCTGTAATCCCAGCACTTTGGGAGGCCGAGGCAGGTGGATCATTTGCGCTCAGGAGTTGGAGACCAGCCTAGGCAACATGGTGAAACCCACAAAAATACAAAAAAATTAGCCAGGCATGATGGTGTACACCTGTGGTCCCAGCTACTCGGGAGGCTGAGGTGGGAGGATCACTTGAGCCTGGGAAGTGGAGGTTGCAGTGAGCTGTGTTCACACCACTGCACTCCAGCCTGGGTAACCAAGTGAGACCCTGTCTCAAAACAAAAACAAAAAGAAACAACAACAACAACAAAAAGACCAAGAGAATAATCAAGGGAATAATGACAGCCAGAGACCAAAGAGGTAGGCAGGGGCCATATTCTATACTCATGGGCCAAGTGAAGGATGCTCGCTTTATTCCATGGACAGCTGAAGGTTTGTAAGCAGATGATCTGATTTCTACATTAAATAGATGACTCTGGTTTCTGTATTGAGAATGGTTTGGCTACACAGACTGCTTAGATATGGCAGTAGTCAAGGCGGTAGCAACGGAAATAGAGATGCAGACAGCTTTGAGAGATATTTAGGAGGTGGAAGTGGCAACACTGATTGGAAGGGGTTAGGGAAGGGAAAGTGTGAGAGAGAGGAAGACACCCTGGTTCCTGGCGTGAACAGCTGGGTGGATGATGGGGAGCTTTTATGGGATGTGGAGTGCGAGAATCCGTGGTTTAGGGTAGAAGACGAGTTCAGTGCAATCAAGGCACAGCTATAAATGTGTACAACTGAGGCAGAAGTTTCAGAAGCAATGAGTACCCTTACTACCATAGAAGATGCTCTGATTTTTTTTCTTTTTTCTTTTTTTTTAAGAAATTTTTGGCTAGGCATGGTGGCTCACACCTGTAATCCCAGCACTCTGGGAGGCTGAGTTGGATCATTTGAGGTCAGGAGCTCGAGACCAGTCTGGCCAACATGGTGAAACCCTGTCTCTACTAAAAATACAAAAATTAGTTGGACATGGTGGCTCACACCTGTAGTCCCAGCTACTTGGGAGGCTGAGGCATAAGAATCGCTTGAACCTGGGAGGCAGACATTGCAGTGAGCTGAGATCACACCACTGCACTCCAGCCTGGGCAACAGAGTGAGACTCGGTCTCAAAAAAAAAAAGAAAAGAATTTTTTTACCCAATAGTAAAATAACCAACCAATGCGCTGATATTTTTTAATCAACTTTGTTGAAGTATGTTTTACATAATAGATTTTCATATGTTTTACATAATATAATAAAATTCACCCATATTACATGTACAGTTCAACAGGTTTTGACAAATGTATATACCTGTGTAACCACCACGATTAAAATACAGAGCTCTTCTGTCATTTCCAAAAACTCCCCAGCACCCCTTGGCAGTCAATTCCCCCTCCATCTCAGCCCCAGGCTTTCTGTCATTATAGTTTGCATTTTCTAGAATTCCATATAAATGAAACCATAGAGCATATATACAGTATACATATGAAATAGGTATTCACTTGTATCTGGCTTTTTTATTTCCTTGGAGACAGGGTCTTGCTGTGTCACCCAGGCTAGAGTGCAGTGGTGCAATCACAGCTCACTGCAGCCTCAACCTCCCAGGCTTGAGAAATCCTCCATTCCCAGCTAATTTTGTTTTTTTTTTTTTTGGTAGAGACTGGGTCTCTCTTTGTTGCCTAGGCTGGCCTCAGATTCCTGGGCTCAAGCAAACCTCACACCTCGGCCTCCCAAAGTACTGGGATTACAGGCTCCAGGCCATGTATCTGGCTTCTTTCACTCAGCATAATGTTTTTAAGATTCATCTATGACAGGGACCAGCAAACTAGGGCCTGTGGGCCAAATCTGGCCCAGTACCTGATTATGCAAAGGCCTAAGAGCTCAGCATGACTTTATATTTTTAAGAGATTGAAAAAAAACTCAAAGAAGAATATTTTGTGACACATGTAAATTAAATGAAATCCAAAATTCAATGTCTATAAATAAAGCTTTATTGGAACACAGCAACGCTCACTTGTTTACATACTGTCTGTGGCTGTTTCCATGCTACAGAATCAAATACTTGAGACCGAGATCGCAAGAACCTAAACTACAGCTTGCAAAGCCTGAAATATTTACAACCAGGCCCTTTACAGAAAAAGTCTGCCAACTCCTAATCTGTGGTGTCCCATGGATCAATAATGTACTCCCTTTACTTGCAGTACAGTACTCCATTCCATTGTAGGGATAGGCCACAAGTTGTTTACCTGTTTGTCTGTTGATGGACATTTGGGTTACTGCCCAATTATCCTTAATCCACGTGATATGCTCTGATGTTTTGCATCCTATTTCATTTTTTAAAAAATTGCTACTCATGACCCAATGGTTGATATCACAACCCACTGATGAACTACTCTCAGTTTGATATAGATGTTAATTGAAATAATGGAGGATGAAATTATGTAGAAGAAGAAATCAAAAGGACTTTCCAGGCTGGGCACAGTGGCTCACGCCTGTAATCCCAGCACTTTGGGAGGCTGAGGTGGGTAGATCACCTAAGGTCAGGAGTTTCAGACCAGCCTGACCAATATGATGAAACCCCGTTTCTACTAAAAATAAAAAATTAGCTGGGCATGGTGGCACGTGCCTGTAATCCCAGCTACTCAGGAGTCTGAGGCAGGAAAATCGCTTGAACCTGGGAGGTGGAGGTTGCAGTGAGTCAGCGAGACTCTGTCTCAAAAAAAAAAAAAAAAAAAAAAAAGCCTTGCCAGCTGAGTGCTGAGGAAATCCAACAATGAAACATTGGGTGGAGGAGGAGGAAACTCCAAAAGACATTGAGAAGGAACAGGCAGAAAGGGAAGGTGACGATCCGGAGAATTTGATATTGTGGGAAGCATGGAAAGTCAGTTTCAAGAAGAAAGTGATCATCTGGTTCTAGGGCTGCTGAGAGGTCAGGTGTGATGGACTGAGATGGTTTTAGTGACACTGGTTTGGGTGGAGGGAACAAGGCCGAAGCTAGATTCAGATGAGTTGGTGGTGCTTGTGTGATGAGAAAATTGAGACCATTAGGTGTAACCAGAAGGGGATGTGGATGAAGATAAGGAGTTTTTATTTGCTTGTTTTTTGAGCATAAGAATGTTTAACAAACACTAAAAGGCAAGCATAACCAGAATTTTACAGATGAGGAAACTAATATACCAAGAGGTTAAGTAACTTGCCCAAGTAGTTTTCACTTATACAGCTTAAAAAAAAAAAAAAAAAAGAATCCAGTTCTACTTGTAGCCACAGTCTGAACTCTAACCAATGGGCTATACCATCGACAAGGGAAAAAACTGGCCCAGACATAATCCAATTTTTGTACCTTTGAGTTAAAAGTCTACAGTTGAGGCTGGGCCTGGTGTCTCACGCCTGTAATCCCAGCACTTTGGGAGGCCGAGGTGGGTGGACCACCTGAGATCAGGAGTTGGAGACTAGCCTGTCCAACTAGTGAAACCCCGTCTCTACTAAAAATACAAAAATTAGCCAGGCTTGGTGGCACGCACCTGTAATCCCAGCTACTCAGGAGGCTGAGGCAGGAGAATTGCTTGAACCCGGGAGGCGGAGCTTGCAGTGAGCAGAGATGGTGCCACTGCACTACAGCCTGGCGACAGAACGAGACTCCATCTCAAAAAAAAGGAAAAAAGAGAAGTGTTTGAGGCCAGGCTCGGTGGCTCAGGCCTGTAATCCAAACACTTTGGGAGGCCGAGGCAGGAGGATCACTTGAGGTTGGGAGTTTGAGACCAGCCTGGCCAACATGGTAAGACCCTGTCTCTACTAAAAATACAGTGTGTGCGATGGCGCACGCCTCCAGTCGAAGCTACTCCGGGAGGCTGAGGCAGCAGAATCACTTGAACCGGGGAGGCAGAGGTTGCAGTGAGCCAAGACTGCGCCGTTACACTTCAGCCTGGACAACAGAGTGAGACTCGTCTGGAAAAAGAAAAAGAAAGAAAAAGACAGGTCTGTTAGCAGCACATAAAGCCATATGTCAGTAGAGATTAAACCTCCCCACAACTGATGGCTTCATGCTCCAAACTGTACAATATTCTGCTTATCTCTCTTCACTAGTCCATAGAATGTTGCATTATAATGTATCAGTTTTCCTATCTGTGCATCCACAAGCCAAATGGTTTCAACTTTTTTTTTTTTTTTTCGGGGATGGGGGAATCACAGACTTGAGTATATAATGAAGACAATGGATGTTTTCCCCAGAAAAATGCACTCACTCACACACAAAATGTTGAGTATAGTTTCAGAGACCTCCATCTGCATCCCAAAGTAAAAACTTCTACCCAAAATAGTGTTTTTCTTCAGGGCAGAGAGCTTGTCTTTGTTTTGTGTGTGTGTGTGTGTGTGTGTGTGTGTGTGTGTGTGTGTGTGTGTGTGTGTGTAGACGGAGTCTTGCTCTTGTCGTCCAGGCTGGAATGCAGTGGTGCAATCTTGGCTCACTGCAACCTCCGCCTCCCAGGTTGAAGCGATTCTGCTGCCTCAGCCTCCCGAGTAGCTGGGATTACAGGCGCACACCACCACACCCACTAATTTTTCTATTTTTAGTACAGACGAGGGTTTCACCATGTTGGCCACGCTGTTCTCCAACTCCTGACCTCAGGTGATCCGCCCACCTCGGCCTCTCAAAGTGCTGGGATTACAGGCATGAGCCACCGCGCCCAGCCTTTTTTAAATTTTTAAATTTTTTATTATATTTTGTTTTTGAGACAGAGTCTCGCTTTGTCGCCCAGGCTGGAGTGCAGTGGTGCGATCTCTGCTCACTGCAAGCTCCGCCTCCCGGGTTCACGCCATTCTCCTGCCTCAGCCTCCAGAATAGCTGGGACTACAGGCGCCCGCCACCATGCCCGGCTAATTTCTTTTTGTATTTTTGGTAGACACGGGGTTTCACCGTGTTAGCCAGGATGGTCTCGATCTCCTGACCTCGTGATCCGCCCGCCTCGGCCTCCCAAAGTGCTGGGATTACAGGCGTGAGCCACCGCGCCCGGCCCAGCCTCTTATTTGTATTTTTATTGTTTTTTGAGATGGAGTCTCGTCTTATTGCCCAGGCTGGAGCGCAGTGGCACAATCTCGGCTCACTGCAACCTCTGCCCCCGGGGTTCAAGTGATTCCCCTGCCTCAGCCTCCCAGGTAGCTGGGATTACAGGTGTTTGCCACCACGCCCAGCTAATTTTTTGTATTTTTAGTAGAGACGGAGTTTCACTCTGTTGGCCAGGCTGCTCTTGAACCAGCCTCTTATTCTTTTACATACTATTTCCAGCACAACTGTCCAAGATGGCAGTCAATAAATGTTTGGCTAAATATAATAAATAATACGGTTGATTATTTCCACTTTTTCATGTTGGGTTTTCAAAGTCTACTTTTAAAACAGTAAAGTTAACTTTTCTCTCTAGTATTTGTTTTGTAGAATCTATTATACTTTGTAATGTAATCCACAGAAACTTGGAGGTGACTTTAGTAAAATTTACTAGTTTTGAATGATACCCATGCTGAGGTGCTCAGAGGTGAAATGTACTAACATATATCGATGGATGGATATATGGATGCATATGTGATTAAAGCAAATATAGGGAAAATTAACTGTAGAATCTAGGTAGTGGGTATATGGTTGTTCACTGTACAACTGTTTAAACTTTTCTACGTTTGAAAAATTTCATAACACGTTGGAAAAGTGACTTGTTTTGCTCAAGCAGGGGTACATTCAATCTTCAATTCTTGAAAGACATAAATCTATCTTTCCTTCTGTTTGGAAAGCTCTTTAGAGAGTCAGAATAATCCCCACAGTACAGTCTAAACCAGCACACAAGGGTTTTTTGGTAGAAAATAATTTTATTAACATAACCAGGCAATTTACCAAATACAACGTAGATAGCTCAAAACATGGAGTTACTGCGCTGAAAATGTGACCCTGTTTACACAGATTTCGGGACGAAGAGTATAAAACAGGAGAGAAAAGGAGTAAGATTGTGGTTGTAGCGTCATCGCAGAGGTGAAGTGTTCCATTGATTGCCACTGTGGTAGTCTATATCAGTTTCCCACATTAAGGTGGGAGGAATCTACTAAGCAAATGTACGCCCTCCCCATTCGTTCGAAACACATTGCAGTAAAATTGCAAAAGTGGCCGGGCGTGGTAGCTCATGCCTGTAATCCCAGCACTTGGGGAAGCTGAGACGGGAAGATCGCCTGAGGCCAGGAGTTTGAAGCCAGCTTGGGTAACATAGTGAGACACCCCTACCTTCTCTATTAAAATGAGATTTTAATTTTTTTTCTCTTCAGTTCATCGGTTAACAAGATAAAAAAATTAATAAAAAATTAACTTTTTAAAACATTTAAAGTAAAGTAGGAGTGGAAGCAGTATGTGGACTCATGGGGCTTGGGTCTGAATCCTACCTAGATCGGCACTGCGAAATGGGGATAATGATCTCCTAGAGCTGCTGAAATAGGAAAATGGAAGAACAGCAGCTGATGTATTAATATTATCATTATTACTACTACCCATTACCTGACAAGTGATAATTGTGACATGAAAGAGGCTGGACCGGTTGTTACAACAATTTTTTCCGTCTAGAATTCGGCGGTAAGGTCTGAGACAACACCTCAGCTTAGATCAGTGCCTTCTCTGAACAGCGTTCACTAAGCAGCCCCCAACCCCAAAACCCCCAAGTCCCCGGGCGCCGAGGACGCTGCGAGTCCTGCGCATGCGCAAGGTTGCCCACTCGCTCACCGCCTCCTTGGCGAATGGCCTGTTCCATTCTCGAGGGATGCCGGCGGGAGGTGAGGCGGGAGACTTGGAAGCCTGGGCCCGGAAGTGAGGTGCGTCACTAGTATTTCCAGCCTTTCACTCCATGAATAGTACTTTGTGATTATTATACTTCTACCTTGATGATTGCAACAGGCTGCTGGAAAGAGTTTGGTGAACAATCCACCGGGCATCCTCCCCCCTTCACCTGCGCACGTTAGGGAGGGCCGGCGTGGCGCCCAGGTACGGAATCCCAGAGGGCTCCGCCCAGCGCTACGGGGCCCCGCCCCGCCGCCTCTCAACCATCAGGTTCGGCAGCCCGCGGCGCCGCCTGGCAGCTCCTCCTCTTCTCCGCCCCGCCGGCCGCGGGCGCGGGGGACGTCAGCGCTGCCAGCGTGGAAGGAGCTGCGGGGCGCGGGAGGAGGAAGTAGAGCCCGGGACCGCCAGGCCACCACCGGCCGCCTCAGCCATGGACGCGTCCCTGGAGAAGGTCCGTGCCGGGAGGGGGCGATGGGGACGGTGCTGCGGCCCGGGGCTCCCGCTTCCGAGGCAACTGTTTCCCAGTCGCGAGCTGCCATTGTGACCCGGACAGGGGGACGCGGGCTGACAGGCCCTGCCTGAGGAGGCCTCGCCGGGAGGGCGGCTGGGGCCCGGGCGCGTCACGGGGCCGGGTGTCTCTTGGGTCCCCGTGGGCCGAAGAGGCTGGGCGGGGTTCGGTGGGGGCCGCGACGGGCCCGGAGCCCAGGACTGGGACCGCGGGGCCGACCTTGGGCCCTGCCGAGGTTCCGCGAGTGGCCGGCCTGAGCTCGGCTGGCCCTTTCGGAGGACCGGGAGCTCTCCGTTGGCGGCCCCAGATGCTCCCGGAAAGAAGCCGCAGTTATTTCAGAGCCAGCTGCAAACCTGTAGGTTTTTCTTGGTCTCCGAGTTAGGAATGAAAATTGCCAAAGCAGTGGTTTTCCAACTTCAGCCTGAGTGGGAATCACCTGGGGCCTTTGGTAAAATGCGGAGGTTCAGTCCCGGGGTCAGAACCTCTGGGGGCGGGACCGGGAACTGCGTGTTTAACCGCCACCGCCCCGCTCCCACTCCGCCCCACGCAGGTGATTCTGATGCTGAGCCTGCGATCACCGGGCGAGAACCTCTGAGTTCCAGAAAGGGGTGGGTGTTGCGTAGATTGCGAATTGAGTTTTGGGGATCGCAGCTGCTCCACAACTTCCTGGCTCCCCCATTCCAGTGGCGAGGAGGGATCCCCGAGTCAACTCGAAATCCACTGGTAACAGAGCCTACCTCTGGTTTCCCCTTGGGGGAACGGCAGCGTGGTGTACCAGGCTGACTGCTCTACCATGTGAAACGGATTCTCATTGTCCCAGTGTTAGGGCTTGTAAATGGAAACCAGTTTGGGTTTCTTCACGGATTCCTGCTTTCGGTACCTGACATTCTGCCCTCCCTCAAAGCCCTTCTGTCTGTTCCAGCTTGGGAGTCTGCTTGTCCAATCCAGTGCATACCCGGTTTTTCATGCATGTGGCATTCAGGAGCAATGCTCGTGTTTTAAGACGGCTACATTTTAATTTTGAGCTGGTAGGAATAATATATTTTGTCTTTTTTCAAGGCAGCAGCTGCTGTAGATTTTGTTCACTTGTCACTGGAGAGTTGAAGGCAATAATTGTAAAGGTTGGGCCAGATGTCTTCATGTGCTCACAGTGGTATAGCCTACTCCTGGGTTGCTTAGCATAAATTGGGTGGAAGACAAGAAAAAGATAATATGGTTTTCTTGTGCCATCTCTGGGGTGAATGTTACGTGTTTTCCTGGCTGGGAATAAAGTCTTTCCGGTCGTCTGATTAGCAGGGTGTCTACCTTTTGGTACTTTGAGTTTGTCCAGATGAGTGGTTCTTAAAGCAGGGGGCAATTTATTTCCCCAGGAGACATTTGGCTATCTCTGGACATAGTTTTGATTGTCACAATGGGGGCAGGGAGGTGCTGCCGGTACCTAGTGGGTAGAGGCCAGGGACGCCTCTAAACATCCTACGTTGCACAGGACAGCCCCCCACGCTGAAGAATTCTCTGGCCCAAAATGTCAGCAGTGTTGAGGCTGAGAAATCCTGGTCAAGATCATGTTTATAACACCAGCAGTTGAGTACAAAACGATGCAAAGTGGTGTTATCAATTTCCTAAGAAGGTGGGTGGGCTTCATGTGATTGTAATTGGAATCCTGAAGAACTGGGGTGATCTTTCCTCCAGGAATAATTAGCCTTTATAGGAAAATCTGCAGGGTGGGTCAGAATCCTGCTTTAAATATTACTTTTCTGGCATTTGATCAGTAGGTTACAGTAGTTGCTCCCTAAGTGTTAATTGATGATAAAAGATCTTAAACTCTCTCAATGAGGATCGCAAGAGGGACTGAAATTCCAGTGTGTTTAATATTGGAGCATTCACAAAAATTGTAGTGATCTTTTAGGAATTCAGAACGTGTGGGCTGGAGGTTTCTGCCTTAGGTCAATGTGAAAATTCTGAGTGTAAGTTTTTCAGAACTATGGGACTTACTTTTTTTTTTTTTTTTTTTTTTTTTTTGAGAGGGAGTCTCGGTCTCTTGCCCAGGCTGGAGTGCAGTGAGGCGATCTCGGATCCCTGCAACCTCCGCCTCCCGGATTCAAGTGATTCTCCTGCCTCAGCCTCCCGAGCAGCTGTGACTACAGGCGTGTGACACCACACCCGACTAATTTTTGTATTCCCAGTAGAGATGGGGTTTCACCACGTTGGTCAGGATGGTCTCAAACGCCTGACCTTGTGATCCTTCAGCCTCAGCCTCCCACGGTGCTGGGATTACAGGCGTAAGCCACTGCACCTGGCCGGGACTTAGATTTATATTCCCTGAAGTAATACAGGGCCTTAGATGGAATAAACGATTTATATTGGTGCTAATTGGGCAGAAAAGAAAAAGCATTGCTGTAATATGAATGTTGATGACTTTATGTTCTGAAAAATAGTCTGGGTCAAAGTGAAACATTTAATTGTGTTCATTATTCCTGTTTCTTTGAGGAATAGACTATCCTGCGTTAAATTCTACATTGTTAATATAAACTCAAGAGCTATGTGAGCAGTTGTAAATGATCCCATTTAAACTGATTGTTGCATAATTTATACTGATTACAGAAACCACAATGTTATTTGATGCTCACCCTCTAAAATTTAAAATAATATCTCTCACTTTAAAATGTATGTGAAAAAACAAAAACAAAATGTAGTATGCGATCATCATTTAGTAGAATCACTCAGTGATTTGGATTTGGTCCAAATATAATTCTGTCCCTTGCTTTTTCTGTTATGTAAACGTGCAGACCTGTGATAACAGAGCCATTTTCTCGTCACGATTTGCTTTTCTTCCACAACAGTATCAGTTTTCTTGTATCTGAGATCAGTGATGTCCCAATAAATCAGATGGGTTAATTGAGGAGGCAAAGGAAATTCAAACTTAGGAGAGTAGGAGTAGGGGCTTTGCCCCTGCCCCCCACTGTATGTCCAAGGCATAAGGAACAAGGCCCTGTAGCAGAGTCTCACAGTGTGTACTTATGTTAATATTCAATAAGGAAAATGCCACAGGAAGTAATCACTATAATGATGAAGATTTTAAGTTATTAAACACACCTTCCAGTAAAAACCTGTTATATTATTATTATTTTTGAGACAGGATCTCTCTCTGTCACCCAGGCTGGAGAGCCGTGGTACAATCTCGGCTCACTGCAACGTCCGTCTCCAGGGCTCAAGTGATCCTCGCGCCTCAGCCTCCTGAGTAGCTGGGACTACAGGCACTCACCCCCACACTGAGCTAATTAAAACAATTTTTTTGTTCTCGAGACAAGGTCTCACTATATTGCCCAGGCTGGTCCCAACCTCCTGGGCTGAAGCCATCCTCTTGCCTTAGCCTCCCAAAGTGCTGGGATTATAAGCGTGAGCCACCGTGCCAGGCCAAAACCTGCTACTCTAAACTTGTAGAATAGCCCAGACCTTTTTCTGTTGGTTAAAAGATCTCATTCTTCCTGGGTATTATGTTTAGGCAAGGTATACTGCAGTTTGTTTGCATTTACTTTAATTCTGTCCTTGAGCAAACTTAAAGCAGTTTCTCAGCGTCAGCACTAGTGATATTTTGGGTCAGATAATTTGCTGTTATGGGGGCTGGCCTGTGCATGGCAGCATGCTTAGCAGTGTCCCAGACCTCTGCTCAGTAGATGCTAGTCGCACTCCCTACACCCAGTTGTAACAATAAGAAATGTCTCAAGATGGGGGCAGTTGTCCCCCAAGGGGTAGAGGGAATTGCCTGTCATTGAAAGTCCCTAATTTAGGGAATCTAGAGCTACAGTTCCGGTTTGGTCACCACTAGCCATATTTGGCAGTTTACATTGAGATTAAAATTAAACACAATTTAAAATTCATTTCCTCAGTCATGCTAGCCACATTTCAAGTGCTCAGCAGCCACATGTGGCTGATGTCTGCTACACTGGGCAGCACAGATGTGGAACATTTCCATCGCAAAGAAGGTTCCACTGGACAGTGCTAAGAGCTGGCAATTCGTGTTTTTTTTTTGAGATGGAGTCTCCCTCTGACGCCCAGGCTAGAGTGCAGTGGCACAGTCTCTGCTCACTGCAACCTCTGCTTTCCGGGTTCAAGCGATTCTCCTGCCTCAGCCTCTCAAGTAGCTGGGATTACAGGCACCCACCACCACACCTGGCTAATTTTTGTATTTTTAGTAGGGATGGGATTTCACCATATTGACCAGGCTGGTCTCAAGCTCCTGACCTCAAGTGATCCACCCGCCTCGGCCTCCCAAAGTGCTGGGGTTACAGGCATGAGCTACTGTGCCCAGCCAATTACTTGTTATATCTAATTCTCATCTCTGAAAGAGGCAACTTTGACCCTGTTTCTGACCTAAATCAGCACAACTCAGCCCATTTTTGGTTCTTGAACTCATCCTGAGCTAAGTGTTTCTTTCCTGCTATTTGGGACTGATTTTAGAAAATTCTTTGTCACCTTGCTGTTATGCTAGAGGTTTATAGCAGCATCAATGGAACATTCCTGATCATTACTTACTGATAAGGACTCCGAGAATTTCTATTCCTGCTCCTTCCTTAAAAAGCATGAGAAAAGAACCCCTGTTAGGCAAGGTTGAAATGACCAGTTTCCGTGTATGGCTTTGTAGATCCCACTCTTTTATATAGAATGAGAGGAGATGAGAGGCTGTAATTGTAGCTTTCATATAAAGCCAATTCCAATGTTACAATGTGAGGGTTTTGCATACAGATGCATGGTGGCTATGGCTGTAAATGATTATCTAATACTGGCTGTCAGGGAAAACTGATGGGACTCGGCCATAGTACAAAGTTCCTGATCCTAGATATTTATGGCTTTGTTCATTCTTGATTTATTCAATTTTGCAGGGGAAGTCAGTGGCAGAGCTATTGATGGTCCCATTTCCGTCTTTGCTCCACTATATCTAGGATTATATGAGTTATAGGTAGAAGTTGGTTGAGCTTGATTTCATCTGTTGTCACCTAAAGCAGAAACCTGTTTTGATTTATAATTTTTTTTTTTTGAGACGGAATCTTGCTCTGTCACCCAGGCTGGAGTGCAGTGGTGCGATCTCAGCTCTATGCGACCTCTGCCCCACTGCAACCTCTGCCCCCTGGGTTCAAGCAATTCTCCTGCCTCAGCTTCCCGAGTAGATGGGATTATTTTTGTGCCACGCCCGGCTAATTTTTGTTTTTTTTATTTTTTATTTTTTTGAGATGGAGTCTCGCCCTGTGGCCTAGGCTGGAGTGCAGTGGCACAGTCTCGGCTCACTGCAAGCTCCACCTCCCAGGTTCACGCCATTCTTCTGCCTCAGCTGGGACTACAGGCGCCCACCACCACACCCAGCTAATTTTTTGTATTTTTAGTAGAGATGTGGTTTCACCAAGTGTTAGCCAGGATGGTCTCGATCTCCTGACCTCCACCTCAGCCTCCCAAAGTTCTGGGATTACAGGCGTGAGCCACCGCGCCTGGCCAATTTTTGTATTTTTAATAGAGACGGGGTTTCGCCATGTTGGCCAGGCTGGTCTCCAACTCCTGACCTCAAGTAATCTGCCCACCTTGGCCTCCCAAAGTGCTGGGATTACAGATGTAAGCCACTGCACCCGGCCTTGATTTATAATTTTTATTAATCGAAGGTGAGCTGTGGTCAAAGCCCAATGCTGAGTGCTGACAGAGACACAAGGTGAGTAAGATGTGGCCCCTGCAGGAGGTTGCGTTCTGGTAAGGGAGTATACTTTTTTTTGGACAAATCCTTGTATAGAAAGGGATAAAAAGCATAGGAATTAAGAAACAAATTGTGAGTGCAAGGAGCAAGTGACCAGGAAGGATTATGTGAAAGAGATTCTTTAGGCAGAATATTTAGCTCAGAATTATGCTTTTCTAGAGTTTAATTGTAAATATAATGCAAACCTTTACTTTACGAGTGTGCCTCATATTATTGCTGGTAGATAAAAATCAAGAAACAGGAAAAGCATTTCATCTTTACCTTTCCGATTTGATCGCTCCCTAACAATCCCTGAACAAGGTAAATCCTGAATGGTGATAATCATTCAACCTTCATCTCTGCTAAAAGCATTTCTTTTCCTCCCAGGCAAAAACAAACAGTGCCTGCTGTCTAGCACTAGTTAAACTAGTTAAACACTGCCTATAAAGCTTATCTTAAGGAAGAGTTATAACAGTATCTGCTTCTGTTTAGCAGTTTTCTTTTTGTTCCAGAATAAAGGTGTGATTCCAGGTAAACAGTAAAGTTTTTAGAAATAGAGCTTCCCTATTGTATGCTATTTTTCCATCAGTGTCATTATCTGGAAGTGTTTACTCGTGTTATAAGATCTGTGTGAACTGACACTGCAGTAGTGGTCTCTGGGAACACAGGTTTTTGGAACACGGAGTTGGATCTCTAGCATCTCCAACGTATATCTGAGTCAAGTGATTAGAGGCTTTTTCCCTCCTTCACATACTGCTCTCTGACTGAGATGTGATCTGTGCAGTTAACTTTGCTGCCTCCTTTCCACTGTTGGGTATTTTTGTCCTTTTCTTTTGTTTCTTTTTTTTTTTTGAGATGGAGTTTTGCTCTTGTTGCCCAGGCTGGACTGCAGTGGTGCGATCTTGGTTCACTGTAACCTCTGCCTCTGGGTTCAAGCAATTCTCCTGTCTTAGCCTCCTGAGTAGCTGGGATTACAGGCGCCCACCACCACGCCCAGCTAATTTTTTGTATTTTTAGTAGAGACAGGGTTTCATCATGTTGGCCAGGCTGGTCTTGAACTCTGTACCTCAGGTGGGCCACTGCACCCGGCCTATTTTTGCCCTTTTCTTTCCTATTTTCTGCCTATCTTCTTGAGGAATTTGTAAGGTTAAATACTTATAGTTACACCTTATACAGTACTTGGCTAACCCTTTTCAACTAGGAAGATTATGATGCTTAATCTTAATGAGCCAGTAATTACAGTATGTCTTCATATTCTCACAGACACACTCAAGCGTAGAGACCATGATGGTTAAAAATAAGACTTTCAAATGACAATATCCAGTTCTTAGAAGATGAGAGGAGACGGCTGAGCATGGTGGCTCATGCCTGTACTCCCAGCACTTTGGGAGGCCGAGGTGGGTGGATCACCTGAGGTCAGGAGTTCGAGACCAGCCTGGCCCACGTGGTGAAACCCCATCTCTACTAAAAATACAAAAATTAGCCAGGTGTGGTGGCTCACGCCTGTAGTCCCAGCTACTCAGGAGATTGTGCCACTGCAACAGAGTGAGACTCCATCTCAAAAAAAAAAGAAGATGGGAGGAGACAAAAGTTCTGGTTCTTAAATACTGTACTGTTGAATCAGGCCAAAATACTTACAAATGTAGAAACTGAGACTCCAATAAGATAAACCAGGTTTACAAGTCACTGTATCAGCTTGGAGGATTCCTGTCCTCTTCTCTCATCCTTGGCCCATAAGGAACATTATGTTCTTGCTGTGGCTTCTCAGTGGTATGTATTATAATAGACGTGTGTGGTGTTTGGGGAACTTGTTTAACTAGTGCTAGACAGCAGGCACTGTTTGTTTTCGCCTGGGAGGAAAAGAAATGCTTTTTGCAGAGATGAAGGTTGAATGATGATCACTATTCAGGATTTACCTTGTTCAGAAAGCTGTGGGAGGCAAGAGTAGTTAAGTTAGGAACAGCTGTCTGGAGCTTTACCTCTTGCTTTTTATCTCAGCCGAAGGTAGGTAGTGATTTTTTTTATGTCTAATGCATATGGTATAAACTAGCATCTCATAACTCCAAGGTCTTCTAATATGAGCAGCTGGTTTCTCTTTAGTTAGCCCTAAGAGGCCTCCGAAATAAGTCCTAAAAGTCCCCCAAATAAGAACATTCCTCTCCTGAAAAAAAAACTTTGTTGAAACGAAAGTATTATATACTTCTAGCATTGATGAATGTTACAATTAATATACTTTTAAAAATAAATTTTAGACTTTCTTTGTTATAGAGGCTGCTTCTCTTAAAAGCCTTCTCTTGGCCGGGTATGGTGGCTCATGCCTGTAATCTCATCACTTTGGGAGGCCGAGGCGGGCAGATCATGAGGTCAGGAGATCGAGGCCATCATGGCTAACATGGTGAAACCCCGTCTCTACTAAAAATACAAAAAAACTAGCCGGGTGTCGTGGCATGTGCCTGTGGTCCCAGCTAATTGGGAGGCTGAGGCAGGAGAATCGCTTGAACCCGGGAGGCGGAGGTTGCAGTGAGCCGAGATCATGCCACTGTACTCCAGCCTAGGCGACAGAGCAAGACTCCGTCTCAAAAAAAAAAAAAAAAAAAAAAAAAAGCCTTCTCTTTGAAGGCTTAGCTCTGTATGTCTTAAACAGCAGTTATTCATGTCAGTTATTCATGTACCATCTGTGAATTTGGCCACATCACTGTACCACCTATACTATTATTTGCTTAGTATTTTCTTTTAAATCTACTTTACATCAATTTACTCCCCCTTTATGAAAAATTGAGGAACCGTTTACTTACAACAAATAGACCCATTTTAATTATATAGTTTGTGTTTTGGAAGTTGTATATAGTGATATTACCACCAGCATGATCAAGATACAAAGCATTGACCTGGTGCAGTGGCTCACACCTGTAATTTCAACACTTTGGGAGGCCAAGGAAGGAGGATCTCTTGAGCCCAGGAGTTTGAGGGCAGCCAGGGCAACACAGTGAGACTCCTATCTCTATAAAAAATAAAAACTTAGCCAGGCTTGGTGGCATGCACCTGTAGTCCCAGCTACTTGGGAGGCTGAGGTGAGAGGATCGCTTGAGCCCAGGAGGGTGAGGCTGCAGGGAGCCACGATAGTGCCGCTGCACTTGGCCTGGGTGACAGAGTGAGACCCTGTCTCAGAAAATAAGTCCCCTACCCACCCACCCCAAAAAAGGTACAGAGCATTTCTGTCTCCCTGAAAATGTCCCTATGTCCCTTTGCAGTGGATCCCTGCCCTGCTTTCTGTCACTCTAGACCTCTTTACCCACCCATCCCATCCCTGCACCCCCGCCTTTTTTTTTTTTTTTTTTTTTTAACTTAGATTTGTCCTCAACTGTAATGTCTCTAAATTCTGGGATTTGAGGTGTGTGTTTGTGTGGGTTTTTTTTTTTTTCCAAATCACATAAAAGTGAGAGAGAGAGAGAGAGTGTGTGTGTGTGTGTGTGTATACATATATATATATATATATATATATTTTTTTTTTTTTTTTTTTCTGAGACGGACTCTCACCCTGTCGCCCAGGCTGGAGTGCAATGGCGCCATCTCGGTTCACTGCAACCTCCGCCTCCCGGGTTCAAACGATTCTCCTGCCTCAGCCTCCTGAGTAGCTGGGGTTACAGGCACACCACCACGCCCAGGTAATTTTTTGTATCTTTAGTAGAGACGAGATTTCACCATGTTGGACAGGCTGGTCTCAAACTCCTATCGTGATCCGCCCGCCTCTGCCTCCCAAAGTGCCAGAATTACAGGCATGAGCCACCGCTGCCAGCCAAATGTATAATTTTTTAAATTCACACTTTGGTGAACTGGTTTAACTGAGGAAAAGTGTTGATTCGTGTGTTTTCAAAAGATGAAATTTTTTTTTTTCCCCTGAAACAGAGTCTTGCTCTGTCACCTAGGCTGGAGTGCAGTGGTGCATTCTTGGCTCACTGCAACCTCTACCTCCTGGGTTCAAGCGATTCTCCTGCCTCAGCTTCCTGAGTAGCTGGGATTACAGGTGCCCGCCATTGCACACGACTAGTTTTTGTATTTTTAGTAGAGATGGATGGGGTTTTACCATCTTGGCCAGGCTGGTCTCGAACTCCTGACTTCGTGATCTGCCCACCCCGGCCTCCCAAAGTGCTGGGATTACAGGTGTGAGCCACTGCCTAAGATGAAAAAATTTTTAAAGTGACTAGTTCATTAATTCCCAAATCTTAGGCTCTAAAGACACCTTTTATTTCTATTGTAGTTACCAGTTTTGGAAGATATGATAAACAACTTTTTTTTTTTTTTTTTTTTTTTTGAGACGGAGTCTTGGTCTGTCGCCCAGGCTGGAGTGCAGTGGCACAATCTCGGCTTACTGCAAGCTCCGCCTCCCGGGTTCACGCCATTCTCCTGCCTCAGCCTCCCTAGTAGCTGGGACTACAGGCGCCCGCCAGCACACCTGGCTAATTTTTTGTATTTCTAGTAGAGACGGGGTTTCTACTGTGTTAGCCAGGATGGTCTCCATCTGACCTCGTGATCCACCTGCCTCGGCCTCCCAAAGTGCTGGGATTACAGGTGTGAGCCACCGCGCCTGGCCTTGCCAATTTATAATTTTCCGTTAGCTTTTTTGAAAAGTTGAGAGTTGCTCCTTGACCTCCTTTACCATCTTACCTTGCATTTGATTCTTGACTTTTCCTCCAACATTTAAATTGTCAGAACTTTTAAGCAATTTTAACATTACATATGTAATATTTCTTCTGGTAGTGAGGGAGTATTTTAATATCCCATACTGTCTGATAAAAATCGCCTAGCATAAAAACGATTCTTGGCCAGGCACTGTGGCCCACATTTCTAATCTCAGCACTTTGGGAGGCCAAGGCAGGAGGATTGCTCGTGAAGCCAGGAGTTTGAGATCAGCCTGGGTGACATAGTAGGACCATGTCTCTCCAAAAAATTTTTAAAAATTAGCTAAGTGTGGTGGCATGTGCCTGTAGCCATGTCTGCTCAGGGGGCTGAGGTTAGAGGATCACTTGAGCCCAGGAACTCAAGGCTGCAGCCAGCTATGATCACGCCACTGTGACAGCCTGGACAATAGAGCGAGGTTATGTCTCAAAAAAAAAAAAAGTTTGTAAAAAATGCTCACGAAGGTATGAATAGTAGGGCTTGTTTTATAAAATGAGCTAACTATTAAAGTCTCAGTTCTGGCTGGGTGCAGAGGCTCACGCCTGTAATCCCAGCACTTTGGGAGGCCAAGGCAGGCAGATTATCTGAGGGCAGGAGTTTGACCCGGCCAACATGGTAAGATCCCGTCTCTACTAAAAATACAAAAAAATTAGCTGGGCGTGATGGCGGGCACCTGGAATCCCAGCTACTCAGGAGGCTGAGGCAGCAGAATCACTTGAACCCGGGAGGCGGAGGTTGCAGTGAGCCGAGATCAAGCCACTGCACTCCAGCCTGGGAGACAGAATGAGACTGCATCTCGAAAAAAGTCTCAGTTTTGTGACAGTGAGCATGCAATTGAATGGCTCTTCTTAGGAAAGGAGAATTAAATCATACCTATCATGCAACTGTGTTAGATAAAATTGTAGCAAAAATATTGAACCCACGTCATTTATACAACAGAATTAACTGTACTTGAAATATAATTTATGAATTTGTAGAGAGGTAAAACTGTGTCTAAATTCTCAGCAATTAGTATCTATCAGAAAATGTGCATGTAGATATACCCACTCTGTAAATGCTTTGTTGCACTTTTTTTGGTTTTGGGATTTTTGTTTGAGACAGAGTCTTGCTCTGCTGCCCAGGCTAGAGTGCAGTGGCGCGTTCTTGGCTAACTGCAAGCTCCGCCTCCCAGGTTCGAGTGATTCTTGTGCCTCAGCCTCCTGAGTAGCTGGGACTACAGGCGCACACCGCCACGTCCAGCTAATATTTGTATTTTTAGTAGAGACGGGGTTTCACCATGTTGGCCAGGCTGGTCTCAAACTCTTGACATTGGGTGATCTGCCCTGCTTTGGCCTCCCAAAGTGCTGGTTTTACAGGTGTGAGCCACCATGCGTGGCCATGCTTTCACTCTTAAAAATGCTTGGGTTTAAGAGTTGGTGGAAAAAGGAAAAAAAAAAAATGCCCTGATCTGGATGATGAGTTTACGGCCATCTGGTTGAGACTGTTGTAAAGTAGAAATTTTCCCTGTAAAGTGTCACTTTCTTCCCAGGTGAAAACATTAATCAAGCAAGGATAATCTTTAAAATTAAACCTTAGTTCTAAATATGATTTTTGAGTACAAGCTTTTTTAAAGTGTTGAGTTGCTTCATTTACTTACTTGATAAAATTGAGAAGCAGTATTGCCCAGTGGTTAAGAGCACTGGTCCTAGAATTTTACTTAGTTTTAAATTCTGGCTCTAAAATGTACTATGATTTGGGGCTTGTGAGGAAGTAATGTGTGTAGAGGCGTTAATTATTAGCACAATGCCTGGAATATAGTAAGCAACCCAGTAAGTATTAGTAATTATAAGGATCATAAATCTGATTGAATATTTACTCTGTGTCTGACCCTGCACTCAGTGCTAAGGGATTCAGAAATTATTTGACATTCTTCCGAGGAACTTGACATAGAATACTGTTTTTCCTTTGTTTTTTTGTTTTTTGAGATGGAATTTTGCTGTCGCCTAGGCTGGAGTGCAGTGGCACCATCTCTGCTCACTGCAGCCTCCGCCTCCCAGGTTCAAGCAGTTCTCCTGCCTCAGTCTCCCGAATAGCTGGGATTACAGGCACCCCCCACCACGCCTGGCTAATTTCTGTATTTTTAGTAGAGACGGGGTTTTGCTATGTTGGCCAGGCTGGTCTCAAGCACCTGGCCTCAGGTGATCCACCAACCTTGGTCTCCCAAAGTGCTGGGATTACAGGTGTGAGCCACTGCGCCTGGCCTGTTTTTTTTTTCTGCCAACATTATCAAACATTTTCCTATGTACTAACTAATAGACATCTTTATACATCTTTATACAATTCTTTTTTTTTTTTTTTTTTGCCATACAGGTTCATTTTATTGAGTGGAAAGCTTACAAAAGGTCCACTGGCCCCTTCCCTCCCCACGTGACACTCATTCCTTCCAATGCAAACTCTGGTGTATCCACACTCGCTTCTGCGTCACTGGTTTCCCCCAACAAGGCACAAAGGGCGGGTGCTTCCAAAGGATCCCTTGCTCCTGGCAGTGGGACTTTCAGTGCTGGGTGTCTTGTGCAAATGGTGGCTGAAAGCAGGACTGTTAGTTCACTCAGACACTGGGATCTTCCTTACTCCTGCAGAGGGGCTTGGCTCCAGGCCCACAGTACTCGTTGTAGATGAGCTTGAAGAGGAAGAGGTGGAAGAGGGTGATGAGGGAGGCCAAGCTGAACCAGAAGAGGAAGGGCAGCCCGGGGTCCTGCTGAGCCATGTGCTCATCATGGGCCAGGATGGCCTTGAGGTGCAGCGTGTGCCGCAGGTCCTGCAGGTGTGTGAGGTCGGTGGAGATGTAGAGCAGTGGCGTGATGGGCTGTGTCACCATGACCGAGAAGGTGTGGCCCGTGGGCGCCGAGGTCAGCTCCACTGGCTCGTCCAGGCAGCCTGCCTTGCAGGCATAGATCTTGACAGGCTGGCCACGGGACTCCACGGACTCGTGTAGGTAGGGCTTGCCCTCGGCATCCGCCAGCACGGCCAGGTTGATATGGTCGTTCTTGTAGCGGATGCCATGCAATGCATAGCTGTTCTGCAGCACGTCGGGGTCGGCCTGGAACTGGAGGTGGTTCTCTGTGAACTGCAGCCCCCCGAAGCTGAGCACCATGCCCTGCAGGATGCCTGGGGCACCCACCTTCACCAGCCCCTTGCAGCCACTCTTCTGGAGGGTCAGCCTCCACAGGTCAGAGAGCTGCAGGATCTGCTGGACGGAGGACAGCAGCCCCGGCCACAGGTTCTCGGCGTGCATGGTGGCGTGCCCGCTGAAGCGGTGATCTTCATAGTTGAGCGTCGACTCCATCTGGTCTCGCTCCCTGTGGCTCAGGGAGGGGCTGAGCAGCGGGGCTGGCGAGCAGGAGAGCATGTAATAGAGCGTCAGGTTCACGGTGAGGCCAGACGGCCTGTGGGTGTCAGTGATCTTCATTTCCACTCCTGGGCTGAAGAGCTGAGCCCAGAGGAGCTGGTGGTCTTGAAGCAGCTCCGCCGCTGGCATCTCCAAGAGCTCCAGCATTTCCTTCCGTGCCAAGTCCTGCAGCGCCTTGAGCTCCTTGGCTGCTTTGCTTTTGGGCACCTGGGGGATAATGGGGCCAGAGACGTGCACCACCCACAGCACCGTCTCATCCAGCTGCGTCTTGGGAGCCACTTGGAGGCGGTTCACCAGCTTCTTGGCGGCCACCACCACCAGGTGCACCAACCCAGTGGGCGTAGGCGGGGACCGGCCTGAGTAGAGGAGGAACTGATGGTCTCCGACCTTCTCCAGGGTACTGGTGAAGGCCTTGGGGGCTGGGCCGGCAGTGGGCCCCACAGTCTGCAGCGCGGTCACGCGCTCCGTGGGGTTGTTGAGCTGGATGCGCTGCAGGTAGACGTGGGGTCGGCCCCTGTGCGCCAGAAAGCCCTCTTGCAGCAGCACGCAGTCGCGGCCGGACCCCGCGGCAAGGCCAGAGACGGAGGCGGGCCCGGGGCCGGCGGCCACGGGGCCAGGACCTGGGGACCCCAGCTGCAGGCAACGCACGCGGCGCAGCAGCAGCCCCTCCCGCAGCAGCAGCACCGCCTCTCCAGCTTCAGCCAGCGCGCTCAGCGGGCGCAGCTGCACGAAGGGCACAAAGTCCGGCGCCACGGCGGGCTCCCGCTCCCCGGGAGTCACCCACAGCCGATTGGCAGCCACGTCCAGGGCCAGGAAGCCGTTGGCCACCAGGGCCGGCACTCCAGGGCCCAGCGGTACCGCCTCGCCGCGCTCCCGCAGGCCGCGCCAGGCGCGGGTGGCCGCCTCCAGGCAGGCAGACGGCTCGGTGGCGCCCGGCTCACCCCAGGACCAGGGAAGCAGGTGCAGGCCGCCCGCCGCCCGCTGCGCGCCGGACCCCCCAAACCACAGAAGCAGCAGTAGGAGGCCAAGCAGGCAGAGGAGGCGGCGGGCCCAGCTGCTCGACAGCAGTCCCGGCAGCCCCTTGAGCCCCTGCTGTAGCCACATCGGGCCGCCAGGCGCGGGCAAGGGCGCGAGGGCGGCCGCCGGGCCCGCCGCCCAGCCCACCGGCCCGGCCGCCCGTGCCTCACTGCCCGGCCCAGACCGCGGCGCCCACCCCGGCCCCCGCCGCAACCGCCGCAGCAGCCGCCATCGCTGCTTCCTCCTCCTTCTCCTACAATTTAATTCTTCATTTAGGTTTGTGTCTGGCTGTTGCCCTGGTGTTGTTTATTAATGTTGATCATACAGCTATTTTGGCATTGCCCACAGCTATTGAGGATAAGAAATGTGATGAAGAAAGTGGTAGCTGCCCCCAGTAGAAGCTTATGAAGACGCTGTTTTTAGTTTTAAGGGATCAGTTAATCTACAACTTTTCATAGAGCATTCATTGGTTTAGATCTTAATATTATCCTGAAACTGGATAATACTTTATATTTTGAATTATCCAATTAATGCAACAAACACGTGAGGGTCTATGGCATTGGAGTCATTGTTCACATTTATTCACCCAAACTTAACTATCAGTGCTGCTTTTCCTACCCACCCACTCCCCCCTGGGCTTACTCCCTGAAGAGCAAGAATGATTTATTTATTTTTATTTAATTTTTTGAGACAATCTTGGTCTGGCGCCAAGGCTGAAGTGCAGTGTCGCAATTTCAGCTCGCTGCAGCCTCCGCCTCCTGGGTTCAAGCGATTCTCCTGCCTCAGCCTTCCGAGTACCTAGGACTACAGGCATACGTGACCATGCCCAGCTAATTTTTGTATTTTTAGTAGAGACGGGATTTTGCCGTGTTAGCCAAGCTGGTCTCGAACTCCTGGGCCTCAGGTGATCCGTCAACCTCGGCCTCCCAACGTGCTGGGATTATAGTCGTGAGCCACTGCGCCCGGCCAGCAAGAACAATTTAAACATAAGCCAGTTTACGTTTACGTAAACTGCATGTACACTCCAGAGTCAGAGATTCACCTGGGGATTGTGAATCTGCATTTCCCTCCTGCCTTTCAGTTTAAGCATCTTGTCATTACACGGGATTTTAGTGTTTATAAATGCATGTTCACACAATGTGGCTTCTAAACTATTTTGTGTGTATATATATGTATTATATATGTATATAGATATGTGTGTGTGTGTGTGTGTGTGTGTGTGTGTGTGTGTGTGTGTATTTGTTGTTGTCGAGACAGGTTCTCTGTTGACCAGGCTGGAGTGCAGTGGTGTGATCATGGCTCACCACCAGAGCCTCAACCTCCCAGGCTCAAGTGATCATCCCACCTAAACCTCCCAAGTAGTTGGGACTACAGGCGTGCACCACCACACCTGGCTGATTTTTGTACTTTTTGCAGATATGGGGTTTTGTCATATTGCCTAAGCTGTATTTTGTCTATTTTTTTTTTTTTTTTTGGTGACAGGTTGTTGCTCTGTCACCCAGGCAGTGGCACAATCTTGTCTCACTGTAGCCTTGACCTCCTGGGCTCAAGCAATCCTCTTGCCTCAGCCTCCTGAGTAGCTGAGACCAGAGGCATGCACTACCATGCCCGGCTTACTTTTTTTGTATTTTTTGTAGAGACGAGGTTTTGCCATGTTGCCCAGGCTCATCTCAAACTCCCGGACTCAACTGATCCTCCTTCCTTGACCTCTCAAAAGTGCTGGGATTACAGGCATGAGCCACCACACCTGGCGTATTTTATCTATTCTTAACAGAAATATTCATTATAATTCTATTGAAAGAAATAGCTGTGTTGCACTTAGAGAACGGTATGTTGATATCCACTCTGGCATGCCTTCCTAAGGGATTTTCAGGTTAATATGACAATTGGAGAATTGAGCCAACTTTAGACCCGTGGTCTAAAGAGAAGTCAAAATTAGTAGGAGTCTGAATCCTTGCCTTCAAGAAGCTTGTAATCTAATTGGAGAGCACATTTATACTGGAAAGCACATCTATAAAACAATTCACAGTAAAGGGTGTAAGGAATCATGAGGATAAATGGCAGCCGCAACAACTGCAAGCATTCTGTCCCATTGTCCCCATAAATACAACCAACATTGTCAAGCAACAAGTCTAGATTTTTGGTTTAGGAAAAAAGGCATCAGTATCATTAGAGGGGATGGGAAAGAGCAAAAGTGGCTTTATCTGTAAAGGCTTCCTGGAATTATTGACTTGTAATTGAATAGGTGCTAGGAGAGAGATAGATAAAAGTCATGAGGATATTTCAGACACTATGGTCGTTGGGAGCATGAAGGTGTGAATCAAGCCAAACTGTTTATCATTTGGCTAGGTGGTAGGGGACACACGGGAGTGTCACAGCAGTGAGGATCGTCAGGAGCATCACCAGCTGACTCAGGGGTGAAGATAAATTCTCTTGACCATCATATTCCTCATTCTCTTCACTGTCTGCACTGAGGCCTTTTTCGAGTGCTTTCTGAGCCTTCTCATAGTTAAAGTGGTGAATTTTATTGAAAACACTTGTTTTAAAATTTGTCTATTTTATCTAAAAATTTGGTCATGGCTAAATGATTACCTTGTAAGCCCTTGTGGGAGCCAGTGTGATATAATAGAGGTCAGAAACAGGAGTCAGGGACCCTAGGTTTTGGCACCTCATTGTCGTTTATTAGCTCTATGGCCATAGGCAAGTCGCTTAACCTCTCTGCATCTTAGTTTCCTCACCTCCAAAATGTTAGACCAGAATCAGACGTTTTTATGCTATACTTTTTTTTTTTTTCTTTTTTTGAGACAGGGTTTTACTCTGTTCCAGGCTGGAGCGCAGTGACACAATCATAGCTTACTGTAGCCTCAAACTCCCAGGCTCAAGCGATCCTCCTACCTCTGCCTCCCAAGTAGCTAGGTCTACAGGTGTGCACCACCACACCCAGCTAATTTATTTCTCACTATGTTGCCCAAGCTGATCTGAAACTCCTGGCCTCAAGTGATTCTTCTGCCTTGGCCTCCCAAAGAATTTTTTTTTTCTTTTCAATGACACTTTAAAAAAAAATTTTTTTTTTAATTTTTTAAAATTATACTTTAATTTTTAGGGTACGTGTGCACAACATGCAGGTTTGTTACATATGTATACATGTGCCATGTTGGTGTGCCGCACCCATTAACTCTTCATTTAACATTAGTTATATCTCCTAATGCTATCCCTCCTCCCTCCCCCCACCCCACAACAAGCAGCAGTGTATGATGTTCCCCTTCCTGTGTCCATGTATTCTCATTGTTCATTTCCCACCTATGAGTGAGAACACGCGGTGTTTGGTGTTTTGTCCTTGAGATAGTTTGCTGAGAATGATGGTTTCAAACTTCATCCATGTCCCTACAAAGGACATGAACTCACCATTTTTTATGGCTGCATAGTATTCCATGGTGTATATGTGCCACATTTTCTTAATCCAGTCTATCATTGATGGACATTTGGGTTGGTTCCAAGTCTTTGCTATTGTGAATAGTGCCACAATAAACATACGTGTGCATGTGTCTTTATAGCGGCATGATTTATAATCCTTTGGGTATATACCCAGTAATGGGATGGCTGGATCAAATGGTATTTGTAGTTCTAGATCCCTGAGGAATCGCCACACTGACTTCCACAATGGTTGAACTAGTTTAGAGTCCCGCCAACAGTGTAAAAGTGTTCCTATTTCTCCACATCCTCTCCAGCACCTGTTGTTTCCTGACTTTTTAATGATTGCCATTCTAACTGGTGTGAGATGGTATCTCATTGTGGTTTTGATTTGCATTTCTCTGATGGCCAGTGGTGATGAGCATTTTTTCATGTGTCTTTTGGCTGCATAAATGTCTTCTTTTGAGAAGTGTCTGTTCATATCCTTCGCCCACTTTTTGATGGGGTTGTTTTTTTCTTGTAAATTTGTTTGAGTTCATTGTAGATTCTGGATATTAGCCCTTTGTCAGGTGAGTAGACTGCAAAAATTTTCTCCCATTCTGTAGATTGCCTGTTCACTCTGATGGTAGTTTCTTTTGCTTTGCAGAAGCTCTTTAGTTTAATTAGATCCCATTTGTCAGTTTTGGCTTTTGTTGCCATTGCTTTTGGTGGTTTATACATGAAGTCCTTGCCCATGCCTGTGTCCTGAATGGTATTGCCTAGGTTTTCTTCTAGGGTTTTTATGGTTTTAGGTCTAACATTTAAGTCTTTAATCCATCTTGAATTAATTTTTGTATAAGATGTAAGGAAGGGATCCAGTTTCAGCTTTCTACATATGGCTGGCCAGTTTTCCCAGCACCATTTATTAACAAGGGAATCCTTTCCCCATTTCTTGTTTTTGTCAGGTTTGCCAAAGATCAGATAGTTGTAGATATGCGGCATTATTTCTGAGGGCTCTATTGTGTTCCATTGGTCTATATCTCTGTATTGGTACCAGTACCATGCTGTTTTGGTTACTGTAGCCTTGTAGTATAGTTTGAAGTCAGGTAGCATGATGCCTCCGGCTTTGTTTTTCTGGCTTAGGAGTGACTTGGCAATGTGGGCTCTTTTTTGGTTCCATATGAACTTTAAAGTAGTTTTTTCCAATTCTGTGAAGAAAGTCATTGGTAGGTTGATGGGGATGGCATTGAATCTATAAATTACCTTGGGCAGTGTGGCCGTTTTCACGATATTGATTCTTCCTACCCATGAGTGTGGAATGTTCTTCCATTTGTTTGTATCCTCTTTTATTTCATTGAGCAGTGGTTTGTAGTTTTCCTTGAAGAGGTCGTTCACATCCCTTGTAAGTTGGATTCCTAGGTATTTTATTCTCTTTGAAGCAATTGTGAATGGGAGTTCACTCATGATTTGGCTCTCTGTTTGTCTGTTATTGGTGTATAAGAATGCTTGTGATTTTTGCACATTGATTCTGTATCCTGAGACTTTGCTGAAGTTGCCTATCAGTTTAAGGAGATTTTGGGCTGAGACGATGGGGTTTTCTAGATATACAATCATGTCATCTGCAAACAGGGACAATTTGACTTCCTCTTTTCCTAATTGAATACCCTTTATTTCCTTCTCCTGCCTCATTGCCCTGGCCAGAACTTCCCACACCGTGTTGAATAGGAGTGGTGAGAAGAGGGCATCCCTGTCTTGTGCCAGTTTTCAAAGGGAATGCTTCCAGTTTTTGCCCATTCAGTATGATATTGGCTGTGGGTTTGTCATAGATAGCTCTTATTATTTTGAGATATGGTCCGTCAATACCCAGTTTATTGAGAGTTTTTAGCATGAAGGGTTGTTGAATTTTGTCAAAGGCCGTTCTGCATGTATTGAGATAATCGTATGGTTTTTGTTGTTGGTTCTGTTTATATGCTGGATTACATTTATTGATTTGCGTATGTTGAACCAGCCTTGCATCCCAGGGATGAAGCCCACTTGATCATGCTGGATAAGCTTTTTCATGTGCTGCTGGATTCAGTTTGCCAGTGTTTTATTGAGGATTTTTGCATCGATGTTCATCAGGGATATTGGTCTAAAATTCTCTTTTTTTGTTGTGTCTCTGCCAGGCTTTGGTATCAGAATAATGTTGGCCTCATAAAATGAGTTAGGGAGGATTTCCTCTTTTTCTATTGATTGGAATAGTTTCAGAAGGAATGGTACCAGCTCCTCCTTTTACCTCTGGTAGAATTTGGCTGTGAATCCCTCTGGTCCCGGACCTTTTTTGGTTGGTAAGCTCTTAATTATTGCCACAATTTCAGAGCCTGTTATTGGTCTATTCAGAGATTCAACTTCTTCCTGGTTTAGTCTTGGGAGGGTGTATGTGTTGAGGAATGTATCCATTTCTTCTAGATTTTCTAGTGTATTTGCGTAGAGGTGTTTATAGTATTCTGTGATGGTAGTTTGTATTTCTGTGGGATTGGTGGTGATATCCCCTTTATCATTCAATGAAACTTTTTACAAATAAAAACTTTACTACTTTACTCAAAACCCTGTTATACAAAACAGAGCTGATCTGCTAGGGAGTTAGAAGCCCCAACTGCTTACCTAACCCTTCCTTCTCAGAGTCCTCCCAGGGACCTTAAAGCTCAGGAGAACACAGCTGGAAAATCCCTGGACTAGATCCCTTAGGTCCCTTCTAGAATGTAACAATTTCTGAATCTTATATTGATAAATGGAGTGGAATTTCTTAAAAACAATTTTGAGGAGGCAATGCAGTTTTAAATACGTACGTATTGTATGCCATGCTGTAACATATTGCTAGATACAGTGAGCAATAGGAAAAGGTAAACACAGCTCTTCCTTTAAGCAGCACACTTAGAAGAGTAAGAGGGGAACAAAAGAGCTATAACTTATATATGATATTATATGTAATATAATATATAATATATAATTTATTGTTATAACACAACTCATACTACATAGAGATTGAAGTCAACAAGAATTTTCTCCCTAAACATAACTACAGAGATTAAGAATAGAGAAAGGAAAAGGAAAGGAATGCGTATGTTTTAATTCTGCAAAAAGTTCGGGCACAGTGGCTCAGCCTGTAATCCCAGCAGAAGGATAACTTGAGCTCAGGAGTTTGAGACCAGCCTGTGCAGCATAATGAGACCTTGTATCTACAAAAAAATTTTGAAAATTAGCCAGGCATGGTGGCGAGCACTTGTATTCCCAGGTACTCAGGAGGCTGAGGTGGGAGGATCACTTGATCCCTGGAGGTCAAGGCTGCAGTGAGCCACGATCAAACCACTGTACCCCAGCCTGTGTAACAGAGCGACTGCCTCAAAAATAATATTTGTCAAAATAGCTTGTCTTTGTATCACTGCCACATTGCTTGTTTGAAACGAAGCTGACTCACTTTGTTATCATAAGTGATCTTACCAAAGACCAAGTTGTCCAGTTGCCTTGGAGTGTAGGTCATGCGTTGCCGGTACCCTGGGGCTGTGTACAATGGCCAGGCTGAGGGGACCTTGTGGTTACCCCCATGGGACTTGTAACTTGTCAAGTGGGAAGGTGGTACCAAGTGAAGAAGGGTAGGGTCCTTGGTTTTGGCCTCACGTGGTTCTTCCCAGAATGAATGGTGAAAAAATTATAATTCTGCAGAAAAATTTAAATTCTATTTTGTTTACTTTTTGGATGGGAGATAGGTGTACACATGGCACTAAAATTCAAAAGGAACTTAAGGAGGCCAGGCACGGTGGCTCACACCTGCAATCCCAGCACTTTGGGAAGCCAAGGCGGGCAGATCACTTGAGGTCAAGAGTTCGAGACTAGCATGGCCAACATGGTGAAACCCCCCCGTCTCTACTAAAAATACAAAAATTAGCTGGGCATGGTGGTGTGTGCCTGTAATCCCAGCTACTTGGGAGGCTGAGGCAAGAGAATCACTTGAACCCAGGAGGCAGAGGTTGCAGTGAGCAAGGTCATGCCATTGCACTCTAGTCTGGGCAACAGAGTAAGACTCCAACTCAAAAAATAAAAATAAAAACAGCGGCTTCCTCTAGGAAGTGGGGCTGGAAGATTTTTACTTTTTCTGTTATACTTTTGTACTATTGCAAGTTTTAAAATCATGTATTTCACAGTAAATCCAGAAGAAATTATGCACTTAATTTTTCTGGGTGAATTGTGTTATAGAGGTAATAGAGGATTATTAAAATTTCTTTCTTTTTTTTTTTTGTTTCCCAGATAGCAGACCCCACGTTAGCTGAAATGGGAAAAAACTTGAAGGAGGCAGTGAAGATGCTGGAGGACAGTCAGAGGTGAGTAGGACAGAGGTGACCCTGTTCAACGAGTTCAGCCTGCTGTGAAGCCAGTGGCTCTGGGTCCTTTCTGTTAAAGGTGCCTCTTGGCTTCACAGTGTCACACACAGCTTTGGCTGACTTGAAAATTGGTATTTGTCTTGGGTAAAAGGTGCCTTGTAATTAAAGGATTTTGAAATTGAGAGGAAAGACTTATACTATTTAATTCTGTCTATTAAGAGTTTCATTTACTTAATATATTGATTTGACTCTATAAATACTTATTATATATTCAGGTCATATAGAGCACCAAGTAAACAAGAAGTGGGTGGAACTTTTTTGTTGCATATTCTTGTCTTTTCCAGAAATTCAAACGATACCTGAAACTGGAGGCAGGGAGATGTGATAAATGTGTTTGAAATCCTGCCTCAGTCACTGGGAGGTTATAGGCAACATGGTCATGTTTGCATATTCAGGAGTTAGAAATTTGGTATGATGAAACAAATGAACAGCTTTTTCTTTTCTTTAAATTAGAAGAACAGAAGAGGAAAATGGAAAGAAGCTCATATCCGGAGATATTCCAGGCCCACTCCAGGGCAGGTAGGTGGCACTGAGGATCCATACCTTTAGTTAAGGTGTAAATTTTTGTTTGTTTCTGAGATGGAGTCGTGCTCTGTTGCCCAGGATGGTGTGCAGTGGCACAATCTGGGCTCGCTGCAACCTCCGCCTCCCGGGTTCAAGCAGTTCTTTCTTGTGCCTCAGCCTCCCGAGTAGCTGGGATTACAGGCGTGCACCACCATATCTGGCTAATTTTTGTATTTTCAGTAGAGATGGGATTTTGCCATGTTGGCCAGGCTGGTTTCTAACTCCTGACCTTCACCTCAGGTGATCTGCCCACCTCAGCCTCCCAAAGTGCTGGGATTACAGGTGTGAGCCACTGTGCCCGGCCTACATTTTTCTTAAACCAGTGTCTTATCATCATTGATTTATGGTTTTAGTTTTAATGAACACATAGCAAATTTAAATAGACTTATGTGCAGTATAACATTAGAAAACTGAAGTGTCGTTGGCTGGTTGGTGATATTGCTGCACCTGCTGGCTTCTCTCCCTCTCCCATTTGGAATTTAATAGATGCTAAGTACAGTGGGTCACATCTGTAATCCCAGCACTTTGGGAGGCCAAGGACAGAGGATCACTTGAGCCCAGGAGTTCAAGGTTACAGCGATCTGTGATTGTACCACTGCACTCCAGCCTGAGTGATAGAGACACTCTCTAATTTTGAGACAGAGTCTCGCTCTGTCGCCAGGCTGAAGTGCAGTGGTGTGATCTCGGCTCACTGCAACCTCTGCCTCCCAGGTTCAAGTGATTCTCCTGCCTCAGCCTCCCGAGTGGCTGGGATTATAGGCACCCACCACCACGCCCAGCTAATTTTTGTATTTTTAGTAGAGACGGGGTTTCACCATGTTGGCCAGGACGGTCTCCATCTCCTGACCTCAGGTGATCCGCCTGCCTTAGCCTCTCAAAGTGCTGGGACTACAGGCATAAGCCACCGCACCTGGCCAAAAATTTTTTAGAAAACCAACAATTTAATACAACCTCATGAGTCAAAAGTGATACATGGAGCTAGGCACCGTGGTGCACACCTGTAGTCCCAGCTGCTTGGGAGCCTGAGGCAGGAGGATGGCTTGAGTCAAGGAGTTCGAGGCCACCCTGAACAACATGGCGAGACCCTATCAAATAAAATAAAAGTGATATACAAATTCATCATTATAACTGGTGTGTCATACTTAGTTCACTCTTGAAACCTGTCATCTATTTGGTAGACTGAGTTTTATTCTAAGAGGTATTTTAATTTGATAAGATTTATTGTTTTCATAATGTAAATGAAAGGAAAATGTCAAATTACTTATTTTTTGGCAACTGAAGCAAATCTGTCATGTTTGAGTAGGAGGAAAAATAGCAAAAAAGTAAGTAGCTGACTAAAATTTTCACAAGACATTAGCAGTTAATCTGGGATTAGTATCCCAGCCCAGCTTCCCTGAGACAAACTTTTTTTTTTTTCCTGTTATAACCAGGAAACTGCACATAAGTAAACAGTACAACTCCCTTAAATATCCTTTGACTTGAATATAAATTGAACCAGGTTGCAAAAGAAAAGTATGGAGGAAGGATCACAGTGTGCCAATAACACGCTGAGATACTAATACTTTAAAAGTCACTCCTATTCGTAGCATGAATAATGCTGATGTGAAGCTAGGTGTGAAGTGCATTCTCAGCTCAGAACAGGAGGCAGGCCCTATAAAATCTCCTCATTCCAGGCCTACTGATGGAAACCAAAGGTTTTAAGGTTTAGTCTCCTAATTCCACGGAAGTTTTCCCAGGGGAGATACTCCCAGCAGCATCTGTAATTCTCAGCCTTAAGCCACTGACTAGGAGGATTCACACTTAGGAGTGCTACCACCCAGCATTCAAGACTAGTAACATGCCAGGCACAGCTAAGTGCCATACCTTCACTGTCTGAAGCCTCCCAAATCCATAACGTCCGGCTTGGCAAGTTGGAATAGCTTGCTCGAGGTCATGTGGCAGGCAGCCAGTGTGCCTCAAGGGCCCCTGCCTGCTCTGATCTCTACAGTGTCCAAGGCCCAGAGCCCCTCTCACTTGAAGGGCAGCACCTTGGGGACAATTGGTTTGGGGACACTGTTTTGATGGCGCTTCCTTTGTTGAAAGAGGAAACCTCTTTTTAGTCTATTCTCATTAACAGACGAATAGCCCTGCGTTATTCCTGTTGCAAGTTGCCTTGCCATTGCTTGCTACTTCAGCCGTTCGAATTCTTTTCGTAACTTTCCATCTCCTCATGTAATGAGCATTTCATAGCAACACATCTTGGATAGAAGTAAAATGTTTTTATACTCTAAGCAGATCTCAAGGTTCCCAGCTTGGGGAAGAGCTGGTAATAAATGAAGCTTGCATTGTTAGAGGCTGTTAGTCCAAACGGACAAGATCCCTATGGAGGAAAATTAGATATACCAGTGGCATTGGAGTGTTCTGTGACTGTCTAGCATTATACTATACTAAGGATGATTATATATTATATTTTATATAATATATTTTATATTTTATATAATGTATAGTATATAATACACTTATATATTATAAGTACATATTATAAGGACTTTTGGCTCTTATTACATGCTTATTAAATATTCTCTGTCTTGTACTCCAAGATTCAAATGAAATGTATAGAAATGTTGCTAGAGCAAGACTGGTGGCTGGGCAAGGTGGCTCAGGCCTGTAATCCCAGCACTATTGGAGGCTGAGGCAGGAGGATTGCTTGAGCTTGGTGGTTTGAGACCAGGCTGGGCAACATGGCAAAACCCTGTTTCTACCAAAAATAAAAAAACGGCTGGGCGTGGTGGCTCATGCCTGTAATCCCAGCACTTTGGGAGGCCGAGGAGGGTGGATCACTTGAAGCCAGGAGTTGAAGACCAGTCTGGCCAACATGGTGAAACCCCATCTCTACTAAAAATACAAAAATTAGCCGAGCGTGGTGGCGCAAGCTTGTAATCTCAGCTACTCAGGAGGCTGAGGCAGGAGGATCGCTTAAACCCGGGAGGCAGAGGTTGCAGTGAGCCCAGATTATGCCACTTCCCTCCAGCTTGGGTGACAAAGTGAGACCCTGTCTCAAAATAAATAAATAAAAATAAAAAGACTGGTGACATTTATTAAAATGAAACTCATAATTAGGTAGAAGATTTATTTAACCACAAGTAAATTTATATCGGAATTCAGTTTATAATTTGAGCTTTGTTTTTTAAAAAGCATAAACTATATACCACGTTCTTTCTCTTATAGTTGCTTAAGAAAGAAAAAAAAAACTTGAAGCAACGCTAGTTGAATGAGGGAAGTAGCGGGAGAGTGGCGGGGGATGTGTGCTGTTCCCATCAGCCCATCAACTCTTTTTATTCTGCAGTGGGCAAGATATGGTGAGCATCCTCCAGTTAGTTCAGAATCTCATGCATGGAGATGAAGATGAGGAGCCCCAGAGCCCCAGGTAATGAACCTGGCAGCTTCTCTTTTCAAGTGTATGTGTTCTTGATTTCAGTAGTGATTGCGCTCTGACAAGTTGCTCAAATAAGAAGCTATATTTCATTGAGTTACATATGATATTAAAATAATCCTTTTTATTTTCAGAAAGACATTTATATTAATATATATTTTGTGAAATGAAGGCATTTATTGAAATTAGATCCCATAGTTTTTATGGTATCATGCCTTAGAGAGGCGCTGGCAGAAGGACTGAAGAGTGAGTGTCGGATGTCTTTCTGCTGCTGTGCTTCTGCTTCCTAAGAATTGCTGTAGTTGTATTCATTAGGTATTTAGTTAGTTTTCTCTTCAATTATTTTAAATTTAATGTTTTGAAATAAGTAAAATTATTCTCTTGGTTCAAAATTCAGACAATGAAAAATGATATACAAAGGGAGTTTTCCTTCCTACCTCTATCTCCCTACCATGTTTTCTTCTCTAGAGACAGACATTACCAGTTTCTTGTGTATTCTTCCAGAGAGATTTTATATGTATTATACACCAGCAAAATGTCTATGCCCACCCTCTCTAATACATAATTACTATGCATATGCTGTGCATCTTGCATTTTTTCACTTATGTCTTGGAGTTCACTGCATATTAATGCACAGGAACTTTCTCCTTTGTCAGAGCTATGTGTTTTACTTTGAACAGATGAACCATATTTTATTTTATTGGTCCCCTGTCATGTTGCACTGTTACAAACATTGCTGCAGCAAACAACTTTCGACATGTGTCACTTCTCATAGAAGCAGGTGTCTGGAGGACAAAGTCCTGAAAGTGGAGTTGCTGTCTCAGACAGTGTGTGCTTTTGTAATTTTGATAGATCCTGCCAAATTTCCCTCCATGGAGTTGCGGCATTTAGCAGTCCCACCAGCAATGTATGAGAGTACTTTATTTCCACACTTTTCACCTGCAAAGGCGTTATCAGACTGAAGGATCATTGATAAGTGATATTCTGATGAGAAATCTGATAAGTGAGAAATGGTGTTTCAGCATAATTCGAATTTGCAGGTTTTTTAAATTATGAACCAAGTGACGTGTCTTTTTGTATGTTTTAAGACCCATTTATATTTCTAGGAACTGTCTGTTGCCCATGATCCTATTAGGTGATTTGTCTTTTTCTTATTATTCACAGTTAACAATTGTAAACTTTTTCCTTCTTTTTTACAGTTATTCTTTATAAGGAAAATTAGTTTTAATTCTATATAAAACATTTTATATAATCAATTTTAATTATATATAAAATAATACCTAGTCCCCCATGAATTTGCTGTATTATTGCAATAAATAATTCTTATTTGATGCATAGACCTGAGATTTAATTCTTTTTTTTTTTTTTTTTTGAGATGGAGTCTTACTCTATTGCCCAGGCTGGAGTGCAGTGGTGCCATTTCGGCTCACTTCAAGCTCTGCCTCCCGGGTTCACTCCATTCTCCTGCCTCAGCCTCCTGAGTAGCTGGGATTACAGGTGCCCACCACCAGGCCCGGCTAATTTTTTGTATTTTTAGTAGAGATGGGGTTTCACCATGTTAGCCAGGATGGTCTCAATCTCCTGACCTCGTGATCCGCCCGCCTTGGCCTCCCAAAGTGCTGGGATTACAGGCATGAGCCACTGCGCCTGGCCAGGATTTAGTTCTTTAAAAAATGCTTTCAGCTCATTTTACCTTAGCTCTACCCTCCACAATTCTTAAGGCTGGTATTTAATTTTTAAAATACTTTAATAGGAAATTATTTTAAAACAGTTTGTAGGTACTCAATTTAAAAAGGGCTATTTATCTCCTGGAACTCAAATTATAAAAATATTTTTCTGGCCAGGAGTAGTGGCTCATGCCTGTAATCCCAGCACTTTGGGAGGCCGAGGCAGGTGAATCACCTGAAGTCAGGAGTTCAAGAGCAGCCTGGCCAACATGGTGAAACCCCGTCTCTACTAAAAATACAAAAAATTAGCCGGGCTTGGTGGTGCGCGCCTGTAATTCCAGCTACTCGGGAGGCTGAGACAGGAGAATCACGTGAACCCAGGAGGTGGAGGTTGTAGTGAGCTGAGATCGCACCACTGCACCCCAGCTTGGGCATCAAGAGGGAGACTCCATCTCAGAAAAAAAAATATATTTTTTTCTCCATCTCAAAAAATAGAAAAAATTCTCACCAAACTATCACTACTGTTTATGCATTGATTTGCCTTCTGGGCCATTAAGTAGATTTCGAGTCTGACAGATATTTCTGTGGAATTCTGTGTCTCTAAGTTCTATGTCCTTTTTTATGGTTTGACTCTAATACTTTAATTTTGCTTAACAGAATCCAAAATATTGGAGAACAAGGTCATATGGCTTTGTTGGGACATAGTCTGGGAGCTTATATTTCAACTCTGGACAAAGAGAAGCTGAGAAAACTTACAACTAGGATACTTTCAGATACCACCTTATGGCTATGCAGAATTTTCAGGTAAAGACATGATGAGTTTCCAGTGAAGACTTTTATGAGTCGGGTGTAGACTGAAAGATCTTTTTTCTGGAGCTGTACTACTTGGGTTCAGATTTCCTTCTCCTTGAAAGGGGTGTTTAACCTCTCAATGCCTGTTTCATCATCTGTTAGATGGGGATAGTATTAATACCTATTTCATAGAAGCGTTGTGAGGATTAAATGAGCTAATGGACTAATACATGTGAAGGGTGGAGAATAGAAGCACATATGTGTTTGATAGGGTCAGCAGTTATTTATTTGTGGGGTATCTAATTGGCACATGTCGGTAGAAGATAGAGCAATGATCTAGATTCAAATACAGTTGTCCCTTATCCTTGGGTGTCCTTGGGGGATTGGTTCTTGACCTCCCATCCTCACCCTATGGATAAAAAAATTCATGGATGCTCAAATCCCTTATATAAAATAGCACAGTATTTTCATGTAACTGAGGCACATCTTCCCATATACTTTAATCTCTTGATTACATATAATACCTAATACGATGTAAATGCTGTGTAAATAGTTGTTACACTGTATTGTTTAGGGAATAATGACAAGGAAAAAAAGTCTGTAGATATTCAGTACAGAGGCACCCATCTTTTTAAATTTCTGAAGATTTTTTACTCATGCTTGGTTGAATCCACAGATGCAGAACCCATAGGTTCAGAGGGCCAGCTGTGCTTTGAAAATATTAGCTTGTGTTTTTATTAGAAAGAAAACTCTGAGGCCAGGCACGGTGGCTCACGCCTGTAATCCCAGCACTTTGGGAGGCTGAGGTGGGCGGATCACAAGGTGAGGAGATCGAGACCATTCTGGCTAACATGGTGAAACCCTGTCTCTACTAAAAATACAAAAAAATTAGCCGGGCGTGGTAGTGAGCACCTGTAGTCCCAGCTCCTCTGGACGCTGAGGCACTGCACTCCAGCCTGGGCGACAGAGTGAGACTCTGTCTCAAAAAAAAAAAAAAAAAAGAAAGAAAACTCTGTCATAAGGAAGATGAAAATGTGCTATGAAACTGAAATTTGTTTTATTCTGTGATAATCCTGGCAGTACTAAGGAATTACAACAGGTGAAGGATTCAGTAGGAGACATAGGACTAGTGGCATTGGGTTTATGCTGTTACTTTTATGGAGAAGGAATGTTTGCCTAACTTGAGACATTTATCTTGAGAGACCCTGACTTTCAGTGTTGGGAAAGAACTTGGCCAAGCAGGAGTATAAGTTTGCCCAACTTTATTAAAGGAGCAGTGTTCTGTTGTTCTAGTAAAAATCTACTGCCTGTAATTGAAATTGTCCATCCTCCTCTAGGAGATGGAGCCTCAGCAGATTATAGTAAAACCAAAAGCTAGCCTGACTAGCTTTTTTATTTTTTTGAGATGGAGTCTTACTCTGTCACCCAGGCTGGAGTGCAGTGGCACAATCTCGGCTCACTGCACCCTCCACCTCCTGGGTTCAAGCGATTCTCCTGCCTCAGTCTCCTGAGTAGCTGGGACTACAGGCACTCACCACCACACCTGGCAATTAGTAGAGACAGTTGTTTCACCATGTTAGCTAGGCTAGTCTCAAAACTCCTGGTCAGGTGATCCACCCGCCTTGGCCTCCCAAAGTGCTGAGATTACAGGCGTGAGCCACCACACCCAGCCTCTAACTAGCATTTTTGACAGTTTTATTTACTTTGGATGTTTTAGGGCTGAAACTCTGCTATGAACTATGCCTGTGTTATCCAGTGCTGGCCTTAGTTCATAATAAGCCAGAACCATGATCTTCAGGCTTTTTATATCTGAGAATTCCTGGTCTCTACTTGTTTTCATAGTTTCTGCTCTTTATGGAATTGGGTATGGATGGAGGGTTATTGTCTCGCTGCTTGGTAACCTCAGCTGTAATGAGGTGTCAGCCATCTATGATGAGGATGTTTCACATTCCTGTCCTCTCTGCCTGATAAAAGTGACAATTCCTAGCTTGAGAAAAGAATTGTCTCCATGATTATAAGGTTGACTTATGCAATCCTTAACTAGAAATAAGAGCATATTAATATGTATCTCTTAACAGATATGAAAATGGGTGTGCTTATTTCCACGAAGAGGAAAGAGAAGGACTTGCAAAGATATGTAGGCTTGCCATTCATTCTCGATATGAAGACTTCGTAGTGGATGGCTTCAATGTGTTATATAACAAGAAGCCTGTCATATATCTTAGTGCTGCTGCTAGACCTGGCCTGGGCCAATACCTTTGTAATCAGGTAATGTGGTATCAGGTGGCTATTTTAAAGAAATAATGTCTTATTTTGTTCTGAAAGTTTTAAAGTTGACCCGTTTGTCTAGTTGCTGTTCTTGCTGAGTGAAAAGAAAGATGGTCTTATATGCTTTTGTCATATTTGTAAAAATTACTGAATTTAGAAATAAGGAATATGGGATAGATTACCCAGGGGCATCCACAGTCAACATTTTCTCTTTTTTCCCAGACTTTAATCGAAGGGGGTGTGTTTGTGTTTATATGGTTGTATCTGGCTCTTTTCACTTATTGTTAAAACAGGAATATATCATTTTAATAATAATTTTTCAAAGTATAGTTTATTTTTAATGTCTTCATGGTATTCCTTCAAGTGAATATATAGTAATTAACTGTTGCCCTTTTGGACAACTAAGAGTGTTTGCATTCTCTTGCTTTCTGTGACCATTTTCAGGTAATGTTCTTTGTGTAGTGCTGTTAAGGACTTCTCTGTGCATAAAGCTCTTCCTGTATTTTATTTAGGGTTATGGTCCTCAGATGGATTTTCAGAGTCAGTCTAGAATTGCTGGATCAAAGAGCATGACTTTTTTTTTTTTTTTTTTTTTTTTTTTTTGAGACAGAGTCTTGCTCTGTCGCCCAGGCCGGAGTGCAGTGGCGTGATCTCGGCTCACTGCAAGCTCCGCCTCCCGGATTCATGCCATTCTCCTGCCTCAGCCTCCCAAGTAGCTGGGACTACAGGTGCCCGCCACCACGCCCAGATAATTTTTTTGTATTTTTTTTAGTAGAGATGGGGTTTCACCGTGTTAGCCAGGATGGTGTCGATCTCCTGGCCTCGTGATCTGCCCACCTCAGCCTCCCAAAGTGCTGGGATTACAGGTGTGAGCCACTGCGCCCAGCCGAGCATGACTATTTTTAAAGTTCATGGTGCTTCTAGCCCAACTGGGAGGACTACATCGAGATAAGACATTGTTAACCGTCTTTGCCAAGAACGTTTGAAAGCAAAACCATAGGGTTGGAGGGTTCCTCTTTTGTAAGCTGTAGGAGTCCCAGGGGGATGTATGGGAGACACTTAGTGACTTTTAAATTGATTCTGAGCTGTGATCACTGGTGTTAAGAAATTATGTCCTCTTCTTGAGGGGTGTACAAAATGGGGAGTTTAATAATAATCCTCTGAAACGTGAAATGAATTACTTAGTGTCTACTGCAAGCCAGGCTCTTGCAGACACAAGGCTGTTTGGGGACAACAGTCTAACCTTCAAAAGATGTGTAAGAGTGTTCTGTTGGGAATGGCAGCTGGCAGAGCAGCATATATAAGATGGTTATGTTCACGTTTTTTAAAGTGTGTGTATCCTTTATACCTATGTTTTTGTACCTAGAAAAATACGTAAATTTATACCTAGAAAATATCTGAAAGGTTATGTATTAAACTGTTAACGGGGTGGATTGGTGGCTTATAGGGTAGGGGGCTAGGCATTTTCACTTTTAATACCTGTATTTTTTTTGAGGATTTGTTTTACTTGGGTGTCACATTCATAATTTTTAATCCTTTAAGGAGAAAAATGTGCTTATTAAATTTTTGGTCTCTGAATGCTACCAAGTCTTAGTCATACAGAACAATATGCTGCAACTGTTTACAATTCCTAAAACTGTAAACTCCTCAAGGACTTGGAGGCTAAACATGAAGAATATAAAATTAAGTTGACAATCACTGTCTCCTGCATAACACTGACTTCACTTCTCTTGAGAAATGTGCATCTGCTAATCCATATTTATTACTTTTTAGGGGTGGGTGAACCCATAAATAAGATACTGTTCTTTGAATGCCTTTAGCTGGTGTTATTTACCAGTAATGCTTGGAGAAAGAATCCAAAATTACCCCCACTAAAATGCTCACGACCCAGTTGTTTCTGTGTTTGTCAAAGTGTTTCTGGTATATTCTAGAATATACCAAAGATAATTACTTGAATCATTTAGAAAATTTTACATTATATCCTCTTATAAGGCACTTGGAAATTCACCCTTTTTTTTTTTCGGCTTGGCTTTCTAAATGTACTTTAACATCAATTTATAATATTAAGAGTTCCTAAGGAGAGAGATTTCTTAGAAGAATAATCGTGTCTTGTCTTAGAGCCACAGCCTTTCACAATCTGAAGTGAATGGTGCAGAGAGCTTTCTTGTCAAGTCATATGTTTCTTCCTGCAGCTCGGCTTGCCCTTCCCCTGCTTGTGCCGTGTACCCTGTAACACTGTGTTTGGATCCCAGCATCAGATGGTGAGTTCTACTTTTGGTTTGTAAAATCATGTGGGATTGTGTTTTGAAACTGCCTTTCAAATGAAGTTCTTTTTGCTGGCCTCCAGATAATTAGTAACTTACTCATGTATTGCTTGGATCCTTACATTGTGTAATATATGCTTCTGTTAATATGTGAATGTCCATGAAGGTTGGTTGGTATATAGGTCAGGAGCACCTGGCTTTTAAGGAGTCTTGTAATTACTGTATCACCTGCTTTAAGTAGAAACATGGCAGCTCAATTAAGCACCAGAAATTTCTTCTGAAGCTCCTACTTTTAATGAGTTAGCACTGTTGCCTGGATTTATGAATGGGCAGATTTTGAAAATGAGGTTCTTCATTGTCATCATGGAATTGAGTTCTGCTTATTTTCAGACATGCAGGTGATAAATCTCTCCTTAATGATTCCAGAAGGAAAAGGAAGGGATGGATTTTAGAGTTTTTTATTTCTTTTGTCAAGGTAGTTTTATTTTCTAGTTCAGGTACATCAGTGAGTAATAGTAGAGATACATTCTTGGCTGTTTTAGGAGAGTTAAGAGAACATTTCATTTAAATGTAAATGTTTAAAATCAAAGAAATGTTCCTGCATATGTACAGTTTTTACCTTTAATTTTGTTTAACTGATTTTTCTAGTCTTCAAGGAAAACTATTTGATTTTCACATCTATGATGAGAGAAAACAGAAAAATTGTCAAGAGTAAGAATTGATTTGACATTACTTTTGAGAGTTATCTGCTTCTTTTGTAAGTCATAATTTTTCATTTTATAGCTTTTATACTGGGCACCTCATTTTTTAATGATTTGTTTTGGTTCCAGGATGTTGCCTTCCTGGAGAAACTGATTAAAGATGATATAGAGCGAGGAAGACTGCCCCTGTTGCTTGTCGCAAATGCAGGTAGGTAGCATGATGCTGAATCTACCATTTTGAATATATAGGAGCGAGGCTACGTCCTCAGCCTATAAAAGATAAAGTCTTAAGAAATGTGTGTGTACCACATGTTTAAGATAGTCCATATCCACATTGTAGCAAAAACTGTAATAGTAAGGTTGGCTCGTTAGATTTTTCTTTAATCGTTGGTTTGTTTTGGAAGTTATTTTATGTGTGTGTATACTTTTTCATTTAGATGGTAAATGCTTCTCTATCTTCTCCTTCATGTACTTCTTTTCCCTGTTCTAAACTGAATTTTATTTTATTTTTTTGAGATAGAGTCTCACTCTGTTGCCCAGGCTGGAGTGCAGTAGCACAATCTCACCTCACTGCAATCTCTGCCTCCCGGGTTCAAGTGTTTCTCCTGCCTCAACCTCCTGAATTGCTGGGATTACAGGTGCATGCCACCACATCTGGCTAATTTCTTGTATTTTTAGTAGAGACAGGGTTTCACTATGTTGGCCAGGCTGGTCTCGAACTCCTGACCTCAGGTGATCCGCCTGCCTCAGCCTCCCAAATTGCTGGGATTACAGGCATGAGCCACTGTGCCTGGCCTGAATTTTTAAATGACACATTTAAGCCAGGTGTGGTGGCACATGCCTATAGTCCCTCTACTCAGGAGACAAGCAAGATGTTGGCTTAAGCTCAGAAGTTCAATACCAGTCTGGGTAACATAGCAAGACCCCATCTCAATAAATAAATAAAAATAATTGTACTGACGTTGTAAGATTGTTGTAAAAATTAAACAAGAAAATTCATAAGATGTCACACTTAAATATCTACCTTATAGGCGGCAGAGCAACTACCACTTGCTGCTCCATTTATCTCATTCAGCATCATACTTGAAATCTAAGACAGTGCAATAAGGCAAAAAAAATAACTGACAGATTAGAAAGGAAGAAATAAAACTTTGTTTGTAGGCATGATTGTATAGATAGAAAACTAAAGAAAAGCTACTGGAACTAATGATCAAATCTAAACCATTTTCTGGATTTTTACATACTAGCAAAGAAGAATTGGAAATTGAATTTTAAATGTCATTTATAATAGGATCAAAAAAGATGAAAAATTTATGGATAAATTTAACAAAATATATGCAAGATCTGTACATTGAGAACTAAGAATGTTACTGAGAGAAATTCAAGAAGACCCAAGAACGATATGCCATACACACGGGTTGGAAGACTAAGTATTAAGTCAGTTCTTCCCAAACTAATCTGTAGATTCAACTTGATCCATCTTAAAATCTCAGCAGGCTACAATTTCTTAATAGAACTTGATGAGCTAATTCTAAAGTTTATATAGAAATACAAGGGATCTAGGAACAGCCCAAGGGATTTTGAAAAAGAACAAAATTGGAAGACTTACCTTGTCATACTTCAAGACTTCTGTAAAGTAGCAAGTAAGACTGTGTGAGATTAACCAAAGAAAATAGAGAATTCAGAAATAGACTCATGTGAAGTATATGGACACTTCAGGTTTTTACAGATGCCTGAGTAATTCGAGGGAGAAAGGACCATCTTTTTCCATCAGTGGTCTTAGAGCTTGGATATCCATATGGAAAAAAACTGAATCTTAACCCTTATCTTATTCTCTGTATATATAAATATTAACTATAAATGGTTCATCAACCTAAGCATAGATCTAAGACAATAAAATGTCTCAAAGAAAATACAGGAGATCTTTGTGACCTTAGGTTACATTTCTTAGGATACAAAATATGTGAACCATAAATTGTACTTTATCAAAAATTAAAAGCATTAGCTGTTTGAAAGCCCCTATTAAGAAGATGAAAGGCAAGTTACAGACTGGGAGAAATATTTGCAAAACATTTTTTTCTTTTTTTTTTTTTTTTTTTTGTCTTTTTCTATTTTTATTTTTTATGTTTTTGAGATGGAGTTTTGCTGTGCTGCCCAGGCTGGAGTGCAGTGGTGCGACCTTGGCTCACTGCAACCTCCGCCTCCCAGGTTCAAGCGATTCGCCTGCCTCAGCCTCCCGAGTAGCTGGGATTACGGGCGCACGCCACCATGCCGGGCTAATTTTTGTATTTTTAGTAGAGACGAGATTTCGCCATGTTGGCCAGGCTGGTCTCAAACTCCTGACCTCAGGTGGTCCACCTGCCTTGGCCTCCCAAAGTGATGGGATTACAAGCGTGAGCCGCCACACTCAGCCAGCCACTGTCCCAGTCCTGTCTTCTTTTAAAATTTCTTTTTCATTCTTTTCCCCAGAAGCTACAAAACATTTGTTTGACAAAGAACTTGTATCTAAAATATATAAAGAACTGTTACAACTCAATAAGGACACAAGCAATACAATTTTTTTTTTTTTTGGAGATGGAGTCTCATTCTGTTGCCCAGACTAGAGTGCAGTGGTGCGATCTTGGCTCACTGCAACCTCTGCCTCCCGGGTTCCAGTGATTCTTCTGCCTTAGCCTCCCGAGTACCTGGGATTACAGGCATGTGCCACCACACCTAGCTAGTTTTTTTGTATTTTTAGTAGAGATGGGGTTTCACCGTGTTGGCCAGGCTGGTCTTGAACTCCTGACCTTAGGTGATCTGCCTGCCTTGGCCTCCCAAAGTGCTGGGATTACAGGTGTGAGCCACTGTGCCCGGCCCACAATACAATTTTTTAAATGAACAACAGATTTGAGCAGATACTTCATCAAAGAAAATGAAAATGTATAGCACTTGAAAAGATGTTTAACATCATTAGTCATTAGTGAAATGCAAATTAAGATCACCATGAGACATTACTACATGTCTGTTAGAATGGAGAAATTACAGGTGGCTCACACTTGTAATCCCAACACTTGGGAAGGCTGAGACTGCGAGATCAATTGCCCTCAGGTGTTCGAGACCAGCCTGGGCAACATGGCGAAACCCCTAGGAAATCTCTACAAAAAATACTAAACATTAGCCAGGTGTGGTGGTGTGTACCTGTAGTCCCAGCTACTCCAGAGGCTTTGGTGGGAGGTTGGCTTGAACCCAGGAGAGAGAGGTTGCAGTGAGCCAAGATTGTGCTACCATACCCCAGCCTGGGTGACAGAGCCAGATCCTTTCTTAAAAAAAAAAAAAAAAATTCTTTAAAATATAATGTCAGGCCAGGCACAGTGACTCAAGCCTGTAATCCCAGCACTTTGGGAGGCCGAGGCGGGCAGATTACGAGGTCAGGAGATCAAGACATCCTGGCTAACATGGTGAAACCCCGTTTCCACTAAAAATACAAAAAAATAGCTGGGTGTGGTGGTGGGCACCTGTAGTCCCAGCTACTTGGGAGGCCGAGGCAGGAGAATGGCATGAACTCGGGAGGCAGAGGTTGCAGTGAGGTGAGATCGCACCACTGCACTCCAGCCTTGGTGACAGAGTGAGACTCTGTTTCTGTAAAAAATAAATAAGTAAATAAATAAAACTTGCCAGGTGTGGTGGTGGGCACCTGTAGTCCCAGCTACTTGAGAGGCTGAGGCAGGAGAATGGCTTGAACCCGGGAGGCGGAGCTTGCAATGAGCCGAGATTGTGCTACTGCACTTCAGCCTGGGCGACAGAGTGAGACCCTATCTCAAAAAAAAAAAAAAAAAAAAAAAAAAAGGCAAAAAACTACAGTGACAGAAGCAGATCAGGATTTTCCAGGGCCAGTGAGGAGTCAGGGAAAGGGTAATTATATTGGGGTTGATGGGATTTGGGGGTTGATGGAAGTATTCTGAATCTTGATTGTGTTGATGGTTACATGCTCTATATATTTGTCAAAACTCATTGGACCGTATACTTACATGAGTGAGTTTTGTTGCATGTAAATCATACTACAATAGGCCGAGCATGAGAGCTCATGCCTGTAGTCCCAGCACTTTGGGAGGCTGAGGCAGGCAGATCACAAGGTCAGGAGTTCAAGACCAGCCTGACCAATGTGGTAAAACCCCATCTCTACTAAAAATGCAAAAATTAGCCAGGTGTGGTGGTGTGCACCTGTAGTCCCAGCTACTTGGGAGGCTGAGGCAGGAAAATCGCTTGAACCTGGGAGGTGGAGGTTGCAGTGAGCCAAGATCGCACCACCGCACTGTAGCCTGGGCGACAGAAAGGGACTCTGTCTCAAAAAAAAAAAAAAAAATCATACTACAATAAAACTGCTTATTTAGGCCGGGTGCGGTGGCTCATGCCTGTAATTCCAGCACTTTGAGAGGCCAAGGCGGGAAGATCACCTGAGGTCAGGAGTTCAAGACCAGCCTGGCCAAAATGGCGAAACCCTGTCTCTACTAAAAATATAAAAATTAGCTGGTTGTGGTGGCAGGCACCTGTAATCCCAGCTACTTAGGAGGCCGAGGCAGGAGAATAGCTTGAACCCAGGAGGCTGAGATTGCAGTGAGCCGAGATTGCGCTGCTGCACTCCGGCCTGGGCAACAGGGTGAGACTCTGTCTCAAAAAAAAAAAAAAAGACAAAATAGAAAAACCACATAAATATTCACTTTATTGCCAACAGGAAAACCATCACTTCCTGCCTTATTGTTTAAAAACACAAATTCACCCATATTCAATCACATGATAAACTGGAGGGGCTGCAGTTTGCATGTGACTGAGTGACTTGCCAGTGTGATTATGTTGCAGATGTCAGCAGACACATGTCAAGGGTTAGTCACCAGACGTTGCCAAGAAATACGAAAAGAGAATCTGCATGCGATCCAGGCACTAACACAGCAGTACGCTTTTATTTTGCTGGAAGAGCCTGTGGCACAGCCCATGCATTGACATTTGATCTTGTTTCAGCTAAACTAAATGTGTCTGTTAAGATTTTTTTTTTTTAATTTGAGGTAGATTTAGGTATGAGGGGAAAAAGTTTTCAGCCCTTTTCCTGGCATAGACCTTACAAAAGAACTACTTTCTTTAGCTGTGTTTGTTGAGGCCGTTGGTGAGTGTTTGAAATCTTTTTAGTTGGCTTACTGCTAACTGGAAATTTAGGACGGTTGGGGGAATGCCTGACTCAACGTTTTAACTAAGCTCTCTCTGAAAAGGGATCTCCCCAGCAAAATCTGTAGTGCAATCAATTACCAAGGGAGCGGCTGAAAGTGCTTAATATGCTTAAGCTGGCTTCAGAATGCATGTTCTGTATTACAAGGAACCTGGGTGGAAACAAAACAAATTCATCTATGTTTTGTTTGTTTGTTTTTTGAGCTGGAGTCTCGCTTTGTTGCCCAGGCTGGAGTGCAGTGGCACGATCTCGGCTCACTACAAGCTCTGCCTCCCAGGTTCACGCCATTCTCCCGCCTCAGCCCCGCGAGTACCTGGGACTATAGGCGCCCACCACTACACCCGGCTAATTTTGTTTTTGTATTTTTAGTAGAGACGGGATTTCACCGTGTTAGCCAGGATGGTCTCCATCTCCTGACCTTGTGATCCACCCGCCTGGGCCTCCCAGAGTGCTGGGATTACAGATGTGAGCCACTGTGCCCAGCCCACCTATATGATTTTTATAAAGGGCATATCTAAATCAAAATAATCCAGGAAGTGACAATAAAATAAAAAGGTGGAAAAGTTTATCTTGGACAAATGCTGACAAAATGAAAGTACCATAGCCATATTAGTGTGGGATAAAATAGACTTCATATTGATGAAAGATGTAATCTCCTAAAAGAAATAACAGTTATAGCTGCTGGGCACGGTGGCTCATGCTTATAATCCCAGCACTTTGGAAGGCCGAGGCAGGTGGATCACGAGGTCAGGAGTTCGAGACCAGCCTGGCCAACGTAGTGAAACCCCGTCTCTACTAAAAATACAAAAAAATTAGCCGGGCGTGGTGGCCACCGCCTGTAATCCCACCTACTTGGGAGGCTGAGGCAAGGAGAATTGCTTGAACCTGGGAGGTGGAGGTTGCAGAGTTGAGATCATGCCACTGCACTCTAGCCTGGGCGACAGTGTGAGACTCCGTCTCAAAAAAAAAAAAAAAACAGTTATGAATGCTTGTGAACATAACTTTAAAATATATAAAGGAAAGCTAAAGGAAAAGTCTGATGTAACACAAGTATATATTGACAAACCACAATCTTGGTGGGAGATTTGAATATATTTCTCATGAGTCAGCAGATCAAGTAGATAGAAAATAAGTATATAAAAGAATTCAATGACACAATTAGATACATGTAATAGAGATTACATACTCTTCAAAGCTTGTAATAAGTCAACTCACAAACACTGATTTTAAGTCCTTCCACAAAGAAAATCTCAATAAAATAGGGATATAATAAGTCACTTCCCTCCTAGGGCGATAATGTGTATAAAAGTGTTTAAGGTATAAAGCCTTAGAAAACATTTGTTCCTTTTAATGCCCTGATGTGTTTTATCCTAGGAACGGCAGCAGTAGGACACACAGACAAGATTGGGAGATTGAAAGAACTCTGTGAGCAGTATGGCATATGGCTTCATGTGGAGGGGTAAGCTGGCGGTGAGGCTGGTGGCTCCATTCGGGCCTGCACAGAGTCCTTATGAGGACTGGACATCCAGGCTCTCACTTTGGTGACATTTATCACGAAGGGCTCTTTGGGTCACAGATCACAAAATAACCCAAATTGGCTTAAGCCCAAAGAGATCTTACTGGCTCACATAACTACAAAGAGCAGTGTTATGACTGCCTCAGGCACGACATCAACCAGGATCCAGTGTGTTACTCCCACCTCTGCTCCCCCAGTCACAGGCACTGGGCTTGGTTTCCTCTATCTGTGGACAGATCTTCCTGTTACAGTGCAAAGTAGCTGCAGAAACTCCAGCCTTCTTTCCAGCTTCGTGGTCAGCTGGAAGTCCTAACAGAAGTCTCGTATTGAACCAGCCACTGTGGCCAGGGAGAAGTAATCCTCTGATAGTTGAGGTTCTTTGCTCTCCTCTGGAGCAGATAGTGGTGTCTCCTCCCCACAAAGCTCATGTTCTGCTGGAAGAAATGGAGATGGCGCCCTGGAAGGCTATTGTAGGGCCATTAAGAGAAGCAGGGGGAACGGACGTGGGCAGCCAGAGTAGCCCATATCCACCACATCATACAGGGAGGTTTCTTTTTGATCCCTAAGTAAAGAATGATAACTGGAAAATAAGATCCATGAAAGAGAAGAATACTCCCATTATATTAAATGAGCGGGGATAGTTCCTGAGACACATTTTTATTAAAGTGCATTTTCAGGATTTTCCTTCATATGTATAAAGCACACCTTCTGTTGCTGTTAATGAAAGCTAATAACATTAAAAATATACTTAAGTGTCAACTTGCAACAGCACAGCCTTTATTTTTTTAAGTACATGGTGAGTAAGCAACATTAAATAATTAGTTCTTGGACTGGTGTTTTTTCTTCCAGTGTGAATCTGGCAACATTGGCTCTGGGTTATGTCTCCTCATCAGTGCTGGTATGTTGTTGATTTACTGAATATTGGTGTTTTTAAGAATGAATTTAAAGTCACTCAGTCCCTCATGGCTCTTCACAGTTTTTATGAATGGAGGAGGGTGTTAGGTTTGTGTATTCTGATAATCTAACAAAGAGTTGTTCTTGTTTTGGTAGGCTGCAGCCAAATGTGATAGCATGACGATGACTCCTGGCCCGTGGCTGGGTTTGCCAGCTGTTCCTGCGGTGACACTGTATAAACACGATGACCCTGCCTTGGTAAGTTTCCACTCACTGGGGAGGGAGTGGGTGTGGCTAATACACATTATTGGCTTTGGGGGCAAAATCCAGAAAAATACAGGAAAAAGTGAAAAATACCCATAATTTCACTTCTATTTCATTTTTTTAAAGAGAAACTTGTGAGACTTTTTTTAATGACATTTTATGATTGTATAATATTCTGTCACAATTTAATTATTCTCCATTTATGAACTTATAGGATGTTTTCAGAGTTTTGTTACTGAAATAATGAAGCAGTGAACGTCTTTCTGTGTTTCTAATTATTTCCTTAGAATAGGTTCCCAGATGTGGAATGACTGAGTGGGGGAGTTTTAAGCCTCCTGATCCACATTGCCCAATAGGTTTTAACTTTTTTTTTTTTTTTTTGATATGGAGTCTCGCTCTGTCACCCAGGCTGGAGTGCAATGGTGAGATGATCTTGGCTCACTGCAACCTCCACCTCCTGGGTTCAAGTGATTCTCTTGCCTCAGCCTCCCAAGTAGCTGGGATTACAGGCATGCGCCACCACGCCCGGCTTATTTTGTATTTTTAGTAGAGGCAGTGTTTCACCAAGTTGGTCATGTTGAACTCGCGATCTCAGGTGATCTGCCTGCCTCGGCCTCCCAAAGTGCTGGGATTACAGGCATGAGCCATCACACCTGGCCACATTTTTTTTTTTTTTTAATCGTAGTTGTGGGCCAGGCATGGTGGCTCATGCCTGTAATCCCAGCACTTTGGAAGGTTGAGGCAGGCAGATCGCTTGAGCCTAGGAGTTTGAGACCAGCCTGGGCAACATGGTGAAACCTCATCTCTATAAGAAAAAACAACAACAAAGAATTAGCTGGGCATGGTGGTGTGAGCCTGTAGTCCCAGCTACTCATGAGGCTAATGTGGGAGGGCTGATTGAGCCCTGGAGATCAAGGCTGCAGTGAGCTATGATCACACCACTGCACTGCAGCCTGGGCGACAGAATGAAAACGAAACCTGTCACAAAAAATAATAATAATAATGTGGTTCTTGATAATATAGGTCAGCGTGCAAAATAAGGTTTAAGTGATTTCTGCTAAAACACTGCTGTCTTGCTCAGCTAATAATGGCCAGGTGTTTGAGGATGCTCAGAGCTACCTTCGAAGTGGGGAGTCTCCTAGGTTCTGGGATGTGACCCATCTGGGTTTTCCACTGGCTTTTCCTGGCTTTGCCACTCCTGAGCTGTGAACCCTTGGACAAACCGAGGTCTCTGAGTGAAGTTACCTAGAATACTTAGCTCACAGAGTTGTTGGAAGATCACATGGATAATGCAAGCCTAGTGACTAGTATGGCATCTAGCCCACACTAAGTGGGTAGCAAATGGTAGCTGGTTAGTTCTATTATGAGATTGCAATGGCTTTGATTAATAAACCTCTTTTGGCTTTTTTAGACTTTAGTTGCTGGTCTTACATCAAATAAGCCCACAGACAAACTCCGTGCCCTGCCTCTGTGGTTATCTTTACAATACTTGGGACTTGATGGGTTTGTGGAGAGGATCAAGCATGCCTGTCAACTGGTGAGTAGAAGCCTGACATTTAAATGAAAGACTCCTTGGCCACAGCAGAGACAGAAAAACATCTCATTTCTGTACCTTCCATCCAGAGTGGTGTTGTCTGGATTGACTGTCTCGTGAGCCAGAGACTAATCGCCCTGCATGTAAATATTTCTTGTTCAAAGTTCTGGGAGAAAGTGCTGGGTTGTCTGTCCCAGCATTTGTGTGCAGATGAAATCAGATGAAAAGGAACACCACTGTCAGCATGGGATCAGAAAAGAAGTCACAGATGACTTCCAAGGAGTGGAGAAGGGTGCAAAAGGTGGAGGGGTGGGGAGCGAGTGTTCCCCTTGATTGACTGACTACGGTGAGGGAATAGGAAGGTTACAAGGTGGTTATGGAGGGCATGGATATTTTATAAACCAGCTGGCTTGGGTTTCCAAATTGCAGGGCTCTTGGGGACAATTCTAATTCTCTCTCCATTTTAGGTGTGTTCTAATTGTGAAAAATATATAATTATGCTATATTTCAGTGTTTTAGAGCATTCAGGCTTCTATAACAAAATACCTTAGAGTGGGTAATTTATAAACAACAGACATTTATTGCTTACAGTTCTGGACGTGAGAAGTCTCAGATCAAGGTGCCAGGAGATTCCATGTCGGGCCCGTTCCTCATAGATAGTGCCTTGCATGTGGCCTCACATGGCAGAAGGGGTGAGCACAGTCCCTTGAGCCTCTTTCAGAAGGTCACTAGTCCTGTTTGTGAGGGTTCCATCCTCATGCCCTAATGACCTCCCAAAGGCCTCAACTCATTTGCGATTAGGTTTCCACATAGGAATTTTGTGGGGACATAAATATTCAGATCATAGCATTTAGAAAGCAAAAAAACAGGCTGGGCATGGTGGCTCACGCCTGTAATTCCAGCACTTTGGGAGGCTGAAGCGGGTGGATCACAAGGTCATGAGATCAAGACCATCCTGGCTAACACGGTGAAACCCCGTCTCTACTAAAAATACAAAAAATTAGCTGGGCGTGGTGGCGGGCGCCTGTAGTCCCAGCTGCTCAGGAGGCTGAGGCCGGAGAATGGTGTGAACCCGGGAGGCAGAGCTTGCAGTGAGCCGAGATCGCGCCACTGCACTCCAGCCTGGGTGACAGAGCGAGGCTCCGTCTCAAAAAAAAAAAAAAAAAAAAAAAAAAGCCAAAAAACAGGGTCATGTTTACTCAGGGTTAGAGCTGAGCCCTCCCTAAGCTCAGAAGTGCGTCACCTCCATTTTCTTACCTGTGAAATATAAATTATATGACAAGGATTGCCAGGATGGCTCGAGGAACGAATACAGGTAGAGCTCTTGCAGTAGTGTCTGTTCATATAGTAAGTTATGCACGTGGGTTGAAATCTTTGTTTTAAATATATTCTTGGGGAGTTAGCACTTCCTCAAGTATCATTTCTATATTTAAGAAACATAGGTGGCCGGGTGCAGTGGCTCACGCCTGTAATCCCAGCACTTTGGGAGGCCGAGGTGGGCAGATCATGAGGTCAGGAGATCAAGACCATCCTGGCTAACACGGTGAAACCCTGTCTCTAATAAAAATACAAAAATTAGCCAGGCATGGTGGCGGGTGCCTGTAGTCCCAGCTACTTGGGAGGCTGAGGCAGGAGAATGGCGTGAACCCAGAAGGCGGAGCTTGCAGTGAGCCGAGATTGCGCCACTGCACTCCAGCCAGAGCGAAACTCAGTCTTTTAAAAAAAGAAAGAAAAATAGGCCGGGCGTGGTGGCTCATGCCTGTAATCCCAGCACTTTGGGAGGCCGAGGCGGGTGGATCACCTGAGGTCAGGAGTTTGAGACCGGCCTGGCCAACATGGTGAGACTCCGTCTCTATTAAATATACAAAAATTAGCCAGGTATGGTGGCAGGCGCCTGTAGTCCCAGCTACTCAGGAGGCTGAGGCAGGGAGAATTGCTTGAACTTGGGAGGCAGAGGTTGCAGTAAGCCAAGATCGTGCCACTGCACTCCAGCCTGGGTGGCACCATCTAAACACACACACACACACACACACACACACACACACACACGAAAAGTATTTGCGTAGTGCTCTAGCAGTAGTCCCTTCGTTCATCATATGTTAGGATAGTTCAACAGTTTTAAGTATGCTCTGGGCTGGGTGCAGTGGCTCATGCCTATAATCCCAGCACTTTGGGAGGCCAAGGCAGGTGGATCACTTAAACCTCAGAGTTCAACACCAGCCTGGGCAATGTGGTCAAACCCTGTCTCTACAAAAAATACAAAAATTAGCCAGGTGTAGTGGCACACACCTGTGATCCCAGCTACTCAGGAGGCTGAGGTGGGAAGATCACTTGAGCCCAGGAGGTCAAGGTTGCCGTGAGCCCAAATAGCACTACTGCACTACTCCACTCCAGCCTGGGCGACAGAGTAGGACCCTGTCTCAAAAAAAAAAAAGAAAAAAAGATTGATGCTCATTATGTTTACAAAAGCACTGCATTTTTTGAAAAGTGTCTCACTGTGCTATTAGCTCACTTCTTGAGATGTGGTTCTTAGGAAAGAGAAGCCTTAGTAACTTAGTTTAGAGACGACTTGGGCACTCGGGAGATTTTTTCAATATCCCGTGGCTATGGAGTGCGGGAGAATGATGCCATTAACTACCAGACCCTTGAGGTCAGCACAGCTCTGGCATCTTCCTGCAGGCAGAACCGTATACTCCTGAGGATTTGAATGCTGTCCTGCTGCTGACTCACAGGCTAATAAATGCATGTGTTAAATTACTTGGACATTTAGCAGACATGGTGATCTGTATATAGCCATGCCTTATAGTCCACAGTGGAGCATACATTTCCTGAGAGCGTAAATCAGCATTCGCCTCCTCATCCTCCTCTTCCTTCTCTTCTCCCTCTCTTCTTTCTCGTCTTCAGTAGTTATTGAGCATTCACCTCAGTGTCAGGCACCATGAAGTACTTTCATGCATCATCTCATTTGATCCCTGCAACTTCACTAGAATGTCAGTTCCACTGATGACAGTGTATTCAGAATTAATTTTCTTTAAGAAAACAAAAAGGAATTTCTTGAGGGGCTTTCTACTGTCCAGTACTCAGTGAATATCTGTTGAATTAATATACTCCAATCCCATGAGTTAGATATGATTAGTGATGAGGGACCTGGGATTGAGACATTAGTCTAATGACACTACATTCTAGACCCTGTTTCTAAGCACTTCCTGTATTGCATATCAACTCATTTAATCCTCACAGCAATGTGAGATACATACTATCCTCCCCATTTTATAATTGAGGGAACTGAAGCATAGACAGGTTACATAGCTGGTGACTGGCAGATGAATTGACTTAGCCGTGGTCCTGCAGGTGATGAGTGGCAGCACTGTGCTCTTATCACCAGCTCTTGAGCGTGCTGCATCCTCTCATTTGTCGTTGGTCTCCCCTAGTGTTCAGTACTGTGCCTTGCACGTGTTTATACTCAGTAGCTTTTGAATGACAGACTTACATTGCAAATACAACAGATTTCCATGTCTTATTAGAAACTGCTTTTCTTGAATTACTACATGTAACTTGAAGGATTGGTGAATATTTACAGATGTTGAAATACAAAAACAGGTGGCTGAACTTAGAAACCACCAAGTGGCAGGTGACTTTGCCTGACATCCGTGTTCACAGACCTCCACAGCCCCTGGTGAAAACCACTTCTTCATGTCCCATGTCCATCTAATTACATGTGTTATTTTTTGTCATTTGCAGAGTCAACGGTTGCAGGAAAGTTTGAAGAAAGTGAATTACATCAAAATCTTGGTATAGTATATAATTTCATCTGTTTTCAAAATATAACTTTTTTTGAACCTCAGCAACTTTGAATGATTTTAGAACTTTAGAATGATTTTCTCCACATTTCAGTGGAATTGTGGCAGCTCCAGTAAAAAAACAAAACAAAAAAACGAAACAAAAAACAAAAACAAAAAAACCTGCTTATATTTATACAGTGAGTCTGAAGCGAAGAAATTTGAACCATACAATGTTTAATTCCTATGGTGCTTTTCATGTACTTCATTTATTGTGTTAAAGTTCAGAATTGCACAAAGATAAACACCATTGACTTCAGCTGCCCAAGGCCTTGGGCACACTCTTCTTCCCAAAATGAAAAGTCACTTTGTGCCTCAGAATGCTTTGGGGTTCTCTTTCTGCAACCTTCTGCCATCAGTTTTCATTTGCATGAAGTGGGAGAAAGAGAAAAGCAAATGGCCCTGCTCTTGTCTTCTGATATCTTCCTGAAGTGAATCCAACAGATTGTTCCCTAGGCATAACTAGACAAGGAAATAAGGACTTAGGAGAGAATGGGGATCAGTTCAGGTTTGAAAGTTTTTGTGTTTTGCTTCATGGTATTTTAGAACTTCAGGAAATATATGTCAAATTCTGATTTAAATAGGTTCATTGAGTGTTTCTTTGACAATTCTGCAAGGTATGCTTAAGTTTAACATTTGAGTGTATTTGGGGTTCAAGTCAGTAGGTTTATTTTTCTTTTAGAACATGGTTTGGTTTAAATACAAAAAGTAGCCGCGCATGGTGGCACACGCCTGTAGTCCCAGCTACTGGGGAGGCTGAAGTGAAAGAATTGCTTGAACCCGGGAGGCGGAGGTTGCAGTGAGCCGAGATTGCGCCTCTGCACTCCAGCCTGGGTGACAGAGACCCTGTCTCAAGGAAGAAAAAAAAATGCATGGTTTGGTTGAAGGGGGTGTGGCTACTCTGCCTTCTGAGTGGGAGTCTGGAGCCAGTTGACCCGAGTTCTAGCTCAGTGGGAGTTCTATCCTTGGACGAGGAAGTGGACCACTGGAGAAGCAGAAGGGATGAATCTAAGTTCAGAGGCCTGGGCTCTGCTCTGAGCAGTGCCACAGGGTGGCCCTGTGACATTGAGTCATTTTCTTTCCAAGCCTGACTGTCAAATGAAAGTATGCCGGTTGGTCTCCTCTGATTGCAAACAGAGAAGCAAATTATGGCCTAGATTGAGCAAGCTGTTAAGAATCCAGGCGGTGCTGGGCCCATCTGCTTTCCTGCCCCTGCCATGTTGAGCGCACTTGGCTTTTCCTCAGTCATCGCTGCTCCCTTATTCTCAAATTGGGGGACCCAGTGGTGCTAGTTAATCACCAGTTGTTTTGGAGCATCTCTGTAGGCCACACTGGCCCAGGCAGAAAGCCTGCTCTGTCCCTTCTTCCAATGGCTGTTTTTTCAGTAGAGGATACAATAATTGGCTAATACCATGAGGCATTATGGCCTGTGAGTCCTCATCATCACCATCACCATCACCACCATTCCAGCTGCTGCTTGTGAAATTCATGTGTGGTACTAAGTACCTTACATGAATTATTTCATTTAACCCTCCCAACAGTCTCCTTTGTACGTGCTGTTCTCTCTGCCTGGAAACACTGTTTCCCACCCCCCGCCCCCAATTCTTCTGTTTATTTTTTTTTGAGACAGAGTCTCACTATGTAGCCCAGACTGGAGTGCAGTGGTGCGATCTTGGCTCACTCTAACCTCCGCCTCCTGGGTCCCTGTTCAAGCAGTTCTCCTGCCTCAGCCTCCCGAGTAGCTGGGGTTACAGGCGCATGCCACCATGTCCAGCTAATTTCTGTATTTTTAGTAGAGATGGGGTTTCACCATGTTGGCCAGGCTGGTCTTGAACTCTTGACCTCGTGATCCACCCGCCTCAGCCTCCCAAAGTGCTGGGATTACAGGCATGAGCCAAAGCGCCCAGCCTCCCCAGTCCCAATTCTTCTCATGACTGGTTTCTTATCTTTCAGATCTTAATTCAAATCTCACCTCTTCAGAAAGGCCTTTCCTGGCCACCCTAAGATCATCTCCCACCGTCAGACATCACTCCATCCCCCTGGGTCGTCTTCATCACTCTTACTACTATCTGAAATCAAATCTGTTTGTTTTTTCCTATAGAAGGTTTGTAAAGGCCTTATACAGACTCACCACTGTGCCTCACCTGGGCATTAACACCCAAGACCCTAGCCCTGAAAGCCCAGTGCCAGGCCCCAGACATGCTCCCATCCCCTGCCACTCAGCTTACAGTCCTCTTTCTGTTTCCTCTTCTTTGTGGATTCACCTTTTTTTGGGTGTGAGCCCAGCCATGGTTTAACCTTTTTTTGGTTCTTGGTTATATTTAATCCAGTATTTCAGATATTCAGAATTGACAACTTCAGTGTTCACTCAGTCTATCACGTTACTAGAACCAGAAGTGTCTCCAACCCTGTATACTATTTCTTACACACATTGACATTTGAGACCACTGAGTTCAAAGAAAGAAAAGATGATCATAATATTCATAGCAGTCTTGGCACTCACCTCATTCTGCCATCTCCTAGCTGAGGATGGGAGAATGGGCGGATTATTTTGTTGCCTTTTTGTTCCTCCTTGCTTATTGGGCGTGCGCCCCTATTTAAATATTAAGCACCGCCCCCCTGCCGCCCGCCGCCGTACCTTTAAAAGTATCACGTTTTATTTGTCTCTGTGAAAGTTAAAGATGATAGATGTGAAGGCACTTAGCACAGGACTGGCCCCCTAAATAATTGGCAGATTTGAATTCACATCCTGCTTGGTATGAATACTGTCCACACGGTCCTTTGAAAAGTTAGTAGAAAAGATCTTGGGCCACTGCTTCTTGTCTTTCCAAGTTAGCATTTCCTGTTGCGGCCCTACCAGTGAGTCATCACACTCAGAGCCTTGGAACATAAGTTTTATTACTAGAGCTATAGTACTGGGATTGTTGGATGCTTAGAGATCTTCCCCCCCCAGGGCCACCCACACTCCCCTACAGTACCACAGAGCCTGCCAAGGACATGGATGCTTACGGTACCCTGACCCCATGGCTTGACCAAGTCAGGGTATACTGTTTGATGCAAAACAGGAACTCGCTGCTGGATTATCATAATACATAATGCAGTGGATGTTTTCAACTGTTAGGAAACCCACTAATGAAGTTAGTCGTCTTCGGCCTGTCTTTAATAATAATTAAATATATTAGAAAATACACAGATCCAGTTCTCAGCTGTGCTTGTCTACATCACCAGCAGGACTTGCATCTTGTTCTGAAAGTTTTGCAAAGGGGAGGAAAGTACTTGTTGCCCCCTCTTTTTTTCTATGAGTATGAAAAATTCTAGTTGGCCAGGCACGGTGTCTCACGTCTGTAATCCCAACACTTGGAAAGCCAAAGTAGGAGGATTAATTGAGGCCAAGAGTTCAAGGCCAGCCTGGACAACATAGCAAGACCCCATCTCTAAAAAAAACGTTTAAGTTTCAATAAATCCTGCATAATTTCTGGGATTCTTGAAAGCATGGGCTCTCTCCGCACTGAGTCTAGTTTCACTGCTTCTTACTGGTTTTAATCTTTAATGTTAGACCTATGTTTATCCCTTATTAAAATTTCCCCCTGCTTTAATTTCAATGTACCAGGGTCAAACATCTTATAATTCACAGTGTACTCTCAAGGCTGGCTCATAGTTATTTTTTAAAATTTTACTAAACATTTGATTTTTCTCTAGCAACTGAAATTAACCTCTGAACTTTTTAGTGTGTTTATTTACAAATAGAGCATCTCTAAGCGAGTTTTTGAACTCAGCATTTCATTTTGAAGGCGTCTGGAGTTTAATGTTACTTGGTGATATGAGACTTCCATTCTTCCAGGTGGAAGATGAGCTCAGCTCCCCAGTGGTGGTGTTCAGATTTTTCCAGGAATTACCAGGCTCAGGTCGGTGAATTTTAAAAGAGGGTTATTTTCATATCTGTGTTAAAGGCTTTGAATTTGATACCATTTCAAGTTAAATAGTTCAAAATATTTTTATTGCTGACAATCTTCAGTCAGCATTTCAGAAAAATGTAATAATTTTCATGAAAACTACAGTCCGAAACGCCTTAGCAATTTGCTGATAGTTTGCGGTGATTAAACCAGGGGTTCCCAAATGCCAGTCCCTGGACCAGTGCTGGAATGGCTAAGAAAGAGTTGCTTGAACATAAAGATTTGTGGGTCTTACTTCCCACATATTTTGAGTCAATAGGTTGTGCCCAGGAATCTGTATCTTTAAAGAATGACCCAAGTGCCGCCAGTCTAGTCCAGGGCACCACTCTTTTTTTACCTGGTTGGCCATTGTCCCCTCTCAACTGACCTCTGACTTTCATACATTCTACACAGCCCATTCCAGACCATTCTCCACCTGGCAGAGAGGGTTATAAGTGGAAGTCACATGGTGTTGAAACCGGAAAGGTTCCCTTGTCCCCCTCGCAGGGCATGTGATGGGGGTGTGGCTCGCTTCTTCAGTGCCCCGCTGCTGCTCAGACCTCTAGGAGAGCATACAGACGGGCAGGCTGTGGGGCTCCGACCCCATGGCAGCATCTAGGGGTGAATGTTTTACAGCTCCTAAGGCTCCAGCGGGCATGTGTTACAGTGTGCTCTTTTAATTTAGCCGTCTGTAGGCAGCTTGTTTTAGCTCACTTAGACCCCCTTCCTTATCACAAGGACAGAGGGATTAATGTATCCCAGGTTCTTGTCTTGGTGTACCGGAAGAATGGGATCACATGTGGGCTTGGAGAATGAGTGCAAGGTTTTATTGAATGAAAGTAGCTCTCCGCTGATGGGGGAGCCAGAAGGGAGACAGATTTCCCTTGGAGTTGGGCCGCTCAGCGGCCCTGGCCAAACTCCGCCTCGTCCCCGTGGTTGATGGCCTGCTGGCTTGCCGGGGCCTGTCGGGGTGCTCTTCTGCCGGCCTGCTCTCCATGACCAGCCGCTTGTGTCTTTTTCCACCAATGTGTTCCTCTGGCCATCCAGCCACTTCTGTCTGCCCACTAGGGTCTCAGGTTTTTATAGGCCCAGGATGGTGGTGTGGTGGGCCAGCGTGGTCTTGGGAAATGCAACATTTGGGGGAAGGCAGGAGTGCTTGTCCTCACCTAGGTCCGTGGGGGTAGAGTCCTAGCCAGGGACCCGCCTTTCTCTCCCCAGCACTTCCCTTCCCCGCTTCTGTGTCATTTAAAGGGACCACGCTCTTCCCTTCCCAGCACTCCCGTATCAGTGTCACTTCCCTGCCCAGAGTCCCTGGGTATCTTACCATTTCGGTCGAACAAAGGCCAGGCTCTCCCATGCCCCATGAGGCCTGCACACTCTGCCCCGAATTCGCTTCTGCCTTCCCCCCTTCCACTCTCCCTCTTGTTCGTTGTGCCTCAGTCAGACCAGTCTTCTCCGCGCTCCAGAACACTCTGCCCTTTCCTACCGCAAGGGCTTAACACTCGGCGTTCCCTCTGTCTTACACACATTTCTCTCTTCTGGTGCCAGCTCCTCCTCACCATTTCGGTCTCCACTAAGTATCCACATCCTCAGCCTTCCCTGCCTGTCGTGCCTGAGGGGACTCCATCATTTTCTATCAGAGCCCCCAGCTTCACTTGTGACACTAACAACCACATGGAGTGATTTTCTTTCTTTATGGTCTGTTTCCTCAACTAAAATGTAAGCTCCAAGATGACAGAAACCTTACCTGCCTTCTGTCCCAAGTGTCGGGCTCTGTGCCTGGCACGGGTTGGCACCCACTGTGAGGCCTAGTTAGATGATCGTGGCACTCACAGACCTCGCACGGTGCTTGGTAAACTAGTTAGTAACTTAAAACAATTGCTGTTTCCCCTTGAAATCCCTTGAAAGCAAACCTTTTCAAAAATGAAATTAATAATTCTGTCTTATGTGAATGTATTCAAGTGTTACATAGATCACGAGGAAAAAGAAATGTAGCCCTTCTGTCAGATAATACATGAGAATTCAGTAATACGAGTCAGTGCCCTGGGGCTAATATTGGGATGGGAATGATGTGGGGTTTGGAGGGTGTTTTTTTTGGTCAGCCGTGTTTCTGGGAGTGACTCCCTTTCTGTGTTTTGGTGTCAGATCCGGTGTTTAAAGCCGTCCCAGTGCCCAACATGACACCTTCAGGAGTCGGCCGGGAGAGGCACTCGTGTGACGCGCTGAATCGCTGGGTGAGAATGGCAGTCACCCCCCTTTCCTTTCAGGTCCCCGTCCATCACCATCCGACCTGCTGGTGAGGGTGACGCGTGCTCGTGTATGGGAACTGAGGCCCACAGGAGGAGCCGCCCTGCCAGTGCTGGGCCTGCTCTGGAGTTCTGTTCCCCATTGCGTTACCACCTCACGAGCTGGGTCACCTCTGGCAAGTCCTTCTGGCATTGCTCCCTCACTTTCCTTGCTGCTGTATAAGGCTGTGAGACAACAGGCAAAAGGTGGGCTGCAGGGCAGCTGCGGTGGGTTCTGGTGAGCCTGGGCAGCACAGCCGGGAGCCCCAGGCAGAGTCTGCCGAGCATCTGCAGCTGGCAGTGTGGAGCCAGGCCTGCACTTTGATAGCGTTTTGGGCACTGAATAGCAGCTCTAGGATTTGAGTCTGAAGGGTCTTGTGAACAGTGTGGGATGGCGGCAGCAGCGGTTCTAGCCAATGCTGGACACGCCCAGCCTAGCAGGGTTGGCAGATAAGTCCTGGTACATCCATGCTGGGGCTCAGCACAGCTGTGAGAGACCACAGAGCTGAGTGTCTCAAGCAGAAAGGAACTGGTCATAAACGAAATGAATCAATGCAGGTTACTAAGCAGTGTCAAGTAGCATGTTTTATGACAACAACTACAACTCCCTGCCCGCCACTAGGAGAAAAGACGCTGGGGGCAGACCACATGTCAGCAGTGGGTGTCGCTTAGTAATATATTGTGGGTCATTGTTATTTTCTTCTTTTTGTTTACTTGTATTTCCTAAATTTTTCTACAATGAACTTGTATTAATAAGAAAAAACCATAAAATTTACTGTTTTTAAAAAGCTGCTCTAAGTAATCAGACAGTCAAAAGAGCAGGAATCAGCTCTCCAGGAGGCTCTTTGGTCTGGGGCCGAGGGGATGAGGGTGGGTCCTGAAGACGTCTGAGTCCCTTGTTACAGGAGGGTGTTCATTGTGTCCTCCTCACAGCTGGGAGAACAGCTGAAGCAGCTGGTGCCTGCAAGCGGCCTCACAGTCATGGATCTGGAAGCTGAGGGCACGTGTTTGCGGTTCAGCCCTTTGATGACCGCAGCAGGTAAACCAGGCTTGGTGGACATCCCTTGCTTTTGTTCTGGGGCTGCTGGGTAGATTAGCTTGCCCTTATGATACTCCATTCTCCTAGAGTTATTAGCAGCTCTTTTTGGAGGGGCATTTTCTTTTCTTTTGGGCTAAATTTAGGTAGATTAGCATTCCCATGTAACTTACCAGAATCAGAATGAGAATTCAGAAGTCACCTGAATTGGCCGGGCATGGTGGCTCACACCTGTAATCCCAGCACCTTGGGAGGCCAAGGCAGGCAGATCATCTGAGGTCAGGAGTTCGAGACCAGCCTGGCCAACATAGTGAAATCCCGCCCCTACTAAAAATACAAAAAATTAGCCAGGCACCCTGTCCACAGCCCCCACACAGACTCGAGGGGCCCCCATCTCCTGTTCTGAACCCAACAGGGTGGTCCCACTGTGGGACCACAACCAGGTATGACTGTGTGAGAAGCAGGCTCACTACCAGGCTACCAGGGAGCACAGGGGAGCAGGCGCCACCTTGAGGCATAAACCCAGAGAAACAAGACCTCCAAGACGGCCAGGCACTGGGGCACACGCCGGTAACACAGCACCGTGGGAGCTGAGACGGAAGGATCGCCTGAGCCCAGGATTTTGAAACCACCCTGGGCAACACAGTGAGACCCCGTATCTACAAAAAAATACACATTAGCCAGGCATGGCGGCATGCGCCTGGGGTCCCAAGTACTCGGGAGGTAGAGGAGAGAAAAATCACTTGAGCCCAGAGAGGTCAAGGCTACAGGGAGCTGAGATCGCATCACTGTACTCCAGCTGGGGTGAAACGGCGAGACTCTACCTCAAAAATAAATAAATACATACATAATTAATAAATAAAACATCAAAGACCAGCCGACCTAACTCCATCTAAAATACACAACTTCTACGCAAAATATAAATAAAATTAGAAAACAAACTACAATCTCAGAAAAGCACTAGCAACTTAGACGACATACTAAAGGCCAAAAATACCCTCCTGACACACAGCTAATAAAGAAAAAGTCAACTATTCCAGTTAAAAAGAAGAAAAGGAAACTGGCTGTGGTGGCTTATGCCTGTAATCCCAGTGCTTTGGGAAGGCCAGGAGTTTGAGACCAGGATGGACAGCATAGCAAGACCCCATCTCTACAAGGAAAAAAAGAATCAGCCAGGCATGGTGGTGTGGAGCTGTAGTTCCAACTACTCGGGGGGCTGAGGAGGAAGGATCGCTTGAGCCAGGGAGGTAGAGGCTGCAGTGAGCTATGATTGTGCCACTGCAGTCCAGCCTGGGCGACAGAGCAAGACCCGGTCTCGAAAGAAAAGAAAGAGAAAGCAAGAAAAGAAAGATGGCTGGGCACGGTGGCTCACTCCTGTAATCCCAGAACTTTGGGAGGCCAAGGTGGGTGGATCATGAGATCAAGAGATCGAGACCATCCTGGCCAACAGGGTGAAACCCCGTCTCTACTAAAAATGCAAAAATTAGCTGGGCGTGGTGGCGGGCACCAGTCCAGGCTACTCGGGAGGCTGAGGCAGGAGAATGGTGTGAACCCAGGAGGCGGAGCTTGCAGTGAGCCGAGATGGCACTGCTGCACTCCAGCCTGGGCAACAGAGTGAGACTCCATCTCAAATAATAATAAAAAATAAATAAATAAATAAATAAATAAAAGACATCACTCACACCTGTAATCCCAGCACTTCGGGAGGCCGAGGCAAGCAGATCACCTAAGGCCAAGAGTTCAAGACCAGCCTGACCAACATGGTGAAACCCCATCTCTACTAAAAATATTTTTAAAAATTAGCTGGGCGTGGTGGCGCGCGCCTGTAATCCCAGCTACTCAGGAGGCTGAGGCAGGAGAATCGCTTGAACCCGGGAGGTGGAGGCTGCAGTGAGCCGAGATCACACCATTGTCCTCCAGCCTGGGTGACAGAGCCAGACTCCGTCTCAAACAAAACAAAACAAAAGACATCAGCTAGCTGGTCCAAGCACAGTGGTGTTCACAACGAATTGATCACAGCCAGGTAGAATTCTTCATTCTTTCTCCAGTTCCACTGCTTTGCTTGACCAGCCTTAAAGACACACATACACATTTTTGTCTGGGCGCGCTGGCTCACACCTGTAATCCCAACACTTTGGGAGGCCAAGGCAGGCGGATCACTTGAGGTCAGGAGTTTGAGACCAGCCTGACCAACGTGGAGAAACCCCGTCTCTCCTAAAAATACAAAATTAGCCAGGCATGGTGGCACACGCCTGTAATCCCAGCTACTGGAGAGGCTGAGGCAGGAGAATCGCTTGAACCCGGGAGGCGGAGGTTGCCGTGAGCTGAGATCGCGCCACTGCACTCCAGCCTGGGCAACAAGAGCGAAACTCTGTCTCAAAAAAAAAAAAAAAAAAGTATATATTTTTAAAAGACATTGGCCGGGTGCGGTGGCTCACGCCTGTAATCCCAGCACTTTGGGAGGCCGAGGTGGGCAGATCACGAGGTCAGGAGATCGAGACCATCCTGGCCAACACAGTAAAACCCCGTCTCTACTAAAAATACAAAAATTAGCTGGGCACGGTGGTGCATGCCTGTAAACCCAGCTACCAGGTACTCGGGAGGCTGAGGCAGGAGAATCGCTTGAACCAGGGAGTCGGAGGTTGCGGCGAGCTGAGATCATGCCACTGCACTGCGGCCTGGAGACAAGAGCAAGACTCCGTCTCAAAAAAAAAAAAAAAAAAAAAAAAAAGACATCAACTAATTGCAGTGTGTGGACCTTATTTGGCTCTTAATTCAAACTATTAAAAATGTGAACACACCAGGCCTTCGGTGGCATGAAGGAATTGTCTGTTGTGTTAGGTGGGTCTGCAGTATTGCGATGCCCTCCAAAATGCTTGCAGATAAAAGGGTGGCTGGAATTTGGTTCAAAACATGGGTCAGGGCTGGGCGTGGTGGCTCATGCCTGTAATCCCAGCACTTTGGGAGGCCGAGGCGGGCGGATCATCTGAGGTCAGGAGTTCAAGACCAGCCTGACCAATATGGAGAAACCCTGTCTCTACTAAAAATACAAAATTAGCCAGGCATGGTGGTGCACGCCTGTAATCCCAGCTACTCGGGAGGCTGAGGCAGGAAAAGCGCTTGAACCCAGGAGGCGGAGGTTGCCATGAGCCGAGATCGTGCCATTGCACTCCAGCCTTGGCAACAAGAGTGAACTCTGTCTCAAAAAAAAAAAAAAAAAACACATGGGTCAGGAGGGGAAGGGTCGGGGCAGGGAGGGCAGGGCAGGCTCTGGGGTGGGGGGTCTGTGAGTCAGCCACGGCTCTGCCCACGTCTCCCCACGAAGCTTCGAGCCACGCAGAGCAGCACGTTTTGCAGTACGCCATCTTTTCCAAAAGCCACCACCTCTCGGCAGCATCATTAACCCAAGGCAGGCTGTGGCCTCAGAAGCCCCGGCTGTCCTCCACCTGGAACTGGACACAGCTGTCCCTGCTGAGCTTCAGCAGCCAGGGAGCCACAAGTGGAGAGGCACCTGCGTGAGCCCCCCAGGAAGGCTACTGGTGACACCCAGACAGCAACGCTCCTGGACCCTTGAACACCTGCCAGCAGCTGTGATCTGTGTCCTTCACCTCTCCCAGCTTGACCCCTCTTCCCTGGGGAAAACCCAGCCGTCTCCCCGAGGAGGAGTTTGCAGGGTAGACAGCAAAATGGCTGGGCTGCCCCACAGCACAGAGGGTGGCCTGGGGGGCCAGCCAGGGCCTTCACATCCTTCCTAGGGCCCTAGTTTCCCATGGGTCCCCTCACCCCACCTTCCAGAACTCTCCCAGCGGCGGCCCCAGGTGTGTACAGAACAGCACCCACCTGCCCACATGAGGTCACCCTGTGCCCTGTTGCACACTTGAGGGGCCTGGCATTCGGAATCTTGCCAGCTCAGGCTGGGACAGGCCACCAACCCCCAGGGTCCCCCTCCTCCAAACCCCAGGACCAGAGCCTAAGAGGACAACACAAGGCAGGGGCGGGGGCTCCACTGCTGTGCCAAGGGCCTGGAGAACACGGGCCTTGCTCTCCGCTCAGCAGCCACCAGCGCCCTTCTCTCCCGGACAGCTCCCGAGGGGCTGCTCTCATGGACACCATCAGGTGCTGGGAAGCAGGAACCACCAGGACCTGGACAGAGTCCCCAGTGACCGGCCTGGCAGACAGAGGAGCCCTCAGCTACAGCATCACAAACAACGGGTGGGGTAGGTCTGATGCAATTCTGTGGGTGCTGTTGCCAGGCAGGAGGAGGCCATCTCCACAGAGACAGCCGCGAGACACACGCGTCCGCAGTCAGGGAGCGCAGGAGCAATGTGGCCCCGAGGGGCACGGGCTCCATTGGTCCAGGAGAACCCATTCTTCTCCCACCCTCGAGACCACCCAGCAAAGCCCCAAGGACACACGGCTCCCCTAAGGAAGGGTGGCCACAGGCGGGAGTGACCCAGAAACGTTACAAAACCAAATGCCAGAACCCACCCAATGTTTAGCAAGCCTGGGGATGTGCCACGTCCCCCAGGGATCCAGCACGCACCCAAAGAGACACTGTCCCGGCGAGGAGCCTGGAGCCTGGGAAATACAAGGCATCAGACTGGTCCCAAGACTCTCCCCAGCGCTGGGGACAACTGTCTGCTTATCTTAGTCCCCTGCGCCCTTTTCAATCCAACCCTGGGTCCTGGGCACCTCATAGTTCCAAACCCCTGCTATGCACATCCCGGCTGTGATGCCTGGGACAGGTCCTGTCCTGGCTGTGATGCCTGGGACAGGTCGTGTCACCTCTCCAAACCTGTTTCCTCATCTGTGAAATGCAAATCTCCACGGTCCCTATGCCTCGGATGGTCAGAGTCAGGATTCCGCATGACGACCCCCAACAGGAGCCTGGCACAGACCTGGCTCTGGGCAGCGTCTCCATAAAGGCCACCTGTTGTTTTTATCTCCCGAAAGCGAACATGACAAGGCTTTAACCCCCCACGGCAATCCGCCCTCACCCCTGTTCTCAGGATAGCCTTGGAACCCAATAGCAGAGCGCCTGAGGCCCTTCATGACCCCAGCCCACCCGCGAGCCCACCTCCCACCCTGCCCCTACCCCTCACACCTCCCGTGGCCAGCCTCCAGCCTCACGGTCTTTGCTCACACCGTTCACCCCCCTTCTTCTGGACCCACCTCATCGCCCCTTCCTAAGCATCAGCCCAATTCTTGCACATCCATCAAATCCTTGTCCAGACACCTCCTGGAACTCTTCCCTGCAGCCCCCTACAGCCATCCCCACCTCTCCGGGTACCCCGCAGCCCCAGGCCGCATCCCAATTCCTCTCCAATTAGCGACTGTTTGTCCTCCCAGCTGAGCGCGGCCTCCGCGCCCCGCCCCCGCTGGCGTCTGCACAGCCCCCGGGTGGGACGTCTGTCTCCAGACCCGGGGTTTTTCGGCTCCCCGGGGCCGTGCCAACCGCGGCTCCAGGCGTTCCTTATTTAGCAGGGCCGCTGTGCCGCGCCGGAGCCTCGCCCTGGGAGCGTCCTGGCCCGCGTCCTGCTTCCCGTCCCGGGCCAGGGAACGCGCCCACGCCCGCCCGTCCCGCGGCCTCTCCCGGGTGCCGCTGGGCCCGCTACTCACAGCGCTGTGGCGTCCGCGGGGATGCGCAGCGCGGGACCGAGCGTCCGCAGCCCGCGGCCCGCGGCCCGAGCAGTTGACGCGGCAGGCGGCGCCGGGCGCTAGGCCGCAGAGGCAGGGGGGCTCGCAAGGCCCGCAGCCGCGCCCGGGGCCCCCCGCCAGCGCCCCGAGCCACAGGCCCAGGCCCAGGGCCAGCGCCAGGCGGGCGGGCGCGGCGGGCGGCATCGTTAGGGCAGCGCGCGCATGGCCCCGCCGTCCCCAGGCCCGCCCGCGCGCGGAGGCCGCGGCTCAGGCGGGGCCGGCGGACGGCATGGCGGGCGCGGGGCTGGATGGGGCTGCGGCCGCGACCTGCTGCTGAGCGACGCCCGCTCGGGGCTCGGGGCCAGGCCGCTCCGGGAGCTCGGCCGCCCGCTCGGACGTTGGCGCTGCAGTGCGGGCCCCGCCGCGGCTCCTCCTCCTCCTCCCCGCGCGGCGCAGGGCGGACGGGGCGAGGGGGGGCGGGGCGGGTGCAGGCTCCGCCCCCTTCGCCACAGCGCGACCGGGCCAGCGATGAGGGACTGGCATCCGGAGGCTTCACCCTCCGCTCCACAGGGTCGGCAGCAGGGCGGGGCCTCCGGAAGCTCCGCCCCACGCTTTCCCGGGGCGCATGCGACGTGGGGCGGAGCGTCTGGAAGCTCCGCCCGTCGCACTGTAGAGTCGGCCGAGGCGCACGAGGTATTTTTCACGCTCCGCCCCTCTGCAGGCTAAAGTGCGTGGGCGGGAAGCGGTGGGCAGGGTGCCATCTGGCTCCGCCCTTCTCCTGTGGTGTGGGCCAGGCGGCGGCTTCCTCCTCCTGCAGCAGCCACAGGCTCCACTCTGATCCTTCTCCCGCGGCATGGATCCTTCTCCCGCGGCGTGGATCCTTCTCCCGCAATCTCCGTGCGCGTCCCCAGTCAGTACCCGCAGCCTCCCGACGCACCCGCTGGCTCCAAGCCTCCCTACCCCAGGTTTCCTGGCTAAGAGAGAGACAGAGGGAGAGAGGGGGAAGAGAGAGAACAGGCAATGGGAGGTTGATGGTGAGAGCTTATTGAAAGACAAGAGGGAGGAAACCCACATCCTTCATTCCCCATCCATTCATTTATTGCCTTATTTATTCCATTGAATCTTCACAGCTCTAGAAAAAGTGTGCTACAATTATTCCCTTTATTAAATGAGGTCACTGAGGCACAGTTTAAGAAATTTGCCAGCAGGGCACAGTGGGTCACTCCGGTAATCCCAGAACTTTGAGAGGGGGAGGAAGGTGGATCCCTTGAGCCCAGGAGTTGGAGACCAGCCTGGCCAACATGGCGAGACCCCGTTTCTACAAAAATTAGCCAAAATTAGCCAAACTGGCTCACACTTGTAGTCCCAGGTACTCGAGAGGCTGAGGCCGGAGGAGCGTGTGAGCCCAGGAGGCAGTGGCTGCGCTGAGCCGTGATTGTGCCACTGCACTCCAGCCTGGGCAACAGAGTAAGACCCTGTCTCGAAAAAAAAAAAATGGAAAAAAGAAAAAAAGAACTGGCTGGGAGTGGTGGCTCATGCCTGTAATCCCAGCACTTTGGGAGGCCGAGGTGGGTGGATCACCTGAGGTCAGGAGTTTGAGACCAACCTGACCAACAAGGTGAAATCCCATTTCTACTAAAAATACAAAAATTAGCCAGGCGTGGTGGCAGGTGCCTGTAGTCCCAGCTACTAGGGAGGCTGAGACAGGAGAATAGCTTGAACCTGGGAGGCAGAGGTTGCAGTGAGCCGAGATTGCACCACTGCACTCCAGACTGGGCAATACAGTGAGACTCCGTCTCAAAAAAACAAAAAAAATCCTACCACATGTGCTCCACCAAGCTCTGTCTCCAAGGTGGCCTTGGAAGCCACATGGGGAAGGTGGCAGAGACTCTAGGAGCCTGAGCAGAAACCCAGATGATTATGAAAAATGCAGACCTACCCATCCTTATTCACCTGGGACCACCGTGAACTATATCATAAGAAATAAACCCCTATTGTACATACATGCACCATTCGAGTTGGGTCTATTTGTTACAGCAGTTTAGCCAACCCTAATCCACATATACAGTGTCAACAGTGGCTGAGATGACATGTTGCACAGACATGAGAGTCAGAAAGACCTGAGTTCAAGTCCCAGTGATGACATTTACTATCTGTGTGACCTTGAAAAGCTGCCTAACTACTCTCAGACCGTTTCCTCATCAGTTTGTTTTGAGAGTCAAATGAGAAAATTACTAAAAAGCCCTTAGCACTGCATCTAAGATGGGGAAGAGACAGTCAATGAATTCAAGTTTCCTGAAGCCCAGTTGCATCCCTGCCCTGCCCTGGGCTCTGAGAGACAGTTGCCGAAGCTAGTGTTAAAGTGAACTAAATATGGCCTGAGTGGGACTTCGTACTTCTATAGTTGAGTCCTTGTGGACAAATTGCAACCTAGCTTAATAGGTAGACAAGATTGAAAACCTAACTTAGGAGTATGCGCCTGTAACAATAGCTGAGTCTTGGCCAATCCCAGAGGCCGTAGTTCAACCGCTCATACGCTGCTGAGTGTTCAAACTGTACTCAAATAAGGCAAACGCCAACTTGTAACAATCCAGCCATTCTGTACTTCACTTCTGATTTCTGTACATCATTTCCCTTCTTTTGTCCATAAATCTTCTTCCACCACGTGGCTGCGCTGGAGTCTCTATGAATCTGCTGTGATTCTGGGGTCTGCCCAATTCGCGAATCATTCATTGCTCAATTAAACTACTTTAAATTTAATTCAGCTGAGATTTTCTTTTATCACTAATTTGAGCTGGTTTTCTAATGTTTGCAAATGGGAGGGCTGACTAATATAACACTGCTCCAAATATTAACGTCTTTCTCCCAACCCATCACCCAGGCAGAAGTGGTCCAGCCTGGGCAACCCTAGGAGGAGGCTAGCTCTCCTCTAGGAAGGCTTAGGATGCAGCCAGTGGGCAGTAACTGGCTCACTGTCCCCTGCAACTGAAATCAGAACTGGTTCCAGAAACCAAGTTGACCCCCAACCAGTCTTTCCCAAAATATGGCTCTATGCCCATCTCTGGTCAGGCTGGGCTGTTTTCCTGGACAGAGAAGTCTCAGACAAGCAGGCAGTGGTTAGTGGGCTGTGCCCAGGCTGAGAACATTTCCCAGAGAAGATGGCATCTCTGGCAGTCCCTTAAAGCCAGCAGAGGCCAAGTCATGTCCAAGAGGCCAAAAGGCCCAATATGGTGGAGACAGTATACAGTCCCCATGAATAAGGGATGCTGATGCCTTCCCTATGTACCAGGTAGTCACTGCCTGAGGGGCCCAGAGCAGCAGGAGGGCAGAGCCAGCCTGGGCAGGGGCACTGGGCCGGAAGTGGGGCTCACATCCTCAGCACACACACACACACACACACACACACACACACACACAAGCGAATGCGCACACACACACACAAATGCACGCACACACAGATAGGTGCATTCAAACATCACATACACGTGTACATTCCTTGCAAAATCAACTTCTGCTGATAGCACAACAAACAATGGGGCCACAGTGTGGCATGGAGGAAACCCTGGAGTCTGATCTCATTTTTTTTTTTTTGCATCTGTCAGGGGATAAAGATATTTGATAAAAATCCTTGAGTCACATCCCCACCAGGTCCCTGCCTACCTGTAGACCCCATCAAGCCAGCTCCATGGCCCTTCAGATACCGCCTCACTGGGTCCCCAGGGATTGACCTCAGTCCTGGAAATGCAGAAATATCTGTATCTGTCACAGCTGAGACTGGCGGCCTTCCGCCGGCTTTCCTGGAGGCAGAGCTGGAGACAGGGACTTGGGTGGATGTGGTTTTTGTTTTTGTTTTGAAAGGGGCTTTCAGGAGAAGGGAGGTGAGGACTACAGGATGCAGAAGGGGACAGAGCAGAGTGAGAATGTGGTCCCTTAAAGTCCCGCCTTGACCTATCCCACGAGCAGCAGAGAGCACGCCACAGGATCGTCCCCACCGTGGGGCAGGGACCAGCCATTCACGTTGCTGTATCAGTTAGTCACTGGGCCATTACTGGGCATGGCATCCCATCCCAGGCAATGTGGCTCCCATCTGAGGGTGATTCTCTAGAGAAGGACAGCTGTGAGCTCTCAGCAGGTGAGGCTCCAAAAGCAGCTATACCAGTCTAGACCTCAGGGGAAGGGGGAATTCATCTCTAGGCAGGGATGATTTTCATAACATTGAACTCTTGACATGCAGGAGCACCGACCAATCAGAACAGACACGGTGACCAAACAGGCACAGCCACACCAGTGGATACCAGCGGAATGTCCACGCTGCCTCTGCGAAGGGACAGTCCCATGAGCCAAGCCCTAGACCAGCTGTTCTGGGAGCACTGCATCATTGCACTGAATTCTCACAACCGCCCCATAATGCTGGGACCATCCCCATTTTCTTGCCCAACAGCCTTCGTCTCATAGACACTAGGCGGCTCTCCCAGGGTCACACGGTCCAGTCAATAACGGGCAGAACTCGCACTCCGATCTGTCTGGCTCCAAAGCTGCTAAAAATTTTCTACTTGGCCTCACTGGCTTGACAAAGATAAAAAAGAAGGCAAGTCCTTCTTTCCAAGAGATGCTGAGGTCCCTCGGTGACACTAGGTCATGATTTTATCATGTTCAGAGGGCAATGAAAGGGACAGAAAACAAGCGATGTGTGATCTCCTGTCATGTCAAGAGACGCTGTTTTCAAAGAAACGTACGTTTCGCAGAATCAATACGCTGTGGGGCCTCAGAAAGCAGAGGCAGACACACGGCCCCAACCCGTGCACGTGGGAGCCCTGTTACAAGAGACGGCAGAAATTAAACTGAATCACCTGGAGCAAGTACATTGTAAATGTTCAATATTAATGACCCACCTCGGCCCCAAAGAAGAGAGCGTTGGGCTTTGTCCAGCTGTGTGCTCTGTTGTTAAAAGACCACCTTGTGGCCAGGCACGGTGGCTCACACCTGTAATCCCAGCGCTTTGGGAGGCCAAAGCAGGTGGATCACCTGCGGTCAGGAGTTCGAGACCAGCCTGGTCAACATAGTGAAACCCCGTCGCTACTAAAAATACAAAAATTTGCTGGATGTGGTGGCTGGCGCCTGTAATCCTAGCTACTCGGGAGGTTGAGGCAGGAGAATCGCTTGAACCTGGGAGGCGGAGGTTGCAGTGAGCCAAGATCACGCCATTGCACTCCAGCCTGGGCGACAAGACTGAAACTCCGTCTCAAAAACAAACAAACAAACAAACAACAACAGAAAACAATTTGTGCCTTAATGGGCATTCCTTTCCCTTCTTGCTAAGGGATGAGATGATGGCAGAACTTGTGGCCACTGTCCTGGAGGTTGACAAGCTTTTTCTGTAAAGTGCTAGATAATAAATATTTTGTGGGCCACACGATCTCTGGTGCAACTACTCAACACTGCCATTGTCATGCAAATGTAGCCATAGATGATAATAAATGAATGGGTGTGACTGTGTTCCAATAAAACTTTATTTATAAAACAGACAGCTGGCCAGAGTTGGGCAATGGGCAGTAGTTTGCCCCCCACTCCCCGCCCATCCGTCCTATTCCTTGGCTTTTTTGGGTACATCAAGGAGTGCAGTCTGGATGCTGGGCTATTTTATGGCCACTGGGCATAACCTTAACCTGGGCCTTTTGTCTGTTAACCTGGGTCAGTGGCTACAGTGAAGGTCGGGCAACCAAGGTTTAGATGGCTCAGTACACATTCACGCCCACAAACCAAACCAGGAAAAAGATGTGCTAAGTTGAGCATATGACACTGTTGGTACTCAAATGGTTTGTTTTTTTTTTTAAATAAATGTTTAAGTAAATTTTTTATTTTAGAACAGTTTTAGAAAAATGGTGAAAGCAGTACAGAGAGTTTCCATGTACCCCATAGCTTGATGCATTATGAACTAAAGTCCATACTTTTTTTAGGGGGGTGGGGACAGGGTCTTGCTCGTCACCTAGGCTGGAGTGTGGTGGTGTGATCATAGTTCATGGCAGCCTCAACCCTCCACCTCCCCTGGCTCAAGCGATCCTCCATCTCAGCCTCCCAAGTAGCTGGAAATACAGGTGCCTGCTACCATCCCCAGAGAATTTGTTTTTGTTTGTTTGTTTGTTGTTTGTTTGTTGAGACAGGGTCTCACTCTCATTGCCCATGCTGGTATACAGTGGCACAATCACGGGTCACTTGCAGCCTTGACTTCCCGGACTCAAGTGATCCTCCCATCTCAGCCTCCCGAGTAGCTAGGACTACAGGTGCACACCACAAGCCTGGCTAATTTTTTGTATTTTTTGTAGAGATGGGGTTTCGCCATGTCGCCCAGGCTGGTCTTGAACTCCTGGGCTCAACCCATCCGCCGGCCTCGGCCTCACAAAGTGCTAGGGTTACAGGCGCGAGCCACCGTGCCTGGCCACCTAAAGTCCATAGTTGATTCTGATTGCCTTAGTTTTTGCTTAATGTCCTTTTTCTGTTCCAGGATACCACATGGAGCATTTTGAGGAGTGCTGGCCAGGTATTTTGTAGAATGTTCCTCAACTGGGATTTGGCAGATGCTTCTCATCCTTAGTCTTGGCTTGTGTGTGTTTTGAGGAGGAGGACCACAGAGCTTAAGAATCATTCTCAGCACTCTGTATCAGGCACGCATTCTCTCAAGATGACTTGCCGCTATTGAAGTTGACTTTGATCACCTGGCTGAGGTAGTGTCTGTCCGTGTTCTCCACTGTAAAGTTACTCTCTCCTCTCTTTTCACACTGTACTCTTTGGAAGAGAGTCACTATGCACAGCCCACACTTAGGATGTGGGAAGTCCGCTCCACCTCCTTGACGATGGAATAGCTATATAATTTACCTGGGGCCGGGCACGGCGGCTCACACCTGTCATCCCAGCACTTGAATGGGAGGCCGAGGAGGGTGATCACTTGAGGTCAGGAGTTTGAGACCAACCTGGTCAACATGGTGAAACCCCGCCTCTACTAAAAATACAAAAAATTAGCCGAGTGTGGCAGCGCATGCCTGTGATCCCAGCTACTCGGGAGGCTGAGGCACAAGAATCGCTTGAACCTGGGAGGTGGAGGTTGCAGTAAGCCAAGATTACATCACTGCACTCCAACCTGGGCAACAGAGCAAGACCCTGTGTAAAAAAAAAAATTAAATAAAAATAAATAAATAAATAATCTGGAATTCTTCTGCCTGGGAGATTTGTCTCTTCTCTCTTATCTGATCATTTATAGCAGTATGGAATCATGGGTATTTGTTCTTTGAATTCTAATCCAATAGTACTTTTTTGGGGCTCAAATTGTTCTGGCTTTGACCCCTGGGAGCTTTTCCATTGGCTCCTGTGTCCCTCTGAGATGCCCCATCACTGCAGCAGTTTCATTTTGTTTCATTTCGCGCCTCCTCACCCTGTGACCCTACAAGATGCTTCAGGTTCTTCTTATCTATTTCCTCCCTCGGTCCTAGGATCGACATTTGTTCAAGAAGCCTGGTTCCTTTTACTGGAGAATGGTGTTTATTGGAGAACAGAGACCTGGGCACCAGAGGTTTGTTGCTACTGGGGTATCCTTGCTTCTAGGCTCTCTTCGCTGACAGCCAGGATTAGTAACGTGTGTCTTACTAATTTGTGTATATGCACATATCCATAAATATTTCTCTATGTAGCCATCTGTATCTATATTGAGCTAAACATGTGTTCATACTGATGCCTGCCACTCTAATCCACTGCCACATGGATCACTCTAGCCTTGCCTCCTTTGCCGACCTGTAAACCTCCCGCCCCCCACCCCATCTATTACTTAATGAATTTCAGTAAGCATGTGAGGTGGGTGGTTATGGAAACCATTTTTGACCTATATATAAGATGGCAGTTTCGTCTGATTTCTCCTAAATAGAAGACGAGTGTGAAATGGTAACATGGTGTCCGTAGGAGTCATATGGATGGACCATGGCCAACCATATTATTAAGGAATATTCATGCATTCATCCATCCATCCATCCATCCATCCATCCATTCATTCACCAGTGAATGAGTAAAGCATTAGGTATTCACCACACTGTCCTCTCCTGGACTTCCCCCTACCTCACTGGCCACTTCCTCTCTGTCTCTTGGGCAGGGCCCTCCTCCCCCATCCTCTGAAGGTTGCACTGTCCCAGGGCTTGGCCCCCAGCCCTCTCCTTTTCTCAGTCTTCATAAGGATACCTATTATTCAATCCCGTGGCCTCATCTGTCATCCAAAAACACTCCCAGCTCACCACGTCTCATCTCCAGCCGTGATTTCTCACCCAGGCTGCAGACTCGGGTGTCTGATAAGCATCTCAAACTCATGATGGCCAAAACAGAAGTCTCAATTTACCTACACATTTCAGTGGTTCAGCTAGAAACAAACGATTCACTTATCGTTGATTCCTCCCTTCCCTCACCTCCTGTATTAAATACATCAGCAAGACCTTTCTGCTCTATCTCTGAAGCATAGCCCCAAGCTCACCACTTCCTGCCACTGTTACTTCCATCACCCCAATCCAAGCCATTGCTGTCTTTTGCCTAAACCAACACAACGTCCTCTTTGCTTCTCTCCCTAAATTCATTCTTGCTTCCCAATAATCCAATCTCCTCAAAATTTAAAGAAGCAATTGTTTAAAAACATACATCAGATCACTCCCCTTTCCCTACTTAAACCCTCCAATGCCTTCTGTTGCCATTAGAATAAAATCTAAACTCCTTTCCAGGGCACCCACATGACCCGGTCCCTGCCATCGTTCTCATCTCTTCCTCTCAATCACTTGACTCTGGCCACCCTGGCCTCTTTGCTATTCCTGAAACTCAGGGAGCTCATTTCCTCCTGGGGGCCTTTGCAATTATGGTCCCCTCTGCCTGGGCAGCTCTTCCCCCAGATCTTTGCATAAACTGGCCCTTCCCCTCCTCAGGTCTCAGCTCAGATGCTGCCTCCTCAGAGAGACCTTCCATGATACCAATCATCCTCTGTCACATTGCCTTGTTCTGCTTCTTTTCTTCGTAACGCCTGGCATTATCCAATAACTTCTAATGTGTGTGTTTACCTTTCGTCCTCCATCAGCACTGTGCTCCTAAGAGCTGAGGCTCGGTCTCTCTCACACCACTAAACCCCCAGTATGCCAAGCAGCACCCAGCACAGGGGAGATGCTCAGTTAATACTTGTTGAATGAATTAATGATGCTCCCCCTAAAACTAAACTTTACAAAGCACCCACTAGACAACAGGTTAGAAAACATTTTATAGGCCAGGCGCGGTGGCTCACACCTGTAATCCCAGCACTTTGGGAGGCTGAGGCAGGCAGATCATCTGAGGTCGGGGTTTGAGACCAGCCTGGCCAACATGGTAAAGCCCTGTTTCTACTAAAAATGCAAAAATTAGCCAGGCTTGGTGGCAGGCGCCTATAATCTCAGCTACTAGGGAGGCTGAGGCACGATAATCATTTGAACCCAAGAGGCGGAGGTTGCAGTGAGCTGAGATCACACCACTGCACTCCAGCCTGGGTGACAGAGAAAGACCCCATCTCAAAAACAACAACAACAACAAAATGTCTTCTGTAAAGACCCAGATAGCAAGTATTTTAGGCTTTTTAGGCTACCTGGTCTTTGCCACAACTACTTATATCTGGCACTGTCAGGCAAAAGCAGCCATAATCTGCAAATGAATGGGCATGGCTGTGTGCTCATAACACTTTATTTATAAAACAAGAACAGTGGGCCATAGTTTGCTAACCCCTGCACTAGCCCAGTCTAAGTCTTGAATATCATCTGTGTAATTAATTCACAGTGAGGAGTTCTCCACTGTAATAATTACTCATTCCGTGAATGCATGCCACTCAGGTGAGGCGTTCTTGAAACTCTGAGAGGCAAGAAGCAAAATGTTCTTTCTCCATACCCAGGCACACTCCAGTCTGTGAAAAGGAAGCAAGAGAGGCAGGCTGCAAGTTTGATCACTGGGTGGCTGCTAGCCACCTCTCCCCCTCAGCTCCAAGAGCAGAAACAGGATGAAAACGCAGCAGCTGCCGGCTTCTGTCCTCTTGCCAGCTGCCTCTCTTGCAAGACTAGACAGGGAGGGGCAGCCGCCAGTCTCCGGAGGCACAGACTGCACAGAATTGAGGATCACTTGTTCCAATGCATTCATCTTATCTTACAAAATCTTCAAATTCCAAAAGCACACGTAAGAAGGGCTGCTGTTTCATTCACACAGTGAAATATTGTGCATCTGAAAGAATATGTAGATGGGTGGCATCTTCAACAACCCCAGGATCACAGACGTTTAAATTTCACCCCTTCTACTGCTGTAAGGCACAGCAGAAGGAGTGTAATTTAAACGTCTGTGATCCTGGCTGGGCGTGGTGACTCTTGCCTGTAATCCCAACACTTAGGGAGCCCAAGGTGGGAGGATTGCTTGAGCTCAGGAGTTCAAGACCAGCCTGGGCAACCTAGTGAGAGCTCATCTCTACAAAGATTTTTTTTAAAAAAATTAGCCAGGTGTGGTGGTGCACTCCTGTAGTCCCAGCTACTCAGCAGGCTGAGGCACGATGATCCCTTGACCCTGGGAGATCAAGGCTGCAGTGAGCTGTGATGGTGCCATTGTACTCCAGCCTGGGGAACAGAACAAGAACCCATCTAAAAAAAAAAAAAGAAAGAAAAGTTCATATTCCAACCAAGATCTCACCATTGCATCATCAAGCATAAACACCTGCCCCCACTGAAAAAGTACAGAGGAAGGCAGTCATATCATATCTTCCCTCCTGACCTCACCAAGTTCCAGGGCAGGAAGAGTCTCGCCACCCCAGCACACAGTAGGCCCACTGGAAAATGAGTGCTCCCTTCTCTAGGCATTTCATTGTCATGGTCATAAAGTCAGGTTCATTTTTCTAATGAAAGAGAAAGCCAAAAATGGAGGCTGATTTTTTTCTTTTTTCTTTTTTTTTTTTTTTAGTCTCACTCTGTCGCCAGGCTAGAGTGCAATGGTGTGATCTCGGCTCACTGCAACCTCCGACTCCCTGGATCAAGTGATTCTCCTGTCAGCCTATCGAGTGGCTGGGACTACAGGCGCCCACCACCACGCCTAGCTAATTTTTGTATTTTTAGTAGAGACGGGGTTTCACCATATTGGCCAGGATGGTCTCGATCTCTTGACCTCATGATCTGCCCATCTCAACCTCCCAAAGTGCTGGGATTACAGGCATGAGCCACCACACCGGGCCTGGAGGGTGATTTTGACCAGGCCTTCTCAAGTTTTGGAAGGAAGTGGAGCTCACTTCTCTTCTGTTGCTTTTGCCCACCCAGGATCACTTATTCCTCTGGGTAATACAGCACCCCAGGCACAGGGGCCGCCTGTCACATAAGCGTGGGCATGGCTCATGTGCGGCCAGGCCCCAGTGATTCTGCAAAGGTTGCCCATAAGTCCTTCCCCCGCCCCAGGACTGGCATATTGATGTGGTGGGATGGAAGCTGTCCTTCTGCTGGGTCTGCAGATGGGGGCAATGTAAAGCCTGACATTGCCGGATGATGTCAGAAGCAGAACCCATAGGCAAAAGCCAGCTTTCCAGCACTCCACTCTCAGTTTCCTGCCATCTCCACTTCTGTGGATGTGTGCCCGGCATCTGCCTCTGCCCCTGCCTCTGAGAGCAGTGACTGAGCAAACAGTCCTGGACCTGGTTGAAAGGATGGGCCTGTCTGTTTCTAGCAGAGTGGTCTTTCAGAAAGCTGATTCCTGAAAGTTGGCATCAAGGGAAGCAGAGCCAGGAGGTGGAAATTGAGACTGGGTCCCGCTATGCATGAAGCCAGAGACTCTTGGATTTCTCCGTTACTTGACCAGAGGAATGCCCCATTTTGCTCAAGCTAGTTGGAGTTGGATTTCTGTTACTTGAAACCAAGAGAGCCTTAACTAATACATAACTAGAAATGCATCCATGGTCACTGCCCATTCATGTGACAGACATTTATTGAGCACTATTCCAGTTACCTAATGTTGCATGAGTTACCCCAAAACTTAGAGGCTTAATTCAGTCGTATAAGATATTCACAGATCCCGTGGGTCAAGAATTTGGGAAGACACTGTAGGTTGAACTTTGTTCTCTGCTTTGTCTTTCTTGGAAAGAGAGGACACAGCTTGAAGTCATTACTGATTTGGGACTGTATGTAATGCATATCTGTGCTTCATTGTCACTGTGTTTTTAAGTTTTCTAAACTTAAAACAGCTCATTTTCGGGGGACATAAAGAACCTGGGAAGAGCTCAGCTGGGCAGCACTGACCTGGGGTCTCTTGAGTGGTGGAAGTCAGATGTCATCTGCAGCTGCACTCACCAGAAGGCTTGACCGGGGCGGGGAAATTCGCTTCCAAGCTGGCTCACTCACGTGGTGGCAAGCTGTACATGCTGGGGGCCAGGGGCCTCACCCCTCCCCACGAGGCTGCCTGAGCACCCTCACGCAAGGCAGTTGGCTTCCCGAGAGCCAAAGTGCAATGCCTGTTACGACCTAGCCCGAGAAGTCACACATCATCACTCACTTCCACCACTTCCCACTGGTCGCACAGAGCCAGCCTGATTCAGTGTGGGAGGGGACCACACACAAAGGCAGTGTGCATCCCTGGGGGCCATCCTGAGGCTGGCTGTGTACCACAAACACCCGCCACATGCCAGGGACTGGACACACAGCCTTTGACCCCCACTGAACATCAGCCTAAACAGAAGGCAACCAAGCAAACCTTATCCCCCAAACTCTTTCCAACTCCTCCCTTAGGACGGCCCCTGCTTTTAAGTAAAGGGAATCGTGCCGAATAATTGTTCCTATTAAGGAACTAGATCTCAGGGTTTGGTCATGCAGCTCTTTGGTTACAGAAACAACGCTGATGAAATAATCGAAGGTCCTCCACCATTCTCACCCCCAGCCATGACCCCGTCCACTGCACACAGTGCTCCACGTCACTGTGCCTTTCCTAACTTTACTACAGCTTATACCTGCCTCTCCTGTACAACATCCACGTGACATCCATCTCTAAACCTCTGAGTCATCCCTAGACAAGCTGGCATGTGACTACATCATCTCATTTCATACATCAAGGGCAGGAAAACATGGTGGTTAAGAACTCTTGGACCTGGGTTCAAACCCCTGCTCTGCCACTTGACAGCTGCAAGATTGTTCAGCCTCAGTTTCTTTCTCTGAAAAATGGGGCTGGAAGCATACCTACTTCATGAACTCATGAAGCATCCACATGCATGCAAGGGCACGGCACAGCGCCCGGCACACAGTAGCTCAAGAAAGGCTGGTTGTGCCTGCTGGTGTGCTTGATCCAGAGAGGCAATCACTCATTTGCTTTTTCCTTATTTCCTGAATCTTTGTTTCTCACATTTAGGCCATTAGAGTTAAGCAGAAGGACTGCCTCTTCCTCCAGCCATCTCACCAGTCCTTCCACATACACATGCACATACACACACACACACACAAACACACACACACACACATTCTCATGCTACCTTCGGCCCTTCCCATCTCCTGTAACCCCAGAAAAGAAGACCGAGGTGAAGCCGTTGCCTTAGAATGGCACTGCCCTGGCCAGGTGTGGTGACTCATGCCTATAATCTCAGCACTTTGGGAGGTTGAGGCAGAAGGATCACTTAAGGCCAAGAGTTCAAGACCAGCCTGGTCAACATAGCCGAGACCCTGTCTCTACAGAAAAATCAAATCAAATAAAAAGCTTTTAATTAAAAAAGAATGGCACTGTCCTAAAGCTCCTGAGGTGTCCTCATCAAGGATTTATGGTTGTTTTTACGGCCACTTTAATAGGCAGAAATGTGCACAGAGCAGAGTTCCCCAAGAATCTGCCATCTTAGACCATTTTGTTTTTTAAATACCTCAGCAAACAAGTCTGTCTCATATGACTTTTGTCCCATTCCAAGTCTAATAACAGCCCGGGTGCGGTGGCTCACGCCTGTAATCCCAGCACTTTGGGAGGCCAAGGTTGATGAATCACCTGAGGTAGGGAGTTCAAGACCAGCCTGGACAACATGGTGAAACCCCGTATCTACTAAAAATACAAAAAATTAGGCGAGCGTGGTGGTGGGCACCTGTAATCCCAGCTACTCGGGAGGCTGAGGCAGGAAATCGCTTGAAACCGGGAGGCAGAGGTTGCAGTGAGCCGAGATCACGCCACTGCACTCCAGCCTGGGCCACAAGAGCGAAACTCAAAAAAAAAAAAAAGAATCTAATAACATTAATGTTTACTTCTCACAGGAGGATCAGAGGACTTCTGTCCTGAGATTGCCAGAAAAATGATGAACAGAAAATTATACACAACCGAACAGGCCCAACTTTCAAATGGACTGAGAATGACCCACACAAGTTCCACCGAGGCCAAGGGTGACCTGCAGCCAGCGACAGGGAAAGACTGCCACTTACTGGCGGCCTCCGGAACTGGAAGGAGTGTACTGACAATTGTATCTTTCGCAAGCTCTTAACCTTTATACCGTCAATAAAAACCCCATTAACATTTAAAAGGGATGTTTCTGGGTGTCCACTTGGAATAAGAGTTGGAAAACACTCCAAGAAATGGATTCTGTATTAATATCACATCTGTCCCAGATCTCCAACACTGTTCACTTTCCTTCCACGGTGCCAACACCAAGCTAGCTGATAGGTGGGAACAGGGCAGCTCTGCGGTTGGCCCCCAAGAGCCAGGGAGTCCCCCAAGCTGACCCCCTGGGGTGGCAGTGGCACCTAACAAGAACTTCCACCTTGTTTTCCCTCTCTCCGTTTTGTCCTTTTGGACTCTGCTCACGCATCACATCCAGAAAGTTCCCTAAGCTCTCCAGTGGGATGAGAACTCTGCTCTGTGCTCCTGTGGTCCTCCATGTTCCTCCACCTGGAGGCCCTCGGCTCCCTGCATTACCCCTGTCTACTTACTGACTTGCCTTCTACCCAGTGATGGGCCATGTGCTGTGAGGGCACACACTGTGTGCCCATCTATTCATTCCTCTGTGCGTGCGTTCATTCATTCCTTACTGAATGCCCACCAAGTGCCAAGCATTGGGGTACGAAGAACAAGGCAGACGGGGCCTCCCTGGCCTCTTCCAGCTCGCTGTAGAGTGTTGTCTACCCTACTCATCCTCACATACCCATGCCTGTCCTATGTGGCACTCAATAAATGTCGGATGGATGGATGTGTCCCCTCCTTCAATATCACTTAATTCACTTGATGACTTCCTGTGAGGATTAAGTTTAGCTGTTAAAATGCTGTGACTTCCTCTGGATCTCTGATGCAAGCCGGCAACCTTTAAGCCTCACCCGGCCGACGTAGGCATTTTGTTTGGCCAAAGTGTGTGGTTTTCTTAAAAAAACACTGCATTTGTGGCTAACATTTAAAATTGGGAAAATTTCACGTAAATCTTTGTTTTTCTGGCTTCTCTAGAAAAATGAACGCACATTTCTGCACAGCAGGGGTGAGCCAGAGCTGAGTCCCTAAGCTTCCCTTAGACGTGGTGGGCACACTTCAACTTGCCACAACCTCCACTATCTCCGATTTCTCTATCACTGACGCCAAAAGCTGCTGGGGACCATGTCGGCTGAGCTCGTGTTTTTCCTGCCCCAGCCAGCTTCACTCAGGACTCTGACTTGCTCTACATTTGGCTCAACTGAAGACCCCCGGGGGTTACGCGCATGTCATCCAAGAAATACATCTATGATGAGCTACAACACAAATGAATGGGCCATTTTATTGATTTTTACCTCCTAATAGTGGATACAGGTTGCTGTGGTTTCCAGCAGGATCTCAGATGCAAAGGGAAGTGAAGAAAACAGATGAATCCCTAGGGTACCCCGCCATGGAACCAAACACCACGTCAACTGGAACTCTTCTTGCAAACGAAGGCTGAAGATCAAGAATGACATTCTCACACCACAGCACAGCTTAAATACTTCTTTGACAAAAATAATAATAAATTATATTTGACTCAGAAAATAAATTCTGTTCAGCAGAGTGACAGGAGGGTCCATTCATTGCATTGCACGAGGGGCTCTACGGAGGGGTGAGGATGGGTGCAGGATGCCACAGTGACAAGGGACATGGGGTGCGGGCCCAGCAGCACAGGCTGAAGTTAGCTGACGCATGCTTTTGGCTTTTATCCCACGGGCGGGTAGTGGCCGGACCCCTGGCTGTGGCCTGTCCCAAGTGAGACTGCAACTGTCCCCTTCCTCCTCAAGTCCGCCTTGTCTTCTGTTTCTTGGCTTGTCTCTTTGCATCTTCTGGGCCGCTATTGTCAGAGGCTGCCTGGCCGAGCGCGCGGACTCCCTGTAGCCGGCTTGTCAACTGCAGCAGCAAAGGAATGAGCTAGAAAAGAGAGAAAGTGTGAGAGAGAGGGGTACAAAGAGGAGGCTTTTGCCAGATGAACAGCGGAGCCTCACTTCTCAACACACCTTCTTCAGACATGATCAGCAGCTGCCACGTGCTAATGGGTGGGTTTCAGTTCAAACGAGGCAGGCCTCTTACTAATGAGTCCCCAGGGATGGGCTGGCCTCTCTCCGGGCCTAATATGTCCCTAGAGGTGTTCCAGGTTTAAGGATTAGGAGATGTTACAGAAGTTTACAGCCTTGAAAGGAGACCTAAGTCTGGACTTGAGGCCTTCACGGGCCCTCCCGACCCGGAAATGTGATTTCTGTGACCCTGGACATCCCTCTGCTATCACTCCTGCAGCTGTGAGGACTCGCTCTCCCTGACATGCCCGCCATCTCCTGAGGCCTCTGGATTTCCTACCTTGTCATGGTTGTAACCGGCCAGCAGAACCAGCAGCGTCAATGGCAGGGCAATGTAGGATCCTTGTGCGATGTCCTGTTCAGGCAGCTTCCTCTGCAAACACCGAGAGCCCCATCACTCCTCACCAAGGCCACACGATTGTCCATCATCCACAATGCCACAGCCACCACCCACCCAGCCTTCCAAAGTGGCCACTTGAGGACACCCAGGGGCCCTCATGATCCAAATTCCTTCTATCCAAAGGAAGGAACCAAAGTGATTTGGATATATTTTCCCATGAATCCTCTTCTGCCCAAAGCTTCACTATTTGCTTCTGAAACTCAGGGACAAAGAGATTCCAATGACAAGGCATTCCTCAGCCTCTGGACCCTCCTCCCAACTGAGGAAATGAAGAGATGCAGCTATCAGAGAGTCTTGGTGGTTGAAAAGCAACTGGGTCTCAGTTTGTTGAGTCCCAGCAACATGCAGGGACTTAGTCCTACAAGGATGTATCAAGAACCTACAGTTCTAGACCCAGGGCACACAGTGATGGGCAGCTATTCCCAGCCAGTACGGTCTAGTGAGGAAGCAAAGCAGGCACTGCTACTAGCATCCCTGTGGCCATTCTCCCTTTCTCCCAATAGAACCCCCAACTTTTATCTGGGCCACCGACAATATAGATCACCTTTTCCAGCCTCCCCTGCAGCAGGCGCAGCCCTGGAACTAAATTTTGGCCAATGGTACAGGAACAGAAGCGGTAAGTGCCACACCCTGGCTGGACCCTAGGGAAGTGGTGTGCCCTCCCTTTTGCTGGGCAGACAGCATTTGGCCAATTGCCCCATTTTGGAGAAAAGCAATGCACTGGAACAGCGCAATGAGACAGAAGGGGCCTGGGTCCCCTGACGCCTTGGAGCTACCAGACTATCTCTGCACTGGTCACTCCTGGACACTTGACATGAGACAGACATTTCCATCTTGCTAAAGCCCCTGAAATGCTGGGTTCTAAAGCATCAAGTGAACCTATATCCCATTGGCCCACTCTACTCTCATAAAGGAAGCAAATAAATGGAAGGAGAACTTCCCAATAATGATAAAAACAAGTTAATGAGCCAGAGCAGTGTTCTCAGTGTAGGATACCGGGACTCCTCTCGCAGAGGTTCCCGAGGCCACAGCTATTTTCAGCCAATAGTAAGATGTGATGTGCCTTTTCCGCCCTCTTTCATTCGCAAGCGCACAGTGGACTTTTCCAGAGACTACGCACCCTGATGTCATCACGCCCACAGCTAACGGAATGTGTAGCTTGTGAGTTCTTGCGTTTTCAACATCTCGGTTTTAATTACTAATATGATAAATATACACAGAGATAATCCATGCAAACTCAAACTCTTTAAAATCCTCAATAATTTTTAACAGTATAAAGGGGTCCTGCAACCAACCCATCCGAGAACTGCTGGGCTAGAGAGTGACTGTGGGCGCCGCTGTACCTGGGATGCCCTTTCATAAATGAAAGAATAAGGGCAGGAACAGATTTCCATCAACAACTGCCTACTCCTGTATCTTTGGACATCTCTTAGAACCCAACCCATTTTTCCACTGAAGTAAACACTTACTTAAAAGTTTAATTCAGGCCAGGTGCAGTGGCTCACGCCTGTAATCCCAGCACTTTGGGAGGCTGAGGTGGGCAGATCACCTGAGGTCAGGAGTTTGAGAACAGCCTGGCCAGCATGGTGAAACCCCGTCTCTATAAAAATACAAAATTAGCCAGAAGTGGTGGTGCATGCCTGTAATTCCAGCTACTCAGGAGGTGAGAATCACTTGAACCCGGGAAGCAGAGGTTGCAGTGGGCCAAGATCGTGCCACTGCACTCCAGCAGGGGCAACAAAGCAAGACTCTGTCTCAGAAAAAAATAATAATGAATAAATAAATAAAAGTTTAATTCAGCAGGAATTAGAGTGATTCAGTCTAGGCTCAGGTCCCAGGCCTCACTGGGTAAACTCAGGCAACCACGTTGAGACTCAGTTTACTCAACTATGACATGGAGATCATATGAACAACACCCACTGGGGGTGGATGCTGTGAAACTTGATGAAAGGAGTATGTGAAATGCTCAGCAGGGCATGGAATACTGAGTAAAATCCAGTCGCGAGGCTGTGGGCAGTCACATCAACAAAGAAGGAAACCAATGTGCTTACAAAGCCCCCGTGAACATGCAATGCTGAGCCACTCATCACGCGGAGGGCAGAACGAGGTGGAAACCATGTGGCTTGAGACAAACCGCCTCACTTGAGTCCTGGTTCTGCTAACACTCAGTAAGTGACTCAATCTTTCTGGGCTTCTGTGAAAATGGGAGGAATGGCACACCTGCTCGAAGGCTTGTTGTGAGGATCAACCTGTGAGGGCCCTGTACGGGGTGGCACAGAGTGGGCGCTCTCTTCATTCAACACTTGGCCCTGCTCGGGAATCCAAGCCCCAGCAGGCATAGCTTTTTTTTTTTTTTTTTTTAATTATACTTTAAGTTTTAGGATATATGTGCACAATGTGCAGGTTAGTTACATAGGTATACAGGAAGGGGAACATCACACACCAGGGCACAGTTTCTTACATTCTCAGAAGTGACAGGCAGCAGCTACGAGGCTGGGCTGCTTGGCCACCACCAAGCAGTGTCTCCACATTCCTGCCACTGGCTCCCAGGTGTGTCCCTGAGCCCGGATGAGTTGTCTGCTAGGGGCCCCTGAGAATGTCACTGCCTGCAGCTATCAACGGCCTTCACAGAAGCCTCTCCCAGCAACTGGGGCCACAGTGCAGCCCCAAGCAAAGGTAAGTGGTTCTTGTATATGCTTATCTTTCTGGCACTTTCTTTTTTTTTTTTGAAACAGTCTTGCTCTGTCGCCCAGGCTGGAGTGCACTGGGGCTATCTTAGCTCACTACAAACTCTGCATCCCAGGTTCACAATTCTCCTGCCACAGCCTCTCGAGTAGCTGGGATTACAGGTGCGTGCTACCACGCCTGGCTAATGTTTGTATTGTTAGCAGAGATGGGGTTTCACTTTCACCACATTGCCCAGGCTGGTCTCGAACTCCTGACCTCAAATGATCTGCCCACCTCAGCCTCCTAAAATGCTGGGATTACAGGCGTGAGCCACCACACCTAGCCCTCTCCGGCACTTTCTAACCAGGTCTCTACTGTGAGTAACAAGGAAGTGTTTCCTCGTGGGTCATGAGAAAAACTCTCTTGTTCAGGTAAGATCATATTTACAGGCTCACTGAGCATGAATCACTCTTCACAGAAGCCCGGAATCAGCAGCAGAGCTCTGCTCAAGCCCTAGCACTGCTCCACGTGAGCTGGTGACCTTGGGCTGCTCACATCTCCTTCTAGGTTCCCATCTTCTCATCTCTAAATGAAAGGTAATTCCTGTCCACCTTCCATGCAGGATGGCGTTTGAAAAGCATGAAATGGTAACTGGATAGCATGTGGAAAAAGACAATCTGGAGCCATACTTCACATCTATACCAGGAAAAACTCCAAATGGATAGAGAGATTTAAATGTAAAAACAGAAACTATAAAAGTCTGCCTGAAAAAAACACAATAAATTCCTGTAAAAGCTGGGAATGAAGAAAACCTTCCTATGACTCTAAAATCCAGAAGCAATAAGAAAAAAATCAACACATTTAACATAGAAATAAAGTAAATCTTTGCAGAAACCAAGTGAAAAGATAAATGACAAATTGGGAAAAATATGTACAACAAACATTACAAAGGGTTAATATTCCTAGTATACAAAGAGCTGAAAATGGTTGAAAAAGACCAAAAATTCTATAGAAAAATAGGTTAAATAGTTCACAGAAAATACAAATGGCTCTTAACCACATGAAAAGAGAGAAATGCAATTAGAAGTACACTGAGATAATATCACTTCTCATCTATAAGCCTGCAAAAATTGAAAAATTTGACAAAATACTCTGTTGGGGAAAAAAGGGTACTCATTCACTGCTGGCGGGAATATAAAACAGTAAAACCCCCATGGATGGGAAGTGGCCGTATCAATCAAAATTCCGTATGCATTTACCCTTTGACTCAGCAATTCCACTTCTGGGAGTCTATTCCAAAGAGAGACTGACGAACACTCAAAAACATGCATGCGTAAGGCAATTCATTAAAGGGTTATGTGTAATAGCAGAAAACCAGTAACAACACAAACGCCCCTCAACCAGGGGCTAACTGAATATCCTACATGTAGTGCCAGGATCTGAATGTGTCTGTGCCTACGTAATTCATAGGTTGAACCCTAATCCATAATGTGATAGTGTCAAGAGGACACCCTTTTTAGGAGGTGATTAAGTCAGGGATTAATGCCCCGTAAGAGTGGCCTGAGGGAACTTGTTTGCCCCTTTCCGCCTTGTGGGGACACAGCTAGGTGGCACCATCTATGAAGCAGACAGCAAGTCCTCGCCAGACCCCAAATCTGCCAATGCCTTGATCTTGGACTTCCCAGCCTCTAGTACTGTAAGAAATAAATGTTTGTTGTTTATAAGTTACCCAGTCTAAGATACAAAATAGCAGCCCAAATGGCCTAAGACACACGGTATATCCACACAGAGGAATGCTGTGTCGTTATCAAAAAAGGAAAAAGGAGGATCGGAGGATATTGTTCCACTTACAGTTACATTTTTTGAAAACAATAAAGTTCTTATTCTGCCCACTGAAAAGGCCTAGAAGCAACAACCAACACAGTAGCTATGAGGCCAGATTTTTGTTTTTAATGCAGACTCCTGTGCTACACTTTCACCCCGTCAAGTTCAGAATCAGCAGTCCTGAGGCTGAGCCCTGGACTCTGTTTTTGCTATTGCTGATGTGTCTGTTTAATCATCAGGTGACAATACTGCATCTGAGCTTTAGGAATCACTAAACAATTTTATCAAGAAGGTAAAAGATACGTGTATGTTTTGTTTGTTCCACTGTTCCAGCCTATCGGATACAGGACAGACCGTATGCAACAGATACACATATTGCAAATAGTAAGGGCCACATATTGCAATGAATTAAGCGATAAGTTAAGTTTCTTTTAACCCACAGGTATTCTGTCCATCTGTTGTTGGTTTTTTTTTCCTTGCAATTTATTTGTCAAACAAATCAGGCTCCAGGTGGTTGTCCTGCATCCCTGTGGAGTCATTTGCGTGCTCCTGGGTCCTCCCTATTTCCTGTAAAGTAGCAGTTGGTTCTAGAGGTTTGCGTGGCCATGTACCATGTGCTCCCTCATGGAGAAGCACACGCCACACCAGCGATAGTGGTGTCCCTCCTCCCCCAAAATCATTCCTGAGCCACCGATCTAAACAATTACACTGCTCTTATTACCAGTTTCCTCCTCAAAGGGAATCGCAGGCATCAGTGCTCAGAAAAGCTAAAAACAATCTGGGGAAGCCCAGAATCCAGAAGGCAGAATGAGAAAGTGACCCAATGCCAGGAGCCCTTTAAATATCTGCCCTGCAACCTGCGATCTGGAGCACAGGTTGTATGGACATGCCTTCTTTCGCCACCCCATGGATTGTTTGGTTTTGTTTTGTTTTGTTTTTTTTCTTCTGGAGAAAGGGTCTCACTCTGTTACCCAAGCTGGAGTGCAGGGGCATGATCATGGCTCATCGAGGCCTCAACCTCCCAGGCTCAAGTGATCCTCCCACCTCAGCCTCCCGAGTAGCCGGGACTATAGGTGCGTTCCACCACGCCCGGTTAATTTTTGTATTTTTTGTAGAGTTGGGGTTTTACCGTATTGCCTAGGCTGGTCTGAAACTCCTGGGCTCAAGAGATCCACCAGCCTTGGCCTCCCAAAGTGCTGGGATTACAGGCGTGAGCCACCAAACCCAGCCCATGGGTTTTTTTTTAACTCCCTCTTTTACTTACCGTGGGATTAAAAATCAAGGTGATGTGTTTATGGTAGCCCACTGCGGTGAAAGAAACTTGAGGCAAGATGTAGTCATACTGGGATCTGGGGAGTGTGGAGTCCAGAAGCACAACATAGTTCTGTGCACACATGGGAAGAAGTTATTTTTACAAGGACAGCTCTGGCAAAGCAAATGAAAACTAAAACCTAACGTATGGCTGTGATGTAAAGAACTTTATGTTTTTAAAGAAATCCCCAAGACTACACATCCAAACCAAGGTTGCTGCCTTCAAAGTATCAACCTCAGCGGGCTATTCCATCAGTGGCGGGCATGTGTCCCCAGTGTCTCTGAGACTGTGGCTTCTGATAAGGCTGTCAGAGCCTGCAGCCTTTTTATGAGTACCCAACCTTGACAATTACGGTCCTCTGAGGATCTGACTTTATGAAACACAAAAAATTATTATGAGCCAATTCTGATGAGGGAGGTACGTGATACAACTGAGGATCCACAATGGGGCTGACTTCAAAGGGACGATGCTTGAGAGGCTCGTAAGCTGGCAAATCCTAAAAATACAGCATCCCTGGAACGGCACCAGGGGCAGCCACAGCTCTGTGTGCTGAGCACCGACCAGCTGCCAGGCACCATGCACATTGCATGAGACCCATCACAGCTCTGTGTGCTGAGCACCGACCAGCTGCCAGGCACCATGCACATTGCATGAGGCCCGCGGCTGCTTTGCTTTCTACCACTGGCAAGGTCGGGATCATCACCCCGTCTTATAGACGAGGAAAGTCAAGCACGAAGAGACTAAGAGTAACTTGCCCAAGGTCACTCAGCTAAGAAGGCTGCCACACATCTATGAAGGCTCTGAACTCAGGGGAAGTGTGACCCCAAAGCCCAAGATGTTTCCGCATCGCTGTAGGAAGTGACTATTTCAACACCCCTGGAGAAAGAGGAGGAGAAAATTCCGTGACAGCCTGTTTCATTATTTTGCAGCCATTTTCCACAGAGAAAGGCCAGAGTAGATCATCTTCACGGCAGGTGGTAAGGAGCCAGGAGAGGAAACGTCACCCTCTAGGCTCACACTTGACATCCTCAGGCTAAGACCACCAGAAAAGAACCAAATTCTTTGCAAAGTTTGCACTCCCCACACCAACTACAAGTTAGCTCTGTCCAAATAGAATTGATAATAAGCACTTTATAATCAGTAAATGACGGCCAGAATAAAGGCTGAAAACTTCCCAGTTCCAAGGAGGGAGACATCCAGATTCATGGAACCCAAAGGACACTGAAAAGGTGGAGCTGCAAGTGTTCTACACGACACACGTTATAATCAGATTATCAAAGACAGAGAGAACGTTCAAAGCAGCAAGAGAAAAGCAACTCATCTCATTCAAGGGATCCCCCATCATGAGGAAACTGTATTTCCTTAAACTCAATAGCAGAATGTTAAATAGAGGAATTTTTAAAAATTACAAGGCATTTTTAAAAGTGGACTTCTTAGCAGGAAAGCATGGGGTGATATGTTCAAAGTGCAAGAGTCGATCATGCCCAACAGTAGGCCTTGGTTAAATAAATCATGGCGTTTCCTAGTTTATGGACTACTGTCCATAAAAATCATAGTATGAAAGATTTGGCCAGGCACGGGGGCTCACGCCTGTAATCTCAGCACTTTGGGAGGCCGAGGCAGGTGGATCACGAGGTCAGGAGATCAAGACCATCCTGGCTAACATGGTGAAACCCCGTCTCTACTAAAAATAAAAAAAAAAAAGAATTAGCCGGGTGTGGTGGCACACGCCTGTAGTCCCAGCTACTTCGGAGGCTGAGGCAGGAGAATGGTGTGAACCCAGGAGGCGGAGCTTGCAGTGAGCCCAGATTGCGCCACTGCACTCCAGCCTGGGCGACAAGGCGAGACTCCGTCTCAAAAAAAAAAAAAAGAAAGATTTGATGATGAGGAACAGATTTGTGATAAATTCTTCATTGAAAAGCACGGATTACAAAACAATGTACAAAACAGTGTCAGTTTTGAATTATTAAAATAAATGTCTATTTATATTTATACATGCATGCGCACACGTGCCTGAAAAAAGACCCAAAGGATACCAATCACCGTGTTAGCAGTGGCTATTTCTGGATGATGGGCTTATGTCTTCTTTTTCCCAAAATCTCCTGCCATGAATATGTATTCTTTTTGTAAACAGAAAAACAATGAAGAAAAAATAATCCCTACAGAACCCAACCTCTTTTGATTCAGAGAGCGTATTTCTGCAGAGTGGTATTTAGGGAGAAAAGGAGAGAACTGTGCTTCCTTAAACTAAACAGCAGAATTATTAAAACAAAGGCAGAAGGTAGAATCCGGCCACAGGCATTACCTCGCCGTCTCTGAGCAGTGGGGGGAAATGGAAGAACAGGGACTGGCCAAGGGAAACTGTCTGGATTGGATTGTCGAGGTTTTCGCTTTTGTAAAGCTTGACCTGGAGGGAGAAACAAAGTCAGACATGCTTTGAAACTGAAACACAATCAATATTTCATAGCAGACATCCTCAGGACAGCCGCTTTCTGGGTGGGTGTCTTTGGAAACATGGATATTTGAAAAAGAAAGCTCCCTCCATAGACATCACACATCCCTCTGTCATCTGAGACTCCATCCAGTTATGTATCATGCACAGAAATTAAGATTCAAATCAGATTCTGACTACCCATGTTCTTGCTCAAAATAGTAATATAAGTTAATATAATAGTAATATTAAAAATAGCTTCTAACACGTGTTGAACATCTGTAATATGCCAGGCAGGCGCCAGATATTTTATCTACATTATCGCCAATCCTGACTACAAAACAGGTATTGTTATTATCCCTATGGAGACCCAGAGAGCCAAAGTCACCTAAGGTCACACAACTTACACATGGTAGAGCCTGGGACTCAACCCCCTGACGACTCCTGAGGGTCCTTCCCGCCTTGCACTGCCTCATCATATGATGTCACCTTAACTCCACCAATCTGTTAAACTCAAAACGCATTCCATCATGTACGTGGCTCTCCACGCTGCTTCAGGAGGCACTGGAGTACTTTGTTTCTGGCTTTATTTCTGGGGTTCTTGCCTGTTCTCACTCCCACACGGCATGGGGCATGAGCAGGGTTAAGGTGCAGCCCTGGCTGATGGCAAAGGCTGTGAGGATGCCACAGTGCACCTGCCGCAAGAGAATGCCAGGACCACCTCCCTGGGCCCACACTGGCACCTTTCTACATAACACACAAGGGGAATTTTCCTAAAATGAAAGTCACAGACTGAAGGTTATGGGTCGCATTGAAGATCCCTTATGTGTTCTTTTTTCTTCTATAACATCTTAAGTAAATCTGAATTCACCGACTATATTTAAAAATCAGGTGATTTCAAATAATTCTAATTTCCAGCTTCTCCGGAAAACTGGGAAGTGACACCAACCCTGAGCCTCAATTCTAGCACAGCAACACTCAGGAGCAAGAGAGTGGCGCCCTCCCCTCCTCTCTGCCTCTTCCCCTCCCCTGTGCCACTCATGGATGGGGCAGGAGTTCCCCAGTTTGCCCCCCACCCTACCCAACCCTCTGCACTCTCTGACATTACCTGCCTGGTCCCTACAAGCACACGCCTGCAAGCCCTGAACAGAGTGGACTAAAGCGCACACACACTTTCTCACCCATGCCAAATACTTAACTGCTTATAAAATTACAAGTGCATCTTAACAATGTACCCCCAGAGCAAATCACTAACATCCGTAGAGGGTCTGCAGGGTATTTTATAAACATTTCTTCATTAATGGTAACATGGAGATTTTGTTAGAGCTGAACAAGATTATAAGAGGTCTCTGAGTCCAAAATCTAGGTTTTGCAGAGGACGAAGTCGAGGCATGTGGAAATGAAGTGACTGGCCCAGGCAGCAAGGTGAGTCACTACTGGAGACAAGAGAAAGCCCAGACCACCTGCTCTCCAGCCCACCGTCCACCACCTCTGATACTGTTTGGATATTTGTCCCTGCCCAAATCTCATGTTGAATTGTAATCCCCCGTGCCGGAGGTAGGGCCTGGTGGGAGATGATCGGATCTTTGGGGTGGATCCCTCGTGGCTTGGTGCTGTCTTCGTTATGAGTCCTGTGAGATCTGATCATTTAAAAGTGTGTGGCACCATGCCCCAACTCTCTCTTTTGCTCCAGCTTCTCCCACATGACATGCCTGCTCCCACTTCACCTTCTGCCATGATTGGAAGCCTCCTGAGGCCTCCCCAGAAGCAGACACCACTATGCTTCCTGTACAACCTACAGAACGAGGAGCCAATGAAACCTCTTTTGTTATAAATTATCTAGCCTCAGGCATTTCTTTAAACCAATGCAAGAACATTTAATACGACCTCCACTCCAGAGAAAATTTTAAGTTACAAGGCGCTTTCTTTAAAATTGGCTTTCCACGTTAGATTCCATATTGTATTGATCATTGATCAGGCTTCTACTATAATTCTTTGGAAGATTAACTGATGGCAGACAGTTATCTGAAACTGGACCACATTCTCTCCCACAACTGGCAATCACTCTCCCAAATACGTGTTGTGGTCCAAGGTTCTTAAATCTCAACCTCAACCCTCAGCAGGCGGCGCTCTGGAGCACCTCCACCTGTCACACCTAAGGCACGAGACAGGCACAAACCCAAAAACATCCCATTCGTACTTGTCTCAAAGCCAAAGGGAACACAATACTTGGAGCTTAAAAGTCTGGACTTACCCATAATGTAGGAAGGTATTCAGAGGAAGTGATCACATTTCCACTTAAATCAAATTGATTAATCTGCCGGAAAACTATGATGTTTACATCATCGATGTCATTATTCCCAACCTAGAGAGAGAAAGAGGGAATGCCAGTAATGAGAAAGCTGGTGGAGGAACTTCTATGCCAGCTGTCCGATGGCCTGAGAGCTGCTTCATGGCAAACTTTGCTTCTTACATTAAGGAAGCGAAGTTTGTCATTGAGTACCCTACGTCCAAGGTCACAAACTGACAGAAGATGGCTATCCCTGGCCCATAGACACATTTCATTTCGAAAGCACAGTATTTTTTTTCTACGTTTGAATTACTTGCCAACATGTTAAAAATTAGGAAATTTCATATATGAAGCCAGATTTTCCAGCTTCTCTTAAAAAAAAAAGGAGAAGGATGCTCTTGCCTGTTAGAGCAGGGGCATGTCCCTGGCCCATAGACACATTTCATTTCGAAAGCACAGTATTTTTTTTCTACGTTTGAATTACTTGCCAACATGTTAAAAATTAAGAAATTTCATATATGAAGCCAGATTTTCCAGCTTCTCTTAAAAAAAAAAGGAGAAGGATGCTCTTGCCTGTTAGAGCAGGGGCAGAGTCACAGCACCCCCTCTGCGTGAGGTCTGTACATGGAGTTTGCGAGATCCCAGAGGGCCGGCCCCCTTCCCTTTCATACCTGCCCGGCCACAGTCCACATTATGCTAGTGATCCTGGCCTAAGTTACTACACCGAGAACATGCAAAGCATTTTGGTGTGAGATGCAGTCATCCCAGCCATTTAAAATGCCAACACCGTAAAGACGTCAAGGAAATCCACTTCCGGCCCAGTGCGGTGGCTCATGCCTGTAATCCCAGCACTTTGGGAGGCCGAAGCGAGCAGATCACCTGAGGTCAGGAGTTCAAGACCAATCTGGCCAACATGGTGAAACCCCGTCTCTACTAAAAATACAAAAATTAGCCGGGTGTGATGGTGTGTGCCTGTAGTCCCAGCTACAGGCTGAGGTGGGAAAATCACTTGAACCCACAAGGAGGAGGTTGCAGTGAGCCGAGATCACGGCACTGCACTCCATCCTGCGTGACAGGGTGAGACTCCGTCTCAAAAAAAAAAAAAAAGAAAAAGAAAAGAAAATCCACTTCCTAGGTCAAAAGTTCTATCCTCCCTCACAATCTTCATGCATAATGAAGCCACCTAAATAAAGCCACTAAGAGGCAGCCCCTCTTACCCTACCTAAGCCCTCTAGTCTTCCCAATGAGAGTTACTCAGTAAGAGAAAAGCCTTACTTCAAATGATTCCCAGGCCACATTCTGTGACTCGAAGGATGTCCTCTTTAGGGATTAATTTAGCTAGGTCATGATCTTGAGTATCAAAAGACTCTGCCCACAAAATGGGAGCAGGAAAAAGGTCATCTGAACCTAAGATAACTGCGTGGCCCTGCCACCCATTAAGCCCATGTTCTATTATTGTCCCTTGATTTGAAATGCTGCTTAGGCCTTAAGTTCCTTAACTTGCAGAATAATGATCAGAGCTTACAGGGCAAGTCGCGGGGAGGATACAACAGTTCCAATTTCCTTTCTGGATGCATGACAGCAACGCTGTTCATTAAAAACCCACATAAGATGCTGCTTGTGAAGATGACACTATTCTAAGAGGACCCTTAATTAGGATGAAAGTTCCCCCCGCCACAGATGAAAGGCAGACAGCCAGAGGAGACGGGAGGACTTCTGATCAGGGAGGCACCCACACCCAGGTGCAGCGGCAGCACTGAATGCCTTACCTCAATCACCCTATGGTGGGGGAGCGCCCGCTCAATGTGGTCGTTGCCTTCTGCCTTGAGCTGAACGTGGTACACACATCCCGGCTGCAAAAAAACTCAGGAGTCAGCTCTCTAGAAAGGGGGCTTGTCGTATCGTGCCTGGTCCAAGCCTGGTTTGGCTGCACGAGATCATTAAGACAGGAGCATTTCTCTCCCCTCATTTCCTAATCTGTGGCCTGTTAACCTTAAGAGTCCAGAGTTCCTTTAAGAACACCCCTAGTGTTGAAACATCTGAAATTTTGCGACTCCTTCCATCCCAACTCAGTTTCATTTTCTCCTACCCCAAAATAAATCAAATTTGGTTTCTTATTTCAAAATTCCAAGCATACTATGTGCTCTTACTCTTCTAAGATGTTCTTCCTCTCCATCCACCCCTCCCCTCTACCCGTATATACACATTGATGGATATCTGGAATGTCCACCATAAGCATTCCCAAATGCTTGTGTTGGGTATTATTTCTGGGAAGTGGGAATTTCTGACTTCTCTTTTTAAAATTTCAAGGATCTGGCAACCCTGACTCTGTCTTCCCCCATGGCTACAATAAGCTGGAACCAAGTGACAGGCTGTCCCTTTCCACAGGCCGTGCCCACTCCACAGCCCTCACCACTCCCTATCATTTCGCACAGCCTCCTCTCCCCCGTTCATACTGCTCTTCTGGCTCCATAGGCGTTTGGCTTGAGCCCTGGCGTAAGCCATGGCCACACACTGCTAGGGAAAAGCCCTACCAAACCCATGGTTTTCCAACTCCATTGTGCCACAGATCCTTGATCTGACCTGTTGGCTAGAAAAAAGGCAAACTCTACCAATTAAAGGTAAGAACTGGGAGGGCTCCAGAGCCCCACCCCCAGCCCTCTCGCCCAACCCACTCCTAGCAGTCTTGGGGCCACCACAAGATACTTCTGGACACAGGATGAAAAAAAAGTCCCCAAAGAAAACCCATTCCAAGTCTCACCAGCAATCCACGTAATCTGAACTTGCCCTCTTCGTCTGTCACGGTGTCTTCTCCGTAAATGCTGCAGTCGTTCTGGCCCACCGCTTCCATGGCAACCCCTTGTTCGGGCTCTCCGTTTAAGGAAGACACTGTGCCATAGCAACTAGTATGGCAAGAACAGGCACGAATGAGATATTCTCATGGTTATCTGAAGGACCCAAGTGTTTCCCGTTTACCAACAATTATGGGGCAAAATAGTTCAGGGGATAACCGTGCCTCAATGACCCAGGCAACTCAGTGTGGCCGGCCCACTTCCAAACCACACCTTCCTGCCGGAGGGATAAGCTGCCATCAATTTCTTTTCTCATACATTTTGAGGGATGCTCTGGAAAATTGTAATTTAAGAAGGCTAAAGCTTTATTTTATTCTTTCTAGGCTTTATTTGAAATAATGGAGCTTTCAATAACATGGAAATAACTCACTTCCTCTTTCACTCCATATATTCAGTAGAAAATGGTCCATTTTTCTAAACCCAATCTTTCCAATTACTCTTCCTCTAAAGTGATTCTGTATAAGTCTACAAAAAATACACATATATGTGTGTATCTGTGTGTATACATGTATATATGTATGCATCTCTCTATCTATAGATGTGTATCTTTTTTATTTTGTATTTTTATTTTTTTGTAGAGACGGGGTCTTGCTATGTTGCCTAGGCTGGTCTTGAACTTCCAGACTCAAGAGAACTTCCCACTTCAGCCTCCAAAAGTGCTGGGATTATAGGTGTGAGCCACTGTGCCTTGCCAGACACTCATGTGTATCTATCTATCTACAGCTGGGAGCATTCAGAAAAACTGGAAGTACTGGTTGTCTCCCAGAAGAGGAACTTGGGTGGCTAGGAGACGAGACAGAGGGGAAATTTTACACTATACTCTTTTCAGCATTTTGAAGTTTTATTCAACTGAGCACATTTTCTCCTTTTAATAATTTAATTCAGGTTTGAAACTCTTTTAAAAAATAAAAGTGGCCAGGCGCGGTGGCTCACGCCTGTAATCCCAACACTTTGGGAGACCGAGGCAGGCAGATCATCTGAGATCAGGAGTCCGAGACCAACCTGGCCAACAAAGTGAAATCTTGTCTCTACTAAAAATAGAAAAATTAGCCATGCATGGTGGCAGTCCCAGCTACTTGGGAGGCCAGGACAAGAGAATTGCTGGAACCCAGGAGGCAGAGGTTGCAGTGAGCCAAGGCTGCGCCATTGTACTCCAGCCTGGGCAAGAAGAATGAAACCCCGTCTCAAAAAATAAAAAATAAATAAAAGCTTTTAGCAACTCAATAGGCTCTCTCAAGCCAATTCCAAAATAGGAAATTTGAGACTGAACCACCAGGTTGAGCTCCTAGGAGAGAAGGGCAGCAGTCAAAACTCCTTTGCCCTCATATCTCATCTCCCTTCCCTCCCAAGTAAAATCAGTGTGAAGCCTGGGATGCGTTTCCAGGCAACAGAGGCCTGAATGTGATTCACCAGCCCAGCCCTGGAAGAGAGTGGGGTGGCCAGGGCACTTACCTGTAAGCGGTTCGGTACCCCGTGATGGTGATCTTCAGGTTCTGGCCTTCCTGCACCTCGATCATCTGTGAGGATGGCTCAAACCGGAACTCCTTCATCATGGGTTTGAAGTAATACTGGCCAGGGCTCTACCAAGATAATCACACTGAGCCTCAGCAGCCACATCTAGGCATGGCTTAAAAGTGAGGGGCGAATGTCACGATGGACCAGAATTACACCAGGGGAGCGCCATGGCTTCCCTGGCAGCCAGAAATAGTAACCCTCTCTCTATAATCACCACTCACAGTCAGGTAGTGGCAATCACAACTCTAACAACGGCAGCTGATGGTATCACCTGCCTGCAATGACTCAGAGAGGTAGAAGTCATATTTAATTTTTCTTTTCTTTTTTTTTTTTTTTTTTCTGAGACAGGGCCTGACTCTGTCCCCCAGGATGGAGTGCACGATCACAGCACACCGTAGTCTCAACCTTCTGGGCTCAAGCAAATCTCCCACCTCGGCCTCCTGAGTACCTGGGACCACAGGCATGCACCACCATGCCCAGCTAATTTTTTTATTTTTTGTAGAGATGGGGTCTTCCTATGTTGCTGGTCTCAAACTCCCAAGCTCAAGCGATCCTACTGCCTCACCCTCCCAAAGCGGTGGGATTACAGGCGTGGGCCACCATACCTGGCTCATATTTGAATTTAATGAATAAAGAAACTGAGGCTCAGAGAGGCAAAGTAACTTGCCTGATAGGACACAGCAAGTAAGGAGCAGTCTGCATCACTGCAAAGTGGTGTCTTCAGATGCCCCCGCTGCCCGGTCTCCAGTAGCCCCACCACAGCCACTTTGTCACCATGACTGACAAGATGACCAACTAACACACACTTCCTGAATCCCCACCAGTCAGGGCCTCCGACTGCATCTTGAAAGAAAAACTGCTGCTCTCTTCCCACCAAGTGGAATGTCTTTTCAGAAGAAACGCAAGCTAACCACCAAACAAGACTCAGCATCATAAGCATGATTCCGTGGCAAAACGAGAAGATGCCTAAGAGAGCAGCCGTTGTGGCCAGGGAAATTAATTACACTGTCTTAGTGACAAGTGGGTGATCAGAAAACAAGAAGCGCGTGTGGAAGGGAACATGAATCAGCAGCATTAAGTTCGAGTAAGAGCAATACTCTAATGACCGTGGGCCCCCAAGAAACTGAAACCACTCCACATTGGCTTTCTCTTCTCACGTTGTCAAGCAACACGTAAGTCTCGCATGCTGCATCCTGGCTCTCTCTCAGGGAAGACAGGCAGGTGGTAAATTGCAGAACACGTTACCAGGTTTGAGAATGTCAGAATGCCGTTGTCCTGGGTCAAGAGGTTGGAACGAAACAGGCCACCGCTCAGGGATAAGAGGACTCCCGGGAGGGGCTGGTCATCCTCAGCTTTTATCTGGGGATGAGAAGGTGAGACCAGAGCAAGGTTAAACTCCTACTAACTATGAAAATAACAGTTCCACAAGTCAAGAGGTCATTTTTTCAAGGTTTTTTTCTTTTATTGTTACTCAAAGGAGGACAGGGGACCTAATCTTCCTCCCCACAGGTAACTACTGTTGTAAGTTTTGTAAGTTTGGTGTGTAGCCTTCTAGAACTTTTTTTTTTTTTTTTTTTTTTTTTTTTGAGACAGGGTCTTGCTCTGTCACCCAGGCTGGAGTGCAGTGGCACAACCTGGGCTCACTACAACCTTCGCCTCCCAAGCTCAAGCAATCCTTCAGCTTTAACCTCCTGAGGAGATGGGACTATAGGCGCACACCACCATGCCCAACTACATTTCTGTATTTTTTATAGAGACGGGTCTTGCCACGTTGCCCAGGCTGATCTCAAACTACTGGGCTCAAGCAATCCACATGCCTGGGCCTCCCAAAGTGCTGGGATTAGAGGCATGAGCCACCGTGCCCCGCCCAGAACTCTTTCTATGCCCACACAAATTTTATAAACATTACATATTATTGTTCACAGACTGGCAAGTTCATTGAGTGGGTGGAGGAGGTGAAATAAAAATGGCATGTTATATGTACAGTTCTTGCTCTCTTCCTCAACAATTTATCCTGGTTCTCTTCTGCCAGCCAATAGAAATCTGCCTGTTTCTTAACTACTGCATAGCATTCTAAGGCAGGGTTTGACAAACCACAGCACCTACTCTTGTGGTACACAAGAGACAATTGGAATATCCCCAAATATGTATCTCTAGGCACTTAGTTTTATTTTTATTTCCTGAACAATCCATTCCTAGAAGTAGAATTGTTGGATACATGCACTTTAAATTCAGAAAGATACTATCTAATTGCATTCCAAAGTGGCTGTAACCACTTACAGTCCCATAAATTATTTATGCTTGGGAAAACCCACACTTACCAAAAAATAGAGATTGTCTTAATTACAGCAAATCTAATCCCTGCAAAACAGTGTTTCGACTGTAACTTCCTTAGCACATTTCCTCAGTAACTACAGAGGCTTTGTGTTTCTGTGTTTATTAGTCACCTGCGTTACTTGCATGAATTTCCTTTTCATAATCTTTGTTCATTTTTTTTCTAGCGGGTTGTCTTTTTCTTACCAATCTTAGGAGCTCCTTGTAAAATGGGGATATTATTTATGATACAAACATTTCTTCCGAGTTTGAATATCTTTCAGTTTGGTTCCAAATGTATTCAGCAATATAGAATTTTAAATTTTTATGCGATGTAATCTGTCACTCTTTTCCTTTGGCCTATAGTTTATAAATATTCATTCTCAACGATCTCCAGACCCACTCTGTACAATCGCAGCACGCTTCTTCCCAGAAAGGACCGGTGGAAGGGAGCTAGGCAGCAAACGCCTCAGTAAGAACATTCTGTGTCCTTCAAAATGGAACAGTTATGGATGACAGCTTTAACTACTTCCCAGAAGGTACACAAACATGCTAAAGTCAACAGCTCTCCAAATTATGCTACGTGAAAGAAGTCAGACCAAAAAAAAAAAAAAAACAACAGTATATCCCGTTTGATTCCATTTATATACAGGTTGGTGCAAAAGTGATTGCGGTTTCTGCCATTATTCTCAATGGCAAAAACCACAATCACTTTTGCACCAACCTATAAAAACTCGAAAATGCAAACTAACCAATGGTGATGAAAAGCAGATCATCAGCTCAGCGGAAGGGTGGCAGGGAGGGATTACCAAGGGGCAGGAGGAAACCTTGAGGGCCACAGATGTGCTATTTTAATTGTGGAGGTGTTTTCATGGGTGTATTCCTAGGTCAAGACTACCACACTGTACCCTTTTTGTGCAGTTTATTATATGTTAATTATACCTCAGTATAACTGCCTTTTGAAAATACAGTGTTAGTTACCTCAAAGCTTACGCCTGCCAGGGCATAGGCCTTGAAGTCTCCGATGGTTCCTTCCACCGCAGTCAGAACATAGCCCTCCTTCTGTGAGGTCACCGTGTACTCCAGGTCACTGTGCAGGGGGCCAACACTGAAGAGGAGAGAGCAGAATGCTAGCAACGGCTTTGTTCACACCCTGCAGGAAGCCTTACCAAGCCCAAGGAAATGTGGGCCCCAGTTTCTTCAGAGGACTCCCACGCTGATCCCAGGCACATGTGTCTCTATCCCGGGCTCACCTGTAGGCACCTTTGTCATCAGTAAAGACTGTGATCAGCGGTGAACTTGCCCCCTTTTCACTGATGACAATCTCGACTCCTTCCAACTCGGGGTGGATCTGGCCTTCTAAAAACAGGCCTGCCTTCCCATGGATCTCGATCAGCTTCCCTGGGCAGCTTTCTAAGAGGGGAAGAAATAAACACAAGGATGGGGCTTGGTAGCAGAGACAGGAGCTTCTTGGTTGGGGGTTTCCCATGACAAAAGTGGCTAAAACAGATCTTAGAAGCTAGTTCCAAATGCGGTTATTTAACACCCCGGGGAGCTCAATAATCGGATACAGCCCAAGCCTCTTTCCATCCCTGAAAGGCCTTTCTCAGTGTGAAGGACTTTAGCAAGAGAATCAAAAAACGCTGAAGGCTGGGTTTTTACTACTACTCTTCCTAGGTTCTCAGGAGGCCACAGATCAGGAGGGAACACTTTACAGCAGACAGGAGGCCGTGCTGCTCAGCCTCTGGAGGACCCACTGAGAAAGACCGCCCCAAACAGCCTGCCTGCTAGAAGTCACGCTCTTCAACACCCTCTGCTTCCAAACACGAACCACATAACACCCACAACTTAACGAAGCCAGAGTGCTGGGAAAAAAATAATAAGTGGCAAAAGACAAATACTCCACAAGTGATCACTTCAGTCATCCATTCCCCAAAAAAAGACCCTCCCATCATGCTCTGCCGAACAACAGAAAGATCATTAAAGATCATCACTGGCAGCTTTGTGCTTCATCTACCTTCTGGTGTCGACCTGATAATGTCAAAGAAAACCAAGTCCTTTTCCAAAAAGATCAACTCAATTCTAACAGCAAAAGTTACTTTTATTTATCTAAATCATTCATTCATTCATCCATCCATCCATCCATCCATCCATCCATCCATCCATCCAACCCAACCATCCATCCATCCAACCAACAGTAACATCTGTGTGCCAGAGAGGATGTAAGGTGGCTTACAAAGATGGCTTCACTATAACATCACAAATCTACTTGTAAATGCAGGCAAGGGAACAACTGCAAAGGTGTGTGTGACATTCGCTCGCTGAGTTGACATTTACCTCCACTGACAACGGCTTCCATTGAAGGGGGATAAAAGAGCAGCTCTTTAGATGACGGTGTAACAGTGATTTTCTCTCCAGACCTAAAATAATTAATATACTTCAGTTTGGCGGGTCCTGTCCCCACAAAACAGAGGACACTGTAGGGAAACGCACAAGAGAGCTTACCGCGCCCAGTAAGAGAAATCATACGAGAAGGGGCCTTGTAACTCATCTACCATCTCCTGCACGGGAGGCTTGGTCATTCTTTCTTCGCCTTCCTCATTGCCGTTTTTCTCCCTCTCCTGCCTGCGGGCCTCGATCTCAGCCAGCTGCTGCTCCCTCCGCAGCTCCTGCACAGACTTCAGAGGGCCTAAGACCAAGGCGGGTTCACTGTCGATGGAAGACCTAGAAGAAAGACGGCCCCTAGGACATAGTTGCGTATCCTTGTGGTCAGTGGGAATTTGACCTTTCTACGAGTATGGACTTGCGAGTTACAAACTGGACATCTTATCATGACACCACAGTGGCGGAGTCTTCTGTTTTAAATAAACTAGTAGTTTCACAAAAAATAACAACTGAGCTTCGCAGTGATGGTGGCAGTATCTGGTAGATCTGGGCTGGAATGAAATACGGTTGATTTTATGGCGACTGGATATAAGCTTGTAGCTTCCATGTAGGACATGGAGTTTTCTCCACACCACCATCCTCTGTTCTCCATTCTACCTTCGCTGAGAACTGCTCTGATAGAGAACTAGGCACCAAGGATACAGCATCAACAAAACAGACCACACTTCCTACCCCTGTGGAATCCACGTTTCAATGGGAAGGGGCTGAAAATAAAGAGAAAAATAATACCAGAGGAAAAGTGCAATAAAGAAAAATAAAGCAGTGTGGGAAGACGGAGAGCCCGGAGCACTGTTTTACATTAAAGGGACAGTCAAGGCCTTTCTGATAAGGTGACGTTGAGCAAAGGTCTGAAGGAAGGGAGAGAATGCGCCACGCAGCTCTCTGGGTAAACAGTAGCTTGGGAAAAGCGATGCCAAGTGCAAAGTCCTTGGAGAGAAAGCTCACTCAGATGTTCAAGCAATGGCAACACCAGTCCAGCCTGGGGCACAGGGGCCCACGGAAGAGTCATATCCAACAGAGAGGTCCAAGGGGCAGCAGATGTCAGACTGAGGCTTCACAGGCTTGGTGCCGACCTGGAGCCACTGGAGTTTTCAGTCGAGGAATGGTATGATAAAAGAAATCGTTCGCTCCTTCATGGAAAATACACAAAGCAATGGCGGAAACAGGAAGGCCAGCTGGGAAGCTGCTGCAGTGACCCCAGAGGGGGGTCAGACCAAGGCTGAGGGCCAAGTGGTAAAAAGGGACTAGATGACGGGTGTATTTTGATTGTAAAGCCAAGGCTTTGTTGGGGAATTGGCTGGGCCTAGGGTTCAAGGGAAATAAGAATCAAGAAACAAGGAGAAAGCGGGAGCTGCCATATCTGAATCAGAAAAGACCACAGAGGGGCTCATGGAGGGCAACTGTCAGCAGTCGGGTTTTGGGTCTGCTGAGTACAAGATCCCCAGGGGGAATCCGAGTGGCTCTGTCTAGCTGGAAGATGCATTCCATACAACCTCCGGCACAAGCAAGCAACACAAACACCCTTGTGAAGTTACAAAAATGAATGTAATCAAGCTGAAAGGAGGTAATATGCAGTTACTACTGGTAAGAAGGTAGATTGCTAGTCCTATCAGTAATTCATACTTTCCAAGCAGGGAGACAGTAAATGATAGTAAAAGACAGCAACAGACCTTCGGCAAATCCACCCCCAGCTAAAAACCTGGCTCCCCATCACCAGAAACCAGGGCCAGCCCTGACATTTCTCCCGCCCTAACCCAGTGGTCACTTTAGTGCCATGTCTCATCAACTCAGTCCCTCAACGACTCTCCGACCAGTCCGTCGCTCTCCATCTCCGCAGCCACTAGTCTGGGGCCCCCATTGCCTCCCCCTGCCTCCACCACCTCCCACTCTCAGGCCTCTTCTGTCTGTTCTCCACTCGGCCAATAGGGGGACCTTCAGGAAGAAAAATGTCATTCCTCTATGTAAAACATGTCAATTGCATCATGGGACAAAGACTATGGACCTTAACATGGCCTGGCCCCCCGCAGCCTACCTGTCCTGCATGCCCCCAAGGTCAAGCTCAAAGCACTCAGAACAGTTGTCATTTTACGGTTCTGCATGTGAGTATCTGACCACTGTTCCCCCCATGAGACTGTCAATCCCATAAGTGTAGGGGCTGTGGCCTCATAAGCCCAGTGCCTAAACACTGAAGACTCTCAGTTTTTCAGTCATCATGTACTCTGCAGGGATGACGGATGGATAAACAGATGGTGGACAGAAAGATGGAAACATAGCTGGAAAGGTGACTTCAACCAGGGGCAGGAGGGAGACAGGGACTGCGATGCCCATTCTACTTGACAGAGACGGTCATGTTGCCAAAACTCGTTCATTTCTCAAGAAAATTGGGGCGTCACAGGTACCTCACCACACTGCAAAAATTCCCTGAAAGGTGACATTCACATGAACGTGACCTTCGGTGAGGGACTTGCCTTTCAAATACTTCCTCTCTCACGACCCTTCTCTTATACCAGGTGCCATCTCTATTTCCCAAGCCTTCAAGCAAAAGTCTAAAGAAAAATAGGCAATTTGAATTTGCTAAAACACTTGAAATACAATGCACAAACCCCAGAGATTTTTTTTTTCCTTAGCAAAGATGAGAAGTACAAAGAGTTCAAACAGAAATTGAAGACACTGAAACAAGCTGTCGCAACGCTCTTCCTCACCCACAGGTAATTTCTGAATCAGAAAAGGAAAGGATCAAGGCTGCTGGGAATTGACGGCAATGTCCTATAAGAGAGGGAAGGCCATTTGTATATACATCTAGAGATAAGAAATCAAAACTAATTTCCAGAGAGCCTATTAGAGACTCCCCAGGCCTCATCCACACCCTCTCCCGCCACTCTCGGCCCACTGCAGAACGCTCATCTTACTTGATAGTCACAGTGACATCCATCATTTTGTCGGTGGTGATAGTTCCAAGGACATGGTGGCGAATGGCTGTCAATGTCAAGATACTAGGTGAAGACCTACAAATCAAAGCAGAGGAAACGCTAGAACCTACTCATTCTCAGAAGATCATCAGCAATACCCTTTTTGGGCATCCTTCTTCACCCTAAATATACTACAGAAAATTGCTCTTAGTCTGGGGTAAAATAACTCTGGAGATCCAGAGAAGTATTTTAAAGAGTAAACTAATTCTCCACTCCACAACTTTATGCTTCCAATTCCCAGTGAAACCCACACACTTCTGTAAAAATACAAAAATGGCAGACTTGAACTTGACAGACGCCCATCGGTGAGGGCTGGGAGATTTGACAAAGCTTCTATTTAAGGCACTTCAAAAACACAGCCCTCTATCCTGGGGTTACAGAATTCTTGGGAAAGGGATCCTGTCTCCGGTTCCTCAGTAACTAATCCAAGTGTCTTAAAATCCTTATCTAGAAATGCTGTTGAAGGCCTAACCTTGCCTCTTTCAGAAAAAAAAACAGAAAAACTCCTTTTGTTCTCTGAAGTAAATGAAGAATCCTCCACGGAATGTATACAAACACCACAAAGCATTCAATTCCCAGGCTTACGTGTCATAGGTGTAGAACGCTTGCTCAAACCGGTGGCAGGAGCGAGGGGTCACTTTGTACACACCTACAGACAGGAAATCAAAAGTAATTTTCAGAGAATGGCATCTATTACACCGAGCAATTCCGACATCTGAAATCGAGTGGCAGCTCTTTGCATGTGAAAACTCAAACGTATCGCAGATCTGCAATAATGGGATCAGAAATACTGGGCAGGCATCGTTTTCACTGCCTATGAAGGCGTCTTACCAATAACCCGATCCATGCAATGGCGCGATCACAGGCGCATGATTTTCATTTTCCATAAGGTAACAACTCACAGTAGTTAAATCTGCACAGACCAGGTGAACGGACCCATGCACGAGAAGGAACAGAAAGTACGTTTCTACTGCAAATTGGACTGAGGATAATTTCCTACTTAAAAGATTCTATTAAGGATCCAAGAGATAACCACAGCCTCAATTTCTTCCTATAAATATTCCTAAAAAGGAGGTAAGGAGTAAGGGAAGCCCCAGAAAAGTGTGAGTCTGTGTGGGAGGACACTCCGGCTAGGGGTACATTTCATCACTTGCCAGAGGAACACAGTCAATTTCAGGAAGATACAAGGAATAACAATGTATTTCCCCCAAATCATCATTAACCAATATTTTGGCCACACTTCCTACAAAAACCTGAAATTAGCTAAAACCACCCTGCTGTTTTCATTGCACTCAACAAGCCCCAGAGTAGTTACCATCAAAAAAAAAAAAAAAATCAGGTTTCTCTGTTTGTTTTGTTTGGTCTTTCATTCAACAAATATCGACAGAGCACCTCTTCCTGGCCAGGTATTATGCTAGGTACTGGTACACAGTGGGGAATGACAGAGCAGTGGTCCCTGTCTTCATGGAGTTTACCATCCACAGAGAGGGGGAGCATTTGACAGCCACAAACATATCAATTGTGGCACATGCAAGAAGGGGATAGAAGTGAGTGCTGATAGCAAGAGTGTAGGAGGCAGGCCTAAGTGGCCCTGGAGGCCATCCTTCCCCAGGGAAGCAATACTGAACTGATGGGTAAGAAGGCCCCAGCTAGGAGGGGCAGGAGGACATGTCCACAGAGAACAGCATCTGCCTCACAGGCTGGCTCATTGTTTCCTCAACAGGCATCCTTCCTGCCTTGAGAACAAACCCTGGTTATGTTGAGGGTGGCAACGTGCTCAGCCTCGGGTAGCACATCCAACTGTCCCAGCCTCCCTTGCAGCTAGAAGTAACCATGTGGCACGGTTCTGGCCAATAATACAGACAAGTAGCTTACTGGAGGAGAGGGCGCAAGGAAATGTTTGCCTGCCCTCTCCTTGACTTTCTCCTTTAAACATAAGTTTTCTAACAACAGCCATCTTGAAAATACAAGGCAAAAAATAGAAGGGAAAGGCCTAAAGAATCACAAAGACACCACCCCTAACATCTACCAGCTGCTGAACCCATGCTGGCAGCCACGCACTGCCACACTTCTTTATTGAGCCAAATAAACTACCACTTGCCAATGGCACTGCTGTATGGATTTTGTTACATGTAGCCAAAGGCAGCTGAACTGACACCCAGAAGGACAGAGTGGCTGGAGTAGAGACAGTGGCATACAGGGCTGGGTTACACAGGAGCTAAGATCAGGTTAAGGAGTTTGTATTTTATCTTGGGAACCAAACAGAGGAGCCACTGAATTATTCATTAGGAAAATGCAAAACAAAACCACCATGAGACACGACTTCACATCTACCAAGATGACTATAATAAAACAGACAATAACAAATGTTGGCGAAGGAGGTGAAGAAACCGGAACCCTCGTGCATTGCTGGTGGGAATATCAAATGACACAGCCTCTGTGGAAAACAATTTGACAGTTTCTTAAAAGGTTAAACATAAACTTATCACACAATGCAGCAATTCCATTCCCAGGTATCGAAACAAGAAAAATGAAAACATACGGACACAAAGACTTGTACAAGAATGTCCGTAACATTAGTCATAACAGCGTCAAACTGGAAACCACTCAAATATCCACCAACTGATAAATGGATACACAAAATATGATATAACCACACACCAGAATACTACACAGCAATGTAACAGAACAAACTACTGATATGTGCCATGACACAGATAAACTTCAAAAACATGTTAAATAAAAGAAGCCAAACAAAATACCAGCATCGTATGATAAACGTCCAAAAAAAGCCAATCCATGGGGACAGAAAATAGATCAGTGGCTGGCCATGGCTAGAAACAGGGATTAACTGTCAACGGGCACAGAGGATCTTACATTGTGGGTGATGAACAAATCTAAAACTGGATTCTGGCCGTGGTTGTGCAACTTGATAAATTTACTACAAATCATTTTATTGTACATCTTAAATAGGTGAGTTTTATGATATGCAAATTCTGCCTCCAAAAAAAGCCATTATAAAAGAGAGAGAAGGTTGGGTGCAGCAGCTCACACCTGTAATCCCAGCACTTTGGGAGGCTGAGGCGGGCGGATCACTTTAGGTCAGGAGTTTGAGACCAGCCTGGACAATGTGGTGAAACCCATCCCTACTAAAAATACAAAAATTAGCCGGATGTGGTGGTGGGCACCTGTAATCCCAGCTACTCGAGAGGCTGAGGCAGGGGAATCGCTTGAACCCAGGAGGCGGAGGCTGCAGTGAGCCAAGATCAAGCCACTACACTCCAGCCTGGGTGACAGAGCAAGACTCCATCTCAAAAAAAAAAAAGAGAAAAAAAAATGAGAAAGAGCGAGAAGCCACTGAAAGATTTTAAGCAAAGTGGGAAATGATTCAAATTTTAAAACAGCTCTATAAAGAGAGGCCATTGGCCAATGGTATATTTTTGGAGGTGAAAGGGCCCAGTGGTGTCTACCCAACTCAAACCCAAGACAGACAGAAAAACAAGAGCAGGTTGAACACACAGAAATTGAAAGCTTGATGCAAACAGAACTAAGGTAGAAAAAAATGCCTTCAAAACCATCCTCTGGTGCCTTTCCATTTTTCTAATTCATGGCACATCAATCCTTCCAAACTTACCAGGCTTGGACAGGCAGAATCGGTTGACTCCTTTGGAGAGGTTATAAATCCCCACATTCTCACGCCCATTTCCATCCTGATAAAATTCCTAAGGAAGCAAAGCCAATACAATGACTACTAAGAGAGATGGAGACACCAAGATGATTAATAATATTTCTCTTTCCAAACCAGTCATCTGTTTTGCCCATTAATCATTGGAGCAGTTGGGTGCCACAGGAAAATTAAAAACCTCCCAAAACTTCCAACAAAAGTGTGCTATTTTTCATTCAATCAACTAATATTTATTGAGCACCTGCTATGTGACAGACACAAGGCTGGGCCTTGGGAGTCATGACCATGGCTCCTGCTCTCACAGGGCTTATGTTCTAATACAGGAAGACAAAATCAACGCATCAACAAATAAATTAGTGATCTCAACTGGTCAGTAACGAAGCTGTGAAAATAAACAGGAAAGCAAGAGAAGAACAATCCCCACCGAGGGGTCTTTAGCTCGCTGGTCCCAGGGCACATCTCTCCTGAACAATAGGGCTGCGCCTGAATGAGGAGGAAAAACCAACAACACGTGTTTCTGGAGAAGACACAGCACTCCAGGCAGAGGGGAGAGTATGTGCAAAGGCCCCGAGGAGGGAGTGAGCTTGGTGTGGGACTGCAGAGGACCACTGTGGCTGGGGCCCGGCGAGTGAGGGGACAGTGGGAGGAGATAAAGAAGGGGTTAAGGAAGTGTCAAAAAAAAAAAAAAAAAGGATCTTATTACAAGAGAGCTGGAAATCCACTCCACTGCTGGAAGGGAAAGGTTTCCTAAATATCTATCACTTATTATGAACCGGATATTAATCGATCTCCTATAACAAATCGACCTGTCGAGTTTTTGTAATTAAGCAGTTAGGGGAGTAAGTTGGCACATGAAACACCAGTTCCAATTCTTCTAGTTTCTCTACAGAGAAACTAAGACCTGACGATGACATCTGCCGCCGCTCGACATCAAAACATTATAGAAAATTCACGAAGGGATCTACGGAGGTGCTCCTGAAACCCATTTCACACTGCCTTTCAGGCCACAGAGACCACAGTCAACAAGAAGCTAAGATCCTGTTTACAGCTTCTTCCCCTGCACTGGAACAAATACACCAGAGAAGGTGGGGCACAATGGCTCACGCCTGTAATCCTAGCACTCTGCGAGGCCAACGCGGGTGGATCCCCTGAGGTCAGGAGTTTTAAGACCAGTCTGGCCAACATGGTGGAACTCTGTCTCTAACAAAAATACAAAAAAAAAAGAAAAAAATTAGCTGAGCATGGCGGCACGCACCTCTAGTCCCAGCTACTCGGGGGGCTGAAGCAGGAGAATCGCTTGAACTCGGGAGGCGGAGGTTTCAGTGAGCCGAGATTGCACCACTGCACTCCAGCCTGGGCAACAGAGCAAGACTCCATCTCAAAAAAAAAAAAAAAAAAAAAAAAAAAAAAAATATATATATATATATATATATATATATATATATATATCAGAGAAACTCACTTGGCAGTACAGAGCGGTGTACACCAAGGACACTTTGATACCTAAGAGGGTTCACTTAAGCCCTGCCATAACCCTGAGAAGTAGGTATTAAGATCTCAATTTTCGGTGAAAACTGAGGCTGAGAAGCAGTAAACGAATTTACCCAAAGCTATTATTACTAATAATATAAAGCCAGTGTGCTCTGCACTGTACCAAAGGTCACCCCGAATCACCAGTCAGATTTAGTGTAGGGCCAGGACAAGGAAACCTCCTAAATACAGGGGTCCTTCCACTGAGAGAGTATAAATGCTTCCTGATTATGCGTTGCGTAACAGGTGGGCGAGTGGAGAGGCAGAAAAGGAAATCTAACTTGCCTACGTTTACAATATTCCTGGGATGTTAGTCTTTCTTGACATCCACAAGGCGAGCGCTTTTCCAAATAAGAGACTCAATAAGCCGTACATACCAGAGTGATGGCGTGAGACAGGGAACATCTCAGCATGTAGCCCGTCTGCCTGAACTCAACTGCAGACATGTCATCCTCCAGCACTTCCACCTCCAGGCTCTTGTTCTTCCAGCACCAATCCTCATGCATGATGCTTACTGCAAAAGCAAACACCAAAAACGGATACATGGGCGTGGAGCACACCACCTCCCTCCACGCCACCAGAAACAATGATCATGAATTAATCAATTTTAAAAAGCAGGTGTGTATGTAGACATAAAGATAGAAATATACACATACATATATTTATAACTAGCAGTATTTGGAATAAATTACTGCTAAAGAAAACCTGGAGTCGAGCGTGGTGGCTCATGCCTATAATCCCAGCACTCTGGGAGGCCGACGCACTTGGATGGCTTGAAGCCAGGAGTTCAAGACCAGTCTGACCAACATAGCAAAACCCCATCTCTACTAAAAATACAGAAGTTATCCAGGCATGGTGGTGCATGCCTGTAATCCCAGCTACTCGGGAAGCTGAGGCAAGAGAATCTCCTGCACCCAGAAGGCGGAGAGGTTGCAGTGAGCCAAGGTCGCGCCACCACACTCCGGCCTGGGTGACAGAGCGAGGCTAAATTTCAAAAAAAAAAGAAAGAAAAACTGGAACCAATTTCCATTACATCAAGAAAGAAATCTAATGGGGCCTGTAAGATCAGGCTGCAAGTAAGGTATTCAGGGATCCACAAACTTTTTCTGTAACTCTTTTCAGTTTTGCAGGCCACATGCTTTGTCAGCCTCAACCACTCGACTTGGCCACTGTTACACACGAGCAGCCATAGAGAATCCATAAACAAATGGGCAAGGCTGTATTCTAAGGAAACTACGCTTATAAAAGGCAGTTTTTGTAGTCTGCCAAGCCCTGCCATAACAGAAAATATTAATATAATTCCAGAAAAAGCAGTCTGTTTTATGAGCTATCCACTGCCAGCAGCCCCAAGCTGATTTCTGAAAAAGCAGAAATACAGGCAAGAAGTGGCTTCTTAAGAAGGGCAAGGAAAAGGGAAGTAACATTTGTGGGCACCAGCTACTTAGCTGGCTCTCTGCACAACGGGCTTTATAAACTTTACTTCTTTTAGTCTTATATTCTGCAGAAAGGTTCTATTACGTCTATTTTACAGATGGGAAAACTGAGTTTCAGGGAGGTCAAGTACCTTGCCATGGCCAGTACTCAGCACCAGTACTGCTAAGTTAGTAGAACACATCAGTGGAACTATTTCACACTCCTTTCTCTGGGCTTTAGAAATAAAATGCCATACGTCGGGGCACCCTCCCTTAACAGAAGCCGCCAGTGGGCTGTGCAGACAAGCTGGCGGTCAGCTCAGGGCCTGGACTCCTCCATGCTTGTCCAACGCTAAATAATGCAGTCAAGGTCACGAGGCAAAGACGACTTAAAACAAGGAAAGGTACATGGTCGTGATACAATTTGAGACCTGAGTTTTAGAAAGTTTACAAAGACAAGAAGTGTGTGAGGGCCACAGGATGTTGCATTCCAATTCTTACTTTTGTATTTTCCAGGGAGCACGTTGTCAAAGGTGAAAGTCATGGCGTTGACCTTGCCGGAGAGCTGGAGGCTCCGCTTCTCACCCTGGCGGCTCAGGGACTGTAGAGTCACCAGCAAGTCACCACAGGTGTCTGCAGGGAAAAGAAGGGAGGGCTCCATGTGACCCCTTATAAGGCTTCAGCACAGGTTTGAATCCTAACCCTATGTAATAGCTTCTTGCTACTGCTGAGCTCCTAAGAGGCAGTGGCCGGAGGCAGACGGAGTGCTTCTTTCAAGCTAACATGCACCCACTTGACTCCAAGAAGCCTCCCTCGCACGCAGGTGATCAGTAGCAAACAACAAAGGCAAAAGGAAAAGTTTCCCAAATCCCACTCCTACCGGCTGACTTCTTTGAAACTATGTGTTCTTACTTTCCAGTGATATCTTACCCAAACAAGAGACTTTCCCAGAAACTGATGCCAAGAACTGTACAAAGGCCACATCCATCATGGGCCTGTTGGTCACAGTAAGAGGAAATGTCTGGGGTTTCAACGTCAGCCCTGCTCTGGTTTCTGCCTCAGGAACCATCACCTGTGGAAACGTGGATGGAACGTTAGAGGCTGCATTCGGGGAGATCTTCCCCCTGACCTACAGGGCGCTAGAACATTCATCTGGGACCAAGGCTAAAGAGATTTTGAAGGCCAAAGGTTCGTTTCCAGGCCGATTTTACAATCACAACAAATCCACGAATAACTTGTGTGAAGTAAGCACAGTTCTACCCAGATGAAAAATTAGCCTCAACAGACCGATGTGTATGAACAAAAGTCTATCTGGCCTAATTCCCCACAGGCCCGCAATGCGGACACGCCTCACTTACATACTAGAAACCATACTACATCCCAGTCACTTTTCCCGGCTTCGGATCACTTGTAGCATAAGCTCTGAACCTGTTAACACTATGTGGATGACACTTTGGTGGAATTAAGTCATTTTCTTCCTCCTATTGTTCTGCGTGCCTTTCATGGGCTAAGAAGAGGAACAGGTGAAGGTAGCAGCGGTCAACTCTTTCATCCCTAGTAAAGACGACACTGCCCTTCCTTGGAGAAGTCCATCATGCTTCCGAAAGGGCTTCCAAAGACTTGTCAATGTGGACATCTTCGCAAGAAGCCAGCTACCATCTAATAAAGGCAGCTGTCAACCCACACACCACGCTGTTCTGTGGAAGCAGGGAGAACGCAATCTCCTACCCTGTTTCCCACAGAGGGAGGGACCCCACTTTGCCCTAGAGGACAGCAGAGTCTAACAGGGAACCTTCTCGGCCCTCTCCCTTTGTGTTATTTGCTCTTCCACAGGGAGGAAGGGCAGCTGCTGATTTGATGGGTGACAGCCCACGGAAACAGTCTCTCCCCAAGGGCAGGGCCACTGCACTGAAAGGCATGGTGGGCTGACCTCTGCTCTGTCCTGTCTCTTGCTTGCTTGGGCCAGCTGTGGCTTGGGCCTTCACCATGGTGATGAGACCACAGGCCAGACCGTCTCCCCGTTCTCGGCCTGCTTGAATGGATAAGTCGCGTGGTCCCTGCCTAGCCATCTTGAAGTCAAGGCAAAGCAGGAAATGGGAAGCTCCATTTTGGCCTGGGGTCCCAGAAGCCACGCACTATGGCCATTTTTGAGCGGCCATTAGTAGAGTTCATTTTTGGTGTCCTCTTGGACTCATCGACATTCTACAGCAGCCAGAAGCCTGAAGGTAGAGGAGTGACTGGCAGCCTGATACTAATAAACATCAAGACTGGAAAAAAGAGAGGCAGATGGCATTATTTTTTAGCTGGATGCCTATCTGACTCTCCTCTACTGGTGCAGGATTGTAAAGACTTAGAAACAAGAAGTTGGAAACTGGAATGCTCCTTCTCTAACCCCATTCGACCTAATAACCCTTCTAAAAATCACTGCTTTTTCTCAAAACATTTTAAATTTAAAACAATGCATCGCACCTGCACTTTGTAAGTCCCTGGTTTTGCTTTAAAACAAAATGATCCATGAGCATCTGTCTCCACGGTGACCAAAGACTTGTCCTTGTCTTGAGATGACAGGACAACTTTGTATTTATTCATCTGCTTGACGGTGTCGGGGAAGCGAATGATTGATATCTGACCACAGACACTGAACCTGCAAAGAGAAGACCATTCATTCCAGCACGAGGACTCAATTATAACAGGAAAGGCTCTTATAGACCAAAAAAGATGCAGCCCTCTCCCAGCCCTTGTTCCTGAGAATAGTCTAATCTTAATGAAGAGACAGAATGCAGTCCAGATGATTCTGGTTTTAAAAAGCAACCTTCATTCTGGTTTTAAAAAGCAACCTTCAGAAGCAAGACTGGGCATCTTTCTACAGAACAGGGGCCCGTAGTGGGGCTGTTTGTGTGTTCCGGGTGACATCTGGCAATCCCCCACTGCAGAGGCAATTTTAAGAAAATCTGCAGATAATAAAAACGTTTCAGGTAATTGGATCGTTGACAGCGGAGCGGCCTTGGACTGAGAATGTGGGCTAGCCCTTAAAAGCAAGAGCTCTAAGCTGCCTAAGAAACTGTGGCATTACCAGGCCATCAAATAAGTCAGGATTATCAAAGACGTCTTCCTTGCTTGTGATTATATATAATACATGGATGAAAGCAAACAGGGAGATTGGAACAGAAAAGGTAATTAAGTTAAAAAATGCAAAGCTAAAATTGAACTCCTTGGGAGGTAGGAGCCACAAATGTAACTTATAACTGAAAAGCCCTATTAAGGTAATGCTTCAGATTTGAGATTCTAAATAAGGAGTAAGGTGTTGCAAGGCATCCCTCGAATAACACACGAGAGGCCCCCCTACAACGACCATCATCCTTGGAGTGCTGGTCTTCATTTCTGAAGCAGCTGGTGTGTTAAAGTGTAATAGTACATCCTAGCTGGGGGTCACAGTTGTCTTTTCAACTGTTCATTTTAAAGAATCTTCAAGAATCATTTTAGATAAAAATTAGTTACTTCTGACATAAAGATAATCAAGAATGTTGGATTCTGACAATTAGGGGTACATTAAATGTTGGAACCACCACTCCGCCTCAAATAAAAAAAACAGTGGAAAACACAAGGAAATGGTGGAAGATTGTGTATGTGAAATCTAGGAATCATGAAAAACACAGCCATTTCTTCAGAGTGAAGGGACTGCCCAGCCATATGAGCTCACTATCTCCAGCATGGGTCAGCAAACTACCACCCAAGGACCCCCCTCCCGTTTGTGTATGAACTGCAAGCCGAGAAAAAGAATTTTACACTCTTAAGTGGTTAAAGTTAAAAAAAAAAAATCAAAAGAAAGATAATATTTCACATGTAAAAATTACATGAAATGCAAACTGTGGTGTCCAAAAATGTAGTTGTGTTGCGCTCTGCCCATTCATTTACAAATTGTCTATCTCAGCTGTTGTCCTAGAGACCGTATGGCTCACGCAGCCTAAAATAGTTATTCTCTGGCTCTCCACAGAGAAAGTGTCCCAGTCCCTGACCTAGCATATGCATTTTGGTTCTCACATTCCCCTACTGTGAACTTTCAGAATAAAAGGATGGGAAGCGAACACTGACACAATCATTCCCAAGGACCTGTCATATTCTCTTGATTTGTGTACCTGTCAGAGGACACATCACCTTGTCTATTTCCTATCAAATCTCTTTGCCTCCTTAAGTTGTAAATATTTGAACCATAAGATCTGTTTTAGCCCACATTCTTATTAAAAAGAAGTGCCTATTTTCCCTAAACCTCAAATCTATACTGGCTTAGTCTGGAAAAATAAACCAAAAGGGTGGTAGAAAAAGGTTCCGTTATACTGAAGCCCTTAAAAATTGATTTGTATCAATAAATTCTTTCAACAGGGTTTAAATACATATATGGACAGAAACAGGTAATATTGGTGGATATTGAGAGAAATCTATTTTCACAGTCATTTGGACAGAAGCCAAAGAGTTTGTTTTTACAATAAATTGAGTAATTTTTTTATTTTACTTTAAAGGAAGACTAGGCACCATGGCTCAGCCTGTAATCCCAGCACTTTGGGAAGCCGAGGCGGGTGGGTCACTTGAGGTCAGGAGTTCGAGACCAGCCTAGCCAACACGGCAAAACCACATCTCTACTAAAAAATATAAAAATTAGCCTGTAATCCCAGCTACTCAGGAGGCTGGGGCAGGAGAATCACTTGAACCCGAGAGGCGGAGGCTGCAGTGAGCCGAGATGGCGCCACTGTACTCCAGCCTGGGCAACGGAGTAAGACCCTGTCTCAAAAAAAAAATAAAAAGGAAAAGAAATAGTAAGAAGTATCAGTGTGCTAAAAAGGCAAATGTACTACGTCGGCCAATTAAAAAACAGAGATTTTTCCAAAAATGTTCAACAAATGCTATTTTTCTTTCTTTGACCCAAATACTCTACTTTAAAGGAGAAAATAAATATATTTCCTCCATCTCCGTGAACAGCGCCGCCTCCATCTACCCAGTGGCTCAAATAAGAAACCTGTAACCTCAACAGCACAGGCCTGTGGGTGTGTTCTCCATGTGACCTACCAAATCCATCTACTCCTCGCTCCCTCGCCTGCCAGCCGCCTGGGCCCGGCCACTACCATATCTCCTCCAGACAACCACCACTGCCTCATATCTGGCCCCTCCATTCACACCATGGCTTTCCTCCAATCCATTCTCCACACAGCAGCCAGGAAGAAAAACAAACTTTTTAAAGTACCATGATCCCTATCACTCCCTTGCCAACTGATAACTCTTTTTTTTTTTTTTTTGAGACGGAATCTCACCCTGTCGCCCAGGCTGGAGTGCAATGGTGCAATCTCAGCTCACTGCAACCCCTGCCTCCCGGGTTCAAGCGATTCTCCTGCCTCAGCCTCCTGAGTTGCTGGGATTATAGGCGCGCATCACCATGCCCCGCCAACCTTTTGTATCTTTAGTACAGACCGGGTTTCACCATGCGGCCAGGCTGGGCTTGAACTCCTGACCTCATGATCCGCCCACCTCAGCCTCCCAAAGTGCTGAGATCATAGGCGTGAGCCACCGTGCCCGGCCAACCAACAGACAACTCCTAACGGGTTTCCACTGCATTAGGGAGCAAAGCCCAATCCCAAAGCAAGGCTACAAGGCCCCAGAGCTCCCTGACCTCACCCACCTCCTCCAGCTGCGCAGACTGCCTTTCAGGTCCTTCCTATCCTATGCAGGCCTCTGAGCATGTTGCTTCTCTACTAGGGAAGATCTTTCTTTAGCTAACTTTTAGTCTTTACTAAGGTCTCTGCAACCCAGAGAGCCTTGCAGAGCTCCCACTCTAAATTAGCTCTTCTTGCAGCACCCTGATCTCTTCTCTGCACAACACTTGCCATAATTTAGCAGCATAAATGTATTTGTCTTGTCTTTTTTTAAAATCTTGTTATTTTATTTTTTAATTTTTATCTCTTTATTTATTTATTTTTAGACCAGGTTATGAAACTAGCTAATTTTTGCATTTTTGGTAGAGATGGTGTTTTGCCAAGTTGCCCAGGCTGGTCTCAAACTCCTGGGCTCAATCGATCCGCCCACCTCTGCCTCCCAAAGTGCTGGGATGGATTACAGGTGTGAGGCATTAAGCCTGGCCACAGATGTATTTGTCTTCAGTCTGTCTCCCTGGTAGGGTGAAAGCCCCATCTCTGGAACACTAGTTTGATTAATTATTAGGTATGAAGCATTTTTCAGTGCCTCATCTAGAGTAATTGCACAAAGTGTTTATGGAAGGTGGGAAAGACTTAAATCCAAGAATTACTTTCTGAGGGTAATTTGCTTCCCTGTCTTCCATTCACCACTGGACTCCTTGACCTCGACCTCCATCTGTCTACAGAAAAGAGTCACTGTGGCCTCCTCAGTGATCAAGCCAGGGGACTGTGTTCACCAGGGCCCAGCTCCCTGCACCTCCCTGTTGGGCACTACCTCCTACCCCAAACTTACTTTCTTAGCTCCTGTGACCTCATGCTCCCTAGGTCCCCCCTGGGCCACCTGGCACTCTGTTTTTGGCCTACTGTTCTTCTAATTCTACTTGCACATACATATTTGAGGTCCTGGCTGCCACCTGCGGCCAAATCTTCAGGATTTACCATCCATCCAAGTACCTATTGAAGAGCTCCACCCAGTGGTCCTACAGACCAATGTGGCCAAATCTGAACCCTCATCACCTAACTGGCTTCTCTTTCTGTCCCCAGCCATCACACCTCTCAAGCTGGGCACCCTAAATATCTCACCAGTCTGTCCCTGACTTCCCTACAAGGCAAGCCCTTGTCGTCTCTGCTTTCAGAGCTCCTGTGCCCAAGTCCTGTCCCCTTCAAAGCCACTCTACTCCATGCCATTGTTTTCAGAATGCCCTATTGAAAACAATGATCAAAGCTTGTTATATTAATGCTCAAAACCACTCATGGCCCGTTGGCCCCAGTGGGAGAAAGCCCCTACGCCCCGGTGGGGTGTGAGGAGGTGCTATGGGGTTGGCCTCATCATCACCTTCACCTGCCAGTATATTCTGCTTCAGTAGCACCCAGCTTTACACCCGCAGCCACCTCATGCTGCTGTGAGACTGCCTGACTTTGCTCATGCCGCGCTTCTCCCAAGCAGACCCTGCAGTCTCCTTCTAAGCTACTGTTTTGTGAGCACCTGTTATGTCTAAAGCTGTTCTGCAGGTTACATACAGGTGGATCTGGTATCTGACTCCAAAGCCCAAGTTCTTGGCACTACACAATCTTGCTTCAGATGATGGTAAAACCACATGAATTCAACCACAAGATGTCCCTGCCTGTACTTATAGTATAATGAGTAACTACAAGCAGGAAGAACTACACCAATGACCTGAAGCATCTTCCAATAAGCTTTCTCAACCAACAATACCATCTTCCAAAAATCCTCAAAGATTAAGCAAAGAGGGGTCCTGTGAAAGATCGTGAAAGTCAGACATGAAAGATTTTTTAATTTCACAAGCCCATTTTAATTTGAAGCAAGGGACTTTTCATTAAGCATCCGACATGTCAGTACCTTCAGTTTGTAAGATTTAGAACTAATCTTTCTTGGCCGGGTGCAGTGTCTCACACCTATAATCCCAGCACTTTGGGAGGCCAAAGCAGGCAGACAGCCTGAGGTTAGGAGTTTTGAGACTAGCCTGGACAACATATAGTGAAACCCTGTCTCTACTAAAAAATACAAAAATTAGCTGGGTGTGGTGGGGCACGCCTGTAGTCCCAGCTACTTGGGAAGCTGAGGCAGGAGAATCACTTGAACCTGGGAGGCAGAGGTTGCAGTGAGTCGAGATGGCACCACTGCACTACAGCCTGGGCAACAGGGCAAGACTCTGTCTCTCAAAAAAAAAAAAAAAAAGTACTAATCTTTCTTAAGTTCTTAAGCTCGGCAAAGACACACAGATCACAGGTCATTCGGTTCTACACTGGCTGCCAGCATATTTACTGGCGCTTCCAAATCCACACGATAAGCTTACCCTGTTGCAATAATGTCAGCCAGCTGAGGTGTGTTCGGTGCAATTTTGATGGTGACCGTTTCAAAGTAGAGGTGCTCTTTCTGAGCATGGATGGTGTATGTCCCTGTGGTTATGTTCTCAAGGCGGAATGAGCCATCAGCTTTTGTTTTAACTGTAAAACAAAAACACACAAACAGAAGATAAGCCAAAAACAACAGTGTATCCTTACATGTACACCAGAATACTTGGACCAAAAGCTGCCATGTTCTCATATAGTCATCAGTTCCTCTCCATTTCTCTCTGTGATCCAAAAAGAGCGCTGGCCATCAGCCTGGGGCTGCTGTGTCAGCCCACCTTTGATTTGGTTATTCAGGGTGACTACTGCTTCTGGAACACCATCTCCTTCGGGTCCGTTCAAGACCCTCCCGGTGACGGAGAATCCCATGACGTGGAACACGGGCTAGAAAACAAAGAACAAGAAGAAGGTGCTCGAAGGTGCTCCTGTGCCAGAGCCACAAAGACTCCTTCTGCTGCGCCGGCCACCACCTACCATGTCTGCTCCTGCCGCCCACCTCCCAACACTCAGTGCCCCGGTCCTGTGTGCCAGCCAGGCTCCCTCTCACTTTACCCACATCTGTCTTCTCTGTTGTGTTCCCAACACACTGCTGAGTGTCAAACAACAGAAAAGTCTAGAGACTTACTTCCCTCGTTAAAAGGTCACTGACTCAAGCTTCTAGAAGCCCCCCACCCTTACCCCGGTGCCATCTCCTCCCCTCCAGATGCCCCCATTTTGGTGAACCACGTCTTCCTCCAGTCTCCCATGCACACCCCGGCATCACTTTGGATGCCCCGCCCCGCTCCTCCAGCATCGATCAGTCCTGTGGATTCCACCTCTGCAAGGTCTCACGTGCCCCCTCCTGTCTTTCCACCACGACCTGAACACAGGTCCTTATGAAATCCACCTAGGCCAGGCGCAGTGGTTCACGCCTGTAATCCCAGCACTTTGGGAGGCCGAGGCAGGCAGATCACTTGAGGTCAGGAGTCCAAGACCAGCCTAGCCAACATGGTGAAGCCCTGTCTCCACTAAAAATACAAAAATTAGCCAGGTGTGGTGGCAGGCGCCTGTAATCCCAGCTACTCGGGAGGCTGAGGCAGGAGAATCGCTTCAACTCGGGATGCGGAGGTTGCAGTGAGCCAAGACAGTGCCAGCCTGTGTGACGCAGCAAGACTCTGTCTCAAAGAAAAAAAAAGAAATCCACCTAGACCACCCTCCTCCACCACCATCACTGGCTCACACGTGGTCCCATGCTCCATGTGTCTGTGTCTGTGTCTGTGCCCCACTCGCCTGTGAGCAGCACACCGGTGCTTTCTCTGCAGTTACTGAGTTCCAGCCCTGATCTGTGTATCCCCAAGGTCACCACTGCTAACCCATTTTAGTATCTTCATCAAACTTACCAGTATCTGAAATGTCCTCGTTCGATTTCTTAGTTGTCTCCCTCCCACTAGCATGTTACCTCATGGAGACAGGGATTTTTTCTGTCTTAGTCACCTGGTACACAGCAGGCACTCAATAACTGACTCCTGAATGAATGAATGTGTGCACGCACGTGTGCAACAGCATTTGAGATGAAGCTTTAAATAATTAAATGACTTCCTTTTTATGCAGGGAGCCCTTCTTTTTTATTTTTTTATTTTTTTTTCAGCAAATGGTTTCTTAGTGATGGTCTCACATGACAGGTAGTCCTTCTTGATCTTTCCAAAAAGACATGTTTCATTCCATGCATTACCTACTTATTAATTCACATATGTACTCAACAAATATTTTTGCTGGGCACCTACTATGTGCCAGGCACTAAATCACACGTTAGGAAAACAGTAAAGAATAAGACACGGTACCTGACCTCAGGGAACTTACAGGGCCCCATTCCCTGAAATTCCATTCATCATTTTCAAAATATGTATTTGGCTGTAATCTGGGAATAGCTGTCTCTGCTCACCTGCCCCCATCCTTCTCTGCAAGCTATGAGAAGCAAAGTAAAGGCTTCATCTTCTTACCCTTCTCTTTCCCCTCCAGTGTACAGCAGAACGGTCAAACACTCCACTGAATCTTAAAATGCAGAGTCTGCACCCCACTGTGCATATGACCTAAAAGTCCGCTTCTGCCAGTTTAAGCGATTTTAACACAGTACTTTCAAATGTAATATTAAAAGAAAGTGATTAAAATATAATTGCTTCGATAACTCTAACATTGGGTGGTCCACTTAGGAGAGGCTGTTATTTTCTTTTGGGATTTGTTCTAGCTAGCCAATTTTCTACAGTAACCATTTTCTACTTCTGTAATTAAAGGAGACGTAAGTGAGATGAAAAATACATTTACCATTTATGTGAGGGTCTAGGCAGTTTATCAAGCCATGTATCACACTGCCCATTCCTACCACCACGGTCCAAGCTCTGCCAGTTCTCACCTGGTTTACGGCCATGGCATCCCAACTGGTCTCCCACTTCCACCCTGACACCCTGCAAACTCTCCTCAATGCAGCTGCCAGAAGGATCACGCCACTCCTCTGCTAGGAACCTTCCAGTGGCACCAATTCTCACCCAGAGTTATAGGCAAAGTGGCCCACCAAGCCCTGCACAATCTGCCCTGTCACCTCCCTGACCCTCTTTCCGCCTCCTCCTTCCTTGCTCATTCCCTCCACTCCAGCCACCCTGGCCTCCTTGGGATGCCCCAAACCCTTCAGCACACTCCTGCCTCAGGACCTTTGCACGTGCCGTTCCCTCAGTCTTACACACTCTTCCTGCAGGAGTGAAGTATGGTTCTCTTGTTCTTTCCCTTCAGGTTGTTGCTCAAATGTCACCTTCACAGGGAGGACTTCCCAAAAACACCCTATGTACAACTGCAACCCCTGTCTCCACCCTGATACTGTACGACCTCCTTTCTTCCTTTATTTTTCTAGAGAACACTTATCACCTTCTACTGTACTTTCTAACTTATACATCTATACATGTATTGACCCTTCCTGTCATTAGAACATGAGGTCTAGCCAGGTGCGATGGCTCACACCTGTAATCCCAACACTTTGGGAAGCCGAGGCAGGCAGATCACTTGAACCCAGGAGTTAGAGAACAGCCTGGGCAACATGGTGAAACCCCATCTCTAACAAAAATACAAAAATTAGCTGGGCATGGTGGCACGTGCCTGTGGTCCCAGCTACTCAACAGGCTGAGGTGGGAGGATCACTTGAGCCCTGGAGGCAATGGCTGCAGTGAGATGAGATCGTACCACTGCACTCCAGCTTGAGCCACACAGTGAGACCCTATCTTAAAAAAAAAAAAAAAAAAAATGAGGTCCACAGGGACAAGAATTTTTGCCTCTTTTGGTCACTGCTATATCCCCAGTCCTGGAATGGTGCCTGAAATGCATGTCACTGGCAATCAATAAATATATTTCATTGAATGAGTAGATTTAACTAGGAATCCAGCTCTCTACGATAAGGACATCATGGGTAAGAATATAATACCAGATGGCATTTTTTCCAACAGCCCTTCCAGATAAAATAATTGATTTTTTTTTAAAACATGTTTGCAATACCTGTGCCTAGGGATGGGAACTCAAACACCTGTCCCTCCAGAAGACAGAAAAGCCTTACCTCGATTTTCAAGCTGTCATGCTCCACTGTGAAGTCAAGTCTGGAAGGCGCCACATCAAAGGTAATCCTCTCCCCTCGATAGAACGGAATCTGGAAGGAAGAGTCTGTTAATCACTAAGAACCACTAACATGATCAATCAGCAATATTAATAATCGATCTAGCAGCCCACAAATGACAAGGGGTTCAGACAGACCAAGAGAAACATTCATCATAACTGTTGCAGATTCGAAAAGAGGAAGCCTTGCCCTTTTTGTAGCTATTACGAAGGGGTGAGTGTCTCATCTTAAGTAAGTTACTGCTTAACAGCGTGTTCAGAGAACTGCAGGCCAACCATCTTTTCCTTTAACACCCAAACAGCATTGGCTTTTACTGTGTCATGAGAGTCTCAGACATAAACAGAACGGAAATCTGCTTTACTCACCACAGTGTAGCCCCCACTTGGCAAGGAATAGAAAGAGAACGAGCCATCTTCTCTGGAGACCGTGTAGCACAAATACACCAGACTCTCGTCTTGGGGCTGGAACCCAGGCACTGGTGAGACATTGCAGCCCAGGACATCCTATGCCAGGGGGTAAAAAAGACAAGACTTCCTTTTCCATTTACATGTTCTGAATACCATCAATTAGCCACATTATAGGAAAATTTTTTTAAGTTTCATGTCAATATATGTATTTCTGAAATCTAAGACACATTAATACAGATAAAAGGAACAAAAATCTTGACATTCAAGTTGCAAAGTTAAAAACTGGCACAGTCTTCCCGGGAAAGATGACATGACTGTCCTTCCTTATCATGGGTCACCATTCTCCAAATAAGGAAACGGAAGCTCAGGAAGGTAATGTGACCGGCCCAGGGTCGCATAGCTAGGAAGAGGAATTTGTTTAAACCTGAGATTTGTTTAAACCCAGGTCTGATTTCAAAGCCTGTGTACTTTCCATCACATACCACTGCCTCCCAGTGTAGATGTGCAATGTCTTGTGAGTCAACAGAGACACATGATATTCTTGAATTTTTTTTTTTTTTTTTTGAGAGTCTCACTCTGTCACCCAGGCTGGAGTGCAGTGGTGTGATCTTGGCTCACTGCAACCTCCACCTCCTGGGTTCAAGCGATTCTACTGCCTCAGCCTCCCACGCAGCTGGGACTACAGGCACGTGCCAACATGCCCGGCTAATGTTTTTGTATTTTTAGTAGAGATGGGGTTTCATAATGTTGGCCAGGCTGGTCTAAAACTCCTGACCTCAAGTGATCCACCCACCTTGGCCTCCCAAAGTGCTGGGATTACAGGCATGTGCTACCACACCCGGCCTGAGACAGACGATATTCTTAAGTGTTAAAATGATAAATCAACTCAGACCTGCATTTTTTAAAACAGTACGTTCTGGTCTATAATCCCCCACCCTCCTACCCTTCACACCATCTCTTTTGTTCTTTTCTTTGCTTACCTCTTTAGTTACTAAAGAAGAAAAGAGAAGAAACTTCACGCCTTTCATGGGCTCCCCATCACTTCGGACAGAGCCAGACACATTGTAGCCAGCAACTATGAGGGGACTGGCCGCATTGGCATTGGAGTTGGTTACACGCACTGTGGTGCTTGCCTGTAACAGAAAAAGATTTTAACCTGTAAAAAAATAAACACTTGCAAAGTGCCTAACAACATGAGGACATGCTGAAGCTAAAATATTAACTGGGAAACGTAATCTATAAAATTGCTTATTCAGTATGATCACTTCTTTTCTTGAGACGGAGTCTCAGTATGTCACACAGGCTTGAGTGCAATGGTGCAACCTCGGCTCACTGCAACCTCTGCCTCCTGGGTTCAAGAGATTCTCCTGCCTCAGCCTCCCAAGTAGCGGGGATTACAAGTGCTCGCCACCACGCCCGGCTAATTTTTGTATTTTTAGTAGAGACAGGGTTTCACCGTGTTGGCCAGGCTGGTCTCGAACTCCTGACCTCAGGTGATCCGCCCGCCTCAGCCTCCCAAAGTGCTGGGATTACAGGTGTGAGCCACCGTGCCTGGCTTATCATTATTTTTTAATGCCCAAAATGAAGTGAAAGGAAATGTGGCAAAATGTAAACAATAATGATTTTGTCTATATGGTGCTATTTTACTTGTATACTTTTCCAGCTTCCAAAATTTGTTTCCACTGCTTTATATTCCTCTATATGTTCCAATTTTTTTAATGAGCATATTTTGCCTTTTTTTCTATTTTTAATGATATATAGTGTTAACTGAAGATTAGCCTAAAGCTGCCTCCTTACATATTTTAAGTTTGGCCTAAAGGTTTCTCTGTACGTGTTGCCAAGTCTCACCCAATTCAAGCAGCCACCCTTCAACTACTCACAGGCAGCCAACTGTTCAAACCATGTGCAAATAAGACAAACGTCCAGCTGTAACCAATCCAACTGTTTCTGTACCTCACTTCCACTTTCTGTCCGTCACTTTCTTTTTCTGTCCATAAACCCTTTCCAATCACGCAACAGTGCCACAGTCGCTGTAAACCTATTCTGGCTCAGGGAGCTGCCCAATTGACAAATTGTTCTATGCTCAATTAAACTCTGTTTAATTTGCCTTAAGTTGTTCTTTTCACAATATGTGTATATTTTTAAACATTTTTGTTAAGGTACAATAAACACAGAGAAAAGTGTACAGATTCTAAGCACACAGCACAGGGCTTGTCACAAATTGGGTACTGGTTACCCAACAGAATAGCACCAGCAAGCCAGAAGTGCCCTCACACTTGCTTCCGGTCACTAACACCCCAGGAGGATAAACATTATCCTGACTTCTAACAACATGCTTTACTTGAAAATCCCAATCTCATATTAATAAACTCAGATTCTTCTATGCAGACAATTAACATACAATGTAAACCTTAAAATCTCTTCTATTTATAAATGTGTAAGCTCTTTCATTTCGAATAAATTTTTTTTTTTTTTTTTGAGATGGAGTCTCACTCTGTCACCCAAGCTGAAGTGCAGTGGTGCAATCTTGGCTCACTGCTACCTCCACCTCCCAGGTTCAAGCGATTCTCCTGCCTCAGCCTCCCGAGTAGCTGGGATTACAGGTGTATGCCACCATTCCTGGCTAATTTTTTTCTATTTTTAGTAGAGATGCGGTTTCACCATGTTGGCCAGGTTGGTCTCAAACTCCTGACCTCAAGTGATCCACCCACCTCAGCCTCCCAAAATGCTGGAATTACAGCATGAGCAACTGCGCCCAGCCTTGAATAAAATATTTTTAAATGTTGCTGCAGAAGAGAAAAACCCCCAAAACCAAAAGTCATAAACAGTAAGAAGAGAATCTAGGTGTGAAACTATCATCAATTATAAGTGCGTAAAACCTACAGAGTAAAAATAATAATAAAACAGATAGAGTAGAAGCTGAAATACTGATTCCAATGCTTCTTTAGCAAAAATGAGATACAGCTTCAATACTAACACAGAAGCTAACATGTCAAGATGTCCCTTAAGTCTTATTTCAATTTGGTCTTTCACGGCTATTACAGAACCTCACCTACTAGGTGGAGTTCCTTTTTTGATCTTTGACTATAAACTATTTCAGTCAAACAAAAAAAGATATGCTAAAGAACACTTACATACCTTCTAACCAGCTAAAGAAATTTAAAAAAATACAATTCAAGATGCTGGCATACCCCGAAGTCCCCCTCCTCCCTCTTTCTCTAGAAGTCAGTATCATTTTGAACAGCGTCTGCTATTCCCATACATGTCTTCATAATTTTTCTACATAAGACTGTATCCTCCCTGTCCCTACTAAAAATACAAAAATTAACTGGGCATGGTGGCAGGCACCTGTAACCCCAGCTACTCAGGAGGCTGAGGCAGGAGAATCGCTTGAACCCAAGAGGCGGAGGTTGCAATGAGCCGAGATCGCCCCATTGCACTCCAGCCTGGGCAACAAGAGCAAGACTTCATCTCAAAAAAAAAAAAGACTGTATCCTTAGCTAGGGGCAGTGGCACATGCCTGCAGTTCCAGATCCTTGGGAAGCCAAGGTGAAGGATCGCTTAAGGCCAGGAACCAGAGGCTGCAATGAGCCATGAATATGTCACTGTACTCTAGCCTGGGCAACAGAGCAAGACCCTGTTGCAAAAAAAAAAAAAAAAAAAAAGACTGTATCTGGCCGAGTGCACTGGTTTATACCTGTAATCCCACCACTTTGAGAGCCCGAGGCTGGTGGATCATTTGAGGCTAGGAGTTCGAGACCAGCCTGGCCAACATGGCAAAATCCCATATATACTAAAAATACAAAAATTAGCTGGGCGTGGTGGCACATCCCTGTAATTCAGCTGCTCAGGAGACTGAAGCCGGAGACTCGCTTGGACACAGAAGGCCGAGGTTGCAATAAGCCAAGATCATGCCACTGCACTCCAGTCTTGGCAACAGAGCGAGACTCCGTCTTTAAAAAAAAAAAAAAAAAAAGACTGTATCCATAAATGATTATCACAAGTATTTAAAATCATATTTCCTTCAACTCTGTTTTTAAATGTAGTTACATTGATATATGTAGCTCTGGTTCATTCATTACTGCTGACATACAGCAGCCTATTGTATGATGGAACCCCAATCCATTCTTCTCTTAAAAGGCATTTAGGTTGTTTACAATATTTTGCTATTACAAACAAAGCTGCAATAAACATTCTCATACATTCTCCTTGGTCACGCGTACCACAGTTTCTAGAATGTTTAGTATATTTACAGATTTCTGTTTCAGGCTGAAAAAAGAACAACAAATAAATCTCGTCAGGGCCTTCTGTTGTTGATTTAGTTTAAAATAGCTATAGTTAATAAAACAGATCTATTTCACAGCAGGAAGACAACACTGTCACCTAAAACTGAAACTAACACAAGCAACATCTGCTACAGTGAGGAGTTACACCTTATAAATAACTACCAAACTAAACAACAGCACCATTGGTTCTTCATCTAGTCCTGGAGGAACCATAAATTCTTTTCATATCCTAAATTGAAAAGCCCTACATTTGTCCCAAGACCAGCATATTATTGGCATGGCTATAGACGTAGCTGTCACTCACCTCTTTCAACGCCCAGGTTGGATGAGTTGCGAGGATTTCATAATCTCCAGGCAGAACTTTAAAAAATGCAAACCTAAGACATAAAAAATAACCATTTAACTTTCTCCAAACAACCCAAGTATTTCTAATTCTATGACTAATGTTGGCAGCACAAGAAAACAATGTTGGAATTATCGCAAACTTCCATTAGCTTGTTAAATGAGCATGAATGAAATTCAATCCTTCACTGTACAAATCTGCATAAAAGAGCGCTTATTGAGCACTTACTGTGTGCCAAGAGGGGTGCTCCATGTGCTGATCGGAAAGAGGAGTGCTTACGTCTCCCTTAATCTCAAGGATTTCTGGCATAAAACCAATCCTTGCAGCACAGCAGGGACCAGTCACAGAACATTCGACTGGGTTTGACAGAGGTGACAGGCATGAACTGACAAGGAGAAGGGGACAGAAGTGTCCAAGGAAACACATGGGAAGGGAGAAGTGGGGTGAAAAAGAACAGAACAGATGCACAGGCTGAGGGGGACGCTGACCCAAGATGATGCAAATGACACAGGGCAGGGTAAACTATGATAAGCTTTGAATCCCAGAAAAAAGGCTTTAGAGAAACACAGATAAGTCATTCTGGGTTTTTGCACAAAGCAACTGAGATAAGAAACCAGCAGCTGATGAAAATTACTCTACTAGCCATAGACAGACTAACACCAGAGTGAGCCGAGCTAAAGCTGGAAATGCTGCTGCCAGTATACTAACATGTTTATCCCTTCAAATTTGTAAGGCAACTGACAAATGAGAAGGCTAAGTCCGGTGAAATGAACTAGAAAACGCATTTGATTTCTTCTTCTGTGGTATTTTATTGTGTCAAATCTTGCCTGCAATAACTGGATAGGGCTTGGAAATCACATTACTACAAGTATTGGTAAGATTGAGCTTCTATTTCATTTTCATAATAGCCCAGTGCTACATGTTTCATTGTTTCAGTTAGTGCAGATGAAAGGTATTCAGAAGGCTCAAGACACTATTTTTTTCTAGTAAGGTCAACACCAAATTACTAGCCCAGAAAAAAAATTACAGCTTCATATTCCTGCTACACACCAGGCCTGGAGAGGCACCAGTCAAGCAGAAGTAAATGTTATTTCAAAAATGAAAACTAGTTTCAACAATAATAACTTTAAAATTGAATAACTTACTGACAGACTCATTATAAACTTCTATTTTGCAATTTACTTAGTTTGTATATTAACGGAGTTAGTAATGATTTGAACGCTTTCGGAATTATCAGTTTGAACTATTCTGGTATTAATCTTGGCATATCTGTTAACATTTACAACTCAACTATATACATCCATTAAATAAATGCTTTAAATCTGACTCAGCAAGGTCAGCTAGGCATCTGTTCCAACTACAAAGCAGTTTTGATATAATAATGATAATGATTTTTTCTAATCATAACTGAGCTAACCTATTTGAGCTAATATGCCAGGCAGCTTGAAGTAATAATATTAATTTCATCTTTCCAGTACCTTAGGAGATAGGTTCCACAATTATCTTCATTTACAAAAGAGGAAACTGAGGCACAGAGGGGTTAAGGAACTTGCCCTAGGTCAACCAGCCAGCAAATGGGGGAGCTGGGATTCAAGCCCGGGCTGGCAGGCTCCAGAGCCAGGCTGAGCTGCTAAATGAAGACCCACTAAGCCCCAGGCCTTGAAGCAGGTGCTTTATGGGTATTAACTCTTTTTTTGTTTGTTTCAGACAGGGTCTTGCTCTGCTGCCGAGGCTGGAGCACAGTGGCACATGATCACGGCTCACCGCAGCCTCAACCTTCCAGGCTCAAGCAATCCTCCCGCCTCAGCCTCCCGAGTAGCTGCGACCACAGAAGCATGCCACCACACCCAGCTAATTTTCTTCCCCCGTGGGACTCTACTTGATATAATTTTTTAAATTATTTGTGGAGATTGAGTCTCCCTAAGTTGTCCAGGCTGGTCTCGAACTCCTGAACTCAAGTGATCCTCCCATCCTGGCCTCCCAAAGTGCTGGCATTATAGGCGCAAGCCAATATGCCTGGCCAGTATGAACTCATATTTAATCATCTCATCAATGCTAGGCAAGATGGGTCAAATGGATTCCATTTCACATGTGGGGAACTCAGCACTCTGACGGGCATGAACTCACCCAAAGAGGCTGAATCAGGATCTGAACCCAGAACTCCCTGAATCCAAACTCCCAAACCCAGCTCCATGACCCCTGTCAGAGCCCGGCTCTAAGGCAACACTAAGAGACAGGACGCTACTCACTTTCCGCCAGGCTGTGTAACTGTGGACTGGATCTTTGCTTCGGTCCCAGTGTTTCTCAGAGACACCTGAACTCCCGCAGGACCCAGGGGCTGCCCTTTGCTGAGGACCTGCCATGGAGAAGAAAGTTAGGGCCCACCCAGCAAAGCACCCTCCTCTCAAAGCACTGGCAGTCCTGCTTACAACTCCCAGGTGGAGCCCAGGAACCCTCTTTGGGTCAAGAATCCCATTGAAAAGATGCTATAAATCATGGATATGTTTCCTGGGGATGAGGTAGGAGAGGGAACAGTAACAGTAAAATAAGACTCTATTTCAATGAATCTAAGACATCATCAGTTATAGATTCACCATTATTGGTCTGGGCGGGTGTGGTGGTTCACGCCTGTAATCCTAGCACTTTGGGAGGCTGAGGCAGGCAGACCACTTGAGGTCAGGAGTTTGAGACCAGCCTGGCCAACATGGTGAAACCCTGTCTCTACTAAAAATACAAAAATTAGCTGGGCGTCATGGCACATGCTTGTAATCCCAGCTACTCCTGAGGCTGAGGCAGGAGAATCACTTGAACCCAGGAGGCGGAGGTTGCAGTAAGCTGCAATCGCGCCACTGCACTCCAGCCTGGGCGACAGAGGGAGACTCCATCTTAAAAAAAAAAAAAAAAAAAAGTAAATGTACATAAAAATAAAAATATAAAAATTAGCTGGGTCAGGTGGCACACGCCTGTAATCCCAGCTACTGGGGAGGCTGAGGCAGGAGAATTGCTCGAACCCAGGAGGCGGAGGTTGTGGTGAGAGAGACTGCGCTACTGCACTCCAGCTTAGGCCACAGAGCGAGACTCTGTCTCAAAAAAATAAATAAATAAAAATAAAAATAAAAAAAGATTCACCATTATTTTGCAAACCATCGATAAAGAAAAAACTACCCAAGATCCCCATCTCTAACAAGAAGCCCACACATACAGCTGGGATGGAAGGGCCTCCCCGTCACCGCAAAGGTAGAGGAGAAAGAAGTCCATCATGAAGAGAAGGACAGGAAGGAAGGAAGCACATCTCAACCGCAGGCACAGGGCAGGTGGAGGAGAAATGACTCTCCCCTGAGAATCTGAATCGCGGGAGCTGGGCACACACCCATTAGGACTCTAAATTCACACCACCGTGGCGGTCCAAAAAAATCTCAGAACTTAAATAATAGGAATCCTCCTAGGTAAGTGTCAGAAGCAGATGCATGCTCTCTCTGGGAGAAGCTGACTTCAATTCACCCACAGGGACAGCAAGATGCCACAAGGCTTAGAGAGTGCGTCCTTCCAATTCGGCATCCCTGTAAAAGGCCATCCCTGACATAAACGCTAACAGCGGCTGGGTGCACAGCGTACACCTGTAATCCCAGCACTATGGGAAGTGGAGGCAGGCGGATCACCTGAGGTCAGGAGTTTGAGACCAGCCTGGCCAACACAGCAGAAGCCCATCTCTGCTGAAAATACAAAAATTAGCCAGGCATGGTGGCACACACTTGTAATCCTAGCTACTCGGGAGGGTGAAGGAGCGGGAGGGTGAGGCAGGAGAATCACTTGAACCTGGGAGGTGGAGGCTGCAGTGAGTCAAGATTGCACCACTGCACTCCAGCCTGGGCAACAGAGCAAGACCCTGTCTCAAAATAAAAAATAAAAAAATAAAAACACCAACAGCCTATGCTCTGGGAGCAGAGGGGATGACCAGCAACCTCAATCTCATTCCTAAATACACCTGCTGCGTTCTACACGGATGAAGTACAGAGTTCACAGGCTCACTTGCCACTTATCCATGGGTCCCTTGTGGGATCAAAGTCCCCAGGTTAAAATATCCTGCATTTTTTTAAAAAAGGATTTAGTATACATTATAGAGTGAACAGGAAAAATAATCAAGTTCCAAAGACAAACCTTGCCATTCACAGAGAACCCAGTGAAGACAAAGTTGATGTCCCCACCCTTTGTGCAGATGTCACTGACTCCATCCACATGGAGCTCCACGGTCGTCGGCTCTGAGGAACGAAGCAGGGGAGGAAACCGGGGCACAAGACACAAAGGCAAGCTTAGTTTTGGGGTACAGTGAACCTAAGTAGAACGTATTTTTATTATTCAGGTTTCATTTTACTTTTGAACACTTAATACACTCGTGTGTTTCCAAATCCAAAGGTACAAAAAAGTATTCTGGGAAAAGTCTCCCTCTCACCCCTATCCCCCTAGCCTCCTGGTTTCCTGCCCCAGAGGGAATTCGTGTTTAGAGTATAAAATAATTTTACAACGCCTTTCAGCTAAGTTATATCTCAGAGTTCCAGTGAAAATTCAGTGAGCACCAAATAATTTTATTTCCTGAATGCTCATCAACGACCAGGCACTGAGCTGAGTGCCTTTAATCCTCACAATTATCTTAAGAGACAGGCAGTAATAGCTGCAATTTACTGAGGGGTAAATTAAGGCACAGAAAGGTTAAAGGAGCTCCCAAGATCACAGAGCTTCTGAGTGACAGAGCCCCAATTCAACCCTAAAAGTCTGGCTCTGGATCTGTTCTCTGACCAAGGACATGAGCTCAGCCATGTTAAACCAGGAACACAAACTCCAGGGCCACAGGGGCCTCATGGGTTCGAAGTGAGCGGAGCATCCTCAGGGGGACTGTGGCAAATTGAAAGGAGACAACCGCCACTCAAGTCTGCCAACCACTACCATGCTTTGCCAGAGCTTCCAACTTCTCCGAAAAACTGGAAATCTGGATTTTATATACCATCTCTTGATTTTTCAATATCAGCAATTAACTCCATTTTTTAACTGAAGAGTTCATCATAATAGGGGTTAAGGTTGAGTTTTTGAAAGGTTAGGAAGAATATGGAGTAATGAGTAGAGAAAAAAATGGAAAACCATGAGATGAGATTTTCAGTTAAGATGAATTACACACGTGCTTGCACGCGTACATGCACACACACACACACACACACACACACACAAAGACTCCAATAAAAAATGGGCAAAAGACTTGAACAGGAATCTTACAAAAATAGCTAGCCCATGGCAAACAAACATAAACATACAAAAAAGTGGAATTTTCATTTACATTCCATCAGTGGAATGTAAATCAAGGCCACAGTGAGATAATACCACACCCCCACCAGAAGGGCTAAAATTAAAAAAAACTGACGATACCAAGTGTAGGTTAGGATGTGGAGCAATGGAAACCCTTGTACACTGCTGGGAGAACACCAACTGGTGCATCCACTTTGGATGTTTGCAAACACCTAAAGCTGAGCATGTATCAGCTCTATGGCTCAGCGACTTTACTCCTGTGATATACTCAGCAAAAATGCAGACACATGTATCAAAATATACATACAAGAATGTTCACAGGAGCACTGCTCTTAGTGGCCAAAATCAGTAAGCAACTCAAATGGCCATCAACAGTAGAAGAGATCACTGATACAAAATATGAATATAAAATATAAATATAGGCCAGGCGTGGTGGCTCTTGCCTATAATCCCAACACTTTGGGAGGCCAAAGCGGGCAGATCACTTGAGGTCAGGAGTTCGAGACCAGCCTGGGTCAACATGATGAAACCCCATCTCTACTAAAAATACAAAAATTAGCTGGGTGTGGTGGTGCACACCTGTAATCTCATCTACTGAGGAGGCTGAGGCACAAGAATTGCTTGAACCCGGGCAGAAGTTGCAGTGAACTGAGATCACACTCCAGCCTGGGCAACAGAGCGAGACTCAGTCTCAAAAAAAAGAAAAAATAAAATAAAATATAAATATTTTATAAAATATAAATAATTTTATATTTATGCATCAGAATTCTCAACAGCAAAGAGAATGAACTAAAGCTACAAATGATACAGATAAAGTTCATAATGTTGAGTGAAAGAAACCGGATATTAAAAAGTTCCCTGCATGATAGCATTTGTATAAAGTTCAAAACAGACCAAATGGATCTCTAATTTGTAGAAGGTGAGGGTGGTGGTCACCTGGAGGGTGGGGCGGGATGGCTAAGGAGCACCCAGGATGGGGACTTCTGGGGTGCTGGTGAAGTGCTATCTTATCATCTGGATGGTGGATACATGGGTGTGTTCACTTAGTGAAAATTCATCCAAGGCACTTTTCTGAAAGTATAATTCAATTAAAAAGCTTATCAACAGCACCAGTTGGGGGTAGGGTGGGGGGTGGCAAACACAACACTCCTCCAGGCCACCAATCTGGACTTCTGCTTTGGCCATGAGCAGGGCTGCATTCCTCTCCAGCTTTCTGGAACGTACCAGCCAGGCACCCCCGACCCTACCCCTGACTATAAACTGATAAAAGAGCTGCTCTCACAGAGCCAAATTAGCTGTCAGCTGCCTGAGCCTCATTTTAGCCTTGGCGATGGCAGGTGCTAAATTCTTCCTTGTCTAATGCACGAGCAAGCCTGATATCAACAACGGTGATCCCTACTCCTCTCCCCAAGCCATGGACTGGGGTCACCCACACCTGCTCTACTGAAACATCAAGAGTCTCTCCTCTTCAAAAATGTAAACTACATCAAAACAGACCCTCTCTTCTGATCTCAACCCCATCCCCGACTCCCCAGCTATGCTTGAAGGCAGTTATATGAGGAAAGTTTGGAGCTTTTGTTTGGGATGTGTGCAGAAGGGCTGTTTCTGAATACTGAGTACTTGCTAATTACGTGCCAGCCCCTCTGAACACTCAGTATTGGTTTATTAATCGTCCAAGTACCCAGTGGGGCAGGGACTATAACTACCCTTGCTCGACAGTGAGGAGCCAGGCTGACACGGGGGAAGTAACTTGCCCAAAGTTATTTAACTGGTAAGGTATAAGGCTGACAGTCTTCTCATCTCATGGGACATAAATCTGGATTTTTATGACAAATCTCACAATCTTTAAATGTTTCAATTAATTCCATAAAAACTTAAAAAACTGAGGGGGCTAAAAAAGAAGCCATCCTGGGACGGGAACCAAGTCCCCACTCTTGATTTCTATACTGTTCCACGGCCACGTAATGAGTGAAACTGCAAGGGAAGAGTTTCCAGAAAGGTAGAAGAAAAGATGTCTATTTTTCAAAGGTGACAGAAAGTCTTAAGGTAGATTAAGGTAAATCCGAACTAAACCAGAGTGATGGGGGCAAGGAGGGGAGGAATACAAACCCTCTTCCATACTGGAAATGATCCTTAATATTTTAATAGTTTATGCACTCTGCTAGCCTAAATTAATATTCGGCATATCATCTAATCTTTTACAAAGAATGTCTAGTGATTCAGTTAACTTACCAAAACTCCACCCTAGGGGAGGCTCAATCTTCAGAATGAAATCCCCCTAAAAGGAAAAAAAGAAAATGTAATTTCAAGAAATGAGAATTGTGACTCTGGCTAAATTTAGTTTAGTGTTATCATTTAATCTAAAATTTTTTTACACCGGAAATGAAATTCTAAGAGTGAGCCTTGTTCTTCTACATGGTACTGAGCACTGATTCTCTTCAGAAGCTACAAGCTGAAGCTGAACACCAGAAGTTTTCATCTAAACAATCAGAAGACAGTGCTGAAGCCCATTCATGAGTTCTAAAGACACTAGGTTCAGCCACTCACTGTCTTTTAATACTAAACATACTATAATTCTATTAATTGAGTCTCCCATTAAGCCCTCACATGCCTACAGTTGCACAAGTTAGCATGTATCTTCAGGAACTAAAGGCACCCCCTAAAACTAGATTTGGCCAGGCACAGCACCTCACACCTATAATCCCAACACTGTGGGAGGCCAAGGCAGGAGGGTCACTTGAGGCCAGGAGTTCAAGACCAGCCTAAGCAACATAGCAAGACCCCATCTGTACAAAAAATGTTCTTAAAAAATCAGCTGGGTGTGGTGGCAGGCGCCTACAGTCTTAGCTACTTAGGAGGAAGAGGCAGGAAGATCACTTGAGCCCAGGAGGTCAGTGCTGCAGTGAACCATAATTGTGCCCCTGCACTCCAGCATGGGCAGCGGAGGGAGATCCTGTCTCTAAACAATACATTAACTCATTAATTCAATAAATAAAACTAGATTTTACTTATCAACCCTGGTTTCTTTGTTTTTGTTTTAGTTTTTTTTTTTTGAGATGGAGCCTCGCTCTGTTGCCCAGGCTGGAGTGAAGTGGTGCGATCTTGGCTCACTGCAACCTCCGTCTCCTGGGTTCAAGCGATTCTCCTGCCTCAGCCTCCCAAGTAGCTGGGACTACAGGCATCCACGTGACACCCGGCTAATTTTTTTGTATTTTAGTAGAGACGGGGTTGCACCATGTTGCCCAGGCTGGTCTCACACTCCTGAGCTCAGGCGATCCACCTGCCTCAACCTCCCAAAGTGCTAGGATTACAGGCATGAGCTACCACGTCCAGCCTCCTGGTTTCTTGAGACTGATACTGATACTATTTAAAAATTAATTAAATAGATTTCAGGACAGACCCAGCTAGTCCATCTCTAGAAATCAGTCCTATGCATTCTGGATGAAGAGTTAAGTTCAAGAATATTTCCTGGTGTGTTATGTTAAAATTACTATTATTTTAAAATTGGGGAAAGTCTATATGTCCAAGTAGTTAAATAAATTACAGTTTGGGTTTGACTCTGACACACTATGCAGCGATTAAAAAGAAGTCAGTAGGCTGAGCATGGTGGCTCATGCCTGTAATCCCAGCACTCTGGGAGGCTGAGGTGGGCGGATCACCTGAGGTCAGGAGTTCAAAACCAGCCTGGCCAACATGGTGAAACACCATCTCTACTAAAAATACAAAAAAAATTAGCTGGGCATGGTGGTGGGTGCCTGTAATCCCAGCTACTTGGGAGGCTGAGGCAGAAGAATCACTGGAACCCAGGAGGCAGAGGTTGCAGTGAGCCGAGATCGCGCCACTGCACTCCAGCCTGGCTGACAGAGTGACACTCTGTCTCAAAAAAAAAAGAAAAAAAAGTCAGTAGATCTATCTATGCTAATGTTGAAAGCATGCAAGAGGAAAAAACCAAATGTCCCTCTGGTATTGAAAGCATTAACACAGGGGAAAAAATGAAACTGCAGAATAAATCCTATTGTTTGATTTCATTTGTATTAAAAAATATATCAAAATCAAAACTATGTGTATTGACTATTTTTGCAACTTCCTATGAATCTGTATTTCCAAATAAAAGGTTTATATGTGGGAGGATGGGATTGTATAGAGGTGTTTGTGGATACATATCGATGTGCATGTGTGCTTGTGTGTATTTCCATGTATACATATGCATGTGTACCCGTGGCTATCTGAATAACTATAAATAGAAAGCAATCTGTTAGGATGCACATCAAAATTTTATAAGAGGGCCGGAAACATCGGCTCACACCTGTAATCCCAGCACTTTGGGAGGCTGAGGCAGGTGGTTCACTTGAGGTCAGGAGTTCGAGACCAGCCTGGCCAACATGGCAAAACCCCGTCACTATTAAAAATACAAAACATTAGCTGGGTGTAGTGGCAGGTGCCTGTAATCCCAGCTATTTGGGAGGCTGAGGAAGGAAAATGGCTTGAACCTGGGGGGTGGAGGTTGGAGTGAGGCAAGATCACACCACTGCACTCCAGCCTGGGCGACAGAGCGAGACTCCATCTCAAAAGAAGAAAAAAAAAAACAACAAAAAAACCCTTTATCAGATTATCAAAGGTTATCACTACAGAGGGAGGTAAAATTGGAGGGAAAAGGGTACAAATTTATTTCACATACTTCTAAAGACCTTGACTTTCTTTTTCACAAAGTTCATGAATTCATGTATTACTTGTACAATTGTTTTAACAATACTTTAAGCTGCTTGCAAGTAACGGGTTCCATGAAATCAGGGTTTCTCAGCCCTGGCACTACTGACATCTGGGCTGTCGTAGGCAGCACTGTAGCGCATTTAGCTCCACGCCTGGCCACTACTCACTGGGTGACTGTAGCGCACAGCCACAGATGTCACAACAAAAACGTCTCTAGACATTGCCAAATGGCCCTAAACACAGAGAGAGCCACTGTATTCGTCAAGGCAGTTTGTAAGTTGTCTCCCTCCAAATGTGGCTAGGATTATCATATTCCACTAATAATTTACAAAACAGATGAGCATTTGCTAGTGTAGGAAAGGGCATGGTTAATGCAGCCTGGTGAGGCACACTAGTGATTTCCCATCATAAGTGACAAGCAGTCCCCTCTTACCTTATCATACAAAGGGATCATAAAGTAACCATTATTAGGGGCACAGTCTGTCTGGTATTTCAAAGTCCCATGCTTGGTGTACAGCTTTATCTGGAAAGGAAGGAAGGAAAACAGAAATCATAACATTGCCTTTGGGAATTAACTACACATGTTACACCTGAATGCACTCAGTCAGTATACATTCACTGAGGACCTATTATATGCCAGCTTTTAACACGGGGCATTACTGGGGACAGAGGGAAATCAACAAACTCTCTCCCAAATCATGTGACTCAATGTTTTTCAGATTAGAAACCATCTACAGCCTATTACAATGCCTTATTTTTCAATGCTTTTCTGTTTATTTTAGTGGCTGTCTCTAGGTTGCTCGTGTAAGTTTCCGGGTCTAAAACAAATTTGCAAACTTTGCCATTAGTAAGGTGCTTATTAACATGCAAATTCCTGGCTGGGCACGGTGGCTCATGCCAGTACTCCCAGCACTTCAGGAGGCTGAGGTGGGCAGATCACTTAAGGTCAGGAATTTGAGACCAGCCTGGCCAACAAGGTGAAACCCTGTCCCTACTAAAAATACAAAAAAAGTTACCCAGGCATGGTGGCAGGCACCGGTAGTCCCAGGTACTTGGGAGGCTGAGGCAGGAAAATTGTTTGAACTCAGGAGGCGGAGGTTGCAGTGAGCCAAGATCATGCCACAGCACTCCAGCCTGGGAGACAGAGCAAGACTCCGTCTCAAAAATAATAATAAAAAAAAATAAAGTAAAATAAATTGCAAATTCCTGGGGCCCACCTCTATTTCTCAACTAAAGGTCTGGAATGAGGGCCAGAAATCTTCCTTACTAACTCTGAATAATTTCAAATACTTGGAGCAACATTCATCTAGAAACTTAATTTTCTCATTACTTTCATTCTCCGAAGAAAAAGAGACTAAAAAGACATTTAATATCTGTCCTCTCTTCAAGGACTCTCTAAAACTCTTACATTCTGAGCATTACCAGACACGAAGTGTTAACCCAGTAAGATGCCCAAATGCCATCTGAGTCTTCCACGTGTTGCGTGGCCTTGGGCAAGCTCGTGTTCGGTTTCTTCAGATGTAGACACAGAGCCACTCCTTTTCATGTGGTTGTACAGATTCACATCAATGCATATTAAGCACCTGCTACAGAATATGGATTCAAAGAAAAATCAGTTTGCGGCCAGGCATGGTGGCTCATGCCTGTAATCCCAGCATTTTGGGAGGCCAAAGAAGGAGGATCACTTGAGCCCAGGAGACCAGCCTGGACAACATAGCCACACCTCATCCCTACTAGAAAAAAAATTAGCTAGGCATGATGGCACGTGCCTGTAGCCTCAGCTACTCAGGAGGCCGAGGCAGGAGGACTGCTTGAGGCCAGGAGTCAGAGGCTTTGGTGAGCTATGATGGTGCCACTATACTCCAGCCTGAGCAACAGTGTGAGACCCTGCCTCAAAATAAAACAAAATAAAATAAGTAAAATGGGGCCGGGCGCGGTGGCTCACGCCTGTAATCCCAGCACTTTGGGAGGCCGAGGCGGGTGGATCATGAGGTCAGGAGATCGAGACCATCCTGGCTAACAAGGTGAAACCCCGTCTCTACTAAAAATACAAAAAATTAGCCGGGCGCGGTGGCGGGCGCCTGTAGTCCCAGCTACTCGGGAGGCTGAGGCAGGAGAATGGCGTGAACCCGGGAAGCGGAGCTTGCAGTGAGCCGAGATTGTGCCACTGCAGTCTGCAGTCCGGCCTGGGCGACAGAGCGAGACTCCGTCTCAAAAAAAAAAAAAAAAAAAAAAGTAAAATGGAAAAAGCAGTTTGTATTACTATTTAATATCTCTCTCTGAAGAAAAAGGCAACACAGTGTAATACGTAGGGAACATACTGGGCTCAAGGAAAATTTCCTAAATGTACCTGCACAGCTCAACCACTCTGAGGCTCAGTTTCCATGTCTGTAAAAGGAAGCAGTTGGGTCTGATGCACCTAAAAGCCTCACCTCCAAAATGTTAATGCTCTATGACCATGAAACAAACCATGACACGAGCTGCAATGAAACAGTCGAATCTCACCAGCTAAGAAGATGTACAAAGTGACTAACTCATAAAACGAACATTTGAACATTTGGGAAAGGACTCGTGTGAAATAAGGTTAAGCCTGTATGTAAAGTTCTCTGAGGTCAGTGACAACTTCATTCCCCAGTGCCTGAGACAGTGTCTAGCTTACTCTAGGTACTCAGTGAATTTGCTACAGGTGACAAAGAGATTCAGATACATGCATTTAAGGCAGGGACTGGAAATTCACCAGCCTAGACCGGTTAGGGAGGCAACATCAAGGGACATTCATCCAAAAGGATTCAGATCACTACAAAACCCAAGCCAAGTGTGGCAGCCTAAAGATCGGCTGGCTTTCCAGAGAAATAAAGAACCCGGTTTTTAATGTGAAACCTGCGGATTGTTAAAGTATTAGCAACCAGTATAATTTTTTTTTTTTAACAGTAAGGTCCCTGTTAGAGAACAAAATGTCAGTCTCATGAGAGTATGGAGTTTTGTCTGTTCTGTTCACTGTACTGCTATATCCACACTGGGGACAAGGCTTCAGTATGTGCCAGGGCTCAGTAAATAGTTGTTGACTCAATGAACACGATGTAAAAACACTCAGGATGGGAGAAAGCTAGAGAAGAATGGCGGCAGTTGCATAGGAACACAAAAAACACAATCAAGAAATAACCGTGAAATATCATGATTATTTCTACATCTTTCATAAAGTACAATCAGGACACAGGATGGCAATGTAATCTACATCAAGATGGCCAGTATGAAATGTCTGATTTCAGAATCTGAATTACTTATGAAAGAATGAGTGTCCCACACCATCTGGACAGGCAGCCCTTGGGCTTAAGGAACACACTTTGAAATGGGTCACAAAACCTGTTCTCTGCTCTCAAGGTCACTATTAGTATGAGGGTGAGGGTGGAGGGGGGTGCCTGTCTTTTCCTTCCTTCCAGAACCCCTGGAAACTACAAGTTGCAAGAGGCCTTAGCGGCCTCTTGCATTTCAGCTTCTGAAATGCCCTGTGCCGTCTACAGCCATACCACCCTGAACGCGTCCTGTCCCCAGTGCAGACCTAGGCGGTGGCATGGGCACCCAGAAACATGTACCCAGGAAATCCTAGGAGCCCTGCCGCTGCCAGTGGGTAGATTCATTCAATGCCTGACCTCTGACCTCTTCAGTCTGAAAAAGCAGTAAACAAGGGGGCCTTGAAGAAGATCACGGATCCGCTTGTTAAAGAAATGTATCTGCTGGGTTCCACTGTTTCTCTCCCAACACCATCCTATAGGTACAAAAACTGAAACCTAGAGCAAGGGCAGGTCGCAGAGCTGGTGGGGTGTGGAACTGACTCCCTACCCCTCCCCCAATCCTCAGCAGCCCGCTTTGCAGAACACAGAGCTTCACCCTTCACTGCCAGCCCTGGAACAGCTCAAAGGTGCTTTCAGACGATCTTTGGGGTCTTATTCCCCAATCCCTCTCTTTGGCATTTCCCAGCCTCTTCCTTCGTTTTCTCCTAAATTACCTCCGAGGCACCCGCTCTTTTCCTCTTCCTTGTCCTACCCCACCATAAATCCCCTCCCAAAAATGAGGCCCAGGCCTTGCTCTGGTCCCCTCCCATCTACCGGGACAAATGACATTCTGCCCCTACCTCCATCCATCCCTTTCCTCTTTACGGGAACCTTTCTGGGTCATAATCCCACCGGGCTGATAAACATTTAACAGGACTTTACAACTTAATTTAAAAAAAAAAAAAAAAAACCTTCAGCACAAATCTCTAGGGTAATTCCATTAACTACTCATTAAGGCAATCAGGGCAGCTGGCAACTCTCCATTTTCAGAAGTGGAGGGGAGCCGGAGAAATAAAAAATAGCTTTCCGGCCCCAGGGTTGCCAATACTGATCTACTAGGTCAGAATCTATGGGATGGGAATTGATGCTCTTTAAAATCATGCCGCGGGGTTTGGAGGAGCAGTGGATTAGAACTTCGGGGGGTTCTGGGCTGTGGAGTTTGGGGGATAAGACATGTGGTCTCTAGGTTCTGGAATGTGGGTTTGGGGAAATCTGAGTTTCAGGGGGTCTGATTCGAGGAGATCTCAGGTCTAAGTTTTAAAGAAATGGAGTCTGGGCTCCAGGGAATTTAGGGTCTGGGTTTTGAGGATCTGGGGTCTGTGTTCCGGGGATCTGGAGTCGGGGTTTTGAAGAACCTGAGGTCTGGCACCCCTCAGTCCTTAGACGACCCCATGATAAGAACCTCCCCTCCAGCGCGACTGGGGAGGGGCTGCAGGGAGCCCGCGGACAGCATAGCCTCGGAAGAGGTAAGGGCTCCAAGGACTCCACACCGCCCGGTGTCAGAGACGAGGCCAGCGCGGCCCAGAGAGGCTGAACCACCGGCCCGGCGACTCGGCGCCGGGCGGCGGGGCGGGCGCTCACCTCGATGAGAGAGTAGTTGATCTCCACGTCCGACTTGACGAAGCCACCGCAGCCCACCACGATGTCCTCCGAGCCGTGCGCCGGCCCCACGCCGCTCAGCAGCAGCACCACCGCGGCGGTGACCACCGCGGGCCCCAGCGGCCCCGCGCCCTGGCCCACCAGCATGGCCCGACCTCCCCCAGCTAGACCCACCGCCGGCAGCCGGGTCCCGCCCCTCACACTGCACGCCGCAGGCTCCTTCCTCCTCCTAGGCCGGCTGACAGCCCAGGCCCCGCCCCACCGCCGCCGCCAGAGCCGCCGCGCACGCGCGCTTCGACCCCACGTTCACAGCCCCAGAAGAGAGAACTAAGGCGCATGCTCGGCAAGGAAACGAGACCATCTCTGCCTTCTAGAGGCCTGGAGGACTCCGCGCGACATCTGGCAGGCGCAACGCAAGGTGCATGCCTACAGGGAGAAGCTCCAAAGATGAATTCTACTTTAGAATTCACCATCACAGCTGGAAAGGACGGGAGATTTTGTTGGTGGAATTATCTAACAACTTTCTCAAATCTTTCTGACCCATATATTTCGCAGGTAAAATATATAATCTCACAAAAAGCTTTAGGGCCGGGTGTGTGGCTCACGCCTGTAATCCCAGCACTTTGGGAGGCTGAGGTGGGTGGATCGCTTGAGCCCAGGAGTTCGAGACCAGCCTGGGCAATATGGCGAAACCCCATCTCTACACACACACGCGCACACGCACACACACGCACACACACACACACACGAAAAACACACACGAAAAACGCTTTAAGAATTTGTGTAAGCTGGTGTATTTTTCCATGATAAATGATCGATACTTTTTTAAGCAAAACGTGTTAATGTTAGCATATTAAAGAAAGTATGTAAGATTTATTTTAATCCTAGCTCTAATAACATATGCCTAGAAACAAATTTTGATGAGTTTTCTTCCCCTAAGCAAGAAGTGCATGCAGTCAGTATACTTTGAATTAGCTCTGCAAGATGAAACATGATTTGCCTAAAAACAAGCTCAAATCCAGCATATTTTGTCCCAAGAGTGAATTCATATGTACACTGAATTTAACTACCAGTCACCACATCAAAATACACACCAAAGAGGCCGGGCACAGTGGCTCACGCCTGTAATCCCAGCACTTTGGGAGGCCAAGGCTGGCAGATCATGAGGCCACGAGATCGAGACCATCCTGGCTAACACAGTGAAACCCCGTCTCTACTAAAAATATAAACACTTAGCCGGGCGTGGTGGCGGGCGCCTGTAGTACCAGCTACTCGGGAGGCTGAGGCAGGAGAATGGCGTGAACCTGGGAGGCGGAGCTTGCGGTTAGCCGAGATCGCACCACTGCACTCCAGCCTGGGCGACAGAGCAAGACTCTGTCTCAAAAAAATAAATAAATAAAATTAAAAAAACACCAAAAAATTGCTTTTCTTACCTAATATTAGGATTTCTTCCATTTTGTCTCAAAAAAAAAAAGCTAGTGCTTTATTTTGATAGGTTTTGTATTTTGTTTCCAAATGACAAAGTAAGACTGAATTTCCCGCTGCAATTTGCCATTGTGGCTAAAACTTAAGCAATAAACAACTAAGAAGCACAGGTTCAAACCATACAGTAGTCAAACTTTCATGGGGGCAAGGAGGGAATGAAGGGAATGACACATTGACCTCAGGGTCATAATCATGAGTGCATCTGATTTCAGTTTCTCGTGCTGCATTTTCACTCAAATACAGTAGACTCTCAACTATTCAGTGATAATGAGAAACCATTTAAATAATTCGTCTATTTATTGGGGTTTGTTATTTATAACCACAATTGAAATAGATGCCTTTTATGCAAATCACCAGAGGATTGAAAGCCACCAATTAGAAAGTGTAGGCCTATGGAAACCTCTCATCTTACAGAATGGGAAACTGAGGCCCAGAGAGGAAAAGGAAGTTGTCTAAGACTCTGCATGCAGCCATAGGTTTTCCCGGAGCTAGAGAGCAGGAATTGGGGCCAGAAGCCGTGGCTTACTACTGTAATATGAACATGTTGGGAGTCCGAGGTGGGCAGATCATTTGAGGTCAGGAGTTCGAGACCAAATTGGCCAACATGGCAAAACCCTGTCTCTACTAAAAATACAAAAATTAGCTAGGTGTGGTGGCGCATGCCTCTAATCCCAGCTACTCAGGAGGCTGAGGCAGGAGAATCACTTGAACCAGGGAGCCACAGGTTGCAGTGAGCTGAGGTCTTGCCACTGCACTCCAGCCTGGGCGACAGAGTGAGACTCCATCTCAAAAAAAAAAAAAAAGCAGGAAGTGGGATCCCCAAGTTTTGTTCTGGACTCACCCCAATTGATTTCTGCTGTGTTCTTCTTGACTTTCTGACTATTTCCCTCAAATTCATCTTCAAATATAGAAAGAAATGAAGCACCAGGACTGTGACAATGCCAATTCATGGGGGTGGGATTGGGGAGTGGCTTGCAGAGAGACAGGGATTTAGCTTCCCCATAATTTCCATCAGTTTCCACCAAAACCAGCTCAGATAAGCAGACATGATTTACATGGAAACAGTAGACCTGCCACACTGAGCTTCATGACAAATCCTTGGGTTCTTTCTGTCCCGAAGCTTCCAGAAGACTCAGGCAGGAGGACAGCTGAAGGGGGCAGGGGAGGGGGTGCTCCCTGGGCCCAATACTGGATTTAGAGTGATACAAAAAGATCGGGGAAAACACGCTGTGGGGTCCCTGCAGAAGGCAAGAGTAGAAGATGAGGACAGGACCCCGAGAATTAGCAAGGCAGCATGGAGAGTGCAGAGGATTTTAATTCTTCTCCCAAACTGAGCACCTGTGCTTGTCTGTCTAAAAGAGCCGAATATTTCATTCCTATCTTGAAACAAGTACTTGCTCACTGCAACAACAAAGAAATTGGAAAAGAAAACTAGGATTCCCCAAGATCACTGTGTTACCACATTTCCATCTTTTTATCGATGCATTTATGCTAGTATGACATCGAGTCATTTCTAAGAAGTGGTGGCTGGGTCTTTGACACTTTGCTTTAAGACCCAAGAGAGAGCTGGGCATGGTGGCTCACGCCTGTAATCGCAGCACTTTGGGAGGCCTAGGCAAGAGGATGGCTTGAGGCCAGGAGTTCCAAAGCAGCTTGGGCAACAAAGTGAGACAAGTCTCCACAAAAAAATTTAAAAATCAGCCAGGCTTGGTGGTGTGTGCCTGTAGTCCCAGATACTCCGGAGAGGCTGAGGTGGAAGGTTGCTTGAGCTCAGGAGGTCAAGGCTGCAGTGAGCCATGATGGCACTACTGCACTCCAGCCTGGGTGACAGAGCAAGACCCTGACTCAAAAAAAAAAAAAAAAAAAAAAGAGACGGAGAGAGAAAAAGACTCAAGAGAGGAAGGTAAATGCCTTGGCCTTCTTCTCCATGTTCCCTAATTTAGGCATATCCTTTTCTTTTTTGCTTTAAAAAAACCAAAGCCTATTTTATATTATAATCTCTTTTATTCAATCATCACTTAGCAACCACCTTTTCATATTCATATATGTCTTCAATGGCATTTTGTTTGTTTGTTCTGAGACAGAGTCTCGCTCTGTCACCCAGGCTGGAGTGCAGTGGCACAATCTTGGCTCACCGCAACCTTCGCCTCCCAGGTTCAAGCGATTCTCCTGCCTCAACCTCCTGAGAAGCTGAAACTACAGGCACGCACCAAAACACCCAGCTAATTTTTGTATTTTTAGTAGAAACGGGGTTTCACTATGTTTGCCAGGCTGGTCACAAACTCCTGACCTCAAGTGATCCGCCCTCATCAGCCTCCCAAAGTGCTGGGATTACAGGTATGAGCCACCGTGCCCAGCTGCAATGGCATTTTAAACCACTGGTTAGTAACCCATGGCCTCAATTATAACGGTAGTAATAAAAGCTAAGTCTTCTGAGCATTTAATGTATATCTGGCAGTGTGCTAAACGCTTGCATAATCTCACTAAGTTCTCCCCACCACTCCACGGGTAGACAGTGTCCATTCCAGCAGTGAGGGGACTGTGACGTGGTCTCCATCCTATCTCCCTCGGATATTATGAAACATATCACAGAGTGTACACCCACTGTGATATTAGGAGAAAGCTCTCCCTTGGGTATTAGAATAATATCACAGGGTATACACTCACTGTGATATCAGGAGTAAAATCACCCTCAAATATAATGAATAATATCACAGGGTGTACACTCACTGTGATATTAGGAGTAAGATCTCCCTTGGATACTATGAATAATATCACACAGTGCACACCCACTGTGACGCGGTACACCCACTGAGATATTAGGAATAATATCTCCCACGGATATTAGGAATAATATCTCCCTCAGATATTATCACACCCACTTTGATATTGGAAGTAATATCTCCCTCGGATGTTATGAATAATATAGAAGGGTGTACACTCACTGTGATATGGAGAGTAATACCTGCCTCAGATATTACAAATAATATCATAGGGTGTAAACCCACTGTGATATTGGGAGTAATATCTCCCTCGGATATTATGAATAATATCCTGGGGTTTACAAACATGGTGTATACCCACTATGATATTAGGAGTAATATCTCCCTAAAATATTACTAATAATATTACAGGGTGTACACACAGGGTGTACACCCACTGTGATATTAAAAGTAATATATCTGTAAAATATGAGTACACCCACTATGATATTAGGAGTAGTATCTCCCTAAAATATTACAAATAATATCCCCCCAGTATATAACAGATAATATCATAGGGTGTACACCCACTGTGATATTAGTTATAATAATATCTTCTTGGGATATAAGGAATAACATCACAGGGTGTACACCCACTGTGATATTAGGGGTAATAATATCTACTTAGCACATAACGAATAATATGAGAGGGTGTACACCCACTGTGATATCAGAGGAAGTAATATCTCCTCAGGGTGTACACCCACTGTGATATCAGAGGAAGTAATATCTCCTCAGGGTGTACACCCACTGTGATATTAGTAGTAATATCTCCCTAAAATATTATGAATAATATTACAGAGTGTACACACAGGGTGCACACCCACTGTGATATTAAGGGTAATAATATCTCCAGAAAATTTGACACACCCTGTGATATTAGCAGTAATAACATCTCACCAGGATATAATAAATAATATCACAGGGTGTACACCCACAGTGATATTAGATGTAATAATATCTTCCCATGATGTAATGAATAATATGACAGGGCGTACACCCACTGTGATACTAGGGGTAATAATATCTCCCCAGGATATAACGAATAATATCACAGGGTGTACACCAACTGTGATATTAGGGGTAATAACATCTTCCATGAATATAGCGAAGAATATCACAGGGTGTACAACCACTGTGATAATAGGAATAATATGTCTCCAGGATAAAACAAATAATATCACAGGGTGTACTCCCACTGTGATATTAGCAGTAATGTTTCCCTCGGATATTGCAAATAATATCACAGGGTGTACATCCACTGTGATATTGAGAGTAATATCTCCCTCGAATATTATGAATAATACCACAGGGTGTAAACCCACTGTGATACTGGGAGTAATATCTCCCTCAGATATTATGAATCGTATCACACGGTGTACAGGGTGTACACCCACTGTGATATTGGCAGTAATATCTCTCTCAGATATTATGAATAATATCACAGTGTTTACAAACATGCTGTACACCCACAACGATATTAGGGGTAATATCTCCCTAAAATATTACAAATAATATCATAGGGTGTACAAACATGGTGTACACTGACTGTGATATTAGGAGTAATATCTCCCTAAAATATTATGAATAACATCACAGGGTGTAAACACAGGGATACAGCCACTGTGAAATTAGGAGTAATATCACCCCAAGATATAATCAATACTGTCACAGTGGGTACACACACTGTGATATTATGGGTAATAATATCTCCAGAAAATTTGACGAATAATATCACAGGGTATACACCCACTGTGATATTAGGGGTAGTAACATCTCTCAAGGATATAACGAATAATATGACAGGGTGTACATCCACTGTGATATTATGGGTAACAATATCTCCCTAGGATGTAATGAATAATATCACAGGGTGTACACCACTGTGATATTAGGGGTAATAACATCTTCCCCAAATATAACGAATACTATCACAGGGTGTTCACCCATTGTGATATGAGACATAATAATATCTCCCCAGGATACAACAAATAATATCACAGGGTGTACACCCACTGTGATATTAGAGGAAATAATATCTTCCCAGGATATAATGAATAATATTACAGGGTGTACACCCACTGTGATATTAGAGGAATTAATATCTTCCCAGGATATAATGAATAATATCACAGGGTGTACACCCACTGTGATATTAGAGGAATTAATATCTCCCCAAAATATAATGAATAATATTACAGAATGTTCACCCACTGTGATATTAGGAATAATAATACCTCCCCAGGATATAACCAATAATATCACAGGGTGTACACCCACTGTGCTATTAGGAGTAATAATATCTCCCCAGGATATTACAAATAATATTACAGGATGTACACCCACTGTGACAATACGGGTAATATCTCCCAGGATATTATGAATAATAGCACAGGGTATACACTTACTGTGATATTAGGAGTAATAATATCTCCCCAGGATATAATGAATAGTATCACAAGGCGTACAGCCACTGTGATACTAGGAGTAATATAGTAGTATCTCCCCAGGATATAACAAATAATATCACAAGGTGTACATGCACTGTGATATTAAAGGAAATAATATCTCTTCAGGATATAATGAATAATATCACAAAGTATACACCCACTGTGATATTAGGGGTAATATTATATCTCCAAGATATAGTGAATAATATCACAGGGGGTACACCCACAGTATATTAGGGGTAATAGTATATCCCCAGAATATAACGAATAATATCACAGGGTGTACACCCACCGTGACAATATGGATAATATCTTCCAGGATGTTACGAATAGTATCAAAGAGTATACACCCACTGTGATATTAGGGGCAATATCTCCACAGAATATTACAAATAATATCAAAAGATGTACACGCACTGTGACATTAGGGGTAATATCACCCAAAAATATTACAAATAATATCACAGCATGTACACAATGGTGTACGTTCATTGTGATATTATGATATCCATAGGGTATTACAAATAATAGCACAGGGTGTACCCCCACTGTGATATTAGGAGTCATATCTTTCTGGGAGGTCACAGCGTGTACACGCATGGTGTAAATTCACTGGGATATTAGGAGTAATATCGCCCTAGAATATTTCGAATCATATCACAGGGTGTACACCCACTGTGATATTAAAAGGAATATCTTTCTAGAACATTACAAATAGTATCACAAGGTGTACACCCACTATGAGATTAGGAGTAACATCTCCCTAGAATATTATGAATAATATCACAGTGTGTACAGGCACTGTGATTTTAGGAGTACTACCTTCTTAAGATATTATGAATAATATCATAGGGTATACACCCACTGTGAAATTAAAAGCAATAGCTCCCTACGATATTACGAATAATATCACGCAGTGTACACTCTAGGTGATATTAGGAGTAGTATCTCCCTAGGAAATTACGAATATTATCACAGAGTGTACACCCACTGTGATATTAAAAGTATTATCTTTCTAGGATATTGTGAATAATATTACAGGGTGTACTCCCTCTGTGATATTAGGAGTTATATCTCCCTAGGATATTACAAATCATATCACAGGGTGTACACCCACTGTGGTATTAGGTGTAGTATCTCCCTAGGATATAACAAATAATATCACAGGGTATACACCTACGGTTATATCAGGAGTTATATCTTCATAGAATATTACGAATAATATCACAGGGTGTACACCCTCTGTGATATTAAAAGTAATATCTTTCTAGGATAGTATGAATAATATCACAGGGTGTACTCTCACTGTGATATTAGCGGTAATAACTCCCTAGGATATCACGAATTCTATGACAGAGTGTACACCCACCATGAGATTTGGAGTAATATATCTCTAGCATATTATGAATAATATCACAGGTTGTACACCTACTGTGATATTAGGAGTAAAATCTCCCTCGGATATTACAAATAATATCACAGTGTGTACTCCCACTGTGATATTAGGAGTAAAATCTCCTTCGGATATTACGAATAATATCACAGGATGTACACCCACTGTGATATTAGAAGTAATATCTCCCTTGGATATTTCTAATAATACCACAGCGTTTACACACATGGTGTTCACCCACTGGGATGTTAGGATAATATCTCCCTTGGATATTACCAATCGTATCAGAGGCTGTACACACGTGGTGTTCACCCAGCGTGATATTAGGAATAATATCTCCCTCGGATATTAGGAACAGTCTCTCCCTGGGACTTAGCAGAACGTAGCCCCCCAGTGTTAAATAAGCGACCACAGCAAGAGGTAGAGGCGCAGGGACTGAAATGACGACAAATATCTGACAAGTTTAAAACACGTATTTAAAATAGAATTTATAAAATGCTTAATCTGCCGACTCAGGAGCCCGCGGTGCAGGGTGGGGTGGGAGTTGGCAGGTGACCGCTACACCAGCAGAGTAAGACTGCAGGGCTGCGGCCCTCCCTCCTATGCCCTTCTGTTCAGACACCCGAGGGGCCCATGTGCACTCCTGGGATCATACGACCAGAAAACAGGACCCTAGAAGTTTCTTGAGTTTCTGCTTACCAGGGCGGCTGGGTATAGCCCTGCCAGCCCATTGCATAATCTTCTAAGTTCTCCCCACCACCCTCCATTCCAGCAGCGAGGTGCCTGTGACGCGGTCTCCATCCTCTCGGCCTCGACCCGGTGGTCCCCGGGATTGGACGCTTAGGCGGTCACCAGGCCTCCTTGTTACTAACGTGTGCACACCTTTCAGTTCTCTCATCAGGATGAACTCCTGGAAATTGCTGGGTCCAAAGTGTTTGGGAAGTTTGGAGTGATTCTTGTTGCAGGGGGAAGAGGGAACTCTGGAGGTGTCACTGAACTTTCAGGGGTTCCGGGACCCCCCAACCCGGTGCCCGTCCCAGCTCCCCGAGCGCCTCTCTTCCCCCATCCCCCACCTCGCCTGTTTTCACCTCCCGTGGCCTCACTCCCGCCGCGCAGCTGGACCTTGCCCGGGGCCTCCCGATCCCGGAGCTCGAATCCCAGCCGGACCAGCCCAGCCCGACCAGCCCAGCCCCGCCTCTTCTCCGGCAGGATCGCGGCCGAGCAGTCTGCCCAGAGACTTAGCGACAGACAGACGCTGGGACCCACGACGACAGAAGGCGCCGATGGCCGCGCCTGCTGAGCCCTGCGCGGGGCAGGGGGTGAGTGCCCCCCATCGCGCCCCACTCTCCTTTTCCAGGCTTGGTTTGGCTGCAGATCTCTCGGGCTGCGATACTGGGGAGAGGAGAGACCCCCAAATTCCTGGACCCGGGAAGCGAGGAGACTTACTCCGGCCCCCTCACTGCAGCGGGTTGGATTTCTTTCACCAAGCCAGCAGCCGAGAGCCCAGCTCTATTTAAGGGGCCACCAGACCTCCCAGCTACTAGGGGCTTTGACCCTTCTTTGCATAAAGCTAGTGGGTCCCCCAAGCCCTCCTACCCCCGGAGAGCCCTTACCTCTCTGGTTTCTTTTTCCATTGCTCTTAGCAAAGGACTCCAGGGAGTGGAGTTCATGGAGTGGGGGTGGGGGTTGCAAACTGCCAGCATTTCGAGGGCCAGGGAGTTGAAGCAATAAACTGGCAATGAACTGAGGGCTTTCTCTGTGCCTAGCCTTGTGCCCAACCTTGTGCCATGCTGCTATGAACTTTGCTGCTATTCATCCATTTAATACAACTCATAGAGGTAGAGTCTCGTTATCCCCCTTTTGCAGGGAAGGAAACTGAGATACAGAGAGGTTAAAGTTTGCACAGCCGGTGAGTTGTGAAACCAGGAGGAGTAAAAAGACAGCGGAGAGAGAATTGAAGAGGCCACGTCCACTAAACTTCAAATTTCTTCTAGGGTTAGATAGGACCAGCAGACCTGCTGAGATGAAAATAACAGATCAAGCTGGGCCGGTGGCTCTTGCCTGTAATCCCAGTACCTAGGAGGCTGAGGCAGGAGGATTGCTTGAGGCCAGGAGATCGAGACCAGCATAGAGAGACCCCCATCTCTACAAAACATAAAAAAAAAATTAGCCAGGCCTGGTGAGGCGGCTTATGCCTGTAATCCCAGCACTCTGGGAGGCCGAGGTGGGAGGATTGCTTGAGCCCAGGAAATTCGAAGCTTTGTTGAGCTTTGATTGTGCCACTTCAGCCTGGGCAACAGAGTGAGACCCTGTCTCTAAAACATAAATTAATTAATAATAAAAAATAAAAATAAATCATACATCAAGACCACCAGTTGAACGAGGTTTGGGGTCAGATAAGCCTGGGTCAGAGTCAGCTTTGCCACTTCCCATTTGTGTGTCCCTGGGGGAGGCAGTTCCCTGATTGGTGCCTCAGTCTGCTGGTTTCTGAAATGGAGACAGTACTGTCTGCATCCTGGAGTTGTTATAAGGATTAACTGACAGTCCATGCCTAGCAATGATTATGGAGCCCAGGTCTCCTAGACCACATGGCCCAGTTCCCTGGGTTCAAATCCCAGCCCTTCCACTCCTCAGCTGGGTAAAGTCAGCAAAGTTACTCAACCTCTCTGGTCCTCAGCTTCTTCATCTGCATATCAATATAATTGCAACTACCTAGGGTTAATGTCAGGATGAAAGGAATTGAGAATTAGTAGGTATTCCAAAGAGTACTTGGCACATTTTTGTGTAAATGTTAAAGATCCAAAAAGTTGCCTGGCCCCCCTGGCAGGTGAGCTGGGGACCCCTGCCTTGTACCATCCTAAGGGTCCTCTTTGTGTTCCCTCAGGTCTGGAACCAGACAGAGCCTGAACCTGCCGCCACCAGCCTGCTGAGCCTGTGCTTCCTGAGAACAGCAGGGGTCTGGGTGCCCCCCATGTACCTCTGGGTCCTTGGTCCCATCTACCTCCTCTTCATCCACCACCATGGCCGGGGCTACCTCCAGATGTCCCCACTCTTCAAAGCCAAGATGGTAGCTGCCATCCCTGGGAGCCTGGAACCAGGCAATGGTGGGGGGAGGCAGGGGACAGGCTGGAACCTGGTGAAGTCTTAAAGTAGACTCCTCCTATCGGGGTGTAGAAGGGAATCTGTTAATCAAACAGAGCAATATTAGAAAGGCTACAGAGGTCAACTCAGTGGAACACGGTTCTCCCAAACAGATTTTGTAATTCCGAAAATCCACGCATGCGCAAACATACGCATACACTCCCATGTTCCTGGACAGTTTATAGCTACCATAACCTGGCATTTTCCAAAACATACCATGTAGACTCTTGGATACACAAGGTAATTTTAGGGCCACATTAGGATGAACCTTTTAAAAAGTTATGCATTTATTTTTATGTTTCCCCACTAGCTGTATTATAGGACAATTTTTATATGTGATATGTATTTACCTTAGTGTGTTAAATAAACACTGGCATTCCAAGTGTGAGCCTTTCTGCTCATCCATCCTCTTCTACTCCATTCTTGTAGACTTCCAAAGAATGTTCTTCAGAGTTCATTCATTCTTCTGCCATTGTATTAATTTTTACATTATCACCCACCACCAACCCAGGGGTTGGCAAACTTAAAGAGCCAAGTGGCACACAGTATTTGAGACTTTGTGAGCCAGGTAATCTTCCTTCCGAACACTGAACTCTGCCATTCCAGAATGAACGCAATAGTCATAACCATAGACAATAGTCATGACTGTGTTACTTTTTTGTTTTGTTTTGTTTTTGAGATGCAGTTTTGCTCTTGTTACCCAGGCTGGAGTGCAATGGTGCGATCTCGGCTCACTGCAACCTCCGCCTCCTGGGTTCAAGTGATTCTCCTGCCTCAGCTTCCCGAGTAGCTGGGATTACAGGTGCCCACCCCCACACCTCGCTATTTTTTTGTATCTTTAGTAGAAACAGGGTTTCGCCATGTTGGCCAGGCTGGTCTCCAACTCCTGACCTCAGGTGATCTGCCTGCCTCGGCCTGCCAAAGTGCTGGGATTACAGGTGTGAGCCACCACCCCCGGCCGACTGCGTTTCAATAAAACTTTATTTGTAGTCACTGAAATTTGGATTTCATGTAATTTTCACCTGTCATGACATATGCTTTTTGTTTTTCTTTGATGATTGATAGTTTGCCAACTTCTGCTTTAAACTGAGGTTCTTTGAGCAGTTACTCCAACGTAACCTAGCTCTGGCCTTCCCTCTGGTGTGCCCACGTTCTCTCATTTTCTTCCTTTCTTTTATTCAATAGAGAAACCAAAATATATTAGAGAGACCCTAGAGACTTACTGGCCCAACAGAGAGTTGCTCCTTGATTTCATAGCAGGGATTGAAAAATGACTTGGAGAAAGGATAGTTTTTTACCTGGTGAGTACATTTCATTTCCTGCTGTTTCTCCATACCCAGAGTCATCTCATATGTGCACGATTGGAGCACTTCCTGCATTTTGGAAAACACTCGGTTGGCTCAAGCCCTTCCTGTGCATTATTTATATGACAGTTACAGGTCAGGAGTGATCTGCAATGCCCTTTACACATTGTTCACATTGGCACGTTGCTAGCTGGTGACCCTGGTATACTCAGTATCAGCCAGGATGTTGCAGAACCAGCTCCCAGTTGGACATGGGGCTGCTTACCAGTTTGCTGTGACCTCTCTTATTGCCCCCCAAGCTTATCTAAGCCTGTATCCTCAGGTGCTTGGATTCACCCTCATAGTCCTGTGTACCTCCAGCGTGGCTGTCGCTCTTTGGAAAATCCAACAGGGAACGCCTGAGGCCCCAGAATTCCTCATTCATCCTACTGTGTGGCTCACCACGATGGTAATGATGCCTTCAGTCTGGAGCCCGGCTTCCTCCCAGCTGCTGCTTTGCCTGCCACAGTGGAGAACAAGGGGAAGAGAAGAGGCTCCCCTCAGCCTCCCACCCTCCCCTAAGGGGCCTCCCTGACTTTCCCGTCCAGAGCTTCGCAGTGTTCCTGATTCACACCGAGAGGAAAAAGGGAGTCCAGTCATCTGGAGTGCTGTTTGGTTACTGGCTTCTCTGCTTTGTCTTGCCAGCTACCAACGCTGCCCAGCAGGCCTCCGGAGTGGTAAGTCGGGGCGTGGGCCACCCTGGGAAACCAAAATGGTGGCTCATGCCTTGGGTCCCTTCCTTTCTCCTCCTGTTTCCACATACAACTTATTCTCTATACAGTGACACACACAAGCCAGTCACTTACACTCTAGAGACACAAAATCCACTCCCGCACCTGTCAGTACCCATCATCCCATACATTGCTTATCCACACAATTTCCTGTCTTACACGCCCACATCACACGTGCCACTTGCACACGATGCACACACTTATAGGCACTGATTCATACATCGCACAAGTACATGCATGCATGCACACACACACAACCTGGGCACAGACACACCTGTGTGCACACATACCCCTCCGTGCACACCTCCCCTCATGTCATGGATTCACCCTCCCCATGTTCCTATGCACCTATATTTACACACTCATTCTGCACACCACTCGTATTTCTGTTGCCCAATCTGGGAAGCAGCTTTTTTTTTTTTTTTTTTTTTTTTGAGAGGCTTGCTCTGTGGCCCAGACTGGAATGAAGTGGCATGATCTCAGCTCACTGCAATTTCTGCCTCTCGGGTTCAAGCACTTCTCCTGCCTCTGCTTCCTGTGTAGCTGGGATTACAGGTGTGTGCCACTACACCTGGCTTATTCTAAATTTCTACTAAATTTCTACTAAAAATTTCTACTAAATTTCTACTAAAAATTTTTGTATTTTTAGTAGAGACGAGGTTTCACCATGTTGGCCAGGCTGGTCTCGAGCTCCTGACCTCAAGTGATCCACCTGCCTTGGCCTCCCAAAGTGTCGGGATTACAGGCGTGAGCTCTTGTCATTCGGCCGGAAGCAGCGTTTCTCTATTAGGAGACATGATGGGTCATTTTCTCTGTAAAGAGAAAAACATGTAGCCTAGACCAACTTCCCTCAGCCTCAGCTTTAGTAATGTTGTGGCCAGACAATTCTTTGTTGGGTGGACAGGGCTGTCTTGTTTGCTGCAGGGTGTGAAACAGCATCCCTGGCTTCTGCCCATAGGTGCCAGTAGCATACCATCCAATTGCAGTAACCCAAAATGTCTCCAGATATTACCAAGTGTCCCTGGGGGTGAGGAGGACAAAGTCACCCACCTATTGAGAAGCACTGGCCTCGACAGTGTGCTTAGCCAAGGCTTCTGGGAGAGGGAGTTATCTTAACACCAATGAACAGGCTGCAGCAGGTTTCAGATATTTTACTTCATTATTTTATTTTTGTGGAGACAACATCATGCTTTGTTGCCCAGGCTGATCTTGAACTCCTCGGCTCGAGCAATTCTCTGACCTCAGCCTCCTAAAATGCTGGGATTAGAGGCATGAGCCACCACGTCTGGACTCACAGATCATTTCTTCAGTCCAGTGGTTACTCCATCCTGCCCCTAAAGGAGAAGGTAGAGAAGCATCACCCTGTCCTTAAGGACAGAGTTTTTATTTTTTGTTTGTTCATTCTGAGACAGAGTCTTTCTCTATTGCCCAGGCTGGAGTGCAGTGGCACGATCTTGGCTCACTACAACCTCCACCTCCCGGGTTCAATCGATTCCCATACCTCAGCCTCCCAAGTAGCTGGGATTACAGGCATGTGCCACCATGCCCGGCTAATTTTTGTATTTTTAGTAGAGACAAGGTTTCAATATGTTGGCCAGGCTCATCTCAAATGCCTGACCTCAAGTGACTCACCCGCCTCGACCTCCCAAAGTGCTGGGATTACAGGCGTGAGCCACAGCGCCTGACCGAGGACAGAGTTTTTAAAAGAGTAACCTTTGTAACTAAGGGGAAATTCCACAGGTTATTCAGTAATTTCTGAAATGGTGGGCTCCCACAGTTGACATAAGTCAGCCTTTTGGGACACAGCATAGAAACAATAATACTGGGACCATATACACTCTGGGGTTCCAACCATGTGCCAGGCACTGTGGCAGGCACTTACACACGTCTCCTCACTGGATTCTCACAAGAGTTCACAGTGATGGGTTCTTCTTTATTTTTTTAAATAGAAATAGAAACAAAGTCTCATTATGTTCCCAAGGCTGGTCTCAAACTCCTGGGCTCAAGCGATCTTTCCACCTAAGCCTCCCAAAGTGCTGGGATTACAGGCTTGAGCCAATGTGCCCCAGCCAATGATGAATTCTAGCCGTCCCATTTTAAAGATGAGGGAGACTAAGGCTAGGAGAAGGGAATGACGGCCTCAGGGCCACAAAGCTTGGGAGTGCAGAGCCCGAGTTCATCTCAGGCAAATTCAGAACAAACTTTCTGAGAGAAACAGTGGGGAAACAGTGGGAGTTTAGGGAAGATGGGCCATATTGTCATTGGAATATCCAATTGTCTGCTATCTGCCAAAAAACAAACAAACAAAAAAAACCCAAAACTAGAAGAGTATAAAATCCAGTAGAGGAATCATGATTTAAAACTAGGGCTCTGGTTTAAAGCCATAAAACCTCAGTTCACACTAGCTTAATGAAAAGGGTAAGTCAAGGGGGTTCATTAGCTCATGCATTCATTAGCTCATACCCATGGGATCTCCCAGGCATGACTGATCCAGGCCTGGGACCAGGTACCATCACCAGATCTCCACTTCTGCCTCTTGGCTCTGCCATGTTAGCTTGATTCTCCAATGGAGTGGCAAGAAGAGCCACCAATACCTTCACACTTACATTCTAGCATGTAGCAAAGCCAGCAGAATCTCCCGATGGTTCCAGCTCTCAAGTACCCAGCATGGGGTGCTATGTGCATTCCTAACCCTGCCATGGTAGCCAAAAGACCAGAACGTATTCGTTGGCCAGGCCTCATTCACCCACCCAGCCTCGGAGTAGAGTCAGTTCTGCACAAATCACACGCCCGAACACAAGCAAAAAACTTAGGAAGAAAGAAAATCAGTACATGGAAGAGATCTCTGCACTCCCATGATTATTACAGCACTGTTCACAATAAACAAGATTTGGAAGCAACCTAAGTGTCCATCAACAGATGAATTGATAAAGAAAATGTGGTATATATACACAATGAAGTACTATGCAGCCATAAAAAAGAATGAGGTACTGTCATTTTCAACAACATGGATGTTAAGTGAAATAAGCCAGGCACAGAAAGACAAACTTTACATATTCTCACTTATTTGTGAAAGCTAAAAATTAAAACAATGTAACTCATGAACATATAGAGTAGATGGAAGGTTACTAGAGGCTAGGAAGGACAGTGGGTGGGGGAAATGGGGATGGTTAATGGGTACAAAAAAACAGAAAGAATAATATCTATTTGATAGCACAACAGGGTGACTATAGTCAATAATAATTTAATTGTACATTTTAAAATAACTAAAAGATGCTGGACACAGTGGCTCACACCTGTAATTCCAGCACTTTGGGAGGCCAAGGCAGGAGGATCATCTGAGGTCAGGAGTTCAAGACCAGCGTGGGCAACATGGTGAAACCCTGTCTCTACTAAAAATACAAAAAAAGTAGCCAGGCGTGCTGGCACACATCTGTAATCTCAGATACTCAGGAGGCTAAGGCAGGAGAATCACTTGAATCCAGGAGACGGCGGTTGCAGTGAGCCAAAATCAAGCCACTGCACTCCAGCCTGGGCAACAGAGTGAGACTCCAACTCAATAATAAACTAAAAAATAAAATAACTACAAGAGTAGACTGGATCATTTGTAACAGAAAGGATAAATGATTGCGGGGATGGAGACCTCATTTACCTTGATGTGATTATTATGCATTGCATGCCTGTATCAAAATATCTCACGTCATCCAGAAATATATATATCAGGCCGGGCGCGGTGGCTCATGCCTGTAATCCCAGCACTTTGGGAGGCCAAGGCAGGCGGATCACCTGAGGTCAGGAGTTCAAGACCAGCCTGGCCTACATGGTAAAACTCCATCTCTACTAAAAATACAAAAATTAGCCAGGGGTCATGGCACATGCCTGTAATCCCAGCTACTCAGGAGGCTGAGGCAGGAGAATCGCTTGAACCCAGGAGGCGGAGGGTGCAGTGAGCCAAGATCATGCCACTGCACATCAGCCTGGGTGACAAAGCACGACTCCGTCTCAAAAAAAAAAAAAGTATACACACACACACACATATACCTAAAATTAAAAAATAAAAAATGCTTTAAATTAAAAAAAGAAAGAAAATTAGGGTGTTTCTGACCAGATGACAGGGCAGCAGATGCAAAAATCATTGTGGTGTGGCAGCAGGAGCATCACAATTTGGACCAGATCATCTGCGTGTCCTTGAACAAGGTGCTGTCACTTCTCTGAGCCTTGGTTTCCCCATGAGTCAAAGGAAGCAAGTAAACTCCAGCTGATGAGACTGTGTATGGCAAGAATGTCGCATGTGCTCAGGGCAGGGTCAGTGCTCAATAAAACCAGCTCTCATCTCTGCAAACCAGAGAACCCTGGCCAAGGGGGACTATGAACATTCCAAATGAAGAAAAACAGTGGCTCCTAGACTCATTGCCCAGAGGAGGACTATGAACATCTTAGCAAGTCTCCCCCGAGGTTTTCCTAGAATAGATGTCTCTACGTAGTTAATAAAAACATACATTCAAGTTTTGCAGCTTTTTGCTCCACTTTACACTTTAAGTTGAACGTTTACACTTCCCATTCCAAGATCTTCAGAAACATGTTTAGAAAGAGAAGAATATCCCAACAACAGTCTGTTTAACCTCTTCCCCTAATGCTGAACTATTGTTGCTTTAAGCATACATTTTCTGTGTGTGTTTCAGATGTAGTTTCCTTAGGAAAGATTCTCTATGCTGTGCAACAATTCCCCATGTGTCTCTTACATTTCTGCACATCTTGTGTCAGCGTTTGTTCTAGACCGTCTTCATAAGGATGTTTGTATAGCTAATAGCATTGGAAGATAGGGCTAATATAGTAGAAGACAGATTTATTTGCTGATTAGGATTATAACGATAATATCTCCAGACCAGGCACAGTGGCTCATGCCTGTAATCCCACCAATTTGTGAGGCTGAGGCAGGCAGATGACCTGAGGTTGGGAGTTTGAGACCAGCCTGGCCAATATGGTGAAACCGCCGTCTCTACTACAAACACTTAAAAAATTAGCTGGGTGTGGTGGTGGGTGCCTGTAATCCCAGCTACTTGGGAGACAGGTGGGAGAATTGCTTGAACCCAAGAGGCAGGGGTTGCAATGAGCTAAGATCATTCCACTGCACTCCAACATTGGTGTGACAGAGCAAGACTCTACCTCAAAAAAACAAAAAACAAAAAAAGAAGAAGAAAAAGAAAAAGAAAAAGAAAGGATTATAATGACAATGTCTCCCTCCATCCAGGGTAAAGGTTGAAAAGACCAAGATTCCTAAACTTGGGGTTCCTCAGGTGTGATGCAAATCCACTGCAGGCACAGATTCTACCTGGATCCATCCGTGTATTACTCATTTCTCACACTGCTAATAAAAACATACCCAAGGCTGGGTGTGGTGTCTCACACCTGTAATCCTAACACCTTGGGAGGCCGAGGTGGGCAGATTGCCTGAGCTCAGGAGTTTGAGACCAGCCTGGGCAACATGGTGAAACCTCATCTCTACTAAAATACAAAAAATTAGCCAGGTATTGTGGTGCACACCTATAATCCTAGCTACTCAGGAGGCTGAGGTGGGAGAATCGCTTGAACCCGGGAGGTGGAGGTTGCAGTGAGCCAAGAATGAGCCACTGCACTCCAGCCTGGGCGACAGAGTGAGATTCTGTCTCAAAAAAAGAAAAAAAAAAGGCTAGGCATGGCTGTAATCTCAGCACTTTGGGATGCTGAGGTGGGCAGATCACCTGAGGTCAGGAGTTCAAGACCAGCCTGACCAACATGGAGAAACCCCATCTCTACTAAATATACAAAATTAGCTGGGTGTGTTGGTACATGGCTGTAATCCCAGCTACTCAGGAGGCTGAGGCAGGACAATTGCTTGAACCTGTGAGGCAGAGGTTGGGGTGAGCTGAGATCCTGCCATTGCACTCCAGCCTGGGTGACAAGAGTGAAACTCTGTCTCAAAAAAACCAAAAAAACAAACAAACAAAAAACATACCCTAGACTGAGTAATTTATAAAGGAAAGAGATTTAATTGACTCAGGGAGGCCTCGGGAAACTTACAATCATGGCAGAAGGGAAAGCAAACATGTCCTTCTTCACATGGCGGCAGCAAGGGGAAGAATGAGCAAAAGAAGAAAAAGCCCCTTATAAAACCATCAGATTTTGTGAGAACTCATTCACTATCATAAGAACAGCATGAAGATAACTGCCCCCATGATTAAATTACCTCCCACTGGGTCCCTTCCATGACACATGGGGATTGTGGGAACTACAATTCAAGATGAGATTTGGGTGGGGACACAGCCAAACCATGTCAACCTGTGTCACCCTTGAGGGACTTGGGGGTCAAAGGGAACTGGTGCAGACATGAAGCTCAAGCTTCCTGTTGTACCATGAAAAATAAAGTCCTTTATCTCTCAATCCAGAGTCTCATGTCTTCTGCCCACATCCATAAAACTCGCTAGCCTCCATGTAGGATAATATCTTAGACCAGCACAGTTCTTGACACTCTAGAAGTGAATTTGTTGGATCAAAAAGCATGAACAATTGCTAAAACTCTTAATATGTCTTGTCAATTAGCTCTCCAAACAAATATGAGTCATTGCCTGAAATCTCTTTTGTCCTCAGGAAGGGATAGAGCTGCTTGACTCAGATCTCCCAGGTGGCCTTAGACCGTAATGTCTTCCTTTCGTGCAGAGCTCTTACCATCCTAAGCCACTACTCCTACCTAATATTCTATAAAAAGCTTTTTCTCCCTACCCAGTGTCTCCAATGAGCTGACTTTCTTTTCTGGATTACTCTTTTATGTAATAAAAAGTAGACATGAGGGTCAAACAGAAAGGGAAAAAGGGGAATTTGTTTAATTTCTACCAAGTGCCAGGCATAGTACAAAGAACATTTAGATAAGGCAGAAGGCATTAATTATTTTTATCTACCCAGAACCCCCTGCCCCACCTAAGCACCCCAGCCCCTGACCTGGCCACGTGGGTGGCTATGTGACCCGAGCTGAACCAATCAGAGTCCTTCCCTGGGATCTTTTTCACATCATAACCACATGAGAAGGTCTCCCATTATGAAACAGAGAAGCTTGTTGGCAGCCATGGTTCTAGCCAAGGATGGAAAAAACAACCAAAAAAAGAAAAGAAACAAAAAAAACCCACCATGGTAAAAATATATATATATAAAAATGAAAAAGATATGACAGACAGACAGACATGGGGAATGGTCTCTTTCCAGTTGCCCCTGCCACTCAACTGCTCTCCTACCTTCCTGGATTTGGTTATGAGAGTCAATAAATTATCCCCTTTTATTGCCTAAATGACTTCCATATGAGTTTCTGCTCCTTGCAACCAACATAATCTTGACAATTAATAGTAGCTAGCATTTTGTGAGTGTTTACTGTGCCATGCCCATTAATACACCTAATCCTCTCTACAATTGGACAGGTAAGGTGCTTTTAGTAACCTCCAATGTACAAAAAGGAAAACAAGTTGGGTGAAGTGAAATGACTTGCTCACAGTCGCTGGGCTAACAAGGGGGCAGAGTCAAAGTTTAAAGCCAGAGCCCATACTCTTCCCTATTGTATAACACAGACATGCTGTCTCTGTTCCCAGTGCTGGGGAATGCAGAGAACTGGGGACTGAAGGAAGAGCAGGCGTTCAGGTAAGCATTAATCAGGGGACCTTCCACAAGGGAAAAGGGAGTACTGGCCCAGTTGAAGTCCAGCCAGCACTCAGCGTGGTCAAGGATGGGGTGGTGCTCTCTCCAGCCATTCAAGGTGCTGAGAAAAGAACAGAACTTTCATCTGAGGAATACAAGCCTTTTAAATTATTAGGCCCAGAGAGGCAATAGAACGAGATAGCAATCATGTCCTACATACCCCCTTTGAGCTCGGTATTCATTTCTTAAAACTGCTTGCCATTGCCACAAGTAGCTATAAATTAATCTAATAATGCCCCCACTGGATGCTATAACCCACACCTTATAGCTTAACAATGTATAGCCAATCACTCGTCAATGTTATTTCTGAAAACCAGTGAGAATTCCTGACAACCAACTGTGTACCAGCCCACTCCATGTCCCCCTTTTTTGCCTTTATAAATCCACTTGTAACTGCTGCTAATTGGAGTGTATATTCAGGGAAACTTGAATCTACGCTCCCTGGCTACAGTCCTCAAGCTTGGCCCAAACAGAGTCTTTACTTATATTAATTTTGCCTCAGCTTCTTCCTTTTAGGTTGACAGTGCTACAGGCTGAATTATGTCCCCCTAAAATTCAAATTTGAATAAATGTTCAAATATGAATTTGAGGCCAGGCACAGTGGCTCATGCCTGTATCCCAGTACTCTGGGAGGCCGAGGTGGGCAGATCATCTTAGGTCAGCAGTTTGAGACCAGCCTGGCCAACATGGCGAAACCCCATCTCTACTAAAAATACAAAAATTAGCCAGGTGTGGTGACGCATGCCTATCATCCCAGCTACTTGGGAGGCCAGGATAGGAGAATCACTTGAACCTGGGAGGTGGAAGTGGCAGTGAGCCAAGATCGCACCACTGCACTCCAGCCTAGGCGACAGAACGAGACTGTCTCTCTCTCCCTCTCTCTCTCTCTCTCTCTCTCTCTCTCTATATATATATATATATATATATATATGTATATATATATACATATATATATATATATACATATATATATATACATACATATATATATATATATATATACATATATATATATATATATGAATTTGAAGCCCTTCAACCATATGGATCATATGTTGAAGCCCTAACCCCCTAGCACCTCAGAATATCACTGTATTTGGAGATAGGGGCTTTAAATAGGTGATTAAGTTTAAACCTATTTAGCTCATTTAGGGTGAGCTCTAATCCAATCAGACTCATGTTGTTATAGGAAGAGGAGATTAGGACACACAGAGAGACACCAGGGATGGACAGGCACAGAGGAAAGACCATCTGAGGACACACCAGAATCGACCATCTGCAAGCCAAGAGGAGGTCTTTGGAGGAACCAACCCTGCTGACACCCTGATCTCAGACTTCCAGCCTCCAGAATTGTGAGAAAATTAATCTCTGTCATTTAAGCCACCCAGTCTGTAGTACTTTGTTATGGCAGCTCCAGCAAACTATATCTACAGTAATCCATCACCACTTATGACAGGCTCTGCCACATAGTAGGTGTGTGTGCACACACCACACACAAACATGTTTAGAATATGAAATCCGTGAACCCTACTCCCACACTGATAACAGTTCAGGAACAGTTGATTTTCCCTCAGGGAATCTGGTTTGTTTTCCTAGTTTCCATCCCATCAAGACCCCTTCCCACCCGCTGGGAAATACTTGCCTGAACCCCTCGTTCCTTTCACAACACACACCTGATGGTAGGAAGAAGCTTCCAACTCTGATATTGACAGGGTGCTTGTAACCTAGCACCCTTTCTCCTACCTTGTTATGGAAAAATAAATCCTTTATCCTATTTCAACTACAGTCTTGGCAAAGGAAAAAACAAAACAAAAAAGGAAACCAGCCTAGAAATGGAAACCAAAGATCATGAACAGTGCTATGCTGAGTTACAGCTAAGGGTTGGCCTTTCTGGAGCTGGCTGCCTTCAGATGGCAGGGCTCTGAGAGTGTGTGTGTGTGTGTGTGTGTGTGTGTGTGTGTGCCAGAAGCACAAGATGACACACCCTGTGGTGGGGTCAGGCAAGCTGATTGTGGGAAAGGTGGGAACAGAATATTTTACAACAATGTTGGAAAAATGGGTTTACGTTCTCTGAGAGGAAGATACCCAAAGCTTCAAGCTCACCTCAGGGGAAAATTGAGCTAGGTTCCCATGCTCTCCACTTGGATCTCACGCACATGAACACACATACAACCTTCTCCTCAATATTCACAAGAGGCCTCTGTTGTCTGCTTCTCCAGAGAGCGGAGGTGAATTTACCTGAAGCTAATGAGGCTTGGGCTTCAGGGTCTTTTCCTTGTACCTGTCTCTTTAAATGCTGGACTTGGGGAAGGCTTTAGGTGAGAAGGGAAAGCTGGGTTTCAATAATGAAGCACCTCTATGTTCACATTTCTGATTAATTGCCTACACAGATCCCAGAAGAATGGAATGGAAATAGCTAAAGGCTCCAGAATTTTCTCTTTTTATTTTTTTGAGACAACATCTCACTCTGTTACCCCCAGGCTGGAGGCTGGAGTGTGGTGGCAAGATCATCGCTCACTGCAGCCTCTAACTCCCTGGCTCAAGCGATCCTCCCACCTCGGCCTCCTGAGTAGCTGGGACTACAGGCACACACCACCACACCTGGCTAATTTTTTGAATTTTTTTTTTTGTAGAGATGGGGGTCTTGCCATGTTGCTTAGGCTGGTCTTGAACTCCTGGGCTCAAGAAATCCTCCTACCTTGGCGTCTCAAAAAGCTGGGATTACAGGCATGAGCTACCATGTCCAGGCAGCTACAGGAATATTATACTTAATTTCTCATTCCAAAATAACATTCTCTTTTGTGCCTAATTTTAAATTCATAATTTTGTATTCTTTTTCTTAAACAGAGATCCCCATATTATATAAGCTTCAGTCCCCACAAAAACTGGATCTGGTTCTGCCAAAATGATATATCCTTTATGATATTTATAGAGACGTTCTGATTATTTCTGAACATCTCAGACTTTCTGGAACCAAGACAGGTTCGATTATGAACATCTGTTGTCTAATTTTAAAGACCAAGGGGGAAGCCGGGTCCTTATGAGGGCCATAAAGGCTCCAAGCTAGATGGATATTGGGCGAGTGGGTTAGCAGAGATGTCCTAAAGCAATGAATTACACTAATGGGAAGAACAAAAGGTAAGTCTAATCACAGATGTCTTGGTTTTCAAGCTAGTCAGACTTCAGATAACTGTCAAATCTTCAGCCATAAATCGAAAGTGGAGGAGAATTAAAGACCCATCCTTGTTTGCTTACAGAATTTACTTAATTTAGCCACTCTATCCTTAATTGATAGCAACAGGTTTTTTCAAAATAGCCAAAGTAATCTATGCTTTGCTACATAATAGCAAAAGTAATATCCAACATTCATCAACACCTACTATGTTATACCCTTGACAGGGTTTCCTATTTTAGTAGTCAAAGCAATTTCATGGAGTAGCAATTACAGTTGTAATTTCACTAGTGAGAATGCAGAGTGAGGCTCAGAGAGGTTAAGGAACTTACCCAAGGTCACACAGCTAGTGAGTGGAGAGTTGGAATTTCATCTCTCTGATTTTAAAGTCTGGGCCCTTTCCTCTACTGCCTCTCTCTGAACTCAATGACACATCCTAAGTAAGTAAGGGCTTCTACACAGGATGGGTTAGACTATGCTGCAGTAACAAACAACCCCTGGATCTCAGGAACTTAAAACAAAATTTCAGGCTGGGTGTGGTGTCTCACACCTGTAATCCCAGCACATTGGGAGGCCAAGGCCAGTGGATCACTTGAGGTCAGGAGTTCGACACCAGCCTGGTCAACATGGAGAAACCCCATCTCTACTAAAAATACAAAAATTAGCCAAGCATGGTGGTGGGTACCTGTAATCCCAGCTACTTGGGAGGCTGAGGCATGAGAATCACTTGAACCTGGGAGGCAGAGGTTGCAGTGAGCCGAGATCACACCATTGCACTCCAGCCTGGGTGACAGAGCGAGACTCTGTCTCAAAAAAAAAAAAAAAATCTAGAAATAACTCCAACCTTATTTTCTTGAACACGACTCATCCTGACCCTCCAGCACTCCATTGATCTGGTCTAAATATATGGAATCCTGCAGATGAAGACACCAGCACCCAAAGCTAATGGGACACAGAAAACAGAGGCCACTCAAATAAATGTCAGCACTCCTAGTTACTGAATACTCTGTGTCTGGCAAGTTTCATCATTAGTCAGTTATTCATTCACTCAATCAACAACTACTTACTGAGTTAATATGGCAGCATGGTTATGAGCACAGACTCTGGAGCAAGAGGTCCTAGGTTCAAATCCCAGTTACCCTGCTTATCAGCTAAATGACTTCTCAGTGCCTTGGTTTCTCCATCCAGAAAAATGGGGATTATAATTAATAATTGCCTACCTCATTGGGTTAAGTGGATAAACTAAGAACAGTGGCATGCCCATATGACATGCTCTATAATTTTTATTATCACTGTGTGCCAGGCATTATTCTATATGATGGAGGATGCAGCTATGAATAGGGCAGACAAGGTGCCTGTCTTTACAGAGCTTCTATTCTAGTGAAGGAGAGAGGCTTTATTAGCGAGTAATCCTTGATCGAGCCATACCTGAAGCTAATGCCACATCCTTCAACCTTCCAATTTCCCCAGGCATTAAGTTCTTTTTTCTTTTCTGCCTAGGCTAGCTTGCACTGAGTTTCTCTCCCTTGTGAACCAAAGTGTCCTGACCAGTACAGAGGTCTAAAGCCTAAGCTCTTTCCAGTCTGCCCCTTGCCCCTTTCCAGCTGAAGCCCTATTCATTTGCACCCAACATCATCATTGCGTCCAGTGCCTCACCACTTGGTGAGACCCTTGAATATTCAAACCAGCGTGTAAGCAGAGAGTTAGGAACTATAAACAGTAAATTATAACAAGCATGAAATGGAAGCCTGATGCTGATCATTCACAAGAGAGCAATCAAATCTGTCTTGGTGCCTACATGTTTTATGGAAAACATGTCTATGTTTTAAAAGTGTTTTTGAAATAAAAAATAATTTACTAACTAAATTAGATTTCCACATGTTTTATCTAGTTAACCCATCCCTTATCATAAGAAACGTAACTTCTTTTTTTTTTTTTTTTTTTTTTTTTGCGATGGAGTCTCACTCTATCACCCAGGCTGGAGTGCAGTGGTGTGATCCCGGCTCACTGCAACCTCTGCCTCCTGAATTCAAGTGATGCTCCTGCCTCAGCCTCTCAAGTAGCTGAGATTACAGGTGTGCATCACCATGCCCAGCTAATTTTTATAATTTTAGTAGAGATGGGGTTTCACCATGTTGACCAGGCTGGTCTTGAACTCCTGACCTCAAGTGATCCTCCTGCCCCGGCCTCCCAATCATGGTGGGATTATAGGCTTGAGCCCCTGTGCCTGGCCTAGAAAGCTAACTTCTTAATTGCAAGCTACTTTCATCAATATAATGCATTTGTCTCACTCCTTAAAGGACTCCTGTCACAGTGGATTGGCAATGAACTGGTCAGACACAAGAGGCAGTGGAGTATTAGTAAAATACACGTGGATTTGGAGTCAGACCTACCTAGGTTTAAATGCTGGTTTTATCGCATACTAGTTGTATGCCTTCATTGGGGTTTCCCAAGAATCAGACCCTGAGACAAGACTCCAAGAGTAAGTCATCTATGTGGGAGGTAAATGAAACATGACACAGGAAATGAAATAGGTCAGGGAGGCAGCCAGTAAAGGGCATATTATAAAACAAGTTACCACTTGGGACAATAACTGGAGCTTAAACTTGCTGGAAAACTCTAGGATACACTGTAGAACATCTCTAGCAATGTGCTGGTAGATGTTTAACAACCAACACTGCAGAAAAATATTAAAAGCCCAGATTTGTAGTGTCTGCCCATATCCATGGTGTAAATCCTCCCACCATGGCTGATTTCACACTACCTTGTCCCTGAACAAGGACTTGGGGAAAGATGCACATACCAGCTCTTGCTTCATAGTTATCTGACCTAAGGGGTGAGGGAGATGGGGTACTTATCCACATACACCAACTCTCATCAGTTCCTGGTGGAGGGATGCTCCCAGGGCAGGTGTTGATTCCTCCAAGACTTCCAAGCCATCATATGGGTGGGCAAAGACAGTACAACCAGAAAAAGACCTCAGAAAGAGGGCCAGGCATGGTGGCTCACGCCTGTAATCCCAGCACTTTGGGAGGCCAAGACAGGTGGATCACCTGAGGTCAGGAGTTCGAGACAGCCTGGCCAACATGGCAAAGCCCCACATCTACTAAAAAAAAAAAAAATAGCTGGGCATGGTGGTGCATGCCTGTAATTCCAGCTACTCAGGAGGCTGAGGCAGGAGAATTGCTTGAACCTGGGAGGCGGAGATTGCTGTGAGCTGAGATCACGCCACTGCACTTCAGCCTGGGCGACAGAGTGAGACTCCATCTCAAAAAAAAAAAAAAGAAAAGAAGAAGAAAAAGTCCTCAGAAAGAGAATGCAACTACATTTGGATGGGTCAGTGGATGCTTAAGAGGTAAAGGGTTAGAAGATACAAGGGAAGCACTGAAAGCATCTGTTACTCTGTGCAATTGTGAAAACGTTATTTCATTTCTCTAGGCTTCCAATATTGCATTGGTAAGATATGATTCATTGAATCTTCCAACAAATATTCATGGAGCACTTAGTATATACCCGGCAATCTTCAGGCCACAGGAAACAGAATGTTGAGTTACCATGACAAAGTCACTGTCACAGAGCCAGTGGGGAAAGCAGCCTCTAAACATGCCACCCAGTAAGTAACAAAGATCATTTCAGGAATGGTGAGGACTATGATGTTAGAGAGGGTGATGGGAGGGAGAATAATGTAGCGGAGAGGACATGAACGGGAAAATCTTTCTGAAAGGGTAACGTGTAAGGTGAGGTTCAAGAGATGAGAGGAAATGTGTTGTAAAAAGATCTGGGAGCAGCATTCCAGGTGGAGGAAACTGCATGTGCAAAGGCCCAGAGGTGGGAAGGAGCTTGGCTTGTTCATGGAAAAGAATGGAAGCCAGTGTGTCTAGATCAAAATGAATCAGGCAGAAGGTAACCAGGAAACAGAGTGGAGGGGCAGGCAGGAATCAGTGTCTGCAGTGCGTGCTCAGCATCATAAAGGGTTTGGGTAGTAAGACAACCCTGAAGAGTTGTTAAATGAGCTCCCATGCATGTAACTGGCATTACTCATGTTATTAACCTGGGAAACTGTCACGTCTCTTACTTTTCCATTTAATCTCATGCCCATCCTCTTTGCTCACAGGAGCCAAGAAGTCCAGTATCTCACTCCACATCTGCCTTCTCGTGGTCCAACACTCTGCCGACTCAGTTAATCCAAAGATCACTTCCAAACTTCAGGCTGGTGGAAACCTGAGGAGTCGGATCCATTCATAGGCAGCCCCATTTTCACCTTCCCTTGTCCCCGAGGCTGCCATTAGGTTGAAAACCAGTCTGGTACTGTCAGCGTGTCTTTGTCTACAGCTATGAAAAAGTCCACATAGTCCAGTCTCTACATAGGGCACAATGATTCTCCTCTACATCTCAGCTACCAGGTACCAGCTTGTCGAACACACATGCAAACATTCAAACCCTTCTCAGGTTCCCCTCTAGGGCCTTCAGGGACTTATCCGGCATACCTGAGGTTGGGGCCATTGCAATCTATTCTTAGTCTAGTGTTAAGCCGGGTCAACAGCGGAGATGCTCCTTCTCCTTGAACTAATTTTATTTCCAGAGTTTCATTTTCCTTCCCTGCAACATTAGACACCATTTGGGGATATTTTTATCCATCCATATGGATTTCAAAATCTCATAAAGAAGGAGCTGGGAGAAGAATGAGGAATCACTGATTTTAATGACTGTATTTGTTGATCTCTTACTCCATTCCTGGACCCATGTTGAATAACATAAATATATATGCATGTACACATGCTATACATGGTATCTAGATGCTATATGTGTTATATATAACATACATGTTATAATATATGTTAGATATGTATGTCATACATATTATAATATATAATTATACATTGTATATTGTATATTATACTGTTACATATAATATATAATTATACATTGTATAATTATATATTATGCTATTACATAGTATAATATATACTTATGTTTATATAATAAAATATAATGTATATGAAATATACATAATACATATATGATATATTATATAATTATATCATATAATATATAATTATGTATATTTCATATACCATATATTTTATCATACATAAATGTATAAGTTATATATAATATATAATGTCATATATTATATAAATTATAATTATTATATATTATATAAAACATATATTATATATAATACATGGTTTATATGTTATATAACATATATAACAAATTATATATTATATAACGTGTTATATAACAAATTATATATTATATAACGTGTTATATAACAAATTATATATTATATAACGTGTTATATAACAAGTTATATAATATACAATATATGTTATTAAAATAGATATTACAGAATATATTAAATAATATATGTTTTATATATTATATTATATATGTTTTTTATATATTATATAATATATATGTTTTATTTATATTATTTTTGTTTTTTTTGTTTTTTGGGGGTTTTCTTGAGACAGAGTCTTGCTCTATTGTCCAGGCTGCAGTGCAGTGGTATGATCTTGGCTCACTGCAACCTCCGTCTCCCGGGTTCAAGCAATTCTCCTGTCTCAGCCTCCCAAGTAGCTGGGACTACAGGTGCCCACAACCAGGCCTGGCTCATTTTTGTATTTTCTTTAGAGGCAAGGTTTCACCATGTTGGCCGGACTGGTTCTCAACTCCTGACCCCAAGTGCCCCGCCCACCCCATCCTCCTAAAATGCCGGGATTACAGGCATGAGCCACTGCATCCAGCCTATATATGTTCTTTCATCATCACCACATCATCTAATTTTACAGATGAGAACACTGAGGCTTGGGGAGATATTAAATGTCTTATCCAGATTGCATGCATGTAAGTGACATAAGCACGATTTGAAACTAAGCAATCCAACATGAGAGTCCTAGGTCTAGAGCCTCTCTGACCTGCTTTCTACCTAGAAATTATCTGAGTTCTTTATGCAAATTGATGCACTTTTTCATCCCTTTGGTCTCTTGAAGTGGCAGCTTTTGCTGCACCCAGTTCTCACAACAACTTGCAAAGAGGATCAACACACACGACTGATCACGAGATAAAGGAAGTCTGAAGCAGTCCCCACCAAACATGCAAATTCAATGAATGAAGATCCATTTCTTGCAGCTTTCTGCTTTGTATAATAACATTTGGCTGTGATGATCTATTATGACACTAATCCTTGCACAGCCCAGAGAAGATGGGCAATAGTTTTCTGGATGTCAGTGGGACTCTGGCACAAGGGCCAGCCAATTTTGGTGAGCGCAACAGGAAATTCTTTGCAATGTCCTTGTGAATCTGAGGTTACAAAGACTGGCTCAATCTGTCACAGGAAGCATGCTGGAATGCCTTTGTCCTTCTTTCTAGTTTTTCTTTCTTTCTTTCTAATAATTCTCAGTGTGGGAGAATATTATTCTTTCTAATAATTCTCGGTGTGGGCTTACATCCTTTGCTTTGGGAAAGGTTTCTATCATTAGACCTCTCTTTTCCCCCAACCAGCCAGCTGTGAAGCGGTTCACTGCGGACCCAACCTCTGGCATGACTGTGGATCAGCAGCACCAATGCCATGAAGACTGCAGACACACTGGAGAACCAAGGCTAATTCCCTTAGCCATTGAGCCTCCGCTTTCCATCCATGAAATGACTCTCAAAATGCCAGCTTGGGCTATTGCTTGCTTCAGAGCACCTAAGAGCATCTGAACAAAAGGAATATCTTTTTCACAGATGTAAATGAGGAAAGCGAGGATTATACAGTAGAAGAAGTGCTCTATAAGGCTGCTGAAGATCACAATTTTTTTTTTTTTTTGAGACAGTCTTGCTCTGTGTCCCAGGCTGGAGTGCAGTGGCGCAATCTCGGCTTACTGCAACCTCCGCCTCCCAGGTTCAAACGATTCTCCTACCTCAGCCTCCCAAGAAGCTGGGATAACAGGTGTGCGCCACCACACCTGGCTAATTTTTGTATTTTTTAGTAGAAACAGAATTTCACCATGTTGGCCAGACTTGAGGTCAGGTCTTGAACTCCTGACATCAAGTGATCCACCCTCCTTGGCCTCCCAAAGTGCTGGGATTATAGGTGTGAGCCACCGTGCCCGGCCTGAAGATCACAATTCTTATCTAACTCTGCTATTCATTGGCTGGGCCACCTTCGGCATGTCCATTAGCTTTCTGGTTCTTAGGACCCTCATGTCTAATAACAAGGTCTTTCCTACCTGCCCCACAGGGCTGTTGGGAGGACCAAATGAGATCAAGAATGCAAAAGCTCTCTGTCAACTGTGAAACACTACCAGGAGTAAAGATTCACAAGGCATGAGTTGCCACAAGGCAGTATAGCATGGTGGTTAGGAGGTTAAGCTCTTAAACCAGATTACTTGGATTCCAGTATAACCCCAGGATACTTAACTTTGTTTTGTGGTGGTGTTGTTTTGTTGGTGTTGTTGCTTGGTATTTTGTTTAATTTTTAGAAACAGGGTCTTGCTCTGTTGCCCAGGCTAGAGTACAGTGGGCATGATCATAGTTCACTGCAGCCTTGAACTCCTGGGCTTAAGCTATCCTCCTGCCTCAGCCTGTGGAGTAGCTGGGACTACAGGTGTGCACCACCACACCTGGCTAATTTATTTAATTTTTGTGGAGACAGGGTCTTGCTTTCTTGCCTCGGCTTGTCTCGAACTCCTGACCTCAAGCAATCCTCCCATCTTGGCCTCCAAAAGAGCTGGGATTATAGGTGTGAGTCACTGTGCCCAGCCAATTTAAATTCTTTAAGTCTCAGTTTTTCCATTTGTAAAATGGGCATAGTAATAGTACATTTGTCACAGAGTTGGTTTGTGATAGGATAAGGTGATGCATGTTCACTAGAAATGAAGAGAGAAGGGTTATGATTCATTGAAAAGAAAGAAAAACCTAGGCTGGGTGTAGTGGCTCACACCTGTAATCCCAGCACTTTGGGAGGCTGAGGCAGGAGGATGAATTGAGGACAGAAGTTCTAGACCAGACTAGGCAACATAGTGAGACCCTGTTTCTACTAAATAAATAAATAAATAAGCCAGGCATGGTGGCATGAACCCTGCAGTCCAAGCTACTCAGAAGGCTAAGGCAGGAGGATCACCTGAGCTCAGGAACTTGAGGCTGCAGTGAGTTATAATTGTGCCACTACACTCCAGTATGGGTGACAGACTGAGATCTTGTCTCTATAAAGAAAAAAAGAAGAAGAGGAGGTAGAAGAAGAAAGTCTGAACTACTCCCTGCAGGAAGAGTAGACAAGGTAAAGAGCCCTAGAAAAGATTCGTCCCCGTGCTTTCCTCTAGAATGAGGACTCCAGTAATTTATACCAGTGCTGGAGCACAGGCTTGACAATGGCTGGAGCTCAGCCTCCACAGTATCTGTTGTGATTAGTGCTCAAAAGCATAAAGCATAACTGGAACTAAGAAGAAACAAGATGCTCAAGGTCTCCCCTTCAGCCTTCCTTCCAAGTAACAGAATCATGATTTGATGATTTGACCCCTTCTTCTACCACCTCAATATTGAAATCTGTTTCCAATTCCCGTTACCTTAGAGAACACCATCAGATGTCCATTGTATATCTCAGATTCATTTCTTTCCAAAAACGAATTTAACTTGCCTTCCAAATAATTTTACTCCTAATTTTTAGCTCACTTTCTCCATGAATATCATCGCCATTCACCCAGTTACCCAAACCAAGAGCCTGAACAACATCTTTGAGTCCTTCTCCATCACACCCTACATTCAACCAATTGCCACCTTCTCTTTTATATACCTCCTTAAGTCACGGCCTTAATTTGGGAATGATCGTTTCTCATTTGGACTTGACTTCATGGTCAAATATGGCATCCAGAGATCTAGCCATTGCATCCTAATTCAAGACCAACAACAGGAAAAATGGGCAAAGAAATATGTGGTCCTCATTCTGAGAAAATGTCCATATTACTCTTCTCTTTGCATTCCTTGGCCAAAGCTAAATCACATGGCTTGGGTAGCCTCATGAGAGACTGGGAAATTAGAGGGTTTTGGTTTTGTTGTTGTTGTTTAAAGCAGAGTCTATGTCACCCTAATTAAAATCAGTGTTTCATCTTTTATTCTTCCTCAAATATTCAGTGTTAAAGTCACTAAAGGGCACCAACCAAAGTAAGCATCAATGAGAGGGGATAGGACAGAGATCTGGCATGGGGTGTTGAAGCCTAGAATTGGTGCACGACCTAGTTCTAGTCACGAAAAAGCATCAGACAATCCCCAATTGAGAGCTCTTATACAACATAAATGGCCTGTATCTTCAAAAGTATCAAGGTCGAGAAAGTAACAAAGAGACTGATGAATCTGCCGGAATAAGACGTGACAATTAAATGCTATGATAATCTTGCCCTGCAAGATTATAAAGGACATTATTGGGATGGTCAGTGAAACCTGAATGGGGCCTTTGGATTAGATGGTGGTAATGTATCAATGTTATAATAATTTCCTGACTTTAATGGTTGTATTATGGGCATATAGGAGAAGGTCCTTATTGCAAGAAACACACAGTAAAGTATTGGGAAATGATTCGAGGAGAGGGAAAACTTAATTGTACTGTTCTTCCAACTATTGTCTCAGTTTGAAATTTTTCCCCCGAAAATAAGGTGTTATTTCAGAGAAGAAAAGGGAATGTAGATGTTTCAATATGTAAATAGTAGGCTCCACCACAGATGGTATTTAAATAATGTATCAGAAGAGGTCATCCCAAGGGAGTAATATTTAAATCCAGAGCCAAAGAGAGAAAGCCATCCACGTGAAGAGCAAGGAGACAAAGTTTTCAGGCAGAAGGAACATGTGAGAAGTAGCTGAACTTGTTTTCAGAGTTATAACCCTAGCAATATGGTGGAAAATAACAAATAACTAGCAATGTGGTTGAAATAAACAAACTGCTATTCCTTCAGAAACATGAGTAAGCACCACTGTGTGCAGGAACTTGCAGCAGTCAGCTAGATGCTGTAAGACAAACAACCCCAAATCCCAGAAAGAGCTTATTTCTCTGCCATGCCCATATAGCTTGGCTGGAGCAGCTCTGCTGGAGGTTGCAGGTCTGAAGACATGCTGGGGCGGCTCTGCTCTAGATGCATCTCATTTTTCTAGGACCAGTGACCAACTAAGTCATGTTTTTCTCATAGAGAAGGCAAAAGCACAAGAAGGCAAACTCATCACACGAGAGCATTTCAAGCCTTTCATAAGGGTTATGTCCTCTCACATCCCATTAGCCAAAGAAAGTTAAGCTCAACTCAACAGTTGAAGGGTAGGGAAGTACACTATGCCATCTCTCAGGGAAAAGGAAGTCACATAGCCTAGCTGAACATCAATGATGTAATAGGAGAGGGAACAAATATTTACTAAACAATAGTCTCATCTACCGTAAAGCTCAAATACTTCACAAAAGAGCCACCCTTAGAAATAGCTTTTATCTCATCTATTTTATGGGTGAGTGGGGAAGAAGGATGACAAAGCCCCTTTAAGAATTTTATATACCCTAGACACATTCACTTTTGGAGGTCTCACCAGAAAGCATTTGAAACATGCTACAAATTTGCCTGTATCCTACATTAAATGGATTTTTGGCTCTAAACATTTTTTGAGAAAATTTTAAAATTCTGCTCCTGAAATTATCTGGCAATAGGTGATTTATTTAAATTTAGATTGGATGTGATTTCTTGGTAATTGTGCATATTCAGGAGGTCTAGAAAGTGGGAAATTCTAACTATCCACATTTTTCAGATGTAATGAAATCCCTAGGAATGTTAAATTTAACAATTAGTGATATTGACAAAGCAGCACAATTTGTAGGTAATTTTTTTTTTTTTTTTTAGAAGGAGTTTCACTCTTGTTGCCCAGGCTGGAGTGCAATGGCATGATCTCGGCTCACTGCCACCTCCACCTCCCAGGTTCAAGCAATTCTCCTGTCTCAGCCTCCTGAGTACCTGGGATTACAGGTTTACAGGCATGCACCACCATACCAAGCTCATTTTCATATTTTTAGTAGAGACAGGGTTTCACCATGTTGGTCAGCCTGGTCTCGAACTCCTGACCTCAGGTGATCTGCCTGCCTCAGCCTCCCAAAGTGCTGGGATTACAGTCGTGAGCCACCATGCCCAGCGTAGGTAATTTTTAAGATATTCATTAATTTCAATTTTGTCATTTTCTCTTTTGCATTTTTAAGCCAATGTGTGTGTGTGTATGTGTGTTTGTGTGGTGTTTTTTGTTTGTTTGTTTGTTTGTTTGTTTGTTTTTGGTCTCAAACATTTCTGTAGATCTTGAAAAACGTATAGGTCCCGGGAAGACCCTATGCCTAACGGATTAAAAATGCACATGATGCCTGGAATCAAAGCTAATTATTATTGGTTGGGAAATGGATACCCTCCCACTCCAGACTCCTCAGCACAGGAAAATAAGAGCAGCTAACTCCAACAGAACCCAATTCATTTAGGAGGCTCTCTGCCTCTGCATAAGGGTGAATGGTTTGGGATTGCTGCTCAGCAGAGCCCTTCATCTCATTCACCAAGCCATTCACACTGTATCCAGTCCATTTGTAAGGCAAATAAAAATGTCGTCTTCCAATCTTGGCTCATTTCATCTTATAAGAAAAGTCTCCCGTCCGATGCCTAGCCAACATTTCCCTGTTGTGATTAAAGAAACAGCAGGTAATAAAAGCTGGACTAGCGGTTGGTCCTCTAAGGACCAAAATATGGTTGAAGAAGCAATAACTTACCCCAGTGCCCCCAAGGCAAGTTGTCTCAATAATGTAACAAAGCTATACTTAATGGCAACAGAGCACGTTTCACTGATACTACACCGTAAACTGCCCGCTTTCAATTAGTTGCATATGTATTAAAGGGAGTCAACACATATTTACAGCAATCATTTCTATGTATACAAGATGCCACAAAAATGTAGCTTTCTGCTCCTTCTGGTCATTTGGCCACATAGGAATAATCACCAACCATAGATGCAATTCTGGAAAAGTCATTAATGCTCATCTCTATGGTTGCAAGAGATTATTGGGCTTCTATTTCATGCCAAGGCACTTTACATATGTAAATAATGGTGCATGCTTTGAATGAAGTCATGTTTTTGTGACCTACAATCCCCACTGGCTGCTGCAGCACCTGGCACATATTAGCCACTCAAGAAATTCTCGTTGAGTGAATAAATGAAACATTCAATGGCTCTGAGACCCTACCTTTCAGATTATCAGCACCGTGACCCTGCTTTTGAGACCCCTACTCTCTCTCCCTTCCCTATTATCTCTTGGTGAATATTGGGGAATGGCTCACCTGAACTGCCCCACGATTTCATGCCTCTGTTTTCGCCATTACCTGTCACCTTACCTGGCCACAGTCATTCCTTCCAAAGCCACTATTCACATCTCTATCAGATGCTCTGCAGTTCTGGGGCTCCTGCCTCTTGGGACAAGGCTAGTACTGTCATACCAGGTGTGATGGTTAATATTGAGTGTCAACTTGATTGGATCGAAGGGGGCAAAGTATTGATCCTGGGTGCGTCTGTGAGGATGTTGCTAAAGGAGATTTACACTTGAGTCAGTGGACTGGGAGAGGCAGACCCACCCTCAATCTGGGTGGGTACCATCTAATCAGCTGCCAGCATGGCTAGAATAAAGCAGGCAGAAGTTGGAAAGAACAGACTTACTGAGTCTTCTGGCCTTCATCTTTCTCCTGTGCTGTATGCTTCCTGCCCTGGAACATTGGACTCCAAGTTCTTCAGCTTTTGGACTCTTGGACTTACACCAGTGGTTTGCCAGGGGCTCTCAAGCCTTTGGCCACAGAATGAACGCTGCACTGCTGGCTTCCCTACTTTTGAGGTTTTGGGACTCAGACTGGTTTCCTTGCTCCTCAGCTTGCAGATGGCCTATTGTGGGACTTCACCTTGTGACCGTGTGAGTCAGTACCCCTGAATAAACTCCCCTTCGTATATACATTTATCCTATTAGTTCTGTCCCTCCACAGAACCCTGTGTAATACACCAGGCCAGCAGAAGGGAGACATTTGCTTTCCTGGACATTTTCTGTTCATTTTACATTTGCTCAATGAAAAAAATCAGGTTGCAATACATATATAAATAGAAAACACAGAAAGACATAAATATTTTTTAAAAAGAATCAGAAACATATGCCCCAAAATGCTAATATGATTACATCCGGGTGGTTAATATTTATTTTCTGTTTCTATTCTCTTTGTGTTTCCCCAAATTTGCTTGTTGACAGAACATGTGCATTGCTTTTGGCCAATAAATGTTTGGCTTATTTAAAGAGTTATCTTGATGATAGCCAGGTGTGGTGGCTCACACTTGTAATCCCAGAACTTTGGGATGCCAAGGTGAGCAGATCACCTGAGGTCAGGAGTTCGAGACCAGCCTGGCCAACATGGTGAAACCCCATCTCTATTAAAAATACAAAAATCAGTCTATCTTAAAAAAAAAATTAGCTAGGTGTGGTGGCACGTGCCTGTAATCCCAGCTACTCAGGAGGCTGAGAGATGAGAATTGCTTGAACCTGAGTGGCGGAGGTTGCAGTGAGCCAAGATCATGCCACTGCACTCCAGCCTGAGCAACAGAGCGAGACTCTGTCTCGATTAAACACACAAACACACACACACACACACACAGTTATCTTGATGGCAGTTCAGGAACTTGGGAGATGAGGGCTGTTCTCCTAAAACCCTATAAGAACCCTCAGGTGGGTTATGCCACCCATTCACTAATGTCCCATTTACGGGTGAAGGGAAAGGTGGAGGAGACCAACCAACCCACCAGCAGTGGCCTCAGTCTCAAATAAAACTTAGTCCCTGAGTTAGAAGCCAACTTAACCATGGAGAGGAAAGAGTTCATCAGATGGGACTAAACCTGCTCACTTCCTTCCAAGAACCACCCCAAGGGTTCATTTCCCAGGCACCAGGAGCCACCCAGCTCCAACATGCTGTTTTCTGTCTTCTGGTGACTTATCACTTGTTGTTTCTTCAAGAATAAGCCTTCGTTGTTCCAAGTAAACATCTCAAATGCACACATTCTTAAAGTAGTAAGTCATGTATCCACCTGTGCATCCAACAAATTATTATGTAGTGAACACCCATGAGGGACGTGCTGCTGTGTTCAATGCTGGGGACACCACAGGGGGCCACCCACGGACTTGGTTCCTGCCATCATGGAGCTCTCGGTCCAGTGGAGGAATTAGACATGAACCAAATAAAACACAGTCATGAATGTAAAACCAGAAACTAGAGTAAGTGCTCTTGAAACTGCCTTAGCAAAATTATGACTGAGACAGTGAAAGAGATTTAACTTGATCAATTCCATCTTGCTTCTAACCTCCAAGCTGTCCTTATTCATTCTTGGGTGTAGGCTGACCTAACTTTGGGAGAAACTGAGTTCATGGTTCATAGTTTGTAGTTTAAAGCAAAGATGATAACAGCCCTTTCCCAAAGCAGACCTCCTTCTTGCCTGGGGACTAGATTGCCTTTGTTAGGACTAAAATGAGCCACAAGATTAGAAACTATGGTTTAGGAGTCAGGCGGCTGGAGGTTACAAGATTCTGACCCTCCCTAAACTGTTCCTAAGATCAGTGCTTGAGATAATTTGCAGACCCTGCACGTGACGGGTCAGGTGGCACCACCCAGATCGATCAACTGGCTCATCTGATCTTGTGGCCCCAACCCAGGAACTGACTCAGCGCAAGAGGACAGCTTCGACTCCCTATGATTTCTTCCCTGACCAATCTGCACTCCTGGCTCACTGGCTTCAACTAACCACCCCTACCAAGCTGTTCTTAAAAACTCTGCTCCCCAAATGCTTGTGGAGACTGATTTGAGTGATAATCAAACTCCAGTCTCCCACAATGCCCCTCTGCATGAATTACTCTCTCTGTATTCCAATCCCCCTGTCTTGATAAATCAGCTCTGTCTAGGCAGCGGGCAAGGTGGACCCAATGGGCGGTCACACTCTGTCGAGAAGGAACACAGGGAGTTGCGGAAGGCTTCCAGAGGAAGTGCCTGGGCTTTGAAGAATGAGCAGGCATTAAGTGGGCAAAAGAGCATGTGCAAGGGTACTGTGCAATGTGTCACCACCCAGGGAGAGAGGAGAAGTGGACTATGAGGCTGGGGACATAAACACGGTCCTGGCCATGGAGGGCCTTGTAAACCCCATGAAGGATGTTTGCTCTTTATCCTAATATCAACATGAAGTGATTAGAAGGTAGCAAGCCCTTGATTAACCAACAATTCTAGATCCTTCTCCAAACTTCTCTTTTAGGGAAAGGAAACCTAGAAGTCAAAACATAAGGTGGTGGGATTTCAGTTGAAAAGGTGTCCAGGGTCGGCCTCGGGTCAGTCTATCTTTGGGTCTATCACAAACACTATATTAATTGCCCCTATTAATCTTTCATTATGTGCCAGGCATTGTGATGATGTATACTTTATATCCATTGGCACATGTAAGCCTCACCACAAGATTTAGGGCCTATCATTATGCCCATTTCACAGATGAGGAAACTGAGGTTCAGGGGGGCTTGTAACATGTCCCAAATGGTGTAGCTAGTAAGTGGCAATGCCGAGGCTCAAATCCCTCCAAAGATTCTCTCTCCAAAGGTCATTTTCCTTTCCCTAAGCCATGCTGGTGCATCTGGGGTCCTGGAAACTAGGAGATGATTTTCAGAATTATAAGACTTAGGTCGTGCAAGCTTCTTAATCATCAAAGAAAGTCTGGAAAGAGAAGAAGATGTTTGCAGGAAGCTGCCACAGAAGAGAACATTTTAGACAGAGGAACAGCATGAAGAACCGAACACACGTGGCATCCCCTAGGGGCCATGAATATAGCAGGGAGGCAACCACAGAGTTGGGAAGATCCAGAGAGAGGCGGGACAGATACAGTGGGTCCTGAAAGTATGTTAAATAAAGTCACAGTGACACGGCAATCAGGAGTGGCAAGGGAGCCACAGACACACATGATTAGACACAAAAATCATGTTTTCAAGGCACAGCCCACTTAGAGATCACAGCAAGATGCTTTATCCAACCTCCGCCGGCAATCAGAGCTTGAAAAAGGAGCATTGTCGTCAATCAACTTCCCTTTGGGCAAAAGACACAGGCAAAGGAGAAGATACTTCACCCACCTTTTAATAAATGTGTCTTGAGGAGAGAGTTGGCCCACATAGTACAGTCTCCAAGATCTAAGACTCCACATGGGTAGTGGCAGGGGAGACAATGGGAACCAACAGGACATTGGCTGGAATCACAAGTCACACCTTCAGTAAACCAGAGGAGTCATTTCTCTCTCCCTTATTGACTCTGGGCCCTGGAGAAATGCCACAGAAATTCATGGGAAGAGGAGTTGAAGGTAGACGGCACCTGGACATTATTTCTGCCAGCCCATTTGAGTTCATCTGGTAAACATTTTGCATTTGGAAGTTGACATCGTTTAATAATAACTGTCAATGTCAATGATCAATGCCATCATAATGGCACAAATACCCTTGTGGGCTTGGGGTTGGGAGGGGTACGGTGGGGACTGACTTCTTTGTCTCCTGTCCTTTCAATGGTTATAAATAATGATGATAATAATTTCTATTTGTGTAGCTTTGTGATTGCAGAGAGCTTTAGGCTTCCTGAGAGCTTTCACCTATATTACCTCAGCTGATCCCTCTACAATGTGCAGTATCTATTTTGGTCCCCTCTGGGAACCTGAGGCTTGACAAGGTCAGGAAAGGCCACACCATGGCCTGTTCCTGAAACAGGAACCACAAATGAAAATCCTTGCAGAGAGTCCAGGCAGATAACATAAGTGAAGAAAGGGAGGAATGAGAAGCAGTAGGGAATGGTGGGGTCTGTGGTGAATTGGAGTGCATGCCTCATTGAAAGACGGGGGTAGCTGCCTATCTTGTATCCACCAACTGTCTCCACGTGGGAACATGGGCCCAATGCTGTCAGAGCTTCTAATAAATTAAGAGAAGCTAAAAGCCAGATGCTATGTCAGTCTCCCAGTTTTTAAATGATCGCAACTGGGAGTCTTGCAACTCTGTCTCCCAGGCTGTAAGGCAGTGGCACAATCCTAGCTCACTGCAGCCTCGAAACCCTAGGCTCCAAAGATCCTCCTGCCTCAGACTACCGATTAGCTCGAACTACAGGCATGTGTCACCATGCGTGGCTAGTTTTCACAATGTTTGTAGAAATGGGGCCATCTCACTATGTTGCCCAGGCTGGTCTCAAACTCCTGGGCTCAAGCAATCCTCCCTGCTCAGCTTCCCAATTAGCTAGAACTACAGGTGTGCACCACCACACCTGGCTACAAACTCTCCTTGTCACCCCCTGTTGATAGGTCTCTTTCCTTCACAGGCTGAGACAACTCCAATTCAACTCTGAATCCCCAATACAGGACCTGCCCAGGGAACAGGGCTCAGACATTTATGCTGGGAAATACTCAGCTTTTGGGGCTCAGCGTCCTTTTCTGCAAAAAGAGTTCCCCTCCCAAGAGGAAATCCCCTAAGCCTAAGGACAGGAGGTGATGGAAAGATGGATGGACGGGCAGATAGATGGATGGAAAAAAATGGACAGTTGGAAACAGACAAACTTGGTGGATGAGCAGAAATAAGCCTCATTCTCGCCTAACAACGGGACAGCCTGGGGGAGGGGTGGGACACACCAAGGCTCCCAGTTGACCCCCAGCAATTGGACAAGAGAGTTTATAAACCAGCATTGGGGTTTTAGGAGCATTGTAAGCTGCAGAGTGCATGGGGTCTTCAGTGGGAAGCATCTCCTTCCCCATCCCTGTTCTCTGTCCTGGGGTTGCCCATCAAGCTAATCACATGTCCACCCCTGGGGTCCCTCTGGCCTCTGCCACTCTTCACCAAAGTACAGTTAAACTCCAGGGGCAAATGATGTGTTGGGGGTGTGGCAGACAGGGATTGTGTCTCAGCAGAGAGGGCACAGCACTCACAAAATAGCTTCAATAGTTCCAGGGTCAGTAGATGTGCCCGAAGAGGAACCCCACATCGCAAGTGGCCTAAGCCTGGGGTAGGGTGAGCACTGCTCACTCCTGCCCAGAGGAGTAGCTGAGGGGCCTAAGCTCTAGCTCTGAGCCCACCAGCCATTCCATCCACCACCCACCTGAAACTGTTCTGTTGACCCACAGCAATTGGTCCTGGTGCCAGGCACAGAACAGATGCTCAAAAGATACGGTTGATTCTGTCTGGGTGCAGTGGCTCACGCCTGTAAACCCAGCACTTTGCGAGGCTGGGATGGGAGGATTGCTGGAGGCCAGGAGTTCAAGACCAGCCTGGGCAACATAGTGAGATCCCCATCTCTATAAAAATAAAAATTAGCTGAGCATGATGGTGTGCGCCTGTAGTTCCAGCTACTCGGGAGACTGAGGTGGAAGGATAGTTTGAGCCAGGAGTTCGAGGCTGCAGTGAGCTACGATCATGACACTACACTCCAGCCTGGGAGACACAGCAAGACCCTATTTAAAAAAAAAAATGGTATGGTTAATCTGCCTTTACTGATTACAAATCAATAAATTTGTATTATCGTAATAAATCTGTCTTTATTGATTACAAGGCACTTTCTCATCCCCCATCACCTAAGACAACTGCATAAAGACCGCATGAGCTATAAAGACCATTTCCTTGCCCCAGGTCACACGGAGGAAAAGAGACAGAGCCAGGATTTAAACCCCTGCCCCTGGCTTTCATTCCTTTGCTGTGTCCCTGCAGACCCGAGGCCCACCTGGGTGAAGAACAGGTGGGTGGACATTGGCAGTGTTCACCAGGGGAAGCATGCCAGGTGCAAGGAAACATGTGAGCACCTGTCCGTGCCCAATGGGTCTCTGTTTGTCTCCCTGCATCTTCACCCAAACCAGCTTCTCACACCCCCACGGCCACCACCACCACTCCAGGCCTCTACCTGGGCCCTTTAATGCCCCTTCCTCATTCCTCAAGAGCCCACTGGGGTCCCTTCCCTGATGGCCTGCTGGCCTCCTGCCTCCCTCCCTGACCTCAGCCTCCTCGGATTTTCAACAGCCTGGGGTTGCAGGCTGAGCTCAGCATCTGGCAGGGGCCTGGAAGAAATGACCTCTAGAGGGCCCACACTCTCTGGGTGTCATATTTTGGGGCTATTATCACAAAATACCTTAGACTGGGTAATTTATAAATGACAGAAGTGCGTTGCTCACAGTTCTGGAGGCTGGGATGTCCCAGATCAAGGCACCTGCAGATTCAGTGCCTGGTGAGGAGGGCTCACTCTGCATCATAGGTGGTACCTTGTTGCCGTGTCCTTATATGGCAAAAGAGGCAAAGGCGCTTGCTCAAGCCCCTTTTATAAAAGGGGGCACTAATCCCATTCATGAAGGTGGATTCCTCATGAATTAGTCACTTCCTAAGGGTCCCCTCTTACTACTATCACATTGGGTATTAAGTTCCAACATATGAATTCAAGGGGAACAATGACATTCAGACCATAGCACCAGACGTCTATCTGGGGAAGCCCCCAAATATTTGTCTTTTTTTTTTTTTGGAGGCAGGGTCTGCCTCTGTCATTCAGGCTGGAGTGCAATGGTACAATCACAGCTCACTGCAGCTTTGAACTCCTGGGCTCAAGTGATCCTCCTATCTCAGCCTCCCCAGTAGCTAGGACCACAGATGTGCACTACCACATCCGACTATTTTTTTATTTTAGTTTTTTTGTAGAGACAGAGTCTCACCATGTTGCCCAGGCTGATCTCGAACTCCTGACCCCAAGCAATCCTCCCACCACCTCAGCCTCCCAAAGTGCTGGGATCACGAGTGTGAGCCATCATGCCCAGCCAGCCCCCTCATATTTGATCCAGGCATTAAGCCTCCTGGCAAGACCAGCAGCTCCCTGCCCCTGAGGCAGGGCTGAGTTTCAGAAGCTGCTTTTCATTCTCAGACTATGCTGAGCCTGGTACTGTGCACACAGCACATCTGAACTTTGTTCAACATATCCCTGCACCAACCTGGCAGGACGGCCTCAGGCCAGGGAGGAACCGGGGAGATGATGTGGGATGAGAAGAGAGATCAGACAGAGGCTGTCTAGACACAGTTTCCTGGCAAAGTCACCAAGAGCCCTGCGAGCAGCTGTCCACACCTCCTGGCACTCTCTGTATCTGTCCCGTCCCTGCCAGCTCCCCACCCGCCCAGTGCTTCACCAGCTCACCCCTCAGACACTGTCCAGGTGGGAACCATTCCCCTCAACTCCCTCCAGAACAACCAGATGGCACCTGCCAGCAGCCCTGGGAGCCAGAATCCCACCCACCTGACCCAAGGGCTCTATCTGATCTCAGCCTAACCCATGAATCAGGCCCTTTGGAGAGCCAAAGGAAAATTGGGCTTCCCTGCCAGCTGACTATGTGACAGTTCAGATGTCCCAGAGCACAGGAAAGAGGCAGAGACAGGGTCGTGAGGAGCCCTTGCTTCTCCTTCAACATCTCCCATAAACAGCTGGAGAGGGGCTCTCACAGGGTCCATGGGAAGAGACCAAGGAGGGGCATGGAGGAGAGGGGAGGGCTGAGAAGACCAGGGTGAAATGGATGAGGAGAAGGAAGCAGATGGCAGGGACCCTCCCATCTCCCACATGGGCTCCCTTAGGTGCTACTGGCCTTGTGCAAATTTGCACACTCACATTCACACATTTCTGTCTGCTTCTCTCCAATCGTTCAGATACCTAGCACACACCCCAGCCTCTAGAATCAGGTAGTCAGTCTAGCAGAGTCTTTAGCATTTGACTTCTGGGTTTAAATCCTGGCTTTAGCACTTCCTAGCTTCACGGCCCTGTTTAGGCAGTTTATATGCCTCCCTGAGCTTCCCAGGTTTTGGGGAGGAATAAATGGCATAGCAGATGGGAAACATCTAGCACTGTCCTGCTATATCATAGACTGTGAAAGATCACTGTTTTTGTACTATTGGCCTTGCTTTGTAGTAATTATCATTAACTTTTTTTTGAGATAAGGTCTCACTCTGTCTCCCAGCCTAGTGTGATCATAGTTCACTGCCACCTCGATCTCCTGGGCTTAAGTGATCCTCCCACCTCAGCCTCCCAAGTAGCTGGGACTACAGGCACACACCACCACACTTGGCTAATCTCTCTCCTTTTTTTTTTTTTTTTTTTTTTTTTTAGAGACCGGGTCTCATTATGTTGCCCAGGCTGGCCTCCCAAAGTGCTAGAATTACAGGTGTGAGCCACTGCACACGGCCTACTTTGTAATAATAACAAACAATACAGCCGCTACTTTTTGGTAGTTTCAAACCATGATCCCAGAATTTTTTGATTCATCAAAAGGTAGAACCTATGTCATCTACCGTTGAATCCAGACTGTGCGATTGCTTGACCAATAGAATATAGAAGAAACGTTATGCGACATCCAAGGCTACATCATAAAATGTGACAGAGCTTCCACTGGGTTCTCCTTGTCTTAGAGCCCAGCCACCATACGATGAGGAAGCCCAAGTAGCTGAAGAGAGGAGAGGCCCAAACAAAGGAACCAAGTCCCCTGGACCACAGCCTAGCTGAGCTCCCAGCCAACCAGAAAGCGCCAACTTAGCAACCGCTAGAGGAGCCATCTCAGAAATGAATTCTGCAGCCCCCTGGTGAGCTCCAGCTGATGCCATGTGGAGCAGGAACGAACTGTCCCCTCAACATCCTGCCCAAATTGTGGATGTGTGAGCAAAATAAATGACTGTCATGTTTTAAGCTACTACATGTTGGGTGGTTTGTTGCACAGCCATAGACAACTGGATGACAAACACATATCTGACGCTTTATCCGTCATTGCCATGCTAAGCTGCAGATATTTTTGTAATCTACACGTTTAGACCTTTTCCAGCTTTTAGAGCTCACACTTCCCTTCAGTACACCTGCAAGCTCCCTGAATTCATTTTCATGTAATCCTCCACTTTTTTCCTTCAGCCGGTTCATGTTAGGTTTCTCTCATAGCCCCTAAACACAGTGCTCAAATACCAATAACCTGGATCCCATCTTGCGGCTCTGCAGGAAGCTGTTTTTGCACAAGGTTCTTCCACATTTCTGGGAACCAGGAGATGTCTACTTCAGCTACAATCTCTCCTGCTCGTCCCCTGTCCCCTCGGGAGGGTCTGGCTCAGAACAGATTTCACTGTGGGACCCAAGCCAACCTGTTAGCCACTCCTACCCCAGGACGGGTGAAACACAGTCTTGCAGTAACAAGACTTACTTTTGAAGGATGGAATTACAATATGGAAAAAATACAACTTCACAAGGTACACGTTCAGTTCATAGCAGCAGCCAAGACTTTGAAGGAAGAGTTCAAGTCGCCACAAAAACATAGCAGAGGGAATAGTACGGATTTTAGAGCCAGATAGTACTGGAGACTTGGAGACTGCAGGGCTGGGAGGGTCACAGACAGTCCTGAGTTCAAATCTCCACTCCACCACTCATTGCCCACGTGACCTTGAGCAAGTTATTTAACCTCTCTGAGCCTCCATTTCCTCAAAGGCAAATTGGGGATAATAAACCCAGTGTTTGTGAGGATAGATAGGATGCATATTCTGCTCGTGGTTGTGCCAACCAAGGACACATTCAGAGTAAATTCAAGACTCTTCTTGAAGAGTCACGAGCACAGTGGCCCATGGCAGTAATCCCAGCACTTTGGGAGGGTGAGGCGGGTGGATCACTTGAGGTCAGGAGCTCAAGACCAGCCTGGACAACATGTTGAAACCTTGTCTCTACTAAAAATACAATAAATTAGCAGGGCGTAGGCATGCCTGTAGTCCCAGCTACTCAGAAGTTTGAGGCAGGACAATCCCTTGAACCTGAGAGATGGAGGTTGCAGGCGCTGCAGTCCAGCCAGCCTGGATGACAGAGAGAGACTGTCTCAAAATACAAATAAAATAAAATAAAAAAAGAATGAGACTCTTCTTACTGCAAAAACTGACCTCTGGGGGGTGGAAACAAACAAACAAATGAGCAAAAACCATTGTTCTTGCCTAGCTGTTAAAGAATATTGCGTTTTCTCATAACTTGACACGATACAGAAACATACAATGAAGAATCTGGTGGGTATTGAACTGTCAATTGCAAAATAATTATTCATCACTGCAGGTCCAGCCTGTTCTCCGGGAAGGACTGTTTGAATGTCCTGGGCCTCCAAGCCAAGCTCCCAGAGCCCAGACCGTCTCTTTGGCTAATGCTGGCTCTATCTCCTGAAGAAAATAGTTTGATGCAAGGAAGAACTTTCATTATCTTTTGCCCTGGAGCACCAGTAACTGTCTACAAAGAGCAGAGCAAGGGAAGAAGGGCAGTGAGAAATTAATCTTTGAGTTTCCTCCTTGGTGATTCATCCATTTAGAAATGGGTAGATTCAGAGAAGTGTTTCTTCATCCGGTCCCTCTGTTCCCATGATCTCAAAAATGAAAAGGCAGCCAACCCTGATCACCACCCATCAGTCAGCCTCTTTTCACAAGTGGGAGGCATGGGCTGTGCTGGACCAAGTGCAAATGCAAGACATGTCTCTAACAGGCCTTCTGGAACCAGGGGAAGCTGGTGGCTTGGATGCACCCACTGTGAGGTAGAGTGTTATACTGCAGCCCCCATAACCCTGCACTTCTCCAAGTCTATGATTATTTGACTCTGGAATCTGGTGTAGCACATCTGCTCAGTTGCTCAGTCATTACTTACTGAGCACTTACAATGTGCCAGGACAGGCAGGGTATAAAGGATTGAGAATTGAACAAGGTAGTCAAGGTAGTATGATCCCTGCCCTCAAAGAGCTTGTTTTAGTATATAGGGTTTCTCAACTTTGGCACCATTGTGGGCTGAATAATTCTTTGTTGTGGGGCTGTCCTATGTACTATATTTTTTTTTTTTTTTGAGACAGAGTCTCGCTCTGTCGCCCAGGCTGGAGTGCGGTGGCGCTATCTCAGCTCACTGCAACCTCTGTCTCCCGGGTTCAAGTGATTTTCCTGCCTCAGCCTCCCGAGTAGCTGAGATTACAGGCACCAACCACCACGCCTGGCTAATTTTTGTATTTTTAGTAGAAACGCGGTTTCACCGTGTTGGCCAGGGTGGTCTCGAACTCCTGACCTCAGGTGATCCACCCACCTCGGCCTCCCAAAATATTGGGATTATGGGCATGAGCCACCACGCCCGGCCCACTATAAAAACTTTAGCAGCATCCATGGCCTCTATCCACTAGATTCCAATATCACACCCTTTCTCCCAATTATGACAACCAAAAATGTCTCCAAGCATTTTCAAATTTCACCCGAGGGTCAAAATTCACCCCACCCCACTCCTACCATTCACGATTGAGAACCTCTATTCCAATGAAAGAAGCAGGCAGCTTAGTGGAAAGAGTGTGAGCTTCGGAGCCAGGTGGGCCTGGGTTCTCCCTTCCACTTTATTAGCTGCGTGATCTTTGGGGAATCACTTCTCTCTCTTACGCATACGTAGATTATTTGAAAATTATGGGTAGCAATCATATTTTTACAAGGTTGTTGGGTGAGCTAAAGATCAAATGTGTAAAGAACTGTGGCAGGCTGGGCACGGTGGCTCACACGTGTAATCCCAGCACTTTAGGAGGCCAAGGCGGGTGGATCACCTGAGGTCAGGAGTTCGAGACCAGCCTGGCCAACATGGTGAAATCCCGTCTCTACTAAAAATACAAAAATCAGCCAGGTGTGGTGCCACACGCCTGTAATCCCAGCTACCCGGGAGGCTGAGGCAGGAGAATCGCTTGAACTCAGGAGGCAGAGGTTGCAGTGAGCTGAGATCACGCCACTGCACTCCAGCCTGGGTGACAGAGCGAGACACCATCTCAAAAAAACAAACAAACAAACAAACAAACAAAAAACAGGGGCAGACACTGTCAACACCAAAAGTCATCCTCTTGTCTTAATTCTTCTTGCTAACAGAACCCCAGTTCTTTCAAGGGTCCCTATCTCAGAAGTTGGGCTCAGTCCCTAGAGGGGGTGGGCATGCAAACCAGGTCTAGTTAATGAGCTATTTGAGGGAGGGGGCCCTCTGGGGGTAGAAGGTTAATAAAAAGTTTGGTTATTTTATTTTTATGCTTTTATTTTTTTAGAGACAGGACCTTGCTCTGTTGCCCAGGCTAGAGTACAGTGCCACAATCATAGCTCACTGCAGCCTCGAACTCCTGGGCTAAAGGAAGGTGGGGACTAGAAGATGGATAAGCACTCCACACTTGTTAGCTATCTATTATTGCTGTTAGCACTGTCATTATCAGTATTTTTTTTTTTTTTTTTGACGGAGTCTCGCTCTGTCACCCAGGCTGGAGTACAGTGGTGCACTCTCGGCTCACTGCAACCTCCGCCTCCCAGGTTCAAGCAATTCTCCTGCCTCAGCCTCCCAAGTAGCTGGGAGTACAGGCGCCTGCCACCACGCCCGGCTAATTTTTGTATTTTTAGTAGAGACAGGGTTTCACCATATTGGCCAGGCTGGTCTCAAACTCCTGACCTTGTGATCCGCCCGCCTCGGCCTCCCAAAGTGCTGGGATTACAGGCATGAGCCACCACGCCCAGCCCTTTTTGCTTTTTTTTTTTTTGAAACAGGGTCTTGCTCTGTCACCCAGGCTGGAGTGCAGTGGTGCAATCTTGGCTCACTGCAACCTCCACCTCCCAGGTTCAAGCAATTCTCCTGCCTCAGCCTCTTGAGTAGCTGGGAGTACAGGCATGTGCCACCACGCCCAGCTAATTTTTGCATTTTTAGTAGAGATGGGGTTTCTCCATGTTGGCCAGGCTGGTCTCGAACTCCTGACCTCAGGTGATCTTCCCGCCTCGGCCTCCCAAAGTGCTGGAATTACAGGTGTAAGCCACCACGCACGGCCCTTTATCAGTATTATTATTATTAACTTTTACTAAGGAAAGAGGGAGGCCCTTGGCCAGGCCGTAGGATTGCTGGCCTTCCAGGGAGTGTGTTACCCAGGGAAGTGGCATAAAATTACAGAATTGGGAAGCTAAGAGGTAGCTCTAGACATCACACCTCTAACCTTTTTGATATTCTGTTGCTCCATCTACAAATGGCATTTAGAATTTTTGTTCTTAAAGAGTCACAAATCACGTGCAGGAAGCTTGAAACCAGTCCTGTTACCTTCCTATGCTCTGATGCCACCTGGGAATTTGAGCTGGTGTTTCGGGTAAGAGAACAGCTTATAACCAGGCTTTTCAGGACAATGAAGACTGCCTTTCAGTGGGAAGATGAACAATCTGCCTAAGTCATAAGAATGATACAATGGACTTTGGGGACTTGGGGGAAAGAGTGGAAGGGGGTCGAGGGACAAAAGGCTACAAATATGGGGCAGCGTATAGTGTTCAGATGATGGGTGCACCAATATCTCACAAATCACCACTAAAGAACTTACTCATGTAACCAAATACCACTTGTACCCCAATAACTTATGGGAAAAAAATCTACCCAAGGAATAAAACTAAATCGAGACTTTAAAAGCGAGACATTAAGGAAGTTGACTCTTAGCTGACCTGGACACAGGCCTATCATGGTAAGTGCTGCAGGTGAACAAACAGCAGCAATTTGACCCTTCTTCCTTATACATCAAATTCCTTTTTTTAAAAAATTATTTTTGAGACAGAGTCTCGCTCTGTTGCCCAGGCTGGAGTGCAGTGGCACGATCTCGGCTCACTGCAACCTCTGCCTCCCAGGTTCAAGCCATTCTCCTGCCTCAGCCTCCCGAGCAGCTGGGATTATAGGCACCCACCAGCACGTCCGGCTAATTTTTGTATTTTTAGTAGAGATGGGGTTTCGCCATGTTGGCCAGGCTGGTCTTGAACTCCTGACTTCAGGTGATCCACCCACTTTGGCCTCCCAAAGTGCTGGGATTAGAGACATGAGCCACCGCGCCTGGCCCAATTTCATTTTTTTTTTTTTAGACAGAGACAGTGTCTTGCTCTGTCACCCAGGCTGCAATCAGTGGCGTGATCATAGCTCACTGCAGCCTCAAACTCCTGGGCTCAAGAGATCCTCCTGCCTCAGCCTCCTGAGTAGCTGGGACTACAGGTACATGCCACCACGTCCGACTATTATTTTTATTTTTTGTAAAGATGGGGTCTCATTATGTTGCCCAGGCTGGCCTCAAATTCCTGGGCTCAAGCCATCCTCCCACCTCAGCCTCCCAAAGTGCTGGGATTACAGATGTGAGCCACCACACCCAGCCCAAATTCCAATTTTCTAAAGAATCTGGGGCTCTCTGTGTTTTAAGACTATTAGGCTCTCCCCAGTTTCAGGGGATGAATCTTGAGCAGTCTGATGGAGGGCTGGCAAGCCATTGCCTAAACCCGGCCCACCACCTGCTTTTGTACGGCTCAGGAGCTGGAAATGGCTTTTACATTTTTAAGTAGTTAGAAAAGATCAAAAGTGTAATAATATCTCCTAACACATAAAAATTAGATGAAATTCAAATCTCAGTCTCCATAAATAAACCCATTCACTTATTTATTATCATCTATAGCTGCTTTCACACTGCAACAGCAGAACAGAGTGGTTGCTACAGAAACTGTGTGGCCACAAGCCTGAAATATTTATTCTCTGGCTCTTCAGAGGAAAAGATCTTAGGAAGCCAGAGGTTCTCAAACTCAGTGTCCATCAGAAACCCCCGGAGGGCACGTTTAAACATAGACTATGGGCCGGGCGCAGTGGCTCACGCCTGTAATTCTAACACTTTGGGAGGCCGAGAGTTTGAGACCAGAGCATTGTTTAAGCCAAGAGTTTGAGACCAGACTGGACAACATAGCAAGACCCTGTCTCTACAAAAAATAAAAAAAATAGCTGGGTGTGGGGGTGCACACCTGTAGTCCTGGCTACATGGGAGGCTGAGGCAGGAGGATCGCTCGAGCCCAGGAGTTGGAGGCTGCAATGCGCTATGATAGTGTCACTGTACTCCTGCCTGGGCAACAGAGACCCCGATTCTAGTAAATAAATAAATAAAAACATAGATCCCACCCCAGAGTTTCTGATTTAGTAGGTCTGAACTGGGGTCTGAGAATTTGCAGTTCTTAAAATTGCCTAGACATGGCAGATGCTGCTGGCCTGGGGATCTCACTTTAAGAAGCACTGGTCTAAGGCAACCTTGGGAATTCCATTCCCTTGCCAGCAACTGGCTTAGAAAAGGGCACGTGATACATTTCTGACCAATGCGATGAAGGAGAAGTCAGCTGGCAGCTTCTGAGAAAATGAGAAAATGATCATAAAAAGGGACAGATGGGCTGGGCGTGGTGGCTCACATCTGTAACCCTAGTGCTTTGGGAGGTTGAGGCAAGAGGATCACTTGAGGCCCAGAGTTCGAGACCAGCCTGGGCAACAGAGGGAGACCTCATCTCTAGAAAAAACTCTGAAGTTAGCTGGGTATGGTAGCATGCACCTATAGTCCCAGCTACTCAGGAAACTGAAGGAGGATCACTTGAGCCTAGAAGTTCAAGGCTGCAGCGAGCTATGATTGCACCACTACACTCCAGTCTGGGTGACAGAGCGAGACCCTGTCTCAAAAACAAGCGGGGAACAAGTGGAAGAAGGCTCTCTTCTCTCTTGTCCATATTATCTTGAGACCATGATGGGGTGTGGCTGAGGGCAAGAGCCAGCTGCTAAGAATGGAATAGTGGAAAAGTGGAAGGAAACAAGGCCCACCATTCCACAATGGAGCCACTGAATCAATTAACCACATGGCCCCCTGCAGAGAAACAATAACTTCCATTAGCATCTACACCACTTCCAGTTGGGTTCTCAGTGATTTGAAGCCAAACACAACCTACCTGGCAACCCTACAACTTCACCCCTCACCACTGTTTGGACACTACCAAACTTAGGCCATGATGATTAAGGCCAGGCATGAGCTCCACCCTCCCTGCCACCCTATGAGGAATAAAGCAGATATGGGGAAGGTGAAAGGGCATGATTTAGGGATCCATAAAGCCCCAGATTGGAGCCTTAGTTCTACAACTCAATAATGGTGGGCTAGAGCTCTATGCACCCCATACTCTAGGATGGGGACTCATACCTGCATGGTTGACTAGTGCAGTCATGTCTGTGCATCTGAGCAGTTATTTTCTTCTCTGGACCATTATTAACCATTAGAGCTAGCATTTGTCCCCAGGTCCCGGGCACTGTGCAAGTCTTCACCTACATTATCCTACTACCTCATAAGATAGTTTGGATGTGTGTCCCCTCCAAACCTCATGTTGAAATGTGATCCCCAATGTTGGAGGCGGGGCTTGGCGAGAGGTATTTGGGTGGTGGGAGCAGATCCCTCATGAATAGCTTGGTGCCCTCCCTGAGTAATGAGTGAGTTCTCACTCTTTTAGTTCACGGCGGGGTCTGATTGTTAAAAAAGTGTTTGGCACCCTTCCTGTCTCTCTCTCACCCCTCTTCTCACCATGTGACACACCTGCTCCCCTTTCACCCTCCACAGTGAAGAAAAGCTTCCTGAGGTCTCACCAGAAGCAGATGCTGGCATCATGCTTCTTGTACAGTCTGCAGAACGTGAGCTAAACAAACCTCTTTTCTTATAAATTACTCACCCTCAAGTATTCCTTTATGGCAACGCAAAACAGGCTAAGACACCTCAATGGACTAATACATAACAGCCCCATAAGGTGAGTGCCACCATCTCCCCCACCTTACAGATCAGGAAACAGGGGCTCTGAAAAACTGTGGCTCACTCAAGGTCATACCGCTTGTTAAGTGCAGAGATAGGATTCCAACTCAGAGGCATCTGGCTCAAGAACCCACGTGTCTGTGTTTCAGGTTGCAATGCTGAGGTTAAACAAGAGGATGTGTGCTAGGAGCCCCAGCACACCACAGGGGCTGGGAAACGTTATTGCATCGAGTTTGAGTCCAACACACGGTCTCATTCCTCCACCCACCACTCAGCCTAGAAAAAGGGTCGGAAGGTTGACTCCACTTTCAGAAGCTTGCCAGCTCCAGCCAGTCAGCCAGAGTGAAGCTGACAAGAGCAATGAGGGAAATACGGAAAGATAAATCCAGATGTGGACAATGAGACCGTGTCCCCTGAGAACTGTGGTGGCAGAGGGACTCAAAGGTCCAGGCCTGCTCGGTGTGGCTGCGGCTCAGGTTCCTGGGCCACAGGGCTGCCTTACCTGCCAGTTTCCATGCCTGGCTGACTCCCCCCACCGCCCCTCTGGCTTCCACACCAGCCCACTGATGCCACCCCAGAGAACTCGGCTGTTTGCCTTGCTCCTCTAGAGGGCAGGTGGATGCGGTGAAACGGGCAGCGATTCCAGAGCCATCACAACTCCTGGCTGAAACCAAACATGACAGATTTACCATTGGGCAGGCTGCTCCATTTATTATTTAACACTCGCAATAAATATTTGCATGACCCAGTGCTGGAGGGAACGCTCTGTGATAACTCACTGCATTTTCCTGCCAAACACCAGCACAGTCGGATTCCGAAGCTGCAGCAGAGAATATTTTATGCTATTCTAAAAATCCAGGTGATGGCCCCTTGTTAGAAAACCTTTTCTCATCCATTTCCATAGAGGAAAAAAGGAGCAGGGAGACCTTAGCTCCGAGAAGCAACTAGAGGAGGAAGAAGAGGAGGAGGAAGATGCTGACAGGTGACATTTACTTAGCACCTACTGAGTGCCAGGCCCTAAGCTAAGGACTTCACACTCATTCATTCAACACCTCTCTCTAGAGGGTAGGGTTGCCAGACTTAACAAGTAAAAATATACGACACCCAATTCAATTTTAAATCCAGTGAAATAAGGAATGATTTTTTAAATACAAGTTATGTATCTGATGTAATACTGGAAAATTATTCAATGTTTATCTAAGGTTCAAATTTGGGTGCAATGGCATGCCCTTATATTCCCAGCTACTTGGAAGGCTGAGGCAGGGAAATCACTTGAACCCGGGAGGCAGAAGTTGCAGTGAGCCAAGATCATGCCACTGCACTACAGCCTGGGCGACAGAGCGAGACTCTGTCTCAAAAAAAAAAAAAAAAAATAGAACAAACTGGGCTACAAAGTTTTGCCAGGCATGGTGGCTCACGCCTGTCACCCCAGCACTTTGGGAGGCCAAGGTGGGCAGATCACCTGAGATCAGGAGTTCGAGACCAACCTGGCCAACAGGGCAAAAACCCATCTCTACTAAAAATACAAACATTAGCCAGGCCTGGTGGTGCACGTCTGTAATTCCAGCTACTCGGGAGGCTGAGGCATCAGCATCACTTGAACCTGGGAGGCAGAGGTTGCAGTGAGCCAAGATCATGCCACTGCACTCCAGCCTGGGGGATAGAGTGAGACTCTGTCTCAAAAAAAAAAAAAAAAAAAAAAAAAAATGTAACTGGGCATCCTGTTTGTATCTGGTAACACTCCTTAAGGTTGGACTAACTATGCGAAGACACTGAATTTAAAAGGCTTTTCTTTTCATTTATTTTTTAAGAGACGTATCTGTGTAACTCAGGCTGCAGTGCAATGGCTATTCACAGGGATGATCAGGGCTCACTGTAGCCTCAAACTCCCAGGCTTAAGAGATGGTCCCACCTCAGCCTCCCAAGCAGCCGGGACTACAAGTACATGACACTGCGTCTGGTGTTCAGTGGTGCAATCACGGCTCACTGCAGCCTTGAACTCCTGGGCTCAAGCAATCCTCTTGCCTCAGCCACCAGAGTAGCTAGAACTATGGGTATACAGCACCACGCCTCGCTATTTTTTTTTTTTTTTTTTTTTGTAGAGATGGGGTCTCAATGTGTTGCCCAGGCTGATCTCAAACTCCCGATCTCAAGTGATCCTCCTACCTCAGTCTCCCAAAGCACTGGAATTACAGGCATGAGCCACCACGTCCAGCCTCTTTTTTTTCTTTAAGGAGGCTTATTTTTTAGTGTGGGTTAGGGAAGAGCCATGTGTGAAGTTGACTCTGGAGCAGAGATGTCAAAGATGAGAAAGAGCTACCCATAACAAAAAAACGGGGAACAGGATTCCTGGCAAAGACCCCACAAAGACCCTGGGGCTGGAAACCATGTGGGGCATTGGAGGAGTCAAGGGAGGTGACACTTTTGGAGCTGAGTAATGGAGAGGAAAGTGACAGGAGCAGACTGCACAGGGCCTTGGTCACAATGAAGGATTTGGATGCTATTCTAAGTTAAAGGGAAGGCATGGGAAAGCTTTTCAGCTGGAAGTGGCCAAACTGGGGACCGACTCTGGCTGTACGGATTTCTGAGCCTGGAGATGGCACAAAGGACCTGACATTGGCAGGAAAAGAAAAGAGGAGGAACAAGAACACGAGAAATTGCCTTAAAAGGGAGCTGGTCAGGTCTCGCCAGAAAAGTTCACGCAATAACAAACCAGCCGCCCACAACAGACATCTCCACATTTTCCCAGAGCTGTCCCCCAGCCAGGCGGCCGGAGTGAGGGGATGCCGACGGTGACAATGCTATCAATTTCCATTTTGCTTTTGCCAAATACGGAAAAGGACACTTCAAAGACTTTTAAAAATAACTTCCAAACAACTCAAGGGTGAAAAAAAAGAAAGAGGTAAAAAATTACAGTCTGCCTGCTTGAGAATAGCGATAATGAAAATAAGTGATAGAAATAAGAACAGCTGCTTTTGCACACGTTATGTCATCTGCTCCTTAGCACTCTATGAAGCAGGCAGAACAGGTCATGGTATCCCCATTTCATAGATAAGGAAACTGAGACCCAGAAACATAGGATACAACAGAGAGGAAATGATCAGGTGGGTGAGAAGCTATGTTTGTCTGGCCCCAAAGCCTGGGTTCCCCAAAGCCCTCTGCAGGCTGATATGAGCCTAACCCCAGCCCGGCTCCTGGCTCTCAGCCATCTCATCCTCCCAGCCCAGCTATGGGGAGCAAGATACCTCCTACCATGTCCCTTGCAGCCTTCCTCCCTCGCCTGCAGGGGCTTCCTGCCTGGAAAGCCTGTTCCTTTGCCCTTCTTCTCCAGAGGATTCACGTACCTCAGCACATGTTCGACGACAAAGTCACAGCACTGCAGGGACACCTCCCCTGGAGAGGAACACGATGGTAGAGTGGAAGGGGCACAGCTTTGCCATTAGAATGCCTGAGTTCAAATCCCAGCTCAATCACCAACTGGTTGGGTATCCTTAAGCTCTTCCAAGGAGTGGGGGATAATCCAATCCATCCCCACAGGATCCTGGTGGGGATTAAATGAGATGCTGTATGTAAAACATCAACACAGGGCCAGGTGCCATGGCTCACACCTGTAACACCAGCACATTGGGAGGTGGAGGCAGGAGAATCGCTTGAAGCCAGGAGTTTGAGACTAACCTGGGCAACATAGCCAGACCCCTATCTATACAATAAAATGTCTTTTTAATTAGCTGGGTGTGATAGCCCATGCCTGTAATCCCAGCTACTTGGGAAGCTGAGACAGGAAGATTGCTTAAGCCCAGGAGTTCAAAGCTGTAGTGAGCTATGATCATGCCACTGAACTCCAGCCATGGTGACAGAACTAGACCCCAACTCTAAAAAAATAAAAAACATTAAAAAAAAATCAGCACAGTGCCTGGCATACAGTCAGCACCTAATAAGTAGTAGCTGTTTTTTGTTTTTTGTTTTTTTTTCCATCTCTGAAAAAAAAAATCAGCCATTTTTAAAAATTAGCTGAGTGTAATGGTATATCTCTGTAATCCCAGCTACTTGGGAAGCTGAAGCAGGGGGACTGCTTGACCCCAGGAGTTTGAAGCTTCAGCGAGCTATGATTGTGCCACTGAACTCCAGCCATGGTGACAGAACAAGACCCAATCCCTGAAAATAAATAAATCAATTGGCACAGTGCCTGGCATATAGTCAGCACCTAATAAGTAGTAGCTGTTAGAATAATTACAAAAGGCCAGGCGTGGTGGCTCACACCTGTACTCCCAACACTTTCAGAGGCCAAGGAGGGTGGATGGCCTGAGGTCAGGAGTTTAAGACCAGCATGGCCAACACAGTGAAACCCCATCTCTGCTAAAAATACACACACACGCAAAACAAATCACTGGGCATGGTGGCACATGCCTGTAGTTAGTCTCAGCTTCTTGAGAGGCTGAGGCAAGAAAATCGCTTGAACCCAGGATGCAGAGATTGCAGTGAGCCAAGATAGTACCACTGCACTCCAGCCTGGGTGATAGAGCAAGACTTTGTCTCAAAACAAACAAACAAACAAAAACAAAAAAAACACTCAAATCATGGGATTGAGTGTTCAATCATTCAATCAATTTTTATTGAATGCCTACTACATGCTAGGTACTTAGGGATATAACAGGAAATAAGACATACGTGATTCTACCTTAATGAAACTTAGAAGAAGGAATATACTTATGGTATAGTGAAAGAAACATATTTATTAGAAATCAAACATAAAAAGCATAAAAAGTGTTGAAGAGTGCTCTAAAAGAACAGAGGTTTCTGTGAATCATCTACTTTATTTATTTATTTATTTATTTATTTTGAGACAGAGTTTTGCTCTGTCACCCAGGCTGGAGTGCAGTGGCGTGATCTCAGCTCACTGCAACCTCCACCTCCCAGGTTCAAGCGATTCTCCTGCCTCAGCCTCCCAAGTAGCTGGGATTACAGGCACCCGCCACCATGCCTGGCTTATTTTTGTATTTTTAGTAGACACGGGGTTTTACTATGTTGGCCAGGCTGGTCTTGAACTCCTGATGTCAGGTGATCTGCCTGCCTCAGCCTCCCAAAGTGCTGGGATTACAGGCGTGAGCCACTGCACCCAGCCCAGAATCATCTACTTTAGACTGAGGCATCTGAGACGTGCTCAAAGGACATTTCAGTGGAGAACCATGGGTGTGAAGGAGGGAGTCACACGGAGACTGGGAAGGGACAGACCTTTGTAGGACAGACGGCAACACGTGCAAAGCTTGTGCTGGGAGGTGAAGGGAGAACAACTCGCTGGAGGAAGCAAGGAAGAGGAGATTTAGTTAGAGCAGACAGCCAGGATCAGAGCATGCAGGGTCTGATCATTTATTTCCAAGTTATTCTGAAATCAAAGAGAAGCAGGCTTTTAAGCTAAGAATGCAGCACATCGGCTAGCATAGAATAAGAGTTCAAAAAAAGTGTAAGCTCCCTTCCCTATCCTGAAACAACCAAAGTAAATAAAAATGGCCCCTCTGTTTTCAATTATTTATTTATTTGTGCTTTCAAACTGTTTTCTTAAAAAAAAAAAAAAACTACAGAGTAGTGAGTGGGGGCGGGGGGGTAAGGGGTGGAATACTCAAAACGTGTTCAAAATCAAACGAGCCAGAAACTCCTCGCTGGAAATTTTCTCTCTAGATCTCTGCAGGAATCAGTGGAACCATGAGAGACAGAGTCGAAAGCAGCAGAGCCTGGAATTATTTCTCTAAGCAAGACCCAGACGCCAGGCAGGTAGTGAAATTGCTCCTGCCCCACCTCCATCCTTGCTGCCTATTTGAGAACAGAGTCTGCCAACCCCTCCTGATGAGAGACTGACCCCTCATAGCCACTGCAGGCTGGAAGCCATAAGCTTAAACCACTTCCATACCATGAAAGCAAAATGTATGGTTGGCAAAAAGCAAAAAAAAAAAAAAAAAACAAAAACTGGTTACTGGCGAGTGCAGAACCACAGTCTGGGTCGATGACAAATTATCCAGCATGAATCTTGGTGTGACTTAGGCCCTTCTTAGTCCTCTAAAATTCATCACATTTTGTTTATTCGTTCACTACCCACTTACAGTAGATGCCAAGAAATATATATAACAAGATTATAGATATAAATTTAAAATTAGGACTAAAGAAAGATAATCTAGAATAAGAGGTAAAAGCAGAACAGAGCAGGATGGAAGGTAGAATAAAGATATACAGGCCAGAAGGCCAGTTACTAAACTGGATTTGAGAACATGGCGCTGAGTTCCCTGGTGGCCAAGTCAAAAAGGGCAGTTGGAGATGTTCTCATGGTCCACAAAAAGAAACACACTTAACTTTGCAGAACAAGCACTGTCCTGCCGTGTGACCTCAGATAAGTGATTTAACCTACTTAGACTCAGCTGCCTCATTGCCAAAAAGTTAGTGAAAACTATTGAATGTTTAGGTAAAAAGTTGTAATAAAAAACAAGAATGGGAAAGGATTCCCTATTTAAAATGGTGTTGGGAAAACTGGCTAGCCATATGCAGAAAACTGAAACTGGGCCCCTTCCTTACACCTGATACAAAAATTAACTCAAGATTGATTAAAGTCTTAAATGTTAGACCTAAAACCATAAAAACCCAAGAAGAAAACCTAGGCAATACCATTCAGGACATAGGCATGGGCAAAGGCTTCATGACTGAAACACCAAAAGCAATGGCAACAAAAGCCAAAATTGACAAATGGGATCTAATTAAACTAAAGAGCTTCTGCACAGCAAAACAAACTATCATCAGAGTGAACAGGCAACTTACAGAATGGGAGAAAAGTTTTGCAATCTATCCATCGGGCTAATATCCAGAATCCACAAGGAACTTAAACATATTTATAAGAAAAAAACAACCCCATCCAAAAGTGGCCGGAGGATATGAACAGACACTTCTCAAAAGAAGACATTTATGTGGCCAACAAACATGTGAAGAAAAGCTCATCATCACTGGTCATTAGAGAAATGCAAATCATTGTCAGAGTGCTCAGAGAGGGCATGTTCCCTGGGTCTTGGTGGATTTAGAGGTCAAGGGACCATTTCTGGAAGCTCACTGTGTGCCAGGGCAGCTTATATCAGAGCTCCGCTCTTTTTCTTTTTCTTTTTTTTTTTTAAGACAGAGTCTCACTGTTGCCCAGGCTGGAGTGCAGTGGCACCATTTCGGCTCACTGCAACCTCCACCTCCCGGGTCCAAGAGATTCTCCTGCCTCAGCCTCCTGAGTAGCTGGGACTACAGGCATGCACCACCACCACACCTGGCTAATTTTTATATTTTTAGTAGAGACGGGGTTTCACCATGTTAGCAAGGCTGGTCTCGAACTCCTGACCTCAGGTGATCCACCTGCCTTGGCCTCTGAAGGTGCTGAGATTACAGTCATGAGCCACTGCGCTTGGCCAGAGATCTGCTCTGGAAGACCCCCCAGGCTGGAGGGCACTGCCACAAGCAGACAGTATGGCGAGGGTCCCTATGACCACCTGGCAGGCAGGGTGGATTCTGGAGGGAGGTGGCCTGGGAGCAGGCTGAGGATGGGGTGAGGGCATTTGAGCAGCAAAGTGTCTGCGTGACCGGGCATAACTGGAGGGACAGTAAATGACTCTTGTGTGAGAGGATGAGGGAGGGGTGAGAGGGGCTGACTACCCCCAGGACTTGAGGTGCAGTGAGACTCCTTAGCTTTAACCAGACTCATGGGAGCCATGGAGGTTTGAGGCAGAGGTGTGGGCTGCTGGGAGAGTGAGGACTCACCATCCAGAGAGGAAGGTGAAGCTTTCAACTCTAAATGCCGTTTTATTTTCGTGTGTTTTTTTTTTTTTTTTGAGACGGAGTTTCACTCTTATTGCCCAGGCTGGAGTGTGATAGCACGAGCTCGGCTCACTGCAACCTCTGCCTCCCGGGTTCAAGCGATTCTCCTGCCTCACCCTCCCAAGTAGCTGGGATTACAGGCATGCGCCACCATGCGTGGCTAATTTTATATTTTTAGTAGAAACAGGGTTTCTCCGTGTTGGTCAGGCTGGTCTGGAACTCCTGACTTCAGGTGATCCGCCCGCCTTGGCCTCCCAAAGTGCTGGGATTACAGGCATGAGCCACTGTGCCCGGCCCCAAATGTGTTTTACATTTTCTTCCTATTTGATTCATCTTTGTCGTGCAACATAAATATGCTACTTTTCCACTGATAAAAAGACAAAATGGAATTTAAAATTGGCCTGGACTTCTCAAAAAAAGTCAGTGTGATGAAAACATGTTCTAGATAAAACAGAAATGAGACTGGGCATGGTGGCTCATGCCTGGAATCCCAGCGCCTTGGGAGGCCAAGGAAGGAGAATCACTTGAGGCCAGGAGTTTGTGACCAGCCTGGGCAACATAGTGAGACCGCAGATCTACTAAAAATTTAAAAATTAGCTGGGCATGGTGGTGCGTGCCCGTATGTCTGGAGGCTGAGGCAGGAGGATCGCTTGAGCCCAGGATCTGGAGGCTGAGGCAGGAGGATCGCTTGAGCCCAGGATTTGGAGGCTGCAGTGAGCTATGATTGTGCCACTGCACTCCAGTGTGGGTGACAGAGTGAGACCCTGTCTCTATTTAAAAAAAGAGAGACAAGATGATCAGGATGAGCGCAGTGGCTCACGCCTATAATCCCAGCACTTTGGGAGGCCAAAGCAGGTGGATCACATGAGGTCAGGAGTTTGAGACCGGCCCAGCCTAGATGGTGAAACCCCGTTTCTACTAGAAATACAAAAATCAGCTGGGTGTGGTGGGGCACGCCTGTGATCCCAGCTACTCGGGAGACTGAGGCTGGACAATTGCTTGAACCTGGGAGGCAGAAGTTGCTGTGAGCAAGATGACACCACTGTGCTCCAGCCTGGGCAACAGGAATGAGACTCTGTCTCAAACAAAAAAAAAAAAAAAAAAAAAAAGGGATGATCAAACACAATGCGTCAACCTCCCGGAGCTGTTGTGAGCAAGATGACACCACTGTGCTCCAGCCTGGGCAACAGGAATGAGACTCTGTCTCAAAAAAAAAAAAAAAAAGCGATGATCAAACACAATGCATCAACCTCCCGGAGCCGTATAAACCCTAAACCTAAACCAGGAAGCAGGCAAGCCTGTGTGTGAGTTTCCACTCTATTGCTGGTACCACTCGGCTCTGGCAACCTGGAAGGCCACCTTCCCCTGTTGTTACTGTGTAAGGAGGAAGGAGCACTGGTTTGCAAGTCAGAAGCCTGGGTTGAAGCCTCTGCTTGAGTTCCTGCTGGCTGTGGGAATGTGGGGTTACCTTTCCCGGCTGGCCTCGTTTCCTACATGTCCAATGCAGGGGTTCCAGTCACATGCATTGGGCACCATTACATGTCCAAGCTGTGCCAGGATCTAGATAAATGGCTGGGCTCAGTCCAAGGGGCCTTCCTATCTGGCAGTGAAAATAAGAGGAGATACCAAGGGCCCTGAGCCTGAGTCTGGAGGAAAAGTCATGAGCACAGGGCAGTGCCAGGGCCTGGGAGCTGCCACAGAGGAGCCCACCTTGGTGACAGACACCTGTAGGCTCATATGATGCCGAGTGCCCAACACAGGGAACTGGACAAAGGTTTCATGCACGACTCTTTTCCCTCCTTGGCTACCTTGAGGACCTTGATTATAATAGTTAGCCTTTTTTTTTTCTTTTTTTGAGACTCTTGCTCTGTCGCCCAGGTTGGAATGCAGTGGCAAAATCTTGGCTCACTGCAATCTTCGCCTCTCAGGTTCAAGTGACTCTCCTTCCTCAGCCTCCCTAGTAGCTGGGATTACAGGCGTGCACCACTATGCTCGGCTAATTTTTGTATTTTTACTACAGATGGGGTTTCACCATGTTGGCCAGGCTGATCTTGAACTGCTGACCTCAGGTGATCTGCCCGCCTGGGCCTCCCAAAATCTTGGGATTACAGGTGTAAGCCACTGAGCCCAGCCGGATTATAATAGCCTTTTCATGCACCAGGGGCTTTATACTCATTATCTCATTTCATTCATATGAGTTGAAGTCAGCTTATCCCCCATTTCACAGATGAGGAAACCAAGGCCCAGAGAGGTTAGGAATTTGTCCAAGGTCACACAGCCAGGAAGTAGGATTCAAACCCAGACAGCCAGGCTGTAACACCTAGGCTCTTCTCAGGCTCATGCCCTTCCCAGGGGTCTGGGAAGCCCTGACCTGCAGCCTGTCACCTTTGTTTACCCCCCAGCCTCCAGGATATTATGTGTGCACCGGCGTGGGATCCTGGAACTGGCAGGAATTGTGGGTTGTGTTGGTCCCCGAACTCCCATCGCCTATGTGAAATATGGTTGCTTTTGTGGCTTGGGAGGCCATGGCCAGCCCCGCGATGCCATTGACTGGTGAGTGCATGCCTGGGACCAGGCTGCAAAATCCCTCACACTCTGGGGTAGTCAAGGCTTATGAGGAAGTACCCAAAACTGAAGCTGGGGTTTGGTCCAGGGAGATCCCAGTGTGCAGTACTACTTTGCAGGCAGGCAGAGGCCTCTTGGATAACATGGCCAGTGAAGCCAGATCTTGGTACTAGCTGTGCCTTACCCTGGCCATGGGCTGAAAACGTTGCCTTAAAAAATTGGCCAGGAGCGGTGGCTCACTCCTGTAATCCCAGCACTTTGGGAGGCCGAGGCCGGCAGATCACTTGAGGTCAGGAGTTCAAGACCAGCCTGGCCAATATGGTGAAACCCCATCTCTACTAAAAATGCAAAAATTAGCTGTGTGTGGTGGCAGGCGTCTGTAATCTCAGCTACTCGGGAGACTGAGGCAGGAGAATTGCTTGAACCCGGGAGGCGGAGTTTGCAGTGAGTTGAGATTGCACCGCTGTATTCCAACCTGGACAACAGTGCCAAACCCTGTCTCAAAAGAAAAAAATAATAATAATATAAAGTGACCAGGTGTGTTGACTCATGCCTGTAATCCCACCACTTTGGGTCGAGGCAGGAGGATCACTGGAGCCCAGGAGTTTGAAACGAGCCTAGGCAACAGAGTGAGACCCTGTCTCTATATTAAACACACACACACACGCGCGTGCACACACACACACACACACACACACACATACAAAGGCAGCCAGACTATGCACTAGGAACTGCCCTGGGAATCCCTTTGTGTTCTCACAACAATCCCATTTCACATGAAGAAACCTAGGCACAGAAATATTCAGTAACGTGTCCAGGTGCGGTGGCTCACGCCTGTAATCCCAGTACTTTGGGAGGCTGAGGCAGGCAGATCACGAGGTCAGGAGTTCGAGACCATCCTGGCCAACATGGTGAAACCCCGTCTCTACTAAAAATACAAAAATTAGCTGTGTGTGGTGGCAGGTGCCTGTAATTCCAGCTACTCAGGAAGCTGAGGCAGGAGAATTGCTTGAACCCGGGAGGCAGAGGTTGCAATGAGCTGAGATCACACCACTGCACTCCAACCTGGGTGACAGAGCAAAACTCCGTCTGAAAAAAAAAAAAAGAAATATTAAGTAACTTGTCTGAGGCCACATAGTTACCAAGACGTGGGAGCTGGGACTTGAACCCAGGCAGTCTGGCTGGATTCATGCCTGCAGCCTCTGCACTCCTGCTACTTACTGTGTGAGAAGCGTCTGTTCTGTGGAAGGTTGTGGGCTGAGATGTTTCCATGACTTCCACTCATTTACCCCCAAGGCTGTTCTTAAAGACGGGCATGACAGTTATGCCCATTTTACAGATGGGGCCCTGAGGCTCACAAGGGCACGCCACTCACCCATTTCCACAAAGCTATAGTTAGTTAGCAGAGGGCAGAATTCGGCCGCCTCTCCCCTAGCTTGAAGGCTGTGATTGACACAGAGGTTTTTTTGTTGTCGTTGCTGTTGTTTGTTCCTTTTTCTTTTTTTTGAGACAGGGTCTTGCTCTGTCATCCCGGCTGGAGCGCAGTGGTGCGATGTCAGCTCACTGCAAATTCTGCCTCCAAGATGCAAATGATTCTCGTGCCTCAGCCTCCCAAGTAGCTAGAATTACAGGTGTGCACTACCACGCCCAGCTGTTTTTTGTAGAGATGGGGTTAGTAGAGATTTGTTTAATAGAGACGGGGTTTCACCATGGTCTCTACTAAACCCTGTCTCTACTAAAAATACAAAAATTACCCAGGCGTGGTGGCACATGCCTGTAGTCCCAGGTACTCAAGAGGCTGAGGCAGGGGAATCACTTGAACCTGGGAGGTGGAGGTTGCAGTGACCCAAAATCATGCACTCTAGCCTGGGGTCTCGCTTTTGCCCAGGTTAGAGTGCAGTGGCACAATCATAGTGGCTCACTGCAGCCTCAAACTCCTGGGCTGAAGGGAATCCTCCCACCTCAGCCTCCCAAGTAGCTAGGACTATAGGCATGTGCCATCATGGCGAGTTAATTTTTTGTGTGTTTTTATTGTCTCGAGACAGAGTCTTGCTCTGTTGCTCAGGCTGGACTGCAATGGCGTGATCCTGGCTCACCGCAACCTCCACCTCCTGGGTTCAAGCAATTCTCCTACCTCAGCCTCCCGAGTAGCTGGGATTACAGGTGCGTGCCACCATGCCTGGCTAATCTTGTATTTTTAGTAGAGACAGGGTTTCGCCATGTTGGTCAGGCTGCTCTCGAACTCCTGACCTCGTGATCCACCTGCCTCGGCCTCTCAAAGTGTTGGGATTACAGGCATGAGCCACTGAGCCTGGCCTGGTGAGCTAATTTTTAAATTTGTTATAGAGACAAGAGTCTCTCTTATGTTGCCCAGGCTGGTCTCGACCCCCTGGCCTCAAGTGATCCTCCCACCTCAGCCTCCCAAAGTGCTGGGATTACAGATGGGTGTCACCGCACCTGGCCTCTGAGGAGGATTTCATTATAAACCTGCCCTGAAGGGAGGGAATCCAATTTTACGAGAGGGTGTAGCCTGGTGAGGCCTGGATGACCTCCGGAGGCAGGGGCTTGTGCCTGGGCTGAGGCCTAAGGGACAATGGGCAGACATGAAGTTGCCCCAGGCAGAGGGTACAGTGTGGGCAAAGTCAGGAAGTGGCAGGGCTTGGATCACTCCAGGAAGAGAGAGGAGTCATGTGTCACAGGAGCTCAAGACCCAGAGAGGGAGGCAGGCAGGCAGGCAGGGACCAAGCTTGGGCACAGCCAGGAAGGCAGAGGGCATGGTGGGGCCAATGGAATCATTACCCAAGACGGGGATTTTCAGGGAAACAGCTTAGATAAGGCCAGGCGTACAGTAGCTCCCACCTGTAATCCCAGCATTTGTGGAGGCTGAGGTAGGAGGACTGCTTGAGCCTGGGAGTTCGAGACCAGCCTAGGCAACATAGTAAGACCCCATATCCATAAAAAATTTAAAAAAGGAGTTTGTGTTCCTGTAGTAGCAGACTTGGGAGGTTGAGGTGGCAGTATCACTTGAGCCCAGGAGTTCAAGGCTAAAGTGAGCTGATTGAGCCACTGCACTCCAGCCTGAGCAACAGAGAGATACGCTGTCTCAAAGGAAATACAAATTAAAAAACCAGCCGGGCATGCTGGCGTGTGCCTGTAGTCTCAGCTACTTGGGACACTGAAGTGGGAGGATCGCTTGAGCCCAGGAGTTCAAGGCTGCCGTGAGCTACGATTGTGCCTCTGCAGTCCAGCCTGGGCGACAGAGAAAGACCCTGTCTCTTAAAAAAAAAAAAAAAAAAAATCTTAGATAAGAGGATGCTGTGCCTCCCTGGGGGTCTTCAGTCACCCATAGTCCTGGCAAGAGAGGAGGGCCAGGAGAGAGCTTCACCCACCTGCTGTCCTGCCCATGTGACATCCGCAGGTGCTGCCATGGCCACGACTGTTGTTACACTCGAGCTGAGGAGGCCGGCTGCAGCCCCAAGACAGAGCGCTACTCCTGGCAGTGCGTCAATCAGAGCGTCCTGTGCGGTGAGTCCCCAGCAGCACCATGCCACCCACCCCGAGTATCCCCTGGGCACCCTGGCATAGCCAGATGACTTCCGTGCCCCTGTTGCAATAACCACTGCTTCCAAGTCTCTATAGACCACCCCTTGGGTATATCTAATGTAAGTGATATTTATTTTATTTATTTTTTGAGTCAGTCTCGCTCTGTCACCCAGGCTAGAGTGTGCTGATGTGATCTCGGCTCACTACAACCTCTGCCTCCTGGGTTCAAGCGATTCTCATGCCTCAGCCTCCCAAGTGGCTGGGACTACAGGCATGCACCATCATGCCCAGCTAATTTTTGTATTTTTTCAGTAGAGGTGGGGTTTCACCAACTTGGCCAGGCTGGTCTCAAACTCCCCACCTCAAGTGCTCTGCCCGCCTCGGCCTCCCAAAGTGCTGGGATTACAGGCATGAGCCGTGGTGTCTGGCCCTAATGTGAGTGATCTTTAACACTGAGCACTTGAAAAAGAAAACCCTGAAGAAACCTAATTCTTTGATGTCTGGATGACAAGGAAGAAGATAGAAATGGCATCAGATAATAAACAGTGTAAATGTTTATCAGAAAGAGGCTGGTGGTCGGGACAAGTAGGAGGATTGCTTGAGTCCAGGAGTGCATCTCTACAAAAAAGTTAAAGGATTTTTTAACATTGGCCAGGCGTGGTGGCACACATCTGTGATCCCAGCTACTTGGGAGGCTGGGGCAGGAGGATTGCTTGAAGCCCAGGAGGTTGAGGCTGCAGTGAGCTGTGATCGAGCCACTGCACTCCAGCCTGGGTGACAGAGCAAACTCCAGTCTCAAAAAAAAAACAAATAATAATATTTTACATAACCAACCACTTCTAAAGATTAAAAAAACCCCTATGATTAAAAACCTCAGGTCCCTCAGGCAATCATACCAGATATTGAAACAAAGCAATAACATAAGGACTGCAGTATTCATTTTATTTTTATATTATTTATTTATTCTTCATTAGTTTCTTGAGATTATCATCCGCTGAGGGTGGAAGGGGAGTGAGCAGACACACTCGGGAGGTGTCTTGAGATTATCATCCGCTGAGGGTGGAGCTGAGGGTGGAAGGGGAGTGAGCAGACACTCGGCAGGTGTCTTGAGATTATCATCCGCTGAGGGTAGAGCTGAGGGTGGAAGGGGAGTGAGCAGACACTCGGGAGGTGTCTTGAGATTATCATCCGCTGAGGGTGGAAGGGGATAGAGCAGACGCTCGGAAGGTGTCTTGAGGCTCAGGGAGTTATCAATTATAGAATGTTGTTGAGTTGGAGGAGGTGGCTGGTGGCCCATCCTGTTTTTTAAAGTTTCAGCTGTGAGGTAGGGCCAGTAGGGCAATCCTGAAGAATGACGATGCTCCACTGCCGCCATTCTGACCTGTAGGGCCAAAGGAGGGAATGTTTTCACACATATTCATTTGATGGACAAAATTACCGCCACCAACACAGTCTGCACCTTCTGTTGCTGGTGATAGATTTTTGCACCTTTCCATCCTCCAGGTTTCAAAATAGCAGTGTCAGTGTCATAATATCACCCTTCCACTGAGTACTGCCGACAGCTGGGGGGTAAAGAAAAGTCATTGGGACACACTGTTGTCTCCACATGCCACTGTGTCTGTCTGCAAATGTAGGCAGGCTGGGGTCCTGCCCCAGGGAAGACAGAGTCATAACAGAGTAATAAAGAAGCATGTTTGAGACACAGGAGTGTCTATGTCTATCCTCATTCCTCCCTCACAGCCATCACCAGAGCATGTTTCTTGCACCAGGTCAATAGACAGTAAGAGACAGTAAGAGAGGCATGAAAAGCCCATTGTCCACACATGTTGCAGCTTCTTTTTGGAGAATGTTTTCCAGGCCTTTTATGTTCTGTCTCTGATTCTCAGAACTCTGCAAGGTCAGTGTGACCACCCTGCTCCAAATCTAAGAAAACAGAGGTTTCCAGAGGAAGGAGAAATTGTGCCCAGGGTCACACAGCTTGCAAGAGGCAGAGTGGAAGTTGATTCCAGCTCTGCCTGCAGGACCCTCTCATTTCCCCTCTGTTTCCCTTCTTGACAAAGGATCTTCTTCACTCTGGAGGTGCCACCCATGAGAACAAAGAGCTCTGGAGAGATGTGGATTCCTGAAGAGCTGCAGGGGAACTGGGAGAGGGTTTTCTGACAGAACAATCTTACCTCAAGAAGTCAGTTAGGCATGGCTGTAATATTTCTTTTCACTCCCAGGTAATACCAAATTGTAAGTGCACTAGGACCTAAAGAATACTTTTGTCCATGGAAAAATGAGGTGGGAATTCTAAACAAAGCAAGTTTTAAAACTGTGTTTCACTTCAAGTGTACAAGTCCCATCGCGTGTAATCATAGGACTCGGCAGCTTTTGAAGGTACAGAGGCCACACAAGAACCAGCTTAGCTGAGCATCATTTAAGGCCTTCATTTGGAATTGTCCCTGTGGGTAATAAGTTACATTCACTCTTCACTAATTTACAGTCAGGGCCCATTTGCTATTACAAATATGGAACCTCTGACACTTAGAATATTAGATGGGGGCCCCACTGGGTGGGGATGAAGGTGTTTTTGCGCAACACGGTTACCAACAGGGATGGGACTGTGATGCTTGTAGGCAGCCTTCCTCTCTGCCATCTCCCTCTGCAGGGCTTGAGCACAGAGCCGTAGGGAGAAAAATGTATCCATGTCCTGACCTGGCAGACTATGTCCAAAAGCAAGGAAAACAAGCAAACTTACCCGGTTGCAAAGAGGCTTTCTTGCAGAAGGGGTGATCTGAAAAAGCCAACACATGAGAAATTGAATGTTGAGAGAGTCTAAGGGCCGTGGCATCATCTGCATCAGCACTGAACTATCCTGCAACTGCGGGGAGGAAGCTCCTTACTTTGCATCTGTAGTAGTCCTCTGCCCGCCGCCGCAACGCTCGCGCACGTTGAAACATTTCCCTATGGATTACAATCACTTTCATCAGATAAAGCACCACTTTCAGGATGATTTTAAATAATCTGCCATGTTTCTGTTATCCTCACAACTGTACCCTTACACAATCTATCTCTACCTAGAAAACGTATTTCAGATGGCTGTAAGAGTACAGTCTGAGCCGGTCACGGTGGCTGACGCCTGTAATCCCAGCACTCTGGGAGGGCGAGGCGGATGGATCACGAGGTCAGGAGATTGAGACCATCCTGGCTAATACGGTGAAACCCCGTCTCTACTAAAAATACAAAAAATTAGGCGGGGGTGGTGGCAGGCACCTGTAATCCCAGCTACTCGGGAGGCTGAGGCAGGGGAATCACTTGAACCTGGGAGGCAGAGGTTGCAATGAGCCAAGATCACGTCATTGCACTCCAGCCTGGGTGACACAGCGAGACTCCATCTCAGAAAAACAAAAACAAAAACAAAAACAAAAAAAACTGTACAGTCTGATCCAAACTGTTGCTGTATTGATTCCTCCTCTTGCTTACTGCCTGCTGACTTCTGAGATGATAGCTTCCTTCCCCATTCTCAGTATATCCCTAATTCATCCTTCATTGAGCATCTTTTATCATAAAGCTGTATTCTCTTTGTATTAATATCTTAACCGTGTTTCACAGGGCAGAAACAGCTGGGCTTATAAACAGGCATAGTCCTTTTGAAGGATGTGGTTGATCCTACAACAACACACTTTCCTAAGGATGACAACAACTCACCCCACCCCTAGAATGGCTGGTATGAACCGAGTTTCCACACAGTCTAGCTGGCAATGGGGTCAGGAGCCGTTTTGCTACTTCACATCTTTTGGTCACTGGTAAATATTAAGGTACTTTGTTTTCTGTTTTGTGAACTCTCTCTCTCTCTCACGATATGTCTTCTGACCATTTGTTTCTATTTCTGCATTTACTGGGTCTAAACATTGTACAAAGGTTAAAAACAACACTCCAATGGGCGTTTCCCAAGAGGGTGGGGTTCAGTTTCTGAACTCACATGTAGGTGTGTATTTCTTTCATATCCAATTTCCCATTTTCCTCTGCCTCTGACACCTGCCTCTCCTTTTCTCCGTGCTCACGTTCTTTCATGCTTAGTTTCCTCAGACTAGAAGGGAGAGAAATGCACACACATGATCCACCAGCCCGTGTGGGATTCCCTCTGCCCTTCTGGCATCTGAAGGCTGTGATTCAAAGATCCCCCCTGCAACCTTCCCACAAATGAACCAACTGATTCTCACAACCGAAGGGAGAATGGACACCTCCCATTGAGGGATAAAAAAAAATCACACTCTGGCCTGCTGGCAAGTCACCTGTCATTTCCAGCTCATCTTCATAGTTCCATAGTTAGTCCTATTCTTTAGTAAATATAAAGACTATTAAAAGCTTCTATGAGGTGCACTATGTGCGTCTCTGGGGTCAGTCTTGTGCTTGACACAGCAAAAGCTCATTTTAGTTCAGTGTGAAAAACCAGACCTCACCAATTCATCACAACTAACTCCATCGGAAGCAGAGGATTGCTCCTCATCTGACTCCTCCTGTGTGAGACTGATTCTCAGTCAGAGGCTGATGCCGGAACTGAGACCATCAGCCATAGAGAGATCCTTCCAGAATATGGTGTCATTAACCCTGCAGTTCACTACTGCACTTTGCCATGATTCAGGACTGGAACTCTTGTCATCGACTTTAAAGATCCTGAAAAGGCAATCTGAATGCTGGGCGCATCTATTGAATTAGAAATGATGGGAATGGCTCCTAAGTCAGGGTGTTATGTCCTGAAAATAGGTGACAACGGCAAACCATCCACCCTGGTGTTGACTGACTTTAACAAGGTTCAGTTCACAGAGATTGAGGGCAGAAAAAGGAAACGGCCTCAAAAGGGTAAGTTTGCTGTGTTGCCCTCACACCACTTGATTCATGGTCGTGATCCTAAGGATCTCACCTGATACTTGGTTTTATAGGAAGGATGTGTAAAATTCCCAGAACGCTAGGAAACAGGGACGAAAACACTTCAAAGAGAAAGTTAATGAACTTGTTTCTGACCACAGGGCATCCTTCAGCACATGCTGTCTGGAGTGGCCTCAAACAAGGAGTGTGTGGTGAGGTGCTGACAATGCAATGGGAGCAGGGTCCTGTCCCCACGCTAAAGAAGCTCACAGTTTAATGCAAATGAGAAGCCAGTGAGGACATCACTACTCCTGCTGTGCACTTGGGAACTAGAAACACAAAACCTGACTCTGGAGGGAAGCTAAGGAAGCATTCTACTCTTGAGTTGACATAAGTGCATCTGAAGCTTCTGATCTCCGATGAGAACAATGGGGGACACCAAACAGAATATAAAACCCATGATTGAATACATCAAATTGCTAACATGGCAGTAAACAGACATGAGGTGAAGATGGAGAAGAAGGAAACCCAGGACGAAAGTCAGCCTCGCATTTGGAACCCATTTCCCTGAGTTTCATTGCTGAATTCCAGAAGGAACTACTGAGATGCAAAGAAGCACAGCAGCTTTTGCACACATGCGTGGGGTTAGATGGAAAACAAGTGGATTGAGGGTCTGCCAATGAAAGCGACCCATACTGAAGTCCACTGGCTCTGGTTGAGACCCAGAAGAGTCATGCATCAGAATAGAGGTGGACAGGAAATACCCTGGCCTTTGTAGGGACTGAGCCTGCACAGACGACCTCAATTGCAGCCTGTATGGAGGACCCCTGACCATCCCCCAGAAGTAGACTCCCATCTCTTCTGCAGCAAGATAACATGCTACTAGGTCTCAGTTCATTGCTAAATATTTTTTAACAAGTATCTCACATTTAACAAAAAAAGATCAGTCATATGGCAGCAAAATACAATGTAATATGACCAAAACATGAAAGACTGTGAAAATGAATCTGGAGGTGACCCAAGCATTGAATTCAACAATCCAGGCTGGGTGCGGTGGCTCACACTGGGAGGCTGAGGTAGGCAGATCACCTGAGGTCAGGAGTTCAAGACTAGCCTGGCCAACATGGTGAACCCGTCTCTACTAAAAATACAAAAATTGGGCTGGGCACGGTGGCTCACGCCTGTAATCCCAGCACATTGGGAGGCCGAGTTGTGCGGATCATGATGTCAGGAGTTCTAGACCAGCTTGGCCAATATGGTGAAACCCTGCCTCTACTAAAAATACAAAAATTATCTGGGCATGGTGGCATATGCCTGTAGTCCCAGCTACTCAAGAGGCTGAGGGATAAGAATCGTTTGAACCTGGGAGGCGGAGGTTGCAGTGAGCCAAGATCATGCCACTGCACTCTAGCCTGGGTGACAGAGTGAGACTCTGTCTCAAAAAAAAAAAAAAAAAAAAAAAAAATTGGCCGAATGTGGTGGCACACACCTGTAATCCAAGCTACTCGGGAAGCCGAGGCAGAATTGCTTCAAACTGGGAGGCAGAGGTTGCAGTGAGCCAAGATTGCACCATAGCACTCCAGCCTGGGCGACAGAGCGAGACTCTATCTCAAAATTAAAAAAAAAAAAAAAAGCCTGGGTGTGGTGGCTCATGCCTCTAATCCCAGCACTTTGGGAGGCTGAGGCGGGTGGATTACCTGAGGTCAGAAGTTCGAGACCAGTCTGGACAACATGGTGAAACCCCATCTCTAGTAAAAATACAAAAATTAGCTGGGCGTGGTGGTGGGCACCTGTAATCCCAGCTACTTGGGAGGCTGAGGCAGGAGAATTGCTTGAACCCAAAAGGCAGTGAGCTGAGATTGTGCCATTGCACTACGGCCTGGGCAACAAGAGCAAAGCTCCGTCTCAGGAAAAAAAAAAAAAGAGAGAGAGAAAGGAAAACCAATGCCAGTACTAGCAACTCCTCTTCCCCTGAAAAAATGACAAACAAGATTGTAGGAAGGGAAAGGAATTATACAGCTTAAACTAATGAAGCAGAAAGGACAAACTCAATTTTGAACCCACTGAATTTGCCACAAATATTGTAGAAAATATTCTCAAGGACTTTACAGTTGTCTACTTTGATTGGCACATGGTTCATACAACAGTATTTGTGTCAAGGCACATCTTACTGTTCTTTGGCGGTCTTCCTCTTTCCATTGATTTTGTCATGACAGTTGACTTTTGTTGTCACCTTCATCTTACGGATTTTAGCTCGAACTTTGGTTTCCACCTGTCTCCATAAAGTAAAGATGTCTTCCAGGACAATTTTAATTCCTGGAAAGGAAGAAACTCTTTTCTTTGTGTGCATACAAACGGACCTCAGCCCTTGGTGAGAGTGAGGAGAGGAGAAGGTGAGAAACCTGAGGGCAAGAAGCTGTTCTTTCCCTTTCCAGGGCAAACTCATTTCCACACTATGGGGACTCCAACAGAGCCATACCTTCCTGTCTACGGCAGTTGGACCTCCTGGCTCTCTGCTGTACATCCGTGGATCCATCATGTCCATTTTGAGACGGGAAGATAGTCTTCAGGAAAGACACCTAGGAAATAATAATATAAGAATGACGGCTAGGCACGGTGGCTCATGCGTATAATCCCAGTACTTTGGGAGGCCGAGGCAGGGTGGATCACGGGGTCAGGAGTTCAAGACCAGCCTGGCCAAGATGGTGAAACCCCATCTCTACTAAAAATACAAAAATTAGCCGGGCATGGCAGTGGGCGCCTGTAATCCAAGCTACTCGGGAGGCTGAGGCAGAGAACCGTTTGAAGCTGGGAGGTGGAGGTTGCAGTGAGCCGAGATCACACCACTGCACTCCAGCCTGAGTGACAGAATGAGACTCTGTCACACACACACACACACACACACACACACAAACACACAAGAATGACATGAGGCTGGCATGGTGGCTCACTCCTGTAATCCCAGTACTTTGGGAGGCCGAGGCAGGCGGAACACCTGAGGTCGGGAGTTTGAGACCAGCCTCACCAACATGGAGAAACGCTGTCTCTGCTAAAAATACAAAATTAGCCAGGCATGGTGGTGCATGCCTGTAATCCCAGCTAGTCGGGAGGCTGAGGCAGGAGAATCACTTGAACCCAGCAGGAAAAGGTTGTGTTGAGCTGAGATTGTGCCATTGCACTCCAACATGGGCAACAAAATTCAAACTCTGTCTCAAAAAAAAAAAAAAATAGGCCAGGTGCGGTAGCTCACGCCTGTAATCCCAGCACTTTGGGAGGCCGAGGCGGGTGAATCACGGTCCAGAGATGGAGACCATCCTGGGCAACATGGTGAAACCCCGTCTCTACTAAAAATACAAAAATTAGCTGAGCATGGTGGCGCACGCCTGTAGTCCCAGCTACTCCGGAGGCTGAGGCAGGAGAACTGCTTGAACCCAAGAGGCAGAGGTTGCAGTGAGCCAAGATCCCACCACTGCACTCCAGCCTGGTGACAGAGTGAGACTCCGTCTCAAAAAAAAAAAAAAAAAATGACATGAATATACTTCACACAACTGAACTGTACACTTCAACATGGTTAGATGGTAATTATCATCTTGTAAGTATTTTACCACAGGTTAACATGTTTCACAACTTGAAAAGGAAGTAATTAATTACCTTCAGCTCTCTGAGTTCTAGAATTTGTAACATTTCACCCCCTGCTCCTTCCTGATCTGCACTGGAGCATCTTTCTTCTGTCCCTGCTCTACTCAGAGTTCACTTTCCCTTCCCTCACATCAGCTTCGTTGAGGCTGGTTTGAACTTAATGCAAAACATTCTCACTAATGATTGAATTCCCACCAAGATTTCCATATTATCACAGTATGCTTTTAATCTTCGAAGATATTAAATATTTGTTCTCATCATAGCTAAAATGCAACGCAAATCCCATCTGAGATGTGGGTCAGATACCTATGAATCTCCTGAGGTAGTCATTGAAATGACTTTTTTCTTGAGACGGAGTGTCAGTCAACCATGCTGAAGTGCAGTGGTGCTACCTTGGCTCACGGCAACCTCCACCTCCCAGATTCAAGCGATTCTTGTGCCTCGGCCTCCCAAGTAGCTGGGATTACAGGTGCCTGCTACCATGCCTGGCTAATTTTTGTCTTTTTAGTAGAGATGGGGTTTCACTATGTTGGCCCATCTGGTCTTGAACTCCTGACCTCAAGTGATCCACCTGCCTCAGCCTCCCAAAGTGCTGGGATTACAGGCATGAGCCACCACACCTGGCCTGAAATAATATCTTTCAAATTCTTTGTAGAATTTGTTTTTTCCTGATTTCTGCACATAGGATAAAAAAAAAATCATGTACTAGGATTTCAAGAGAAGCAATGGGTAATCTAAAAAGATGAAAAGAGCAACCACGTCTATCCCACAGCTACTGCTAGATTTCATAGGAAAGGTAGCTGGCCCAGTTTGGAGCTAGGAGAAATGTCAAACACATGAAGAAATGAGAAGCAAAGAAATGCCATCACACATGAATGCTTCATGACACCCATGATGTCCCTGCTTAGGAGGTAATGACTAGATGACAAGGACAAAGATGAGAGGTACAAAGTTGTCCAAGTCCAACAGCTCAACTGAACTTTCCTAAATGGAATTGTTAAAAAGTGGTAAATTTAAAAACTTCCCCTGGCTCACGTGGTGGCTCACGCTTGTAATCCCAGCACTTTGGGAGGCTGAGGCGGGTGGATCATTTGAGGTCGGGTTTTGAGACTAGCCTGGCCAACATGGTAAAACCCCGACTCTACTAAAAATACACAAATTAGCTGGGCATGGTCGTGGGCACCTGTAATCCCAGCTACTTGAGAGGCTGAGGCAGGGGAATCACTTGAAGCCAGGAGGTGGAGGTTGCAGTGAGCCGAGATCACACCATTATACTCCAGCCTGGGCAACAGAGGGAGACTCCTCTTGGGGGTGAGAAAAGAAAAAAAAAAAAAGCTTCCTCCAATTTATACCAAAAATTCTCTGTTCAGGACTAAGTGGCATAGAGAATGTTAAATGTGCCTAGATATCTTCATAACTCATATATTTTCTGTTTTCTACATATCTTGAAAGGCAGTGCCAAATGACGTGTAATTATCTAGGCAGTAAAACTGAAACATACTTCCTCTTCCCTTGAATATCAAAAAGCATTGTGGTATTAGTACTTTTATCTTGGATCATTGTTCAGAAGGAGGTTCAGCCCCCAGACAACCACATTTTTACTGTCATGAATGGCAAGACAAAATGTAGAGCTCAACTTACCCAAAGGAAAAAAGGCTCAAAAGACAAATTATGGCACAACTTAGCAGCCAAATTCTTACCAAGTACAGACTTTTGACATACGGATCTCTCTCCAGTTGCAAGTGGGAACATGCACTTTGAATGATGTCATTCAAAATTACCCTGCCCAGACACACTTTTCATTGATTCTCTTGGAGGGCAGTTCTAAGAGATTCTCTGGGGCTTTCTCTGCATCATGAGACGCAGTGCAGTTCTGCCCTTCACCTTCCGGCAGTTTGTCACCTCGTCCCTATGACCTCAGAGGAACTTTGTCTCAGGCCAACTGTTTGTTCCTTGGGCTCTTTCATTTCCCCTAAAAATCATTTGCTGCCCCTCTAAATGGCCTACATCTCCATCTATCTCCCTCTACCCTCAGAAGAGGGTGCTCTTTAAGCATCAACCATCCAGCCCTTCTAGCAGTCTCATTTTTCAGCTGGTTCCCATGTTTATGCCTGTTCTATGTTTTTCTTTTCCTGTTAAGCTGTCTGTTGTCAGCTCATTTCTGCAGTGAATCTTCAGAGAGGAGATTGGAAGCTTTCCTTCCACCCATACGATAGAACTATAAAGCAGAAGAGTTTAGAAAGACTTTCCCATTTAAGTGACGAAACCTCATACTCCATTTGTGACAAATAGCACAAAGGTTAAAAAAACTTATTTTTGACCAAAAGCTCTGTTGACATTCTATTAAACACCGACCTATTTAATTTTCATAATGTAAATGGCAGATATTTTCATAATTCTTATGCTAATAAATCATTTCCCTGATTTTTTGGGTAAAACCACATATTCATAATGAAGTCCAGAAACGTGAATTGTTTCATATAATTTATTCTTATTTGTGATTACAAGTATACCTCTACAGAAAGTTAGTATACTCACACAAAGGTAACTTGTGCAGAGGGAGATGGCAAATTTATAACTTCTCAGAAACACAGTAATGATAAGTAACCAAGGACTTCCACCAAAGTCAGTCCCACGATGACGATGGTCAGCCAGAGTATTGATAACCTGGAATAATAATAGTTGAAATAATGAAAAGGTCAATGACACTGACAATATTTCACTCAGAAAGAATCATCCTTAGAAACCGTCAACCTCCTCCAAAAGGTAACCACATCCCTCAGATATCACCGTGGGATTCCACTGCTACAAAAAAGAACAGAAGTTAGAGAAGTCTCATGTTTTTCAGATGGCTGGTAGTGTTTTTAGGCATTGCAAATGTGGGGTGTTGTCTTTCTTGGTATAAAGCAGGGATATCCAATCTTTTGACTTCCCTGCCTATATTAAAAGAAGCAAAGTTGTCTTGAGCCACACATAACATACACTAACACTAACAATAGCTGATGATCTAAAAAAAAAATTTTTTTTTTTTTTTGAGACAGAGTTCTGCTCCACTCAGTCGCCCAGGCTGGAGTGCAGTGGTGCAATCTCGGCTCACTGCAACCTCCAGCTCCTGGGCTCAAGCCATTCTCCTGCCTCAGCCTCCCGAGCAGCTGAGATTACCGGTCTCTGCCACCATGCCTGACTAATTTTTGTATTTTTAGTAGAGATGAGGTTTCACCATGTTGGCCAGTCTGGCCTTGAACTCCTGACAGGCGATCTGCCTGCCTCGGCCTCCCAAAGTGCTGGGATTACAGGTGTGAGCCACCGTGCCCAGCCATTTTTTTTGTTTTTGTTTGTTGTTTGTTTTTGAGATGGGGTCTCACTCTGTCACCCAGGCTGGAGTGCAGTGGTGTGCTCTCGGCTCACTGCAACCTCTGCCTCTCAGGTTCAAGTGATTCTCCTGCCTCAGCCTCCTGAGTAGCTGGGAGTACAGGTGCCTGACAGTGCACTCAGCAAATTTTTGTATTTTTTGTGGAGATGGGGTTTTGCCATGTTGGCCAGGGTGGTCTCGAACTCCTGACCTCAGGTAATCTGCCCGCCTCAGCCTCCCAAAGTGCTGGGATTACAGGCATGAGCCACTGTACCTGGCCAAAATCTCCTAATGTTTTAAGAAAGTTTACAAATTTGTGTTGAACTGCATTCAAAACTGTCCTGGGCCACATGCAGCCCGTCACTCATGGGTAAGACAAGCTAAGTATAAAGTAATTATCTTATCTTTTATTTTTGTTTTGAGACAAAGTCTTGCTCTGTCACCCAGGCTAGATTGCAGTGGCATGATCTCAGCTCACTGCAACCTCCGCCTCCCGGGTTCAAGTGATTCTCCTGCCTCAGCTACTGAGTAACTGGGATTACAGGCGCCTGCCACCACGCTCGGCTAATTTTTGTCTTTTTAGTAGAAACAGGGTTTCACCATCTTGGCCAGGCTGGTCTCCAACTCCTGACCTCATGATCCACCTGCCTCGGCCTCCCAAAGTGCTGGGAATACAGGTGTGAGCCACTGCACCTGGCCAGTAGTTATCTTTTCTTTAGTTATTTACTTGTTTTTTAAATTGATGTATAACATTGGATGCATTTATTATATATCACATGGTAAAAGAATCCCTCTAAATAATACTTCTCTCTTGGATTATATGAATCTTTGTCATTTAAAGCTCAGCATAAGTAAAAAAAAAAAAATACAATGAAGAGATTATTTCATTCACAAATAAGTATCGAATTTTAGTTCTTAAAAAGTAACAAGGTGGGCCGGGCGTGGTGGCTCACGCCTGCAATCCCAGCACTTTGGGAAGCCGAGGTGGGTGGACCACGAGATCAGGAGATTGAGACCATCCTAGCTAACACGGTGAAACCCATCTCTACTAAAAATACAAAAAATTAGCAGGGCATGGTGGCACGCGCCTATAGTTCCAGCTACTTGGGAGGCTGAGGCAGAAGAATCACTTGAACCTGGGAGGTAGAGGTTGCAGTGAGCCAAGATCGCACCACTGCACTTCAGCCTGGGTGACAGAGCGAGACTCTGTCTCAAAAAAAAAAAAAAAAAAAATTACCAAGGTGGAGATCATGAAAATGGCATGAATAGTGTGGGATTTCTCTAAGATTGTTGATATTAATTCCATTAGACTCTTATGTGAGTGAAGACAAAGACTTCCCCTGAGTAAGTTCAGACAGCTTGTGATAACATTTCTACATCGATTCCTCAGGATTTAACTATATATTCTTGAAAACATCTCAATTTTAAATGTTTCTTTCAAGATGGTGAATTAAACAGAGATAGCCCTTCAACAGGTTGAACTCAGCATATGCTGAGTCTGAAATGGAAATGATGGAGTTAGAGAAGCATACAACAATGGTAATGATTTCAGAAATACGGTGTTGAGCAGAATAAAGCAGACACAAAAGAGTACCTATGGCATGGCATGCATCTGTATACGTGAAATTCCAGAATAAGCAAGCTAACCTATGATAAGAAAGAGACTGGCTGGGAAGAGTGAGAGTTCACTTTCTGGGGTGACATAATAGTGTAGATCTTGGCTGGGCACGGTGGTTCACGCCTGTAATCCCAACACTTTGGGAGGCCGAGGCGGGCGGATCACCTGAGGTCGGGAGTTCAAAACCAGCCTGACCAACATGGAGAAACCCTATCTCTACTAAAAATAGAAAATTAGCTGGGAGTGGTGGCACATGTCTGTAATCCCAGCCACTCGGGAGGCTGAGGCAGGAGAATCGCTCGAACCTGGGAAGCAGAGGTTGCGGTGAGCTGATATTGGCCCATTGCACTCCAGCCTCAGCAACAAGGGAGAAACTGTCTCAAAAAAATAAATAAATAAATAAAATAATGTAGATCTTGAAAGGGGGTTGGTTTATGCTGGTGTATGTACTTTCCAAAGTTAGTAAACTTACACTTAAGGTTATATATTTTGGCCAGGCGCGGTGGCTCACGCCTGTAATCCCAGCACTGGGAGGCTGAGGCAGGCGGATCACGAGGTCAAGACATGGAGACTATCCTGGCGAACATGGTGAAACCCAGTCTCTACTAAAAATACAAAAATTAGCCAGGCGTGGTGGCCTACTAAAAATACAAAAATTAGCCAGGCGTGGTGGTCTACTAAAAATACAAAAATTAGCCAGGCATTGTAATCTGAGCTACTCAGGAGGCTGAGGCAGGACAATTGCTTGAACCCCGGAAGCGGAGGTTGCAGTGAGCCGAGATCTTGCCACTGCACTCCAGCCTGGGCGACAGAGTGAGACTCTGTCTAAAAAACAAACAAACAAAAAAGTCATCAAACCAGATGACACAAATCAAATGACATTTCACTTTGTTTTGGTCCGTTTTGTTTGTTGGAGACAAGAGTGCAGCGGGGCCATCTCGGCTCACTGCAACGTCCAGCTCCTGGGCCCAAGCGATCCTCCCACCTCAGCCTCTCCAGTAACTGGGATAACAGGTACGCACCACCAGGCCCGACTAATCTTTTTTGGAATTTTTTGTAGAGATGGGTTTCGCTATGATGCCCTGGCTAGTCTTCAACTCCTGGACTCAAGTGATCTGCCCACCTCGGCCCCCTAAAGTGCTGGGATTACAGGCCTGAGCTGTGTAATTTCATGCCGCGTGACACAGCCCAGTAAAAAGGAAGAAACCCCGCGGGTCCAACGTCTACTCACACAGGTGGACTGATGGCTGATAAATCCCAGCAGGAGCCAAAAGAGCAGCCACAGCACCCATCTACTCACACAGGTGGACTGATGGCTGATAAATCCCAGCAGGAGCCAAAAGAGGAGCCAAAAGAGCAGCCACCGCACCCGCATGTCCTGGTCCTTTCAGGGCTCCCTGAGGCAGCCAGGACAGAGGTGGAGGTGGCTTAGGGCAGGGCGGAGGGAAGGGGACGGGGACCGGGGCCGGATCTGAGTTGGGGAGGGGGAGGGGAGGGGGAGGGGAAGGGGAAGGGGAGGGGAAGGGGAGAAGTAAGGGAAGGGAAAGGAGGAGAAGGGGGCTGTTGGGGAGGAGGAGGAGGAGGAGAAGAAAGGGGTCTGGGAAAGGATCCGGTTCAAATTAAGTTCTCAAGCGCTGGTGGAAGGTTTAGCTACAGGTCACGGAGAAGATCAGGGAAGCAACAGGACAGGCGGGGCAAGGGAGCGTGAGGCTTAGGAGCAATTAGGAGACAAAGGTTCTGCTTTCCACCAAACCTTCTTCGGTCTGGGCCCTCCCTTAGCAACCCTGGGGCTTTAGACTCTCTCTCCACCAATCCCTGATGACCCCGGTGGTGCCTCACAATGGACATTCCAAGTAGTGCCCGCATCATCCCAATGACCCCTCCCCCATCTCAGTCCCCCACGCTCCTCCCAAGGCCAGGTCCTCTCTGGAACCTTCACAAACCTGATTTCTGGTCCTCCCCAACCAGCTCCCTGTCCCTGCTTCTGGGCGCTCCTTCCTTCCTGAGCTCCCAGGGTTCCTCAAGGTCACTTTTGGCGACAAAACATAAAAAACAAATGATGGCAGGATGGCAGGAAGAACCTCATACCCAAGCAGAGTGCCAGGTTTTACAGCCTCCGCTCAGCCATTCATATCCTAAGCAACAAAACATCAGCAGGATGCGGAAGGTCCCGATAGTAAACCATCTCCATCACATCCATGTAGCCATCCGTCCATCAACCTGTATCTCAGGAACAAATGTACATACATTCATTTTAAGCATGCATGGTACATTTACAAAAATTAACCTGACTTATTTTGTTCCAGCAAATCTCAATATATTTGAGAGCAATCAAATCACACAGCATGTTTCTGATCATAAAACTGTGCTAGAAGTCAATGATTAAAAGCTAATTCAAAATTATTATTTGCTTGGAAATTCAAAGTGCCCTTATAAGACATAAACATAAGAAAGAATCCAAAATGAAACAAGATTGCCTTTCAACTCAATGATGAGATCATAACATGGCAATAAAATGTCTCCCTCTGGCCTGGGAATTCCTCTTTGTGGCACAAGGTTGCGTGATCTCAAATCACCCCTAACCCACCTAGACATTTTAACATCCGAAACCGAGTGATGATGTCCTTATCTATATTATCTTACTGCCCGTGTGTGTGGACTTTAAATTCTGAACCCAAATGAGGGGGAGAAAACCAAGCTGACTTTCATGACTGGCCTCTCAGGGATGTCCAAGGAATCTGTGCATTTCAAGAAACAAAGCTCATCAGCTTCTCTCCTAAGGTATTTGCCCACAATACCCAGAGGGCTTGGCAGCATCATGTGTGATGGGTGGGGAGCTCCAAGCAGGTGGGCAGGACCCAGGGGCCTGGTGACCAGGACAGACCCCCACTGTCCATCACCTTTCCTGGCCCTGTCCTCAGCTAAACTTCCCACAGGCCTTCTGCCCGATCACACAGAGTGTGCCCAAACTCTCTCAGGCCTCTGGCAGCTGAAAAGCACTGCTTTAAATCCCTTTACCATTTACTATGACATAAGGTTATTGTAAACAGGAAATATTCTATTGATGCTACAAATGGAAAGCCAATGCCTTTACCATAAATAGAAAAACAACCCTAAGAAGCAAGCAAAACAAAAGAAAACAGGGGCTGGGTGTGGTGGCTCACGCCTGTAATCCCACCACTTTGGGAGGCCGAGGTGGGCGGATCACAAGGTCAGGAGTTCCAGACCAGCCTGGCCAATATGGTGAAACCCTGTCTCTAATAAAATACAAAAATTAGCCGGGTGTGGTGGTGGGCACCTGTAGTCCCACCTACTTGGGAGGCTGAGGCAGGAGAATAGTTTGAACCCGGGAGGCAGAGTCTGCAGTGAGCCGAGATTGCACCACTGCACTCCAGCCTAGGCGACAGAGCGAGACTCTGTCTCAAAAACAGCAACAACTACAAACAAACAAAAAACAGGGTTAACAAAAGTATGGAATTCAATTCTTTTTATATGCTGCAGCCATGTTCCAGCCCTAGATTTGGCTGGGCATGGTGGCTCACGCCTGTAATCCCAGCACTTTGGGAGGCTGAGGCAGGCGGATCACGAGGTTAGGGGTTGACACGAGCCTGGCCAATATGGTGAAACCCCATCTCTACTAAGAATACAAAAATTAGCTGGGCATGGTGGCGCATACCTGTAGTCCCAGCTACTCAGAGGCTGAGGCAGAGGAATTGCTTGAACCCGGGAGACGGAGGTTGCAGTGAGCCGAGATTGTGCCATTGCACTCCAGCCTGGGGGACAGAGTGAAACTCTGTCTCAAAAAAAAATAAAAAATATATATATATGTGTGTGTGTGTGTCTGTGTGTGTGTGTGTGTGTGTGTGTGTATCTCTATAAATCTCAAAAATAAAAGATCATTTTTGAGATTATCATTTTAAAAGACAAGATAATGTTCAACTTAATGAATAATTTAATTATTACTACTGGACTTTTTGTAGACTGCACAGAGCATTCAAAACAAATGAAGGAGAATAAAAAATATGTATTACATGTTGTAAAATAAATGTGATGTGGTTAATTCTTTTATTCAAAATTATAGAACATATATATGTACTGTAGAATGTATTTCTTATTATGAGTCATGTTAAAAAGTAGTTTAGAAGCTGTTGATTTGAATTTCCTTTTCAAATTTTGCAGGATAATTTTTTTTTTTTTTTGACAGAGTCTCGCTCTGTCGTACAGTCTGGAGTGCAATGGCGTGATCTCGGCCCACTAAAACCTCCACCTCCTGAATTTCAGCAATTCTCCTGTCTCAGCCTCCTGAGTAGCTGGAACTACAGGCTGACACCACCATGCCCGGCTAATTTTTGTATTTTTAGTAGGGACGAGGTTTTGCCATATTGGTCAGGCTGGTCTCGAAGTCCTGGCCTCTGGTGATCCACCAGCCTCAGCCTCCCAAAATGCTGGGATTACAGGCATGAGTCACCATGCCCAGCCTAAACTTGGCAAGATAATAAATAACCTTTTTAAGTGTCGTTGGGCACTTGTCTGGTTGTTTTTCTTTAGGTTACCATGCCAGCAATGATTCCTTTTGAGTTTCTGACAGAAGATAGTGGTTTTCATCCAAATAAGTCAACTACTCTACCCCATCCCTAAGCCACTTGTATGGAAAGAAAAAGAGGAAGAAGCCAGTACTGAGACTGCGTAAGCTTCCCCCAGCATCACCCGCTATGAGATGTGTGGCAGCTGAGACCCGGGAACTGCTCAAGGGCACCAGGCCCCATCTGTCTGCACTCACTCACCTTCCTCAGGTACTCGCATGGGCATGTCACTGACTTTACGTGCTGCTGCAGCTCCTTGGTGAGCTGGCCCTGGTCATGGGACAGGAACCGTGGGGTCAGGACAATAGAGAGCTTCACCATTTGCAGAATGAGAACAGGGGCTCATGATGAGTGCCAACCTATTAGACAATTTTAAAAAAAAAAGTGTTGAATGAGTGGAAAAACAAGGTGATGTTTGAGTCTATAGTGGTCAAGGGCTTCAGAAAAGGACAGAACCAAGTTCAAATTCCTGTACTTTGAATTTCTACTTCATGCCATGCAAAATTACTTTACCCCTTTTAACCTCAGTTTTCTTCTGTGTGAAACAGGAACAATAGTTTCATTCGTCATTCAGTTTCTCTCAAGGTTTCACGAGATCATACCTATAAAACATCCAAGTCATTTAAATGTATCATCATTTCGGTCATAATTAGTGGGATCCATTTCACTATTATTGGATATACAGTTCTGTGCCTGAAACCTACAAAAAAAGAAAATGTTAAGTCTAAAAAGCATTAGTGATTTCTCATTTTTACATTACTAATTATAACCCTGTTTAATCACACAAGGCCTTGTCCGCGGCAGGTGCTCAATAAACACTTGTCGAATCAATGCATGTGGGCTCCGGAGCCACACTGTTTAGATTCTATTCTGCCTCCACCACTTATCAGCTGTGTGATCTGGGTAAGATAATTCACCTCTTTATGTCTGCACTTCCCTCTCCATAAACTATATATAACGAGAATCCTTAGCTCATTCGGTTGTGGTGAGGGGTGAATGATTTGGCACACAGGAGGGGCTTGTTAACATTAGCTGTGATGATCTCCTTCCAAATCTTCATTTTCAGAGCCACAGATGAGGCCATAGTGCAACCAGGTGACCTTAGAGTGTAAGTACACATGATCGCCAGCTATGCTCTATCTCCACCATAGGTCCAAGACTGGGTAGTTCTGGCCTGGAGGCTTCTGCTGCATCTGCCTTCTCAGTGTTCACCTAAGGACTTTTGTATTTTCCTCCTCACATCCCCACAGATGGGGTTCAGGCTGCCGAACACAGCTGGGTGATGCCAGGGCAGTGGCCACCTGTGCCAGCCCTGTGAGGTAGCTGGAGGATCATTGCTCCTTCCTTCTCGGGCTCTGGGCAGATGCCAGGGCTGGGGTGACCCATGCCCTCAAGTTTCTTGCTTTGGAGGGCCACATTTTCCCTTGGCAAAGAGGGTAAAGGTCACAGGATGCCGGAGAGCTGTGACTTCTCTGTGCCCTGGGCCCAAACTATGAAGACCTGACACACTATGCTAAAAGTCCAAGGCTGGGTGCTCCCCAGAGCTTCTTGCCTCACCACTTCTGCTGAGGGAGGAATGAATACTATGTCCTCCCAGAGCTTTGGGAGCTTGTAGCAAGCAGCCTCCCCAGCGCAAAATCTCTTGGAAACCTCTAACTGTGTCGGAAACATTAGTGCAAATGTTGCATCCTATTTCCCATATGTCCGCATGTTTTAGGAAAAAACCCTCAATTTCCTAAATATGCAAGAAAAATTGGTATTGTAGGACAATGTGACTTTTTAAAAAATGTTATTTAAACATCTTCCCCACCTCCTTTTCTGCCCTCCAAGACTGCCAAATACTTGTTGAACAAATATTATTAAATGCCTACTACGTGCCAGCCATGATTCATGGTCTTGGGGACACAGCAGAGAACGAACTGACAGGATTCCTCTCTTATGTAACTCACATTCTTATATGATAATGATAAGGGTTAACATTAATTAAGCTGTCACTACGTGTTAGTCACGGTGCAGTCATTCCCACACATTATTACACTTAAACCTGCTAGCAAGCTTGCAAGGTAGTTAGTTGTTTTTCCTTTAAAAACTGAGTCTCAGAATGATGAAGCACTTTGTCCAATGTCACACAGCTAGTAAGTGTGGAGACCTTGCATCCAATCAATGCCCGTCTCATTCTAAACACCACGTTATGTGTTCTCCAGCCCATGGAGAATAATTTTAACACAGTCAATGAAATTTCTACACAACAATGTTCTTGTCTCAAGTCCAAGAATGCCTCCTACACCTCCCATAATACTGGCTTTCTGGTGAGTAAAGATGCCATTCTCATGTGTAATCAGGTGGCAAATGGAGATATGACCAAAGTAACCCTTTGCCTACACTCATAACCCTGTACACACTCTTCCTGTGTCGATTCAATTCAAGTACCCCTTTTGATCACTTAGCAAATCTGACCTTTAAAAGGGTTAAGGTTTTTATATCCATGTAAGTTTCTGTATTGCTTTGGAAGTCTCTGGTTAAATGAACACCCTTTTTAATAGTGACCTGTGATTCTGTTTTGATCAAGTGTTTTCAAACTTGACATCTTTGATGGGTTTCTCCAGTGTCAAAATCCTAAATCAGGTCTTTTTGGCTTAAAATTAACTTTGGGATTTTTCCACTGCGTCCCTTCGGGAGTCTGAAGAATGCATCTCTCATCTTGTAGAGATATTAAGTGATTCGATTTATTTGGTAGATTATATGGGCGGGCATTGTCAAATGTGGTGATACTGCATGGGAGGGCACTGTCAAGTGAGGTGACATTAGATCTCATCTCAGTTATATTTATGGGTATGTTGTTGATATACATGTTCCAAAAATTACATACATTTATACAAATTTAATATGTTATGATTTGTAATTTTGATAGTTATACTAAATATTTGTTAAAGTTATATTTGTATAAACATGTTATGAATGGCTGGGCACCGTCACTCATGCCTGTAATCCCAGCACTTTCGGAGACAAAGGCAGGTGGATCACCTGAGGTTGGGAGTTCGAGACCAGCCTGACTAATAGGGTGAAACCCTGTCTCCACTAAAAATACAAAAATTCGCCATGCCTGGTGGCACATGCCTGTAGTCTCAGCTACTCGGGAGGCTGAGACAGGAAAATTGCTTGAACACAGGAGGCGGAGGATGCAGTGAGTCGAGATCATGCCACTGCACTCCCACCTGGGCAACAGAGGTAGAATCTATCTAAAAAAAAAGTTATTAATTATTTCTGAAGATTATATGAAATTTATAAAAGTCTGGTGGTCCTGATGTGATGCTGTCAGTCATGATTCTGATTACTGTCTTAAAATGCTGCACATAAGTAATTAAATTTCCTTGTGAACTGGGAAGTTTCATCAGACTTTTATCATAACTATTGTTTCCATCATCCACAGTTACTGTTTTGAATTCTTCTCTAAAAATATTTGTAATTGGCAATAGTCCAAATTTTCTTTTGTTTTCTTTCTTGTTTTTGAGACACAGTCTGGCTCTGTCGCTTAAGCTGGAGTGCAATGGTGGGATCTTGGCTCACTGCAAGCTCTGCCTCCTGGGTTCACGCCATTCTCCTGCCTCAGCCTCCCAAGTAGCTGGGACTACAGGTGCCTGCCACCACGCCCAGCTAATTTTTTGTATTTTTAGTAGAGACGGGGTTTCACTGTGTTAGCCAGGATGGTCTCAATCTCCTGACCTCGTGCTCTGCCCGCCTCGGCCTCCCAAAGTGCTGGGATTACAGATGTGAGCCACCGCGCCCAGCTTAATTTTTGCATTTTTAGTACAGAGGAGGTTTCACCATGTTGGCCAGGATGGTCTCGATCTACTGACCTTGTAATCCGCCTGCCTCGGCCTCCCAAAGTGCTGGGATTACAGGCATGAGCCACTGCAACTGAATTTTTTTTTGTTTGTTTGTTTGAGACAGAGACTCACTCTGTCACCCAGGCTGGAGTGCAGTGGCATGATTTTGGCTCACTGCAACCTCCACCTCCTGAGTTCAAACAATTATCCTGCCTCGTCCTTCGGAGTACCTGGGATTACAGGTGAGTGCCACCGTGCCTGGCTCATTTTTGTATTTTTACTAGAGACAGCGTTTCATCATGTTGGCCAGGCTGGTCTCAAATCCTGGCCTCAACTGATCCACTCTCATTGGCCTTCCAAGGTGCTGGGATTATAGGCATGAGACACCACACCTGGCTCAGTAAGTACATTTTTTATTATCAAAAAAGAGTAGTGTATGATTGGCTTATTCTGTGTAGAATGTATTTTATCGATGGCTTCTATTTTTATAATTTCTGAGTTAAGTAATTTTTAATGAATGCTTTTTAGTTTGGGGCAGATTCAGTTGACTAAAGCACCTCATTTCCCAGATACATGAAATAAAATATTTGGCTTCTTTTCCAATTTCACACTGATGTTATTTTGTGAAAATCAGTGCTTTAAGATAAATCTTTATACTTTAAGGTAAACATGAGAAACTTGATCTAATATTTAATATTTATTCAGTTCTACACTTTATTAACTTCTACACCAGCAGATTTAAAAATTATGTAACTATCTCAAGAAGTTTCACTTGGGTGTAACGGTTCACGCTTGTAATCCCAGCACTTTGGGAGGCTGAGGTGGGAGGATTGCTTAAGACAAGGAGTTTGAGACCAGCTTGGGCAATACAGCAAGATCCCATCTCTATTTTAAAGAAAAGTTTCACTTTGGGAGGCCAAGGCAGGCGGATCACAAGGTCAGGAGATCGAGACCATCCTGGCTAACATGGCAAAACCCCATCTCTACTAAAAATACAAAAAATTAGCCAGGCGTGGTGGTGGGCACCTGTAGTTCCAGCTACTCGGGAGGCTGAGGAAGAAGAATAGCGTGAACCCAGGAGGCAGAGTTTGCAGTGAGCTGAGATTGTGCCACTGCACTCCAGCCTGGGCGACAGAGCGAGACTCCGTCTCAAAAAAAAAAAAAAAAAGTTTCAGCAAATTCCACCTAAGAATTCCACCAGAGTTCTGTTGTCTCCAATGTCATGTTCCACAGATTTCAAGTTGTGAAGCCCTGAACTGTTAATTTATCTTGAGAATGTACATTTAAGCTTAATTTAAGACTATATACCTAAAAATTGAGCATATAATTTGTATAATTTGTTTATGTAAGTTTTTGTAAGTCATAAGTATGTAGTTTCCAAGTATATAATTTATCTGAATGTAATAGGCATTAATATATTTTACATTATTGGGACCATAATACAGAAATTTCTAAATGGTTTGTAAAATAACTTGTTATTTGCAATGTTGTAAAAGTAGTTAATACAATGGAAAAACTCATAATAAGAAGATACATTTTAACATCAAGAAGTTTACCCAAGGTAATTATGAATACTACCTGGCAAACTTTACAGAAGCTGTGGTATCACTTTTATGATAGAAGAATAGTGTTTGCATTTTGTGTAAAAGTACTTGGGGCTGGGAGTAGTGGCTCATGTCTATAATCCCAGTGCTTTGGGAGGTGAAGGCAGGTGGATCATCTGAGCCCAGGAGTTTGAGACCAGCCTAGGCAACATGGCAAGAGCCTGTCTCTCCAAAACCTATGAAAATTAGCCAAGCATGGTGGTGTGAGCCTGTAGTCCCAGCTACTTGGGAGACTCATGCAGGAGGATCTCTTGAGCCCAAGAGGCAGAAGATGAATAAATAAATGGATGCCACTGAATGAGATGAGGTCTCTCTTGAAGGAGAGAGAAAAAGAGATTTAAATAGTAACAATTATAATAAGGCTGGGCGCGGTGGCTCACGCTTGTAATCCCAGAACTTTGGGAGGCCAAGGCAGGAGGATCGGTTGAGGTCACGAGTTTAAGACCAGCATGGCCAACACGGTGAAACAATGTCTCTATTAAAAATAGAAAATTAGCCAGACATGGTAGTGCGTTGCCTGTGGTCTCAGCTACTCAGGTGGCTGAGACAGGAGAATCGCTTGAACCTGGGAGGAATAGGTTGTAGTGAGCCGATAAATATAAAAAGTATTAGAGTCCTAACAGAGGAAAGTTTCCACTGATCACCTTTTAGCTTTGAACAATGCAGAAGCATTTGCCCAGTTTACTTGTAATTAAAAATCATGCATCATTCACAATTTATCAGTCTTTTTTGTTTGTACAAAAACTAATATAAGTTATTCTCTTTTGTCTGTATTGTGACTGGTTTGGTGAGAGGGAATTAGGCCACTCGAGAGTTTGTGTGTGTTTAAAATTTTCTGGCCAGGCACGGTGGCTCATGCCTGTAATCCCAGCACATTCGGAGGCTGAGGCAGGGGTATCACCTGAGGTCAGGAGTTCTAGACCAGCCTGACCAACATGGAGAAACCCCCATCTCTACTAAAAATACAAAATTAGCTGGGCGTGGTGGTACGTGCCTGTAATCCCAGCTACTCGGGAGGCTGAGGCAGGAGAATTGCTTGAACCTGGGAGGCGGAGGTTGTGGTGAGTTGAGATCACGCCATTGCACTCCAGCCTGGGCAATAAGAGTGAAACTCTGTCTCAAATAAATAAATAAATAAATACATAAACTATCACAGCATAAAGTAGGAGGGATATTTCATTACTGTCTAGTTAAACTGGTTAATGCGGAAAGGAAGTCTGGAAATTCCAGTTTTAAAGTAAAATTTTGGACATTGTAGGATTGATTATTTGGCATAGCTGTGATGTTTGTTGCTGCATTATGGTTTTGTTGGCAGGGCAGCCTTTAAGGACCTGTATATTTTCTTCTAGACTCTATATATTCCCCGTCAGTATTAGTTGCATGGTCAAACTGGCAAATTTTACCATAGGTATAAATAATAGAGAATGTGGAAGAATAGTGAATAGTGTCAGAGATAGTTAAAGGTCCATACAGAAGTAGAGAAGGTAATAAGTAATAGTGGCTTGGACTAAATATTTGTTGAATAAATTTTTTAAAAAACAGCCTACCTAAAATTTGTGTTGAAGATATGAATGAATGAAGTTTCCGCACCCTTATGTGGAGCCCTGATAAGTAAGCAAAAATAAGGAAGGGTCCCCAGGTTGGGGAGAGCCCCAAGTTGAGGAGAATAATGAACAATTATTGTATGAACAATTGTTAGAGACAGCTAATCACAAACAACCTGTGGGTACAATGACCTCATTCCACATGTAGCACCCTTAAGCATGACCCTGTAAAACTTTCCTCCAGCCCTTGCCTCTTTGCAGGTAGCTCCTTCTCTGCTGAGCTGCCCACTGCAACATATTTTCATAATTTCTCTAATAAATCTGCCTTTCTTTACCTACAACTATCTTGGTAAATAGCTTTACCACCTGCAAAACTGACCCTAGTTAGTTGCTACCCGATATGGTTTGGCTGCGCCCCCACCCAAATTTCATCTTGAATTGTAGCTCCCATCATCCCCATGTGTCGTGGGAGGGACCTGGTAGGAGGTAATGGAATCATGGGGGCAGGTTTTTCCCATACTGTTCTCGTGATAGGGAATACATCTCACTAAATCTGGTGGTTTTATAAAGGGCAGTTTCCCTGCACATGCTCTCTTACCTGCTGCCATGTAAGACGTACCTTTGCTCCTTCTTTGCCTTCCACCATGATTCTGAGGCCTCCCCAGCCTTGTGGAACTGTGAGTACATTAAACCTCTTTTTCTTTATAAATTACCCAGTCTCAAGTATTTCTTCATAGCAGTATGAAAAGTAACTAATACACTACCCGAGACACCTTAGGAGATTTGTAACAGCTGTAATGCCAGGTCCACCATATTTTTAGCATAAAGCAAATGTTTACCCATGATATGACTGCACAGGCTTTCAGCTGGAGCCATAGCAACTCAAGTAGTAACCCTATCTTAGTCTGATTAAAAGTAAATATTAGTCTGGGCATGGTGGGACATGCCTGTAATCCCAGTACTTTGGGAGGCTGAGACAGAAGGATTGCTTGAGCCCAGGAGTTTGAGACCAGCCTGGGCAACATGGAAAAACACAGTCTCTACAAAAAATACAAAAATTAGCTGAGCGTGGTGGCACACACCTGTAGTCCCAGCACCTTGGGAGGCTGAGGCAGGAGTATCTCTTGAACCCAGGAGGTGGAGGCCGCAGTGAGCAGTGATCATGTCAGAGGCATGTGAACCAGAGCAACTCCATCTTAAATAGGAGCTGGGAAAAATGAGGCTGAAACTACTGGGCTGCATTCCCTGATGGTTAAGGCATTCTAAGTCACAGGATGACATAGAAGGTCAGCACAAAATACCAGTCATAAAGACCTTGCTGATAAAACAGGTTGCAGTGAAGGAGCTGGCCAAAACCCACCAAAACCAAAATAGTGACAAGAGTGACCTCCCGTCATCCTCACTGCTACACTCCTACCAGCACCATGACAGTTTACAAATGCCATGGCAACATCAAGAAGTTACCCTATATGGTCTAAAAAGAGGAGGCATGAAAAATCCACCCCTTGTTTAGCATATCATCAAGAAATAACCATAAAAATGGGCAACCAGCAGCCCTCCTGGCTGCTCTGTCTGTGGAGTAGCCATTCTTTTATTCCTTTACTTTCTTTTTTTTTTTTTTTTTTGAGATGGAGTCTCCCTCTGTCACCCAGGCTGGAATGCAGTGGCGTGATCTCGGCTCACTGCAAGCTTCACCTCCCGGGTTCACGCCATTCTCCTGCCTCAGCCTCCAGAGTAGCTGGGACTACAGGCGCCCGCCACCACACCTGGCTAATCTTTTTGTATTTTTAGTAGAGACGGGGTTTCACTGTGTTAACAAGGATGGTCTTGATCTCCTGACCTCGTGATCCACCTGTCTCAGCCTCCCAAAGTGCTGGGGTTACAGGCGTGAGCCACCGTGCCCCTCCTCCTTTACTTTTTTAATAAACTTGCTTTCACTTCACACTGCAGGATCACCCTGAATTCTTTCTTGCACAAGATCCAAGAACCTTCTCTTGGGGTCTGGATTGGGACCCCTTTCCTGTAACTATCATGCCACTGCACTCCAGCCTGGGCAACAGAGCAAGGCCCTGTCTCAAAACAAAAAAAACTAATATGACTTAATACATTCATTTTGGAGGGCAAGTCTCTCAAAATGGGCCTTTCACTGGGGGAAAATGGTAAAAATACTCCCTGGTAATTCAAGAATTGCAGACTCCTGAGATGCTGCTCATATTAGCTGAACACTTACCAATACTTCACTTTTTTCCATATATACTCAAGGAACAAGTGCTATTTAAAGTGTTTCACTCTGCTGTGCTAGGTGCAAGACTATAAAGAGGTGTGAGGATCAACACTTTTATGAAAACCAACGTCATTCTGAATGTAGTTTCAGATGCTAGTGCAAAGGAAGTTCTTGGTATACGGAAAAAGTATTCAACAATAAATTAGGCATGGTTGCTTCCATTTTCTGCCTCACACACTTTTTTTTCGTGGTTAAAGTGATAAAACGTCTATGATATTTTAGATTGGCAGTTGCAAACTAGTGGTCCTCAGCGGGTTTTTTATGACACCTACAAGGTTTGAAGACTTTGATTTCATATTAAAAATCTGGGTTTCAGTCTGGGTGTGGTGCTGCACTTCTGTAATCCCAGCACTTTGGGAGGCTAAGGTGGGTGGATCACCTGAGGTCAGGAGTTCGAGACCAGCCTGGCCAACATGATGAAACTCTGTCTCTACTAAAAATACAAAAATTAGCCAGGCATGGTGGCATGTGCCTGTAATCCCAGCTACTCAGGAGGCTGAGGCAGGAGAATTGCTTGAACCAGGGAGGTGGAGGTTGCAGTGAGCCAAGATCGCACCACTGCACTCAAGCTTAGGCAATAGAGCAAGACTCCATCTCAAAAAATGAATAAATAAATAAATAAAATCTGGGTTTCAGGCCAGCTGTGGTGGTGCACTCCTGCAATCCCAGCACTTTGGGAGGCTGAGATGGGCAGACAGCTTGAGGTCAGGAATTCCAGACTAGCCTGGGCAACATGGCGAAACCCCATGTCTACAAATAATACAAAAAAATTAGCTGGGTGTAGTGGAGTGTGCCTGTAATCTCAGCAACTTGGGAGGCTGAAGTGAGAGGATTGCTTGAGCCTGGGAGGTTGAGGTTACAGTGAGCCAAGATCGCACTCCTACACTCCAACCTGGGCAACAGAGTCAGAACTACTCTTAAAAAAAAAAAAAAAAAAAAAAAAAAAAAATTCTGGGTTTCTGGCATCTCAAAAAAAAAAAAAAAAAGGAAAGGTCAGGGCAGCTACAGTCCTCTATTAAGCAATGTGCCACAGCAGGGGTCCCTAATTCCTGGGCCATGGACCTGTACTGGTCTGTGGCCTGTTAGGAACTGGGCCACAGAGCAGGAGGTGAATGGTGGGTAACAACTGAAGCTTCGTCTGTATTTCTGGCCGCTCCCCATTGTTTGCATTGCTGCCTGAGCTCTGCCTCCTGTCAGATCAGCAGCATCATTAGATTCTTACAGGAGCATGAACCCTGTTGTGAATTGCACACACGAGGGATCCAGGTTGCATATTCCTTATGAGAATCTAATTCCTGATGATTTGTGGTGGAACAGTTTCATCCCAAGACCATTAGCATCCTGTGCCCCATCCCTTGCCGCCTGTGGAAAAATTGTCTTCCGCAAAGCCAGTCCCTGGTGCCAAAAATGTTGGGGACTGCTGTGCTTTAGAATCTGCCTGGAATCTGCAGCCTCTATTATATAGTTCCCTATAGACTTTGCTTCCTACCATCTTACATTCTGCCTTATAGGCATTTGTGTTTGCAACTCTTGCTTTTGTCAGTATGCTACGCTGGTGACATTGACCAAATTGACCACACATTAATTATAAGCTTAGTTGGTGATGACCTCAATGGAATAACATGACATAAGTATTGTGACACTACTTCTTGCATGTATCTGCAGGTGGAATTGTAAACCTGGTGGTCCGAGATGGTCTAATTCGATCTTCCTATGTATCTCCTTATATTAATAGTGGTAACATTTGTGGTGGTGATTCAGCGTTTCAATGCCTCTTCTCATGGCAACAACAAACGTTTTCCGTCTGAATCAACATTAACCTAGATGTTACTGCGGATCAGAATTAGACTCTACATTTTCAACCACAGAAATATTGGGCAGTAAACATTTTTCTTAATATTGATTGCCTACATAGGTTGTGTAATTAGCATATGTTTATAGTTCTATGATTTGTGCATGGCTGCTGCAGAGCTGGAGGGGGTAAAGCAACAGTGTTTTCTCAGTTGTGCGAGCAGCATTACATTATAATGAATAGGTAATATTAAACTGGGCTGATAAGAGTTGCAAAAGACTACTTTAATGTTCATATGGAACCAAAAAAGAGCCCGCATTGCCAAGACAATCCTAAGCCCAAAGAACAAAGCTGGAGGCATCATGCTACCTGACTTCAAACTATACTACAAGGCTACAGTAACCAAAACAGCATGGTACTGGTACCAAAACAGACATATAGACCAATGGAACAGAACAGAGCCCTCAGAAATAATACCACACATCTACAACTATCTGATCTTTGACAAACCTGACAAAAACAAGAAATGGGGAAAGGATTCCCTATTTAATAGATGGTGCTGGGAAAACTGGCTAGCCATATGTAGAAAGCTGAAACTGGATCCCTTCCTTACATCTTATACAAAAATTAATTCAAGATGGATTAAAGACTTAAATGTTAGACCTAAAACCATAAAAACCCTAGAAGAAAACCTAGGCAATACCATTCAGGACATAGGCATGGGCAAGGACTTCATGTCTAAAACACCAAAAGCAATGGCAACAAAAGCCAAAACTGACAAATGGGATCTAATTAAACTAAAGAGCTTCTGCACAGCAAAAGAAACTACCATCAGAGTGAACAGGCAACATACAGAATGGGAGAAAACTTTCATAATCTACCCATCTGACAAAGGGCTAATATCCAGAATCTACAAAGAACTTAAACAAATTTACAAGAAAAAATCAAACAACCCCATCAAAAAGTGGGCAAAGGATATGAACAGACACTTCTCAAAAGAAGACATTTATGCAGCCAACAGACACGTGAAAAAAATGCTCATCATCACTGGCCATCAGAGAAATGCAAATCAAAACCACAATGAGATACCATCTCATGCCAGTTAGAATGGCAATCATTAAAAAGTCAGGAAACAACAGGTGCTGGAGAGGATGTGGAGAAATAGGAACACTTTTACACTGTTGATGGGACTGTAAACTAGTTCAACCATTGTGGAAGACAGTGTGGCGATTCCTCAAGGATCTAGAACTAGAAATACCATTTGACCCAGCCATCCTATTGCTGGGTATATACCCAAAGGATTATAAATCATGCCGCTATAAAGACACATGCACACATATGTTTATTGCGGCACTATTCACAATAGCAAAGACTTGGAACCAACCCAAATGTCCATCAATGATAGACTGGATTAAGAAAACGTGGCAATTATACACCATGGAATACTACGCAGCCATAAAAACGGATGAGTTCATGTCCTTTGTAGGAACATGGATGAAGCTGGAAACCATCATTCTGAGCAAACTATCATCAGGACAGAAAATCAAACACCGCATGTTCTCACTCATAGGTGGGAATTGAACAAAGAGAACACCTGGACACAGGGCGGGGAACATCACACCCTGGGGCCTGTCATGGGGTGGGGGAAGCGGGGAGGGATAGCATTAGGAGATATACCTGATGTAAATGACGAGTTAATGGGTGCAGCACACCAACATGGCACATGTATACATATGTAACAAACCTGCACGTTGTGCACATGTACCCTAGAACTTAAAGTGTAATAAAAATAAATAAATAAATAGGGCTGATGAATCATATTACAGTAATCCAATATTTCCCTTGTAAAGTCCCTGAGGTTTACAGAAGGAAATCTTTTCTAATAACAAAAAGAGTGAGGCATGTGCTTTGGTCTTTATTTCCTAGTTATACGATCCTGGGTAAGGAGCTCAACTTTTCTCTGCCAAAATTAAATGAGGATTAAATGAGATCATATATGTGAAGTTGTGAAAGACAGTACCTGGCACATAGCAGGATCAATCAATGTTAGTATCTCTAAAATAGAGATTGAGTCTGAAGATCCACAAAGTGGTAGAACCGATCTTAAGATTCCCAAATAATAGAATTGTGCTTTATTTGCCTAAGTAGTATGGTATTACTTATTGTATGCCCAGGGGATCTTTTTTTTTTAAATAATATTTATTTATTTATTTTGAGACAGAGTCTCACTCTGTCCCCCAAGCTGGAGTGCAGTGGCACCATTTTGGCTCACTGCAACCTCTACCTACCCAGTTCAAGCAATTCTCCTGCCTCAGCCTCCGGAGTAGCTGGGATTACAGGTGCACACCACCATGCCCGGCTGATTTTTGTATATTTAGTAGAGACAGGGTTTTGCCATGTTGGCCAGATTGGTCTTAAACTCCTGACCTCAGGTGATCCAGCTCCCTCAGCCTGCCACAGTGCTGGGATTACAGGTGTAAGCCACCGCACCCAGACCTAATGTTTTATTTTTTGGTAGAGATGAGGTCTTACTATGTGGCCCAGGCTGGTCTTGAATTCCTGGACCTAAGTGATCCTCCCACCTTGACCTCCCAAATTGTTGGGATTACAGGCATGAGCCACCGCGCCCAGTTCCCTTCTTAAATAGTTTTAAGGGGGAGAAGAAAGAAAAAGACTGATTTTCTTCCCTTCCACTACCAAAACAGGCAAAACACACCAGAACACTTTGCTTAGCATTTCTTTTCTTTTCTTTTTTTGAGAAAGAGTCTCCCTCTGTCAGCCAGGGTGGAGTGCAGTGGGGCGATCTTGGCTCACTTCAAGCTCCACCTCCTGGGTTCAGGCCATTCTCCTGCCTCAGCCTCCCGAGTAGCTGGGACTACAGGTGCCCGCCACCACGCCCGGCTAATTTTTTGTATTTTTAGTAGAGACAGGGTTTCACCGTGTTAGCCAGGATGGTCTGGATCTCCTGACCTCGTGATCCGCCCGCCTTGGCCTCCCAAAGTGCTGGTATTACAGGCGTGAGCCACCGTGCCTGGCCGTCCCATCATTTTTTAAGATAAATTCACATACCATAAAACTTACCATTTTATTTTCTCTCTCTTTTCTCTTTCTTCCTTTCTTTCTTTTTTTTTTTTTTTTTTTTTTGCAGGCTGGAGTGCAGTGGCCCTATCGTGGCTCACTGCAACCTTGAATTCCTGGGCTCAAGAGATCCTCCCACCTCAGCCTCCCGAGTAGCAGTAGCTGAGACTATCAGTGCGCACCACCAAGCCTGAGTAATTACAATACTTTTTTCTTTTTCCTTTTCTTGATTTTCCGTAGAGATGGGGTCTTCCTATTTTGTCCAGGCTGATCTGGAACTCCTGCCCTCAAAGGATCCTCCTGTCTAATTCTCCCAAAGTGCTGGGATTACAGGCATGTGCCACCGCGCCTGGCCAAATGCACCCCCTTTTTTTAAGTGTACAATTCAATGGTTTTTAATAGATTCACAAAGTCATGGAACCATCACACCTATCTAATTTCAAAATGTTTTCATCACTCCAAAAAATAACCCCATATGGGAGGCCGAGGCGGGCAGGTCACTCGAGACCAGCCTGGCCAACATATTGAAACCCCGTCTCCACTAAAGATACAAAAATTAGTCGGGCGTGATGGCGCACGCGTGTAGTCCCAGCTGCTCGGGAGGCTGAGGCAGGAGAATCGCTTGAACCCGGGAGGCGGAGGTTGCAGTGAGCCCAGATCGCCCCACTGCACTCCAGCCTGGGCGACAGAGCGAGACTCCGTCTCAAAAATATCTAATTAATTAATAAAAATAAAATAAATAAATAAATAACCCCATGCCTTCTGCCTCTGTGGCTTTGCCTGTTCTCGGTATTTTGTGTCAATGGACCCATGCATGGGGGTGGGCCGGGCACCTTTCAAACGTTCAGCCCCCAGGACGGCCCGTGGCCTCCGGATTGGACGGCGCGAGCTGGGTGTGTGTGGGTCGCTCAATCGCTCCGGAGCTTCTGGAGGGGGCAGATGCAGGTGCCGGCTGCTGCAGTGCAGTAGCTGCTGGAGGCTGGGGAGGCCCGGACCCGGTGCAGGAAGACGCCGACCACGCGGGCTCCTGATCGCGGGCGCCCACAGCGCGGACATGGCGGGCTGGTGGCCGGCGTTGTCGCGCGCGGCCCGGCGCCACCCGTGGCCCACCAACGTGCTGCTTTACGGCTCGCTCGTCTCGGCCGGGGACGCGCTGCAACAGCGGCTGCAGGGCCGCGAGGCCAACTGGCGCCAGACGCGGCGCGTGGCCACGTTGGTGGTGACCTTCCACGCCAACTTCAACTACGTGTGGCTGCGCCTGCTGGAGCGCGCGCTCCCGGGCCGAGCGCCGCACGCCCTGCTGGCCAAGTTGCTGTGCGACCAGGTGGTCGGTGCGCCCATCGCGGTCTCGGCCTTCTATGTCGGTGAGGGGCCGGGAGGGGACCTGGGGGGTGGGACCCAGTATTGGGGGACTGGAGGCTGGGACTCGGGGATCAAGCGGCTGGAGGGAGGGCGCTGCAGGAGCCTGGGGACCCGGGCAGGAGCCGGGGCTCTGAGACCGGAGCTGCTTCAGAGGCCTGAAGGGCCAGGGCAAAGGCTAGAGGCTGGGGTGTTTGATTGCGAAAATTTGCAGGAGGCACTGGCTGGGGAGCCGAGAAATTGGGGAGCCAGAGGTCCACCAGGTCAGGAATTTAGAGGACTAGGGTCGGGGCTCAGACTCTGGGGTTGGGTGTAGACCAAGGCTGGAGGTAGGCAGGGCTGCGGAGGTCTTTGCCCCCTGAAAAAGGCCCACGGGAAAATAAAGGAGATCCCAGTTCAAGGCCGTAGCAGCTGCAATGACCGTGAACCAGTCGTGGGACAGGGAAGGAACCGACCTGCTGTTCAGAAAATCCACGCCTGGGGCCCCGGGGCCAACACAGGAACAAAATGCAAGGGGATCAGTGACCCTGAGGGGCAGAGCAGGTGGAATCTGAGGTTGGGCCTGGATCTTCAGCAAATTCATGCCCAGGGGCCTAGTCCTGGTTTGGTAACAAGATTTTCCCCTGGGGTCTCACGGAAAACATCAAGGGACCTTGGATCCTTGCCATGGAGGACTATATACCTGTGAGGGTTCAGGGAACCCTCTCCTTAGAAAATCCGACCCGGGCCTGGGGTGTGGGGGACAGGGGCTTGACTGTGGAAACCTTCTCTACTGCATACAATAAGAACAATGGAAATGGTACCTGAAAAATACCGGGGTTCATTCCCTTAACGAGTCACAAAGGACTCCACCAAGAGGCGGATTTTGATCAATGGGAGTTTTACTTGGCACAAGAAAGGAAGACACTGGGCGTATTCTCCCAAGTAGTGTGTCCCCCAGAGAAAGAGACAGGAGGGTTTTATAAGGTGATGGAGAAAGGAGAGGGTGCATGACTGCATGTAGAGTAGGGGTCCCAGTGAGTCATGATGCTAGCACATAGGCTGCATAGGTTGCATAGGTTATAGTCGTGAAGCTATAGCTTCTCCCGGGGTGAAGACTTTAGCATGGTAATGAGGAGAGTTAACTTGGGTTCATCTACAAGTAACCTGGGGTCACTTAGGAGCTGATTTAAACAAACAGGGTGACCTCATTCCGCCCAGGGTTGGGGAAGAACAGGTTGAGGTCAGGAGGCTGTAAAACAGGCTGATCGCTCAAGTTGGTTAAATTCTTGTCATCTTTGGAGATCCCCCGTCTGCTCACAGGAGGGGCCCTGTGGCCTCTAGCATCATTGCGATTTCTAGAGCCTTGAAGGGGATGGGGTGGGTAACTGGGGAGAAAATCTCTACGGGTCTCAAGCCTGACCTTGGGATTGGGGATCACAGATCTCCCCCCAAATGGGAGGGAACTTCTCCTAAGGGCTGTTGGTGCTTTCTAAACCAGGTTGAAGTCAGACAAGCCACCATCTTGAAGAAACCTACCCTGCCCCGTGTGCCTTATTTTTAAGAGTTGGATTCACTTCCTTTCCCTACAGACCCCACCAGAAACACAAACCACCTGGTTGCCTGTTGTCATTGCGGCCCAACTACATGGCTGACGGGGTCAGTGGGTCAGGAGAACAGGCAGCCTGAGAGCTAGGGCCTCCTGTTTTATCAGAAGGTCTGTGCCTGTGCCCGGTGTGTGATTTGCAGACTAGATTTGCAAACAGCTTCCTAGCACCTGTTACAGGAACCTGGTACACTGGTGAAGGGGTAGGGGACCAGAATGCTATTTAATCCTCAAACAACTAGTGAGATTGTTCTCTTTTTCTTCTTTTTTTTTTGAGACAGAGTCTCGCTTTATTGCCCAGCCTGGAGTGTGCAGTGGCCCAGTCTCAGCTCACTGAAACCTGCATCTCCAGGTTCAAGCAATTCTCCTGCCTCAGCCTACCAAGTAGCTGGGATTACAGATGCACACCACCATGCCCACCTAATTTTTGCATTTTTAATGGAGATGGGGTTTCACCATGTTGGCCAGGCTGGTCTCGAACTCCTGACCTCAAGTGATCTGCCCATTTGGCCTCCCAAAGTGCTGGGATTACAGGCGTGAGCCCTCACACTTGAGATTGTTCTTAATACTCTCATATTACAAATGAGGAAACTGAGTCTCAAAGGGGTTCTGTGACTCACCCAAAGACAACACAATCCAGGCACTTGATGCTCTCATGGTGGGAAGTTTGACAGTTTGCCTGAAACTGAAAGATGCTGAGTTACTAACAAGACTTGAACCTAAGTCCAGGCCAAGCTCTCTGATACAGATTCCTGGCCAGATTGCAGCTTTGCTTTGGTCTTCAGTTTTTCTTTTCTTTCTTTCTTTTTTTTTTTTTTTTGAAACGGAGTCTTGCTCTTGTTGCCCAGGCTGGAGTGCAATGACACAATCTCAGCTCACTGCAACCTCAGCCTCCCAGGTTCAAGCGATTCTCCTGCCTCTCCTGCCCCTCCTGAGTAGCTGGGATTACAGGTGCCCGCCACCACGCCTGGCTAATTTTTGTGTTTTTAGTAGAGACGGGGTTTCGCCAAGTTGGCCAGGCTGGTCTCGAACTCCTGACCTCAAGTGACTTGCCCACCTCGGTCTCCCAAAGTGCTGGGATTACAGGTGTGAGCCACCTCACCTGGCCGGTTTTCAGTTTTTCTGGTTCAGTTTCCCTTACCTCACATTTCAATGAAAGGGGAAGTGGAAGGGGATAGAGTGGAGGTTTGCGTAAGGCTTTACATGGAAATTGCAGGAATCAATTGATCTTTGTGCTGGGGCTACCTTGGGGAACCAGAGTCGTAACAGATTAACAACTCTGGCTTGGGAATCAGACACCTGGGTTGAACTCTGTCCGCTATTAACCTCTCTAAGCTCTTTTCCTCCTTTGTAACTCTACCCACCTTAGCGAATTGTAAGGAGGGGCACATGAAATGAGGCACATAAACTACATAGCATTTAATTAATGCTGGGTAAGTGGAACACAGTATTACCAATATTTTGCTGGGTCATGTAAGAATCGTCTGTAATTAACTAATAAAGCTCTTATATTCCCTCCCTCCTAATCAGGGATTGGAAAGAATTTTTAAAGTACTCTCAGTTTTACAACCTTCCTAAAATAGGAGAGCTTTGCCTTGCTACCTGAATTTATTGTTACTTTTTTCCTTTTCTTTTTCTGAGACAGGGTCTCACTCTATTCCCCAGGCTGAAGTGCAGTGATGTGATCACAGCTCATTGCAGCCTCGACCTCCTGGGCTCAAGCGATCCTCCCACCTCTGCCTCTGGAGTAGCTGGGACTACAGGCACGCACCCCTATACCTGGCTGGTTTTTAAATAGTTTTGTAGAGACAAGGTCTTGATATATTGCCCAGGCTGTGAATTTCTCTTCAGGGATATTGAAGATCAAAGTGTTTTTAGGAAGGGTGAATTGGTGTTCCACTTTCAAATTTTGAATAGGGTAATACTGATGGAAAATTTGTAGTTGCCAGAGTATTTGGGTCCACTGGCCTTTTTTTATTTTTATTTTTTTGAGATAGAGTCTTGCTCTGTCACCCAGTCAGGAGCACAGTGGTGCAGTCTCGGCTCACCTCAACCTCCAAATCCTGGGTTGTGTAGTGGTACAATCTTGGCTCACCGCAACCTCCACTTCCTGGGTTCAAGCGATCCTTCTGCCTCAGCCTCTCAAGAACCTGGAATTACAGGCATATGCCACCATGCCTGGCTAATTTTGTATTTTTAGTAGAGACGGGGTTTCTCCATGTTGGTCAGGCTGGTCTTGAACTCCCAACCTCAGGTGATCTGCCAGATCAGCCTCCCAAAGTGCTGGGATTACAGGCATGAGCCACGCGCCCAGCCCACTAGCTTTTTTAAAAAGACAGAAATTAAAATTTCAAAATGTTCAAATGTTCAACATTTCACAAAATGTTTGGAAGGTAGAGAAAGTAACCAATAGACCCACTATTGTAACCTGATTGTTTTTGTGAATTGTTAGTTTTTGAAAAAATAATCGTTCTGCTATAATTTTTATACTCTGCTATTCTCACTTCGTATTTATCATTCCTTTAAAATTTATCTAGTTTTAGAGTGGAGATTATGTTTTCTTTTTTTTTTTTTTTTTTGTTTGAGACAGGGTCTTGCTGTGTTGCCCAGGCTGGAGTGCAGTGGCATGATCACAGCTCACTGCAGCCTCCACCTCCCAGGCTCAAGCGATCCTCCCACCTCAGCCTCCTGAGTAGCTATGACTACAGGCACGCTACTACACCTGGCTAATTTTTGTATTTTTTGTAGAGATGAGGTTTTGCCCTGTTGCCCAGGCTGGTCTCTTAACTCCTGGACTCAAGCAATCTGCCTGCCTCGGCCTCCCGTTACAGGCTTGAGCCACGGCGCCTGTCTATGTTCTCTTTTCACTGTTGGGTCAGAGGGTCATATTGTTGGATGATAGTGATGGTTACTTTGCATTTTGGAATGGGAAACTTAAACATGAACTGTTATACGGTACTCTACTGAATCTTTTAAAATTTTTTTTGGGTTTTGCAAATAGGTATGAGCATTCTCCAAGGAAAGGATGACATATTTTTGGACCTGAAACAGAAATTCTGGAATACCTATCTGGTAAGATAGGCGTTTGAAAATGTAATCACTATATTTTTGTGTATATATGTATATATATGTGTATAAAAATATATGTTTTGTGTTTATATTTATAAAGATTAAAAAATCTTTTAATTGACACATATAAGTACATATTTTCATATACATGTGATAATTTGACACGTGTTTAATCACATCAGGATTTTTTTGTATGTGTGTGTGTATATATATATATATATATATATATATATATTTTTTTTTTTTTTTTTTTTTTTTTTTTTTAATTAAAAAAACCTTTTTCGAGACAGGGTCTCATTCTGGCACCCAGGCTGGAATGCAGTGGCATGGTCATGGCTCACTGCAGCCTGGACCTCCTGAGCTCAAGCGATCCTCCCACCTCAGCCTCCTGAGTAGCTGAGACTACAGGCATGTGCCACCACACCCAGCTAATTATTTTTAAATTTTTTGGTAGAGACAGAGTCTCACTATGTAGCACAGGCTGGCCTTGAACTCCTGTGCTCCAGTGATTCTCCCACCTCAACATTAAGTACATTTTTATTAAACTATTCCTAAATTAGAGCTCCAGTTTGGTTGACAGAAGGGTCCAATATTTTGACATAGAAATCTTAAAGTTATTTTGATAGATGTATGAGGAGAGGTTTTAAGAGTATCTGTACTTCTCATGAACTGGAAAGAAATAATGTCTCTGGGCCCGGTGCAGTGGCTCATGCCTGTAATCCCAACACTTGGGAGGCTGAGGCAGGCGGATCACTTGACGTTAGGAGTTTGAAACCAGCCTGGCCAATATGGTGAAACCCTGTTTCTACTAAAAATACAAAAAATAGTCAGGCACGGTGGTGCATGTCTGTAATCCCAGCTACTCAGTAGGCCGAGGCAGGAGAATCACTTGAACCTGGAGACAGGTTGCAGTGAGCCGAGATCGCACCACTGCACTCCAGCCTGGGCAATACAGCAAGACTCCATCTCAAAAAAGAGAAAAAAGAAGAAAAGAAAAGAAATAATATCTCTGAATTTTAGTCCATGTTCTCAGTGATTTCTGACTTTATTATATTAACTCTTAGTAATGATCACAATTTACTTTGTAAATTTTGCAGCCAAAGGGACAACAATTTATTCTGTAAATTTGGGATTCTATTTGCAAAATAGAGATTATAGATTGTGAGTGGCTTAATGGAATCATTCCCACATTCAGAGCCAATGTTTTCAGGTGAGCATCCTGCGGAGTCCTGGTGAAAAGAACTTTAACATCACAAAGGTATTGATAGAGAAGGAGAAGGTTTCCAAGGGTTATTCCAAGGTTTGAAGCAAATCAGCATTTTTACTGTTTGCTCGGCACAAATATATACAGTCCAGTCCAATACATATTTATTCATTGATTCAGTTAATATTTATTGAACAGTGTCCTTAAGGCCTGGCAAAATCAGGGATGGTTTTCATCTCTGCCCTAGAGCATGTTTGATTGCATTCATCACAAGGAGGTAAATCTTTGGGATTACAGAATGTTCGCAGACTGGCCTAGGGCTTCACATGTTCTTCCTTCCCTATCAAAAGCAGTGTTGAGCCACACCCAGCTATTACCTCCACAGCTTCTAGCATCATCTGTTGGATGGTACCAGGCCCCTGAGCCAGCATTACTTGATGGCTAGAGGCAGAGGATGGAGAGGTTTGAAGTCAGAGGCTTCCCCTGAGCCTCTATACTCAGGAACAGTAACTATAAGAAGTGTGTTCAGAACTCTTGTGATTTCTCTTAGGGCAGAAATTGAGGACCCCATGGTGACAACCAAATGTGATTTTCTTCTGGTTTTGTTTTTTGTTTGTGTGTTTTGGTTTTTTTGTTTGTTTGTTTGTTTTTTGAGACGGAGTCTTGCTCCGTAGCCTAGGCTGGAGTGCAGTGGCACTCTGCAACCTTTGCCTCCCGGGTTCAAGCAATTCTCAATTCTCCTGCCTCAGCCTCCTGAGTAGCTGGAATTACAGACTTGCACCACCACATCCAGCTAATTTTTTGTATTTTTCAGTAGAGATAGGGTTTCACCATGTTGGCCAGGTTGGTCTTGAACTCCTGACCTCAGGTGATCCGCCTCCCTCAGCCTCCCAAAGTTCTGGGATTACAGGCATGAATCACCATACCCAGCCACTTCTTCTGTTTTACTTTAGAAAAAGGAACAAGTTTTTCCATTATGTTGTAAAGTCTATGGAGATATGTACATCTAACTTTTTTTTTTTTTTTTTTAAAGAGCAAGGACCGGAGGCAGTAGCTCATGCCTGTGATCCCAACACTTTGGGAGGTGGAGGCGGGTAGATCACAAGGTCAGGAGATCGAGACCATCCTGGCTAACATGGTGAAACCGTGTCTCCACTAAAAATACAACAAATTAGCAGGGCATGGTGGCACAAGCCTGTAGTCCCAGCTACTTGGGAGGCTGAGGCAGGAGAATCACTTGAACCCGGGAGGCAGAGACTGTAGTGAGCTGAGATTGCGCCACTGCACTCCAGCCTGGGCGACAGAGCGAGACTCCGTCTCAAAAAAAAAAAAAAAAAAAAACAGCAAGAAGTAGGCAGCTCACACCTGTAATCCCAGCACTTTGGGAGGCTAAGGCAGGAGGATCACTAGAGCCCAGGAGTTTGAGACCAGCCTGCGCAACCATAGTGAGACCCCATCGCTACAAAAATAAAATAAATTAGCTGGGCATAGTTGCAAGTGTCTGTGGTCCCAGCTGCTCGGGAGGCTGAGATGGGAGGATTGCAAGCCTGGGAGGTCGAGGCTGCAGTAAGCTGTGATTGCACCGCTGCACACCAGCCTGAGTGACAGAGTGAGACCATGGTTCAAAAAAAAAAAAAAAGAGAGCAGGAAGTAGAATTGGGAAAGAAGCTTCAGGCAGGGATTTGTAAATGAACAAAACCACAGGAACATTTGCATACTGTTTAAAAAAAAAAACTGGTTACAATGAGTGAGTCTCATCTACCCTCAGGAGAAGAAAGAGGGCAAACCAGTAGTCTGAAGCCCAGCCCATCTGGAGATTTTTTGGGAAGATTTCCTTTAAAGAGGCAGGATGGCTCACGCCTGTAATCACAGCACTTTGGTAGGCCAAGGCAGGCGGATCATGAGGTCAAGGGATCGAGCCCATCCTCGCCAACTTGATGAAATCCCCTCTCTACTAAAAATACAAAAATTAGCATGAGCCCAGGAGGTCGAGACTGCAGTAAGCTACGATTGTGCCACTGCACTCCAGCCTGGGTAACACAGTGAGACCCTGTCTCAAAATAAAAAAATAAAATAAAATAAAGATCTGAAGTTATGCACATACTGGGGGACAGGTCATTCCAGGGGCAGAAGAGCTGAGTACAGTTGACAATGCGTAAAGCACCATGGTATGCCTGGAGGGGAGAAACCACAGGCAGTTTGGTGTTCACAGAGTATTTGTTGAGCAACTTGGAATGAGTTTGGATCCTGGAGACTGTTGAACACCCAGAGCTGAGGATCTTGAACTTCACAGTTAGGTAATGGCAGCAAAGGAAACCAAAGTGGGTGGTTATCGTGACCAAGTTCACATAAGAAATAAGGAAGCATATCAGGTGTGGTGGCTCACGCCTGTAATCCTAACACTTTGGGAGGCTGAAGCAGGAGGATCCCTTGAAGTTAGGAGTTCAAGACCAGCTTGGGCAACATAGCAAGACCCTGTCTGTATTTAAAAAAATAAACATGGTGGCTCACGCCTGTAATCTCACCACTTTGGGAGGCCAAGGCGAGCAGATCATATGAGGTCAGGAGTTCGAGACCAGCCTGACCAACATGGTGAAACCCTGTCTCTACTAAAAATACAAAAAATTAGCCAGGTATGGTGGTGAGTGCCTGTAATCCCAGCTACTCGGGAGGCTGAGGCAGGAGAATCACTTGAACCCGGGAGACGGAGATTGTAGTGAGCTGAGATTGCACCACTGCACTCCAGCCTGGGTGACAGAGCAAGACTCCATCTCAAAACAAACAAACAAACAAAAAAGAAATGAGGTGAGTTCAGCTTGGGAAATGTTGAATGTCAGATGCCTTTGGCCTATTCAGAGGGAGATTGCCCAAGCACAGAGGAGAGTTCATGGCAGGGTTTAATTATTTTTAGCGCTCACATGTCCCAGATTCGGCCAGTGGGAGTTCCCCCAAGCTGGTTCCTGTGTCCTGTGCATCACCCATCTTCTTTCTCCTTTACTTCTTTCTTAAGCCACTTCCTTTCTGGCATGACAGCGTGTTCCAGGATCATCTTGTACTTGCACCTGCCCTGCCCTGGCCCTAGAATCAGCCAATTCTTTGAGGCATCCTGCTTCCTTTTAGTGGGGGAATGATTTGAGAACAAAATATACTACCACATGATACTACATTCTGACAAGAAAAAAAACACAGCCATAAGAAATAAAGCCATGGCCGGGCACAGTGGCTCCTGTAATCCTAACCCTTTGGGTGGCGGAGGTTGGAGGATTGTTTGGGGTCAGGAATTCAAGACCAACCTGGCCCGCATAGTGAGGCCTCGTCTGTATTAAGAAAAAAAAAAAAAAGAAAGAAGGAAAGCCATGTTTGGATAAGTTTAGTCTTCTGATTATTTTTGCTAAAGTTTTAATTTTTTTTTTTTTTTTGAGACAGAGTCTCGTTCTGTTGCCCAGGCTGGAGTGCAATGGTGCAGTCTCAGCTCACTGCAACCTCTGCCTCCCGAATTCAAGCGACTCTCCTGCCTCAGCCTCTTGAGTAGCTGAGATTACAGGTTCCTGCAATCACGTCCTGCTAATTTTTATTTTTAGTAGACACAGGGTTTCTACATGTTGGTCAGGCTGGTCTCAAACTCACGACTTCAGGTGATCTGCCTGCCTTGGCCTCCCAAAGTGCAGGGATTACAGGGGTATATTTTATATTTAAAGCATATTTAACAATTAAGGGCCAGGCTCGGTGTCTCACGCCTGTAATCCCAGCACTTTGGGAGGCTGAGGTGGGCAGATCACCTGAGCTCGGGAATTTGAGATGCACAACAAGAGCGAAACTCCGTCTCAAAAAAAATAAATAAATATAAAATATACATTATGGCCGGGCATGGTGGCTCACGCCTGTAATCCCAGCACGTTGGGAGGCCAAGGCGGGCAGATCACCTGAGGTCAGGAGTTCGAGACCAGCCTGGCCAATATCATGAAACCTTGTCTCTACTAAAAATACAAAATTTAGCCAGGCATGGTCGTGTGCACCTGTAATCCCAGCTACTCGGAGGCTGAGGCAGGAGAATCACTTGAACCCAGGAGGTGGAGGTTGCAGTGAGCCAAGATCGCACCATTGCACTCCAGCCTGGGCAACAAGAGCAAAACTCCATCTCAAAAAATATATATATATACATACACATATACGTATATATGTGTATATATACGTATATATGTATATGTATACACACATTATATGTAATATCTACTTTTAAATATAAACATAAATATTATAAAGCTTTTATTGCAATTGTTCATTTTAGAAACTTCAGAAAATACAAATTAGTAAAAAGAAGAAAATAAGTCTGTAATACCACTTTTAAGGACTATTTTGAAAACCTCTAGCTGTTTTTTGAGATAAATTTACATACCAAGACTTTTTTTTAAAAAATCATAATGATGACTTTTTCATAGGACTGTGTAGGATAAAGCTTGTGAAATGTCTATCTAACATATTTTGTAATATATGAAAATTTCAGCTAAACTTGTTCTATAGCATCACATGGTTTCAATATATTATTAGAAAATCATTCCATAAACAATGGTTTGGTATATAGTTTCAACAATTCAAGGCTGGGCACAGTGGCTCATGCCTGTAATCCTACCACTTTGGGAGGCCGAGGCAGGCAAATCACCTGAGGTCAGGAGTTCAAGACCAGCCTGGCCAACATGGTAAAACCCTGTCTCTACTAAAAATACAAAAATTAGCCGAGCATGGTGTCAGGCACCTGTGATCCCAGCTACTCAGGAAGCTGAGGCAGGAGAACTGCTTGAACCTAGGAGGCAGATGTTGCAGTGAGCCAAGATCTTGCCACTGCACTCCAGACTAAGCGACAGAATGAGATTCCATCTCAAACAAAATAAATAAATAAAATAATTCAGCAGGATGAGGTGGCTCATGCCTATAACCCCAGCACTTTGGGAGGCTGCAGTGGGACTACTGCTTTTGCCTGGGAGTTCAAGACCAGCCTGGGCAACATAGAGATACCATGTCTCAGAAAAAAAAAAAATAATTTAAAAAAAAAGAATTCATTGATGATTCTGTATTTACAAATATATTCCTGCATCATTTGTTCATGGTAACCAGGAAATTGCAATGCATATATACATGCTGTCATTTCCAAAGCCGCTGTCTTCCAGAATTGGTACTGATTCTAGTAGACTTTTCACTCTGGTGTTAAAAATATAATTAATATAGGAATGTCTTCTACCTAATAGCTTTTTTCCCCACAACTCCCCAACCCCCTCACTCTAGAGGCCTTAAGTAGTCTAAGTTAATCAGCTTAGTCTGAAATATAATACTACCTAGGCATCTTGTTGGCCTAGTATTTCTTACTCTTTTATGGAATGAACTGTGCAATTGTTTTGTGTGGTTAAAAGGTATTCTAGGTCAGGTATAGTGGCTCACACCTGTAATCCCAGCACTTTGGGATGCCGAGGTGGGTGGATCACCTGAGGTCGGGAGTTCGAGACCAGCCTGGCCAACATGGTGAAAACCCGTCTCTACTAAAAATACAAAAATTAGCCAGGTGAGGTGGTGTGTGCCTGTAATCGCAGATACTCAGGAGGCAGAGACACGACAATTGCTTGAACCCAGGAGGCAGAGGTTGCGGTGAGCTAAGATTGCACCACTGCACTCCAGTCTGGGCAACAGAGTGAGACCCTGTCTCAAAAAATAAAAAACAAAATAAATAAATAAAAAATAAAAGGCAATCTAATAAAGTTGTTGCTTTTTTTTTTTCCCAATTCCAGAGTGGACTGATGTACTGGCCCTTTGTACAGGTAAGTTCCACCTACTCAGTAATATGAACTCAGGGCTTTGGTTTCCATGTGGCCCTAACGGACTCTCTCTCTGTTCCAGCTGACCAACTTCAGCCTTGTTCCTGTTCAATGGAGAACAGCTTACGCTGGAGTCTGTGGTTTTCTCTGGGCCACCTTCATCTGTTTTTCCCAGCAGAGTGGTGACGGCACATTCAAGTCAGCTTTCACCATTTTATATACAAAGGGGACCAGTGCCACAGAAGGGTACCCGAAGAAATGAGAAGTCAAGGACTCTCTTAAAGGGACCACATTTTTTACCTAAAATGCACAGAATTGCCTGCAGACAAAATATTTGATGTGCCAATTATGCACTTCATTTTGAGGAATTACTACTATTTATAGACCCACTTTTTAAAAAATTATCAATGATTATTTTTGAATTGTATTCAGACTTTTTTCCTGTTCTAGTCTGAAATATTACTTCTCTAATATTTTGGTTAATATGAATAATAGTGGCAAAATGGCATTTTAGAATTATTAATATTTCTAATATTTTAACACAAGTTTCAGGAAACTTGGTTTTGATTGTTCACATTTCTATTCTAAAATCTCAGGTTATCTCCTGAACACTTTTGGGCAGATGAAGTTTTATACCAAAAAATAGTTCTTAGAGTGAATTTTAATTTACATAGAACTCAATCGAAATGAAGATTTAATAACCAGATTTCTTTCTCCAAAACATACACAATTTGTTATTTTAGTAAATACCTTTTTTTTTTTTTTTTTTTTTTGTGGTGGAGTCTTGCTGTCTCCCCGGCTGGAGCGCAGTGGCACGATCGCGGCTCACTGCAGCCTCCATCCTCTGGGTTCAAGCAATTCTCCTGCCTCAGGCTCCTGAGTAGCTGGGATTACAGGCACGTGACACCAGGCCCAGCTGATTTTTGTATTTTTGTTCATTTGCTTTTGTTTTTGACACAGAGTCTCGCTCTGTCGCCCAGGCTGGAATGCAGTTGTGAGATCTCGGCTCACTGCAAGCTCCGCCTCCCGGGTTCACGCCATTCTGCGTCAGCCTCCCAAGTAGCTGGGACTACAGGCACCTGCCACGATGCCTAGCTAATTTTTTGTATTTTTAGTAGAGATGAAGTTTCACCGTGTTGGCCAGGATGGTCTTGATCTCCTGACCGCATAATCCACCCACCTCGGCCTCCCAAAGTGCTGGGATTACAGGCGTGAGCCACCACAACCGACTTTTTTTTTTTTTTTTTTTTTGAGACAGAGACTCGCTCTGTCACCCAGGCTGGAGTGCAGTGGCATGATTTCGGCTCACTGCAACCTCTGTCTCCTGGGTTCAAACGATCCTACTGCCTCATCCTTCGGAGTAGCTGGGATTACAGGCAGGTGCCACCATGCCTGGCTCATTTTTGTATTTTTAGTAGAGAGGGCGTTTTGCCATGTTGGCTAGGCTGGTCTCTGTCCGTCCTCTGAGCTCAAGCTAAGCCATCATATCCCAGTGACCTGCACATATACATCCAGATGGCCTGAAGTTACTGAAGATCCACAGAAGTGAAAATAGCCTTAACTGATGACATTGCACCATTGTGATATGTTACTGCCCCACCCTAACTGATCAATGTACTTTGTAATCCTCCCACCCTTAAGAAGGTTCTTTTTAATTCTCCCCACCCTTGAGAATGTACTTTGTGAGATCCACCCCTGCCCGCAAAACATTGCTCCAAACTCCACCACCTATCCCCAAACCTGTAAGAACTAATGATAATCCACCACCCTTTGCTGACTCCTTTTTTGGACTCAGCCCGCCTGCACTCAGGTGAAATAAACAGCCATGTTGCTCATACAAAGCCCGTTTGGTGGCCTCTTCACACGGACACGTGAGACAGTCTCCAACTCCTGGCCTCAACTGATCCACTCTCATTGGCCTCCCAAGGTGCTGGGATTATAGGCATGAGCCACCGCACCTGGCTCAGTAAGTACATTTTTTATTATCAAAAACAGAGTAGTGTATGATTGGCGTATTCTGTGTAGAATGTATTTTATTGATGTCTTCTATTTTTATAATTTTTAATGAATGCTTTTTAGTTTTGGGCAGATTCAGTTGACTAAAGCACCTCATTTCCCAGATACATGAAATAAAATACTTGGTTTCTTTTCCAATTTCACACTGATGTTATTTTGTGAAAATCAGTGCTTTAAGATAAATATTTATACTTTAAGGTAAACATGAGAAACTTGATCTAATATTTAATATTTATTCAGTTCTACGCTTTATTAACTTCTACACCAGCAGATTTAAAAATTATGTAACTATCTCAAGAAGTTTCACTTGGACGTAGTGGTTCACGCTTGTAATCCCAGCACTTTGGGAGGCTGAGGTGGGAGGATTGCTTAAGGCAAGGAGTTTGAGACCAGCCTGGGCAATACAGCAAGATCCCATCTCTATTTTAAAGAAAAGTTTCACTTTGGGAGGCCAAGGCGGTTGGATCACAAGGTCAGGAGATCGAGACCATCCTGGCTAACATGGTAAAACCCCATCTCTACTAAAAATACAAAAAATTAGCCAGGCGTGGTGGTGGGCGCCTGTAGTCCCAGCTACTCGGGAGGCTGAGGCAGACGAATGGCATGAACCCGGGAGGCAGAGATTGCAGTGAGCTGAGATTGTGCCACTGCACTCCAGCCTGGGTGACAGAGTGAGACTCCGTCTCAAAAAAAAAAAGTTTCAGTAAATTCCACCTAAGAATTCCACCAGAGTTCTGTCATCTCCAATGTCATGTTCCACAGATTTCAAGTTGTGAAGCCCTGAACTGTTAATTTATCCTGAGAATGTATATTTAAGCTTAATTTAAGACTATATACCTAAAAATTGAGCATATAATTTGTATAATTTGTTTATGTAAGTTTCTGTAAGTCATAAATATGTAGTTTCCAAGTGGATAATTTACCTGAATGTAAAAGGCATTAATATATTTTACATTATTGGGACCATAGTACAGAAATTTCTAAATGGTTTGTAAAATAACTTGTTATTTGCTTTGTTGTAAAAGTAGTTAATACAATGGAAAAATGGTTTCGTAATAAGAAGATACATTTTAACATCAAAACGTAGGCCGGGCACAGTGGCTTACGCCTGTAATCCCAGCACTTTGGGAGGCCGAGGCGGGCAGATCACGAGGTCAGGAGATCGAGACCATCCTGGCTAACATGGTGAAACGCCATCTCTACTAAAAATACAAAAAATTAGCTGGGCATGGTGGCGGGCGCCTGTAGTCCCAGCTGCTCTGGAGGCTGAGGCAGGAGAATTGCATGAACCCGGGAGGCGGAGCTTGCAGTGAGCAGAGATCAGGCCACTGCACTCCAGCCTAGGCGACAGAGCGAGAATCTGTCTCAAAACAAACAAACAAACAAAAAACTGTACCCAAGTTAATTATAAGTACTACCTGGTGCAAAACTTTACAGAAGCTGTGGTATCACTTTTATGATAGAAGAATAGTGTTTGCATTTTGTATAAAAGTACTTGGGGCTGGGCATGATCGCTTATGTCTATAATCCAAGTGCTTTGGGAGGCGAAGGCAGGTGGATCATCTGAGCCCAGGAGTTTGAGACCAGCCTAGGCAACATGGCAAGAGCCTGTCTCTCCAAAACCTACAAAAATTAGCCAAGCATGGTGGTGTGAGCCTGTAGTCCCAGCTACTTGGAAGACTCATGCAGGAGGATCTCTCGAGCTCAGGAGGCAGAAGATGAATAAATAAATGGATGCAACTGAATGAGATGAGGTCTCTCTTGAAGGAGAGAGCAAAAGAGATTTAAATAATAACAATTATAAGAAGGCTGGGCGCGGTGGCTCATGCTTGTAATCCCAGCACTTTGGGAGGCCAAGGCAGGTGGATCGGTTGAGGTCAGGAGTTCAAGACCAGCATGGCCAACACAGTGAAACCCCGTCTCTATTAAAAATACAAAATTAACCGGACATGGTAGTGCGTCCTGTAGTCTCAGCTACTCAGGTGGCTGAGACAGGAGAATCGCTTGAACCTGGGAGGCATAGGTTGTAGTGAGCCGATAAATATAAAAAGTATTAAAGTACTAACAGAAGAAAATTTCCACTGATCACCCTTTAGCTTTAAATAATGCAGAAGCATATGCCCAGTTTACTTGTAATTAAAAATCATGCATCATTCACAATTTATCAGTCTTTTTTGTTTGTACAAAAACTAATATAAGTTATTCTCTTTTATTTGTATTGTGATTGGTTTGATGAGAGGGAATTAGGCCACTTGAGAGTTTGTGCGTGTTTATAATTTTCTGGCTGGGCCCGGTGGCTCATGCCTGTAATCCCAGCACTTTGGGAGGCCAAGGCGGGCGGATCACTTGAGCTCAGGAGTTTGAGACCAACTTGGGCAATGTGGTGAAACCCTATCCCTACCAAAAATACAAAAATTAGCCGGGTGTGGTGGCTTGCACCTGTCCTCCCAGCTACTTGGGGGTGCTGAGGCAGGAGGATCACTCAAGCCCAGGAGGTGGAGGTTGCAGTGAGCCGAGATCACGCCACTGCACTCCAGGAAGGGCAACAGAGCAAGACTGTGTCTATAAAAAAAAAAAAAAGAAAGAAAAGTAAATTAACTTTGGTATTTCAGGTTGTATTTATATGGGGACTTCACATCAACTATGTTCACTACAATTGACCAAGTTAAGTGTAGACAGTCTCTTTAATAGAGAGATTATCTGGAACTGCAATTTTTTTTTTTTTTTTGAGACAGAGTTTCGCTTTGTAGCCCAGGTTGGAGTGCAGTGTCGCGATCTCGCCTCACTGCAACCTCTGTCTCCCGGGTTCACGCCATTCTCCTGCCTCAGCCCAAGTAGCAGGGACTAAAGGCGCCCGCCACCATGACCCACTAATTTTTTTTTTTTTTTGGATTTTTAGTAGAGTCGGGGTTTCACTGTGTTAGCCAGGATGGTCTCAACCTCCTGACCTCGTGATCTGCCTGCCTCTGCCTCCCAGAGTGCTGGGATTACAGGTGTGAGCCACCGCGCCCGGCCTGGAACTGCAATTTCTAACTCATACATCATTGCTATAAACCTTATTTGTTTACTGTTTCTCTTCCAAGGACGGTCAGTCATCCTTTAAAATTCATTTGAAGTTATGAAAAGATAGTTTTTGTTACATGGGCAATTTACTTTTAGTACAGTAAAATGTTATGTGAATTTCTACAGAATGTTTGCTAGAATGAATTATATCTAGGATATGCTTAACAATATATTCTGGAGGCAGCTTTCATTTGAAATTAGGTTCATCTTCTGAGAGTATTAAAAAGTTAATGGGTTTTTGTGCCTGAAGATTTTGATGTTGCATTTGGCTACATTTAATCCACTTTCACCCATAAGGTTTAGCATCTAAAAAAATTAAATCACTGCTAATGCAATTAAAATGACTGAAAAAGTTTCTTTTAATACTTTCAACAGCTGATACATAAAAAGGGAAATCTGGAATTTGAAGATAAAGTATGTGCTGGAGTTGAAAGGTTAGGAACACATGAAGATCTGTGAACTGTAGCTAACCTTGTGAATAGAAGGCAGTAATTACTGAGTAACATTTTTGGTATATATCAAGTAAAAGCTTGTCTTTTCCTAGTTCTCTTCTCCTTTGTTAAGTGTATCCTTCTCTAACTACATCTTTATTCATCCTTTTCTTCCTTCCTCTTTCTTTGTCCACAACCCAACCAAACCCACTGCTCTCTCCTCTCACCCCCTGCCCGTGCCATGACCACTTGAACATTCCAGGAGGGCAGAATAATTGTAATAAGGCTAAGGGCTTATTACACTTCTTACACTTAAGGACTCAACAGCCTTGCTTTAGAGAGGATGGTAGCGGAGGATCCTCTCTGGTCTCTGTGAGAAGAAAAGAGAAAGGACCATCCTACGGAGAATTTATTTTTATTTTTATCTTTTTTGAGATGGAGTCTCACTCTGTTGCTCAAGCTGCAGTGCAATGGCATGATCTTGGCTCACTGCAACCTCCGCCTCCCAGGTTCAAGCGATTCTCCTGCCTCAGCCTCCCGAGTAGCTGGGACTACAGGCATGTGCCAGCATACCCAGCGAATTTTTGTATTTTTAGTAGAGATGGGATTTCACCATGTTGCCCAGACTGGTCTTGAACTCCTGACCTCAAGTGATCTGCCTATCTGTCTATGATATTTTAGGTTGGCAGTTGCAAACTAATGGTCCACAGCGTGCTTTTTATGACACCTAGAAGGTTTGAAGACTTTGATTTCATAGTAAAAATCTGGGTTTCAGGCTGGGTGCGGTGGTGCATGCCTGTAATCCTAGCACTTTGGGAGGCTGAGGCAGGTGGATCACCTGAGGTCAGGAGTTCGAGACCAGCCTGGCCAACATGGTGAAACTGTCTCTACTAAAAATACAAAAATTAGCCAGGCGTGGTGGCATGTGCCTGTAATCCCAGCTACTCAGGAGGCTGAGGTGGGAGAATTGCTTGAACCAGGGAGGTGGAGGTTGCAGTGAGCCAAGATTGCGCCACTGCACTCAAGCCTTGGCAACAGAGCGAGACTCCATCTCAAAAATAAATAAATAAACAAATAAATAAATATATAAAATCTGGGTTTCAGGCCAGGTGTGGTGGTGCACTCCTGCAATCCCAGCACTTTGGGAGGCGGAGATGGGCAGACAGCTTGAGCTTAGGAATTCCAGACCAGCCTGGGCAACATGGCAAAACGCCATCTCTACAAATAACACAAAAACATTAGCTGGGTGTGGTAGAGTGCGCCTGTAATCCCAGCTACTTGGGAGGCTGAGGCGAGAGGATTGCTTGAGGCTGGGAGGTTGAGCCACGATCACACTCACACACTTCAACCTGGGCAACAGAGCCAGACTGTCTCAAAAAAGAAAAAGAAAAGAAAAAAGAAAAGAAAAAAGGAAACGTCTGGGCACATGCCTGCTACAGTCCTCTATGAAGCAATGTGCCGCAGCAGGGGTCCCTAATCCCTGGGCCATGGACCTGTACTGGTCTGTGGCCTGTTAGGAACTGGGCCACAGAGCAGGAGGTGAATAGTGGGTGGACAATTGAAGCTTCATCTGTATTTCTGGCCGCTCCCCATTGCTTGCATTGCTGCCTGAGTTCTGCCTCCTCTTAGATCAGCAGCATCATTAGATTCTCATAGGAGCATAAACCCTGTTGTGAATTGCACACACAAGGGATCCAGGTTGCATATTCCTTATGAGAATCTAATTCCTGATGATTTGTGGTGGAACAGTTTCATCCCAAGACCATTACCATCCTGCGCTCCATCCCTTGCTGCCTGTGGAAAAATTGTCTTCCACAAAGCCAGTCCCTGGTGCCAAAAATGTTGGGGACTGCTGTGCTTTAGAATGTGCCTTGAATCTGCAGCCTCTATTGTATAGTTCCCTATAGACTTTGCTTCCTACCATCTTACATTCTGCCTTATAGGCATTTGTGTTTGCAACTCTTGTTTTTGTTAGTATGCTACGCTGGTGACATTGACCAAATTGACCACACATTAATTATAAGCTTAGTTGGTGATGACCTCAATGGAATAACGTGACATAAGTACTGTGACAATACTTCTTGCATGTATCTGCTGGTAGAATTGTAAACCTGGTGGTCCGAGATGGTCTAATTCGATCTTCCTATGTATCTACTTATATTAATAGTGGTAGCATTTGAGGTGGTGATTCAGAGTTTCAATGCCTCTTCTCATGGCAACAACAAATGTTTTCCTTCTGAATCAGCATTAACCTAGATGTTACTGCAGATCAAAATTAGACTGTACATTTTCAACCACAGAAATATTGGGCAGTAAACATTTTTCTTAATATTGATTGCCTACATAGGTTATGTAATTAGCATATGTTTATAGTTTTGTGATTTATGTGTGGCTGCTACTGAGCCAGAGGGGGTAAAGCAACAGCGTTTTCTCAGTTGTGTGAGCAGCATTACGTTATAATGAATAGGTAATATTAAATTGGGCTGATGAATCATATTACAGTAATCCAATATTTCACTTGTAAAGTCCCTGAGGTTTACAGAAGGAAATTTTTTCTAATAACAAGAAGAGTGAGGCATGTGCTTTGGTCTTTATTTCCTAGTTATACGATCCTGGGTAAGGAGCTCAACCTTTCTCTGCCAAAATTAAATGAGGATTAAATGAGATCATATATGTGAAGGTGTGAAGGACAGTGCCTGGCACATAGTGGGATCAATCAATGTTAGTATCTCTAAAATAGAGATTGAGTCTGAAGGTTCATAAAGTGGTAGAACAGATCTTAAGATTCCCAAATGATAGAATTGTTATTTATTTGCCTAAGTAGTAGTAGATTACTTATTGTATGTCCAGGGGATCCTTTTTTTTTTTAAATAATTTTTATTTCTTTAAGACAGAGTCTCACTCTGTCCCCCAAGCTGAATGCAGTGGCACCATTTTGGCTCACTGCAACCTCTATCTCCCTGGTTCAAGCAATTCTCCTGCCTCAGCCTCCTGAGTAGCTGGGATTACAGGTGTGCACCACCATGCCCGGATAATTTTTGTAGTTTTAGTAGAGGCAGGATTTTGCCACGCTGGCCAGGCTGGTCTTAAACTCCTGACCTCAGGTGATCCAGCTGCCTCAGCCTCCCAAAGTTCTGGGATTGCAGGCATGAGCCACTGGGCCTGGCCTTTTTTTTTTTTTTGTGAGGCAGGATCTCACTCTGTTGCCCAAGCTGGAGTGCAGTGGCACTACCATGCCTCACTGAAGCTTTGAACTCACTGGCTAAAAAGATTCTCCCACCTCAGCCTCCTGAGTAGCTCCATGGGTATGCACCACCACACCCCATTATTTTATTTTTTGAGAAGGAGTCTCACTCTGTCACCCAGGCTGGAGTGCAGTGGTATGTTCTTGACTCACTGCAACCTCCACCTCCCAGGTTCAAGCAATTCTCCTGCCTCAGCCTCCTGAGTAGCTGGGATTATAGGCGCATGCTATCTTGCCTGGCTAATTTTTTTGTATTTTTGTATTTTTTAACTAGAGACAGGGCTTCACCATGTTAGCCAGGATGGTCTCGATCTCCTGACCTTGTGATCTGCCCACCTCGGCCTCCCAAAGTGCTGGGATTACAGGTGTGAGCCACCGTGCCCAGCCCTGGTATTTTATTTTTTTTTTTTGTAGAGATGAGGTCTTACTATGTGGCCCAGGCTGGTCTTACATTCCTGGACTCCGACCTTGACCTCCCGAAGCGTTGGGATTACAAGCATGAGCCACCTCGCCCAGTTCCCTTCTTAAATAGTTTTAAGGGGGAGAAGAAAGAAAAAGACTGATTTTCTTCCCTTCCACTACCAAGACAGGCAAAACACACCAGAACACTTTGCTTAGCATTTCTTTTCTAAAGTGACCAAAATTTATAATAGACACTTAAAATGTGTACTGGAATATATCCCAATTATATCCCCAGTCTATAACTCAGCTATATGCAGCTCCTTTGTCTTATTAATGCTATGAATCAGCAATAGTTTATGTTTTCATATCACCTGAGGCCATGCAATCCTCTTTTTTGGTTGTTGAAATAATTTCTATAACTATTTCACAATTTCAATTGCCAACATTAATTCAACAGTATTTAAGCTGTCTGTCCCAGACACTATGCTAGCCTTTGGAGATTTCCAAGGTGAATAAGGTGAGGACCCGGCTATTTGCCTACGGTCTAGCAGACAGACCTTTTTTTTTAATTTTTTGAGACTGAGTCTCGCTCTGTCACCCAGGCTGGAGTGCAGTGGTGCGATCTCAGCTTACTGCGAGCTCCGCCTCCCCAGTTCACGCCATTCTCCTGCCTCAGCCTACCGAGTAGCTGGGACTACAGGCGCCCACCACCACACCTGGCTAATTTTTTGTATTTTTAGTAGAGACACGGTTTCACTGTGTTGGCCAGGATGGTCTAGATCTCCTGACCTCGTGATCCGCCCGCCTTGGCCTCTCAAAGTGCTGGGATTACAGGCATGAGCCACTGCGCTTGGCCACCTTTTTTATTTTTTATTTTTATTTTTTTGATAGGAGTCTCCCTCTGTCTCCCAGCCTAGAGTGCAGTGGCACGATCGTGGCTCACTGCAACCTCTGCCTCCAGGGTTCAAGTGATTCTCCTGCTTCAGCCTCCTGAGTAGCTGCAACTTACAGGTGTGTGTCACCACACCCAGATAATTTTTGTATTTTTAGTAGAGACAGGGTTTCGCCACGTTGTCAGGCTGGTCTCGAAATCCTGACCTCAGGTGATCTACCCGCCTCAGCCTCCCAAAGTGCTGGGATTACAGGCATGAGCCACCGCACCTGGCCAGCAGACAGACTTCTAAGCAAATTACAGCTACCACTTTTTGTATGCTCACTAACTGTAGATAAGGGTCTATGCCAAGCCCTTTACATCATGTGGTAATTGATATGGTGTAGTTGAGTGGTTTCTACCATCGATTTCCTTACCTCCCCCACTTCCCAACAGCTCCCAGTTCCTTTTTGGGGATCTTCCCAGAAGATGACTTTACTTGGCTCAAGAGGTGGAGCACATGACAGATTAAGCCAATCAGGGCGTTTCATGCCCCTTGCTACAGGGTTCAGAGACAATCATGTTATCTGCAGCTGCCCAATTAGAGTGAATCTCATAACCTTTGATGGAAAACCAGGACAAAGGCATATTCTCTCATTGTGTCATAGAGATGTTAATATAGATGTAAGGCCTAGGACTACCATAGCCATTTTTTGTTACCGTGAAAGACATGGAGGCAAGAGGGTATCACTGAAAGAATCTCAGAGAAACCCTGATGATTTCATAACCTCTGATATAGCCTATGCCCAAAGCCTGCTCTGGGCTTTTCTGTTATAGGAGCTAGGAGATTCCCTTTATTTTTCAAACCACTGGGAATTAGGTTTTCTGTTACTTGAAGGAAAGCATCATAAAGGATACACAGGACCTTTTTTATAACACAGTAGATATTATTCTCATTTTATTTTTGTGTGTTTTGTTTTGTTTTGTTTTTTAAGACAGAGTCTCGCCATCTCAGCTCACTGCAACCTCCACCTCCTGGGTTCAAGCGATTCTCGTGCCTCAGCCTCTTGAGTAGCTGGGACTATAGGAGCGCACCGCCATGCTGAGCTAATTTTTGTATTTTTAGTAGAGACAGGGTTTTGTCACGTTGGCCAGGCTGGTCTCGAACCCCTGGCCTCAATGGATCCACCCACCTTGGCCTCCCAAAGTGCTGGGATTATAAGTGTAAGCCACCACACTCAGCTGATTCATTTATTTTCATTTTTTTTTGCCATACAAACCAACAACTTGCAAACTCCCATTATAAACATTTCCAGAAATTTATGGGGTACAGGTGCAATTTTGTTGCATGCATAGATTTCATACTGGAGAAGTCAGAGCTTTTAGGCTGTCCATCACCTAAATGACGTGTATTGTACTGAATAAGTAACTTCTCATCATCCACCCACCTCCCACACCCTAACCCTTCTCAATCTCCATCATCTATCATTCCACACTCTACATTTCTGTGTACACATTCTTTAGCTTCCACTTATGAGTGAGAACATGCAATATTTGTCTTTCTGTGTCTGGCTGGTTTAAGATAATGGCTTCCAGTTCTGTCCATATTGCTGCAAAGGACATGGTTTCATTCTTTTAATGGTTGAATAGTATTCTATTGCGTATATGTATCACATTTTCTTTTTTTTTTTTTTTTTTGAGACGGAGTCTCGCTCTGTCGCCCAGGCGGACTGCGGACTGCAGTGGCGCAATCTCGGCTCACTGCAAGCTCCGCTTCCCGGGTTCACGCCATTCTCCTGCCTCAGCCTCCCGAGTAGCTGGGACTACAGGCGCCCGCCACCGCGCCCGGCTAATTTTTTTTGTATTTTTAGTAGAGACGGGGTTTCACCTTGTTAGCCAGGATGGTCTCGATCTCCTGACCTCATGATCCACCCGCCTCGGCCTCCCAAAGTGCTGGGATTACAGGCGTGAGCCACCGCGCCCGGCCCACATTTTCTTTATCCACTCATCTGAAGATGGACACTTAGATTGAGTCCACATCTTTGCTATAGTGCATTCACTCTCATTGTTATAGTTGAGAAAACAAAGGTCCTTGCCCTTTGCCACTAAGCCAATACATGGCAGAGTCAGGTTGATTTCCAAACCCACACTCTTATGATCATGCTTCTAGTAACTCCAGTGCAGTTTAAGAGGTATATCAAAGATACAGTAGTGACAGCCAGGCATAGTGGCAGGCACCTGTAATCCCAGCTACTTGGGAGACAGGAGAATCACTTGCACCGGGGAGGTGGAGGTTGCAGTGAACCAAGATGGTGCCACTGCACTCCAGCCTGGTCAACGTAGCGAGACTCCATCTCAAAATAAATAAACAACTAAATAAATAAAAGGGATACAATAGTGACATAAAGGAATGATCAGCTCATTGTGTGTGTGTGTGTGTGTGTCTGGTGGCCATGGAGATATTCCAGGGCACCAGACATGGACAAAAGTATGAAGTGAAGGGCTCATGGTATATGCTAAATAAATGTTTCTATTTTATTTTCCTTTGCGCTTCTGAGAAATTTGCTGTGCTAGGGAATCTTAGTGGGAGGTTCCAAATGTCTCTAATGGGTCCTTAAAAGTAACACAGGGGACTGAGAGTTACTTTCAAAAAGCTCGTATTTTAAAACAGGTTGTGCAGATGAATTCAGACTTTTGTTTGTTTGTTTGAGACAGTGTCTCATTCTGTTGCTCAGGCTGGAGTGAGGCAGTACAATTATAGTTCACTGTAGTCTTGACCTGCTAGGCTCAAGCAATCCTCCTACCTCAGTCTCTGGAGTAGCTGGGACTACAGGCCTCCACACCTGCATAATTTTTTTTTTTTTTTTTTTTTTTTTGTAGAGACAGAGTTTCACCATATAGCCCAGGCTGGTCTTGAACTCCTGGCCTCAGGCAGTCCTCCTGCCTCGGCCTCTGAAAGCATTGGGATTACAGGCATGAGCCACTGTGCCTGGCCCAGACAGGCCCAGACTTCTTTACCATGGATGAGATCTTTGTCAACTCAGTGTGGCCATCTCACGCTGCTTTGTCAACAAGTTCTTTTTTTTTTTTTTTTTTTTTTTTTTTTAATGAGACAGGGTCTTACTCTGTTACCAAGGCTGCAGTGCAGTGGTTCAATCTCGGCTCACTGCAACCCCTGCCTCCTGGGTTCAGGCAATTCTCCTGCCTCCGCCTCCTGAGTAGCTGGGATTATGGGTGCCCACTACCACACCCGGTGGTACATAATAATAATTTTTCTATTTTTAGTAGAGACAGGGTTTTGCCATGTTGGCCAGGATGGTCTCGAACTCCTGGCCTCAAGTGATCCGCCCTACGTGGCCATCCAAAGTGCTGGAATTACAAGTGTGAGCCACCGCGCCTGGCCACATTCTATCATTTTTATATTGGTTTAGTCCATCCTGTCTTTGATTCCACTGCCATTGCTTATTTCAGATCATTGCTGTTTCTCATGGAGACCCTTGATACTCAGAGTGTGGTCCATGGATCAGAGTCTCAACATCACCTGGGAACATCTAGGAATCTTAGATACCCACCTCAGACTCTCTGGATTAGAATGTGCATTTTAACACACTGAAATTTGACAAGCACTAATAAATTTTTTCACTAGAGTCTTCCAATGATCTCCCGACTCTAGTTTGGTTTTGTTTTTTCAGAGATAGGGTCTCTCTCTCTCTCTCTCTCTCTCTCTCTCTCTCTCTCTCTCACCCAGTTGAGAGTGCAGTGGTGCACTCCATAGCTCACTACAGCCTTCAGCTCCTGAGCTCAAGTGATCCTCTTGCCTCAGCCTTCTGAATAGCTAGGATTACACATGCATGCCATTACATGCAGCTACGTTTCTACTTTTTGTAGAGACAGGGTCTCACTATGTTTTCCAGGCTGGTCTCGAACTCCTGGCCTCAAGAGATCATTCCACCTTGGCCTCCCAAAGTGCTGAGATTAGAGGCATGAACCACTGCGCTGGGCCCCTGCCTCTAGTTTTTTTGTTTGTTTGTTTGTTTTGAGACAGAGTCTCACTCTATCACAAAGTCTAGAGTGCAGTGGCGCAATCTTGGCTCACTGCAAACTCTGCCTCCAGGGTTCAAGCAATTCTCCTGCCTCAGCCTCGTAAGTAGCTGTTCCAAGCATTTTGAGAGGTGGAGGTGGGCAGATCGCTTCAGCCCAGGAGTTCAAGACCAGCCTGGACAACGTGGCGAAACCCATCTCCACCAAAAATACAAAAAATTAGCTGGGTGTGGTGGTGCACCTCAGTGGTCCCAGCTAGACAAGAGGCTGAGGTAGAAGGATCACTTGAGCCCAGGGGCGGAGGTTGCAGTGAGCCGAGATCCTGCAACTGTGCTCCAGCCTGGGTAACAGAGCGAGACCGTGAACATTAAATAAAAACGGATTGTCTAGGGGAGAGAGAAGTTGAGACCAAAATAGTTCAATGCTAGTAGAGAGTAAGGGACAGAGTATAGGTTAATAAATTTAGATTTACCTAGGTAGTATCAGCCAGATTTGTAGGTCAAAGTACAAATTTACGGCCGGGCACCGTCCCAGCACTTTGGGAAGGTGAGGCAGGTGGATCACTTGAGGTCAGGACTTCAAGACCAGCCTGGCCAACATGGTGAAACCCTGTCTCTAGTAAAAATACAAAACGAAATTAGCCAGGTGTGGTGGCGCTGCCTGTAGTCCCAGCTACTAGGGATTCTGAGGAAAGAGAATTGCTTGAACCCAGGAGGTGGAGGTTGCAGTGAGCTGAGATCATGCCACTGCACTCCAGCCTGGGCCACAGAGTGAGACTGTCTCAAAAACAACAACAACAAAAACAAAGTACAAATTTACTGGTTTCAATGACTAGCTCAAACAAAGGTGTCATCAGCTGTCATAGGAAATACACAAGATAGGATCTGGAGGAAGATATTAAATTTGAAGTGCTTCTGGGATATCTAGTCTAGTGGTGCTGCCCAACAAAGAGTTGTATAGACACATCTGGAAATATAAGTTCGTAAACTTTTAGCATGTCTTTACTCACTTTACTGTTTAGTTTAGGTGAACCTTTTTCCAGAGGGTAACTCCCCTGCATAGATGATGGTAAAAAACTGTAGAGACTAAGGTTGGGGTTATAAATACACAGTAAATATAGGTAGAATGCAAGGAATTTTTTTTTTTTTTTTTTTTTTTTTTTTTTTGGAGAGACACGATCTCACCAAGTTGCCCAGCCTGGCCTTGAACTCCTGGGCTCAAGCAATCTTCGTGCCTTGACCTTCCACAGTGCTGGGATTACAGGTATGGGGTACCGCCTCCGGCCAGATGCAAGGATTTTATTTCCTGGATGGAGCAGCATTTTGGAGCATCCAGAAATATCAGCCCTGTATGCAAGGGGATGCTGTTGAATCAATTCCACATGAAATAGACAAGGCATACTAGCAGTTATGTTAGGATGTTATTATTTGAGCCATACACAGATCAGGGGGCACTTTAGAATTTTTCTTCTGCTTACTCAGTTCATTCATACGTTCAACAAGCATTGGCTGGGTATCTACCACGTGCCTTTCAATATTTCAGCTCTGATGATTTGAAAGTAAATAGAACACATTTCTACTTCATGGGTATCCTCATGTAAATATGTGATTTATAAATGAGTTGTATTACTCACGCACATTTCTTTTCTTTTCTTTTCTTTCTTTTTTTTTTTTTTTTTTTTTTGAGACAGAGTCTCACTCTGTTGCCCAGGCTGCAGTGGTGTGATCTCGGCTCACTGCAACCTCTGCCTCCCAGGCTCAAGCGATTCTCAAGCCTCAGCCTCCCAAGTAGCTGAGTAGCTGGGATTACAGGCACACGCCACTACGCCTTGCTAATTTTTGTATTTTTAGTAGAGATGGGATTTCACCATGTTGGCCAGGCTGATCTCAAACTCCTGGCCTCAAGTGATTTACCTGCCTCGGCCTCTCAAAGTGCTAGGATTACAGGCATAAGCCACCATACCCAGCCCTCACACACACTTCTGGTGAGTATAACTTGGCATGACACTTTTGAAGGATGGCTTGATAATATAAAATGCCTTTAAAAATGTGCATATCCTTTGATTCAGCAATTTCACATCAAGGAATTTTTCCCAAAAGAATAAGATATCTACAAAGCTTTAACTGCAAGACTGCTCCTCATATTTTGCTGATAATCTCGAGAATTTAGGAATAACCTGTTTGTCCCCAGAACCAAGGAGATTGGTTATATAAATTATTCTATAGATAGCAGGAAACCAGTGGATGATTTTCTTTTTAATTTTTTTTTTTTTTTCAGAGACAGGTTCTTGTTCTGTAGCCCAGGCTGGAGTGCAGTGGTGTGGTGATCACAGCTCATTGTAACCTCGAACTCCTAAGCTCAAGCGATCCTCCCACCTCAGCCTCCCAATGGAGGTTTTTAAGCAGGAGAGTGGCATTGGATGTGTGTGTGTGTGTATCTAATTTTAGAAGTCGTGTGGAGAATGGTTTTCAGTAGGGAGAAAAAAAACCCAGAAAAGATGTTTTTTGCCACAGTGTAGGTCAGAGATGATGCAAAATTGAGCTAACTTAGGCAGTAGGAAGGAGGAGGAGAATCAGATTTGGGAGCTATTTCCAAAATAGAGTCAATAGGATTTGTTGACTGACTGTGGCAGAGAGTGTTGGGATGTTGCAGAATAAGGTACCAAGGATATACTGAGATTTCCAACTCGGATGGAGCAGGTATGGGGGCTGATATAGTGAATCTGACTTTGAATATGATCAGGTTGAGGTTATAAATCCCTCTTCATGGGCACTGCCATGGTGGTTTCTTGAAACACCTTTGAGAGGTGATGTGGGATGTGGCGAAGTGTTTAGGCTTTGAGACTGGCTGGCTGAGTTTGAATGCTGGTTCTGCCATGTGTTAGCAAGTAATTTACTTACCCAAACTCTCTGAGCTACAGCCCCTGTCTCACAGGATACTACAGCATAGAATGAAGAAGGATAAATCTGGTACAGTGCCCAGCACATAGTAACCACGCAATAAACATCAGCTTTAAAAAAACAGACAATGCGGGCTGGGCGCAGTGGCTCACGCCTGTTATCCCAGCACTTTGGGAGGCCGAGGCAGGCGGATCACAAAGTCAAGAGATCGAGACTATCCTGGCTAACTTAGTGAAACCCCGTCTCTACTAAAAATACAAAAATTAGCTGGGCATGGTGGTGCATGCCTGTAATCCCAACTACTGGGGAGGCTGAGGCAGGACAATCGCTTGAATCTGGGAGGCGGAGATTCCAGTGAGCCGAGATAACGCCACTACACTCTGACCTGGCGACAAAGCGAGAAAGCGAGACTCCCTCTCAAACAAAAAACAGTCAATGCTGCCTGTAATCCCAGTATTTTAGGAGGCTGAGGTGAGCAGATTGGGCTGAGGTTGGGAATTCAAGACCAGCCTGGCCAAAAGGTGAAACCCTATCTCTACCAATAATACGAAAAATTAGCCAGGCGTGGTGGTTCATGCCTGTAATCCCAGCTACTTGGGACAGGCGTGGTGGTTCATGCCTGTAATCCCAGCTACTTGGGAGGCTGAGGCAGGAGAATCGTTTGAACCTGGGAGGCGGAGGTTGCACTGAGCCGAGATCGCGCCATTGCACTCCAGCCTGGGGGACAGATTGAGACTCCATCAAAAAGAGAAAAGAAAACCACAAAAAAACTCAGACAATTCTATAATAGAGGGAGAATACGCATGCAACCCAGGGATTTTTCTCAGATACCCTCCCCATTCTCAAATAGCATGTGCTCTAAGCTCCTATGGTAAAAGCTTCATGCCCCTGCAAAACTCACACACCTGATCCCACTCCTCAAGCACTTCATGGAGAAGCAGCAGCTCCCAGCTCTATAACAGATAGGGGATTTCAGGTCCTAAGTCTTGAGAGCAAATATTTCCTCAACTTCTTTTCTCTCTCTCAAGCCTCCTTTAAGAGGAATACATACTATGCTTTCTGGAACTCTGTTCTATCTTCCAAACCCATTTATATCTTTTACGATTTTTTTTCCCCAAGATTGCGGATATTTTCTATTTTTTTTCTGGAGACAGTCTCGCTCTGTTGCCCAGGCTGGAGTTCAGCGGTGCGATCTCAGCTCACTGCAACCTCCACCTCCCGGGAGGAACTGCCAGACCATCTTCCAAAGAGGTTGCAACATTGTATATTCATGGTATGAGAGATCTAATTTTTCTACTCAATGTCATTTTAATGGTGTGGTGTTTTGTTTTGTTTTGTTTTGTTTTGTTTGAGACAGGATTTCACTGCCACTCAGGCTGGAGGGCAGTGATCCAGTCATAGCTCACTGCAGCCTCAACCTCCTGGGTTCAAGTAAGCCTCCCACCCCAGCCCCCTGAGCTGCTGGGACCACAGGCACATGCCACCACTCCTGGCTAATTTTTTAATTATCACTTGTATAGATGGGATCTCCCTATGTTGCCCAAGCTGGTCTTGAACTCCTGGGCTCAAGCAATCCTTTTGCCTCAATCTCCCAAAGTGTTAGTGAGAGGTGAAGCCCGCTGCATTTCCTGTATGGAGTGGGGACTTGGAGAACTTTTCTGTCTAGCTAAAGGTTTGTAAACGCACCAATCTGCACTCTGTAAAAACTCACCAGTCAGCGCTCTGTGTCTAGCTAAAGGTTTGTAAACGCACCAATCTGCACTCTGTAAAAACGCACCAATCAGCAGGACATGGGCAGGGACAAATAAGGGAATAAAAGCTGGCCACCTCCAACCAGCAGTGGCAACCTGCTTGGGTCCCCTTCAACGCTGTGGACGCTTTGTTCTTTCGCTCTTCACAATAAATCTTGCTGCTGCTCAGTCTTTGGGTCTGCACCACCTTTGTGAGCAATAACACTCACTGCGAGGGTCTGCGGCTTCACTCCTGAAGTCAGCGAGACCGTGAACCCACCGGAAGGAAAAAACTCCAGACACATCTGAACATCTGAAGAAACAAAGTCCGGACACACCATCTTTAAGAACTGTAACACTCACTGCGAGGGTCCACAGCTTCATTCTTTAAGTCAGAGAGACCAAGAACCCACCAGAAGGAATACATTCCAGACACATTAGGATTACAGGTCAATGTCATTTTAATAGGTTTTTGGTTTTGATTTGGAGACTTCATTTGGTAAATTCTCAAAGAGTCAGCACTCAAAATATCAGCTAACACGTTGCTTCAACCCAAGAAGGATGATGATCATGATGATGATACTAACTTGTACTGAGGACCTCCTATGGGCTGCCATACTTTATCTCATTTAATCATAATAGTCCTCTGGGGCTGGGTGTGGTGGTTCATGCCTATAATCCCAACACCTTGGGAGGCCTAGTCAGGCGGATCACCTGAGGTCAGGAGTTCCAGACCAGCCTGGCCAAAATGGTGAAACCTCGTCTCTACTAAAAATACAAAAATTAGCCGGGCCTGGTGATGTGCGCCTATAATCCCAGCTACTCAGGAGGCTGAGACAGGAGAATCACTTGAACCTGGGAGGTGGAGGTTGCAGTGAGCCAAGATCACACTACTACACTCCAGCCTGGGCAACAGAGTGAGACTCCATGTCAAAAGAAGAAGAAGAATAGTCCTCACCACTACACTCCAGCCTGGGCAACAGAGTGAGACTCCATGTCAAAAGAATAATAATAATAATAATAATAGTCCTCACCACTACACTCCAGCCTGGGCAACAGAGTGAGACTCCACATCAAAATAATAATAATAATAATAGTCCTCAGAATAGATAATAATGTCATTAGCATTTGAAAGAAAGTGAAGATTAAAGAAATTAAGGGACACAACACACAGAGTCACACAGCCAGCAGGTGGCAGAGTCAGGGCTCAAACTCAGATCCTCTGGATTTCACGGCCCGCATTTTTGAAAACCATGCGATTCTCATAAGCTCAGTGTCATGGACGTTTGAAATTCTCAACATGCTGGATGAAGTATCAAATTACCAGGATGAGATTGCATTATTTTTCCTTTCAATCAAGCAAAATGACAGTTATAAAAGTGTCTTGCACTGGCCCCTGCTGCCTTGGCTCTTTATAATCACCCAGGATCCCTCCAAGTCCTTGGCATTCCCAGCAAAGCCGAGGCACTGAGCCAGGACAAGCAGCCAGGGCTCGGGGGCGGTGGCGGGGGGGTGAGGGGGTGAAGGGGAGGGTGTGGGGGGGTGTTGCTGCTTAATACTTCCATGCAGATGGTGACTTCAGCCAGTTACTGAACTTGAAGCATTATCACCCTATGCTAATGCAAACAGACAGGGTTCTGGGGACTGTGGTGGCAGGGATAGTTTGTCCTCTAGGATTGTGGAATTGTATTACACACTTTTAGAAATGAAATGTATTCGTTTTTGAATTCTAAAACAATATGGGCTCAATATAGATGGTTGGAAAATTCATAAAATTAAAAAAAATCTTTCCCAAATTTCAACTCTAGAAACAACCATTGTTAATATTCTCTTGTATTTACTGCTAGTCATTTTATTTTTCATACCTTAAAACCATTATTTATTGCTGGGCGTGGTGGCTCACGCCTGTAATCCCAGCACTTTGGGAGGCTGAGGTGGGCGGATCATGAGGTCAGGAGATCAAGACCATCCTGGCTAACACGGTGAAACCCCGTCTCTACTAAAAATGCAAAAAATTAGCCGGGCGTGGTGGCGGGTGCCCGTAGACCCAGCTACTCGGGAGGCTGAGGCAGGAGAATGGTGTGAACCCGAGAGGCAGAGCTTGCAGTGAGCCAATATAGCACCACTGCACTCCAGCCTAGGCGACAGAGCAAGACTCTGTCTCAAAAAAAAAACAAACCACCATTATTTATTTATATTTTAGAGACAGAGACTCACTCTGTAGCCCAGGCAGGAGTGCAGTGGCACGATCATAGCTCACTCACTGCAGTCTCAACCTCCTGGGCTCAAGCAATCCTCTCACCTCAACCTCCCGAGTAGCTGGGACTATAGGTGTATGCCACAACAGCTGGCTAATTTTTTTTTTTTTTTTTTTGGTAGAGACAGGGTCTTGCTGTATTCCTCAGGCTGGTCTTGAACTCCTGGCCTCAGGCAATCCTCCTGCCTCGGCCTCCCAAAGTGCTGGGATTACAGGTGTGAGCCACTGCACCTAGCCTGATTTCTTTTCTGATTATAAAAGTAATACAGGCCGGGCTTGGTGGCTCATGCCTGTAATCCCAGCACTTTGGGAGGCCAAGGTGGGCAGATCACTTGAGGTCAAGAGTTTGAGACGAGCCTGGCCAACATGGTGAAACCTCATCTCTACTAAAAATGCAAACATTAGCTGGGTGTGGTGGTGGGCACCTACACTCCCACCTACTTAGGAGGCTGAAGTGGGAGGATTGCTTGAACCTGGCAGGTGGAGGTTACAATAAGCCGAGATCAAGATCGTGCCACTGTACTCTAGGGTGGGCAACAGAGTGAGACTATCTCAAATAAATAAAAGTAATACGTATACTTTGTAGAAACATTGGAGAATACAAACAAAACATTTATTATCATGACATACATAGGTAGTCACTATCAATATTTTGGTGTATGACATTTTAGTGTTTTTTCACCCTGGATGTGTATACATGTTTGTATATACGTAAACAGGTAAAATTGGAATCACAGTAGCCGGGTGTGGTAGCCCATGCCTGTAATCCCAGCTCTTTGGGAGGCAGAGGCAAGAGAATCACCTGAGGCCAGGAGGTCAAGACCCACCTGGGCAACATGGCAAAAACTACATCTCCGCTAAAAATACAAAAATTAGTTGGGCAAGGTGGTGCATACCCGTAGTCCCAGCTACTAAGGAGGCCTGGGCGGGAGGACTGCTTGAGCCCGGGAGGTGAGCAGTGAGCCGACATCCCACCACAGCACGCTAGCCTGGGTGACAGAGCGAGACTCTGTCTCAAAAAAAAAAAAAAAAAGGAATCACAGTATTTTTAAATTTCTACCATTATCATTCTATAAAATATGATTGAGATTACAGTGTGCACTTGATCTTAGCCAAAAGATCCAGAATGACAGCTCACACTTTATATTACAATTTGTATTCTACTTTTCCTGATATTTTGATTAAATTGTGCTATGTTTTCCCTATGACATTTCCCTATTACATTTCTTTGTAAACATCATTTTAAATAAGTGTACAGTGTTACATTGCAGGCATACCATAAGTTTAGCCATTTCCCTTTTGTAAGATACTGACCCTTTTCTAATTTTTTCTACAGTTTACATAAATTGTAAAAAAAATATATTGTGTGAATGTATTTTTAGTAATTCAGATATTCCTTCGGGTAGATTTCCATGAGTTGAATTTTTAGATCCAATAGATGTATTTTTTCTTTTTTAAATTATAAAATATTTTAATGTAGAGATAATTACATGACAAAGATCCCTAAATGCACCAACCGTCTTTTAAGGGATACACACCCTTTTATTTATATATTATGTCTGTAAGATTCATCCATTTTGTTGGTAGTAATTTGTTTTTTTTTTTTTTTTTTTTTTTTGTGAGACAGGGTTTCACTCTGTGGCCCAGGCTGGAGTGCAGTGGCATGATCACGGCTCACTGCAGCCTGAACCTCCCACGCTCAAGTGATCCTCCTGCCTCAGCCTCCTGAGTAGCTAAGACTACAGGCACACACCACCCATGCCTGGCTAATTTTTGTATTTTTTGTAGAGAAGGGATTTTGCCATGTTGCCCAGGCTGGTCTCGAACTCCTGGGCTCAAGCGATTTGCCCACCTCAGCCTCCTCAAGTGCTAGGATTACAGGTGTGAGCCATTGTGCCTGGCCAGTAGTTTGGTCTTTTTCGTTGCTGTGCAGATTCAGTTGTATGAATATAGCATAATTTTTGTCCATTCTATTGTTGATAGACATTTGAGTTGTTTTCATTTCTTGTCATTATGAGTAAAGCTCTTAACATTGGTGGACACAAGTATGTATTTCTCTTAGGGATATATCCAGGAATAGAATTGCTGCCAGACAGAAAAATATATATGTATTTGTAGCTTTAGAGGGTATTGCCAGTCTTTTTTTATTTCTTTCTTTTTTATTTTGAGACAGTCTCACTCTGTCGCCCATGCTGGAATGCAGTGGCGCAATCTCAGTTCACTGCAATCTCTGCCTCCCGGGTTCAAGCGATTCTCCTGCCTCAGTCTCCTGAGTAGCTGGGATTACGGGCATGTGCCATCACGCCTGGCTAATTTTTGAATTTTTTTAGCACAGACGAGGTTTTGCCATGTTGGGCTGGTCTTGAACCCCTGACCTCAGGTGATCCGCCCACCTCAGCCTCCTAAAGTGCTAGGATTACAGGCGTGAGTCACCACGCCCAGCCATTATCTCTCATTTTCTAAAGTGGTAGTACCATTTTATACTCCGAACAGCAATAAATTGTAGTTACATTCTTACTAACTGCTAACTCATTTATTTACTAGCATCTGGACTAACATTTGGTATTGTCAGTCTTTTTAATTTTAGTCATTCTGGTAAGGGTGTAGTGCCCACCAGCCATCTCCAACAGATTTTAACATATATGCTTCAGATCTCTTTTAAGAAATATAAATTTAAATATTCATTAGTGAATCTAGTAAGGGATGTGTGTGCGTGTGTATATATATATATATTGTATATATACACACACATATACAAGAAAATAACATACATATTATATAAAATAACGTATATATACACATACTGTATATATACACACACAAACTATATATATATATATATGTGTGTGTGTGTGTATTTTGGAGACAGGGTCTCACTCTGTCATCTAGGTTGGAGTAGAGTGGTGTGGTCTTGCCTCACTGTAGCCTCGACCTCCCAGGCCCAAGCAGTCCTCCTACCTCAGCCTCCTGAGTATCTGGAATTATAGGTGTGTGCCACCACACCTGGTTAATGTTTTAATTTTTGTAGAGATGGAAAACTGCTTTGCTGCCCAGGCTGGTCTCGAACTCCTGAGCTCAAGGATTCCTCCCACCTTAGCCTCCCAAAGTGCTGGGATTATAGGCATGAGCCACCGCACCTGGCCAAGGTCTGTATTTTTCTTATTGTACTAAACTTGCAACTTTTCTGTAGATTTAAAAATTTTCAAAATACTGTAAATAGTTTAAAAATATATAAATTTTAGATATAGCTGAAACTAACTACTTACCCTTTCCCAGCCTCCTAAAGTAATTACTATCCTGAATGTAATGTTTATTGTTTTTTTTTTTTTTTTTTGAGACAGCGTCTCACTGTCACTGAGGCTGGAGTGCAGTGTCATGATCTCAGTTCACTGCAACCTCCGTCCCACGGGTTCAAGTGATTCTCCTGCCTCAACCTCCTGAGTAGCTGGAATTACAGGTGTGCGCCACCAGGCCCGGCTAATTTTTTTTTTTTTTTTTTTTTTTGTATTTTTAGTAGAGACGGGGTTTCAGCATGTTGGCCAGGCTGGTCTCGAACTCCTGACCTCAGACTAACCGCCCGCCTCAGCCTCCCAAAGTGCTGGGATTACAGGCGTAAGCCACTGTGCCTGGCCTGGTACAACTAATTTTAAAAGCAGGTTGACACTCTAGTCCAACTGGCAGATGTGCATACCCCATGCCATTGTAATTTTTCCCCCTAGAAAAACTCCTATTCAGTCGTACAGGGAAATGAGTATAAAAACATTTGCTGCTGCCATGTTTGTAATTGTGGACAATTGGGAATAATCTTTATACCTCATCAATGAAAAAATAGACCAATTATGGTTCATTCATGTAGAATACTATACAGTAGACTATGAACCAGAGTTACATGAATCAGAATTCGTATTTCTCAAAAGCATAATGTGGGCCGGGCACGGTGGCTCACGCCTGTAATCCTAGCACTTTGGCAGGCTGAGGCAGGTGGATCACTTGAGCCCAGGAATTCAAGACCAGCCTGAGCAACACAGTGAAAACCTGTCTCTATCTTTTTAAAAGGAAGAAAAGCATATTGTGGAACAACAACAGAAAAAAGCAACTTGCAGAATTATAAAGTATGATATCATTTGTATAAATTATAAGAAAATGTTAAATAGCGCTATTATATATAATTTGTAGAGTTATACATATATACCTGAGAACAATAAACATTACATTCATGCAGCCAGGCACAGTGGCTCATTCCTGTAGTCTCAGCACTTTGGGAGACCAAGGCGGGCAGATCACTTGAGCTCAGGAGTTCGAGACCAGCCTGGCCAACATGGTGAAACCACATCTCCATTAAAAATACAAAAAATTAGCTGGGCATGGTGGCACGCCTGTAGTCGCAGCTACTCAGGAGCTTGAACCCAGGAGGTGGAGGTTTCAGTGAGCCGAGACTATGCCACTGCACTCCAGCCTGGGTGACAGAGAGAAAAAAACAGTTGTACCAATTTATACTCCCACTAGCATTAGATAAAAGTTCAAATTATGCCAGGCATGGTGTCTCACATCTGTAACCCCAGCATTTTTGGACTCTGTCTCAAAAAAAAAATCCACATCTTTTACAACACATGATTGTTAGATTTTTTAGTTTTTGCCTATCGGATGATATATTCTTATTTACATTTTCATTTTCCTTATTACTAAGGGGGTTGAGCAGCTTCTCACATTAGGCCTTCCTCCTCTGCCCACATGACATGACTATTCATATTCTTTCCCTGTTTCCTACTGGGATATCATTTTCTTTTTTTCGTTTCTTTTCTTTTTTTGAGACGGAGTTTTCCTCTTGTTGCCCAGGCTGGAGTGCAATGGCATGATCTCGGATGACTGAAACCTCTGCCTCCCAGGTTCAAGCGATTCTCCTGCCTCAGCCTCCCGAGTAGCTGGAATTACAGGCCTGCGCCATCACAGCTGGCTAATTTTTGTATTTTCAGTAAAGATGGGGTTTCACCATGTTGGCCAGGCTAGTCTCAAACTCCTGGCCTCAAGTGATCCACCCACCTCGGCCTCCCAAAGTGCTGGGATTACAGGCATGAGCCATCGTGCCCAGGCACTGCCATGGTGTTTTTTGTTTGTTTGTTTGTTTGTTTTTAAAGATAAACCTCTGGGGTTTCTGGAAAGTAAAGCCCCATGCTCCAAACAGCTCTGCTATACCTGTGTGCAAAATATTTTCATCTCTCTCTCTCTCTCCCCAAAGTGCATGCAAACACATATGGAACTGACATAGGCATCCACTGTCGCACTTCAAATTAAACAGACGCACACGACAGATATTCTCACAGAAAAGCAGTCAGCCAAGCCCAGAACCCATAGATCTAGGTCCACACTCACGCCTCTGCATGCTCCCCAGAAAGACGGATGCATCGCCCGCAGGTAGAGACGGGCTCACCAATCCCACTCAAAACCCGCTGCCGGCTTACAGCTCGCAAGCCGCCCACAGTGCCAGCCCCATGCCAAGCATCACTAGGGGCTCTAGAATAGGCAGGGGCCTTGTTCTCACTTCCTTTGTGTTGCTTTTATTTTAGTTGTTTTGTTTGTTGTTTTTCTTAGAGTTATCACCTGCCCCTCTGTCTCCCTACCCAGCCCCCAAGCCTCCCCTCCAAGCCTCCACTGCGCATGTGCCGTGCATCCCTGCCCCTTCTGGGTACCCGTAGGCGCTCCCGGGCGCTGGCGGCGGCGGAGGAGAGGGAGCAGCGTCACGGGCGCCCGGCCCGTTAAAACGCTGCTGGCTGGAGCCACCTCCCTCCCTGCAGCCCGCAACGGGAATGGAGTAAAGGGAGACCCGTCGACCTGGCCACGGGGATCAGCGATGGAATTAAAGCAATCTTTGTCCACCCATCTGGAAGCCGAGAAGCCTCTGAGGCGCTATGGGGCGGTGGAGGAGACGGCTTGGAAAACGGAGAGACTGGGGAGAAGTGAGTACTGGGGCGGGGGGCGGGGGGCCGGGGACAGCTGGGGATCCATGCGCCTGCGCGGGTGGTCGCGGGAGCGCGAGGAACGCCAGCAGTGGACCCAGGGAAGCGCCCCCGCAGCGGGGCTGGCAGCTCAGGGGGATACGCAGCTCTGCGCAGCGACGCGCTCTCCCCGCGAACAAAAGGGGGGGACCCTCCGGGCTGAGCCTCACTGGGAGGGTTGGGAGATGGCCAGGCAGCTAAGGCAGGAGCCTGGGCTCGACTTAGGAGTCCCGGATCCGTCAGCTCGCAGCTGGTCCTGTGAAGTCGGGTCTCTCCCACAGCCCAGGGAGGAGGATCCTCTCTCCGCCTGGGATGCGCCAGGGCGCTGGAGACGCGGGACCGTCCTGGAAAGCGCCCACGTCCCTGGAGAGGGGGGAGTGTCTGCTGGTTTTCCGCTTGCTTTCCTACCCCCTGCGTGAGGTTTCGGAGCGCACCTGAAATTCCCAGCTTTTCCTCCCTCGCCTTCCTTGGGTCGGGGTGGGAGGCTTGGGGCGGCAAAAGGGTCAAAAGGCACACACCGTTCTCTTTTCTCTCTTGACTCAGTTAAAGTCTGCTTGGGCACAACTCTAGAAGGCAGTTTCGAAATAGACCGGCTGTATTTATTTACTGGTTCTCTCTGCGGTGTTTGGATGTCAACATTTCTAAGTAAACGAAGGATTTTGTTTTTCATTAATAGGATACAATAGTTGAAACTCCTGCCCTCAAAGTGTAGAGGCAGCGTCAGGGGCTCCAGGGTCACTGGAGGTCCCTGCAAACCCGGGGGCTCCCCAAAGCCGCTGCTCTCACATGGCTTGCCCACCAGGCTGGGAAGGAGAGGTCCTTCTCAGGGACCCGGCAGCTTCCTGCCTCGGCTCTGGGTCACTGCTCCGCGCTCTGCCCCAGCACGGATCTCTGAGCGATGTAGGGCTAAAGTATTGTGAATGTGATCTTATTCTGTCCTCACCTGGTGGAAAATTGTGTGTGCGCGCTTTCTTTCTCTATACCTGTAATTATGGATTTAGAAAATCTTCCTAGAAGGGCTCAACTGTGTTCTGATTCTGACGGGTTGAAGTTGAAATCACAATCCAATGTCTTAGTGGTTCATGGGCTAGGATGGATGTCATAGCACTGCCAACCTCTTTCCTTTTCTTTTTTTTTCTCCCTTTTTAACCTTGGTCTTTCTTTCTAGTTCATCCTTTCAAGACCCAATGACTTGGTGCTTTGGCATAATATCAGGGCGTCAGGGCTGAGGGTCTCTGTTTCTTTCTTTAATTTTTAAGTGCACATAGTGGGTGTCCATATTTATGGAATACATGAGATATTTTGATACAGGCATACAATGTGTAATAATCACATCAGGGTAAACGGGGTATCCAAAACCTCAAGCATTTATCCTTTTTTTTGTGTTACAAACAATCCAATTACACTCCTTTTTTAAAAAAGCCCAGCTGTGTGACTAATTATACTCTTTTAGTTTAGCTTTTTTTTTTTTTTTTTGAGACGGAGTTTCGCTCTTGTTGCCCAGACTGGAGTGCAATGACACAATCTCGGCTCACTGCGACCTCCACTTCCTGGGTTCAAGCGATTCTCCTGCCTCAGCCTCCAGAGTAGCTGAGATTACAGGTGCTCGCCACCATGCCTGGCTAACTTTTGTATTTTTAGTAGAGATGGGGTTTCACCATGTTGGGCAGGCTGGTCCCGAACTCCTGACCTCAGGTGATCGGCCTGCCCTGGCCTCCCAAAGTGCCGGGATTACAGGTGTGAGGCACCCCACCTGCCCTCTTTTAGTTATTTTTAAATGTACAATAAATTGTTGACCGTAGTCATCGTGTTGTGCTATCAGATACTAGATCTTATTCATTCTATCTACCTATATTTTTGTACCCATTAACCATCTCTGTGTCCCCCCATCCCAATACCCTCCCCAGCCTCTGGTAACCATCATTCTACTCTGTATCTCCATGAGGGTCTCTTGTTTCTTACAAGCTCAAAATAATCTCAACAATGGCTGCCTTTTATTGCTAGATGACCATGTGCTGAGAACTCTAAATGCATCATTTCATTTAGTCCCCGCAACAACCTCCTGCAGTACTAAGATTTATAAATTTAAATCTTGCCTAGATTTAAAAAAACATTTTAAAATAAAAATTTTAAAACAAAACATTTTAAAATAAAAAATTTAAATATAAATTTAAAATCTTGCATAGATTTAAAAAAACAAAACAAAACTGGGACTTGTTAGGTGATCTGACAGTTAAGTGGCAGAACCAGGATTTGAACCCCGGTCTGTTGGACCCCAGAGCCTGCTTTTAACATGAAGGTTTATTGCTTTCATGGTTTCAGAAAACTTCCTAAGTCTATTGAGATAGTCACAGAACATGCTCAGTGATTTTATAATTATGTGGCAGCCCTGTTGCTCTCTGAAGCTCACAGAGGCCTTAAAAAAATGCTGGGTCCACGCAGAATGGAAGCTGTTCACAAGAGTGCTGCTTTGAATCCTCACTCTGTGCCTTGCTGGCTATGTGACTTTAGGAGTATTGCTAAGCCTCACTCTGCCTTCATTTTCTGAAAATAGAGATTATGTCTTTATTGTGTATACTAAATAAGATGATACATATAGTACTCAAGGTTAAGTGCTCAATACGTATTGTTCACTTCCATTCGGTTACTGCACAACATTTATAGACAGAACCTGCTTTTACTCTTTGCAAGGAATTATGTAAATATTGGTCAATTCTTCAATAATGCCCTTGTAGCTTTTTATATCTTAACATTTTATGAGAAAAAATTTGAAACATGCAGGAAAATTGCAGCAAGCACCCAATTTACAGCAGTTTCAATCCTGAAATTTTTGTACTTCTGGGTCCTATGCTGCACACTGTTAAAAGTCAGGTATAAGGCCAGGCGCATTGGCTCACGCCTGCAATCCCAGCACTTTGGGAGGCCGAGGCGGGCGGATCACAAGGTCAGGAGATCAAGACCATCCTGGCTAACACGGTGAAACCCCATCTATACTAGAAATACAAAAAATTAGCTGGGTGTGGCAGTGGGCGCCTATTGTCCCAGCTGCCGGGGAGGCTGACACAGGAGAATGGCGTGAACCTGGGAGGCGGAGCTTGCAGTGAGCCGAGATTGCACCACTGCACTCCAGCCTGGGTGACAGAGTGAGACTCCCTCTCAAAAAAAAAGAGTCTGGTATAAAGTCCTTCTTACCCTCTGTTTCAAACCATCAAAGACTCAGTCTTGCTTCCTAGTCAAAGGCAAGAGGAACAGCTCCTGATCTGTACTTGCGTGGATCCTCAAATCTGGTTTTTCTTTTCTTTTTTGAGATGGAGTCTCACTCTGTCCCCCAGGCTGGAGTGCAGTGGCATGATCTCAGCTCACTGCAACCTCCGCCTCCCAGGTTCAAGCCATTCTCCTGCCTCAGCCTCCCAAGTAGCTGGGACTACAGGCGCCTGCCACCACGCTCAACTAATTTTTGTAGTTTTAGTAGAGAGGGGTTTTCACTATGTTGGCCAGGCTGGTCTTGAACTCCTGACCTTAGGTGATCCACCCACCTCAGCCTTCCAAAGTGCTGGGATTACAGGCATGAGCCACCACACCTGGCGAAAGCTGAAATTCTTAAAACGTGGATCCAGAGTCTAACTTTTGAAACTTGAATCTGGCAAGTTTTATTTTCTAGACTTTTTTTTTTTTTTTTTGAGACAGGGTCTTGCTCTGTCGCCCAGGCTGGAGTGCAGTGGCACAATCAGCTCACTGCAACATCTGCCTCCCAGGTTCAAGCAATTCTCCCGCCTCAGCCTCCCGAGTAGCTGGGATTACAGGCATGCACCACCACGTCCGGCTAATTTTTGTATTTTTACTAGAGATGGGGTTTCACCATGTTGGCCAGGCTGGTCTCGAACTCCTGGCCTCAAGTGATCTGCCCTCCTTGGCCTCCCAAAGGGCCGTGATTACAGGTGTGAGCTACCATGCCTGGGCCTGTTTTCTAGATGCGTGTTTGCACGCAGGGGGTGTTTGATTAAACCTTTTTTGGAACACTCTTTCAACTCTCAGGGTATCTATGGATCCATTCCATAAAGCCTGGGCCCTCCATTTATTTATTAAGTGTGAAAATTAGTACTTTTGTTTCTATGGCATGACAATTGCCAAGCCAATGTTGTAACACATGAAATGCTGGAGAAAAGAAGAGTCCCCTTAAAAAGAAGACATGCTCTGTTTAACTTCCACACATTTTAAAATATTTTATGTTAAACACTGAGTAGGTGTAAATTAAACAGAATTGAAGAGGGGAGGGAGACTGCAGAACTGGTCTTTTTTAGTTAAGATTGTGTTGACTGCTATTTTAAATTTCAACTATAGTTTTTAGATAAAAGATATGTAATGTGCTATATCAGAGTAGCAAAGAAGGAACGTTTTGAAGTTAGGCTGAATGAGTTCAAACCAGCCTCATTCAGCTGTCACTTGGTAGATTTGTGACCCTGGGAAAATTGCTCAAGGTCTCTGTGTGTCAGTTGCCTCATCTGTGAAATGGGGATAATTGTAGTAATGCGCACTTCGGACTCTTGGAAGATTAGATGAGATATGTATATAATGCATTTAGCACAGGGCCTCACATGCTGAAAGCGCTCAATCAAGGTTGAATGGTTGTCATAGGAGGACAGAAGGGGATTGCCCCAGCAATATTTGCAGAGGTTATCCCAAACTCACCAGTTACAGCTTTTCATTGCTTCCATTTCTTAGTAAATTCTGGTTAATGATTCTGTACATACTGCCTTCCTCATGGGAACATGTGGAGAAAGGCTTCTGCACCCTTACAAACCATCTAGTATTTTCTCCTTTGAGAAAGGTTCAAAGTAATTGCTCCCAGCCACCTTCAACAGCGTTTTTCCACTAGCAGGGAGGTTTTTTCCCCGCTCAGCTGGAAAATGTATAGTGACATTTCAGCGTGGTTAGATATATAAAAATACTGCTTTCAACCAAGTGTAATTAATTGAGGGAGACATGCAGACAAGGTGCCTTTTGAAAAAGCGCAGAGCTTTTCAGAAACACAGTTGTCTCTGTTGTGGCCATTTCTTGATAGATTTGTATGTGTCTTAAAGGATGATCAAGATTTTGGACAGGGGAAATGGAGGAGTTGGAGGCGGGAGAGGGGAATGCCAGGAGAGGTAATAGCATCAACTGGCTGGGTGTGGTGGCTCATGCCTGTAATCCCAGCACTTTGGGAGGCTGAGGTGGGCGGATCGCTTGAGGTCAGCAGTTCGAGGCCAGCTGTCCCAACATGGTGAAACCCTGTCTGTACTAAAAATACAAAAATTAGCCAGGCGTGGTGATGGGCGCCTATAGTCCCAGCTACTAGGGAGGCTGAGGTGAGAGAATTGCTTGTACTCAGGAGGCAGAGGTTGCAGTGAGCCGAGATTGGACGGCTGCATTCCAGCCTGGGTGACAGAGCAAGACTTAATCTCAAAAAAAAAAAAAAAAAAAAAAAAAATCAACACAGACATAGTGCTGGAAATAAATGCTCTATGAGTAGGAGATTGGAATGAAGTAGAGAGCTCAAACTGCAATCTTTCCATAAGCCCGGGGGAGATGACTACTATTTAAAAGTTCAAAGTTGTGTACTGACTAACAAGCAGATCGTAAAACTGGCCAGCGTTTCAGGTTTCATAAACAGTGTGGAGGCTGAAATAATGCAAATTGCTGGCAATCTATATAATAGATTCTTGGGGAAAGGTTTGAACTATCTTCTGTTTGGTTACATATGCTCATTTTATTATTTTATTTTGGTTTTGCATCATTTCTTTTTTTCTGATTCTAGAAGTAATACATGTACTTTATAAAAAATTTGAATTCATCTGAAATATGAAAATAAAAAGTAAAAAACGACCATCATTTGCTCCCCAGATCCCATTTATTCACTCCATAAATAGGTACTGAGTGCCTTACAAGTGCCAGGAAGTGTTCTAGGGGCTGCAGGTACAGTCTTGAGATTTCTCGACAAAGTCCCTGCCCACATAAAGCTTCTGTTTAGGGGAAGTTAAGACCTGGGTTGAGAGTGAAGGCGTCAAATATTACATAAGCAAACAAGTAAGATGGTTTAGGTCATAGTAAATGTTTCATGGGCATTAATAGGGAAGGGGTACTTTTCATTTGGTGTTCAGGAAGCGCTTCTCTAAGGAGGTGACATTTTGCTGTATCAATAGCAGGAATCCAGGCAGTAAACGTAAAGGCCTTGTGCTAGAGGAAGAGACAGAAGGCCAGGGTGGCTGGAACCCAGTGAGTCAGGGTGAAGGGCAGATGAATCAGAGGGAAGCCAGACTAGGTAGGGCCTTTTAGGTTGTGATTAAAACAAACAAACAAAAAGTCTGAAATTTATTCTCATTGCAGGAGAAACTGCTAAAAAATTTTAATCAAGGGACTAACATGAACTGTTATGTTTTTTGAGGTTTTTTGTTTTTGAGACAGGGTCTCGCTTGTCACCCAGGATAGAGTGCTGTGGTGAGATCTCGGATCACTGCAGCTTCAACCTCCTGGGCTCAATGGATTCTCCCGCCTCAGCCTCCTGAGTAGCTGGAACTACAAGTTCGCATGCCTCTAGAGCCCATTAAAAAAAAAAAAAATTAAGACAGAGTCTCGTTCTCTTGCCCAGGCTGGAGTGCAGTGGTGTGATCTTGGCTTGCTGCAACCTCTGCCTCCTGGGTCCGAGCGATTCTTCTGCCTCCCAAGTAGCTGGGATTACAGGTGCCCACCACCATGCCTGGTTAATTTTTGTATTTTTAGTAGAGATGGGGTTTTTCCATGTTGGTCAGGCTGGTCTCGAACTCTTGACCTCAAGTGATCCACCTGCCTCAGCCTCCCAAAATGCTGGGATTACAGCCGTGAGCCACGATGCCCAGCAGCCCTGTTAGTTTTTGAATTTTTGGTAGAGATGGGGTTTTGCTGTGTTTCCAGGCTAGTCTTGAACTCCTGGGCTCAAAAGCAATCTGCCTGTCTCAGCCTCCCAAAGGGCTGGGACTACAGGCAAGAGCCACTGCGCCCAGCCTGGTTTTTGTTTTTAAAGGGTCATGTTGGGTACTAGATGGGGAATAAGTCCATAGCGGGGCAAGTGATGATCAATGCAAGCAGCATTTGATATAGTCCGTGATTCCTTCCTAATCAATTTTATTTTGGAGAAGTGGTGGCAGTTTCCTTGAGTGTGAAAGGTGTGACAAGGGCCCCATGGGTTGTCCTCTGGAAGATCAAGCACCTGGTTAAGACTTAGGAGAGGGAGGCCGGGCACAGTGGCTGAAGCCTGTAATCCCAGCACTTTGGGAGACCGAGGCAGGTGGATCACCTGAGGTGAGGAGTTTGAGACCAGCCTGGGCAACATGGTGAAACCCCACATCTACCAAAAATACAAAAATTAGCTGGGCGTGGTGGCGCATGCCTGTAATCCTAGCTACTCGGGAGGCTGAGGCGGGAGACTCACTTGAACCAGGGGGCAGAGCTTGCAGTGAGCTGAGGTCACACCATTGCACTCCAGCCTGGGCGACAGAGTGAGACACTGTCTCAAGAAAAAAAAAAAAAAGAATTAGGAGAGGGATAGATTCTGCACTGTCTCTTGACAGGCAACTATGTAAGTTATTGCAAAACTATTATAGCAGTGATATAAATATTACAAATATGATAGTATCTAGAATGTACTTTGAACAAGCCCAATTATTTACACAGTTGAGTAATGTCTGCTCATAACTTTGCTCATAACATTATGTTTTATTTTTGCAAGAGTTTCCTCCTGTGTTAATTGAAGAAAAAATTAATCATGCCTATTCTTGGACTGATTAGTTATTAAACACATATTAATAATAATATCCATTCAATGAGTTTTAGCTATGAACTTGAGCTTATTAAATTCTCATAACAGCCCTATGACATAAGGAGAATTATTATTCCCATTTAAACATGGGGAAACCGAGGTTTCAGGGGGTTAAGAAACTTGCTGAAAGGCATAAAGCTAGAAGGTGGTAGGGCTGGAGCCTGATTCTAAGCCCTCTCTGCCTCTGGATGTTCCTATCCACTGTCTGTTATTCTTGGTTCAGTGCTGGGTGCTGTAGAGATTAGAGATGGAATAAGACAGAATCCCAGCCTTCACTCTTAAAAGGTTTACAGATTTGGAGTGAGAGACACAGCCATAAAGAACACCACAGGGCCGGGCGTGGTTGCTCACACTTGTAATCCCAGCACTTTGGGAGGCCGAGGCTGGTGGATCACTTAACATCAGGAGTTCAAGACCAGCCTGAGCAACATGGTGAAACCCCATCTCTACCAAAAATACAAAAATTAGCCAGGCATAGTGGCATGCATCTGTAATCCCAGCTACTCTGGAGGCTGAGGCAGGAGGATCACTTGAACCGGGGAGGCAGAGGTTACAGTGAGCTGAGATTGCACCACTGGACTCCAGCCTGAGCGACAGAGCAAGACCTGAGACCCTGTCTCAAAAAAAAACACCACAGGCTGGGTGCGGTGGCTCTCATGTGTAATCCCAGCACTTTGGTAGGCCCAGGCAGGGAGGATTACTTGAGCCCCAGAGTTTGAGACCAGCCTGGGCAATGTGGCGAAACCCTGTGTCTCTACCAAAAATACAAAAAATTAGCTGGACGTGGTGCTAGCTACTTGGGAGGCTGAGGTGAGAGAATCGCTTGAGCCTGGGGGGCCCGGAAGCTGTGGTGAGCCAAGATGGCACCACTGTACTCCAGCCTGGGCGACAGTGAGGCCCTATCTCAAAAAACAAACAAACAAACAAAAACAAAAACAAAAAATCCACCGCAACTTATAAAGCAGTATAATGAAACACATGCTAAATGAAAAGTACAAGTGTGGGCCAGGCATGGTGGCTCGAGCCTGTAATCCCAGCACTTTGGGAGGCCAAGGTGGGAGGATCACCTGAGGTCAGGAGTTCGAGACCAGCCTGGCCAACATGGTGAAACCCTGTCTTTACTAAAAATACAAAAAATTAGCCAGATGTGGTGGTGCACACCTGTGATTCCAGCTACTCGGGAGCCTGAGACACGAGAATCGCTTGCACCCTGGAGGTAGAGGTTGCAGAGATTGCACCACTGCACTCTAGCCTGAACAACAGAGCGAGACTCTGTCTCCAAAAACAAAAAAAAAAGTGTGAAATTAGGAAAGAAATTGGCTGTGACTGGGGAGCTGCAGGCCAACAGCAAAGAGGGGTGTTTGCATTGGGCCTGAAGGCTAAACAGGGTTTCAAAAGAGGAAGAGTGTAGAGAAGGGGATTTCAGGTAAGCTGTCTGCCCCAGGCACAGAGGTGAATATTCCAAAGGCCAGGGTCCAGGCACCAGCTTTGTTTTTTTTTTTTTTTTTTTTTTTTTTTTTTTTTTGGCTGTTTCTTTCCCCTTGGCTTAATGGATCCTGGGACTGCCTGGTTCACTTATATGAATGGGCTTGGGGGTTGGTTGGAAGCCAGCACAGGTAAAGGCCCTCTTTTAGTACTTCACTCACAAGTTCCCCCAAAAGATAGAATCAATTCATTTCTTCACTATTCACTTGTTGTGGGCGTCTCCTGTGCACTTGTTTTAGAGGAACAGAGCTAGATGGGTCCTGACCCCACCCTTAAGAATTCCGTCCTACTGTGGTCCATTTCTTCCTCTGCTGCTTCCTAGCACTGTGATCTTGGACAATTGGCCTAACTTCCCTAAGCCTCAGTTTCCTCATCTGTAAAATGGGTATAGTGATTTCTTTAATCCCCTGAGAAATAAACAGAATAATGCCAGGAAAGCATGGTGACAAATACATGTCACTAAATGTTATTGATGGTAGCAGTGTGAAGGCTCAGCTCTGTTTTGCAGACGATATTTATTGAGAAATGCCTGCCAGGCTGGGTGGGAGGAGCTGGCCTCATAGTATGAGTACATGGTGGTCCTGCATGGAAGAGCAGATGGTTTCTAGTTTATTGGTTATAAGTGTGGGCTTTCGAGAGAGCTTTTATTTTGAGGCCTGGCTCTGCCATGTCCTGGCTCTGGACTTTGAATGAGTTATTTCACCTTTTTTTCCCCCACCTCAATCTTTTGCTATCTGTATCTGTTCTCAATGATAACCATGAGGAATTATATAAATCTGAAGAAGTTTCTCAAAGTCAGTTTTTGAGACAGGGTCTTGCTCCATTGCCCATATGGGAGTGCTGTGGCACAATCACAGCTCTTGCAAGCCTCAACCTCCTGCCTAGGCCTCCCGCCTAGGCCTCCGAAGTAGCTGGAACTACAGGTGCACACCACCACGTGTGGCTAATTTTTACAATTTTTTTATAGAGGTGGGGTCTTGGTGTGTTGCCCAGGCTGGTCTTGAACTCCTGGCCTCAAGCAATCCTCCTGTCTTGGCCTCCCGAAGTGCTGAGATTATAGGCATGAGCCACCACGCCTGGTTATTTCACCTCTTAAGCTTTGGTTTCTGCAACTGTACAACAGTGACAGTAATAGTATCTACTTAGGATAGCTGAGAATTCCTTGAGACACAGATTGGAAATCATTCAATACAGAGGTCAGTACATGATACATGTTTAGTAAATGTTAATTATTATATTATTGGCTTTACAGCTATGGCAACAGGTACATAAAAAGGTAAACTTGATTTAATAAGGGTGTGTGAGTAAGTAGGGGGCTGGCAGCAGGGTAGCTAATGGAGCAAAGAGGAGGGGCTTAGCTAACCCTGGGGCTTCTGAAAACTTCTGGAAGAGCTGAGCCTTAATAAGAAAGAATAGAAGGAAATACATATGTGGAATCACCATTAATTGTTAGGAAAAACCAAATTGGAACCTTACTGAGATATGTAGCCACTGGAAAGGCTAAAATTAAAAGGACTGATCATACTAAGTGCTGGAGAGGATGTAGATCAACTGGCACCCTCATGCCTTGCTGGTAGGAATGTCACATGGGGGGAAATGGCTTGGTCATTTCTTAAAAATTTAAACATACACCAATCATAGGACCCAGACGGTGCACTTCTGGGTATTTACCCAACAGAAATGAGAGCAAGTGTCTCTACAAATATTTGTACACAAATGTTCATAGCAGCTTTTTTAGGAATAGCCCCAAACTGGAAACAACCCAAATATGGTATAATCATACAACAGAATGCTTCTCAGCAGTAAAAAGGAACAGACTAAAGACACACTATGTAAATGGATCACAAAATCATCATGCTGAGTGAAAGAAGCAAGCAAGAAAGAAAAGAGTACATACTGTATGAGTCCGCTGACATGAAATTATTTTAAAAACGCAAACTATTGTATACAGACAGAAAGTAAGCGAGACTCTAACTCTACAAAAATAAAAATAAAAAAGTTAGCTGGGCATAGTGGCCCACGCTTGTGATCCCAGCTACTTGGGAGGCTGAGGCAGAATGGCTTGAGCCCAGGAGTTCAAGACCAGCCTGGGCAACATAGCAAGTCCTCATCTCTACAAAAAAATAAAAAAATAAACTGGCTGAGTGTGATGATGTGCACCTGTAGTCCTAGCTACCCGGGGGCTGAGGTGGGAGAATCTCTTGAGCCCAGGAGTTTGAGGCTGCAGTGAGCTATGACTGCACCACTGCACTCCAGCATGGGCAACAAAGTGAGACCTTGTCTCTAAAAAAATAAAGAAAATGATTATAAGAAATAACATGCATGAAGTTCTTCCTATGAGCCACTGTGTGCATGTTTTACATGCATCCTCCGCTCCTTACAAAACGTTCTGTGAGATGAGACACAATATAGCCATCTATTGCATTTATTGTTCTATTTACAGAGGAGCAAACTGAGGCTTACAGAGGTTAAGCAATTGGCCCAATGTCACTCCACTGATAAGTGGTAGGGCTGAGATTTGAACCTAGCACAGGTTGACTTAATTCTGCTACCTTCCTAATTTCCCAGGATTAGTTGAAGCTGCCATTGATATAGATGCTTAATGTCAACTAGACACATCTCTGTGTTTCTTAGAACTGATTCTGTTCTCTGGCTCATTAATTTCCTTTTCCATTACAAACATGCCTCTTGTAAGCTTGAGGACTACATCTCACCACTTCAAAGTGCCTTCAGTGTCAAACTGGAGTGGAAGTTGAAGACGTTCACAAAAATGGAGGAGGGAGAGCCTTTCTGTTTTGAAGACTTGTAGCTTCACAAAGAAAGGCTTTCTTTGAATGATCAAGAAGGATTTCTAGGTCAATATAGGGGCATATTACTGTAACGTTTGGCAGCAGGAGCTCTGCCTGCATTTGAATCCTGGCTTTACCACTTCATAATAGTTGCGTGATCTTGGGCTAGTTAGTTAACCTCTCTGAATTTCAGTTTTCTCATCTGTAAAATGGGGATAATAACAGGATCTGCCCCAAAGGATGTATTGGTCCGTTTTCACACTGCTATAAAGATACTACCTGAGACTGAGACTGGGTGATTTGAAAAGAAAAGAGATTTGATTGACTCACAGTTCCACCTGGCCGAAGAGTCCTCAGGAAACTTAAAATCATGGCGGAAGGCACAGGAGAAGCAAGCACCTTCTTCACAAGGTGGCAGGAGAGAGTGACAGAGGGAAGCACCAGATACTTATCAAACAACCAGATCTCGTGAGAACTCACTCAGTATCATGAGAACAGTATGGGGGAAACCGCCCCCATGATCCAATTACCTCCCACCAGGTCCCTCCCTCCACACATGGGGATTACAATTCAGATTACAATTCAAGATGAGATTTGGGTGGGGACACAGCCAAACCGTATCAAAGGCTAATTAAGAAGATTCAATGAAATAATATATGAAAGCCCTTCACAGAGTCTGGTGCTCTCAGTAAATGGTGGCGATCATGTTAATAGAAGAGGATGTGAAGTGGGAATTGACCTGATAGTATCTGAATAGTTGGAGAGAAGGAAGAGAGAGAAGTTAAATTTAAGTGGGTGAACCTCAAGGAAGAATGGAGGTGACGATGAGCGTGGAGATTTCTGGAGGCGTGCATGAGCTTCGCTGCATTGGAGGAGTTGTGAGATAAAAAGGATGGTTAAGCAGGACCACTAGACTTTGGTGGATTAAAAAAGGACTGGCAATATGGGGCCATTGGAGGACAAGGGATGGAGGGAAAGAAGTAGCATTTATTTATTTATTTATTTTTGAGACAGAGTCTTGCTGTTGTCTCCCAGGCTAGAGTGCAGTGGCGTGATCACGGCTCACTTCAACCTCCACCTCCTGGGTTCAAGCGATTGTCCTGCCTCAGCCTCCTGAGTAGCCGGAATTACAGGTACCCGCCACCATGCCCAGCTAATTTTTGTACTTTTAGTAGAGATGGGGTTTCACCCTGTTGGCCAGGCTGGTCTCAAACTCCTGACCTCAGGTGATCTGCCTGCCTTGGCCTGCCAACGCGCTGGGATTACAGACATGAGCCACTGCGCCTGGCCGGAAGTAGCATTTTAGGAAGGCTTGTCTGGCAATGGTGACCAACTGGATGCAAAGTCAGGGGCCCTGGGGATAAGAAGGTCAGCTAGGAGGGTTTGGAATTATCCCATGATGAGGGCTGTATGTCCAAATATCCATGGCAGGGCTGGAGTCTGCAGGAGCAGTGGGTTTGAAAGAAGGGGCTGATCAGAAATCTTGAAGGGAGAAACCCATAGTAGTTATTATGTCTCAGAAGGAAAGAAGGTCTTCTAAGTGCTCTCAATGTGATAGGCAAGGAAAAACCCTGTCATTAGCCTGAGGTCTTAACCAGTTAAAAATATCAGCATCCAGGCGCAGTGGCTTACGCCTGTATTTGCAGCACTTTGGGAGGCCCACGCGGGTGGGTCACTTGAGTTCAGGGGTTCAAGACCAGCCTGGGAAACGTGGCGAAATCCCATCTACCAAAAATATAAAAATTAGCTGGGCATGGTGGTGCAAGCCTGTAATTCCAGCTACTCAGGAGGCTGAGGCATGAGAATCGCTTGAACCTGGGAGGCAGAGGTTGCAGTGAGCTGACATCGCACTACTGCATTCAAGCCTAGGCGACAGAGCAAGAATCTGTCTCAAAAAAAACTGAAAAAACAAAGAGTTGTTCCTGATGCTGCCGTGAGATTAGCATCCTCGCCTTCTGCTTTGAGGGAAAGATGTGAGATTTTCAGATCAGATACAAAGTAACAGGAATAGGTACCATGAATGGGAACCGGCAGCCAAGTGACAGTGTTGTGATGGGTATAGGCTGGGCTAGGTACTTTACACACCTTAAATTTTTGATTCTTAGATGCCAGCATAGGTGAGGTATAACATTTCAGAGTAAGTCACGTCTTTCTGAAACAACAGAAACAAAAAAACGATAAGGCCCCGTTAAATAACTGGTCCGTTTAGCACTACCTGCAATAGCAAAGATGTGGAATCAACCTAGGTGCCTATTGACAGTGGATTGGATAAAGAAAATATGGTACATATATACCGTGGAATACCACCAGCTAGCAAAAAAAGTAAAACTATGGTCTTTGCAGCAACATGGATGCAGCTGGAGGCCATTATCCTAAGTGAACTAATGCGTGTTCTCACTTATAAGTAGAAGCTAAACATTGGGTACAGATGGACACAAAGGTGGGAACAGCAGACACTGGGGACTACAAGAGGGAGGAAGGAGGGAGGGAAGAGTTGAAACACTACCTGTTAGGTACTTTGCTCATTATCTGGCTGATGGTTTCACCCAGACCCCAGATCTCAGCATCATGAAATACACCCTTGTAACAAACCTGCACATGTACCTCCTTAGTCTAAAATAAAAGTTGAATTTTTTTTCTTTTTCTTTAATTTTTTTTTTTTAAGAGAGGGAGTCTCGCTCTGTCGCCCATGCTGGAGTGCAATGGTGTGATCTCAGCTCAATGCAACCTCTGCCTCCCAGGTTCAAGCGATTCTCCTGCCTCAGCCTGCTGAGTAGCTGGGACTACAGGTGCACACCAACACACCTGGCTAATTTTTGTATTTTTACTAGAGACAAGCTTTCACCATATTGGTCAGACTGGTCTCGAACTCCTGACCTCAGGTGATCCACCCATCTCGGCCTCCCAAAGTGCTGGGATTACAGGCATGAACCACTGCACCCAGCCTACTTTATTTTTAATCTCCATCTAGTATTTAGACTAGAGATGGGCAAATTTTTCTTTTTTGTTTTCTTTAAAATTTTTTTTTTTTTGGTAGAGATGGGGTCTCACTATGTTGCCCAGGCTGGTCTTGAACTCCTGGCCTCAAGTGATCTTCCTGCCTTGACCTCCCAAAGTGCTGGGATTACAGGTGTGTGTCATCACACCCAGCCCTGATACACTTTTTCTGTACAAGGCTAGATACTATTTTAGGGTGTGCAGGTCATATGGCCCCTGTTGCGACCACTCAGCTCTACCACCGTACTCCAAAGCTGTAGCCTAAAGCTGCCATAGACAGGCACCTAAGTGAATGGATGTGGCTATGTTTTGTTTCAGCTTGATTGGTGAGCACTGAAATTTGAATTTTATATAACTTTCCCATGTCATAAAATATTATTATTCTTTTGATGTTTTCCCACAGCCATTTGAAAATGTAGAGGTCATCTCAAAAAAGAAAAAAAAGGAAAAGAAAATGTAGAAGTCATCCTTAGCTCAAGGGCCATAGAGAAACTGGCATTGGTCTGGGTTTGGTCTGAAGGCTCATGGATCCCTACCCTAGACAAATAATAGGCATGTAAAAGGTATTCACATCACAGCTGGCTTTTTTTTTGAAACAGAGTCTTGCTCTATTGTTCAGGCTGGAGTTCAGTGGCATGATCTTGGCTCACTGCAGCCTCCACCTCCTGGGCTCAAGCAATCCTCCTGCCTCAGCCTCCCGAGTAGCCGGGATTACAGGCACAAGCCACCATGCCTGGCTAATTGTTGTATTTTTAGTAGAGATGGGGTTTTACCATGTTGTTGAGGCTGATCTCGAACTCCTGGGTTCACAGGATTCATCTGCCTCAGCCTCCCAAAGTGCTGGGATTACAGGCATGACCCACCACGCCCGGCCATAGCTGGCTTTTTGCTTGCTGTGGGAGGAGAAAGTTCTGGCTGCTTGGCTTCGATGCTATGCTTGGCTCTTCCAACCACCATTTGTGGCTTTTTGCTGCCAGAGCTTGTCATGCTGCTGCATTGCCCAAGAGAAAAAGTTTGTGAGGTTCCACGTTCCATCATATCGATGATCATTTTAGGGTTTTCACACACAAGAGACAGGATTATTGCAAGCAACAGCAATGAACTTTGGAAAACTCAGAGGTTTTCCAAGTGTGAGATTTAAAGCCTCATGCATGAAACTTTAAATTAGTTTAAGGGGGCGTAACCAGCATAAAAAAAATGAAATAGAAGGAAATAGGAAATAGAAAGCTGCATCTATGCTGCTAAAGTTAAGTCTTATTTCCGTGCAACCTTTCGTTTGTTTGTTTTGTTTGTTCGTTTTCTGAGACAGAGTCTCCCTCTCTGGAGCGAGTCTCACCCAGGCTGGAATACAGTGGTGTGATCTCTGCTACTGCAGTCCCTACCTTCCGTGTTCAAACGATTCTCCTGCCTCAGCCTCTTGAGTAGCTGGGACCACAGGTGCATGCCACTATGCCCAGCTAATTTTTAGTAGAGATGGGGTTTCACTGTATTGACCAAGCTGGTCTCAAACTCCTCACCTCAAGTGATCCACCCATCTCAGCCTCCCAAAGTGCTGAGATTACAGGCATGAGCCACCATGCCCGGCCTATTTTGTCCAACGTTTGTTTTACTTATGCCTATGTGTGTATGTACATACTGGGTCACTCTTAGTATTTCTTTTTTTTTTTTTTTTTTTTTTTTTGAGACAGGAGCTCACTCTGTTACCGAGGCCAGAGTGCAGTGGTGCAATCATGGCTCACTGAAGCCTTGAATTCCTGGGCTTAAGCGATTCTCCCACCTCAGTCTCCTGAGAAGCTGGGACTACAGGTGGGTGTCACCACACCCAGCTAGCTAACTAATTTTTTTTTTTTTTTTTTTTTTTGTAGAGACAGGGTCTTACTTTAGTGCCCAGACTGGTCTTGGACTCCTGGGCTCAAGTGAGCCTCCTGCCTCAGCCTCCCAAAGTGCTGGGATTAGAGGCATGAGCCACTGCATCTGGCTCTCTGAGTATTTCTTACTGTGATCCACAGTAAGTAAACTTATTTAAATAAGTTTGCAAAGTACAGGAACTTAAGGAAAAGGAATGTATCTGGAAATCCTTCCAGAATTTAAAACAAAAAATAGCTCTAGGCACAGTGGCTTACGCCTGAAATCCTAGCACTTTGGGAGGCTGAGGCGGGAGGATTGCTAGAGGCAAGAGTTTGAGACCAGCCTGGGCAACACAGGGAGATCCCATCTCTACAAAACAGTTCTAAAAATTATCCAGTCATGGGGCGTGCACCTGTAGTCCTAGCTACTTGAGAGGCTGAGGCAGGAGGATTGCTTGAACCCAGGAGTTTGAGGTTACAGTGAGCCATGATTGGGCCACTGCGCTCCAGCCTGGGAGACAGAGTGAGACCCTGTCTCTTAAAAAAAAAAAAAGAAAAGAAGGAAGGAAGGGAGAGAGAGGGAGGGAGGGAGAGAGGGAGGGAGAGAGAGAGAGAGAGAGAGAGAAAGAAAGAAAAAGAAAAAGCTAAACAGCCAGACCTTAGAGAGAAGAGGAACCTTGGTGACTAGGAATTTCCAGATGGCAGAAAATTCCGGGTACTGTCATCTGGCTGAATCAGTCCCACTCTTTTGCATCTCTGAGCCACTGTGCCCAAGATTCAAGTACCTGGGGGAGAACACAGAGAAGATCTCTGCGTTAACCAGAGTCCATTTCTGTTGCTTGCAAATCATCCCATCTCCTGTGTGTGCAAACTCCTAAAATAAGCACTTTTAGAAGAAACGCTGACTCGTACAAACTTTCCCTGTGTCCTAAGGCCTCCTGCCAGCTTTGCAACTGCTGCTCGCGGGCAAGGGAACCTCTCCAGTCTCAGGACAATGGTGGTTGGGAGAAGCTAAGCTAAGGTCAAAGCCAAACACAGCGAGAACTTAGCCTAAGTGTATCGGACCAGCTAGGATCAAGACCCAACCCTTGACTAGGAAGGAGGGCATCTTGAATGCCAGTTCCCTAAGACAGCATTTCACGGGTGAGGTGTATTCTCCCATGGCAAGACATTGGAGGTGCTATCATGAGAGAAAGAACAATGGATGCTTGCAGAACAGAACCCGCAGATGACCACTAAGGAATGACACTGGTTTTCCTTCTCTAATAAAAATAACAACAACAACAACAAAAATAGCTGGGCGTGGTGGCAGGTGCCTGTAATCCCAGCTACTCGGGAGGCTGGGGCAGGAGAATCACTTGAATCCGGGAGACGGAGGTTGCAGTGAGCTGAGATCGCACCACTGCACAACTACCTGGGCAACAGCACGAGACTCTGTCTCAAAAACAACAACAACAAAGAAAAAACCAAAACACCGTTGCTTTTATTCTGATGATAAAACAGGGTTAATGCTCGAAATTTTAAAACTAAAAAAATACCAAAAGTTATAAAAGAGGGCAAATGTCATTTAAAGGAATGCTGCAGCGAGGTAGAGTCTCACACCTGTAATCTGAGGCAGAAGGCAGGAGCTTGAGCCCAGGAGTTCAAGGCCAGCTTGGCCAACACAGCAAGACCCTGTCTCTACAAAAATAAAAATAATTACCTGGGTGTGGTGGTGTACCTCTAATTCTATTATTAGCTACTTGGGAGGCCAAGGCAGGAGGATCACTTGACTCCAGGAGTATGAGGCTGCAGTGAGCCAAGACTGTGCCACTGCACTCCAGCCTGGGCAATAGAGTGAGACCCTGTTCTAAAACTAACCGGCTGGGCGAGGTGGCTCACCTGTAATCCCAGCATTTTGGGAGGCCGAGGCGGGCAGATCACTTGAGGTCAGGAGTTCGAGACCAGCCTGGCCAACGTGGTGAAACCCTGTCTCTACTAAAAATACAAAAAAATTAGCTAGGTGTGGTGGCACGTGCCTGTACACCCAGCTACACGAGAGGCTGAGGCTGAAGAATCACTTGAACCTGGGAGGTGGAGGTTGCAATGAGTCGAGATTTCGCCACTGCACTCCAGCTTGGGTGACAGAGCTAACTCTGTCTCAAAAATAAAATAAAATAAAGCAAACCAACAGAATGCCACCAACCTCCAATAACCACTGAGAGCATCCCTTCAGATGTCCCTTCCTCCCTTCCCCTTTCCTTCCTCTCCTCCTCTTCTTCCTGTTCTGAGTCATGTTTCTCAAGGAGAGACAAGTTGTACTTTGGGATCTGGTCTCTTTTCTCACACATCTCTGCTCTCTAGGGGGGCACCTCCCTCCCTATGGATATCACAGGGAGTTTTTTTCCTTTTAGAGTTTGAATGGAGGAAGACTTCAGACAGAACTGTACACAGCACAGAGCTGCAGAGAAGTGGAAGATTAAGAGAAAATAATGTTGGACAAATTAGATGTAGCTTGTATAATCTGGAGCTACAGTCACGAGAATAGGATGTAACATAAAGTCTAATGTGATTCAGCAAACACACGTTTTCATTACTTTTGTGCAGATGGCTCTGCTAGGTGACTTGGAAGGGAAGGAAACCGAGGCAGTGTTGCTTCCTTCGAGGAAGACAGAGTTGCTTCCTTTCCCCCCATCCACTGGGGACAGAATTTCAAAGAGATTACAGCACAGACCAGCCTGTGACAAATGCATGAGCCAAGTGTGATGGGGACACAGAGGCGATTAAAATGCAATCATTAGGGCTGGTCATGGTGGCTCACGCCTGTAATCCCAGCACTTTGGGAGGCCAAGGCGGGTGGATCACTTGAGGTCAGCAGTTCGAGACCAGCCTGGCCAACATGGTGAAACCCCATCTCTACTAAAAATACAAAAATTAGCCGGTGTGATGGCACATGCTTTTAGTCACAGCTACTCAGGAGGCTGAGGCAGGAGAATCGCTTGAACCCAGAAGGCGGAGGTTGCAGTGAGCCAAGATTGTGCCACTGCACTCCAGCCTGGATGACAGAGTGAGACTCAGTCTAAAAAAAAAAAAAAAGATTGCTGTTCTATTTATGCTGTGAACATTGCTGAAAGATTGAGCAGGAAAAATGGAGATCAATGCTCAGTAAGTTCCACCTGAAAGACCTCCTTTGAACATAGCAACTGTTCACTTGGTGAAATTTGGCTATACAGGTAATGAATACTTTGTGAGAAATCACACTCTGTGGTCTCCGAGTAGCATTAACAATCTCTTGCAACAGAGAAAGCTGAAATGAAGAGGAGAAGTGTAGAAAATGTCATCTGAGGGCGCGCGTGGTGGCTCATGCCTGTAATCCCAGCACTTTAGAAGGCAGAGGCAGGTGACCTGAGGTCAGGAGTTCAGCCTGGCTAACATGGCAAAACCGTCTCTACTAAAGATACAGACATTAGCCGGGCGTGGTGGCGTGCACCTATAATCCCAGCTACTCAGGAGGCTGAGGCAGGAGAATCACTTGAACCCGGGAGATGGAGGTTGCAGTGAGCCGAGATGGCGCAACTGCACTCCAGCCTGGGCAACAAATGGAGACTCTGTCTCAAAAAAAAAAAAAAAGAAAAGAAAAGAAAATGTCATACCCAACAGTGTGTTGGGTATGACAACTACTAGTGTGTCCAGCCATCCTGGTTTGCCTGGGACTATCCTATTTTTAGCTCTGAAAAGTCTTTTTAAAATTTTATTTATTTATTTATTTTTGAGATGGAGTCTCGCTCTGTTGCCCAGGCTGGAGTGCAGTGGCATGATCTTGGCTCACTGCAAGCTCCGCCTCACGGGTTCACGCCATTTTCCTGCCTCAGCCTCCCAAGCAGATGGGATTACAGGCATGTGCCGCCACACCTGGATAATTTTGTATTTTTTTAGTAGAGACAGGGTTTCTCCATGTTGGTCAGGCTGGTCTCAAACTCCCAACCTCAGGTGATCCACCAGCCTCAGCCTCCCAAAGTGCTGGGATTACAGGCATGAGCCACCGCGCCTGGCCATGTTAACTATATATTAAGATACGAAACAGCTTTCTTTCAAGGGGTGCAGCTTTAAAACAGTCTACAGTAGCAAGGCATTTAACCTGTACTCGGAAGCCAGGAAACCTTGGCCTGACTTGCCACTGTGTTCTTTGAAAAGTCCGTCGTTAATGTTTGACTATTCTTAATGACAATTTGTGGCTTATCAGGTTGACGTTTTCCTTTCTTTTCAGGCAGCTGAGACTTAAGGGAGTGAAGTAATTTGGTGGTATTCATTGCAGGGGCCACATAGATACTGTCAGTACGCTTTTAAAAATCTTTTTAAAGTAATAGATGCTCATTATAAAAATTCAAACAATACAAAAGTGTAGAAAGTAGAAAGTACTTTCTACTTCAGGAAGAAAATTTCCCACTCTCAAATTGTCATTCCGTCACAAGTTTGATGTGTATCTTCTCAGTGTTTTGTTGGACATATGTTAACACATGGATTTTAAAAAATGAATTGGATGATATGTGTACTAATCAGTCTTCTTTTTTTATTCAAACTATATATCATGACCATCTTTCTAAGTCAGTAATACAGCATTATCTTTTCCTTGTTTTTTTTTTTTTTGAGAGAAAGTCTAGTTCTGTCACCCAGGCTGGAGTGCAGTGGTATAATCATAGCTCACTGCAACCTCTGCCTCCCAGGTTCAAGTGATTCTCATGCCTCAGTCACAGGAGTAGCTGGGACTACAGGCACATGCCACCACACCCAGCTACTTTTTGTATTTTTTAGTAGAGACTGGGTTTTGCCATGTTATCCAGGCTGGTTTCGAACTACTGGCCTCAAGTGATCTGCCTGCCTCAGCCTCCCAAAATGCTGGGAAGACACTGCATCAGCCAAAAAAAGTATCTTGTGTTTAATTTGGCCTATGTCTTCCTTTTCTGATCACTGCATAATTTTTCAGTGTCTGGTTATACCTTATTTTTTCTTAATTAATTCTTTATTGATGGACAGCTAGGTGATTTAACAATTTGATAAAGAATGCTGCAATAAATATCTTTTGTCATTTTTGCACATTGTCCAATTATTTCCTCTATATAAATTCACTTTTTTTTTGATGCGGAATCTCACTCTTTCGCCCAGATTGGAGTGCAATGGCGCAATCTCGGCTCACTACAACCTCCACCTCCTGGGTTCAAGCAATTCTCGTGTCTCAGCCTCCCGAGTACCTGGGATTACAGGCACGCGCCACTATGCCTGGCTAATTTTTGTATTTTTAGTAGAGACAGGGTTTCACCATGTTGGCCAGGCTGGTTTCGAACTCCTGACCTCAAGTTATCCACCCACCTTGGCCTCCCAAAATGCTGGGATTGTAGGCATGAGGCACTGTGCCCAGCCTCCTCTATACAAATAATTAAAAGTAGAATTGCTGAGTTAAAAGCTTTCAACTAGGTTTAGAATGTGGAAGATACACAAATCTGAATTCACTTTATGGGGTGCATATTTGAGACTAAATTAAAACTAATTAACTTGAGGAAGAAAGAAAATATCGTAATTCAAATGATACTGTGGAAAAAGTAGCAGAGTAGGAGTTAGAATACTTTGGTTCTAGAGCTTGTTCACCTTCCAGCTAACTGGTTGACCTTTGACAAGCTTCTTAACCTTTTTGCACGTCTGACTCTTGCCTCCAGTTGTATCTGGTCTCATGAATCTTCCAAATAATTGACAGAGTCATTTTCTACAATGCGAATATGACCTCTGCTTAAGTCCATCAGGAGCTCACCATTGCCTTTGGGGTGAAGCTAAAACTCCTAGCTAACCATGCAGCAGTCTGTGTTTGTAGCTTCCTCTCCCTCCACGTGCCCAGCCAGGACCTTTGATCCACCTGTTCTCACCTCCTTTCATTGCCTTCAATGCTCACAGTTTGCTAAGCCTCCAGATGTTGGTTCAGGTTGTTCCCTCCTTCTGGAATATCTGGTCCCTTCTCTGACCAGCTGACTTCTACTCATTCTTCAAGAAATAGCTTGGACTTTGTATTAGTCCATTCTCACGCTGCTATAAAGAAATACCCAAGATTGGGTAATTTATAAAGGAAAGAGGTTTAATTGACTCACAGTTCCGCATGGCTGGGGAGGCCTCAGGAAACTAATAATCATGGTGGAAGAGAAAGCAAACATATCCTTCTTCACAGGGCAGTAGAAGAGAAAGAACGAGCAAGAACAGGGAAAACTGCCTTAATTAACCATCAGGTCTCTCGAGAATTCACTCACTATCACGAGAACAGCATAGGGAAAACCACCTCCATGATCCAATCACTTCCCACTAGGTCTCTCCCTCAACACCTGGGGATTACAATTCAAGATGAGATTTGGGTGGGGACACAAAGCCTAACCATATCAGACTTCTTACCTTCTCAGAAGACTTTCCTGACACCTACAGGTTGAACTGATGCCTCTTCTCTTGGCTTTTGTGAAGGCAGCATATTACTTTACACATCCTCTGTAAATAGCACACACTGTATTACAACGGCTGACTTTCTTATCTGGGTCACTTCATTCTTTTGAGGGCAGAAACCGTGACCTGTTCATCTTTGAATTTATAGTATCTACCACAGTGTCTGACACATACAGATGTTTGCTGAATCTTTGTGGAATAAAACAATTGATCTATAAAATAAGTGATTGGATTCAGTAATACAAAATTGCAGCCAAGTATGGTGGCTCACACTTGTAACCCCAGCACTTTGGGAGGCTGAGGTGGGTGGATTACCTGAACTCAGGAGTTTGAGACGAGCCTGGGCAACATGGTGAAACCCCATCTCTATAAACAATATGAAAAAATTAGCTGAGTATGGTGGTGCACACCTGTAGTTCCAGCTACTTGGGGGGCTGATGCAGGAGGATTGTTTGAGCCCAGAAGGTCAAGACTGCAGTGAGCTGTGTTGGCACCACTGCATTCCAGCCTGGGCAACAAAGTGAGACCGTGTGTCCAAAAAAAAAAAAAAAAAGTAGAAGTTTATGAGAATTAAAAGTTCAAGGAAACCTCAGAACTACTAAGGAAACATCTCAAAATAATACAGTAAAAAAAACACAAACAAAGCCAGGTGCGGTGGCTCACGCCTGTAATCCCAGCACTTTGGGAGGCTGAGGCGCGTGGATCACGAGGTCAGGAGTTTGAGACCAGCCTGGCCAGCATAGTGAAACCCCATCCCTACTAAAAATACAAAAAAATTATCCGGGCGTGGTGGCGGGCGCCCATAATCCCAGCTACTCGGGAGGGTGAGGCAAGGAGAATCGCTTGAACCTGGGAGGTGGAGGTTGCAGTGAGCCAAGATCGCGCCACTGCACTCCAGCCCAGGTAACAGTGTGAGACTCTGTCTCAAGAAACAAACAAACAAACAAAACACACACACAAACAAACAAAGGAATTAAAATGGCACACTGGAAAATAACATGAAAGAAAGCTATTAAAAAGGAACAGACTAACAAAAAAGACATGAAGGATATAAAAAACAAATAGCAAAATGTCAGGTGTAAATCCAACCACATCAATAATTACATAAATGCAAATGGATTAAATACTCCAATCAACAGGCAAAGATCGTCAGACTGGATTAAAAAAAAAAAAACACCAGGATCCAACTATGTATTGTCTATAAGAGACACACTTCAGATTCAAAGACACAAATAGGTTGAAAAGAAAAGGATGGAAAAATGTATAGCCTGCAAGCATAAGAGAGCAGGAGTGGCTATATTAATATCAGACAGAAGAAAATTTAAGACAAAAAATGTTACTAGAGACAAAGAGGGACATTTTATAGTGATAAAAACAACAATACAACAATTATATATGTGTCCAATAACAAGAGTAGAAGGGAATTGTAGAATGAATTATAGAACCTTTACAGTGTGAATATTGTAACTTACAGTGTGTAAATTACAGTGTGTTTTCAGAACCATACCTTGGAACCTCTCCAGATTCTTTACCTTGTGGCCTCCTGTCCACTCCATTCTAAGGTGTTATCATACTGAAGTGCACCATAGTGGTGGTCTTGATGGGGAAAAGAAATCACAGTAGCACTAACAGGAAACATCCTGAGGGAAGAGGCACTGTCATTTTTAGGTGTAGGGAAGATGTTTAAGAGCCCGTTTTAAACATCTGAGCTTCTGGTCTTTGGAATTTTGTCAGCCCAGAGACAGTTTCTTTTCTTCTCAATTCTCTTTTCCTTTAATTGGTCTTCTTCTTGCCATACCTCATTCCTTAGTCATCCTGGTCTTGATCTCAGAAATCTCACATTCTCATTGATTTAGCATGGTTTTCTACTCTAGTGCCAGTTCTACTGTTGGATGGAAAGAACCATCTTCTGATGTGACAGGAAGCCTTAATTATTAATTTAAAATTCCCCTACCCTTCTCCAACTTCTATGGAAGTTAACTCAGGAATTATTGGAGTAGGTTGAAGATTCTCTGAGTGGGAGGATGGGTGAGATTCAAATTAGAGAAGTACTATGAGGACTAAATGACCCTACCTAAGAAAGACAGTTTCCAAACTAAAGTTATGGGAGTTGGGTACGTAGGTAGGGACTCGGGAACCATCTTGGCTAGAGAAGGGTCAGAGGAAAAATACAGAGGAAATTCATGGGAGAGAGTATCAGGGTGGATATATACGGAACAGATGCATACTTCAAGGGGACATTTAGACATTTTGCTCTGGGATGAGCAAAATCACCCTCTTTTTCATCTCCCAACAAACCATTTAATAAAAAGTAAGACATTACTCATTATCGGAGCAGGATCTGTTGATTTCGTTTTTTAATTTTTTTAATTCATTTGTGTTTGATGTGATGATGTGCCAAGACCAGCCTGAAGGTGGCCAAGGGCAAAAGCAGAGGTTGTTATTTGCAGGCTACGTTGACACTAGGTAGTGAACTTCACAGCTCAACACATCCACACATATTGGCTGAACGTTAATTAGTTCTGCCTAGTTACAGGGTTTCCAAAATGGATGAGACATTCTGCCTCCCCTCAAGGAATTTGTGGGCTGGTAAAGGAGACAGACACAGTAACAGATCATTATGTAATATGCTAAGTGCTTTATCAGAGGAAAAAAGCTGGGTGCAGGCTGGGCGCAGTGGCTCACACCTGTAGTCCCAGCACTTTGAGAGGCCAAGGCAAGCACCTGAGGTCAGGAGTTTGAGACCAGCCTGGCCAATATGGTGAAGCCCATTTTCTACTAAAAATACAAAAAATTAACCAGGAGTGGTGGCACATGCCGGTAGTCCCAGCTACTCGGGAGGCTGAGGCAGGAGGATCGCTTGAACCCAGGAGGCAGAGGTTGCAGTGAGCCAAGATTGCACCAGTGCACTCCAGCCTGGGTGATAGAGCAAGACTCTGTCTCAAAAAAAAAAAAAAAAGAAGCTAGGCGCATCAGGGGCTTTGAGCCTTCTGACCCAGCCTGGGAACAGGGAGAAGCACAATTCAAGGGGACATTTAGACATTTTGCTGTGGGAGGAGCAAAATCACTCCTGGCAGGAGCGACCCCCGGGCTCAGTTCACCAGGTGAAAGGAACAGGCAAAGTCACATAAGTACAAAGCAGTGTGGTGCTTCCTGGGACCAAAAAGCAATTCGTTATCAATAAAACATACTTTGCGTTGGTTCCCATCTTACCGAACCTTCTTTCCTTTCTTCTTTCTTCCCTGCTTCCTTCTCACACGCCCTCCACTCACCTCTCAGAACTCATTCTATGTGATCTCTACCCAAAGCACAGTGCTAAGAGCCCGGAATAAAACGGGCAAAACCAACCTAGCCATTGTCCTCATAGAATTAATCATACAAATAAAAATATAATTTTAACCTGTGGCAAGTGCTCAGACAGAAAAAATCCAGTTAGGCTGCCAGTAAAAATACTAGATGTGGCCGGATGTGGTAGCTCATGCCTGTAATCCCAGCAGTTTGGGAGGACAAGGCAGGTGGATTGCTTGAACCCAGGAGTTTGAGACCAGCCTGGGCAACACAGCAAACCCCATCTCTACAAAAATACAAAAACAAAACACAAAAATTAGCCAGGTGTGGTTGTGTGCACCTGTAGTACCAGCTACTTGGGAGGTTGAGGCAGGAGGATCACCTGAGCCCAGGAGGTTAAGGCTATAGTGAGCTGTGATTGGGCCACTGCACTCCAGCCTGGGTAACAGGAAGACCCTGTTTCACCAAAACAACAACAACAACAACAACAGCAGCAGCAACAACAAACAAAAAACTCCCCCAAACAGGTGCCCAGTTAACTTTGAATGTCAGATAAACAACATATATGATTTTGCAGTATAAGCATGTCCCATGCAATATTTGGGACATACTTATCCTACACAAAAATTGTTTTTTCTGTGAAATTCAAAGTTAACTGGATGTCCTGCCTTTTTTTTTTTTTTTTTTTTTTTTTTTTTTGAGGTGGAGCGTCGCACTGTTGCTCAGGCTGGAGTGCAATGGCGCCATCTTGGCTCACTGCAGCCTCCACCTCCCAGGTTTACTAGATTCTCCAGCCTCAGCCCCCTGAGAAGCTGGGATTACAGGTGCCCACCACCACGCCTGGCTAATTTTTTTGTATTTTTAGTAGGGACAGGGTTTCACTATGTTGGCCAGGCTGGTCTTGAAGTCCTGACCTTGTGATCCGCCCACCTTGGCCTCCCAAAGTGCTGGGATTACAGGTGTGAGCCACCACACCTGGCCTGCATTTTTATTTGTAAACCTGGCAGCCTTAAGTCCAAGATCCCATGAGCTCACATGACTAGGGGACCTGAGTTAACCTGGGCTGCAATGGGAGAAGGTGATTGGAGAAAGCCTGACATCTGCAGAACAGGGAGCTGCACCTGGGAGAGGAGGCCGGAGAGGGGAGTGACCTGGAGAAGGGAACAGCCTGAATGCGAACAGAAATTGGCCCCAACAGAGCGTTCAAGAGTCTGAGAGAAGGCTCCTGGGGCTTGAGCACAGACATTTAGTTTACTGGGATATGGAGAGAGGAGAAGCAATTGGAAAATGAGTAAATATATCATGCTTTTAAGGAGGCATGCTGTACAAGTAAATGTCAGGTACAGTGACTCAGGTTATTGATTTGAAAGATTAGTCAGTGGAGACATGTGCTGGACTTACTCAGTCCCTCTGTTGTCAAGGAAGTCCAACGCCACCAGCACTAGATCCTTCAACAATGCAGAGTCCTCCCGCAAATGAATCTGACTTTGCCTGTAAACCGCGGAGAGTTTCAAAAACTGGAAAGCATTACAGGTGGCCAGTTTGTTTCCATTTATATAAAGTGCAGCAAAAATGATCTGTCAGAGAGAGAACATTGGGATAAATTTCTTTTTTTTTTTTTTCTTCTGGAGACAAGGTCTTGCTGTTGCCCAGGCAGGAGTGCAGTGGTGCGACCATGGCTCCCTGCAGCTTTGAACTCTTCATCTTAAGGGATCCTCTCACCTCAGCCTCCTGAGTAGCTGGGGCCACAGGTGTGCACTAGTATGTCTGGCCAATTAAATCAATTAAATATATATATATTTTGTAGAGGCGGGGATCTCACTATGTTACTCAGGTTGGTCTTGAACTCTTGGTCCCAGGCAATCCTCCTGCTTTGGCCTCCCAAAGCCCTGGGATTGCAGGCATAAGCTACATCACCTGGCCTGAAATACGCTTGAAGGCATCCTTTGAACCACTGTTATCACAGAAGTGTGGTCAGGTTCAGTGTGGAGAGTGAATGAGAAGCTGGGCAGGAGCCTGTGCGAGTTGGGCTTTGTGGAGACACACAGAAAGATGCCCCCCACTTTAACCACCTTCCCTTGCCTCGTCGTTTGACTGCTGAGGTCTTACTCACACTCTGAGACTGTAGCTTTCACGTGGCCTCCTCTAATATATTTTCAGTGTAGCCTTAACAATGAATCGTAGTAACTTCTCACCTTACATGCTCCCCAAAAGATGTCACTTTGGGAGAACATATTCAAGGAACCCTCCCCAATCCTGACCCCCATCCCCACCCCAGCTCCTGCTGCTGTTGACACAACTGCCTTAGCTGTGAGGCTGTGCCATCCATTGGAACCTGGGACTTTCCAATGTTGGGATGCCTCAGCATCATCAAGCAAAATTGGGGTTCTTTTTGTGTATGCTTTAAAAAAAAAAAAAAAACTTGAAGCATAAAACTATTACTGGAAAGTGGTCCTGATCCAGACTGCAAGAGAGGGCTCTCGGATCTTGTGCAAGAAGAAATTTGGGGCAACTCCATAGAGTAAAGTGAAAGTAGTTTATTAGAGAAGTAAAGAATCAAGGCCGCGCACAGTGGCTCATGCCTGTAATCTCAGCAGTTTGGGAGGCCGAGGCGGGCAGATCACCTGAGGTCAGGAGTTCGAGACCAGCCTGGCCAACATGGCAAAACCCCATCTCTACTAAAAATACAAAAATTAGCCAGGTGTGGTGGTGGGCGACTGTAATCTCAGCTACTCAGGAGACTGAGGCAGGAGAATCACCTGAACCTAGGAGGCTGAGGTTGCAGTGAGCTGAGATTGGTCCACTGCACTTCAGTCTGGGCGACAGAGTGAGACTTCATCTTAAAAAAAAAAAAAAAAAAAAGGATTCCAAAGAATGTCAGGTATGGTGGCTCATACCTCCCAGCACTTTGGGAGGCCAAGGCGGGAGGATTGGTTGAGGCCAGGAGTTCAAGACTACACTGGCCAACATAGAGAGACCCTGTCTCTAATTTTTTTAAAAAGAAGAAACTAAAAGAATGGCTTCTCTGTAGGCAGAGCAGTCTTGAGTGCTGCTGGTTGACAATTCTTGTGGTTATGTCTTGATCGTATGGTAAACAAGAGGTGGATTATTCATGAGTTTTCCGGAAATGGCACAGGGAATTCCTGAAACTGAGAATTCCTCTTCCTTTTAGACTATATTGGGTAACTTCCAGAAGTTGCCATGGCACTTGTAAACTGTCATAGTGCTGGTGGGAGTGTCTTTTAGCATGCTAATGCATCATAATTAGTGTATAATGAGCAGTGAGGATGACCAGTGGTCACTTCTGACACCATCTTGGATTGGGCAGGTTTTGGCCAGCTTCTTTATTGCACCCTGTTTTATCAGTGGGGTCTTTGTGACCTGTATCTTGTGACCTCCTGTCTCATCCTGGGACTAAGAATGCCTGACTTCCTGGGGTTGCAGCCAAGTAGGTCTCAGCCTTATTTTACCCTTATTCAAGATGGAGTCACTCTGGTTCAAATGCCTCTGACAAAGCCAGCATAGATGAAGACCTAACACCCTTGAGCAAATGAAAGATCTGTGTGATGGAACAGTTGCGTGTCTTGATTGGGGTGGTTGGTTACCTGAATCTGTACATGTGATAAAATTGCACAGAACCACACACACACATACACACACACACCAATGAATTGGATGTAAAACTGGTGAAATCTGAATAAGGTCAGTTATGCAAAATGTCATCACTGGGGAACATTGGGTGAAGGTTTTTTAGGACCTCTCTGACATACAAACGGATATAAATCAGCAATTCTCTCCAAATAAAAAGCTAAACAACAAAACCGACCCCAAACACTGACACCTTGTATCCATCATCCAAATTTGGTCAATGCTAAGATATATATTTTTTTTTTTTTTTTGAGACTGGGTCTCAATGTGTCACCCAGGCTGGAGTGCAGTGGTATGATCTCGGCTTACTGCAAACTCTGCCTCCTGGGTTCAAGCGATTCTCATGCCTCAGCCTCCCAAGTAGCTGGGATTACAGGCACCCACCACCATTCCAGGCCAATTTTTGTATTTTTAGTAGAGACAGGGTTTCACCACGTTGGCCAGGCTGGTCTCAAACTCCTGACCTCAGGTGATCCACCTGCCTTGGCCTCCCAAAGTGCTGGTATTACAGCTGTGACCCACCGCACCCAGCCCTAAGATCTTTGTATTAGTCCTTTTTAGAAAAATAAAACAAAACCTTAAAGATTCAGCTGGAGACTCCTACTCAGTCCTTTTTCTTTCCAGAAATGACCCTTGTCATGGAATTAATATGTATTTATCTTTTCCACATTTGCTTTTACTGTATTATGTGCATAGTCATAAACAGTCTGTGATATCCTGTTATACATTTCCTTTGGTAGCTTATTTTGCCACTAAACATGTTTTCAGGATTTATGCATGTTGAAACATGTAGATCAATTCTTTTAATTTTTTAACTGCTCAAAGTATTTCTAATAGGTGAATATACCACAAATTCTTCAACCAATCTTCCACTGATAATAGGTTGTTTTCCATTTTTCAGTATTACCAGACATTGCTATCATGGCCATCCAGGTATAAATGCCTTTTTGGGTCAAGAGTTTCTGCAGGGTTTTTATCTAGAATTGAAAGTGCTAAGCAGACAGTATGCACATACTAAACTTCAGTAAACATTGAGAAATTGCTATCCAACTGTGACTCTATAAATTTATGGCTGTCCCAGCAGGTGGTAATAATCACCATTTCCTTATATTTTCACCAGCCAACCTGATCTTTCCAGACTGTTAAAAGTTTGCCAATCTGATGGATGTAAAGTAGTATTTCATTGTTATTTTATTATTGTGTTTTCCTGATTTCCAATGAGGTTAGACATCTCTTCATAGGTTTATTAGCTGGAATTTCCTCTTCTGTGAATCCTGAGGTCGTACCCTTTTGCCCTTTTTTTTTCTATTGTGTTGTCATTGTCATAGGTATTTTTTGTATTTTGTTCCCGATTGTTTTGTATGTTTGTGTATTATAAATTTCAGCTTGTGGCCTGTCTTTTAAAAAAAGACTTTTTATTTTGAGATTATTGTAGTTTGCGTGCAGTTCTAAGAAATAATACAGAGATCTATGTATGCCTTTCACCCATTTTACCCCAATGGTGACATTTTGGACAGCTAAATACAGTATCAAAGACAGGAAATTGACATTGATACAATCCATTCATCCTATTCAGATTTCACCAGATTTATGTGTGTGTCTGTGTGTGTGTGTGTGTATTTAGTTCTATACAATTTTATCATATATTTAGATTTGTGTGACTATCAACAAAGTCAAGATACAGAACAGTTCCATCACAAAGGTTCCTCCTGCTACTTTTGTATAGTTACAGTTACCTTGCCCCATTCAACCCCTAGCAACAACAATTAGTTTTCTATTTCCATAATTTTGTCATTTCAAGAATATTAAAGAAATGGAATCATGCAGTATATAACCTTTTTGAGATTGGCTTTTTCACTCACCGTAATTCTCTCAAGATCCATCCAAGTTGCTGTGTGTATCAGCCATTCATTCCTTTTCATTGCCAAGTAATATTCCATTGTATGGATGTACCATGGTTTGTTTTACCCATTGAAGGACATCTGGATTATTTCCAGTTACAGGCTATTATGCTTAATGCTGCTATGAATACTCTTATGCAAATTTTTGTGTGAACATAAGTTTTCATTTCTCTGAGATAAACGCTCAGGAGTGCAGTTACTGAGTTGCTTCAAATGCATATTTAGCCTTATAAGAAATTGCCAAACTATTTTCTAGAGTGGTTGTACCATGTTACATTCCCATTGGCAGTGCACAAGGGATTCAGTTTCTTCCCATCCTCACCTGCATTTGGTGTTATCATTATTTTTTATTTTAGCTAGTCTGATAGGTGTGCAGTGACATCTTGTGGTTTTAATTTGCATTTTCTTTATATCTAATGCTGTTGCACATCTTTTTATGGGCTTATTTGTATGTCCATCTGTATAATCTCTTCAGTGAAATGCCTGTTCATGTCCTTTGTCCACTTACTAATTGGTTTATTTGGGGTTTTTCTGCTGTTGACTTTTAAGAGTTCTTTATGTATTCTAAATACAGGTCCTTGTTGGGTATGTGGTTTGCAAATATTTCCTCCTAGTCTGTAGCTTGTTTTTTCACTTTCTTGTCAATGAAGAGTCAAACTCTGTAAAATATTTGAAGATACTTATTCTGAGCCAAATGGAAGTGAATAATGACCTGTGACACAGCCCTCAGGAGATCCTGAGAACATATGCTCAAGGTGGTTGGGCCACAGCTTGGTTTTAAACATTTTAGGGAGATACAAGGCATCAACCAATATATGTAAGATGTACATTGATTTGGTCCAGAAAGGCAGGACAACTGGAAGCAGGAACTTTCAAGTCATAGGTGGATTCAAAGATTTTCTGACTGGCAATTGATTGAAGGAGTTAAGTTATTGTCTACAGACTGAGAATCAATAGAAAGGAATGTCTGGGTTAAGATAAGGGGTTGTGGAGACCAAGGTTTCATTCTGCAGTCAAAGCCTCTGTGTAGCAGGATTCAGAGAGAACAGATTGTAAATATTTCTTTTCTTTTTTTTTACTTTTTCTTTTCTTTTCTTTCTTTCTTTCTTCTTCTTCTTTTTTTTTTTTTTTTTTTTTTTTTCTGAGGCAGGGTCTCAGTCTGTCACCAAGTCTGGAGTGCAGTGGCACGATCACAGCTCACTACAAACTTTGTCTCCAGGGCTCAAGTGATCCTCCCACCTCAACCTTCCAAGTAACTGGGACTATAGGTGTGCACCTCCCCACCTGGCTAATTTTTGTATTTTTTGTAGAGATGGGGTTTGGCTATGTTGGACAGACTGGTCTCAAACTCCTGGCCTCAAGTGATCCACCCACTTGTCTTCCCAAAGTGCTGGGATTACAGGCATGAGCCACCACACCTGACCTGATTGTAAATGTTTCAATCAGACTTAAAGAGTCTGTTCTATTAATAATTCCAAAAGGAAGGCAGGTATAATGAGGCATGTCTGGCTCTCCCTTCCAATCATGGTCTGAATGACTTTTTCAGGTTAACTTTGACATGCCCTTGGCTGAGAGGAGGGCTCCATTCAGATGGTTGGGGGGCCTTAGAATTTTGTTTTTGGTTTATACTCTTCACAGACTCTTTTGCAGAGCAAAGGTTTTTAATTTTGATGAGGTCTAATTTATCAATTTTCCCTTTTATAGATTATGCTTTGGTGTCAAATCTGGGAACTCTTTGCCCCCCTTTAGGTTCTTAAGATTTTCCCTTGTTTTGTTCTGAAAGTATTATAGTTTTACATTTTACACTAAGTCTGTGAATCATTTTATTTTTTGTGTAAAGCATGATAATTAGGTAGAGATTTATTTTTTTGGCCTGTGGATATCCAATTTGTCCAGTATTGTTTGTTGAAAAGGCTTGACTTCCTCCAATAAATCATCTTCACACTTTTTTTTTTTTTTTTTTTTGAGACAGATCCTTGCTGTGTTGCCCAGGCTGGAGTCCGGTGGTGCAGTCACAGCTCACTGCAACCTCCACCTCCTGGGTTCAAGTGATTCTTGTGTCTCAGCTAAGTAGCTGGGACTACAAGTGCGTGCCACCACACCTGGCTAACTTTTGTATTTTTTTAGTAGAGACAGGGTTTCACCATGCTGGCCGGGCTGGTCTTGAACTCCTGGACTCAAGCAGTCCTCCCACCTCAGCATCCCAAAGTGCTGGGATTACAGGCATGAGCCACTGCACCCACCCTTCGCACCTTTGTGAAAAATAATGTGGGCACATTTGTTTGGGGCTATTTCTGGATTCTCTGTTCTGTTCCCTCAATCTATATGTGTATTCTTCCACCAGTAACACAGTAACACAGTCTTGTTAAAGTAAGCTGTAGGTATATGTAATCATTTGTGATTCCTTCCAGCTTATTCATATTTCTCAAATTATTTTAGCTCTTACAGGTCCTATGCCTTTATATATAAAATTTAGAGTAATATCGTTTATGTCTTCAAAAATTACCTTGCAGGGGTATTGATAGGAATAGCATTAAACCTACAGGTCATTTTGAGTGTAACTGATATCTTTACTATGTGGAGTTTGCCAATCCATGAACACAATATGTCTCCCGATTTATTGAGATATTCTTAATTCTTTCTTCAGAATTCTGTAAATTTCAGCATACATATCCTCTACATATTTTGATAAATTTATATTTAGGTATTTCATTTTCTTTGGAGTAATTATAAATGGTAATGTGTCTTTAATTTTGGTTTCCACATGTTAATTATTAGTATATATAGATGCAGTTCATATTTGTCTCTTGACATTGGATCTTGCAAACTTTCTAAACTCTTGTATTAGCTCTAATAGTTTTTTGGTAAGTTATTGGAGATCTACGTAGACACTTATGTCATCTGCAAATAGGGACAGTTTTATTTCTTCCTTCCTAATTTGTATGCCTTTTATTTCTTTTTCTTGTTTTATTGCACTGGCTAGAACTTCAGTACTATATTGAATGACAGTAGTGAGAGCAGACATTCTTGGCTTTTTCCCAATTTTAGGGAGAAAAAAATCAGGTTCTCACCATTAGGATGTTAGCTGTAGTTTTGTGTAGATACACTTTATTAAGTTGAGAATGTTCTCCCTTATTCCTACTTTCTGAGACTTTTTGTACTACATGAGTGTTGGATTTTGTCAAATGCTTTTTCTGCATCAATTGATACAATTGTATGATTTTTTATTTTTACCTTGTTAATATAGTGGATCACACATTGATTGATTTTCAAACTAGCTTTGCATACCTGGATTGTCCCACTTAGTTGTGGTGTATAATTCTTTTCATCCATCATTGGGTTTGATTTGCTAGTATTTTTAGTATTTTGTTGAAAATTTTTGCTCTAAGTTCATGAGGAATATATTGGTCTGTAGTTTTCCTTTGTTGTACTGTCTCTCTCTGGTTGTGGTATGACGGTAATACAAGATTCATAAAATGAGTGATGGAGTGTTCCTTTTTCTTTCTTTCTTTCTTTTTTTTTTTAGACAGAGTCTTTCTCTGTCGCAAGGCTGGAGTGCAGTGGCGCGATCTCAGCTCACTGCAACCTCCAACTCTCAGGTTCAAGCGATTCCCCTGCCTCAGACTCCCAGGTAGCTGGGATTACAGGCACATGCCACCACGCCCGGCTAATTTTTTGTATTTTAGTAGAGACGGGGTTTCACCATGTTGGCCAAGATGATCTCAATCTCCTGACCTCATGATCTGCCCACTTTGGCCTCCCAAAGTGCTGGGATTATAGGCATGAGCCACCGCACCTGGCCTCTTTTTTTTTTTTTTTTTTTTTTTTTTTTGGAGAGGGAGTCTTGCTTTGTCACTCAGGCTGCAGTGCAGTGGTGCAATCTCGGCTCACTGCAACCTCTCCCTCCCAGGTTCAAGTGCTTCTCCTGCCTCAGACTCCCGAGAAACTGGGACTACAGGCGCCTGCTGCCACGCCCAGCTAATTTTTTGTATTTTAGTAGAGATGGGGTTTCACGATGTTGCCCAAGCTAGTCTTGAACTCCTGACCTCAAGTCATCCTCCTGCCTCGGCCTCCCAAAGTGCTAGGATTACAGGCGTCAGCCACTGTGCCTGGCCAAGTGTTACCTTTTCTATTTTCCACAAAAGATTGTGTAAAATATGTATTAATTCTTTAAAGATTTGATAGAATTCTTCAATGAAGAATTGATAGAGATTCATTTTTTTTGGCCTATGGATGTCCAATTTGTCCAGCGTTGTTTGTTAAAAAGGAATAATTTGAAAGCTCACAAAGAGAAATATCCAGGCAATTTCTGGAGATTTCTCCTGGAGATTTCTCTTTTGGGAGTTTTTAAATTATGCACTCATTTTCCTTAATGGTTTTAGAACTATGCAGATTTTCTAATTCGTCTTGGATGAGTTTGGTAGAGTGTTGTTTTTGAGGAATTGGTCCATTTCATTAAGTTGTCAAGTTTCTGCGTAAAAAGTTGTTTGCAGTATTCCCTTGTTATCTACTCAGTGGCTATAGAATCTGTAGAGATTATCACCTGTTTCATTTCTGATATTAGTGCTTTGTGTCCTCTCTCTCACTCTCTCTCTCTGTCTGTCTCTTTTTAGAGATAGGGGTCTTGCTGCATTACCTAGGTGAGACTTGACCTCCTGGGCTCAAGAGATCCTCCTGTCTCAGCCTCCAAAGTAGCTGGAACTACAAGCATGCACCACCACGCCTGGCTAATTTTTTGTAGAGATGGGGTCTTGCTATGTTCCCCTGGCTGGTCTCGAACTTCTGGACTCAAGCAATTCTCCCACCTCAGCCTCCCAAAGTGCTAGGATTAAAGGCATGAGCCACTGCACCCAGCCCTCTTTCTTCATATAAGCATTTAGTGCTATTAATTTTACACTGAGTACAGTCTCTGTATCACATATGTTTTGATATGTTGTATTTTCATTTTCATTTGGTTCTATTCTTTAAGTTTTGTTTTAGAATTCTTCTTTGACCTAGAGATTATTTAGAAGTATGTTGTTTAATTTCCAAGTGTCAGGAGATTTTCTGTTATATTTCTGTTATTGATTTCTGGTTTTGTTCCATTATGGTCAGGGAATATAACACATAATTTTAATTCTTTTGAATTTGTTGGGGATTGTTTTTTGGCCGGGGTATGGTCTATCTTGGTAAATGCTCTGTGAACACTTGGAAAAAAATATGTATTCCACTGTTGTTGGGTGAAGTGTTCCCAACTTAAATATCAATTAAGTTGAATGTTATGCAGTTATTCTATATCCTTGCTGATTTTCTGTCTAGTAAGTCTACCAGTTGCTCACAGTGGGATGTTGAAGTGATCAATTGTAACTGTAGATTTGTGTACTTCTCCTTTCGGCTTTATGAATCTTTGTTTCATGCATCTTCAGACTCTCTGTTGTTTGGTGCATACACAGGATTGCTATGTCTTCTTGATAGGTTGACCCTTTTATCATGATGTAATGTCTCTCTGGTAATTTTCTTTGCTTTAAAGTCTACTTTATCTGGTATTAGTAGAGCCATCCTGGCTTTTCTTTTGATTAACATTTGTGTATCTTTTTCTATCATTTTACTTTGAATCTGCCTATATCATTATATTTGAAGTGAGTTTCTTCTAGATAACATATTGCTGGATAATGTTTTCATGTTCATTTTGCCAATCTGTCTTTAAACTGATATATTTAGACCATTTACATTTAAGGCAATTATTAATGTGTTAGGATTTAAGTCTGCCATTTTATTGTTTGTTTCTCCTGTTTTTCCTTCTCTGCTTCTCTTTTCCTACTTTCCTACAGGTTACTTGACATATTTTAAGGATTCCATCTTTTTTTTTTTTTTTTTTGACATGGTCTCGCTCTGTTGCCCAGGCTGGAGTGCAGTGGCATGATGACTTGGCTCACTGCAACCTTTACTTTCCAGGTTCAAGCAGTTCTCATGCCTCAGCCTCCCAAGTAGCTGAGATCACAGGCATGCGTCACTATGCCTAGCTAATTTTTGTATTTTCAGTAGAGATGAGGTTTCGCCATGTTGGCCAGGCTGGTCTCAAACTCCTGACCTCAGGTCATCCACCTGCCTCAGCCTCCCGAAGTGTTGGGATTACAGGCGTGAGCCACTGAGGCCAGCCAGATTCCATCTTTAAAAAAAATTATTATTGATTTTTGTGGGTACATAAGTACCCAAATAAGATAAAACTAAAGTTCCAAGCCTTCTTCTGTTATCATTACCTTTCTGTTTGGAGAATTTCCTTTAGCCTTTTTTTTTTTTTTTGAGTTGTAGCTTTGCTCTTGTTGCCCAGGCTGGAGTGGAGTGCAGTGGTGCCACCTCAGCTCACTGCAACCTCGACCTCCCAGGTTCAAGTGCTTCTCATGTCTCAGCCTCCTGAGTAGCTGGGATTATATAGGCTCCTGCCACCATGCCCAGCTAATTTTTGTATTTTTAGTAGCGATGGGGTTTCATTATGTTGGCCAGGCTGGTCTCGAATGCCCGACCTCAGGTGATCCACCCGCCTCAGCCTCCCAAAGTGCTGGGATTACAGGTGTGAGCCACCGTGCCTGGCCCCTTTAGCCATTCTTTAAGGGCAGGTTTACTAACAACAAATTCTCTTAGTGTTTTCTCGCCTGAGAATGTCTTTGTTTCCTCTTCATTCCTGACATCTATTTTTGCCAGATATAGAATTCACAATTCATAATTCTTTTCTTTTACTTCTTGAAAAATATTGAGTCACTTCCTTCTAGTTGCCATGGTTTCAAAGGAGAACTTGACTGTCATTTAAATTGATGTTCCCTTTCAAATAATGTTTTATGGCTGGGTGCGGTGGCTCACGCCTGTAATCCCAGCACTTTGGGAGGCCGAGGCAGGCGGATCATGAGGTCAGGAGATCGAGACCATCCTGGCTAACATGGTGAAACCCCGTCTCTACTGAAAATACAAAAAAATTAGCCGGGCGTGGTGGCAGGTGCCTATAGTCCCAGCTCCTCGGGAGGCTGAGGCAGGAGAATGGCGTGAACCCAGGAGGTGGAGCTTGCAGTGAGCAGAGATCATGCCACTGCACTCCAGCCTCGGTGACAGAGTGAGACTCTGTCTCAAAAAAAAAAAAAAAAAAGTTTTATTTCTTTCTGAATCCATTCAAGATTTTTCTTTTTTTTTTGTCAGAGTTTAAGGACATGTCTTGGTATGGATTTCTTTAGTTTTATCTTATTTGGGATTTTCTCAGCTTCTTGAATCCATAGGTTATCTTTCTTCAAATTTGGGAAGTTTTCAGCTATTGATTCTTCAAATAATTTTTCAGTACCATATTCTTTCTTTTCTCCTTCTAGGAATACAAATTAATTTTTATTTATTTATTTTGAGACAGGGTCTCACTCTGTTGCCCAGGGTGGAGCGCAGTGGCACAATCATAGCCCACTGCAGCCTCAACCTCCTGGGCTCAAGTGATCTGCTTGCCTCAGCCTCCTGAATTGAGTTGCTAGAACTACAGGCATGTGCCACCACACTCTGCTAAATTTTTTTGTGTGTGTGTGCTTTTTGTAGAGACAGGGTCTCACTATGTTGCTCTGCTGATCTTGAACTCCTGGCCTCAAACGTTCCTCCTGCCTCAGCCTCCTAAAGCACTGGGATTTCAGTCATGAGCCACTGTGCCTGGCCTTTCTCTTTTTTATTCTTATTTTTTTTGAGATGGAGTCTTGCTCTATTGCCCAGGCTGGAGTGCAATGGTATGATCTCAGCTCACTGCAACCTCTGCCTCCGGTGTTCAAGCGATTCTCCTGCCTCAGCCTCCCTAGTAGCTGGGATACAGGCATGCACCACCACGTCCAGCTAATTTTTGGGTTTTAAGTAGAGATGGGGTTTCAACATGTTGGCCAGGCTGGTCTTGAACTCCTGACCTCAAGTGATCTACCCGCTTGGCCTCCCAAAGCACTGGGATTTCAGGTGTGAGCCACCGCACCCAGCCTTTCTCTTTTCTTTTTAAGCAGGTAGCCTTCCTGTTGAGCTATAGTATGAGGGGTGGTTGGGATGTATATTCACTTTCCCCCTTGGTGCTGGGGCCACTTTCCTAGAAAATATGAGGAACAAACCTGACAGTGCTGCATTGCTTCCTGGTAGGGGGTGTACGTTTAGTTCCTTACTGCGCTCTACTGCTGCTGGGGAGTGAGAAATGATGAGTTGACTCGTACCACTTTGTTGATGCAGGGTGAGGGCAGAAACTTAGCTCCCCAATGGGTCCCACTGACACCAGCAGGTGGGGGAGTGAGGCAGGAGTACAGACTAGCCTTGCACAAAGTCAGAGGACAGTCCAAAAGACCACTCTCACTTCTGACACCAGCTGCGAGTTTGGGGGTCCCCAAAACTGTCCTCAACTTTCATGCTTTGCTAGAGGGACTCACAGAACTCCCTGAAAGCTGTTGTACTCACAGTTACAGTTTATTACAGGGAAAGAGTTCAGATTAAAATCAGGCAAGGGAAGAAGCCTGGAGGGCAGAATACAGGTAAGTTCTGAACACAGAGATGACAGTGGAGTAATGGGCAGCTTTAATTGTCCTGGCAATAACATGTGACAAAATGAATGGAGTATGTCAACCAGGGAAGCTCACTCAAGCCTTGGTGTCACTGCTAGACCTTCCTGATACTTGTTTGGTAAAGAAATCAGAGTGCCACCTCCTTCCACTGGGTGGGGGATGGAGAATCAGCTCTCAATTTGTTCCCACCCATGCTACCCCAGCAGGGGAATCAGACTGTTACCACCTGCTTCTGCCACATGGGAGTTGGAAAATCAACTTTAATCTCCTGTCAATGATGTGTGAAAATACACACAAAGTATTGCCAAGCAGGGAAGCTCTCCCAAGCCTTGGTGTCCAGAGTTTTTATTGGGGCTCAGTCATGTAGACCTGGTTGACTGCCCACATTGCTGACCTCATTCTCCAGCCCCTCTGAAGGTGGAGCTGATGCCATGTGACCCAAAGCTCCCATCCTGAATCACATCACTTGACTTTCTGATGTGGCCTAAAGCCCCCCTGTGAACAAACACACTTTTATTAAGCAGGACATTCCAAAGGCTGAGAGATGACCTCCCAGGAGCTGAAGTTTAAATTCATTACTGCATATCCTACTTTGTACATGTCATTCACTTTTTTTTTTTTTTTTTTTGAGATGGAGTCTCACTCTGTTGCCCAAGCTGGAGTGCAGTGGCGTGATCTTGGCTTATTGCAGCCTCCGCCTCCCGGGTTCAAGTGATTCTCCTGCCTCAGCCTTCTGAGTAGCTGGGGTTACTGGCGCCCACCACCATACCCGGCTAATTTTTGTAGTTTCAGTAGAGACAGGGTTTCACCATGTTGGCCAGGCTGGTCTCGAACTCCTTACCTCAGGCAATTCACCCACCTCAGCCTCCCAAAGTGCTGGGATTACAGGCGTGAGCCCCTGTGCCCAGCCCACATCTCATTCACTTTTATTGCTGCCAGGTGGGTGTGGAGGTTCAGCTTCACAGTGAGCTTTGTTGACACCAGTGTAGGTGGAAAATGCAGGCCTGGCTGGCCATGACTTGTGCCACTTGTCCAATCTTGGTGATGCTGATTGGGATGGAGACTCCGGCTCTGCCGGGCTCTGCCAACACCAGGGTGAGAAGGAAAGAAGAGTCATGGTGAGTAGCCTCACCTTGCACCAGCTCATTAAGTCTGCTGAAGGGGAGGGGAGAGAGACGGGAGACCCATCACCAGACCCTGATGACATGGCTGTGGCAGGAAAATCAGGGTACCACCTTCTTCCACTGGGTGGGGGATACAGGATCAGCTTCCCACTCATTCCCATCTATGTACCCCAGCAGGGGAATCAGAGCATCACCACCTGCTTCTGCCATGTGGAAGCTACAAGACCAGATCCCCAGTTGGCCCTGCTGAAATGACAGGGAAGGGGTTGCAGTTTTTCCATCAGTCTTTGGCTGGCAGGGCAGATATGGTTAAAAAAAATTTCTCTATAATCTCAGCATTTTGAGAGTCCAACGTGGGAGGATTGCTTGAGGCTAGTAGTTCAAGACCAGCCTAGGCAACTGTATTAGTCTGTTCTCATGCTGCTATGAAGAAATACCTGAGACTGGGTAATTATAAAGAAAAGAGGTTCAGTTGACTCACCCTTCCACATGTCTGGGGAGGCCTCAGGAAACTTAGAATTGTGTGTGGAAGGCACCTCTTCATAGGGCGGCAGGAGAGAGAATGAGTGCAAGCAGGGGAAATGCCAGACACTTATAAAACCATCAGATCTCATGAGACTCACTCATTATCACGAGAACAGCATGGGGGAAACCACCTCCATGATTCAGTTACCTCCACCTGGTCCCGCCCTTGACACGTGGGGATTATGGGAATTACAATTCAAGGTGAGATTTGGGTGGGGACACAGAGCCAAACCATATCAGCAACATAGTGAGACCTCCTGCTCTACAAAAAATACAATAATTAGCTAGTTGTGTTGATGCACACCTGTAGTCCCAGCTGCTCAGGAGGTTGAGGCAAGAGGATTACTTGAGCCTGGGAGGTTGAGGCTGCAGTGAGCCATGATCGTGTCACTCCACTCCAGCCTAGGCAACAAAGTGAGATCATGGCTTAAAAACAAAAATGAATAAAAAATCCTGTTGCTGGTTTTCTTTCTTTTCTTTTGATTCAGGGGAACTGGCTTTTCTTAGAGCGTTTTTTTTTTTCTGTGCTTGGTAGTGGTTCCAGGTCAGAGGCTTTTCCTTTACTGTGTCTGGGATGTTGGGGTATATGGAAGACAATAAGAAAACTCAGGCTGCTCACTGCCACGAGTGCCCAAAGTCCCAGGATCCAGAGGTAGTATGTCTTCTCCTTTTCACCTTTCAGAATCTCCTTATGCTTGTCTGCTGTGTTATGTCTGTGAGTTATCAGTTGTAAGAGAGAGGACCTGGGAAGAATGACACTACTGCATCTTGGCCAGAACCAGAAGTCCTGTAGCTTGACTTTCACTTTGCTTATGATACTGTATTTAGTTTTGACTTTTAATGAGTCAAATGCATTGACCTTTTCCTCTAAGGTTTGTGTGTGTGTGTCTGTGTGTGTGTCTGTTTAAGAAATCCTTCTCGACATTCAAGTCATAAAGATAGCTCAGACTTTTTCTCTAGTTTTTAATTTTTTTTAGATGGAGTCTCACTCTGTTGCCCAGGCTGGAGTGCAGTGGCACAATCTTGGCTCACTGCAGCCTCTGCCTCTCCCGGGTTCAAGCGATTCTCCTGCCTCAGCCTCCCAAGTAGCTGGGATTTACAGGCACACACCACCATGCCCAGCTAATTTTTGTATTTTTAGTAGAGACAGGGTTTCACCATGTTGGCCAAGCTGGTCTCGAACTCCTGACCTCAAGTGATCCTCCCACCTCAGCCTCCCAAAGTGTTGGGATTACAGATGTGAGCCACCACGCCTGGCCTTTTTCTCTAGTTTTAAAGTGCTTTCCCCACTCCCATATTTAGGTATTTAGTCTAATTGGAATTTATTTTTGGGTGTGACAGTGATTTTCAAAGCATGATCCAAGGACCCTGGGTGACTGAGACTCTGTCAGGAGGACGATGAGGTCAAACTATTTTCCTAATGATGCCAAGATGTAATTTTTCTTTATTGTGTTGACATTCCCAATGACAGTGCCAAAGCATTGGTGGGTAACACTTTTTGCACCTTAGCACAAGAAGGCAGGGCACCCCACTCTACTCATCTTCATATTCTTCATGGCCATGTATTCACAGTTAAACAAACATGCACCAGTTTCATTTAAGAATGTTCTTGATGAAGCAGTGAGAGTTATTATTGTTACTGACTCCTGATCCCAAGTATGTCTTTGAGCTCTTCTGGATGATGGAATGGGAAATACACGAAAAGCACTTCTTCTGGATTCTGAAGCACAATGGTTGTCTCAAGGAAAAGCACTTATGCAGTGGCTGGAACTGAACTAGCTGCCTTTTGTCTTTTGTTTTTTGTTTGCGTAGAACATCATTGAAAGAAATACTGAGAAACTCTGATTTTTCAGCCTTGGGTATTTGTCAGACATTCTCTCAAAAATGAGTAAATAAGCCTGTCACTTCAAGGAAAACAACTGACAGTGTTTGTTGCTGGTGATCAAACTTGAGCTTTCAAATAAACAATTAGAATTCTGGAACACTTGTATCTGTTACCATGGGCTTGATGGTTTCCAATAGAAGACTTTTTGATGTGATTGGTCGTAATGTTAATGAATGTGATTTTGGGGATGAAATGTGTCAAATGTGGAAGATCAGTGTAAATCAGTGGCCTAATGTTTTGTAAATGACCAATACATGATATTCCAAAATCATACTTGAGCAAAAGATCTTTCAAAGAGTAAGATAGACCAATGAATTCTCATGTAACAGAGTATGAATTGATACAGTTTCAGATTCCACATTGCAAGTAAACCTTAAAAATGACTACTTCTTGAGTTTGGGTGTCATAGAAAATAAGAATATTCACAATAATCTGAAAAGGCTATTAAACTACTCCTGCCTTTGCTAACCACACATTTCTGTGAGGTTAGATTTTCCTTATATACTCCAACCAAAACAATATATATTAAAACAGACCGAACATAGAAGCAGATATAAGAATCTAGCCAGACATTGAAACGATTTGCAAAAATTTAAAACAATGTCACTAAAAATTTTTTGTTTTGAAAAATAGAAGATTTTAAAATTAAATAACATGTTACCTATGTTACCATGTAATGAATTTATAGTGAATTTAAAAAATAAATTATTAAGGCCAGGTGTGGTGGCTGACACTTGTAATCCCAGCATTTTGGGAGGCTGAGGTGGGAGGATCACTTGGACCTGGGAGATTGAGAATGAAGTGAGCCATTATCATGCCACGCCACTGCACTCGAGCTTGAGCAACAGAATGAGAGCCTGTCTCAAAAATTTTTTTCTAAAATTTCTCAGTTTCAATTTATCATATAGTTTTCATATATATATATAATATATATATAATATATATTTAAAAAGCTCTTTGGGTCCTCCATATTTTTTTAAATGGCCAGGAAATGTTGATCTATGGCATGAAATAGAGATCTGATTTTATTAATTTTTTTTTTTGGAGATGGAGTCTCACTCAGTCACCCAGGCTGGAGTGCAGTGACACGATCTCGGCTCACTGCAAGCTCCACCTCCTGGGTTCATGCCATTCTCCTGCCTCAGCCTCCCAAGTAGCTGGACTACAGGCACCCGCCACTATGCCCGGCTAATTTGTTTTGTATTTTTTAGTAGAGACGGGGATTCACCGTGTTAGCCAGGATGGTCTCAATCTCCTGACCTCGTGATCCGCCCGTCTAGGCCTCCCAAAGTGCTGGGATTACAGGCGTGAGCCACTGCACCTGGCCAATCTGATTTTATTTTCATTTTCTCATGTGAATAACCAGTTTCTCCAGTAGCTGAAGTAGTCTATCCTATCCCTACTAATTTGTAATATAACCTCTTGCCATTAGTATGTTTCCATATTCATTTGATTGTGTGCCTAGACTCTTTTTCTATTATATATATTTATTTGTTCATCCATATGCCAATTCCACTGTCTTTTTTTTTTTTTTTTTTTTTTTTGAGACAGAGTCTCACTCTGTCACCCCGGCTGGAGTGCAGTGGCACGATCTCGGCTCACTGTAACCTCCGTCTCCCAGGTTCAAGTGATTCTTCAGCCTCAGCCTCCCAAGTAGCTGGGACTACAGGCATGCACCACCACACCGAGCTAATTTTTCTATTTTTGGTAGAGATGGGTTTTCACCATGTTGGCCAGGATGGTTTCGATCTCTTGACGTCAAGATCCACTGACATCGGCCTCCCAAAGTGCTGGGATTACAAGCATGAGCCACTGTGCCCGGCCAGGAATTACACTTTTAGAAATTTGTATTATACAGATATTTGCAGGAATGCATGAAGATCTGTATAAGAGAATTTCATTAGAGCATTGTGTCTAATAATAAAAAATTAGAATCAGTCTAAGAGTCCATCCATAGAGAAGTGGCTAAACTATGGTAGAACTTTAGAGCAAAATATTATGTAGCTATTTGGAAAAGAATGCAGAAGATCTAATTGTATCATCATGGAATGGTCTTCAAGATATTAAGTAGAAAGTCACCAAGTGGAAAAACAAGTCACAGAATATGTAGAGCATGTTCCCATTTCTGCTAAAAAAAAAATAATAATACAAAAACTCAGCCGGGCACAGTGGCTCATGCCTGTAATCCCAGCACTTTGGGAGGCCGAGGCGGGTGGATCACGAGGTCAGGGGATCGAGACCATCCTGGCTAACACGGTGAAACCCCGTCTCTACTAAAAATACAAAAAAATTAGCTGGGTGTGGTGGTGGGCACCTGTAGTCCCAGCTACTCCGGAGGCTGAGGCAGGAGAATGGCGTGAACCCGGGAGGCGGAGCTTGCAGTGAGCCGAGATTGTGCCACTGCATGCCAACCTGGGCGACAGAGTAAGACTCCATCTCAAAAAAAAAACCCACCCAGGTGCATGCCCAACTACTACCAGCGATTTGTCACCTCTGAGAAGAGGAGTGGGATTGGAAGAGAGATGTCAAGGGAACTCTTTTCTTTCCTTTTTAAAACCTACTTCTAGATTGTCTGCATTTTCTATAACAAGAATTAATTAACATATTGCTTGTGTACTTATTTTCTTTTTCTTTTCTTTCTTTTTTTTTTTTGAGATGGAGTCTCTCTCTGTCCCTCAGGCTGGAGTGCAATAATAGCATGATCTCGGGTCACTGCAACCTCCACCTCCCAGGTTCAAGCAACTCTCCTACCTCAGCCTCCCAAGTAGCTGGGATTACAGGTGCCTGCCACCATGCCCGGCAAATTTTTGTATTTTTTTTTTTAGTAGAGACGGGGTTTCACTACGTTGACTAGCCTGGTCTTGAACTCCTGACCTCAAGTGATCTGCCCACCTCAGCCTCCCAAAGTGCTGGGATTACAGGCATGAGCCACCGCGCCTGGCCTGCTGTGTAATTCTAAATAATCATCAGGACCATGAACCTGACCATCTGTGAAAGACAGAGATGTTTCCTGGCAGGATAGGGTCCACTGCCATTGATATTGGCAAGGTGCCTGCTGCTCCTTAGCCTGCTGTAGGTACCAGATTGACCTTGAGTAGAACCAGCCTTGAGAGAAGAGGAAAGGAGAGCCAGGCCCTAATCATAGGGATCCCCAGGGGTGTAGATGATGTTAAGGCAACATCTTCTCTGTGTCTAAGAGAAAAAGAATCTGCCCTGAGTATGAACTGACTTGTGTGCTTTGAGGTCAGTGTCCTAAACAGGAAGCCATGAGGTGAGCAGAGACACTTCCCTGCTGCCTGGGGCTGGGAGTTGGGAAGTGAGAAAACATCCTAGTGGCCACCAGAACCATCCAGTGGGTGGCTCTGAATCCTGCATTGATTTGTTGGGAGACTTTGGAGGAGGAGCCTGGTGTGGAGGGTTGAGCCTGGTGAGTTGGAGGCAGCAGCTGGTTACTTTCCATGCAGAGCAGCTTGGAGTTGAGTCACTCGACAATCCAAGGGCACCTGTGGAAGCAGCCATGACTCATGCTACCTTCAGTTTCACATCTGGAGGAGGAAATCACTGACAAAGCAAAGCAAGGCGACTTCTGGGGGCTGCCGTGTAGGATTCTCCCATGTTTAAAAAAGAAAAAAAGATTGTACAGGATTTAAACATAGCATTTATTGCCTGTGTTCTTAGTTATAAAATTAATACATGTACATAATAATTGTTGTAGTTAGTTATTTTATTCAGCATTTATCCTATGTCAGGTACTGATGCTTCAAGCTTTACATGCGTTGTCTCACTTAGTGTTTCTGACCATTCAGTGGGGGAGATCTGTTATTATACCCATTTTACAGATATGGAAACTGAGTCTATACACACACACACGCGCGTAAAACACATAGAAAAAAATCACCCACAATTCTACCCGCCAAAGTCAACCAACATCCTGATGCGTGTTTTTCTAGTAACCTTTTAATATTTTTCCTGTGTAGCTAATATCCAACTATTTTACTTTCCCATATCCTGCCTTTTTCACTCAGCTCTAAATTATGATCCTAGTCCCAAATCATCACATATTCTTCAATAACTTAACTAGTCCATATGGCCAAACATTGTATGTTTCCAATTTTTCCACTGTTATAAAGGTTGCTGTTGTGAGTTATCTTAGTGGGCTAAACTCCGATTATTCCTCTAGGAAGAACATGGAATGATACATTCTTCTAAAGAAATGTTCTGTGTTTCTATGCTCTTCCCTCTACTAGGAGGCACTTGAACGGAGTGGTTGAGAGTTGTAAAAACCTATTTTTATTTATTTATTTATTTTTGAGACAGAGTTTCTCTCTGAAGCCCAGGCTGGAGTGCAATGGCATGATCTCAGCTCACTGCAACCTCTGCCTCCTGGGTTCAAGTGATTCTCCTGCCTCAGCCTCTCAAGTAGCTGGGGTTATAGATGTCCACCACCATACCTGGCCAATTTTTGTAGTTTTATTAGAGATGAGGTTTCCCCATGTTGGCCAGGCTGGTCTCGAACTCTTGACCTCAGGTGATCCACTCGCCTCGGCCTCCCAAAGTGCTAGGATTACAGGCATGAGCCACCGTGCCTGGCCAGAAAAATCTATGTTTGAGTCCCAGCTCTCTGCTGATCTACAACTATGTAAACTTGGGCAAGTTATGTCCCCTTTCTGGCCCTTGCATACTTACCTATAAAACAAGGCTAAAGTAATATTTACTACCTCAAGGGTTGCTGTGAGGATTAACGATGTAATTACTGTAGGTAGAGGTATCTTAGTCCATTTCATGTTGCTGTAAAGGAATACCGGAGGTTGGGTAATTTATAAATAAAAGAGGTTTATTTGGCTCATAGTTCTGCAGGTTATACAAGAAACATGGTGCCAGCATCTGATTCTGGTGAGGGGCCCAAGAATCTTACAATCACTGTGGAAGGTGAAGGGGAACAGACATCACATGTCAAGAGAGAGGAAGAGAAAAGAGGAAGATGCCAGCTTCTTTAACAGCCAGATCTCTTGGGAATTAAGGGTGAGAACTCACTCAATCCTGCAAACATGGCATGAAGCCATTCACGAGGGATCTGCTCCCATCATCCAAACACCTCTCAACAGGCCCCACTTCCAACACTGGGGATCAAATTTTAACATGAGATTTGGAGGGAACAGATGTTCAGACCACATCAAAAGGGCTTAGCACCTTGTTATTAGGCCTAGAAAGCATCTCCCCCTTCTCCTGCCTCTTGACCACCATATCTAGCTTCAGTGACACTCCTTTTGTGAAATCTCTGATATCTGCGTGGTTAAAATTATGCTCTTCCCCCAACCTCTTTTTTTTTTTTGAGAAAGAGTCTCGCTCTGCTGCCCAGGCAGGAGTGCAGTGGTGCAATCTCAACTCACTGCAAACTTCGCCTCCTGGGTTCAAGCGATTCTCCTGCCTTAGCCTCCCAAATAGCTGGGACTACAGGCACACACCGCCACACCCGGCTAATTTTTGTATTTTTAGTAGAGACAGGGTTTCACCATATTGGCCAGGCTGGTCTCGAGCTCCTGACCTCAGGTAATCTGCCCACCTTGGCCTCCCAAAGTGCTGAGATTACAGGCGTGAGCCACCGCACCTGGCCTCTTTCCCCTTTTTTAAAAAAAGAAGGCGAAATTCACATAACATAGCATTCATCATTTTAAAGTGTACCCTTCAGTGGCTTTATGTACATTCACAGTCTTGTGCAACCATCACCTCTAGATGCCAAACATTTTCATCATCCCACAAGGAAACCACTTACCCATTGACCCCTTATCCACAGTAGTCACTGTACTTCAAGGTTTCCCATATCCCATATCCAGCGTGGCTGGATCCAAGGGATCAAATGCCATCAGTAGGACTCAGTTTTTCTGCATCTACTTGTGTTGGCTTCACTCTCAGGCAGATGCTTTCCATATGGCAATCCCAGTGGCTCTAAGCTTACATTAGCCATCAGGTAGCAATCCCAACAGAGAGAGATCGTTTCATTAGAAGTTTCAATGGAAGTCATGGGACTGAGTATTATTGCCTCAACTTGGATAATTTGCCCATGGCTGAACTGATTACCATGGTGGGGGAGAGGGGAAGAGGTGGCGGTAGAATATTCTGATTGGCCAGGTTCTGGGTCGTATGTTCATTCCTCCAAATTGCATTCAGAAAATGGGTGCTGGATGGGGCAAAAAATCAGGTGTCATTCAAAGTTCACTAGGCTTAGGGAGCTGGGCTCAGAGGCCAGAGGCCTGATCTTGATCTTGTCATCACTTAGCAAATCTCCTGGCCATTCAGGCCTTCACACTTCCTGTCTGTAAATGGGTTTATCACCACTCATTCAAGTCCTAATTATTACCAGCGCTGAGAAACCAATACTTTCTTTTTCCATCTCGCTTGTGTAATTTCTTCGGAGAAGCATTTGGATGGTCTGAACCATTTTTACCCTGAGAAATGGGACTTAGGAAATTATGCAGCCACATTTTATATCCATTCTGGTCATTTCAGTAATTGGTTCTGAGACACTATTTCCCCGAGCACCATCCCAAGTATAAACTACTATTTCCATCTGTGTTACTGGAGGAAACTGGGGAAAGACATTTGTGGGTTTTTTCCCCCCCAGGCCAAAAAAAAAAAGCAAACAAACAACAACAAGAAAAACTAAAGTAGAGCCCAAAACCAATTTGTTGGTTCCCAGCTTGGCTTAGGCACCATTCTAAGCATATTCCACTAGTCCCTCCATCTCCAAACTAGTCATTCTTGGGAGCTGACCTACTTAGTGCACAGCAAAGGAAATAAACAGAAATCCAGCAAGTCCATCATTTGAGAGGCCCATGCTGATGACTCAGAGAATATATAAAATGGCAGGTTGGCCAGGTGTAGTGGCTCATGCCTGTAATCCTAGCACTTTGGGAGACTGAGGTGGGTGGATCACCTGAGGTCAGGAGTTCAAGACCAGGCTGGCCAACATGGTGAAACCTTGTCTCTACTAAAAATACAAAAATTAGCCAGGTGTGGTGGCACAATCGCTGGAACTTGGGAGGCAGAGACTGCAGTGAGCCGAGATCGTGCCACTATACTCCAGCCTGGGCAACAGAGCAAGACTCCATCTCAAAAAAAAAAAAAAAAAGCCAGGTTGTTTTGCTCTTAATCGGGTTACGTTTGAGGATTCTTTTGGTTCTAGGTGACCAAAACCCACTGGGTTCAGCCAAAAGTGGATATTGTTGAAGGATTCTAGGGTGTCTCACAGAACACAGGGCCATGGTTCCACTGGAATTCAGGAAGGGGATAGAGTCCATTGTGAATCAAGGAGGTCCCTCCCACCACCTCTACCTCTTGACTGTTTTTCTCCATGTCTCCTCTATTCTTCTATCTCATGGGAGAGTGACAGAAGTCAGGTTGAGACTGGAATCTTAATCTCAGCACCAAAAGCTCAGGGAAGGAGCCTATTGGTCCAGCTTGGGCCAGATGTTGACACCTGATCCAATCAAATATGGAGAGGGGATGTGAGTTCCATTGTATCAACATGATCGTGTTAGTGGTCCAGAAATACTTCTGAGGGAAAAAAAGGTGTATGTTACACAGTGATATCAATTAAATTCTAAACTATAGTGAAATATTATTGTCATTTCCACCTCTTTTAAATAAATCTGAGATGGTCTAACCCCTAGCATAGTTCAGTTTCTGGGTCTAGATTACTGGGGTTTGAATCCTGGCCCCAATATTTGCTGTGTGATCTTAGGCAAATTACTTAACCTGTCTCTGTGCCTTCGTTTTGTCATCTACAAAATGGGTATAATAATATTACTTACCTGACAGCATGGTTGGAGCCATTAAATGTGTTAATGTAAGTAAAATGCTCAGAACTCTGCCTGGCAAATAGTAAAGATTTAACAAATAGCTATTATTATTACTGTAAAGTTCATTTCATTATGACAGATTGTTTTTCAGATTATTCAAAATATAGAAGATGTTTAAAAGGGAATTTCTATGATAATGGGAAAATAGGGCTGAATAACCATTACTAAGATTGAATATATCATTGCTATTGCCCTTGAATTCTATAATTTGAATTCATATTATTTGAATTCTAGACGGTACTTTTGATTTATAACCTTAAAAGCTTTAGTAAGGGTTTCTTCTAAACAGCCTTATATAAAATAATAGCAATTCTTGCCATCTTACCTAGCAGGAAAAACCAATTGTTTTATCAAGTTTGCCAGCATAAGATTGAAATTTAAAGCCTTTAATATCTTAGTTTATAAAAGACAAGTTACAGAATGTCTCTTTCCTGGATGTCTTAGAATTACAGTATCTTTTAGGGCAGGAGTCTGTGAACCTTTGCTTAAAGGACTCATGGTAAATATTTTTGTCTTTGAGGGCCATATTGTTAAAGGAAAGGGGTCCCGATCCAGACCCCAAGAGAGGATTCTTAGATATTGTGCAAGAAAGAACTCAAGGCGAATCCATAGAGTAAAATGAAAGCAAGTTTATTTATTAAGTTTCTTAAGTTATTAAGAAAGTAAAGAAATAAAAGAATGGCTACTCCACAGCCAGAACAGCAGCTTGGACTGCTCAACTCATAATGCTTAACAGTTTTTTCTAAATTATATGCTAAACAAGGGGCGAATTATTCATGAGTTTTCTGGGAAAGAGGTGGGCAATTCCCACAGCTGAGGGTTCCTCCACTTTTAAGACTATATAAGGTAACTGACATTGCCATGGCATTTGTAAACAGTCCTGGCGCTGGTGGGCGGGTCTTTTAGCATGGTAATGCATTATAATTAGTGTGGAATGAGTAGTGAGGATGACCAGAGATCATGTGCGTTGCCCTCTTGGTTTTGGTGGCTTTTGGCCAGCTTCTTTACCGCAACCTGTTTTATCGGTCAGGTCTTTGTGACCTGTATCTTGTGCCGTCCTCCTAGCTCATCCTGTGACTTAGAATGCCTAACCTCCTGGGAATGCAGCCCAATAGGTCTCCGCCTCATTTTACCCAGCCCCTATTCAAGATGGTGTTGTTCTGGTTCAAACGCTTCTGACAGTATGGTCTCTGTCCCAGCTACTCAGCCCTGCTGTAACACAAAAGCAGTCATCAACAGTACCTAAACAAATGGGCATGGATGTGTTCTAATAAAGCTTTATTTATAGATGCTGAAATCTGAATTTTTTGCAGTTTTCATTTGATTCCACGCTGACCCCTTGCCCCCCGTCCAAATATTCACAAATGTAAAAGCCATTCTTGTCTCACAGGCTGCACAAAAAGAAGTGATGGGCTGGAGATGGCCTTGGGGCCATATTTTTCATACCCTGCTTTAGGAGACAGTGCATTAGCATTCTGACAGCAGGCAGGGGAGGTACAAGATGACTGTCTACTGCCTCTTGGGTTCTAACACCCCAGATGCATGTTGACCCCCTGCTGCTTCTCATCATGCGTTTCTCTTAAAAGATACATAGTATTTGTGGGGCTGGGCGCGGTGGCCCACATCTGTAATCCCAGCACTTTGGGAGGCCGAGGCGGGTGGATCACGAGGTCAGGAGAGCAAGACCGTCCTGGCTAACACAGTGAAACCCCATCTCTACTAAAAAAAAAAAAAAAATACAAAAATTAGCTGGGCGTGGTGGTGGGTGTCTGTGGTCCCAGGTACCCCGGAGGCTGAGGCAGGAGAATGGCGTGAACCGAGATCGCGCCACTGCACTCCAGCCTGGGCAACAGAGCGAGACTCCGTCTCAAAAAAAAAAAAAACAAAGATATATAGTATTTGTGTGACTTTCTTGGTTTTGTGCAACAGAAAACTCAACCCAAACTGCATATGCAAAAAAAAAAAAAAAAAAAAAGGAATGTACTAACCGGGGTTTCTACACTCTAGGGGTGGTTGAGGCAGGAGTCCAAAGTCTATCTGTTTATCCCTCAGCTTTTATCCCCTCCATGAGGGCTTTGTTCTTAGGATTCAGGGTTTCTTTTCCCCCAGGGGGGTTCACAGCAAAGTTCTGGGTCTGACTACTTCTGGTGTGTATCTGATCCTATATCTATCTGAATCTGAACGGGAAGGGAACACAGTGAGCACCTTAGGCCACACCTGGGTAGGGTAAGCCCCATTAAATTTGCAAGTCCTGGGAGCGGTGGTGCCAGTTGGTTCCCCAAAGGAAACAGGTCCTATTACCTAAGAAAGGTGAATGGATACTGGGAGGCAAATCAACAAATGTCCATTGCACATGAGGACATCACACTGTGACATTTAGAATCTAAATGCTCTGAACAAAATGTATAGGGGACCTTCCAGGAACGGGAAATTGCTGGTCCTACCCCCTCTTTTTGGAGAAATTGCTGTTCCTCCCATTGGCAAAATTCCCCTCGCAGGTTCCAGCTTCTTTCTCTTAGAACAGACCTTCTGGTTTGGCAAGCCCAGTCCCACATCGAGGTTTAGTTCTGGACTTCTGTGCAGGGTCATGGCACTCGCTTGATTGAAATTTTGTTTGGGGAAGCAATGACCTGAAGAGCTTACAGCCTGGGTCAACCACTCACCACTCTCAGGAAAAGCAGACAGAGCCAAACTTTCTAGCTGGGCTCAAAATAGCTATTTTCTGACGTGGGTCCTCCATGACTCATGGTGGAGTTTTCCAGGCTCGAGGGGACTGTTGACATTTACTCTGCTCCTCCCACGCCACAGAGTCTAACTTTTTCTATCTTCCCCCAAACATAACTCATTACCTCCAGTTTATCCCATGTACACTTCTTTTTCACCCCAGTTTTCTTTTATTTTCAGCGATCCATTCCAGATCCAATATCTTTTTTTTTGAGATGGAGTCTTGCTCTGTCGCCCAGGCTGCAGTGCAGTGGCTCGATCTCGGCTGGCTGCAAGCTACGCCTCCCGGGTTCACGCCATTCTCCTGCCTCAGCCTTCCGAGTAGCTGGGACTACAGGCGCCCGCCCTCATCCGGCTAATTTTTTGTATTTTTTGTAGAGACGGAGTTTCACCGTATGAGCCAGGATCCTCTCGATCTCCTGACCACATGATCTGCCCACCTCGGCCTCCCCAAGTGCTGGGATTACAGGTGTAAGCCACCTGCACCCAGCCCTCCAGATCCAATATCTTTTTCCTCCATCCTTTGCCAAACCAGGACTTCAGCTTCTGGTTACTGGTGCCCACTTCAAGAGATGCCAGGCAGGGAACTCTCAGGACACATACCAGGCCTGCACTGGCATATGTATTTTTTGGAGACAGGATCTCTGTCACTCAAAATAGAGTGCAGTGGCGTGATCATGGCCCACTGCAGCCTTTAACTCCTAGGCTCAAGTGATCCTCCTACCTCAACCTTCTGAGTAGCTGGGACCACTGGCATATGCCACCACACCTAGCTAATTTTTCAAAATTTTGTAGAGATGGGGTCTTGCTATGTTGCCCAGGCTGATCTTCAACTCTTGGTCTCAAGCAACCCTCCTGCCTCAACCTCCCATAGTTTTGGGATTACAGGCATGAGCCACTGCACCCAGCCTCGGACTGCTACTTTAGACCCCACTTTCTTGTCCAGGTGTGATCCTGGGTGCGTGTGCCCAGAGACGCCCTGGCTACCTGGGATTCATCCATCAAACACCTGGTCATTCAGCCAATTCTGTGCGAACAGCACCTTCCCGGCTGTCCCACCCTCTGCAAAGATCTGTGATGCTGGAAAGTTGTGTGTGGCTAAGTCGGAAGAAGTGAAGTTCATCTGCATAAGTGCAGTAGTGTATTTATTGATTTTTATTCTTATTTTTTATTTTTATTTATTTATTTGAGACAGGGTCTTGCTCTGTCACCCAGGCTGTGGTGCAGTGGCATGATCTCAGCTCACTGTAACCTCCACCGCCTTCTGGGCTTGAGCAATCCTCCCACCTCAGCCTCCCGAGTAGCTGGGACCAGAGGCACACCCACCATGCCCGGCTATTTTGGTTTTTGTATTTTTTGTAGAGATGAGGTCTTGATATATTGCCCAGGCTGGTCTCGAACTCCTGAGCTCAAGTAATCTTCCCGCCTCGGCCTCCCAAAGTGTTGGGATTACAGGCGTGAGCCACCACGCCCAGTCCAGTAGTGCATTTACTGATAGCACTTACTGCAGCTATTTTCTTTTATTGCATTTACTGCATTCCTGCTATGTCCCAGGCTTTGCACACATTAGTAGGCGTTCGATCCTTTAACAATTCTTTGAGGCAGTAGCAGGTCTTCCTATTTCTATACTTGCTCCCTTAGTAGATCACACTCTCATGGGAAACACAGTGACTTTTTTTTTTCTTTCTTTCTTTTTTTCAGACAGAGTTTCCCTCTTGTTGCCCAGTCTGGAGTGCAATGGTGAGATCTTGGCTCACTGCCTCAGCCTCCCAAGTAGCTGGGATTACCTGCCACCACGCCCAGCCTGATTGTATTTTTTAAAATTAAAATTGAAATACCATCAATAGGTTGACCACTAGGACTAAAATCCAAACTTTTCAGTGTGGCCTATAGGCCGGGCATCATGGGGCCACTTCCTGTCTCTCCATCTTGGAACACCCCTTCCCTTCCTCATTTTGCTCCACCCACATCTGCCTTTTCTCTTTCTTTTAGAGACAGGATCTCACTGTGTTGTCACCTCTCACAGCTTCTGCACTCGTGGATCCTCTATCTGAAGCATTCTTCCCCCTCCGTCTTCCCAGGCCAGCTTCTGCTGGTCATTCAGTGGCAGCTCAAATGCCACTTTCTCATAGAGGTCTTCTGTGACCCCGCTATCTGGAGGAGTCCCCGGGATCAATCACTGTCTACCCCCGTAATGGCATTTTACTCTCTTCCTAGCCCTGTCCACCTAAATGATGTTGTTTGTTTATCTTTTGGCTTGCTGTCTGTCTTCATCAGGAGGATGGATGTTTCATTTCTGCATGCCTAGCTCCTAGAATATTGCCTGGTGTGTGGCGGGCATGTTGAATAAACAAAGAGCCCCCAAATGACATAGGAGGCCATGCCATGTGCCCCAGTCCCTGCAGAGGAGCGACCATCCACCAGCAGACCCTGTGTCTTTGAAAGGAATTCCAGAGAGAGTAAAAATCAGTGCCTATGAAAAGTATCCCAACTGGCTGCACCATTGCCTAGCTTTTGTGCTCAGTGTTTTTGGTTTTGTTTTTTTGACATCATTGGCTTTTAAAGCCAGGTCAACCTTTGGACTTGAACCCTCAGGTTTTGCATCTCCCGCTGCACTGCTGGGCAGTCGACCCTTCCCAAACCACCAGTTCTAGCTGAGACACACACGAGGTTCTGGATTTTTGCTCCACCAGCAGGTGATCCTCTTCATCTTCCATTGCAGGCATCTTTTTCTTTAATTATAAAAATAACACCATACTCCACTCTCAAGGAAGCACTCATAACTCCCTACCCTATAAGTGTGGGCTGTGTATAGTGACTTCCTTCCAAAGAGGAAGTGAAAGGAGAAACTTTACAATGGAGAAACCTGGCAGACACTCCCTCAGCCAGGGGCTCAAGGTCAGCATCAACAGTGCCAACTCATCTTGATGGGATGTACCACGGATGTGAAGTGATGAGAATGGTGGCCGGGCACCATGGCTCACACCTGTATTCCCAGCACTTTGGGAGGCTGAGGCGGGTGGATTACCTGAGGTCAGGGGTTTGAGACCAGCTTCACCAACATGGCGAAACCTTGTCTCTACTAAAAATACAAAAACTAGCCAGGCATGGTGGCACACACCTGTAGTCCCAGCTACTCGGGAGGCTAAGGCAGGAGAATCGCTTGAACCCAGGAGGCGGAGGTTGCAGTGAGCTGAGATCATGCCACTGCACTCCAGCCTGAGTGACAATATGAGATTCCATCTCAAAAAAAAAGAAAAAAAAGAAGAAAGTGATGAGAATGGTGACTTACCTCTGCAGTCTTCTCTCCAAACTCACAACTTGTCTCACCATCAGAAAAACTCAAAATTAAAGGGTATTCCACTACAAAATACCTGTGCAGTACCCCTTAAAACTGTCAAGGGCAGGCTGGGCTCATGCCTGTAATCCCAGCACTTTGGGAGGCTGAGGTGGGCAGATCACCTGAGTTCAGGAGTTCAAGACCAGCCTGACCAACATGGAGAAACCCCGTCTCCACTAAAAATACAAAATTAGCCAGGCGTGGTGGTGCATGCCTGTACTGCCCCCTACTCGGGAGGCTGAGGCAGGAGAATCGCTTGAACCCAGGAGGCGGAGGTTGCAGTGAGCTGAGATCATGCTACTGCACCTGAGAAACTGTCACAGTGTAGAAGAGTCTAAGAAGACACAAGGACTGAATGTCATGCACTGTCCTCGATGGGATCCTGGAATGGAAAAAGAACATTGGCGGAAAAACAAGGAAATCTGAACAGAGTATGCATTTTAATCTTTTTTTAAATCCCCTAAGGATTTCCAGTACTGATGCTTTGCCTTTGTGCTTGAGATCCCTGTTTAGAGCCACATCTCCCTTCTGGTGTGGATTTTCAGTCCGACATGAATGCTTCCAGATTTGCTTCCTTCCTTCTTCTGCCATGATCTGACTCTCCCTCTGACTTCACATTGAACTGGAGCCGTTCACGCCTGCACACATCCTGTTTTTCCCCTGGCTGCTCTTCCCTGCGTCCCCCCTCCGCAGACCACCCTCATTCAGATGAGGATATATCCCACCCTATTTCTTGGGCTTACCTTTCTGAATGAAAATAATGTTCCTGGTGCAATTTATCTCTCCTGTCAAATTTCCAGCCTGCAGGGAATTAAATGAGGCACATGATTTTCAGGCTAAGCAGTTTTTAAAAACTGAAATATTACTTTAGACAGGCCCAATTTATTTTCCTCTGGATTCTCATCATTTTAACCCCGCCAAGCACATGGTTTTAAGCAGCTCCATCTGCTCCTCTAACCATCCTTGCGTGACCTGGGCCCTTGACTGACTTCTGAATTGGTTTGTAAATTGGAAGAATTAGGGAGTCGGTTAAGATGCATGAATCATAGCTCAGGATAGATTTATAATTGTCTGTTTTCATGAACTCATTCTGAGATTGCAGGGATGGGGGATATTTCAGAACAAATGGACCTTGAGTAACAGAATGAACCTACAGAAGTGCCGAAAAAGATTTGTTGTTTATGCAATTTTAACCGGGCAATTGTTGTTATTATAGGTTTATCAATTTCCACAATTTTAATTCCACAGCCCTAATGATTTGCTTTGAATTAGGAAGTATATACTTTATTCTCTCATATGGTCCCAAAGGGCCTTAGAAAGCAATCGGAGCCCTTCTGCTTGTCATTGGAAGAAATATGACAGCATGGTTTGGTGATTCATTGAAGGTCACTTTGAAGTGTTGGGGAGAGGACACTGAGTAATGTAAAATGACATTACAATTTGTTAAATAATTTGCCGGAACTCTTGTGTCATCTCTTTCAAAGTCTCACCCTGGAAATAACACACACGTAATTCAAATGCAATCTTTCTGGAAGTCCCACCTGGGAACTGCAGTCCCAATCTGTGGCAAAGTCTTGTGAATATCCTTAATGTGATAAAACTTTGCCTTAGACGGAGTTTGCTTTTTGGAATAACCAAAGTCATTCTGGGCCAAGGTGTTTGAATAAAGTGGTTGATCAAATGAAATTTAATGTAAAGTTATTTTAACTGCTTTTCTTGAGTAACGCATAAACTGATTTGAAAGCAACAAAGAATTTGTTTATTACTACCTCTCCTTATTCCAGAAAGGACTTAATGATCTTATTGGAGCCTTAAAAAAGTTTTAAAAGGCTCAAGAAATGTTGGTAAATTTCCTTTTTTTTATCTTTTTTTTTTTTTTTTTTTTTTTTGAGAAGGAGTCTTGCTCTGTTGCCCAGGCTGGAGTGCAGTGGCTCGATCTCAGCTCACTGCAATCTCTGCCTCCCGGGTTTAAGTGATTCTTGTGCCTCAGCCTCCAGAGTAGCTGGGATTACAGGCATGCGCCACCACCCCTGGCTAATTTTTGTATTTTTAGTAAAGGTGGGGTTTCACCACGTTGGCCAAGCTGGTCTCGAACTCCTGACCTCAAGTGATCCGCCTACCTCGGCCTTCCAAAGTGCTGGGATTACAGGTGTGAGCCATCACGCCCGGCCTAATTTACTTTTATTATTATTATTATTATTGTTGTTGTTTGAGACGGAGTTTCGCTCTGTTGCCTGTTGCCAGGCTGGAGTGCAGTGGCGTGATCTCCACCTCCTGGGTTCAAGCGATTCTCCTGCCTCAGCCTCCCAAGTAGCTGGGACTGTAGGCGTGCACCACCATGCCCAGCTAAGTTTTTTGTTTTTTGTTTTTTGAGACAGAGTCTCGCTCTGTCACCCAGGCTGGAGTGCAGTGGCATGATCTTGGCTCACTACAAGCTCCGCCTCCCGGGTTCACACCATTCTCCTGCCTCAGCCTCCCAAGTAGCTGGGACTACAGGCATCTGCCACCACGCCTGGCTAATTTTTTGTATTTTTTAGTAGAGGTGGGGTTTCACCATGTTAGCCAGGATGGTTTCAATCTCCTGACCTCGTGATCTGCCCACCTCGGCCTCCCGAAGTGCTGGGATTACAGGCGTGAGCCACCGCGCCTGGCCTACTTTTATTATCTTAATATCACTCTTCTCATTTCTCTTCTCTAAGCCTAATATTAGTATTTGTGGACATTGCAGGTGGGACACAAGACCTTTGGTGCTTCTCATCTTCCAAGAGGGCACAGAATGGGATGGTGTATGAGGTGGGATATTCCCAGCCAAGGGAGTTCTGGGAGGGAGGTGAAGTTGGGGCAAAGAATTCCCATGGGCTAATGTCCTCTGTGCTTCCCCAACCCTAGTTCCAGCTGATGTGGAATTCTGAGTTTGGCTGCTTTTTCTTTTGTTGATGGTGGTGATGGTGGTGGTGGCAATGATGATGATAGTGATGTTGATGGTGGTGGTGGTGGTGATAGTGGTGATGGTGATGATGAAAGGGGTGGTAATGATGGTGGTGATGGTGATGATGACAGTGATCGTGATGATGGTGATGGTGATGGTGGGGATAGTAATGATGGTGATAATGGTGATAGTGATAATGGTGACGATGACAGTGATGTGCTAGTGATGGTGATAATGACAGTGATGGTGGTGATAGTGATAGTGGTGATGGTGATGGTAAAGATAATGGTGATAGTGGTGATGATTATGATAGTGATAGTGATTATGGTGAGGATAGAGACAGTGATTGTGATAACTGACATTCACCAAGTCCTCACTGTCCTTATGATGTACCAGGCACCACATTAAGAGCCTTATATACGATCTGTCATTCAATCCTCACTGCATCCAAGGGTACCCTCTATTATTATCCCCAGTTAACAGGTAATGAAGACTGAGGATTGGGAAAGTTACATAACTCACTTACCAGCCACACAACTAGCTATTATGAAATGAACAAATATTACAAGCTAAGGATTAATAGACCCACTTTACAAGGGAAATTTTTTTTTTTTTTTGAGACAGTCTTGCTCTGTCACCCAGCCTGGAGTGCAGTGGTGCGATCTTGGCTCACTACAAGCTCCGCCTCCCGGGTTCACGCCATTCTCCTGCCTCAGCCTCCCGAGTAGCTGGGACTACAGGCGCCCGCCACCACGCCCGGCTAATTTTTTTTATTTTTAGTAGAGACGGGGTTTCACCATGTTAGCCAGGATGGTCTTGATCTCCTGACCTCGTGATCTGCCCGCCTCGGCCTCCCAAAGTGCTGGGATTACAGGCATGAGCCACTGTGCCAGGCCCACAAGGGAAATTTTTTAAAGTGGAAACTCAGAGAATTTAAATAACTTGTCCAGGGGCACAAAGCCAGGCAGGGGCAGAGCCAGGCAGGGGCAGAGCCAGCCTTTCACCATTCACCATTGCTGGCTTTGAACATGAAGCAAGGGGCCATAAGCCAAGGAATGTAGGTGGCCAAGGAATGTAGAAGCTAGAAAAGGCAAGGAAACTCATTCTTCCTTAGAGCCCCAAGAAGGACAGGCAATCCTGCTGACACTGTTACCAAAACACCAGGGGATTCGTCTAGGTCCTGCTGCTCACTGCACAGAAGGCCGACACTGAGACAACAATTATTGCTAAGGAAGGAGGCTTTACTCAGGTGTTGCAGCCAAGGAGCCAGTAACTCAGTCTCACATCCATCTCCCTGACCAACTAAAATCAAGGGTTTATACAGCAGGGAAGAGATGTAACAATGTGTAACAAAACAGGAACTTGGGACGGGCAAGGAAGCAATCCCGATGAATGAGGGGTCTGGCATCTCATTGTCTGGATGCTGTAATCTGGTGAGTTTCAGTTCTTTGATACTTATTTGAGAGGCAAGGAATTCCCTCCTGAGGAAGGAACTCAGATAAAACAAACTTTAAGTTTCAAGAGTTAAGACCAGAAAGGTCAATTTCTATGTTTATCAAGAAAGAAAAAAACTGTCTATGGGACTACTTGTGTTGGTTTCAACACCCTGATTTTCACGTCCGTTGGGCCTCTGTCCTCCAGAACTATAATAAATGTGTGTTGTTTTAAGCCACTAAGTTTGTGTTTATTTGTAACTGAGACACAGATTGGCATTTTTTTCCACTGTCACCCCTCTTGCCTTGTATCATCAGTTGTTAGTATTTGTTTTAGCTGGGGAGGCAGCTGGAGCATGAAGTCAACAGGAACAATGATGATCTGCAGGGAGGAAAGCCCTAGGATGGCGGGATAATCCCCATTGTGCCCCCTCATCATTAGCCACAGTACTTGGCTGGCATTTGAGCAGAGTGGTTATCACAGCAGCGTTCACTCTCCTGCCCCCGGGTTCCTGTTCTTCCCTCTCTTCAAGAGCACTCAATGCATATCTCTCCAAACCAGTGCTTCTCCACCTTTAATGTGAGTGATAATAGCTAACATTCAGCACACTGTGCTCAATGTGTGAATCCCCTCACTTAACCTCCATACCAACCCTTGAGATAGATGTTATCATTATCCTTCCCATTTCAGGAAACTGAGGCATAGAGTGTTTAATGAAGAATCACCTGCTTGAAGGGCAGCTTGCTGGGTCTCCTCCAGGGAGATTTTGATTCAGTAGGTCCAGGAGAAGCCCAGGTAGATGGATTTTTTTTTTTTAATCACACCTAGGTAAGTCTCATACCTGTGCCCTGGGAGCACAATAAAAAAACTCTGGGTTTAGGCTGTGTGCAGTGGCTCATGCTTGTAATCCCATCAGCTTGGGGGTCTGAGATGGGAGGATCGCTTGAGGCCGGTTTAAGATCAGCCTGGGTGACATGGTGAGACTCCGTCTCTACAAAATTAAAAGGACGTGATGGTGCACACCTGTAGTCCCACCTATTCAGGAGGCTGAAGTGGGAGGATTGCTTGAGCCCAGAAGCTTGAGGATGCAGTGAGGTATGATCACACCACTGAACTCCAGACTTGGTAATAGAGTGAGACCTTGTTTCAGATAAAAAGAGGAAAGGAAAGAAAGGAAAAAAGAAAGGAAAGGGGCAAAAGGAAATGGGAAGGGAAGGGAAGGGAGAAAGGAAGGAAGGAAAAAAGAAAGAGAAAGGAAGAAAGAGGAAGGAAGGAAGGGAAGATGGAACTAAGGAAGGAAGAAAGGAGGAAAGAAAGAAAAAGGAAGGAAAAGAGAGAAAGGAAAGAAGGAGAAAGACTCTGAGTCTAAACCCGTGGTTTTCAACAAAGGGTGATTTTGTCCCCCAGGGGATACTTGCCAGTGTCTGAGGACATTTTGGGTTGGGGAGAGGATGCTACTGGCAGCCAGTGGGCAGAGGCCAGGGATGCTGCTGCACAGCCTACAGTGTTTAGCACAGCCCCCAGCACAAAGAAGCGTCCAACTCCAAATGTCAAAGCACTCACAGGCTATGGAGCAGCAGTGAGATGAAGCTCTTGCTCTAGCCTTGGCTCCTGCACTCAGAATGAGTCTTCAGATGTTCTCAGATTACACTTCCAGAGGATTAGGCTGGAATTTGTCTTTCTTGTGAAAGAAACTCTTTGTCTCAAGTGTTGGGTCCTCCCAGGATTCCTCCCCAAATGGGCTATCTTAGTTTCTCCTCTACTCCTCAATCTCACCTCTTCACCTTCATCCTTATTTCCTATTTCACTGCAAAAGTCAAGGGCCCAGCCTGGCCAACATGGTGAAACTCTGTCTCTACCAAAAATACAAAAGTTAGTCAGGCGAAGTGGCAGGCACCTGTAATCCCAGCTACTTGGGAGGCTGAGGCAGGAGAATCACTTGAACCCGGGAGGTGGAGGTTGCAGTGAGCCGAGATCACACCACTGCACTCCAGCCTGGGAGACAGAATGAGACTCCATCTAAAAAAATAAAAATAAAAAACAAAAAAAAAAAGTCAACAGCATCAAATGCTCTCCTCTGCTCCCTTTGTCATTTCTTTGTACTTGGACCTCTTAGATCTTGGACTTCTATGAGGTCACAGAGGAAGAGCATGTTTCCAGAAAGAAATTCCTACAATCAGCCAGTTCTGCATAATCTTGTGGTTCACGAGAGGGGAAGGACCACAGCTTCTCCTTGAGTCCACCTGGGAAGGGCATCTGTGGACACCTTCTCTCTGCCTCCCTTTCCTTCCTCCCAGTTCCTTCCTAGAGGGATGGTGTTTGATTTCTGAGGCCCTGGACATTTCTTCCAGCTCATCATTCAGGTTGTTCAGAGCATTTGGAAGACGAGCTTTTCTCTTGCCAACACTGACCGCCTCTTGCGGGAAGATGTCGCAGCATTATTATTTAATAACCCGTGTCTTTCTTCAGCTCATCAAAGACCTTCCAGCTCCAGATAAGGAGTCGGGGTAGGGAGTAAGGAAACAAAGGGATGAGGGTACTGGAAAATCCCAGCTGCCCCTTATCACACAATCAATATATTCAATCAATATAGTTAATAGCAATGTGCCAATGTCAGTTTCTTGGTAAAGTTAACAAATAGTGGAAATTGAGTGAGGGGGGTAGAGGGGAATTCTGTTGGCTCTTTGCAACTTATCACTGCCCATCTCCAGTTTTCTGGTGCCTTTGCTCAGATGCTGCTGTGGAGTCCCCTCCACAGAGATACCTGTGTCCTTCTCCCCACCTTCCTGGCTCCCAACAGACTACACTGCCTGAGAGAGCTGAAGTCAGGCATTCATTCTGCAGGGGATTCTGGGTCACAGCTGAGCCAGTCCTATTAGGATTTAGGGGGCAGCCGACCTGTGGGGCCTGCACCGCACACACTCCTTCTAAGGGTTTCCTCACAGTCCCTGCTGAAGGGGAGGGTCTCGTGTGACCTGTGGCTCCACCCAGGTTGAACGTGCTGAGGCCCTGACCAAAGGCAGGGCCACCCATAGGCTGCCAGGGGCTGGAGGTGGGACGAGAGGGTCCATCAGAAGTCCTTTCATGAGAGCAGTTAAGAGGGAAGCAGAAGAGTCCTGAAATGGAGAAACACCTCAGGGAGACAGAATCTTTGAGGAAGGGGAAGGTATCAGGGAGAAAAGAAAGAAGGAGATGAATGGAGGGTCCCAGGATGGTGAACAATGACTTGGGACTTGGGAGCACTTGAAATGTGGCCATTCCAAATTGAGATCTGTTCTTCCTTTATTTAGTTTTGAGACGGAGTCTCACTCTGTCACCCAAACTGTAGTGCAGTGGCGCAGTCTGGGCTCACTGCAACCTCCATCCCCCAGGTTCACGTGATCCTTGTGCCTCAGCCTCCCAAGTAGCTGGGATGACAGGCACGTGCCACCAGACGTGGCTATTTTCTGTATTTTTAGTAGAGATGGGGTTTCACCATGTTGTCCAGGCTGGTGTCGATCTCCTGACCTCAAGTGATCCACCTGCCTCGGCCTCCCAAAGTGCTGGGATTACAGGCGTGAGCCACCGTGCCTGGCCTGAATTGAGATCTATTTAAAGGGTAAAATATACATACTGGACTTAAGACTTCCATACTCCCTCCAAAAAGGATATAAAACATCTCATTCGTATCTTTAATATATTGATTACATTTTGAACTGATAATCCTTTAGATCTATTGGATTAAATAAAATATGTTAGTGAAATTAATCTCGCCCATTTCTTTTTATCTTTTTTTTTATTTTTAAGAGACAGGGTCTCGTTGCTATGTTGCCTAGGTTGGACTTAAACTCCTGGGCTCAAGTGATCCCCCTGCCTCAGCCTCCAGAGTAGCTGAGACTACAGGCATGTGCCTCCGCACCCAGCTCTTTTTACTTTTTTTTTTTTTTTTTTTTTTTGAGATGGAGTCCGTTCTGTCACCCAGGCTGGAGTGCAGTGACTCGATCTTGGCTCACTGCAACCTCCGCCTCCCAGGTTCAAGCGATTCTCCTGCCTCAACCTTCTGAGTAGCTACGATTATAGTCACCTGCCACCATGCCCAGTTAATTTTTTTTGTTTGTTGTTCTTGTTGTTCTTGTTGAGACAGAGTCTCCCTCTGTTGCCCAGGCTGGAGTGCAGTGGCACGATCTCGGCTCACTGCAGCCTCCGCCTCCCCAGTTCAAGCAATTCTCCTGCCTCAGCGTCCTGAATAGCTGGGATTACAGGCACACACCACCACACCTGGCTAATTTTTGTATTTTTAGGAAGACGGGCTTTCGCCATGTTGGCCAGGCTGGTCTTGAACTCCTGACCTCAGGTGATCCACCGCCTCGGACTCCCAAAATGCTAGGATTACAGGCGTGAGTGAGCCACCGTGCTCTGCCACGGCTAATTTTTATATTTTTAGTAGAGATGGGGTTTCACCATGTTGGCCAGGCTGGTCTTGAGCTCCTGACCTTAAGTGATATGCCCACCACCCTTGGCCTCTCAAAGTGCTGGGATTACAGGCATGTGCCTCCACACCCAGCCTTTTTTATTTTTTAGAATGTGGTTCCTGGAATGTTCAAAATTACATATGTGGCTAGTGTTCTATTTCAATTGGACCGCACTGATCTATACATTCTCTCTTTTATGACCCCCGATTTACAGATAAGGAAACTGAGTCTCAAAGAGGTTAGGGCATTTGCCGAGGTCGGCCGTTAGAAAGATGCCGGACCATCTACTCATGTCTGCTTGACGCCAATGCCTGCGTCTTCACGTGCTGTTGGTGCGTCCTCCTGAATTACTTTTGTGTCCTTTGACACGTCAGATGTGGCTGGGGAAACAGAAACTCGCAGAAGTTAAAAAAATGTGCTTGAGGTGCCACTGGAGAATAACAATCATAGCCAGGATCTGAAGCCTGTCAGTTTCCTCAGCCGCAAATTCTTCCATGTGGGGCGACCTCACAGAGACGGGATGTATGGGACGGCGGAGTGCAAAGAAAGGTATGATCGCTCTTGGGGGCCCAGTGGCATCCTCTCCACGAGGCAGGCTGGGAGAAATCGAGCAGCCAGGAGCTTCTGGGTTAAAAGCAGTGACTTCATCTCTTTGGGAAACGGTGACTCATTAAAAGCAACGGGCGGCTTCCCATTACATTCACGTTATAGCAAGAAGGCGAGGCACTTGGTGCATCCCGTAATAGGATGCTTGGGGGTTGGAATGAGCTTCTTTCCTACATGAATGATTGATGACAACGAAGTCTAGAGTGCCACCAGGAGCCTTTGAAATGCATTCAGATATTGGCTCCCTGGTCATGGGGCGCAGATCTATTCCCTTGGGATTCAAGACTCTCTTTTGGGTCAATAGCAGCAACTGGCTTCTTGACAAAAGGCTGGAGGGGGCCCCCTCTAGATTCTCTTCTCAGGGCAGGCATGGGTCTGTTGGAGCTGCGGGGCTGTGGTCTCACCTAGAGGGGCCAAGAGATGGTCCCCATGACCATGAGTCTGTGTTCTTCAAATTTGATGGTGGCTCCAATTTTATTTTCTCCCCAGTGTTAGTCTGGCTTCTTTCAGGGAAAGGCACTGTGATGGCAGGAATAATGCTACTGACCACTCTTTGTGATGTCTAGGCACTACACCAAGCACATGTTGTATACAGTTGGTCCTCTGTATCTGTGGGTTCCGCATCCTTAGATTCAACCAATTATGGATGGAAAATATTCAGGAAAAAAATCCACAAATTACCAAGAAGCAAAACTTTGAGTATTATGCTGAATCTGTGTAAATGAAGTGATGTGTAGGCATCCTATTAGGGATTATAAGTAATCTAGAGATGACTTAAAGTCTACAGGAGGATGTGTGGGGCTTCTATGCAAATATTTCACCCTGTTATATCCGGGTCTTGAACATCCAAGGATTTTTTTTTTTTTGAGACGGAGTCTCGCTCTGTTGCCCAGGCTGGAGTGCAGTGGCGCGATCTCGGCTCACTGCAAACTCCGCCTCCCGGGTTCACGCCATTCTTCTGCCTCAGCCTCCTGAGTAGCTGGGACTACAGGCGCCTGCCACCACGCCCGGCTATTTTTTTTTTTTTTTTTGTATTTGTATTTGTAGTAGAGACGGCGTTTCACCGTGTTATCCAGGATGGTCTCGATCTCCTGACCTCGTGATCCATCCACCTCGGCCTCCCAAAGTGCTGGGATTACAGGCATGAGCCACCGCGCCCGGCCAACATCCAAGGATTTTGGTGTCCAAAGGGAGGCCTGGAACCAATCCCACACGGATACTGAGGGACAAGTATATCATCCCATTTCATCCCTACAGCAGCAACTTCATGAGGCAGGAGTTATTAGTCCCATTTTACAGAAGAGGAAACTGAGACTTAGGGAGATCAAGTAATTTGCCCAGGTCGCACAATTAGTGATAGAGCCAGGGCTTGAAGCGACGTCTGTCTTAAGCCAATGACCCCTGCAGATTATTAGAGCAACTGTTCTCCACAACAGTGTAAGCCTCTTGCTAGAAGCTCAGGTCCACAAGGGCAGAGATTTTTGTCTGTTTTGCTCATTGCTCCTTCCCCATTGCTTAGAGCAGGGTCTGCCACGAAGCAGGTTCTCAATGCATAGTTATTAAATGTATATAAGAGCAAACATATGTTACAGAGAACTTTCTGTATGCTTGTCACTTACATGAATCACCTGTGAGATGGGTATGCTTGTTCCCCAGTGTTGCAGATGAAGAAACTGAGGTGCCCAGAGTCACTGATGCATGGCTCAAGCGTGAGAGCTGGACTCTGAAACCCAAAAGCCCATGCCCAGAACCACTCCCCTCTCTTGCCCTCTTCAAGGGCTGGCCTGGCTCCCCATGGTGCCTGCACACGCCAACCCCTTTTCTTTTCTCTCTTCTTAATTTTAAATCTGTTTTGCAAATGTAACATCTGACCATTGGTAAATTGCTAAAATTTCAATGAATATAGTTAATAACAATGCACCAATGTCAACTTCTTGGTAATGTTAACAATAGTGGAAATTTAATGAGGAGTAGAGGGGAATTCTTTATGCTCTTTGCAACTCTTCTTAAATTTTTTTTTTTTTTTTATTAAAGATAGTGTCTCACTCTGTCACCTAGGCTGGAGTGCAGTGGCACCATCATAGATCACTGAAGCCCTCAAACTCCTGGACCCAAGCGATCCTCCCACCTCAGCCTCCCAAGTAGCTGGGACCACAGCTGTGTGCCACCACATCTGGCTAATGTTTACATTTTATTTTTGTAGAGATGGGGTCTTGCTCTGTTGCCCAGGCTGGTCTTAAACTCATGGCTTCAAGTGATCCTCTTCCCTCAGCCTTCCAAAGCTCCGGGATTACAGACATGAGCCACCACATCCAGCCACATTTTCTAGAAATATAAAAGTATTAAAAAAAAAAAGTATATTTAAAAACCCAAACAAGAGAAAAGGACATATTAGGTGAAAGTTGATTCTCCCCCAACACTGACTCCCCCTACCTGAGTCCCTCATGTCCTTCCCTAAATGCAGCGGCTGTGACCCAAGTATATTCCAATGACTGAAATGAATAGCACCCCCACCCCCAGCCCTTCATTTAATTGCCTTTGTTATATGAGCTGGGTTGAAATAATCGCTCAAAATGGCTGATTCCTCTTTGAGTAGGACTTAACCCATGGCTGAGAATTGTCCTTCTAGCTTGAGTTCTCACTGAAGTTTGAATGAGAACCGTTTGTTGAGGGACCCTGGGAACCACATCTTGCCAAGTCATTTTACATCCTATCCAACACAGGTATGAGGCTGACCAAAACGTCGTTTAAGACCTTTCCAACGCAAAGGACTGGAATTCTATTCTACAACAGGGGATGGGATAGGTACCCCCAGTGGTACTTTCATGCTTGTACCATCAAACAGCAATGAATTTCCCTTCAGGAAAGCTACGCATTTTCTCCCCAATTATCAACCTTTTTGATTACCTAAAGGAGAAAGCCACAATTTGGTGCTAGCTTTGTCTTTAATGCCCCTAGTACTTGCTGATTCACCTTGTTAAGAAAGAAAATTCAAGCTTCATTCTGAACCTTAAGCAGGCTATAGTATTTAGCAAGAATTTAACAGTATTGCTTTGTTTCCTCAGGTTTATTTTCATGGCTATTTTCTAATTATGCCAAGTAAGAGTCATTTATTGTCTGTGGATGTCATGGGACATTTCCGTTAGGGAGTTTGAGTAAAAAAAGTCAATGTCGGCCAAGCGCAGTGGCTCACGCCTGTAATCCCAGCACTTTGGGAGGCCGAGGTGGGTGGGTCATGAGGTCAGGAGATCGAGACCACCCTGGCTAACGTGGTGAAACCCGTCTCTACTAAAAGTACAAAAAATTAGGCTGGTGTGGTGGTGGGCGCCTGTAGTCCCAGCTACTTGGGAGGCTGAGGCAGGAGAATGGCGTGAATTCAGGAGGCAGAGCTTGCAGTGAGCCAAGATCACGCCACTGCACTCCAGCCTGGGTGACAGAGCGAGACGCCGTCTCAAAAAAAAAAAAAAAAAAGTGAATGTCATGACATACTGAGTGGTATATGACAGAGTACAGAATATGTAGCTGGGGTAAATTCTATGCAGTGTTGAGAGTTTTGGAAACACTGTTTTGTAGCTCTTTTGACCTTAGAGCATGGGCATTGGGATCAGATAGATCTGGGTTTGAGTTTCATTTCTACCACTCATTATAGCACTGCCCCAATTGCCCCTTAGAACTGATGTTTACGGTGTTTTGTTTTGTTTGAATAAACACAAAAATTTACCTTCCTAATCTTTTGTTTTTCTTTTTTCTTTTTTTTTTGAGACGGAGTCTTGCTCTGTCACCCAGGCTGGAGTGCCGCGGTGCGATCTCTGCTCACTACAAGCTCCGCCTCCCAGGTTCACACCATTCTCCTGCCTCAGCCTCCCAAGTAGCTGGGACTACAGGTGCCCGCCACCACGCCCGGCTAATTTTTTGTATTTTTAGTAGAGACAGGGTTTCACCGTGTTAGCCAAGATGGTCTCTATCTGACCTTGTGATCCACCTGCCTCAGCCTCCCAAAGTGCTGGGATTACAGGCGTGAGCCACTGTGCCCAGCCCCCTCCTAATCTTAAAATTTTAGAAAGTTACATTCATTTTACCTGAGTTCCTTTCTCAAGAAACTGACCTCTCGGCCTTCCAGATAGTATTAAGGAATTGAAATTTACCAGATCACTATATGTGGACAATGAGATGCCAGACTCCTCAACCATCACGATTGCCTAACCAACCACCTGCATCCTGTTGACCAGATTCTCTTCCTTACCCCTTCCTAATAATTTCCCAGAAAAAAAAAAAAAGAATAGGGATGTATCACAATGTAACACATGGTTGCGTTTCTTCCTTGCTACCTCTAATTTTAGTGGGTTGAGGAGATGGATTTGAGTCTCTTTCCATCTCCTCAGCTGCAGCACCCAATTAAAGCCTTCTCTGGCAATACTCATTGCCTCAGTGATTGGCTTTCTGTGCAGCGAGTAGCAGGATCTAGACAGAACCCTTGATGTTGCTGCAACAATTGAGTGAGTGAGTTTGACCAATCACTTATGACCTCTCTAAGCCTCATTTTATTAATCTAGAAAGAGAGGTTGATATGAGCTAGATCATGGCTCCGGTAAACACCCAAAATGAGCAAGCTCTGGGGCCAGTACTAGGCACGTAAAGTTATAAAGCAGAAGTAAAGGCAGAGGTTGTGCAGGGCACCCTGAGCTTAAATTCCTACCATGACCCCTGATTGGAAAAGATGGGCTAGGAAAGGTATCTCTCTGGTCCCCAGCAGTTTAACCCTCCAAGCTTGTATTTAAACTAGAAGTTTTTAGATCACCAGCCCTCATCCTCTATCACCTCCACCACTCCTGTCCCTGGGTAGCCTTACTTTTTGTTTTGTTTTGAGATCAGTGATTAAACCTGCTGGTGCATACCAGGGCTGCCCGGGTGCTCAGCTCTTGTTTGCTGGTGCCACCGCTCAGGAAGCATGCATCTCCCTGGGGTGGCATTTGGGGATGGGAAGATGGATTTAGCTGCCTCTTCCCCCAGAAGTGACTCAGCTCCTGGAAGCTCAATGACAGCAGTGGCAGTTGGAGCCCTGGGGACGTCTGTGCCTTCATGCTTTGCTGTCTCCACACAGCAAGCAAGCTCTTGCTTGGAAGTGTGCGTGAGAGACTTGTTGTCTCTAGCCAGCTTGAAATGCTCCTCCCGTTTCTTCCCGTGATTTGTCCTCCTCGTGGAGACATTCCTTGGCAGCTGTCGGATGCCTGCCTTCTAGTTGGAAAATGTGATCAAGAAAGGAACAGTCTAGCAGGCTAATTTCTATCACACAAGTTCAGACTGGAAAGAAACTGACTGTGTGTGATACTCATTTATTCAGGTCCTGTATCAGCATTTTTCACTCTGATCTGAAGACCTCCTTCATTAAGGTCCCTGGACACAACACCCCAACCCAGGTTTATCCTAATCCTTGGAGGTGGAGGCAGGGAATTGTTTCTTAAACAACCTCCCTAGATATTCACCTTGCCCACTGATGTCTGGGAATAACTACTCCCTCTGTGTCTAAAGCAATACAGTCTACTCAGTTTTGTTATGATGATGATGGTACTTACGTAGGGAGGTAGTTCTTACATGAATATGGTTGATTACAACAAGAGCTTTGGAGTAAGAGAGATCTTGTTTTAAATCTCACCTCCATCACTTACTCCCTTTCCTGAGCCTCGACTTCCCCATCTATGAAATGGGATAACAGCACTGACCACCCAGGGCTGTTTTGAGAATCAGATAAGGTAATGCACAGGTGCTGGCATGTGATAAATGCTCGATAAATGTTAGTTATTATCGTTACTGGATAAACCTGGCTTTCCTAACTTTTAAACTGGAGAGATTACAGTATACCACCCAGGGAAGGGGTTGGCCAACTTTTTCTATAAAGAGCCAGGTAGTGAATATTTGAGGCTTCGTGGGCCAGGGAGTCTCTGTGGCAACTACTCAGTTTTTGCAATGCAAAAGCAGCCATAAATGACATGTAAATGAATGAGCGTGATCAGTGTTCCAGAACAACTCTACTTACAACATCAAGCATGGGGCTGCGCTTGGTCCCCTGGCCATAGGATATCAACCCCTGGCCTAAGGTATTGTGCAGACTAAATGAGATGAGATTCATTCCTGTAATCCCAGCGCTTTGGGAGGCTGAGATGGGCAGATCACTTGAGCTCAGGAGTTGGGAGACCAGCCTGGGCAACATGGCAAAACCCCATCTCTACAAATAGTACAAAAAAAGTCACTGGGTGTGGTGGAGTGAACCTGTAATTTCAGCTACTCGGGAGGCTGAAGTGAGAGGATTGCTTGAGCCCGGGAGGTTGAGGCTGCAGTGAGCCAAGATCATGCCACTGCAATCCAGCCTGGAAGACAGAGCGAGACCCTGCCCCACCAAAAAAAAAAAAAAAAAAAAAAGATGAGGTTTACAATGAGCCCAACACAGTGCCTGATGCAGAGACAGCTCATGGCAAGAAAGGATTCTAACGATTTGTATCTGATTCAAGCTTTAGGCTTCGTTCCTTTCTCTTGGGGAAGAAAAACATCCTTGAGCAAGACTTTTCAACATAGGTCTTTGTTCCATTCTTTGCCCCAAATCCAAGCTAAGCACCTGGAGCCTGGCACCACCGCCTCCATCCTCCCCCGGGGATGGAGGTAAAATGCCAGTTCCTGGGATGTGATTAATTCTCTTCGTCCCACGCCTCGCCCCAGGGTGTGTTGCCGTTTTCAGCATCTGTCCCATGGAAATCAGGTTGCCCATCTGAACTGTGATGAGAAAAACAAGGATACTCATATCGTGGGGTGGTTAACTACGCACTTTCGCAGGCACAAATGCATTCAGCCCTCACCAGGAGGCTGGATTACGTGGTTAAGGTCACGTGGTTGTGGAGTGGAAGGGGGGTGGGGGGGGAGAGAGAGAGCACAAGCTGGGTTTGAATACTATCTCTGCAATGATCTGGCTGTGTGATGTTGAACAAGTCACTTTCCTTCTCTAAGCCTCAGAGTCATCTCAGTAAAATAGAGATTAAATGAGATAATACACAGAAAGCCTCCAGCACAGGTAACTATTGAATTCTTGTACAGAGGAGGAAAGTGACGCAAAGACATAAAGGGACTCATTCGAGGTCTTGCGGCTGATGACTAGTGTCAAATGAGGATTTCTGACACTGCCCCCGCCTAGCTGTTTTTTGCCAGACCCCACTTCCCCCATGCACTTCCCTCACCCCCTGGTGACTCCCGCTGGGACCCCTGCTGCTTCCAGCCAAGGCTGTGCTCTGTGTGCAGGATCTCAAGCCCCTGGAGAGAGTGACATTGTTGTCAGGAAGCTTGCAAGGCTGTGGCCATTCATTCTTGTGGGTTTGTGGCCTCCTGAAGTTCATGTGCATCTTAAAACATCAGAATGTGACCTTATTTGGAAATAAGGTCTTTGCAGGGGTAATTCAGATCAGGATCCAGATGAGCTCACATTGGATTAGGGTGGGCCCTAAATCTAATGAGACAGAAAAGAAGACACACAGAGCCACCCGGAGGAAGAACCTGTGAAAACAGAGGCAGAGGTTGAAGTGATGCTATTACATCCAGTGGCAAAAACCGTAATTACTTTTGCACCAACCTAATACTACAAACCAAGGAGCCAGCGGGGGCTGCAAGGGCCAAGAAAAGATCCATCCCTAGAGCCTCTGGAGAGCGCGTGACCCTGCCAACACCTTGGTTTCCGACTTCTGGCTTCCCGAACTCCAAGAGATTAAATTCCTTTTGTTTTAAGCCTCCCCACTGGCCATGAATTGTTATGGCACCACGCTTGACTCTGAGATAGGAATGAATGGGGGGTGTCGGACTTAGAACAGCTGCCTGGACCAGAGGCAGCTGTGAGGGTCAAAAAGCATGAATTTGAAGCCAGACCTGGACTCAGCTCTTTCCCTTGCCAGCGCTGAGCCTTTGTTTCTTTGCGAAAATGAGAACCTACTGAACTTGCTGGCTTATGGCGAGGATTAAAAGAGGTGATGGGCAGAGCAGGTGCGGCGGTCATAACGAGGGCAATTGCAAGCATATATTAAACGTGACGTGCCGGGGTAATTCATCCCTCACATCTGTTTTGGGTGGTGGGCTCCCTTACAGAGGAGAAACAGAGCTGCTGAGAGGTTAACCAACTCCCCAAGGCCACACAGCCAGGGAGGGGCAGAACTGGAACTCAAACCCAGGCCATCTGATCTGGTAAGGCTGGTCTTCTAGCTTGGTAGCATCACAGCACACAGTAGCACTCAGTATTAATTATCTTTTTTTTTTTAGACGTAGTCTCACTCTGTCCCTCAGGCTGTAGTGTAGTGGTATGATCTCGGCTCACTGCAGCCTCTGCCTCCCAGGTTCATGTGGTTCTCGTGCCTCAGTCTCCCAAGCAGCTGGGATTACAGGCACCTGCCAGCATGCCAGGCTAAGTTTTGTATTTTTAGTAGAGACTGGATTTCACCGTGTTGGTCACACTGGTCTCGAACTCCTGACCTCAGGTGATCCGCCCGCTTCGGCCTCTCAAAGTGCTGGGATTACAGGCGTGAGCCACCGTGCCCAGCCAATATTAATATTTCGATCCTATTCCTCCCTCCTTCCCTCCTTTCTCAAGCCTGTCCTCACTGCTTCAATCCCAGGAGCCACCACAGCATGGTGTCAGGGACAGTAGTAGGACCCGAAATTGGATTCCAGGGGCCTTGAAGCATAACCAGATGGCCCCAGGAGATCTTTAGGCAGCACATCACATGAGACATTTCCTACAAATCCTCTGCAAACAGACATCGCTCCCTCTCCCCAAGCCACAGCCTGAGGTGGCTCCTCTGACCTCTCTCCTTCCTGCTTCTCTTTGACACTCCCTCCTCTCCCTCCACTGTGTCTCCCTTTTCACCCTTCCCTGGCAGAGGCTCGGCCAGGTGGCCAGATAATCTTCGGGACCCGCCATCTTTAGAAGGCAAGGAGGAGGTGATTGTGAATCTCTCCAATTTCATGTTTTTCCCATTCACCCACCTCCACTCTCTTCCTCCCACTTATACAGTTGTTCAGTGACCCCCTCTCCAACCCAATAGCAGATTCTGCACTATTTATGTTCTGCACTTATCTATTTCATGAAGTATTGTTGCTCCCTGAAAATATAAAAGAAGCACACATTGCTCTGAGATGCTGAACTCAAAGAGGAGAAAATCTTCAATAGGCTGATGACTGACAGGTCAAATATTTTCCTCTCCCCATATAATTGCTTGGCCTTTTCCATTGCCTTTGTTACTGTTTCTCTTGAAAACTGGGAGTTGTCAGGCCAGGCACGGTGGCTCGCGCCTGTAATCCCAGCACTTTGGGAAGCCAAGGCTGGCAGATTACCTGAGGTCAGGAGTTCAAAACCAGCCTGGCCAAAATGGCGAAACCCTGTCTCTACTAAAAATACAAAAAATTAGCCAGGCGTGGTGACATGCGCCTGTAGATCCACATACTTGGGAGGCTGAGGCAGGAGAATTGCTGGAGCCTGGGAGGCAGAGGTTGCAATGAGCAGAGATTGCATCACCACGCTCCAGCCTGGGCAACAGAGCAAGACTTGCTCTCAAAAAAAAAAAAAAAAAAAAAAAAAAAGGGGGAATTGTCTCAGAGAGAATGAAGAGAGGCCATTCATTTCAATGTGAGAATCAACTCCAGAGAATTACCTTCTTTCTGTCTCTTTAGCAAAATAAGGTGTTTTGATTGGTGGAGGGGAAGCAGATAATTTTGGCACATGGAACGGACACATCACGGGGTAGGTAATGGAAAGGAACTCCAATTTACTGAGAATCCAACGTCTGCTGAACAACTCAGGGCCGGGAGAGTCCCACAGGTGGACAAATGCATCAGGTGGACTCCTAGAAGAGGGCGCTGTTCTATCTAGAGATCCAAGCAGGTAGGGACTGACTTCAGGGAAGCCTGCAAATCACAGCGCCCTAAACCCTGTGCACGTGTGCAAGGGCCAGGGCCCCAGGACATAGAAGGCAGTTGGACAGGTAGAAACAGGACAACTTTCTCTGGGCACAGTGACTCACACCTGTAAGTAATCCCAGCATTTTGGGAGGCTGAGGCAGGAGGATTGCTTGAGGCCAGAAGTTCCAGACCAGTCTGGGCCACATAGCGAGACCTCATCTCTACAAAAAGAAAAAAGAAGACCTGGTGTGGTGGCTCACACCTGTAATCCCAGCATTATGGGAGGCCAAGGCAGGCTGATCACTTGAGGTCAGGAGTTCAAGACCAGCCTGGCCAACATGGTGAAACCCCAACTCTACTAAAAATACAAAAATTAGCTGGGCATGGTGGCACGAGCCTGTAACCCAAGCTACTCAGGAGGCTGAGGCAGGAGAACTGCTTGAATCCGGGAGGCGGAGGTTGCAGTGAGCCGATATTGTGCCACTGCACTCCAGCCTGGGCAACAGAGGGATACTCCGTCTCAAAAAAAAAAAAGAGAAAAAGGAAAAAGAGAACAACTTTCCAAATCATGGGTATAAGGTATACCAACTTTCATTATTCCTTGAGTATAAGGAAAAAGACAGACGCCCTTGTAGAACTGAGGTGTGGGGTGGGCTCCATCTTGGGGGCGGGTGTGGAAGGAATTAGCAGATACAGATGATGTGATGGTGTCTCAGGGTACGCCAAAAACATCTCCTGCCCCGAGTCTCCCCCACTACCGATCAAAGGCCTTGAATAGCACATCACTTATATCTCAGCCATTCACCCTAGAAACATAGCCCGAAGGAACCCTGTAGATGTGTGCGAAGTTTTCACTTTGAGAACGTTCTTCACTGGAACATTCTTACGGTGAAAATAATTCTTACATTTTTTTCCTCATGATTACAGTGGGGAAAAAATAGGAAACAACCTACATGTCTGTGGATTGCTTAAGTGCTTCGTGATACAGCCACAAATAGAAAACCGCCCCGCCTTCCATGCTGCTGCCGAGGAAGACCATCCAAGGACAGGCAGGAGCGCTCAAGGCATGTTGCTAGGTGAAAAGAACACATAACGAAATAGTGAGGTCCTAACTTTATATTAGAAAAATAAGACCTACATCACAGTGGATATATGTATATGCATATAATAGTATAAATATACATTCACACGCATATATATTAACATTTTAACTGCTAACATTTTAGTGGACTTTTTCAGTCTTTATAAAGTGTGTCTGCCCAGGCGCGGTGGCTCATGCCTATAATCCTAGCACTTTGGGAGGCTGAGGCGGGTGGGTCATGAGGTCAGGAGTTCAAGATCAGCCTGGCCAACATGGTGAAACCCCATCTCAACGAAAAATACAAAAATTAGCCGGGTGTCGTGGCATAAACTTGTTATCCCAGCTACTTGGGAGACTGACGCAGGAGAATCACTCGAACCCGGGAGGTGAAGGTTGCATTGAGCCAAGATCGTGCCACTGCACTCCAGCCTGGGCAACAGGGCGAGACTCCGTCTCAAAAAAGAAAAAAAAGTGTGTCTGTGTATATTACACATATTATATATATAAAAAACCACATATATTCATATATGTATATACACACACATATTTATATATCCGTATGTATGCTCACGCTTGTAATCCCAGCACTTCAGGAGGCCAAGTTGGGAGGATCGCCTGAGGCCAGGAGTTTGAGACCAACCTTGGCAACATAGTGACACCCCCATCTCTACAAAAAAATAAAAATTAAAAAGTTACCTAGGTGGGCCTGTAGTTCCAGCTACTTGGGAGACTGAGGCGGAAGGGTCCCTTGAGCCCAGGGTTCGAGGCGGCAGTGAGCTATGATTGCACCACTGCACCCCAGCTTGGATGACAGAGTGAGGCCTAGTCTCCAAAACAAATGAAAAAATACTTAACACTACTTGGTAGTAGTATTACTATAAGATAATTATGATAAAACTTTCTTCTGCCTAGAGTCGGCTGGTCTTAGAGGCTTAGACCACAGGGCAAAGTGGTCGTGGTCAGGGGGAGCAGAGGCTTAGAATCTGGGACCAGGCAGGAGCTGACAAGGCCTTAATCAGGCTTTTGTGAGCCCACTTGTGAGCCTCCACTAGCCATCATAACAAAGTTCCCAGCCAGGCGTGGTGGCCTCACGACTGTAATCCCAGCACTTTGGGAGGTTGAGGCGGGCGGATCACTTGACGTCAGCCTGGCCAACATGGTGAAACCCCATCACTACTAAAAATACAAAAATTAGCCGGGCCTGGTGGTGTGCACTTGTAATCCCAGCTACTTATAAGGCTGAGGTGGGAGAATCGCCTGAACCTCAGAGGCAGAGGTTGCAGTGAGCTGAGATTGAGATCACACCACTGCATTGCAGCCTGGGCAACAGAGCAGGACTGTGTCTCAAAAAACAAAAACAAGGCCGGGTGCAGTGGCTCACGCCTGTAATCCCAGCACTTTGGGAGGCCGAGGCGGGTAGATCACAAGGTCAGGAGATCGAGACCATCCTGGCTAACATGGTAAACCCCGTCTCTACTAAAAAATATACAACAAATTAGCCAGGCGAGGTGTCGGGCACCTGTAGTCCCAGCTACTCGGGAGGCTGAGGCAGGAGAATGGCGTGAACCTGGGAGATGGAGCTTGCAGTGAGCCGAGATCGCTTCACCGCACTCCAGCCTGGGCGACAGAGCCAGACTCCGTCTAAAAACAAAACAAAACAAAGCAAACGAAGTAAATTACTTTGGAAAACACATTTTCTGGTTCCCAAAGGGTGTGCTCACGAATACACATTTGCGGCACAGGCTGAAGTCTGTCCTCAAGGTGTATGATGGTCGCAGAGCAAGGCTGTGCCCTGGAACCATGTCAGGGTCTGTCCCATGGTGCAGCCTTGGGGTCCTGATGGTTGTATTTCCTGTCTCCTGCACAGATCAGCTGGACATCATCTCCATGGCGGAGACAACCATGATGCCAGAGGAGATTGAGCTGGAGATGGCAAAAATTCAGCGTCTCCGGGAAGTCTTGGTCCGCCGGGAGTCTGAGCTCAGGTTCATGTGAGTGTTTTGGGGATGTGGCCAAGGAAAGAAGTGTGTGGAGGAGAGAGGAAAACCTAATATTTGTTGATCGTCTACTGTGTGCCAGGCACTGAGATAAAGGCATTATGCACGTTTTTAAAAGCCTCATTTGATTCTCACCACCACCCAGGGAAGTGGATATTGTCATCTCCTGTTTTAAGCAAGACCCTGAAGTTGGAATTGAATTCAGGCCAATCTGACTCCAAAACCTTTGTTCTTTCTGTATCACCCACGGGGAAGAAAGAGGGAAGGGAATGCAGAGGCTGTACCCTGTGCTGGTGTCTTTCACGAGCGCACACTCTGCTCTCAGATAGGCCTGAGTTTTTTTTAAGCCTGTCAGCTTGGGCAGGTTACTTGGACTCTCTGAATTTCAGTTCCCTCATTTCTAAAATGGGGAAAAATAACAAGATGGGGTCTCTAGCAACATCAGAGTCACATGGGTTGAACGTTCATTATCTACAGAGCACAGCATTCCTGAAGAGTTGCAGGTAGTCTTTCAAGACAAACTCTCATTTAAAAAGTTGGGCTCTGAGTGTGTGGTGGTGCACACCTGTGGTCCCAGCTACTCAGGAGGCTGAGGTGGGAGGACTGCTTGAGTCCTGGAGTTCAAGGCTGCAGTGAGCTATGATCGCATCACCACACTCCATCTTGGGTGACAGAGAGAGGCACTGTCTCTAAAAAGCACAAATTAAGGCCAGGTGCAGTGGCTCACACCTGTAATCACAGCACTTTGGGAGGCTGAGGCGGGATGATCGCTTGAGCCCAGGAGTTCAAGACCAGACAGGGCAATGTAGCCAGACCCTGTCTCTACAAAAAATAAAATTAGCTGTGTGTGGCTGTGTGTGCCTTTGTCCCAGCTACTCAGGAGGATGAGGTGGGGGGATCGGTTTAGCCCAGGGGTTCAAGACTGCAGTGAACTATGATCATACCATTGCACTCCAACCTGGGAGACACAGTGAGAGCCTGTCGCTAAAAGAAAAAAATTAAAAATACAAAAAATATAAAAACATCAAATTAAAATGAAAAAGTTTTTTTAAAAATTGGGCTTTTGCCGACAAACAGTGAAAGGTTACAAGCAAAACCAAACCAAACCAGAGGTTAAGAGGCAACCTGGCTGGAAAATTCCCTGCGCTGCCTGTCAGCTCACCCACCCACCCACCCTCCACTGGAAGCAGCAGGAACATCAAATCTTTTAGGCAGGCTAGGCCCCTCCCCTATTCTTTCACTGATTTTTCACAACACCAAGAGGCTGAGTCTGTGATCATCCCATTTTGCAGATGAGGAGACTGAGGCTTGAAGAAATGAAACAGCCTGCCCAAGGCCTCCCAGCTAGTAAATGGGGAGTTAGGGTTCAGACTCAGCTCTTTCTGCTTTTAAAACACCTCTTCTTTATAAATTTTTAGTTACTTATTTAGATAAAGGGTCTTGCTCTGTCGTCCAGGGTGGAATGCAGTGAGGCCGTCATAGCTCACTGCAGCCTCGAACTCCTGAAAGCCCATACTCTCACTGGGACGTTATATGACCTTCCCTCTCGCCACATAAAATGAACTGCAGTATTCACAGCTGTCATTTATCCAGCCCTTTGCATGTGCAAGACCGTGAGCTAAATGCTTCCCATGCATAATTCCTTTTCACAGACATCTCTGAGGAAGGTTCTAGAACATTTCCACTTCATGGCTAAGAAATATCTTCCCTTTTGTCTGGAAATAAGCTAAAATGATACGTGAGCATTCAGAAACAATCCTTTCCTCCCTGTGTTTTAAAAGGAAGACAGAGAGGCCAGGTGTGGTGGCTCACATCTATAATCCTAGCACTTTGAGAGGCGGAGGTAGGTAGATCACTTGAGGCCAGGAGTTTGAGACCAGCCTGGCCAACAGGGCAAAAACCCGTCTCTAGTAAAAATACAAAAAATTTAGCCACGTGTGGTGGCGTGCGCCTATAATCCCAGCTACTTGGGAGGCTGAGGCACAAGAATCATTTGAACCTGGGAGGCGGAGGCTACAGCGAGCTGAGATTATACCATTTCACTCCAGTCTGGGCAACAGAGAGAAACTATCCCAAAATAATAATAAAATAAAAGGAAGACAGAGAACATGAGTCTTGCTTTTAAGTAATCAAGATCAAGATCCCTTTGTTTAAAAAAAAAACTACAAAAATACAAAAAATTTAAAAATACAAATACAAATTAAAAATTTTAAAAATATATATTTATTTTTATTTACCTAATGGTGCTGCTGCAGGAACAATGGTTACCACTGTGCACTTACTGACCTTTACTGTGTGCGCGTGTGTGTGGATATTTGTGTGGATGTGTGTGGATGTGTGTGGATGTGGATGTGTGGATGTGTGTGGGGGTGTTCGTATGTGGGTGTCTGGATGTGTGTGTATATGTGTATTGTGGATGTGTGTGTGTGGATGTGTGTGGGTGTGTGGATGTGTGTGTGTGGATCTGTGTGTGTGTATGTGTGTGTGAGGATGTGTGTGTGCATGTGTGGGTGTGTGTGTGGATGTGGGTGTGTATGTGTGCGTGTGGATGTGTGTGCATGTGTGGATGTGTGTGTGGGTGTGGATGTGTGCGTGTGTGGATGTGGGTATGGATGTATGGATATGTGTGTGTGTATGGATGTGCACATGCCTGTCACTTAGCCCAGGCTTAAGGACAAGAATAACTAGCATTTCTTAAGAGGCAGCTCTGCAGTAAGCTCTTGACTTGTGATCTCATTGAATGTCCTCATCTAGCCCATGAATCTGACCACTTAGGGACAAATGTCAACAGTAGACCCTAGGATAAATCAAATTATCTAAAGGATACAGAAGGACCTGAGTGTTGTTAGGACATAGATCAGGGATTCTGTGACATTTTCCAGGGGAGGGACCCCCTTCCAGGCCCCCAGATGTCTTGCTGGAATGGAGTCCTACAGACAGTATTGGATGGTGATGACGCTCCCCAACCAGGCTCAGCCTTGTATGGTGTGTAGCTTGCCCAGTGGTGCACCTGCCTCATCAATCTCAGAGATAGACGGTGGACACTAAGGCAACCAGGACAAAGGACACAGTATGCTCAGATCTGCACAAAGTCCTCATCCATCATCCTCAGCCCTCCAGGCCAACAGGCTTTGAGCCAAGGCCCTGCTTGAATTCACTTTCTTGGCTGTTCCTCAGAGATGGTTTTTCCCGAAGCTGTGGGGCTTATCCTGTGAGTGTGTCCTGTTCTTATCTCCATTTTGGATGGGAAGTAATGGGAGGTTACAAAATTTGCCTGATGCTGCATTAGCTAATAAGTAGCCAAGCTAGGATGCAGTCTGACTCCAGAATGTTTATTAAGTGAATCAGGGAAGGAGGGAAGGGAGTGGGAGAGAAGGGAGGGGGAGAGGGAGGGGAGAGGCGGACAGGGGAAGGGAGGGAAGGGAGGAAAGAAAAGGAGGAAGGAAGGAAGCTTTGAGTATAAACTACCAAGATAATTCCTTCAAGTTTATAAACTCCATGAGGGCAGAGACCTTATCCAATTTCCTCACAACGTCTTCCCAGCATTTGGAACAATGCCTGGCACTGAGTGTCATGAATATTTGTCAAATGTGCAATAAATTATTCTTTCTCACTCCATCCTTACCCCAACAATCCTCTTACACACACACACACACACACACACACACACACACGTGAGACACTCTTGGCACAGAGTAGGAGAGAAAAAAATTTCAGACCCTACTGATCATTTTCAGGCTCAGGCGAGGAAGCTTTAAGTGACAGGAATGTGACAGCCCTGGGCTGAAAGACTCCCGGTGGCCGTAGTGTAATAGCCGCGGTGAGATTTGTTTTGTCACACCTGCTGCGAAGTAATCACCTTAATGCCCATCAGCTGCTGCAGAGACCATGTGAGTCAGCCCCTATTTCATGGTTGAGAATGTGTCTCACTTCCAATGCTTCTCGCAGCATTAACTCTTTTATTTTTATTTCTTGTGACAGAGTCTCGCTCTGTCGCCCAGGCTGGAGTGCAGTGGTGCGATCTCGGCTCACTGCAACCTCCGTCTCCTGGGTTCAAGCGATTCTTGTGCCTCGGCCTTCCAAGTAGCTGAGACTACAGGTGCCCACCACCATGCCCAGCTAATTTTTGTATTTTTAGTAGAGACAAGGTTTCACCATGTTGGCCAGGCTGGTCTTGAACTCCTGGCCTCAAGTGATCTGCCCTCCTTGGCCTCCTTGGGATTACAGGTGTGAGCCACTGCACCCAGCCTGCATTGACTCTTTTAAGCATGAGTCCGGGGGGGACTGCCTGCCCCAGCCCCAAAGCTCTGGCACCCTCACATTTAGATTATTTCATGGGCTTCCTTTTTCTCAGCTGATTTAACTTGTCCTTTCCCCCAAGATCCACAGCCCCTGCCTGTTCTTCCTCTTTTCCTGCCACGACAGTGAGGAAGAAGAGGAGGGAGATTTCCCTACTCCCAGGGAATGGTGAGAACTCGGGAGATGTGGGATCAGAGGTCATCATCCTGGCTCTCTGACGTCCTTGGTCTGTGACCTTGGACACATGAGGGAGCACACAGAGTTGCTGTTTCCCGCGGGCACTGATATGCCACCCTGAGTGCTACGTCCCCTGCATGCATTCACCCCTTAATTTTAGCTTCTTGAGTCCTCGCAAGAACCCCAATAGAGTAAGTTCTATCTCTTTTATTTTATGAATGAGGAAATTGAGGTCGGAGAGGCAAAGTGACTTGTTCGAGGTCACCAGCTAGGATAAAGTAGTACCAGGATTTGAACCCAAGGTGTCTGTCTCGTGGGGGCAGAGCCCTTAACCTTAAGCTGTTCTGTTATCTTTATTCTCAATGCCAGGACCCCTTTTCTCTTTGCCTTACTCTTTTACAACGCAAGGACAAACCCCCGATTAGATGCCCCCAGTCCCACACTTGGTCTTGTCTTGTTCTGCAATGTTGAATTGTGTGTGGTGGAACTTGGACAGATTTTACTAAGTCAGGCTTTGGACTTTTCTGTACCATTGAAACTGACCCAATAGTCCCATCATAGATGTTCTTTTTTTTTTTTTTTTTTTTTGAGACAAGAGTCTCGATCTGCCACCCAGGCTGGAGTGCAGTGGGGCACGATCTGGACTCACTACAAGCTCCACCTCCCGGGTTCACGCCATTCTCCTGCCTCAGCCTCCCGAGTAGCTGGGACTACAGGCGCCCGCCACCACGCCTGGCTAACTTTTTTTTGTATTTTTTAGTAGAGACGGGGTTTCACCGTGTTAGCCAGGATGGTCTCGATCTCCTGACCTCGTGATCCTCCCGCCTTGGCCTCCCAAAGTGCTGGGATTACAGGCATGAGCCACTGCACCCGGCCCATAGATACTCTTTTGGATAAATACAGAAGTTGACCTTTCTGATCTTAAAGCTTGAAGCCCTCATTTGTCTTATCTGAGTTATTTCCTCAGGAAGGGACCCCCAGGCCTCTCAAAAAATATCAAAGAACTGAAACTCACCAGATTACCACATCCAGAGATGAGATACCAGACCCCTCATTCATCATGATTGCTTCCTTGCTCCTCCCGAGTTCCTGTTTTCTTCATGATTGCTTCCTTGCTCCTCCCGAGTTCCTGTTTTCTTATACATTGTTACATTTCTTCCCTGCTATGTAAACTCCTAGTTTTAGTTGGTCAGGGAGATGGATTTGAGACTGAGCTCCCATCTCCTTGGCTGCAGCACGCAATTAAAATCTTCCTTGGCAATACTCATCTTGTCAGTGATGGGCTTTCTATGCGGCGAGCAGCAGGACCTAGACCAAACCCCTGGTGTTTCAGTATCACCATTTCTCTGCACATAAACTGTTTATTTCAGAGACCAAAATGATGAGCTCCAATGCAGACAGTCAAAGTTTGTGAAGTCAGTCTGCTGGGAATGTGCTGTAGAAAAAGAACCCGGTTCCCGTAATAACTCTTAAGGCCCACAACAGTTGGCATTTACAGACCCCTTATTGTGGACCTAGGCTTGTGCTAAGCCCTTTACACACATGCTCACATAACCCACATCAAATGCTTACTAACAGAAAGATGCATCAGGAACCACCCCAACCCAGGACACCCACTTGCCCTGAATCAGGCCCAGGAGGTCAAGTTCACAGACCAGCCATAAGTGAGCTCCCAGCAGGCAGGTGTGAACTCTGAGTGTGCTCCTCACTCTGAATTTCCAGTGTGTGTTCCCTTGCTGACTTCCCTTTGCTTGACCCCTGGTTTCCAATGTGCAAAATGGCATTTAGAGATCTCTTTCTTGAGGCTTGGCAATTTTATCAACTTTACTGGAACAGGGCAGTAACACAAAACTGCCTCCGGAAAACAGGCAGCAAACATCTGGCAGATAATGCTTGAAACGCCTGTGTTTTCTCACTTCTTGACCCTATGTTCCACCCACCTCCTAGTACCTCCCACTGCTACCCCATCTCCCTACCCATCCTGCCCCCATCTTACTGCAGGCAAGAACTCTCAGAGGCTGTCAACAACCTCAGACTCATTTTCTCGCCTTCCTTCCAGCACTGAATCACATCATTAGTTTTTAATAATTCTTCTTGCAGCCCCTCTGGCTCGCTTCAGCTTTTCCACATCTAGTCTACCAACCCGCTCCTGCTGTTTATCTGGGTTTCAGATAATTAAGTATCTTTGGCCTCCACATGGGGCAGGGGTGTGGTTATCTTCCTTTTACACCCGCTTGCTGGATTTTCATAAAAAGGGATAGCATGCCCTGCCACTCAGCTTGCTCTGGGCAAAAGCAGGTTTTAATCAGCCAGAGACAGAACTGCAGCAGGCAGGGAAGGTAGGCGTGCGAAGGACATATTTCAAGAGCACAGCCTTTGAGTTCCAATATTTCCAGAGCCTGGGCTTGAAATCCAGTAACTTCGTTTTATTAAGAGGTACCAAGTGTGGTAAAGAGGACAGGCCCTGGGAACCTGGCAGAGATTCAAAATGGGGTAATAGTGCATGCATTGTGTTGAAAACCACACACACACACACACACACACGGAAAGTGTGTGCATTGTAGATAGCAGTTCTTTTAAAACATTTTCTATGCTGGCTAGTTTTCTAGTGTTTTATTGTTTTGATTCATATAATCCTCACTATCACCATCCAGGCAGAAAATATCACATAGCCTTTATTTTATAGATGAGGAAACTGAGGCACTGAGAGGTCAAGTCTCTTGCCCATGGTTGTACAGTTTCCATGAAATAGCATTCTAAGTCCAGATGAAATGGGAAAAGTTCCCTTGTCCCCCTCGCAGGGTGTGTGATGTCGGAGTGGCTCGCTTCTTCAGTGCCCCGCTGCTCAAACCTCTAGGGGACCATAGAGATGGGCCAGTTGTCGGGATCTGATCCCACGGCAGTGTCTAGGGGTGGATGTTTACAACTCCTGAAGCTTCAGTGTGTGTGTGTTACATGGTGCTCTTTTAGTTTTGCTATCTATAGGCGGCTTGTGTTAACTAGCTCAATTAGACCCTCTACGTTGTCCCAAGGACAGAGGGCTTTCTGTATCCTGGGTTCTTGCCTTGGTGCACCAGAAGAATCGGATCACACCTGGACTTGGAGAATGAGAGCAAGGTTTTATTGAGTGGAGGTAGCTCTCAGCAGATGGGGGAAGCCAGAAGGGGATGGAGTGGGAAGGTTTCCCCCTGGAGTCAGGCCGCCCAGCAGCCTGGGCACTCCTCCGACTGCCCAGGCCAAACTCCACTTTGTTCCGCCAGTAGATGGCCTGCCAGCATCTGTCATGTGCTCTTCTGCCAGCGTGTTCCTCTTGACGTCTTCTTGACATCCAGACGCTTGTGTCTTCTTTGCCGATCTGCAGCTCTTGACGTCCAGCAGCTTGTGTGTCACCTGCTAGGGTCTTGGGGTTTTTATAGATACAGGATGGGGGCATGGCAGGCCAGGGTGGTCTTGGGAAATGCAACATTTGGGCAGGAAAACAAAAATGCCTGTCCTCACCTAGGACTGTGGGCACAGGCGTGGGGGTGGAGCCCTTACCAGGGACCACACCCTCCTCTACCCAGCACTTCCCTTCCTTCCTTCTGTAGCATTTAAAGCGACCATGCCCTTCCCTTCCTATCACCTCTCTTGCATATCACAGAGTCCATGGTCTCAGTCATCAAGCTGTGGGGTCTCTCAACTAGCTTTGAATTCTACTTCTTACCAACTGTGTGGCCTGGAGCAAATACTTTGTCCTGTTTCAGCCTCGGCTTCCCCATCAGTACAAGGGGGACAGTGATATCTCCCTGCAGCATCATAGCAAGGGATGAAAACAGACACAGGTATGAAATTGGGTGGCCCTTCCTAGGTAGTAAGCAATTCAAAATTCCCTTCTTTCCTTTCATTGTTAACATTGTGCTTCGTGGGAGAGTAGGGCATCAGGGCTGCTTATGGTTGTCTCCAGAGAATTCCCAGAAAATATTCCTCTCCCCAAGAGAAGATGGGATTCACTGTGGTTTCCTTGAGACCCTCTTGGGAGGTGCCAACTCTCTTGAGAGTGGCTCTCAACCATTAAGTGCAACTCTACCCTGGGGCCTTGATTTTATTATGATGATTATTTAAGATTTTTTTATAAACCTGCATTTTTTCCCCTTTAATGAGCTGATAATTCTGAAGTCTGTTAGGAAGAGCTTCAAGCCAAGGGCAAAATGAAGCATGTGCGTTTATGTAACTTGACACATTTCAGCCACATTCAGGAGCTCTGCGTCACTTTAGTTGCACACAGGGTTTTAAATAGCATCTTCCAGGAACAGGTCACCATTGCCGGGGCCACTGTACATATCGGATGGGAAGAGATGCCCTTAATTGCAGAAGATCTAAGAAGCAGTTTGTCTTGGACAAAATATACAAGAAGTTGGGGTGTAGGGGAGGGAAAGGAAGGAAGAAGAAACGGAGAGACTAAAGGGAGGAGAGAGGAGGGAGAATTTCTAAGCTAGACTTCTGAATGGAAGGACCCTCCTCCTGAATTTCTAAATGTACTGGGAGGTGGGGAGGAAGGTGGGAATCTGTGTTGATTGAATGGAGAAATACATGTTAGTCTGGGCGCAGTGGCTCATACCTGTAATCCCAGCACTTTGGGAGGCTGAGGCAGGTGGATCACCTGAAATCAGGAGTTCCAGACCAGCCTGGCCAACATGGCAAAACCCCATCTCTACTAAAAATACAAAAAAATTAGCTAGGCATGGTGGTGTGCACCTGAAATCCCAGCTACTCGAGAGGCTTGAGGCACAAGAGTTGCTTTAACCTGGGAGGCAGAGGTTTCCATGAGCCAAGATTGTGCCACTGCATTCCAGCCTGGGTGACAGAATGAGACTCTGTGTCAAAGAAAATAAATAAATCAAATAAATGTTCTGTACTTGACAAGCTCTTGCTGCTACGAGTTGCCTTTCATGGTCAGAACAAGTTTCGAGAAGGAAAATACTCTCTAGAAGTTCCGTCTTCCTAGAACTGTATTACATTCTGCTCAGAGGACCACCTCTGAACCACCTAGACTCCATTGGGTTGGGAGGGAGATTACCATGTAAGACCCTGGTGATTATCAATTTTATGCATCAACTTGAGTGGGCCACAGGGTTCCCAGATGTTTGGCCAAAGATTCTTCGATGTATGTGTCTGCAAGAGCATTGGTGGATGAAATTAACATTTGAATTGGTAAACTGAGTAAAGCAGACTGCCCTCCCTAATGTAGAGGTGGGTGGGCCCCGTCCAATCAGTTGAAGGCCTGACTACAACAGAAAGGGTGAGTAGGAGGGAACTCCTGCTGCCTGATTGCTTGGGCTGGGACATGGGTCTTTTCCGGCCTTTGAACGCAAACTGAAACATCAGCTCTTCTTGGGTCTTGAGCCTGCCAGCCTTTGGACTGGAACTTAACACCGTCAGCTCTCCTGGGTCTCCAGCTGCCACCTATAGATCTTGGGACTTCTTGGCCTCCAAAATCCCATGAGCCAATTCCTTATCATAAATCTTTTTCCAGGCCAGGTGCAGTGGTTCACGCCTGTAATTCCAGCACTTTGGGAGGCCAAGGTGGGCAGATCATTTGAGGTCAGGAGTTTTGAGACCAGCCTGGCCAATGTGGTGAATCCCTGCCTCTACTAAAAATACAAAAATTAGCCGGCTGTGGTGGCGTGTGCTTTCAGTCCCAGCTACTCGGAAAGTCGAGGCAGGAGAATCGCTTGAACTTGGGAGGTGGAGGTTGCAGTGAGCCAAGATTATGCCAGTGCACTCCAGCCTGGGCAACAGAGTGAGATCCCATCTCAGAAAAAAAAAAAAGAAAAAAGAAAAGAATAAAGAAAAAACAAATAAAATAAATCTCTTCAGTAGTATTGGTTCTGTTTCTCTGGAGAACCCTGACTGATAGAGCCCTTTTTATTCTCAGAAATTTTCATTTGGATAGTTTATCAGGTTAGCAAAGACCTAGCAAGTTGGATAAAATGAAAATATAGGGAAATTGGCCTTATCTCTTTGGAAAACAGTTCATTGTTACCTAGTAAAGATGAACAGGTGATTATAACCTGCAGTTTTGCTCCTGGGTCTACCCCTGGTTAGCCAGTAGCTTCATGTGGCTATTTCAGTTTAAATTAATTAAAATTAAATAGCATGTAAAATTCAGTCTCTCGGTAGCCTGAGCCATATTTCAAGCACTCATTAGTAAATAATGGCTAGTGGCTACCCTATTGGAAAGCATACATTTGTATAGGACATTTCTATTGTTGTAGAACATTCTATTCACCAGCACTGCCCTAGAGAAACTACACATGAGCATCAGGAGGCATGTTCCAGAATGTTCATAACTGCCTCGTTTGTGGTCTAGCTGTACCACAGAATACTATACAGCAGTGAAAAATGAATGAGCAACAGGTATGAACATGAAAGCATCTCAAAAACAAGATGTTGAGCAACAGGTTTATATAAAGTGTATAAAAGTAAAAAATATAGGCCGGGCGTGGTGGCTCACGCCTCTAATCCCAGCACTTTGGGAGGCTGAGGTGGGTGGATCACAAGTTCAGGAGATTGAGACCATCCTGGCTAACACGGCGAAACCCCGTTTCTACTAAAAATACAAAAATTAGCTGGGTGTGGTGGTGTATGCCTGTAGTCCCAGCTAGTCGGGAGGCTGAGGCAGGAGAATCGCTTGAACCCAGGAGGTGGAGGTTGCAGTGAGCTGAGATCCCGCCACTGCACTCCAGCCTGGGCAACAGAGCGAGACTGCATCTCAAAAAAAAAAAAAAAAAAAAACTAAAAAATATAATTGTTCCGGGCTTCATATATGGGTGGTAAATGATAAAAATAAAAAGCATTACCACAAGTTTGTGATAGTGCCTACCTCTGAGGGAATGAGAAAAATATGAGGGAATGGGGCACACGGGGCCGTCTAAAAGTCACACACAGATTTTTACTTAAGTAGGATGTTGGGAAAATAACTGCTTTATTATTCCATAAAAATAATATAATAATAATTCTATGAAGTATGAAATAATAGTAAATAATAATAAAATATAATAAATCATATTTTATTATATTTTATTATTATTATAGTATATTTTATATAAATTTTACTATAAAAATAAAACATTTTATGCACACTTATATGTAGTTTGCACACACACTTCTATTTTTTAAATTGTGGCAAAATATATATAATATTTACTATCTGAAACCATTTCTAAGAGTACAGTTCTATGTCATTAAGAACATTCATACTGTGTGTAACCATCACCATCCCTCCCCAGAATTTTTTTCATCTTCCCAAACTGAAACTCTGTACCATTCAACACTCACTCCCCATTTTCCCTTTCCCCTGGCTCCTGGTAACCAGCATTCTGCTTTCTGTCTCTGATTTTGATGACTCTACATACTTCATAAAACAGGAATCAGGCCAGGCGCTGTGGCTCACGCCTGTAATCCCAGCACTTTGGGAGGCCAAGGTGGGTGGATCGCCTGAGCTCAGGAGTTCGAGACCACCCTGGGCAACATGGTGAAACTCTGTCTCTACTAAAATACCAAAAATTAGCCAGGCGTGGTGGCGCACACCTGTAGTCCCAGCTACTCAGGAGGCTGAGGGATGAAAATCACTTGATACCTGGAGGCAGAGGTTGCAGTGAGCTGAGGTTGTGCCACTGCACTCTAGCTCAGGCTACAGAGTGAGAATCCGTCTCAAAAAATAAAATAAAAAAAAAAGAAGTGGAATCACACGGTATTTTTCTTTTTGGACACACATTTCTAAGGGGAAAATGCTGAGAAAGACAGGCAGGGGAAGGTACAGTATCTGATATCTCCACTTAAATGTCTCAAAGATACCTGTAACTCAATCTGTCCAAGTCAAACTCATGATCCCCCCATCTAGTCCCAATACCCACCAGCCCTAGCTCAGCAAATGGTCAAGCATCACCATCTATCCATGGAAATCTCAAATTCCAAAATTAGACATCATTCTTGACCCCTCCCAACCCTCCACCTCATATATTCAGTTCATCATCAACTGGTGTTTGTTTTACCTCCTAAAATAATGCTCAGCTGTCCATCTTTCTCCATCTCCATGGCCACCACCCAGGTTCACATGCCCATCTCTGTCCTGCAGCCAGAGGGATTTTCTCACCATGTGAATCTGATTATAACTCTCAGATTTAAACACTGTCTTAGTCCGTTCCTGTTGCTGTAACAAAATTCCTTAGACTGGGTAATTTATAATAGAAATTTAATTCTCACAGTTCTGGAGTCTGGCTGGGAAGTCCAAGATGAAGATGCCAGCAGATTCCATACTTAGAAGGGCTCATTCTCTGCTTCCAAGATGGCGCCTTGCTTCTGTGATCTCCAGAGAGGAAGGGCACCGTCTTCTCACAAGCAGAATGGACAGAAGGGCAAAAAGGACTGAACTTGCTCTCTCGAGCACTTTTGTTAGTGCACTGATCCCACCTCCTAATGGCCCTCACCCCTTAATACTATTGCATTGGAAATTAAGTTTCAACATGAATTTTGAAGAGTCATAAACATTTACACCATAGCAAACACCTTCCAGAATTTGTTAGCATGATAAAGCCCATGAGATCTTGCTGGATCTGCTCACACCTCTTCTCCAACTTCTTTTCTTCATCCATTCCTCACCCCCAGCTCCCTCCCTTACACACACACACCACTCCCTTGGGCCTCCTTTTAGTCTCCACCTCCCCACCCCCCGATACACACACCAGGTCCCCTCCTGCCGTGGGGGCCTTTTTGTTTGTGATGTTCCCTCTGCCTGGATCCCTCTCCTCCCACCCCCCTCTCCTTCCCTGGTGCTATGATCTGAATGTTTGTATCACCCCTAAATACATATGTCGACATCTAATTCCCAATGTAATAATATCAAGAGGTGGGGCTTTCAGGAGGTGATTAGGTCATGAGGGCAGATCCTCATGGATGGGATTCGTGCCCATGTAAAAGAGGCCCAGGGTAGCTTGTTTCTCCCTTTCACTGTGTGAGGACACAGTGAGAACTCACTATCTATGAGGAAGAGGTCCTCACCAGACACTGAATCTGCTGACACCTTGATCTTGGACTTTCCAGCCTCTTTTACCATGAAAAATAAGTGTTTGTTTGTTTGTTTGTTTGTTTGTTTGACGGAGTCTAGCTCTGTCGCCCAGGCTGGAGTGCAGTGGTGCGATCTTGGCTCACTGCAAGCTCTGCCTCCCAGGTTCACGCCATTCTCCTGCCTCAGCCTCCCGAGTAGCTGGGACTACAGGCGCCCACCACCACGCCCGGCTAACTTTTTTGTATTTATTGGTAGAGACAGGGTTTCACCGTGTTAGCCAGGATGGTCTTGATCTCCTGACCTCGTGATCCGCCTGCCTCGGCCTCCCAACGTGCTGGGATTACAGGCGTGAGCCACCGCGCCCGGCGGTGTTTGTTGTTTATAAGCCACCTAGGCTAAGAAAGGGAGAATGGCAGCCCAAATGGACTAAGGCACCTGATAAACTCTGTCCCCTCGAGGACTGAGATCTAGGGCATTTCTGGAGGGACACCTTCCCAGCACTTCCCCAGTCCCTGTCCCATTACCATCCCTGCAATCCTTTCCTTAGAAGCCTTTTGTAAATTTGTGTTCATTGGTGTGAGTGTATGTTCAATATCTGACTCTCCTCCTAGATGCTGACCTCCATGAGGACAGAGGCTGAGCTATTTTCACTCCCAAAAATGTTGACGGTACCCAGCACACAGCCAAACTCAGCGTAGGCACTCTGAGTGAAGATTGATTGAATGAATTAATGAGGGCTCATCTTCCTGCTTCTCCCACGGTCACATAATCTCAAGGGTTCCCTTCCATGTGGCAGGTCTGGGTGGTGAGAACTGCCTGGCTCTCTGATGGTTAGGGTGAACAGTGGGTCCATTCATAGGAAGGAACAGAGTGATAATGCAGCTAAGTGCGTTATTTTCCTGTGGCTACTGTAACAAACAGCTGCAAATGTGTTAAAACAACACACATTTCTTTTATCTTACAGTTCTGGAGGCTGGAAGTCTGAAATCGATTTCACTGAGCTGAAATCAGGTGTTGGCAGAGCCGTGCTTTCTGGAGGCTCTAGAGGAGAAGCCTCTTCCTCATTCATTCCAGCTTCTAGAACCGTACTCTTTGCATTTCTTGGCTTGTGTTTCCCTCCTCCATCTCCGAAGCCAGCAGCATGGCATAGTCCAGTCCCTCTCGATTGAGGTCATCCTGTCGCCTTTGCTCTTCTGTGTCAAATCCCTCTGTTTTTCTCTTAAATGTATGCCTAGCATTCCATTATTGGAACACTAAGCATGTGGGAGTTATTTATATGCTACTTCTCAAGGCTATCACCAGGTCTGATTTCTCAAATTCAAAAAATTGCAACCTCAGGCATAAATGGGTAGGGGCACTTGTGATGACATTGAGGGCCCACCTGGATAACCCAGGATGATCTCCCCATCTCAGGACCCCTTAATTTAATCACATCTGCAAATTTCCTTTTTAAAAATATATATTTTTCAGAGACGAAGTCTTGCTCTGTTGTCCAGGCTGGAGTGCAGTGACACGGTCATAGCTCATTGCTTCCTTTAATTCCTGGGCTCAAACAATCTTACTGCCTCAGCCTCCCAAGAAGCTGGGACCACAGGCACGTGCCACCACACATAGCTAATTTTTGAATTTTGTAGAGATGGTGACATAGTTCGGCTGTGTCCCCACCCAAATCTTATCCTGAATTGTAATCCCATAATCCCCATATGTCATGAGAGGGACCCGGTGGAAGGTAATTCAATCATGTGGGTGGTTGCGCCATGCTGTTATCATGATAGTGAGTTCTCATGAGATCTGATGGTTTTATAAGCATCTGGCATTTCCCCTGCTGGCATTCATTCTCTCTCCTGCCGCCTGGTGAAGAGGAACCTTCTGCCATGATTGTAAGTTTCCTGAGGCCTTCCAAGCTATGTGGAACTGTGAGTCAATTAAACCTCTTTTCTTCTTTCTTTTTTTTTTTTTTTTTTTTTGAGACGGAGTCTCGCACTGTCACTGGGCTGGATTGCAGTGGCTCAATCTTGGCTCACTACAACCACCACCTCCCGGGTTCAAGCAATTATTCGCCTCAGCCTCCCAAGTAACTGGGATTACAGGCACCCGCTGCCATGCCCAGCTAATTTTTTTTTGTATTTTTAGTAGAGACGGGGTTTCACTGTGTTGGCCAGGCTGGTCTCAAACTCCTGACCTCGTGATCCGCCCACCTCAGCCTCCCAAAGTGTTGGGATTACAGGTGTGAGCCATCACGCCCAGCCTTAAACCTCTTTTCTTTACAAGTTACTCCTTCTCGGGTATTTCTTCATAGCAGCATGAGAATGGACTAATACAGTTGGGATCTCATCACCTTGCCCAGGCTGGTCTTGAACTCCTAGGTTCAAGTGATCCTCCCGCCTAGGCCTCCTAAAGTCCTAGGATTAGAAGCATGAGCCACCATGCCTGGCCCAAAATCCCTTTTGCCGTGTAAGGTAACAGATTCATAGGTTCATTAGGACATGGATATCTTCAGGGACCATTCTTCAGTCTACCATATTGAGTGACCACAGCAATTCATATAAGGGCCAAGCCCAGAGCAGGAGCCACAGTGTGGCAGCAACAATGACAGAGACGGCCCTGGTGAGGCTGGGGAAAGGGGAAGATGACACACTACATGGGGCACCCTCATAGCTTCATCCTGTGCCGGGTTCTCATCATTTTTTTGAAATCTCCCAAAAAAGAAGCTTCTTAGAAAGACAGGGCAATAGATACCAGTAAATTGCATGTACCGTGGCCTGGCGATTAAGGGTTTTTCCATTCCCTTTGCTTATTTCTGGAAAGCTGCTGATGTGAGTGGCAGCAGAGATTGAGAAGGGCTTGTCCCTATCACGTGATGGTCTGAATTGAATAGGATAATGCTTGGCTGAGCCTCCTTCCCACATTTTCCTTCAAATAAAATACCAACCCTTTCTTGACAGTTCTAGGACAGGATGCCCAAAGAGAAATGGGAGGGAATAAAACTGCAAGTGACTTAGCAGAGCTGCCTTGGTGTTTTGGGTCTACACAACCAGATTCCCGAGCACCCCCTTAAGGCAATATCCTGACTTACATATTTCATGTTATGTAATTGGCTGCTATTCATTGAGCCATCAGTTACTTAGATCTTGTTGTCTCCTGGAATTCCAGTCTACTGTGTCTGTCCTCAGTCCCCTAAACTCCTCGGGGATCTCAAGTTATATTAGATCAATCCAAGACATTCCTGGTTGGGTTCTGCCAAACGTGGTAGGATCCCTGTTTTGTTTTTTTGTTTTTTTTGTTTTTTTTTGAGACAAAGTCTCACTCTGTCACCTGGGCTGGAATGCAGTGGCTTGATCTTGGCTCACTGCAACCTCTGCCTCCTGGGTTCAAGCGATTCTCCTGCCTCAGCCTCCCTAGTAGCTGGGATTACAGGCACCCGCCACTGCTCCCAGCTAATTTGTATTTTTAGTAGAGACCGGGTTTCACCATATTGGCCGGGCTGGTCTTGAACTCCTGACCTCGTGATTCGCCTGCCTCGGCCTCCCAAAGTGCTGGGATTACAGGCTTGAGCCACTATGCCCGGCCTTTTTTTTTTCTTTTTCTTTTTTTTTTTTTTTTTTTGAGACGGAGTCTCGCTCTGTCGCCCAGGCTGGAGTGCAGTGGCACGATCTCGGCTCACTGCAAGCTCTGCCTCCCAGGTTCACGCCATTCGCCTGCCTCAGCCTCCCAAGTAGCTGGGACTATAGGCACCTGCCACCATGCCCGGCTAATTTTTTGTATTTTCAGTAGAGACAGGGTTTCACTGTGTTAGCCAGGATGGTCTCAATCTCCTGACCTCGTGATCTGCCCGCCTCGGCCTCCCAAAGTGTTGGGATTACAGGCGTGAGCCACCGCGCCTGGCCAGATCCCTGTTTTTTCATTACTAGATATCCTGGTCTTGGATGGGGTTGCTTTCTGATAAATAGACCTCGTGCCTGGTAAGTGTGTTTACTTGCTCCGGATTAAATTACACCTAGATTTACATTCTACCTCTGCCATTTATAGGCTGTGCAATCTTGCACAAATATCTTACCTTCTCTGAGCCTCGGTGGCCTCATCTGTTAAATAGCCATGCATCCAGTATCTCGCAGGGTGGTCATGAGGAGTAAAAGAGATCAAGCATATTAAGTGCTCAGTCCAGTGCCTGCTACCACGTAAGTGCTCATTAAATGTTACTTTCCTTTACCACCAGGAAGAAATTGAGTTTGGAAATGGATAGATACAGGCATAAGTGTAGACACTGGTTTCTTTGTTTGGAAGAGGAGACACAAGAGAAGGGGGAGATTAGAGGGTGGAATGATGATCTTTTCCATGTCAAGGTTGTTGAAACGACGAGAGAAGTCTCAAGGGGCACCTAAGATTTGTCTCAAAATATCTGAAGGATATTACGTGGAAGAGGAAGTTCGTTTCTTTCTTTTTTTTTTTTTTTCCTGAGATAGAGTCTATTGTGTTGCCCAGGCTGGAGTGCAGTGGTTCAATCTTGGTTCACTGCAACCTCTGCCTCCCAGGTTCAAACAATCCTCCTGCGTCAGCCTTCTGAGTAGCTGGGACCAAGTAGCAGCCTCAGGTGTAGGGGGGCTTGAGCCTCTCCTCACTCCTCTCTGATTGGTCCAAATTTGCTCAGTCTGGGCCAATCAGAGTCTTTCTCCTGGGATGCAGAGAGATTAGCCCAGGTGGATGATGAGGGAGTGGCAAACCGAAGTCTATGCATAAGCAGAGAAAGCCAGTCTTTGAAGGGAAAGAGGACAGAGCGTCTGCCTCAAGAATAACAAGAGAGACAGTGTCCTTTGAAAGCAGAGAAGGAACTCAGCCATGACATTCCCATTGCAGTCCAGATGAACTGGGTAGTCCATAAGATGTTGCACCTTGTTCAACCCTGCGCATCCTTTCTCCAGACCCTTGGAGAAATACCTCCCACCCCGTGTTGCCACCGCCTAGGGAAATCCAAAATCCAGCTGTACAATGTCTGTACATTTCCAGGGGCTTCCATCCTCAAGTCTTCTCTGCTCCTAGGCTTGGTTCCTTGAGTCCTGTACCTCCATCCAACTGAATATGAAACTCAGATGCTTCACTGGTTTCCATAACAACAGAATAAAACAATGCCCTATCCTACTCCCACAGGTCATTTGAGGAGCAATACAATGAGGATCACAAAAAGGGTGTCATTGATCTCTTCACAGCAGACAGCTTAAAAACCATGACCAGTGACAATCGTCTCCTGGCTCACCATGTAACTGTCCCTCCAGCCCCAGAGGACTAGCCCCAGCCACAGCCCTGCAAAGACCTTGATTTTTTTTTTAATTGCAAAAAAAAAAAAAAAAAAAAAAAAAAAAAGAAAAGGCCAGGCGCGGTGGCTCACGTCTGTAATCCTAGCACTTTGGGAGGCCAAGGCGAAACCCTGTCTCTACTAAGAAATACAGAAATTAGCTGGGTGTGGAGGTACATGCCTGTAATCCCAGCTATTAGGGAGGCTGAGGCTGGAGAATCCCTTGAACCCGGGAGGAAGACGTTGCAGTGAGCCGAGATTGTGCCACTACACTCCAGCCTGGGCAAGAGAGTGAGACTCTGTCTTAAAAAAAAAGTCAATGTTCCAGTAAAGGGCATCGTGGTATCCATATGGCCATAACTAGGAGAACTAGAAATCCACATTTGACATTCCTGGTTAACAAGATCTTTTTCACCACCCTGTGCCATAAGGCAGTGGGGTGGTTTCCTTTTTCTTGGCCTTTTCCACACACGGGGTCCAGTTTCATCACCTCTTTTTCTCTTCTCCTTTATCTCAGCTCCCTCCATTCCAAGGAAGACACTTACTTCTCCTGTCTTATCCACAGCAGCTTTGCCCTCTTCTAAGAAGCCACGGCACCAATTTATGCTGAGCTCTTGCAAGTACCACCCCAGGTGTTTGTCAAGCCATAATTCCAAGCAAAAACCATTATCTCCCCAAGATACATATGGGTACCATCTGTCAAGATGCTAGCATTTCCCTTCATTTTCTTACACCTTTACTAAACTATATTTTTCTCAAGTGAGCTTGAGTGGATTTCTGTTCCTTCTAGTCTGTGCTGCAATATTCTATTAAAAATTTAGGCTGAATGCAGTGGCTCACACCTGTAATCCCTGCACTTTGAGAGGCTTAGGTGGGAGGATCGCTTGAGCCTAGAAGTTCAAGACCAGCTTGGGCAACATAGCAAGACCCCATCTCTACAAAAAAACTAAATAATTAGCTGGGCATAGTGGTGCATGCCTGTAGCTTCAGCTATTCTAGAGGCTGAGGTGGGAGGATTGCTTGAGCCCAGGAGTCTAAGGCTGGAGTGAGCTATGCTTGTGCCACTGCACTCCAGTCTGGGCAACAGAGTGAGACTCTGTCTCAAAAAGAAGAAAGAGGGCCAGGTGCGGTGGCTCACGCCTGTAATCCCAGCACTTTGAGAGGCCAAGGTGGGTGGATCATGAGGTCAAGAGATGGAGACCATCCTGGCCAACATGGTGAAACCCCATCTCTACTAAAAATACAAAAAAAAATTAGGTGACTACAGTGGTGTGTCCCTGTAGACCCAGCTGCTCAGGAGGCTGAGGCAGGAGAATCACTTGAACCCAGAAGGCGGAGGTTGCAGTGAGCTGAGATCGTGCCACAGTACTCCAGCCTGGCGACAGAGCAAGACTCCATCTCAAAAAAAAAAAAAAAGGAAAGAAAAGAAAAAAGAAAGCTTAGCTATACCGAGAACTTTATTTCCCATATCCCATTTTGTATTAGTCCATTTTCACACTGGAAAAAAAAAATACCAAAGATTGAGTAATTTATAAAATAGAGAGGTTTAATTGACTCACAGTTTCGCATGGCTGGGGAGGCCTCAGGAAACTTACAATCATGGCAGAAGGGGAAGCAGGCACCTTCTTCACAAGGCAGCAGGAGGGAATAAGAGCCAGCAGGGGAAATGCCAGACACTTATAAAGCCCTCAGATCTCATGAGAACTCACCCTTTATCACGAGAACAGCATGGAGGAAACTGCCGCCATGATCCAATCACTTCCCTCCCTCGACACGTGGGGATTACAATTTGCAGTGAGATTTTGGTGGGGACACAGAGCCAAACCATATCCTTTTCCCTGTAGGGTTGTGGGTTAAAAGTAGGCAGAAGAGGATGGTGCGGGAGATTTGGGAAGTGGAAGGAAGGTGACATCAGTGTTTACTCTTTGAAGGCTGTCCAGATGAGACAAGGAGGTGATCTGACAGAGGGGCCACAGAGGTTCCAGCTTGTCCTCACCCTCCCCTGTGTCCCTTGCAGCTTGTCTTCCTGACCGCTGGGCCTGCTGACCAACAGCAGCCCCCCCGCCTCTGGATGCTTGGCAGACGAGGCAGCAGCCCCCTAGGGACCCCTCTACCTGTTTCCCCTCTGCCACTCCATCTTAACAGCTGGACGCATCTGACTCTCATATCAGCTGTCGGTGACTTCTCTCATCCTCTCCACCCTTCCCAGACCGCCATCTCCCCAGCTCCCTGGACAATTGTAGAAGGTCTAATTCCTATAACGCATCCCTTGCCCCAGAGCACGTAGTGACCCTGCTTCCCCGATTGAGCACTGACTAATATCCCTCAACAGCCTTTACAGAAGTAGCCAGAAGTTGGAGGCAATGTGTCCATCTTGCACCAGGCCAACATCCCCCCATGCTTCCGCGTCTCAGCCTTGACTGCCTATTGCAATCACATGGAGAACTTTAAAGAAAATGCTGGGGCCTGGTCTTACAGCCAGAGTCTTGTCTAGTTGTTCCAAGGCATAGCCTGGTCATTGAGAGTCTTAGAAGCAGGTAGGCTGATGCCCCCTCACCTCCCACGGCACAGACATCCCCTCACCTCTTCGCTGGCTGAAATAGAAGAACCCTAGTGTCCATCAGCTGCTTATAGATGACTCATCTTCTTAATCCTTTCTTGACGAAAACTTGCTTCAGATGTTAATAAAAAGTACAAAATCTGCCCTATGTTAGTTTGACTCCTTGGCACAGCAGTGGGAGCCTCTCTCTCTCCCCTGTAGCCTAGGATCGTGATCAGAATCATAATGAAATGTGTGTTTGTGGTCTCCCGTGGCGTCAGATAATTCCGATGCCATCTGTTGTCTTCATCATCACATCCGTTATTGAAGTCCGTTGATTATGCCTTTGATTGAACCTGGGGCTATATTTATCAAGAAAATTATAAGCACAGGCTTTCTGACAGTGTCCAACCAAACAGAATTTGTCATCATTCAATGACTATTGCTTTCCATTTGTTCCTGTTTTGGACTTCTAAAAACCAACACAGGGTCTCCTTTTATTTTTATTTTTTTAAAGAAATCAAGTGAGCTGGCCAAGAGCAGAGCAGAAGATAGATTTTTCTTATTCTTAATTTTTTTTTTTTTTGAGACAGCATCTCGCTCTGTTGCCCAGGCTGGAGTGCAGTGGCACAATCTTGGCTCACTGCAACCTTGTCTCCCAAGTTCAAGCGATTCTCCTGCCTCAGCCTCCCCAGTAGCGGGGATTACAGGTGCCCGCCACCATGCCTGGCTAATTTTTGTATTTTTAGTAGAGGCGGGGTTTCACCATGTTGGCCAGGCTGGTCTCGAACTCCTGTCCTCAAATGATCCACCCACCTCGGCCTCCCAAAGTGCTGGGATTACAGGCATGAGCCACCATGCCCGGCCGAGAAATATATATGTATTTTTAAGAGACGGGCTTTCACTCTGTTGCCCAGGCTGGAGTGCAGTGATGAATCATGGCTTACTGCAGCCTTGAACTCCTGGGCTCCAGTGATCTTCCTGCCTCAGCCCCTTGAGTAGTGGGGACTATAGGCACATGCCACCATGCCTGGCCAATTTTTTAATTTTTTTGTAGAGATGGGGTCTTGCTGTGTTGCCCAGGCTGTTATCAAACTCCTGGCCTCAAGTGATTCTCCTGCCTCAGTCTCCCAAAATGATGGGATTACAGGCATGAGCCACCGTGCGTGGCTGAAAATTCTTAAATGTCTGCCACCTATGAAAGCATTTTGGAGCTATAGTTTGACCCAAGACGAAAACTGCTCATTTAGATAATGAAGTTTAATTTACCTTTGAAAGCAACACTTTGGGAAATGCCTGAATAAACTGACATCTTGAGTCGATAGGAGGCTTCCCCACGTGGAGTTTGGTGAGCTATACCAGGTCATTAAAAAGCCCTTAGATGGGCCGGATGCGTTGGCTCATGCCTGGAATCCCAGCCCTTTGGGAGCCCAAGGTGGGTGGATCACTTAGGTCAGGAGTTCCAAACCAGCCTGGCCAACATGGTGAAACACCATCTCTTACTAAAAATACAAAAATTAACTGGGCATGGTGGTGTGCACCTGTAATCCCAGCTACTTGGGAGGCTGAGGCACCAGGATCACTTGAACCTGAGAGGCGGAGATTGCAGTGAGCCGAGATGTGCCAGTGCACTCCAGCCTGGGTGACAGAGCAAGACTCTGTCTCAAAGAAAAAAAAAAAAGGCTCTTAGATTGGAAGTCAGTGCTCTCATTCCCCCTTGAAGATGGTGACTGTTTGCTACTGTTCCATGTCTTCAATGCTCATGCTGCTGCTTAGACCTGTTAGAACTGACCTTGAGTTATTCCAGAGGAAAATTCCAGCGGATCCTAGAACAATCAGAGTATTCTGGACTGAAGCATAGTCCAGAATCGCTCTGGTGATTAAATTCGGAAAGCTTGCCCAGGGCATCATTAACCGCCTGGAGGAGTGAGCCCTCTCACCATCTGTTGTCTGCCATCACTATTTGGTTTTTCTCTTTGGTCTCATTTAGAGCCAAGTTGAGAAATTTCCAGTTCCTCTCCACTTGCTGCCCGACACAGTTAACCAGAAACACAATGTGGTGAAGGGGCCCATGTTGTAGCTAAAACAGCCCTAGACTTGGAGGCAGGAGCCTGGGTTGATATCTTGGCTGTTTGACTTTATAGCAGCGATCCCCAACCTCTTTGGCACCAAGGACTGGTTTCATGGAAGACAATTTTTCCATGGACCAGGGATGGGGTGGGGGCATGGTTTTGAGATGATTCAAGTGCATTACATTTACTGTGCACTTTATTTCTATCATTATTACTTTGTAATCTATAATGAAATAATTATACAACTCACCATAATGTGGAATCAGTGGGAGCCCTGAGCTTGTTTTCCTGCAACAAGATGGTCCCATCTGTGGGCGATGGGAGAGAGTGGCAGATCATCAGGCATTAGATTCCTATAAGGAGCGTGCAACCTAGATCCCTCACATGCACAGTTCACAATAGGGTTTGCACTCCTATGAGAATCTAATGCAGCCGCTGATCTGACAGGAGGGGGAGCTCAGCCGGTACTGTGAGCATGGGGAGTGGCCGTAAATGCAGATGAAGCTTCACTCACTCACCCGCCACTCACCTCCTGCTGTGCGGCCTGGCTCCTAACAGGCCAAGGACCTGTACTGGTGGTGGCTCAGGGGTTGGGAACCCCTGCTTTATCAGACTTAGTTGGTCCAGTTTTTCCCAAAGTTGGGTACGCTCTGGGATGATTTTAGGCAGCATTTAGGAAAACATTAATTAAGAATTTTTTTTCGGCCAGGCATGGTAGCTCATGCCTATAATCTCAGCACTTTGGGAGGCCTAGGTGGGAGGATCATGAGGTCAAGAGATCAAGACCAGCCTAGCCAACATGGTGGAAACCCAGCCTTTACTAAAAATACAAAAATTAGCTGGGCGTGGTGGTGCACACCTGTAGTCCCAGCTACTTGGAAGGCTGAGGCAGGAGAATCTCTTGAACCCGGGAGGTGGAGGTTGCAGTGAGCCGAGATCGTACCACTGCACTCCAGCCTGGTGACAGAGCAAGATTCCGTCTCAAAAAAAAAAAAAGAAAAAGAAAAAGAATTTATTTTCAGGCAAGGCCTAGTGGCTCATGCTTGTAATCCTAGCATTTTGGAAGGCCAAAGTGGAGGATCACTTGAGCCTAGGAGTTTGAGTCCAGCCTGGGCAACATGACGAAACTCCGTCTTTACAAAAAATTAGCCCAGTGTGCTGGAGTGCACCTGTAGTACCCCCAGCTACCCAGGAGGCTGAGGCGGGAGGATTGCTGGAACCCAGGCTGCAGTGAGCTGATATCACGCCACTGCACTCCAACTTGGACGACAGAGTGAGACCCTGCTGAAAAAAATATATATAATTTTCATGTCTTTTAGGAACAATATTAGGTTTGCATTTATGGTGATGTAAAAAAGAGAATCAACATAAAGAAAAGTATTAAATAGACAATAAAAGAGAACACGCCTGTAATCCCAGCACTTTGGGAGGCTGAGGTGGGGAGATCACTTGAGGCCAGGAGTTCAAGACCAGCCTGTCTAACATGGCAAAACCCCGTCTCTACTAAAAATACAAAAATTAGCGGCTCTCGGTGGCATGCACCTATAATCCAAGCTACTCAGGAGGCTGAAGCATGAGAATCACTTGAACCTGAGAGGTGGAGGTTGCAGTGAGCTGAGATTGTGCCACTGCACTCCAGCCTGGGTGACAGAGTGAGACCCTGTCTCAAATAATAATAATAATAGAGAGGGCTTGAGGCATAGCAACTGTTGCCATGGTAACGTGCAAGTGACTGATGTTCAGGAAACACTGGCTTTGCTACCCTGAGCCACACTTTTCCTTCTTGCCTGCAAGGCGATAAGGATGTTGCACCTGGTGGCTGGTGTGAGGAGGTCAGGCGCAGCAAGAGGCAGCACACGTAGCAGTTACAGTCACAGACTTTGCCTGCGCCAGGGTCTGTGTCCCAGCGGAGATGCTTACCGGCTGTGTGGTCTTGAGCAAATTGCTCGACTTCTCTGTTACTCTGTGTGGTGTTTTCTGACGCCACTTCTGACACCAAATGTGTTTTTTCTGATACCAAATACGTGCCATTTTTCTACACTAAGTCTCTGATTCTTGGATGCCAACTGGGTGCCCAAGCAATTCAATTCAGCTATCACACTATGTCCTGGAGTTAGCATCAGGTCCTGCAAGTTAAAAGACCCCATCCCACCAGACTGCCCCTATCTCAGATGCCAGTCGCAAGTCCGGAGCCACCCACCCTTCTGCCTGGCCAATTACAAACTTGGGGGTTCCCACGACCACCTCCTCGGGTTTGATAGTTTGCTGGAATGACTCACAGAGCTCAGGAAAGCCCTTCACTTATGTTTACTGGTTTATTACAAAGGACAGAACTCAGGAATAGCCAAATGGAAGAGAGATGCATTGGGCAAGGTGTGGAGAGGGAGCCGTGCAGAGCTTCCATGATGCCCTCTCTGGGTGCACTGCCCTCCCAGCACACCAGTGTGTCCACCAACCTAGAGGCTCCCTGGATCTCACTGTTCAAGAGCTTTTATAATTCAGTCGCCAGCCTCCTCCTCTTCCTGGCAGGTCAGCGAGTGGGACTGGAAGTTGCCCGCCGAATTGTTTTTTTTTTTTTTTTTTTTTTGAGACAGGGTCTCACTCTGTCACCCAGGCTGGAGTGCAGTGGTGAGATCATAGCTCACTACAGCCTTGACCTCCTAGGAGTGAGCCTCCTGCTTCAGCCTCACAAGTAGCTGAGACTACACAGGTGGGTGCCAACATGCCTGGCTAATTTTTAATTTTTTTTTTTTTTTTTTTTGAGACAGAGTCTTGCTCTGTCACCCAGGCTGGAGTGCAGTGGCGCGATCTTGGCTCACTGCAAGCTCCGCCTCCCAGGTTCATGCCATTCTCCTGCCTCAGCCTCCCGAGTAGCTGGGCCTACAGGCGCCTGCCACCATGCCTGGCTAATTTTTTTGTATTTTTGGTAGAGGTGGGGTTTCACCATGTTAGCCAGGATGGTCTCGATCTCCTGACCTCATGATCCGCCCGCCTCGGCCTCCCAAAGTGCTGGGATTACAGGCTTGAGCCACCATACCCGGCCTAAATTTTTTTTTTTTTTTTTTTTGGTAGAGATGGAGTCTTGCTATGTTGTGCAGGCTGGTCTCAAACTCCTGAGCTCAAGTGATCCTCCTGGCTCAGCCACCTGAGTAGCTGGGATTACAGGCATGAGCGTCTGCATCCGGCAGTGCCCCCGACCACCTGTCTTTTTTTTTTTTTTTTTGAGACGGAGTCTCACTCTATAGCCTAGGCTGGAGTGCAGTGGCATGATTGCGGCTCACTGCAACCTCCGCCTCCCAGGTTCAAGCAATTATCCTGCCTCAGCCTCCCAAGTAGCTTGGACTACAGGCACGTGCCATCACACCCAGCTAATTTTTGTATTTTTAGTAGAGACGGGGGTTTCACCATATTGGCCAGGCTGGTCTCGAACTCCTGACCTCGTGATCTGCCGGCCTGGACCTCCCAAAGTGCTGTGATTACAGGCGTGAGCCACCGTGCCCTGCCCACCCCTCTCCCCTGTCTTTATCACACATTTGCTCTTCTGGTGACGAGGCCCCAACCTGAAGCCATCTCTCTAGGGAACTCAGCCTGAGTGCCCTCATTAGCATACACTCAGATGTAGTACAATGGGGATTGCTATGGATAACAAAAGACAGTCCTATCGCTCAGGAAACTCCAGGGGCTTTAGGAGCTCTGTGCTGGGAACCAGGGATGAAGACCAAATAGATATTTTATTAACCACACTAGTGGCTTAATGAATTACCTCCTAGGGATTTTTTTTTTTTTTTTTTTTTTTTGGTCAGGAGCAGATGAGATAAGATACATAAAAAAGATATTACAATACCTAACCACATAATAACTGTTCAGTAAATGTTAGCAGTGAAATGGGGGAGCTCCCCTGTCCCCTTTGCAGGACTTGTGACAGGGGTGTGGCTCGCTTACTTGGCTGCCACTGCATCAAACCCCTTGCAGGAGGGGGAGCATGCAGGTGAGCAGATTGGGGCTGGGGTGAGTGCTTTTGGGCTCTGGTCCCATGGCAGCGTCTAGGGATGTGTTACAATTAATACTCTTTTAGCAGTTGCTGTACGCAGATGACTAAGTGTTAACCAGTTCAGTGGAGATTCAGGGTGATAGCCTTTTACACCCTGCCCTCTTGGTACCTGGGTTCTTGTCTGGTGTCCAGGAAGAATCAGGTCACATGGACTTGAAGGATGGTGAATACAAATTTTTTATTAAGTAGTGGAAGTGGCTCTCAGTGGAAGGGGAGCTGGAAAGGGGATGGAGTGGGAAGGTAATCTTCCCCTGGAGTTCAGCCATCCTCAGATGATCTCCTCTCTGACTGTCCCCAGCCAAACTCCTCTCGATGTTCAGACACTTCTTCTCTTCTCTCCTTCTCTGCCACGCCACTCTGGTGCTATTCTGATTGTGGAGCCTGGGGTTTGGGGTTCTTAAGGGCATAGGATGGGGGCAGGGTGGTCCAGAGCGGTTTTGGAAAAGGCAACATTTGGGTGTGAAAACAGGAATGCCTGTTCTCATTTAGGGCTGCAGGTCCAGGCTTGAGGGTGGAGCCCTCACCTGGGACCCTGTCCTTCTGCCGCCTGTCCGTATCAGCAGGATGCTACTGCTGCTGCTGATACCTGGGGAATTGCCAGGTGTGAGGTGGGCATTAGAAAAATTTCAGGCTGGGCACAGTGGCTCAATCCTATAATCCCAGCACTTTGGGAGGTCGAAGCAGGAGGACTCCTTGAGCCTAGGGGTTTGAGACCAGCCTGGGCAACATCACAAGAACTCCTCTCTACAAAAAATTTTGAAATGAGCTGGGCATGGTAGTGTGTACCCATAATCCCAGCTACTCAGGAGGCTGAGGTGGGAAGATTGCTTAAACCTGAGAGGTCAAGGCTGCAGTGAGCTATGATTATACCACTGCATGCCAGCCTGGACCACAGAGCAAGACCCTGTCTCTAAAACACAATTAAAACAAAAATTTCAGTTGAATATGTTCCTAAGAAGCCACAAAAGAGTCTTTTGTTATGATTCTTAAATGAAAATTAACTAAAAATTGGAAATAAGGAAGAATGTCTTTTCCATGTCATACTGAGGCACTGCTTAATGACCTGCCCACGGATGATTAATTATCTTGGAGAGAGTACATGTATCTGACTTTGTTATTTATTATTTGATTAGAGCACTGACATAGTGAAATTACACGTTAACTTGTAGATTTCTGTCCAGTAGAAAAAAGACGACATTAAAGGTTATGGTTTTATTGCCCTTATAGCATGTTAACCAGATTTCTCTCGAATTTAGCAATCTTATGCTAAGGTTTTCATTAAAGATGCTGATGAGTCCACTTTTTAAATGCCCTTGGAGCGAGCTTTACCATTTTACTGGTTCCCTCATTAATGGGTTAAATAAATTTTTTGACAAGTGTTCATTCCACATTTGTATGAGTCACATTTTAAATTTTGAAAATATACTTCAGCATGATCTTAATAATGCCAAGTCCCAGAGAGTTCTCTGTGCCCATAATTTAGTTCACTGGGCACATTCCCAGAGCACGTTCAGTATGCAAAGCATCATGGTGGGCCCCGCAGGGAAGACTAAAATGGGTAGGACTGGTCCCTATAGTTGCAGATTTAGTAATTACTTATGGGCAGAAAAGAAGTATATAAATTACTTCCTACACTGTGAGAAAGAGAAAAGCTGCCCCTGGCAGCCGGGAGCTGGCTTGACACTCACAGCTTGGCCAAAGTGTTCTCCTGTTGAATGTAAACAATTTTGCAGATTGCCGGCATCAGACAAGGCCATCCTGAGACCGTGATAGATCAAGACAAAATAACACTACTCCTGAAGGCAGATAAAGACATGAACATTGTCCCAGCCACAAAAATCACCCAATAGCCCCATTTCCTAGCTCATATGAGTGACTGCTAGTTCTCCATCAATCACAGTTTCAGTCTTACTCTGTTCTTCTCCCTTTAAAGGAAAGAATTAGGAAGACACTCTATCAGAGAATTACCTCCACTTCCTGACAACATCCAATCCAGAGTAAATGCTCACTTCCTTTAAACTGTCCCCCAAAGCACCTAACACAAGCCCAAATTTTCTTTTCTTTTCTTTTTCTTTTTTTTTGAGACGGAGTCTCGCTCTATCACCCAGGCTGGAGTGCAGTGGTGCAATCTCGGCTCACTGCAACCTCTGCCCCCCGGGTTCAAGCAATTCTCCCGCCTCAGCCTCCCGAGTAGCTGGGATTATAGGCACCCGCCACCACGCCTGACTAACTTTTGTATTTTTAGTAGAGACGGGGTTTCACCATGTTGGCCAGGCTGGTCTCGAACTCCTGACCTCAAGTGATCCACCTGCCTCGGCCTCCCAAAGTGCTAGGATTACAGGTGTGAGCCACCACACCTGGCCCCAAATTTTCTAATAAGTGCTTTCTAACACCCTCTTACTGATATCTGCCCACAGCTGATTAGGTGCAAGCTAGCCCAGTACCAATCGATAGAAGACAGTACAGACTCACTAAAGTGATATATGATGGAGAAAATTGTCCCCATCCAGACTTCCCTTAGAGAGAAGACCCGGTGTGGTTGGTGGGAACACTCTGACGCTTCTTTTGGTTAGGGTTGTTGGCCACAAGCAACAGAAATCAACTCTGCCTGACTCAACCAAAAAATGGGATTGTAGAAGGCTATGAGTGGGGATGGGGGCTCAGGAGTCGGAAGGACAGGCTTGGAAATGAGTATGGATCAAGAAAGCCCCAGAGACTGGCCACAGGACCAATCTGGCCAGGAAGCCGCCATTGCTGGACAGCACAAGTCTAATCCCTCCATCCTTTTATCTCTGTCATTTGCTCTGTGGTCAAAGTCTTGGACATGAGCTTCTGATTGGCTGAGTCTGAGGAAGTGGGGGTGCTCCCTTGTTGAACTTCTCTAATAATGACTGACACAGTGAATGCTTTCCCTAAAACTAGGGTTTGGAGGTTGAGCAGCCAAAAATTCCAACTTTTTTCCATTACAGGAGGGAGACACAACCCCACCCAAGACCATGTGTAAGTAACAATAGGTAGTCTGTAAACAGCCTTCCATGGCCAGGAATGGTGGCCAAAGAAGGTCTTCTTTGACAGAGGTCAAAGAAGAGGGTGGGGGCCAGGCACAGGGGCTCACGCCTGTAATCCCAACAATTTGGGAAGCCGAGATGGGAGGATTGCTTTGAGGCCAGAAGTTTGAGACCAGACTGGGCAACATGGTGGAACCCCCTCTCTATAAAAAATATAAAAATTAGCCAAGCATGCTAGGGCACGCCTGTATTTCCAGCCACTCAGGAGGCTGAGGCAGGAGGATGTCTTGAGCCTGGGAGATTGAGGCTGTGGTGAGCCATGATCAAGCAACTGCACTCCAGCCTACATGACAGAGCAAGACCCTGTTTCCCTGTCACAAACAAACAAACAACAAACAAAAACACATACACATAAACCCCGTCGTTCTAAGCAAAGTGAGTCCTGCTATCTGCAGGATTTTGATTTTTTTCCAAGAGCATTATGCTGAACTGGTATCAGAATTAAATTGCTTGGAACAATTGTTCCTGGATCAAACTGAGGGTTGGGCTGCTTATTCTAGTGACCCAATAACGAGATGCAAATAAACTGGGAAAGGAGGGAGTTTCTATTTCTGTTACCAGTTACAGGGAAAAAGCCTGGAAAATACCACCAGACCAACTCAAAATTACAAAGTTTCCCAGAGCTTACATACCTTCTAAACTATATGTCCACGTGTAAGTGTGCGTTCACCTAAAGACCTAAATAATCAGCTTCTTCTAGTCTAACTAAGGTCTGAGTCCTGAAGACCTTCCTCTGAAGCCTCAGTAAATTTACTTAATCTAAATGGGTCCAGTTGCTGGGGTGATTACCCTTATCTTGTCTCCTGCTAAATCATGGAGGTTTGGGGACTTCCTTCACACTCCCAATAAACTTGTTTGTGGAGGCCTGGGGAGTTTCTTCACACCCCCAATAAAACTTGTTTAATCCTAAACGTGTCCTGTTAAGAATTGCCTCGTTATCTCGTCATGTTTCAAGGCCCAGGAAAGGCCTGAGCAAAACTGTTGGAGGATTTCTGTTACATTCCAGCCTTTGTATAAGGGCACTGGCTCTTTTAGCTTTTTTTTTTTTTTTTTGAGACAGAGTCTCGCTCTGTCGCCCAGGCTGGAGTGCAGTGGTGCGATCTCTGCTCACTACAACCTCTGCCTCCTAGGTTCAAGCGATTCTCCTGCCTCAGCTTCCGAGTAGCTGGGATTACAGGCATGCGCCACCATGCCCAGCTAATTTTTGTATTTTTTGTAGAGACATGATTTCACTATGTTGGCCAGGCTGGTCTTAAACTCCTGACATCAGGTGATTCACCCGCCTCTGCCTTCTAAAGTGCTGGGATTGTACAGGCATGAGCCACCATGCCCAGTAGGCTCCTTCAGCTTTGTTTTTTTCTTCTTCTTTTTTTTTTTTTTAGTGACAGAGTTTTGCTCTTGTCGCCCAGGCTGGAGTGCAATGGCAGGATCTCGGCTCACTGCAACCTCCGCCTCCCAGGTTCAAGCGATTCTCCTGCTGCAGCCTCCCAAAGTAGCTAGGATTACAGGTGCCTGCCACCACGCCCAGCTAATTTTTTTTGTATTTTTAGGTGAGACGGGGTTTCACCATGTTGGCCAGGCTGGTCTTGAACTCCTGAACAAGGTGATGCATCCGCCTTGGGCTCCCAAAGTGCTGGGATTACAGGCATGAGTCACTGCCTGCCCAGCCACTTTCAGCTTTTAATGTTTAACTTAACCACACAGTCCCTGCTGAAATAGCTGTCATGGAGGCCTGCGTTAGTGAGACCTGACCTGCCACACAATGAAGGAGATGTTCTTCATTGAGATAATGTGGGTGTCCGAATCAGGATCCACAGGTCAGTGTCCCAGCTCCACCATTGACTAGCTGTGTGATTCCGATGGAGCCACTTAACCTCTCTGAGCTGTGGGATCTTCCTGTATAAAAGAGACAACCACGTAGTGCCCACCTCAAACAGTGGTTATCAGGATTGAGATGATCTGTGTAAAGCATTTAGTGCCTATGAAGCACTTCTTAGTGTATAAAGCACTTAGGGTGTAAAAGGTGCATGGTAAATTCTGTTTGTCGCCCGGGCTGGAGCGCAGTGGCATGATCTTGGTTCACTGCAACTTCTGCCTCCCAAGTTCAAGTGATTCTCCTGCCTCAGCCTCCCGAGTAGCTGGGATTACAGCTGTGCACCACCATGCCTGGCTAATTTTTGTATTTTTAGTAGAGACGGGATTTCACCAGGTTGGCCAGGCTGGTCTTGAACCCCTGATCTCAAGTGATCTGCTGGTCTTGGCCTTTCAAAGTGCTGGGATTACAGGTGTAAGCCACTGCACCCGCCCTGTGCGTGGTGAATTCCGAGTAAATGGTAGCCAAAATCATTGTCATCATCATCGCCACAGGTAACCTTTTCCCCAAATAATACTCAGCTTCTCTTCTAAGTAAACGTTGAATGAATACTTTAGAGTGTTGAAGAAGCACCCCTAAATCTGCCCACTTGTTGATTCTAGCCAGTGATGTTAAATTTTTAGGAATCTGGAGAACCAGTTGTTCAACTGTGGGTAGCTCAAAATCTGCAGCAGTGGGAGTATTTACACCGTGGAAATTGGCAAATGATTCACAGCAAGGCTTCTACCTCCCTCCCCTGCTTCCAGCCAGTTAAACATTCCCCAGCACATCACTCATTCTAGTCCTAGCCTGCCCTACTTTGGGGCATCCAACAGAGATTACTTGCGTTTTCTTTGTGGTTTATCAAGCCCCAGGGTCTCGCTTGCCTACAAAGGAGACCACTAATCACTAGCATGCTGAATAAACATGAAGTTGACTTAAACATTAATTTACTTATTATCAAAAGCTTATCTGCTTCTGCTGGTGCAATGACTCTGATGGGAATTGCCAGTGGTGATGGTAGATAGGTGATGGCTTCAGAGAAGTGTGCTCTGTGCTTTGGCAGGAGCAGGGCTAAGCTGAGACAGTGGTCCTAGTGGCCCAGTCCATGGGCTAAGCAGGAATGGGTGGGAAGAGGGCAGGGGAGGCTTCCCCGGGGCCTGCAGATTGTGTTCTTAAGAGTTTTTTCCTTCAGTCCTTAGAAGCTCAGCTGAAAGGAATGACTGCGGCCGGATGTGGTGGTTCATGCCTGTAATCCCAGCACTTAGGGAGGCCGAGGTGGGCAGATCACCTGAGGTCAGGAGTTTGAGACCAGCCTGGCCAAACTGGTAAAACCCCAACTCTACTAAAAATACAAAAATTAGCTGAGCATGGTGGCTGGTGCCTGTAATCCCAGCTACTTGGGAGGCTGAGCCAGAGGAATTGCTTGAACCCAGGAGGTGGAGGTTGCAGTAAGCCCAGATCAAGATCACACCACTGCATTCCAGCCTGGGCAACAGAGCAAGCAAGATTCTATCTCAAAAAAAAAAAAAAAAAAAATGGAGTGATTGCTTTAAAATTCTTAAACAGGGCCGGGTGCGGTGGCTCACGCCTGTAATCCCAGCACTTTGGGAGGCAGAGGCAGGCGGATCACTAGGTCAAGAGATGGAGTCCATCCTGGCCAACGTGGTGAAACCCTGTCTCTACTAAAAATACAAATATTAGCTGGGCGTGGTGGCGGGCGCCTGTAGTCCCAGCTACTCAGGAGGCTGAGGCAGGAGAATTCCTTGAACCCAGGAGGCGGAGGTTGCAGTGAGCTGAGATCACGCCACTGCACTCCATCCTGGCGACAGAGTGAGACATTGTCTAAAAAAAAAAAAAAAAATTCCTAAACAGGAGGGGCTTAGGGCCAGCCAGTTGGTCACATGAAACAATCAGGGGACTTACCTTAGAGCTGCCTTCGCAGTAGGGAGTCCATGGTTTTTAGTGAGATTTGTGTCGTACAAATTAATTAAAATTGCATAGTTTCTATCAAGTTTTTTTCTTACACTTTCCACAAAATTGGGAAAAATGTCTATTTCCCATTTCTTTATTTCATTTTCTCTTATTGCTTCTATCCTACCTGATATTTCCCATTTCAAAAGCACGTTTTTTTTTTTGAGATGCAGTCTTGCTCTGTCGCCCAGGCTGGAGTGCAGTGGTGCCATCTCGGCTCACTGCAAGCTCCACCTCCCGGGTTCACGCCATGCTCCTGCCTCAGCTTCCCGAGTAGCTGGGACTACAAGCACCTACCACCATTTTTTGTGTTTTTTAGTAGAGACAGGGTTTCACTGTGTTAGCCAGGATGGTCTCTATCTCCTGACCTCGTGATCCACCCCGCCTCGGCCTCCCGAAGTGCTGGGATTACAGGTGTGAGCCACCGCGCCCGGCCCAAAAGCACTTTTTAAATGTTGAGGTGGTTTGAAGGCTAATGGAAATTACGAGGTGGGACTGAAACCATTCCCTGCCATCCCTAAGAAAGCCCACTCCTTGGAACTGCCACTGGTGAAAGTCTCACTCTGTCACCCAGGCCAGAGTGCAGTGGCACAATCTCAGCTCACTGCAACCTCTGCCTCCCAGGTTCAAGCGATCCTCCCACCTCAGCCCCGCAAGTTGCTGGGACTACAGGTGCCCACCACCATGCCTGGCTAATTTTTTTTTTTTTTTTTAAGTAGAGACGGGGTTTCACCGTATTGCCCAGGCTGATCTCAAACTCCTGAGCTCAAGTGATCTGCCTGCCTCAGCCTCCCAAAGTGCTGGGATTACAGGCATGAGCCACCGCGCCCGGCCTGAAAGCATTTTAGAAGGCTCCTGACTGAAAGAACGGGATAAAGTAAGGGGGTATGGGAACAGAAGATGACAGCCTGGTATATCTGGGTGACATGCGTAGGCAGTCTGTTGTAGTGGCAATTGTCAGGGCTCTGGAGTTAGACTGTCTTCTTTCAAATCTTGCAAGCTGTCTGATCTCGGGCGATTTACTTAACCTCTCTGAGAGTTCTGTAAAGTGGAGAATAAGAATACCACCCTACAGATGATGAGGATTCAATGAGATTGGGCTGGATACAAATCAGCTTTTGTTGGCATCAGCTTGAGAGGAGGGATGGACTTGGGAGTGGAGAGGGTGGATTTGGGGGAGAGGACGCCACACAGTGGCAGGAACTCGCAGCAGGTGACTGAGAGTGGAAGGCACAAGAGAGCCCAGATGCTGAGCCAGCTCAGAATAGAAACGGTATTGATAGCAGAATGCAAAGCAGTATCACTCGAATGACGGATGTTTAATTGGATTTCTCCAGGGCTGACTCACCGCCTTTGATAGATGCGATTGCCCTCGTGGTGTCTATCATGAGACTTGAAATTTTTCCACCTGCACCTGCAGTCTTTAGGCCTTGTTTCAACAAAATGCAGTACTGTGTGTACCCTCCATGCCTGCCAGCCTTCCTTCCTTCCTTGTGTATTTACTGCAATGTATCAGGGACGGGGTGGTGTGCTAGAACCATGAAGGAAAAAGGCAAAGTCCCTTAAAGGAGGTGCAGTCTGTTGAGGCAGAAACACAAATGCCTAGATGGTTCTGGAATGCCTAGATGTCAATGGGATAACAAGGGGGCTATGGCTGCAGGAAGGAAGAGGACCTGATGTAGCTGAGGGCATCAGGAAGATTCCAGAAGGAGAAGGGATTAGTGAAGCTGCAGAGCACTTAGTTTGAGACAAAGATTTCTGAGCTGAGGGAGGAGTTGGGCAAAGGCTTGAGTGCAGGAGTTCAAGAGAACTCCTTGGGGCCAGGCTTTACACAGGGATGCACATGGGCTGTGTACCAGTCTGTTCTGACACTGCTGTAAAGATACTACCCGAGACTGGGTCATTTATAAAGGAAAGAAGTTTAATTGACTCACAGTTCTGCATGGCTGGGGAGGCCTCAGGAAACTTGCAGTCATGGCAGACGGCGAAGGGAAAGCAAGCACGTCTTACGTGGCGGCAGGAGAGAGACAGCACAAGAGAAAATGAGTGTAGGAAGTGCCACATTTAAAACCAGCAGCTCTCTTGAACTCCTGCACTCAAGCGATCCTCCTGCCTCGGCCTCCCTTAGTTCTGGGATAACAGGCAGGAGCTGCTGTGCCCACCTGGAGCTTAATCTCTGTTCACATCTTTAATTATTCTGGGCCAGCTTAGCCAAAGGCCTTAGGGGTAGGGTTAGGGACACCAAGGGCCAGTCTTCTATCCACTTCACAGCTCGCTGGGCCCTCCAAGGGAAGGACTATGTGTCTCATTCTAGGCACTGGTAAGAGTCTGGGGGAAAAAAAATCAAAAATAACAAGTGGACGCGGTGGCTCACACCTGTAATCCCAGCACTTTGGGAGGCCGAGGTGGGTGGATCACTTGAGGTCAGGAGTTCAAGACCAGCCTCGTCAACATGGTGAAACCCCGTCTCTACTGAAAATACAAAAATTAGCAGGGTATGGTGGTGTGCCCCTGTAATCCCAGCTACTCAGGAGGCTGAGGCACGAGGATTGCTTGAACCTGGGAGGCAGAGGTTGCAGTGAGCTGAGATTGCACCACTGCACTCCGGCCTGGGCGACAGAACGAGACTCCATCTCAAAAAAAAAAAGAAGAAGAAGAAGAAGAAATGAACTCACAACACTTACTGTCTCCTTCAAAGGAGTGAAGGATGTGCAGAGGGCTAAGTGCGGTCCCAGAAACTGCCAGGTAGCATCAGTGAGCAGGTGCAGGAAATCTGTTGGCCAACCTTGCATGCACTGGGCACGGCCCAGTTCCCTGCCAGAGCCCAGAGAAGAAAACAAGCTCTGGTCTCAGTCGAAGCAGTGGGGTGGGAAGAGCCCTGCTGTCTCGCCACATGGCCTTGGTAGCTGGCCTATGTCTCAATGTCTCTTGAAAGTGAAAATAGATCAGGAGGGCTGACACGTAGTAGGCGCTCAAGAACTGTTTTCTGGATGAGTCAGTGAATTGGTGAACAGCATTCACCTCTCTGGGCATTGATTTCTTCATTCATGTAAGGTGAGAGCTCTTCTAGCTGCAGAAATTTCTTTAGAGCCAGGCACAGTGGCTCACCCCTGTTATCTCAGTACTTTGGGAGGCCAAGGCAGGAGAATGGCTTCAGCCCAGGAGTTTGAGACCAGCCTGAGCAACATAGTGAGACCCCCATCTCTACCAGACATTTTTTTTGAGATGGAGTCTCACTCTGTTGCCCAGGCTGGAGTTCAGTGGTACGATCTCAGCTCACTGAAACCTCCATCTCCCAGGTTCAAGCAATTCTCCTGCCTCGGCTTCCCGAGTAACTGGGATCACAGGCATGCACCACCATGCCCGGCTAGTTTTTGTATTTTTAGTAGAGATGGAGTTTCGCCATGTTGGCTAGGCTGGTCTTGAACTCGTGACCTGAATTGATCCACCTGCCTCGGCCTCCCGAAGTGCTGTGACTACAGGCATGAGCCACCGTGCCTGGCCCAAAACGTTTTTTTAAAATTACCAAGGCGTGGTGGCATGCGCCTGTAGTCCCAACTACTTGGAAGGCTGAGGCAGGAGGATTGCTCTAGCCAGGAGGTCAAGGCTGCAGTGAGCTATGATTACACTCCTGTAAGTTCAGCAAAATATTTCTGTAAAGGGCCAAGTACTAAACACCTTAGGCTCTACAGAGTGTACAGTCTCTGTCGTGATTACTCACCTCTGCCACTGTCGGGAAAAACAGCCACAGACAATGCTGAAATGAATGGACATGACTTCGTTCCAATAGCATGTTATTCACAGATGCTGAACTTTGAATTTCATATAATTTTCATTTATCAGAAAATGTTATGATTTTGATTTTCCCCAAGTATTTAAAAATGAAAATTAAACTATTCTTAGTTCGTGAGTTGTACCAAAACAGGCAGTGGGCCAGATTTTGACTGTGGGCTATAGTTTGCCAACCCCAGCTAAAGATTGAGGAGCAAACGCATCTTCCAGGAATTCCTTGGATCGTCTTAGACAGAAGGTCAAAGGGAGAGTGCACTCTCTCCTTGGTGTGGAAATACTGATCACCATGTCTTCCAAACTGGGTTTCATAGACACATCTCCATGCCATGCTCTCACTCTAGAACCTAAGATGGCTCCCATGTTAAGGTTCTTTACAACGCAGACACATATGTCCCTGATATGTCCTAATTGGGCAGACTCTTCATTGTCACCTACCCTGGCATACCACACCCATTCCTAATATTTGTCTCAGCTCCCCCTTCTCTCTGAGTGCCTGGAATCTTTTCCTGACCCCTCCAAGTTGTGCCCTCCCCTGTAAGTTGCATCTCGATTTGAGCAGCCTTCTCCCAGACTATCCTGATCTCTGTCTTCCTTGAACTCCAGTCACTGGCTGGAGCTTTCACAGTCCCAGTCGAGAGCATGGGCTCAGATCAGACTGCCCGAGTTCAAGTTCCTACCACTTACTCTGTGACGTTGAACAAGTTCTTTATCCTGTCTAAGAGATAATAATAATAGTCCTTACCTCATAGAGTTGCTGCAAGAGTTCACTGAGATGATTTGTGTAAAATGCTTAATCCAGAGCCTGACACCAATCATATGAAAGCATTCAATAAGTACTAGCAATTATACTTCTGTATTGTTTGATGTTTTTATAGTGAGACCATATTTATGTAATATTTGTATAATTTTTTAAATAGACCAAGCTGGGTGTGGTGGTATATGCCTGTGTTCCCAGCTACTTGGGAGGCTGAAGCAGGAGGATCCCTTAAGCCCAGGAGTTCAAGTCCAGCCTGGGCAATATAGTAAGACCCTGCCTCTAAAAAAGAAAAAAAAAAGGACCAAGTATTCTTTTTTTTTTCTTTTTTTTTTTAGATGGTGTCTCGCTCTGTCGCCCATGCTGCAGTGCAGTGGCATGATCTCAGCGCACTGCAAGCTCCACCTCCCAGGTTCACGCCATTCTCCTGCCTCAGCCTCCCAAGTAGCTGGGACTACAGGTGCCCGCCACCACGCCCGGCTGATTTTTTGTATTTTCAGTAGAGACAGGGTTTCACCGTGTTAGCCAGGATGGTCTCGATCTCCTGACCTTGTGATCCGCCCGCCTCGGCCTCCCAAAGTGCTGGGATTACAGACTTGAGCCACCGTGCCCGGCCAGGAGCAAGTATTCTTTTAGGTCTAAAACAAAGGTAACTAAGCAATACTGGTGTTTGTTTGTTTTGAGACAGGGTCTCACTCTGTCAAGGCAGACAGCTGGAAACCCACGTCAAGAAAATTGACTATTTTCAAAAGTCAATCCTTGCCTCCCAGGTTGGAGTACAGTGGTGTGATCATGGCTCACCCAGGAGCTCAACCTCCTGGGCTGAAGTGATCCTCCTACCTCAGCCTCTCTGGTAGCTGGAACCACAGGTACACACCACCAGGCATAGCTAATTTTTTTATTGTGTAGAGACAGAGTCTCGCTATGTTGCCTAGGCTAATCTCGAACTCCTGGACTCTATCGATCCTCCCATCTCAGCCTCAAAGTACTGGGATTACAGGCATGAGCCACTGTGCCTGGCCATAATTTTTTTATATCATACATACAGAAAAGAGCAGTATTAGTAGTTGTTATTGTAAGAAAAATGAAAACTAAGGCAGTCTAGAAAGCCCTTGGAAGAGAGAAGAATAAACTGCGCTTGAGGAAGTTGACATTTGGGAACAGAGTGGGAACAAGGGTCTTGAAGAAGGTGACATTTGTTTGGGAACGAGTGTCTGACTGCAATCAAAGGAAAGGCCAGTGTGACAGGTGGATGTAAATCCACAGTCCATTAAAATGGCCACAGAGAGAAAACAGACATATTGGCCTTCCAGGGTGCAACATGAGGGCATTCCCTTCCTATGTACACTGGCAGGCACCTCTCCGGTCCCTTGGTCCCCAGCAAGATGCTGAGAAATTGCTGAGGCCAGGGGCTCCCTGGACACTTATCAACACTTATCCTTACCCAGGGATAGCGTTTAAGCTCATGAATCCTACGAAAGCTGAACCAATGCACATGTTTATCATCTTGGAACCATTTGATTTGAGGAAATTGTAATAGCACATGCTGGCCAGGCGCGGTGGCTCATGCCTGTAATCCCAGCACTTTGGGAAGCTGAGGCGGGTGGATCACCTGAGGTCAGGAGTTCGAGACCAGCCTGGCCAACATAGTGAAATCCCCTCTCTACCAAAATACAAAAATTTGCTGGGCATGGTGGCAAGTGCCTGTTATCTCAGCTACTTGGGAGGCTGAGGCAGGAGAATCGCCTGAACCTGGGAGGTGAGGTTGCAGTGAGCCAAGATCCCGCCATTGCACTACAGCCTGGACGACAAGAGCGAAACTCCATCTCAAAAAAAAAAAAAATAGCATGTGATAGTGAGATACACATTTTGCACAGAAATGTTGGCTGAGATAGTCCAGGAGAGTCTCTGTGAGCTGACTTTTTACCTAGGGTGGAGGAGTGGATGGAAGTGGCTGTTCCTACACACCCACACTGCCTGTGCAAAACCGTGGGCTGCCTGCACCACACACACAAGCCTGTTTGATTCTCATACAACCCCAAGACAAAGGTGTAATCCCTTTTCAACAGTGACAGCACTGAGGCTGAGAGCAGCAAAGTAGGTCATAGCCAGTCAATGGGGGTACTGAGATCTGCATTGAGATCTGGCTGTGTCTAAAGCGGGTTGTATCCTCTCTGTGCTTGCAGAATGGGGCTCGAGGGCTCATCTAAACCCCTCATCTTATTTATTTATTTTTATTTATTTATTTATTTATTGAGACGGAGTCTCGCTCTGTTGCCAGGCTGGAGTGCAGTGGTGCAATCTCGGCTCACTGCAACCTCCACCTCCCAGGTTCAAGTGATTCTCCTGCCTCAGCCTCCTGAGTAGCTAGGACTACAAGCACGTGCCACCACGCCCAGCTAATTTTTGTATTTTTAGTAGAGACAGGGTTTCACCATGTTGGCCAGGCTGGTCTCGATTTCTTGACCTCGTGATCCGCCCTCCTCGGCCTCCCAAAGTGCTGGGATTACAGGCGTGAGCCACCGCGCCCGGCCCAGACATGACATCTTTTTCTCACCTGTCTTAAGATACCTGCAGCCTCTGTAACTTATTTTTAAAAGGAGACAATAAAGACTATTTTTAAAAGTCAATCCTTGCCTCTGAAAACCTACCTCTGCCTTTGTCGTGGTCTCTGCTGGGTTTCCATTAGGCTGCAACTCAAGCTGCTGATGCCTCCATTTCATGTCGTTTTCACAAACATTTTGTAAAGCAGCAGCTCTATTATTCCAGCAGGGCCTGATCACCTCTCCGCACCCAACGCTGATAAAAATGACCCGCTTTCCCCTATCGTCCCAGCGTGAAAGACCAAGATGCTGAATGACACGGGTTGGCTTTCTTTTCCTTCCGAACATTAATCAGGTTCTTGAAGATAACATCTCTCTCTGGAACGAGCCGGCAGCAGCAGAGTTTGATTTCCAGGTTCAGCCCTAATGGTACAGAGACCTGGACTAATGTGGCTTATTCAAAGTTCCAGCCATGCTTCTAAAGCATGGCTTATTCGAACTTCCAGCTATGCTTTTAAAGCACTTTGCATGAACTATTCACATGTCTTTTGAACAATATGATTTAATGGCATTGGAAAATCATCATGATGTCATGCTTGCAATGAGCAGGACAGCTGTATGTCTTGATCCAATACACATTAAAAATGCACCTATCCACACATATGTATCTGTGAAAATGTCTTCAGCTGCAAGTAACACAGCGTCCGACGACTAGTGTCTTAAATCTTGGGTGACCAGCTGTCTCTGTTTGCCTGGGACTGAGAGGTTTCCAAGGATCTGGAAACTGCAGTGCAGAAACTGGGACAGCCCCAGGCAAACCAAGTCAGTTTTTCACACTACTTAAGTCATAAGGACATTTAATATTTACTTGAGGCTGGACACAGTGGCTCACACCTGTAATCCCAACACTTTCGGAGGCTGAGGCAGGTGGATCACGAGGTAAGGAGTTCAAGACCAGCCTGGCCAAGATGGTGAAACTCCATCTCTCCTAAAAATACAAAAATTAGCCAGGCTTGGTGGTGGATGCCTGTAATCCCAGCTACTCGGGAAGCTGAGGCAGAGAATGGCTTCAACCTGTGAGGCGGAGGTTGCAGTGAGCCGAGATCATGCCACTGCACTCCAGCCTGGGCAACAGAGCTAGACTCCGTCTCAAAAAAAAAAATTTTTTTTGACTTGATAAGCAGTCCAGATGCAGGTGGCCCGAGGGTCAGTGGGGTGGCCCCAGGATGCTATCAAGGGTCTGGCTGTTTCCTTTCCTCCCCTCTGCCCTAGATAGCGAACCTGTCCCCTTCTGCCCATGGGTAGTAAGCCAATCGCTGTTATGATGGATTTGGCAAAAGAAAAGAATTTATTCACACCAACGCAGCCAAGCAAGGAGGCAGGAGAAAAGGTCTCATACTTGCCTCCCTGAAGATGGAATTTAGGGATCTTTATGGAATAAAGGAGCAGGGTGGTCTAAAGTGTGGGAAGAGGTGATTGGAGGCAAGGAAAAGTGAGGTCATTGGCAATCTGCACATACATAGCCAAGCTTCCTGGATCTTCATAGGGTGCATGTTTAGAAAATGGCAGCATTAGCATGATCTCGGGGAGTTTTGGGCCCTCTGACGTCAAAAGGTCACTTCTCCGGCATTTGCACAGGTTCAGTTGAAGGGTCATTGATCTCAACGGGTTCGAACTGGACAGGAGCTGCCCCCATAGTCCTGAAAAACAACTTTAAGCAACCATTACCGTAGTCACATATGTGTCGTAGCGACATATATGTGACATATGACATATATGTACCATAATGACATATAGTGACATATGTAAGGAAGCCGGTGGGGGGGTTAGGTATATATCATTTGGCTGCTTGACTTTTAGCTATATAAGTTTTAAGACCAGCTAGAAGTAAGTGGTTAAAAGCAAGCAAGGCAAGTTAAGTTTGGTGGGCTTCATCAGGTTAGCGTTCGGTTTCGCCATTCTCACGTGAGTGGCTGTAGGAGCTTAGGACCAGGACAGGGGAGATCCGAAGGCCCTAATTATCCTTCCCAGAAGCCTGCCCAAGCGGAGTTTCTCTTAAGGGCTTTCTCTAAGCCCACCAAACTTAACTTGCCTTGCTTGCTTTTAACCACTTACTTCTAGCTGATCTTAAAACTTATATAGCTAAAAGTCAAGCAGCCAAATGATATTTAACTAAACCCTCCACTGGCTTCCTTATATATGTCACTATATGTCATTATGTTACATATATGTCATATGTCACCTATATGGCACTATGACACATACGTGACTATGGTAATGGTTGCTTAAAGTTGTTCTCTTACATTTCATTGGCCCAGAGTAGATGTCATAGCTACCTCCACTTGCAAGAGAGCCTGGAAAAGTATGTGTCTAGCCAAAGCAAATGGGATTCTGTGACTGGCTTCCATCAAGGCAGGGCAGGTTGCCTCCTGGACAAATCAGAGCTCTGGGAGAAAGCGGGAGGGGAAGGTCTACAACCAGTCATGCCCGCTGCAACTCATGGAGCCACATGGAGAGGAGACAACACGGTGAAATTGTCAAGAGCAGGAGCTAGGGCTGAATCTGGAAGGCCACTTACCAGTGCAGAGCTTTGGGTGTGTTGCTTAACCTCCATGTACTCATCTGTAAAATAGAGCTAAAAACAATGTTTCTCTTCCTGGACTGCTGTGACGGTCTAGAAGAGTTTATGCACAGAAAGTGCATTTACATGTAAATGCTCCGTAAATGCTGACTTCTTGTTTGCCTTAATGGCAGAACCCATCCTTCCATATTCCAGAAAAAGACTTGATTTTTAGTTACGTGAATGGACACCTAACCCTGATGGACAGCTTGGGGTCGGGGGACAAGCTTCTTTCTTGGAAGGATGTTCAAAGGACCATGAAGCTTTTGGTTTTGCCAACTGGGGTTTGTAAGTTGAAGAACAGAGCTGAGTAATTCAGGACAGGGGTGTCCAATCTTTTGTCTTCCCTGGGCCACATTGGAAGAATTGTCTTGGACCACACATAAAATACACTTATAGTAACAATAGCTGATGAGCTTAAAAAAAAAATCACACACAAAAAAAATCTCATGTTTTAAAAAGGTTTACAAATTTGTGTTGGGCTGCCTTCAAAAGCCATCCTGGGCCTAATTTGGACAAGCTTGATTTAGGACCTGATGGTCCTCCTTTAGCGGAAGGTGTGTGGAGGAGGTAGAGAGAGAGAGAGAAGAGATGAGACATGAGGAAAACAGAGCCATCTCATAGGGACGTTGATGGAGTCCTGCAGCGTGAATCCCGTCAGCAGTTCTGTAGAGCTCCACCTCGCTTGTCAATGGGTTGTGGGCTTGGATCTTTTGGGAGGATTCAATGACATGCTAAGGGCAGCCTTGGAGGTGGACAAAGGGCCAGGGCAAAGGCCCCCAGGGCATGCCCGCCACCCTTAGGTTACATGGAGGAAAAAGATTGCTGTGAAATACACCAGAACCCTCGGAGTAGAAGTGGCCTCTGCTACACGTAGGTCAAGGTTCTGCATACTTTCATCTTCCTTCTTTGTACTTGTTTGTATTTTCCAAAATTTCTACAATGATTAGGGATCCATTCTATAATCAGATAAAATTGCCATTTACAAACTTTTATTGGCCAGGCATAGTGGCTCATGCCTGTAATCCCAGCACTTTGGGAGGCTGAGGTGGGTGGATTGCTTGAGTCCAGGAGTTTGAGACCAGCCTGGGCAACATGGCAAAACCCCTTCTCTACCAAAAATACAAAAAATTCTCCAGGTGTGGTGGCGCCTCCCTGTAGTCCCAGCTACTCTGGAGGCTGAGGAGGGAGGATGGCTTGAGCCCAGGAGGCAGAGATTGCAGTGAGCTGAGATTGTGCCACTGCATTCCAGCCTGGGTGACAGAGCCAGACTCCATCTCAAAATAAAATAAAATAAAATAAATAAATAAAAATAAAAACTTTTACAAAGAAGAGTATAAGCACTGAAAGTTATTTTTAAAAAGGTTTTACTTGTTAGCTCCATTCCTCAGAAATAGTGCTTCTTCCACATCATTTTCTCTTTCCTTTTTTCTCTGCTGCTTTTTTTTTTTTTTTTTTTTTTGAGACGGAGTCTCGCTCTGTTGCCAGGCTGGAGTGCAGTGGCACGATCTCAGCTCACCGCAATCTCTGCCTCCTGGGTTCAAGTATTCTCCTGCCTCAGCTTCCTGAGTAGCTGGGATTACAGGCGCCCACTACCAACCATGCCCGGCTAATTTTTGTATTTTTAGTAGAGACAGGATTTCACCAAGTTGGCCAGGATGGTCTTGATCTCTTGACCTTGTGACCTGCCCACCTCAGCCTTCCAAACTGCTAGGATTACAGGTGTGAGCCACCACGCCGGCCATTTTTTTTTTTTTTTTTTTTTTTTTTTTGGGAGAAGGAGTCTCACTCTGTTGGCCAGGCTGGAGTGCAGTGGCATGATCTTGACTCACTGCAACCTCTGCCTCCTGGGTTCAAGCGATTCTCCTGCTTCAGCCTCCTGAGAACTGGGGATTACAGGCATGTGCCACCACACCTGGCTAATTTTTATATTTTTAGTAGAGAAAGGGTCTCACCACGTTGGCCAGGCTGGTCTTGAACTCCTGACTTCAAGTGATCCTTCCACCTCGGCCTCCCAAAGTGCTGGGATTACAGGTGTGAGCCACCCCACCCAGCCATTCTCTGCTTCTTTCTCACAGCTAATGATAATAATAGTAAAGGCCAAGGGTGGTGGCTCATGCCTGTAATCCCAGTGCTTTGGGAGGCTGACATGGGAGGATCGCTTGAGGCTAGGAGTTCTAGACCATCTTGGCCAACATGGCAAGATTCTGTCTCTACAAAAAATTTAAAAATTAGCTGAGTGTAGGGGCATATGCCTAAAGTCCTAGCTACTTGGAAGGCTGAGGCAGGCAAATCCTTTTACCCCTGGCGTTCGAAGCTGCAGTGAGCTATGATTGCACTGCTGAACTCCAGCCTGGGTGATAGAGCTAGACCCTGTCTCTAAAAAACATAATAATAGTAGATAGCATTTACTGGGCATTTGACTGTGTAGGTCCCAGGCACTGTGCTTAATGCTTGATGTGCATAATAATCCCAGCAAATAGTACTGCCATTATTCCTATTTAAAACATGACGGCTAGGTGCGGTGGCTCACGCCTATCATCCCAGCACTTTGGGAAGCTGAGGCAGGTGGATCACCTGAGATCAGGTGTTCGAGACCAGCCTGATCAACATGGTGAAATCTCGTCCAAAAAAAAAAAAATTAGCTGGGCCTGGTGGTGCATGCCTGTAATCTCAGCTACTTGGAAGGCTTAGGTAGGAGAATCACTTGAACCCGGGAGGCAAAGGTTGCAATGAGCCAAGATCGCGCCATTGCACTCCAGCCTAGGCAACGAGAGCAAAACTCTTTTTCAAAAAAAAAAAAAAAAACATAAATAAATAATTAAAAATGAGTTAGGTGAGACAGAAAAGGAAGTCACTGTACCATGGCCCTTTGAGCCAGAGTTGTTTGGTGCCAAAACTCTGCCTCCTAATCACTACCTGTCTCTCCTTTTGTCCTTTCTCCATCTTCTCCTCTCTTACCTCTCAAAAATTATCAATAATTTGATAATTCTGTGGTTAGAATCCAAGATTCCTCAACTTCAGTGTGATTGACATGGTGGCTGGCTCACTTTCTGTTGTGGGAGCTGTTCTGTGCACAGTAGGATGTTTAGCAGTGTCCCTGGTCTCTACCCACTAGATGCCAGTAGCAACCACACCCCTCCCCAACACACACTCAATTATAATAACCAAATATGTCTCCAGGCATTGCCAAATGTTCCTGGGGACCAAGATTGCCCTGATGTAGCCTGATCTCTGCAAAAGCGTCTGGAGTCTCTCCAGTTGAACGATCGCTGATAGAAACTCACGGGAACAGTCTGTGCCCTCCCGGCAAGTCCACGCTCATTCGAGGCAGCTGTCACCTGCTAGGACATTCCAGGGCACGACTTGAAAAATGCTTGGCGTGCCTCTGACAACAAGAGATGCAGGCTGAAGCAAGGCATTCCTGCCTCTTGTCCTGAAACTGGGATGCTGGCATTAGAATGGACAGCATGAGTTGTTCTTGAGTGGCAAAAGGCAAGGGGTCCTGCTGTGGTTTGTATGTCTGTCTCCTCCAAATCTCATGTTGAAATTAGTCTGTTCTCGCATTTCTATAAAGAACTACCTGAGGCCGGGCGCAGTGGCTCACGCCTGTAATCCCAGCACTTTGGGAGGCTGAAGTGGGTGGATTGCTTGAGCCAAGGAGTTGGCAACCAGCTTGGGCAACATGGTGTAACTCTATCTCTATTATAAAGAAACAAAAAAATTTTTTTTTGGGACGGAGACTCGCTCTGTTGCCCAGTGCAGTGGCGCAATCTTGGCCCGCTGCAACCTCCGCCTCCTGGGTTCACACATTCTCCTGCCTCAGCCTCCCGAGTAGCTGGGACTACAGGTGCCTACCACCACGCCCGGCTAATTTTTCGTATTTTTAGTAGAGACGGGGTTTCACCATGTTAGACAGGATGGTCTCGATCTCCTGACCTCGTGATCTGCCCACCTCGGCCTCCCAAAGTGCTGGGATTACAGGTATGAGCCACCGTGCCCAGCCAGAAAAAAAAATTTTTAAACAGGCTACCTCAGATTGGGTAATTTATACAGAAAAGAAGTTTAATTGACTTGCAGTTCCACTGGCTGTACAGGAAGCATGGCTGGGGAGGCCTCAGGAAACTTACAATCATGATGGAAGGCGAAGGGGAAGTCTTACGTGGCTGGAGAAGGAACAAGAGAGCAAAGAGGGAGGTGCTACACACACTTAAACAACCAGATCTCGTGAGAACTCACTATCATGAGAACAGCAAGGGAGACGTCCACCCCCATGATCCAATCACCTCCCCCCAGGCCCCTCCTCCAACACTGGGGATTATGATTTGACATGAGATGTGGGCAGGGACACAGATCCAAACTACATCATAGGCCCCAGTGGGAGGTGTTTGGGTCACGGGGGTGGATCCCCCATGAATAGATTAAGCTCTTCCTGGGAGGTGGGGGTGAGTGAGTTCTCACTCTTTTAGTTCCTGGACAGCTGGTTGTTAAAAAAAGCCTGGCACCTCCCCCTCTCTCTTGCTTCCACTCTTGCCCTGTGACTTCTGCACACATGAGCTCCCTTTCACCTTCTATGAATGTAGCCAGCCTGAGGCCCATGCCAAATGTCCCATCTTCCAGCCAGCAGAATCATGAGCCAAATAAACCTCTTGTCTTTATAAAGATATTATTTCCTCTTCATTAAAGAACAGCTTTTCTAAATGTTGGGGGAAATGTCCATAGTCATTACTCAATCAAAACTTGTGTTCCCATAAGCCTAAGGACCATTCTAGATTTTTTACATGTTTTTTTGTGTGTGTGTATCTATAAAATGCATACATAAATTTTTTTTTGTTTTTAAGCATTCACCCAAACAAAAAATCACAGGTAAACCCATATTTCTGAGATGCCATTATTCCGAGCTAAATAAGAGATAATCACTTCAAGGTAAATTGAAAATTTTCCTGAAGCCATACATTTCAAGTGAAATAAGTAATTCTAAATAGGACAATTTAAATTGGATAATTTTAAAGCGTCTATAATTGGTTTATTTGCAAAATTCCTGAAAGGAAAAATTTTATCACTGCCATCACAGCAGGTTTCCACATCCAGATGAGAAAACAAGACAAATGCTAGTGTGTTTTAACTAGCTAAACAAAACTAAGTTAAATGAATATTTAAAAATTTCCCTAGTGGGCCATTCCTTAACAAAATGTTGAAATCCCTGTTGCTACATTGACTAAAAGATCATGTTGAATGGAATATGTAAGACTTGGCTCATAGAAACCTAATCAGATGGTTAGAGATGCTGGCAGTTTAGGACCTGCTGCCATAAATGTGTGAACAACCTTTTGTAATCTAACCTACTGACCTGCATGTTTTTTCTTTACCCCAGCTCATTCCTTACATGTAGCCTCAATCTTCAGTTTGCTTTACTGGTTCAGCAAAAGCCAGGAAGAACAACTTTGTAGTAATCAGAATGTTATCCAACTGTATATTGTTTACTTTATCGTAAATACTGGTGAACAGTGGTTAATAAATAGTTTTATATTCCTTTATGCAAAAAAAAAAAAAAGCACTCAGCCACAGGCATTCCTTGATAGCAACACTCAAGGGACTAAGATAGGGCCCCATGCTGGTATACAGATGGCACTGCTGAAAGGAGTCAGCAGCCCCGGCCCTTGATGGAGACGCTGAGGAACGAGGCAGAAAGATCAGTGGACTCAGACTCCGAAGGGTCGATTTCTAGTTCTGGTCCTGCCCCCATGAGCTGTGTGTACTCAGTTGAGCCTCTTTACCTGTTTCCGCATGAGTAAAATGAAAATATGATTTCTGTCCTCTGGTTTTTCCTAGGATAGTTGTCAGGAGCAAAGTAAGATACTGGCTCCAAGCTGACCCACTACATCCCTTACCTGCTTCAGTCTTCTTTGTAACATCTGAAATATTGTATTTGGGTTTACCTTCTGTCTCTGCTAGCAAAATGTCATCTTCCTGAGGGCTTGGTCTTCTTTGCTGTTGCAAGCCTCAGAGATGACAACAATGCCCAACATAGTAGATGTTCAATAAAGACGTGCAGGCCAGGTACAGTGGCTCACGCCTGTAATCCCAGCACTTTGGAAGGCCAAGGCGGGAGGATCACTTGAGGCCAGGAGTTCAAGACCAACCTGGTAAACAGCAAGACCCCATCTCTATGAAAATTTTAAAAATTAAAAAAAGTATGAGCTGGGCATGATGGCTGCACAGCTGTAGTGCCAGCTACTTCAGAGGCTGAGGTGGGAAGATCACTTGAGCCCAGGAGTTCAGGGCTGCAATGAGCTATGACTGTGCCTTGGGTGATACAGCAGGACCCTGTCTCAAAAAACAAAACAAGAACAACAAAGACAAAGACACGCAGAGTGAATGTGAACCTGTGTATCACGGGGAAGTTATTTGAAGATACATCTCAACAGCTATGGAAATATCAAGCCCTTTGTACACAGTGATTCCACTTCTGAGAATCTAAACCCCAAATAATCCAACATGGAGAAGAAGCCTTAGAGGAACTGATGTTCATCCTGCAGTGGCCAAAATTGCTCAAACCTGAAAAGCCAGCCTTAGTAATCAAGATGAGGGTGTAATTAGCACAATCCCGATGAATCTCATTTGTGAAATTGCAGACAGCCATTACAAATATTGTTTACAGCAAGATGAGTTAATTTTTGTAGCACACACACAAAACCATAATGTGTAATGCAAAATTATAATGTGTAATGCAAAACTAGGTTGCAAAAGCAACCCAATTACTGAGATGACAGGAGCCAGCACCCACTGTCCCCCATGGCCACACTGTTGGTAATGTCACACATGATCTCTCCGGAGGGCAATTTGGAAATTCCTACTACAATGTAAGTGTTCATGCCACTAGACCCAGCAATTGCATTTCTATGAATCTATCCTAGAAATGTATTAGGAAACAACCCAGATGTCTATGAATAGGGGAATAGTTAAATAAATTATAGTTAAATAGATCACTGTATAATCAGCTGAGTGCAGTGGCTCACGCCTGTAATCCCAGCTACTAGCTACTCTGGAGGCTGAAGCCAGAGAATCACTTGAACCTGGGAGGCAGAGGTTGCGGTGAGCCAAGATCACACCACTGCACTCCAGCCTGGGTGATACAGTGAGACTGTCTAAAAAAAATAAAAATAAAAATAAATTTAAAAAATAAAAATAGATGACTGTATATCAATATAATGGTATACTATGCAGCCACTAAATATGTGGAGATTTGCATATACTGATATGGAAAGATGATCAAGACTATTAAAGATTATTAAATTGAAAAAAGCAAATTGCAAAAAATTTTTGTGCAATAACAATGGTGTCATATATGATATTATAAGCATACGCTTTTTTTTTAAATCTGGAGGAGGCTGGGTGCAGTGGCTCATACCTATATCCCAGCACTTTGAGAGGCTGAGGTGGGAGGATTGCTTGAAGCCAGGAATCCAAGACCAGCCGGGCAACATAACGAGGTCCCTCTCTCTACAAAAAACTGTTTAAAAATTAGCCTGTAGTCCCAGCTACTCCGTAGGGGGCTGGGGTTGGGAGGGGTTGTGCAGAGGTGGGAGGATCCCTTGAGCCCAGGAGTTCAAGTCTGCAGTAAGCTATGATCACGCCACTGCACTCCATCCTGGGCAACAGAGCGACACTCTATCTCCAAAAATAAAAAATAAAAAATTAAACATTTTCAAAATAAAAATGTTTTTAAAAAATCCAGAGGAATACATACTAAACCGTTGACAATGATTCTCTCCGAAGGACAGAGGGAGACTTTCCTCTATGTTGTGAATTTCTGCAGTGTTTAAAAAACGTAAACTTTAGCTGAAAAACGAAACTGAATATGCCATATGAACCCACTTATATAAGCAAACCTAAGTCAGGCACATGAAGACTGGAAGGAGCTCTATCGAGGTGTTATTAACAGTGACTGATGGCCAGGCACCGCGGCTTATGCCTGTAATCCCAGCACTTTGGGAGGCTGAGGTGTGCAGATCACTTGAGGCCAGGAGTTTAAGACCAGCCTGGCCACCATGGTGAAACCCTGTCTCTACTAAAAATACTACTAAAAATACAAAAAAAGTTAGCTGGGCATGGTGGCAGGCACCTATAATCCCAGTTACTTGGGAGGCTGAGGCAGGAGAATCGCTTGAACCCGGAAGGTGGAGGTTGCGGTGAGCCGAGATCATGCCACTGCACTCCAGCCTGGGCAACAGAGTGAGACTCTGTCACAAACAAACAAACAAACAAAAAACAGTGATCATTTCTAGGTGGTGGGATAATTGAGCAGTGTTTGGCTTTTTCCTTTTGAGGGAAAACCTCTACAATGAGCATGTATGGCCTCTTCAAAAGATAACCCACCTTTAATAGCTTCTTTGTGTTAACCGGGTGATGCTCAGGGCGTAATGCTCTGCTGATGTAACCTGCTGTTGATGGTGTCCTGTTTCCCCAGGATGGATGACATCCAGCTCTGCAAGGACATCATGGACTTGAAGCAGGAGCTGCAGAACTTGGTCGCCATCCCAGGTAACCATTTGCAACTTCACCTTGTGCTAAACAGGTGCTTGGGGGCCCCCAGCCTGGCCCATCTGTACGCCTGGGTCTGGAAGACAGAGCCTCATTCTTGCAATGCAGTGCTCCCTGACTGCATGTGTCAAACACAACTTCGAGTCAGGAAGACCTGGGTTCAAGTCCTAGTGAATTCTGGTCACCTTCTTGTCCTTGGACAAGTCACTGTACTTCTCTGAGACTCAATTTCTCCTCCTCTGAAAATTGGCTAGTAATAGTAAGAGGGTCTAATTCATTGAGTATAAATATCCTAAAGAGGCTGGGCACGGTGGCTAATGCCTGTAATCCCAGCACTTTAGGAGGCTGAGATGGGTGGCTTACTTGAGGTCAGGAGTTTGAGGCCAGCCTGGCCAACATGGCAAAACCCCATCTCTACTAAAAATACAAAAATTAGCCAGGTGTGGTGGCACACACCTGTAATCCCAGGTAACCGGCAGGCTGAGGCAGGAGAATCACTTGAGCTTGGGAGGTGGAGGTTGCAGTGAGCTGAGATTGTGCCATTGCACTCCAGCCTGGGCAACACAGCGAGACACTGTCTCAAAAAAATATATAATTAAATTAAATTAAATATCATAAAAATCGATGAGATGATGCAAACTAAGTGCTTAGCTTGATATTTGGCCTCAAGAGTCCAGTAAATATTAGCAATTATGACCATTATTATCCTACTTGGGAACAGATGAAGTGTGTACAAACTCTAACTTTGAAGTCACCCCAGATTTGGTAGTTAATAATGCCTGACTTATTTGGCATCTTCTCCAAAAAATTTTCCCCTGCCCATCAGGCTGTGTTAGTTGCCCTCTGTGGGGCTTACCCTTATCAAAATGCTAGTCCCAGGCCAGGCATGGTGGCTCACACCTGTAATCCCAGCAGTTTAGGAGGCTGAGAGGGCAGATCACTTGAGTTCAGGAGTTTGAGAACAGCCTGGCAAACATGGTGAAACCCCATCTCTAGTAAAAATATGAAAATTAGCCAGGGGTGGTGGCGGGTGCCTGTAATTCCAGCTACTCAGGAGGCTGAGGTGGGAGAATTGCTTGAACCCAGGAGGTGGAGGTTGCAGTGAGGTGAGATCTCACCACTGCACTTCAGCCTGGGTGACAGAGCGAGACTCCGACTCAAAAAAAAGAAAGAGAGAACTGAGTAATTTATAAAGAAAATAAGTTTAATTGGCTCACAGTCCTGCAGGCTGTACCAGAAGCATGATGCTGGTGTCTGCTCAGCTGCTGGAAGGCCTCAGGAAACTTATAATCATGGCGGAAGACAAGGGAGCAGACATGTCACGTGCCCAGAGCAGGAGCAAGAGAGTGAGGCGGGAGGTGCCACACACTTTTAAAAGACCAAATCTCATGAGAACTCACTATCACAAGGACAGTACCAAGGAGGATGGGGCTAAACCATCATGAGAAACCTCCATCATGATCCAATCACCTCTCATCAGGCCACGCCTCCAACACTGGGTATTACATTTCAATATGAGATTTGGGCGGGGACACACATCCAAACTATATCAGAATGGATGCTGCTGATTGGTTGGGGATGCAATCATAGGTGTGTGAAAAATGATTCTCAGGGGTGCTAAGTCCACTTCTGGGTGGCAGGTCCACGTGGATCATCATTCATCAGAAATGCAAAACCTAAAGAGATATCTCAAAAGGCTGATCTTAGATTCTGCAATAGTGATGTTATCTGCAGGAGTAATTGGGGAAGTTGCAAATCTTGTGACCTCTGGAATAATGGCAGTAGTCATTTATGTCTACACCTTAGCAGAATTCAGCCTCCTCCCATCCTTCTAACATGGGGGCCTTTTATTAGCTTTACAAAGGCAGTTTAGTTGGTGGAAAAGGTTATAATCATTTAAACTATAAACTAAATGTCTCCCAAAGCTAGCATGGCCTAAACCTGGGAATGATTAAGGGCAGCTTGGAGGTTAAAGGCAAGATGGGGGTTGGTTAGATCAGATCCCTTTCACTGTCCTAATTTTCTCACTGTTATCATTTTTGCAAAGGTGTTTTCAAATAGGCCAGATAAGCACCCACCATTACCCTTGACTTGAATGTTTTTGCCATGCTGTCAGTTCAATAACTATGTCCCAAGAGGCTGTTCTGCAGCAAGCTCTGAACCTAGGAGCCGGGCTTGCAGTGATGAACAGAGAACGGTTCTCCACTCTCAAGGAGCCCCCAGGTTAGCAGAAAGAGACTGGGCCCAGCACACAGTGGGTGCCCATAAGTGGCAGTTCTTACTGAGCTACAAGTGCAGCATGATGAGCCTTAGAGCAGCGTTTCCCAACCTTCAACTATTGACATTTGGGGTTGACAAATGTCAGTATCTTCCTTTGGGGTTGATCATTTTTTGTTGGGGGTACGGGGCTCTGTGTTGTGTCTTGTGGGATGTTGAGTTTCATCCCTGGCCTCTACCCACTACAGGCCATTAGCACAACGTACCTCTCCGCTACCCCTCAATGGTGATGTTACCTGAAAGGGATCCTGATCCAGACCCCAAAGTTCTTGGACCAAGAGCAAGAAAGAATTTAGGGCGAGTCCGTAAAGTGAAAGCAAGTTTATTAAGAAAGCAAAGGAATAAAAGAATGGCTACTCTGTAGGCAGGGTAGCAGCTTGGGCTCCTCGATTGATTGTACTTATAGCTATTTCTTGATTATATGCTAAACAAGGGGTAGATTATTCATGAGTTTTCTGGGAAAGGGGTGGGCAATTCCCACAACTGAGGGTTCCTCCCCTTTTTAGACCATGTAGGGTAACTTCCTGATGTTGCCATGACATTTGTAAACTGTCATGGCACTGATGGGAGTACCTCTTAGCATGCTAATACCTTATAATTAGCATATAATGAGTAGTGAGGACGACCAGAGGTCACTTTCATCGCCATCTTGGCTTTGGTGGGTTTTGGCAGCCTTCTTTACTAATGCTGTTTTATCAGGAAGGTCTTTGTGACCTGTATCTTGTGCCGACCTCCTATCTCATCTTGTGACTTAGAATGCCTAACCTCCTGGGCATTCAGCCCAGTAGGTCTCAGCCTTATTTTACCCAGCCCCTATTCAAGATGGAGTCACTGTAGTTCAAACCCTTCTGACAGTGACAACCAAAAATGTCTATAGATGTACAGATGTTGCTGAATGTACCCCAAGCGAGGTCAGGGGGGTGTGCAACATTGCCCTATGAAAGGAAAATAAAGTCCCAGGACCCCAATTCACTATACCAAAAGGAAAAGTTAAGCTTGGGAACTATGAGTCATACAAAAACCTACTTTTTTTTTTTTTTTTGAGACGGAGTCTCGCTCTGTCCCCCAGGCTGGAGTGCAGTGGCGCGATCTCTGCTCACAGCAAGTTCCGCCTCCCGGGTTCATGCCTCAGCCTCAGTCTCCCGAGTAGCTGGGAGCCTGTAGGCACCTGCCACCACGCCCGGCTAATTTTTTGTATTTTTAGTAGAGGTGGGGTTTCACCGTGTTAGCCAGGATGGTCTCGATCTCCTGACCTCATGATCCACCCACCTCAAGCCTCCCAAAGTGCTAGGATTACAGGTGTGAGCCACCACACCCAGCCAAAACTGCCTTTCTTTTTTTCCTAAACAGATAGCTGCAAGATAGAAAGGCCACCTATCTTCCCAGGGGCCTCCCTCACCCTGTCAATGTAAATTAACAGCTTATCCTAACAGGTAGGGGACTAAGACAAGACTATAAATCATCGTCCCTCCGCCCACCCGGAGACAAATGCACATTTGACTTCCTCCTCTACTCCGCGTTTCCTTTATCCTATGTAAAATGCAAATTCACTGAGGGCCAGAGAATGCAATCCTCCCCTTCCTGCCCTCTCTTTCCCCTTTAAATATTGAAGTCCTTAAGATCCTCTGCAGAAAAAAGCACAGGCCGGGGATCCTATTGCTGCCTGTGTCTCTTTTTCCCAGGTGCCTCCTCGACTTTGGCAAAATAAACCTCCAGATTGATTGAGACCTTCTCAGACACTTTGCAGCTTACAGCTCCCACATAAGAACTACTACTTTAGTAATTAGAGTGCAGCAATCTGGGTTTGAATTCAGCCTTAGCAGGCAGGTGAACTTCGTGAAAGTTCGCGACTTAATTTCTCTGAGCCTTGAATTCCTTGTTGGGAAAATGAGGCCAATAATACTACCCCCCGCATGGTTGTTGTGAATATCCCATAAATAACAAAGGCAAGGTGTAGGAGTCTTCCACACAGTCTTGTTGTAAGGGTAGTGTGCGCAATGACAGTAGAACTGAATCCTCTAGCTTTCGTGAGCATTTACTAGGTGCCCAGCACTGTGTAGGCCCTAAGGATAAACGAGTGAATAGACTTTCCTAGTTGAAAGAGAGCGACAGCTAGTGGGTATGGGGTTTCTTCTGGGGGTGATTAAAATGTTCTAAAATGGATTGTGGTGATGGTTGCACAACTCTGCAAATACACTTGGAACAGATGAACTGCATGGTATGTGAATCATATTGCAATAAAGCTGTTACCAAAAAAAGTTAAATGTCAAACATAAAACAACGAAGGAATGAGGGAAAAGTACCAAAGTCTATTCTCCACCCACTAGAAACCCCAATGCAATTGATCTGGCATTGTTGGCTTTGGACTCTGGCATTGTAATAGAACTCAACTTGTGATATGGTTTGGCTGTGTTCCCACCCAAATCTCATCTTGAATTGTAGCTCCTATAATCCCCGTGTGTTGTGGGAGGGACCCAGTAGGAGATGATTGAATCATGGGGGACAGTTTCCCCCATGCTATTCTCATGGTAGTGAAGAAGTCTCATGAGAGCTGATGGTTTTATAAGGGGTTTCCCCTTTCGCTTGATTCTCATTTTCTGTGCTGCCTGCTGCCAAGTAAGACGTGCCTTTTGCCTTCTGCCGTGATTGTGAGGCCTCCCCAGCCACGTGGAACTGTGAGTCCATTAAACCTCTTTTTCTTTATAAATTACCCAGTTGCGGGTATGTTTTTATCAGCAGCGTGAAAATGGACTAATACAACTAGGGTCTGCTTTCCTGGCACAGTAAGACCAGCTGTCTCCCCAGAGTTTTTGCAGTGGTAAAAAGGAAACAGTTTATTTGCAAGGCTCCAAGCCAGGAGGACTGGGCAGCTAATGCTTCAAGCCTGACCTCCTCAATGGCTTATAGGTAATGTTCTGTCCAACAGGTTCACCTTGCCCTCTGCCTAGACAAACCTGACTTATCAAGACTGGGGAATTACAATAGAGAAAGAGTAATTCATGCATAGCCGGCTGAGGGAGACTGGAGTTTTATTATTCCTCAAATCAGTGCCCCTGAGCATTCCAGGATCAGAGTTTTTAAAGACGATTTGGTGGATGGGGGTGGGGGTGCAGTGAGAATGGAGTGCTGATTGGTTGGGTCGGAGATGAAATCACAGGGAGCCGAAGCTGTCCTCTTGCACTGAGTCAGTTCCTGGGTTGGGGCCACAAGGTCAGATGAGCCACTTTATCTGGGTGGTACCCACTGACCCATCAAGTGCACGGTCTGCAAAATACCTCAAGCATTGATCTTGGTTTTTACAATAGTGGTGTTATCTTCAGGAGTAATCTGGGGAGGGTCAGCATCTTGTAGCCTCCAGCTGCATGATTCCTAAACCATAATTCCTAATCTTGTGCTTAATTTGTTAAGTCCATTTTCACACTGCTGTCAAGAACTGCCCAAGACTGGGTATAACGGAAAGAGGTTTCATTGACTCACAGTTCGGCATAGCTGGGGAAGCCTCAGGAAACTTACAATCATGGTGGAAGGTCAAGGAGAAGCAAGGCACTCTCTTCACAAGGTGACAGGAAGGAGAATGAACGCAGGAGGAACTGCCCAACCCTTATAAAACCATCAGATCTCATGGAACTCACTCACTATCATAATTCCTAATCTTCTGGTTAATTTGTTAAGTCCATTTTCACACTGCTGTCAAGAACTGCCCAAGACTGGGTATAAAGGAAAGAGGTTTCATTGACTCACAGTTCGGCATAGCTGGGGAAGCCTCAGGAAACTTACAATCATGGTGGAAGGTGAAGGAGAAGCAAGGCACTCTCTTCACAAGGTGACAGGAAGGAGAATGAACGCAGGAGGAACTGCCCAACCCTTATAAAACCATCAGATCTCATGGGAACTCGCTCACTATCACGAGAACAGCATGGGGAAACTGCCTGCGTGATTCAGTCACCTCCACCTGGTCTCTCCTTTGACACGTGGGGATGATGGGGATTATAATTCAAGATGAGTTTTGGGTGGCGACACAAAGCCTAACCGTATCACCTACAAATGCAGTCTAGTTCCCAGGCAAGAAGGGAGTTTGTTTTGGGAAAAGGCTGTTATCGTCTTTGTTTTAAATGATAAAGTAAGTTCCTCCCATAGTTAGTTCAGCCTATGCCCAGTAATGAACAAGGACAGCTTGGAGGTTAGAAGCAAGATGGAGTTGATTAGGTCAGATCTCTTTCACTGTCTCTTATAATTTTGCAATGGCGATTTCAGTGCAGGTTTTTAAAGGCAGGGGTAAATTTCAGTCAAGCAGAAGTTACAGGCAAAATTGTAAATCAATACATTGAGATTACATATCAATTTTGGCCTAAAAGGGCTGCATACGTTGAAGCTGGGGCTCACAGGTCATAGGTAGATTGAAAGATTTTCTAATTTGCAATTGGTTAAGGAAGAGAAGCTTTGTTTAAAAATCGGGGGTCAAGGCCAGGTGCAGTGGCTCACGCGTATAATCCCAGCACCCTGGGAGGCCGAAGTGGGCAGATTGCTTGAGGCCAAGAGTTGGAGACCAGCCTGGCCAACATGGCGAGACCCCCGTCTCTACTAAAATTACAAAAATTAGCCGCGTGTGGTGGCGCCTGCCTGTACTTCCAGCTACTCGGGAGACTGAGGCAGGAGAATTGCTTGAACTCGGGAGAGGGGGGTTGCAGTGAGCCAAGATTGTGCCACTGCACTCCAGCCTGGGCGACAAAGCAAGACTCTGCCTCAAATAAATAAATAAATAAAAATAATAAAAATCGGGGGTCAGCAGAAAAGAATGGCATCCCTGGCCCATGGGTGTGACTCCCTCCAGGCCTCTCTGGAAGACACTTAGAACAAGGAAAGATGGTCAGAATTCAGTCCTTAGTCTTCCTTTATCTGACGTCTATATGCCAGTGGATCCATTTGGTAGGGTCCTGGGTTTCTGAAAAACAACTCAGACATATATGCTAAGATGTTTATCTTCAGTTTCTATAGAAAACAAAACATCTCCAGATTCTAACTTCCTTGGCTATTGTTTTAGGCTACTATTACCTTCTTACTGATAAGTTGCTTATTGACTTTTCAAGGCTAGCTAGGTGCCTAGAATTTCCTTTGAGGGAACTCAAGATTTTCCTTTATTTCCATGCTTGGGGTGGGGGTCTCCCACAGACCCCAAAAGGGAGTCCCTGTGTTACTGGTGGAAGGTGTCCAGGTTCTTGGTGTTTTGAACAAAGAATTGGACAAAATGCACACACAAACAAAATAAGCGAGGAAAGAATGAAGCAACAAAAGCAGAAATTTATTGAAAATGAAAGTACACTCCATAGGGTGGGAGTGTGCCTGAGCATAGGGGCTCAGGAGCCCCAATACAGAATTTTCTGAGGTTTAAATACCCTCTAGAGGTTTCCCGTTGGCTACTTGGTGTACACCCTATGTAAATGAAGTAGTGGCCCACAATTAGTCTGATTGGTCGCAGAAAGCTTTTGCAGTTGCTTTCTGCGACCAATCAGATATACTTTCAATTTCTCATGTGACACACAGAAAAGGAGGAGGGTTTGCAAAGGGAGTAGCCTCCAGTCCTTTTGTTACTTATGTGTGGAAAGTTGGGGTTTTTCTTTTGATTTAGTTCTAGGAAGTTGGCCCTAGGTTCCCTGCCTCCAGACCATATTCTCCTGCCTCACCTGATCCATCTCAGCATTAGTAATTTTTTTTTTTTTTTTTTTGAGACAGAGTCTTGCTCTGTCACCCAGGCTGGAGTGCAGTGGCGAGATCTGGGTTCACTGCAGTCTCCGCCTCCGGGGTTCAAGTGAAGTGATTCTCCTGCCTCAGCCTCCTGAGTAGCTGGGACTACAGGCGCCCGCCACCATGCCCGGCAAATTTTGTTTTTGTATTTTTAGTAGAGACTGGGTTTCACTGTGTTAGCCAGGATGGTCTCAACCTCCTGATCTCGTGATCTGCCCGCCTCGGCCTACCAAAGTGCTGGAATTACAGGTGTGAGCCACCGCGCCTAGCCGAGCATTGGCAATTTTTAAAGCTTTGCACCTGATTGTGATAAGCAGGGACGGTTAGGAACCGCCAGGCCTGTTCCCCTCTCTCATTTCACAATTCTCCAAGGATTAGTCTGGCTGAAAGGTACAGAAACCCATCCAAGCTTATGTAAGCACAAAACAAACAATTACTGGAAGGACAGTGGAGTCTCCTGAAGCCCTAGGGCATTACATTCATTTCCCAGAGCTGCCTAACAAATTGGTGCAAACTGGATGGCTTAAGCAACAGAAATGTATTCTCTCTCGGTTCTGGATGTATTCTCTTTCGGTTCTGGAGGCCAGACATCCAAAATCGAGGTGTCAACAGGGCCTTGTTCCCTGCTAAGGCTCTAGAGGAGACTCCTTTGCCTCTTAGCTTCTGGTAGTGTTAGTGAAGTAGTGTTGTTGACTGGGGTAAATACCCAAGGTTCGTTGTCTCTCTCCAAGCAGATTAAGGACACAGACACTGACATACAGAGGAGTGAGTTTAGGAGTGGAGGTTTAATAGGCAAAAGAAAGAGAAAAGGGAACAGCTCTCTCGGTCTCTCTCGAGAAGTCCCTGAATGGGAATTCCGGCCTGTGGCAGACTGCACCAAATTTTATAGACAAGCTTGAGGAGGTGGTGTCTGATTTACATAGGGCCCACAGATTGGTTGGAGCAGGTGTGACGTTTGCATAGTGCATGGGAAGGCTGGCCACCCCACCCTAATCTTATCATGCAAATGAACTTTCCACTTGGGCGGCGCCATGTTGTCTTCTCCTTACTGTACACATGGCTGGCAAAGAGAAGGGAGCGTGGAGCCGCCATTTTGAACATACCTAGACCAGGTGGCCTTTTCCTATGGGCACAGCTGCCAGCATTCACCCGTGTAAGCTTCCAGCTCCCTTGACTATGTCTACAGCTCGATTTTACTGGCTGCTCCTTGTTAGAAAAGAAAATGATTTGGGGGTTGCTTTTCATTAAAAGGAAAACCTTACCGAGGACTTCCTTACCCTATCTGCCTAAATAATTTCTTCTTCACTCCTGTATCATTAGCAGTAGCAAATCCATACGAGTCTGAAGCAACTTGATACTTGCCTCCTCAGAGGAAATAATTCCACCAGCGGGCATAAGGCAGAGTGAGAGACCGAGGCAAGTTTTAGAGAAGGAGCAAAAGTTTATTAACAAGTTTTAGAGCAGGAATGAAAGGCAGTAAAGGACACTTGGAAGACGGCCAAGTGGGTGATTTGAGAGATCCAAGTGCACCGCTTGACCTTTGATTTGGGGTTTTATATGTTGGCATGTTCCGGGGTTTTATATGTTGGCATATTCCAGGGTTTTATGTCTCTCCTCCCTTCATTTTCCCTCAGGGCAGGTTGTGCGCATGCGCAGTGGCCTGCCAGCGCTTGGGAGAGGCTGCAAACACAGTGTATTTACAGAAGTCATGGGCCTGATTATTTGAGATGTTTTTCCCTCACCAGTTGAGTGTTCCTAGAGGAAGGTCATATACCAGTTAGACTCCGCCATTTTGCCTCTTAATGTGCATGCTTGAGCCCAGTTGCCCAACTCCTGAGATCTCATCGGGAAACCGCTGATAACTTCAGGTGTTTTCTGTCTGTTGGGAGATGGCCTTTCCCTGGCACCAGCTGTGACCAATTATTATTTTAGAGAGACAATTTTAACAACTGCCTGACATCACCTGATGGTTGCCTGGCATTCCTTGGGGGGGAAATCCCCTCTCCTTTCTTGCTCATGGCTGCCTGGCTACCTACTCTAACAGTAACACACACAATTCTTGGCATTGCTTGCCTTCTGGTTGCACCACTTCAATCTCTGCCTCCATCTTCACGTGACCCTGTGTGTGTCTGTGTGTCTTCTCTTCTCCTCTTTTTTTTTTTTTTTTTCTAAAAGACAGGGTCTGGCTGTGTTGCCCAGGCTGGTCTAGAACTCCCAGGCTTAAGTGATCCTCCTGCTTCAGCCTCCCAAGTAGCTGGGATTACAGGTTCAGGCCACCATGCTTGGGTCTCTTTCCTCTTCTCATAAGGACACAAGTCATTGGGTTTAGGGTCCATGCTAATAAGTATGACCTCATTTTAGCTTAACTATTATAATTACATGTGCAAAGCAACTTACAAATTACTTTGGAAATAGAGTATTTCCAAATAGAAGAGATATAAACTGGGGAAAACTATTTCCAAATAGGGCACACATGAACTTTGGGGGTGCCTTAGTCTCTGTGGCTTGCTCTAGACCGGGGGCTTGTAAACAACATTTATTACAGTTCTGGAGGCTGGGAGGTGCAAGATCAAGGTGTTGGCAGATACAGTGCCTGGTGACGGCCTGTTCCTTATAGATGGTACCTTCTCACTGTGCCTTTGTGTGGTGGAAGGGGCAAACAAGCTCCCTTGGGTCTCTTTTATAAGGGCACTAATTCCATTCATGAGGGTTCTACCTTCATAATCTACTCACTTCCCAAAGGCCTCATTTCTTAATACTATGACCATGGAGGTTAGGATTTCAGTGGGTGGCACCTGTAGGCAAGTGGAAGATGATGGGAAAGGTATGTGGCACACACGCACGTGAGCAGCATTGGCCAATGACTTGGAGACTTGGGCTAGTCATAGGTCTGTGAGCTGACGCAGGCCACTTGTGTGAGTAGGTGGTTTCTCCTGGGAGTTGCTGCAGCTGAGGCTGGGGAATGCCTCTATTGGTGAGTGACAGAACACATGGATGAATGGCTTGGAGACAGAGGTTTGCAGATGTTGGGGGCCCAGCCAGTTGTTGGGTGATTCTGGCTAAGATCTAGAGAGCAGTGGAGGGCACTTGGGAATGTCAGAGTGCTGTCAATGGTTATTTGGAGAGTAAAGTCACACCACGAGCTCCTGAGTGAGCAGGGGTCCTGGTGAGTCGATGGGTGTTGGTGCGTGCTTGGAGAGGGCAGGGAGCGGCTCTGCGGTGCTGACGAGTGATTTGGGGAATCAGACCCAACCCACAAGATTTACCACGGCAGGAGCAGTGACACCATCATCCAATGCACCAATGGCTGGGAATGGGGAGCGGCTGGCAAGCCTATTGCCCTTCTTCGTGCAGTGGTGGACTCCTGGTTAATGAGAGAAACCAACTTTCTGTCCTATCCAAATATTATGTTCTCCTTACCCCTGGTTCTGCTTCCAGATCCAGAAAAAATGATCAACGTCAGTCGTGGGCAGGCAGACAAGCTGTCCCACATTTTTTATTCTGAAGGGATTTGAGCAGAAAGAGCCCAAGTGGGTTTAAGTTTTTGCCTCTTAATTTTCTCAAACCTCATCTTCAGCCCTCTCTCTTTTTTTTATTTTTTCTCTTTGGCATCCTAGCACTTGGTGTTTGGGACAGGGTTAGTGTCATTGGCATGGATGATTTTCTTCTGATAAATTGGTTTACCTTCACCAAAGGGAAAAAAACAACTAGTTCCCTCCCAGCACCCCTATCTGAGCCTCTCCTCACCCCCTGCCTTTGCAGAAGACCCTGGCTTTGTCATGACCATTTACTGAAGGCTCTCAGCCAAGGCCAAGCACTCCACTAAGCCATTTACTAACACTACTGCATTTCAAAATTGTATGCAATTTAGTATGCAGGATGTGCAGGTTTATTACATAGGTAAACGTGGGCCATGGTGGCTTGCTGCACCTGTCAGCCCGACACATAGGTATTAAGCCCAGCATGCATTAGCTATTTTTCCTGATGCTCTCCCTCCCCACACTCACCCTGCCCTCTCAATTTTTTTTTTTTTTTTTAAGAGACAGGGTCTTTCTCTGTTACCCAGGCTGGAGTGCAATGGTGCAATCATAACTCACTGCAGCCTAGAACTCCTGGGCTCAAGAGATCCACCCACCTCAGCCTCCCAAGTAGCTGAGACTACAGGAACACTCCATCACATGTGGCTAATTTACAGAGAAAATTTTTGTAGACATAGGAGGGTCTCACTATGTTGCCCAGGCTGGTCTTGAACTCCTGGCCTCAAGTGATCCTCCTGCCTTGGTCTCCCAAAGTGCTGGGATTACAGGTGGCAGGCACTATGCCCAGCCCATTACTCCCATTTTAAGCCTCACTGTGTATTTTACAGATGAGAAAACTGAAGCTTGAAGAGGTCAAGTTGCTTCTCCAAGTTCATCCAGAGGGTGGAAGGGCAGAGTCAGGTCTCCAATCAATCCTGGCCGCTCAGCTCAAGTGCTTTTTTTTTTTTTTTTGAGACAGAGTCTCGCTCTATCACCCAGGCTAGAGTGCAGTGGTGCGATCTCAGCTCACTGCAAGCTCCACCTCCCGGGTTCATGTCATTCTCCTGCCTCAGCCTCCCGAGTAGCTGGGACTACAGGCACCCGCCACCACACCCGGCGAATTTTTTGTATTTAGTAGAGACGGGGTTCCACCCTGTTAGCCAGGATGGTCTCGATCTCCTGACCTCGTGATCCGCCCACCTTGGCCTCCCAAAGTGCTGGGATTACAGGTGTGAGCCACCGCACCCGGCCAGCTCAAGTGCTTTTAGTGGTCACCCTCTCATCTGTCTCTCTGTAATTTTTTGTTTTTTTTTTCTTTCTTGAAATGAAGTCTCATTCTGTTGCCCAGGCTGGAGTGCAGTGGCGCAGTCTCAGCTCACTGCAACCTCCGCCTCCCAGGTTCAAGCAATTCTCCCGCCTCCCGAGGTGGTGGCTGACAGCCTCCCGAGTAGCTGGAATTCCAGGTGTGTGCCACCACGCCTGGCTAATTTTTGTATTTTTGGTAGAGATGGGGTTGTTTCACCATGTTGACCAGGCTGGTCTGAAACTCCTGACCTCAAGTGATCCGCCCACCTCAGCCTCCCAAAATGCTCATCTGTCTCCTTGTTGATGTCTTCTTTCCAGAAAAAGAAAAAACCAAACTGCAGAAGCAGAGAGAGGATGAGCTAATCCAGAAGATCCACAAACTGGTGCAGAAGAGAGACTTCCTGGTGGACGATGCGGAGGTCGAGCGGTTAAGGTGAGTGCACTGCGGGTACCCGATCACTGGGCTGCAGGACAGCAACCTTCTGCTTCCTTCCAGAACCCATCTTCTGCTCCTGGGACTCACAGCCTTGCCTAACAGGCATGGCCTTGATCCACAGTCTCTGGACACTGAATCCCAAGGAACCCCAGCCTTCTGGCTTGAGAATTCATTTTGTATATAAGAGAATTTCAAATCTGTGCCTCTTGAGGGAATGTTGTTCCAGGAAGTGACCAGGGAGGAGTCACATCCCATAATACATGGCAGAGCTTCCTTCACATCCTGTCACTCCTGAAGGCAATGTCTTGAAACTTCTGCTATCAGTTTCTACCGAAACTCTGCCACCTGAACTGACTTGCTCCCAACCTCTGTCCTCCCAACCTCCCAGCTTTGTTCTCCCCTTTCCCTTCCCCTTAGTGGCGCCAATGCCCTTTTCTAAGTATCAGGGTCTTCTCTTTGCATCTGCTGCCTTGACCTCGACAACCACAGCCCTGGAGCTGCAGTGTAAAAACATGTTGTAAATGTTGAAAATGTGGAAAGCTGTACATGTTGGTTCTTGATTTTTGTTTCCTTACACCAGAGCAAAGCTTTTAGGGCCTTTCACAAGGAAAAAGGCCCTTCCAACCCAGAGGGCAACTTGCTCTTTATTGTCTGTGTTCTCAGAGACCTTTCTTCAAGGGTCCTGGGACTAGCAGTTCCACTGCCCTTCTTCATGCTGCAATGGACTTCTGGTTAATGAGAGAAACCAACTTTTCCCTCCTATCCAAATATTATATTCTATGGTCGGGTACAGTGGCTGACGCCTGTAATCCCAGCGCTTCTGGGAGGCCAAGGTGGGTGGATCACCTGAGGTCAGGAGTTCAAGACCAGCCTGGGCAACATGGTGAAACCCCGTCTCTACTAAAACTACAGAAATTAGCCGGGCGTGGTGGTGCATGCCTGTAATCCCAGCTACTTGGGAGGCTGAGGCAGGAAACAATCATTTGAACCCAGGAGGCAGAGGTTGCAGTGAGCCAAGATTGCACCAATGCACTCTAGCCTGGGTGACAGAGTGAGATTCCATCTCAAAAACAAAACAAAACAAAAAATACAGAAAACTACAACAAATATTATATTCTCCTTACCTCCGGTTCTGCTTCCAGATCTAGAAGAAATTATCAATGCCAGTCTTGGGCAGGCAGACAAGCTGCCCCAACATAGTGAGACCCCCCTATCTCTACAATTTTTTTTTTTAATTAACTAGGAGTGGTGGAGTGCTCCTGTAGTCTCAGCTACTTGGGAGGCTGAGGTGGGAGGATCTCTTGAGCCCAGGAGTTCAAGGCTTCTTGAGTTACGATTGCACCATTGCACTCCAGCCTGGGTGGCAAAGAAAGACCGTGTCTCTTCAAGGCAGTTCAGCAAGTCTGCACCCACCTACTTTATCTTGGTGATCCTTGGAAGAGCTGGGGTGACTCGCTCTCTGAGACCTGCCTCATACTTTGTGGGAGCACAGGTGAATAGGGTGGCTTCAAAATACAAGGTCAGGAGAGGTGCTGCCTCACTCACTGACCCCCCAGCAGGGTCCTGTAATGTCCCTGCCTCTGCCCTGGGGTCACATACCTACCTCTGGGTAAGCATTTACCCCATCATTGATATGTGTCTCTGGTTCAGAGCAGGTTCACCAGATACAACATATACATACTGTACACGCATAACACGTGACAACATACATGCCCCATCCACAAAGCCTGTTGCTTAACCTATTGGTTTATTTCATTGGTTCCTTGATGCTTTCCTTGCTTGCTGTGTATCTTCTTTTCTTTTACCCATCTACTTTCACAGGGAGCAAGAAGAAGACAAGGAAATGGCTGATTTCCTGAGAATCAAGTTAAAACCTCTAGACAAAGTAACCAAATCTCCAGCCAGTGAGTATATACATTATTCATTCCCCTCCCCCACAAAAGAGAAAAGTATATTTCAGGCCAGGCCCACAGTGGATCACGCCTGTAATCCCAGCACTATGAGAGGCCAAGGTGGGTGGATCACCTGAGGTCAGGAGTTCGAGACCAGCCTGGTCAACATGGTGAAACCCCGTATCTACCAAAAATATAAAAATTAGCTGGGCACGGTGGCACACACCTGAAATCCCAGCTACTCGAGAGGCTGAGGCAGGAGAATTGCTTGAACCCGGGAGGTGGGGGTTGCAGTGAGCTGAGATTGGGCCACTGCACTCCAGCCTGGGTGACAGGGTAAGACTTTGTCTCAAAAAAAAAAAAAAAAAAAAAGGCCATTTCAGAGAAGTCTGGGAGCCATAAGGGGCGCAACAAAATGCTTTCTAGAGATCAGATCTAGAGATCAGATTTCAGCATGGGATGACAGCAGGCAGGACCAGCCTCACGGGCCTGCAGGCAGTTGCCTGGGGCCTCATGCCTGACCAGCCTCATGGGCCTGTAGGCAGTTGCCTGGGGCCTCATGCCTAGAAGGGTGCCATGCTTGGTTTAATGTTCTCCTGTTGCTGTCTAGAAATTGTTAATACGTTTGGAACATGGGGCCCTACATTTTCATATTGGATTGAACTCTGCAAACTACGTACCTGGTCCTGGTAGTTGTTCCTCCCTAATTGCAAAGTTTGGTGCATTTCATAGAAAGAATTGGGTAGCTACTGAGGCTCAGGGAGCTCTGGCCTCTCTTAGGTCTGGAATCTCTGGAGAAGCCAGAAGCATATGTCTCAGAATATTAACCTCATCAGATCCTCAGAGCAAAGAGGGTTTTATATGAAATAAGTTTGAGAAATGCTGTTTACTTGACCCTGTATTTGGAGAGTCCCAGTGTCCATTAGGATATTAAAGTGATGATGGATCCTGCTGTCAAGAAACTGTCTTTTCTTTGTTGACCCAGCGTTTCTCAAATGTGTTTAACTGCTGTATTAGTGAGGCCTCTTTCAGTTAGAAGAAATGGATGCCTGGCTGGGCGCGGTGGCTCACGCCTGTAATGCCAGCACTTTGGGAGGCCGAGGCGGGCGGATCACAGGTCAGGAGATCGACACCATCCTGGCTAACACGGTGAAGCCCCGTCTCTACTAAAAATACAAAAAATTAGCCGGGCTTGGTGGTGGGCGCCTGTATTCCCAGCTACTCGGGAAGCTGAGGCAGGAGAATGGCGTGAACTGGGGAGGCGGAGCTTGCAGTGAGCCGAGATCACACCACTACACTCCAGCCTGGGTGACACAGCAAGACTCCATCTCAAAAAAAAAAAAAAGAAAGAAAGAAAAGAAATGGATGCCCAATTCAAACTGGTCTAAGCAAAAAAAGGAATTTGTTGGAGAAAGAGCAACAAGAACTAGAGCCTCAAGGACTGAACACTATTACCTCCCCTCCTTTTCTTCTTTTTCTCATCTCTGCCTCTCTTTGCATGTAAGCATCATTTTTTCCTACAACACAGGCCTTCTCCATGGGACCAGAACCCTAGAACCATAGCTTAGCAACTCTGAAGCAATACCACAGGTTCTTTTCCCTGGTATCGAAATACATAAGTCTCAGGGAAATATTCTCACCCGCCCTTCTGGGATTATGTTCCCACCTCTTAGATCCATTACCATCACCAAGAGGCTGGGGGTACTGGGATTGGCCAGGAATGTATAACATGCCCACTCCTGCAGCCACAGGGACATGAGCTGTTAGAGGAAGAGGGACTTGAAATCTTGCTGGGAAGACAAAAACCAAAAGCTGCCACTGTCTATAAAACTACAAACCCAGTTTTCATTAACATCCTGTGAAAGATGGTTGGAGGGAGTAAGGAAAGAGAAGGGCAATGATCTCTTCTGCTGGCTCCTATAACCACAAGGCACGTGATCACTGCCGAAGGCCAGCATCCTCAGTGGACCCTTTCATGAAAGGCAAGGTAGAAAAACTCCACTTAGCAGCATGGAGGAGGAGCAAGGAAACTTGCCTTCTCTATTGGATTATGGGTGGAAAAAAGAAATGATTCTGGCGAGAAATCAAAACACCAAGCATGCACCACATGCAAGGGGCCAACTTTACACTACTCATCTGGTACTGGAATTCCAAGTTGAAAAATAAAAACTATTGTAAAACCAGTGAAATCTCTGGGATCCTAGCAGATTTAGCAAATGCAAAACTGCTCAGTAGGGATTCTTCTGGATCCCATGGTATACAGTATTCTCACAGAAAAAAGCAACCCCCTTGAAGATGAGCCCTCAATAAAAATGAAAAACCCGGCCGGGCACAGTGGCTTATGTCTGTAATCCCAGCACTTTGGGAGGCCAAGGTGGGCAGATCATGAGGTCAGGAGCTCGAGACCAGCCTGACCAATATGGTGAAACCTTGTCTCTGCTAAAAGTACAAAAATTAGCCAGGCATGGTGGCGCACACCTGTAATCCCAGCTACTCAGGAGGCTGAGCAGGAGAATCGCTTGAACCCAGGATGCGGAGGTTGCAGTGAGCCAAGATCACACCACTGCACTCCAGCCTGGGTGACAGAGCGAGACTCCATCTCAAGAAAAGAAAAGAAAAGAAAAACCCATGAAGAACTGAATCACCATGAGGAGAATCAGTAGATGCACCAAAGAGAATGTCCTCCCAAGAACCAAAAATATAGAACTATTTAAAAAGGAAAATAAACTAAGTACTTTTAAATGATCAAAGAGCTAAGAGAAGGAATAAAACCCAAAATGAAATAGTAAGATGCTATGAAAAAAGAATAAGTAGACATGCAAAAAACTGGCCTTCTGAAATTTTTTTTTATCAATAAAGTAAAAACTCAATGGATTAAATACAGAGACACAGCTGAAGGGAGAATTTATACATTGGAAGACAGCCCTGAGAAAGTTACACAGAATGCAGCACAAAGAGAAAAAGAGATGAGAAATATGAAAGAGAAGTTATAAAACCGAGAGGATAGAGTGAGAAGGTCCAACTTACATGTGATAGGCATTCTAGGAGATAAAACAGAGAATGGGAGGTGGAGGTATCTGAAAAGACAATGTATGAGCATTTTCAAAAATTGAAAAATATGAGCCCTCAGATTGAAGTGACTTGAACAAAATTTCCCATTTATCTATTTACCAAATACTTCTTGGATGTCAGGCCCTGTGCTAGGCTTGGCAGGTACAATGATGATAACAGCTGACTAGGAGAAGGGCTGAAAGTTAGGGTTGGAAGCTGAGCATTGAGGACCATATAAAATGAGGACTATAAAATGAGGACCAGCTGAGGATCATATGAAATGTGCATCAGCTCTCCATACCACCTGAACAAGGCCTGGAACAAGACCTGGCCAGGGGTTGCAGTGGGGCTGGGCTGCAGATGGTCAGGGCTCTGCTCACCTCACCTCTCTCTCTCTGTTCCTTTCTCCCCCTCTCCCTGTGCCCACATCTTGCTGCAGGCTCCCGGGCAGAGAAGAAAGCAGAGCCCCCACCTAGCAAGCCCACGGTGGCCAAGACGGGGCTGGCACTGATCAAGGATTGTTGCGGGGCCACCCAGTGCAACATCATGTAGCCCCCACGTGGGGTGCCCTGGGCCATGGGGACCCCCCCCCCACCCTCTTGTCTTTATAGCCCCCATTTCACCGGGGCCCAAGAGCTCTCCAAGGCAGAAGGGGTTGAAGGCAAGCCCGTGACTGTCACCAGAGGCCATGGGCACGGCAGGCGGGCCTGGCCACCCTGTACAGAGTGTAGCAGTAGGGAGTCTCTCACCGTCGCATGGTCCTCCCCAGAGCATGCCGAACCCAGGAGTCTGTCTCACTGTTTATCCAAACACCAGGAAAGGTCCTCCCTCAAAAAAGCATATCTCCACTTCTCTCTAGCTGTATCTAACCCACCGTGTGAATGAACTGGGAGAGGGGCATGCTCCCCAGCTGTGTGTAGTCGTGACTTCTCAACAATCTAGCACCATGTCGGACACGTTCCCCATCCACCCTCCTAGCTCTGCTCTCAGAGCTAGGCACATGGGCACAGGTCCCCTCCCGTCTGTCCTCTCCCAGCAACTGTGCCCTGGAGGGCTCCACATGGCCCCCGTGTCTCTCGGGCACCACCCATATAGCAGTCCCAGAGGGCCCATCTGTAAAGATCGAGCTTGTGTGTGGTGTCGTGGTCACATCTCCCGCTTCCCCCCATCCTGTGTCTGGGCACAGTTCACATCAGGACAGCGTCCATTGTGCTCTCAGTCTGCCTCAGGTGTGTGCCTGGAGGGGGCCTGGACTGGCATGGATCCAGTGTGCAGAAGAGCCAGCAGGGAACCGGAAGCTCTGATGTCAAGGCCAGAGCAGTTGAGAATGGGACCCAGAGTAGATGCTGACCTGGGCACTCCACCATTCCGGGGCCACCACAGAGATGCCAGCAGGATGCCACTTTGCCAGCCCGACACACGGACCTTTGTAAAGAACAGCAACAGGCAGGAGAGGCAGCGTGTGACCAGATTGTGTCCCGTCATTGGGTGGCATATGTTAACTAGCTGCCAAACAACTTCAACCCGTGTAATTCATGTACATTTGCAACAGCCAGCCCGGTACAGCCTGTGTGACTTCTCTGTATGTGTGTGTGTGTCGTGACCAGCCTAAGTAGTTAGCATAACTCAAGATGCTGATGTGCAGTCACCCATCAGAGAAAATAAAAATGGAAACCACGTTCACAGCATTTTAAAAGTTTTTACTTTTTTTCTTGATTATGGAAGTAATCCATGTACATAGTAAATCATTTTAAAAGTACAAAAAGTATGAAGAAGTTTGTCTTAAAAAAAAAAAAAATTATTCCTCCAACTAGAGACCACTCTGATGTTTCGACGTTTTAAAAAAGTCTTTTTTTGTGCATTTTTTCATCGTTGACATCATATTGTGGTATCATTTATAACCAGTTTTTTCCTACTTATTATACCACCATCTTCCACATCATTAAAAGCTCTTTGTAAACATTAAACACTCTTCATAAATCATGCCAATGTCTGTTTAGTAATCCATCTTGTGGATGTACTGTAATTCATCTAATCATTTCCTCACTATTGGATGTGTAGACTGGTTCTAGGTTTTCTTATAAATAGTGTCTTGGATTAGCCAGGCATGGTAATGGGTGCCTGTAATCCCAGCTACTTGGGAGGCTAAGGCAGGAGAATCACTTGAACCCAGGAGGCAGACGTTGCGGTGAGCCGAGATCGTGCCATTGCACTCCAGCCTGGGTGACAGAGCAAGACTCCATCTCAAAAAAAAACAAAAAAAGTGTCTTGGGCCAGGCGCTGAGGCGGGAGGATTGCTTGAGTCCAGGAGTTCGAGACCAGCCTGGGCAACATGGCAAAACCCTGTCTCTACTAAAAATACAAATAGCTGGGCATATGCGGTGGCGCGGGCCTGTGATCCCAGCTACTTGGGAGGTGGGAGGATTGCTGGAGCCTGGGAGGTTCCAGCTGCAGTGAGCCATGATCACACCACTGTATTCCAGCCTGGGCAACAGAGCAAGATCGCACCCCCTGGAAAAAAAAAATAGTGTCTTGATAAACATCTAGGGGGATAAGGTTTCATCTGAATTTTTTATTTTTTCCTTAAGATAAACTCCTAGAAGTAAAATTATTGGGCCATTCATAAGTAGCATTTTCAAAATATTTGTAAATTGGCTGGGTGCGGTGGCTCGCATCTGTAATCCCAGCACGTCGGGAGGCAGAGGCAGGCTGATCACTTGAGGCCAGGAGTTCGCGACCAGCCTGGCCAATACAGAGAAACCCCATCTCTACCAAAAAATACAAAAATTAGCTGGGTGTGGTGACTTGTGCCTGTAATCCCAGCTACTCAAGAAGCTGAGGCAGGAGAATCTCTTGAACATGGGAAGCAGAGGTTACACTGAGCTGAGATTGCGCCACTGCACTCCAGCCTGGGTGACACAGCGAGACTTCGTCTCGAAAAAAAAAAAAAAATTTGTAGATCAAAAGGTCTTTGGTTGGACAGGCCCTCCCAGCAGGCTGCTAGACCCCAGTCCTCCCACTCTGCGTGTTCGCGGCTTTGGTCTGCACACCACTTCCCACCATTCTGATGCTGAAAAGGGTCCCTTGGGCTACTCAGTGCCACCACAATGGCCTCAGAGGACCCCGTGTCCTCCTTCACCAACCTAGACCAATCATGAAGCCAGACTCTTCGTGTACTGGGGATGCCATAATGAATGACCTTCTACTGGGTGACTTAAAACAGTGGAACCGTCTCCTTTCACAGTCCTAAAGGCCAGAAGCCTGAAATCAACCTGTCTGCGGTGCTCTGCTCCCTCTGTGGGGAAGAATCTTCTTTTGCCTCTTGCAGCTCCTGGTGGCTCCTGGCACCTTGGCAGTTCCCTGGCTGCACCACTCCAGTCTTCACCTCTGTCTCCACGTGGCCGCCTCCGCTGTATATGTGCCTCTGTGCACCCTCTCATCTTAAAAAGACACCAGTCATTGGAGTGAGGGCCACCCGAATGCAGTATGATCTCATTTGGACCCTTTCCTTAATTACTTCTGCAAAAACCCTCTTTCCAACCAAGGTCACATTCTGAGGCTCCACGTAGACATGCATTTGGGGAGGACCCAATTCCACCCACCACAGACCCCTCCCGCTCCAACGTGCAGTGAAAACTCAGGCTGCAAAGGGCCCACCGCCCTCTTTTCCCCATAAAAAATGTGGGTCAAGGCTGGGCACTGTGGATCATGCCTGTAATCCCAGCACTTTGGGAGGCCGAGGTGGGAGGCTCACTTGAGGTCAGGAGCTCATGACCAACTTGGCTAACATGGTGAAACCCCATGTCTACTAAAAATACAAAAATTAGCAAGTGTGGTGGCACATGCTTGTAATCCCAGCTACTCGGGAGGCTAAGGCAGGAGAATCGGTTGAAACCAGGAGGCGGAGGTTGCAAAGAGCCGAGATCGCACCATTGCACTCCAGCCTGGGCAACAGAGTGAGACTCCATCTCGGAAAAAAAAAAGGGGGGGCTTGGGGGGTCCGGGCGTGGTGGCTCAAGCCTGTAATCCCAGCACTTTGGGAGGCCGAGGCGGGCGGATCACGAGTTCAGGAGATCGAGACCATCCTGGCTAACACGGTGAAACCCCATCTCTACTACAAATACAAAAAATTAGCCGGGCGTGGTGGTGGACGCCTGTAGTCCCAGCTACTCAGGAGGCTGAGGCAGGAAAATGGCGTGAACCCGGGAGGCGGAGCTTGCAGTGAGCAGAGCTTGCGGTGAGCAGAGATTGTGCCACTGCACTCCAGCCTGGGCGACAGAGCGAGACTCCATCTCAAAAAAAAAGGGGAGAGGGGAGTGGGGGGGTCAGCGAGGTCTGACCTCAGGCCAGTTATACAGCAGTCACTCACAGATCCAACGAACCAGAGGAGATCAAACCCTCATCAAAATCCTGCCTCTGGTACTTCCGCTAAGCTCTGGGTACACCTACTGTATGTTCCTGTAATTCCTACTGATTTTTTTAAAAAAAGAAAACATTAAAAAATCCAATTTATTTAAGCTGTCACAGACGCTTCCAGATTACCAGGGCCACCTTCCAAGCTGGGAAACCTTGCAGACTGTGGGGTCCTGCACACCTAGACTTGCTCCTTTTAGAAGCCATGGAGGAGGTTGATAATGGGAATAACATTTATTGTAGCTTATCTCTATGCCTTGAGCAATGTGCTCACACTGGCTGGTTCCCTCCTCACATCAGCCTGATGAGTCAGATCCTGTTATTACTTCTCACTTTACAGATGAGGAAGTAGCAGTAAATCCATTACCCTTTTCAAGCGGAGGTTGCAAGAGGTTGCAAGCGGAGGCAGAATAAACACTTGAAACAGTGAGTCAGATCCTGTTATCACTTCTCACTTTACAGATGAGGAAGTGGCAGTAAATCCACTGCCCACGGTCCCAGGGGTTGTTAGTGACAGAGTCATCATTCATCTCCCTCCCTCCCCACCACTGTAGCCCCAATTGTTCTTTCTCTTCCCATCGGAGGGATTTAAACAGGTCTCTCCCATTTAAAAGCAAACAGGGCTGGACACGGTGGCTCACGCCTGTAATCCCAGCACTTTGGGAGGCCGAGGCGGGCAAATCACGAGATCAGGAGATTGAGACCATCCTGGCTAACATGGTGAAAACCCATCTGTACTAAAAATACAAAAAAATTACCTGGGCATGGTGGTGGGCGCCTGTGGTCCCAGCTACTCGGGAGGCTGAGGCAGGAGAATCGCTTGAACCTGGGAGGCAGAGGTTGCAGTGAGCCGAGATTGCGCCACTGCACTCCAGTCTGGAGACACAGCAAGACTTTGTCTCAAAACACACACACACACACACACACACACACACACAACACAACACAACAACAACAACAACAAAAAAAGTGTCCTCTTCCTTTTAGAGAATTTAAAAAACAGGGTGAAACCCCATGTCTACTAAAAATACAAAAATTAGCAAGTGTGGTGGCACATGCTTGTAATCCCAGCTACCCGGAAGGCTAAGGCAGGAGAATCGGTTGAAACCAGGAGGCGGAGGTTGCAAAGAGCCGAGATCGCACCATTGCACTCCAGCCTGGGCAACAGAGTGAGACTCCATCTCGGAAAAAAAAAGTGGGGGCTTGGGGGTTCCGGGCATGGTTGACTGTGTGACTATATTATATCTATACATAATATATAGATATATATCTATATATAATATATAGATATCTATATATTATATATAGATATATATCTCTATTATATATAATAGATATATCTATTTATATATAGATATTATAGAGACATCTATATCTATATCTATATATAATATCTATATTATATTACGCCTGTAATCCCCGCACTTTGGGAGGCCGAGGCAAGTGAACCACTTGAGGCCAGGAGTTTGAGACGAGCCAGAGCAACATGGCAAAACCCCGTCTCAAAAAAAATTAGCCAGGTGTGGTGGCAGCATCTGTAATCCCAGCTGTTCGGAGGCTGAGGCATGAGAATCGCTTGAACCCGGTAGGAGGTTGCAGTGAGCCGAGATCGTGCCACTGCACCCCAGTCTGGGCGATAGAGTGAGACTCTGTCTCAAAAAAAAAAAAAATGTATTTCCTGATTCTTGCCACACCTGCCCTTGATGCATCAGACTCTGGCTGCTGAAATACCAAGGGCGGCGACCCTGCAGCCCCAGTGTGGATTTGTCTGCACTTGCTGATACCAGAAACTGCAGTGGGGGCAGGTGGGTGGTAGGAGCGGGGGTTCCCTCATGCCCAGGCCCTGCACCTGGGAAGCCTTTGGAGGCCATCACATGAGCTGCCTGAGGCGGATGGAAGAGACGGTGCCAAGCAGGCCCAATATGTTCCCTGCTGGCCCTGGTACTGCTCCCCTGCGGATGCTCCTGGTTGGTTCACCACCTCGTGCGGAGTGAGGAGCTGAGCAGCCCAGCCACTGAGCAGGATTTCCCTCTAAGAACGGCCCCTTCCACCCTGCAATGCCTTCTTCCTCTGCACCTCAGCTCCCCCACTTCCAAGGCGTTCCTTCCCGGAACGTGTGTATTCTTCTCTTCATCTTGCTAAGGAAAGTTCTGGCTCTTGGTGCTCTGGCTTGGCACCTTCTAAGCTCTCTAGCCCTTTTCCCCCCGCCCCCCCCCCCCCCAAAAAAAAGCGTTCTCAGCCAGGCGTGGTGGCTCATGCCTGTAATTCCAGCACTTTGGGAGGCTGAGCCCAGAGGATCACTTGAGCTCAGGAGTTCAAAACTAGCCTGGCCAACATGGTGAAACCTCATCTCTACTAAAAATACAAAAATTTGCCAGTGTGATGGTGCACATATGTAATCCCAGCTACTCGGGAGGCTGAGACAGGACAATCGCTTGAACCTGGGAGGTGGAGGTTGCAGTGAGCTGAGATTATGCCACTGCACTCCAGCCTGGGTGACAGAGTGAGACTGTCTCAAAAAACCAAAAAACAAAACAAAAAACCACTCAGGCTTAGCCATTTCTCTGGGGTCTTCATTTCCTTATGAAGACTCTCGCAAAACTGGTATGAAGTAAAATTTGTTTGCTTTTTTCCTATTAATGTCTTTGTCAGTTTAAGGCCCAGCCAGGGACACTAGGAGAATTGAGGAAGTTTTGCCGCCCACCGCCCCCCCCCCCAGCAATGGGGACAGCAGGTGGGTGGAGGCCGCTGAGGGCTTCTGCGCCATGACTCACCCTCTGCCCATGGAAGCAGCTAGAAAGTGAAGGTGAATCCCAAAGCGCAACGCTCCTTCTGGCAAAGGGAACAGAGAGGGAACAGATCTTCTTCAATCAGCGCAGCCCCCTCTGCTACGGACAGGTCTGCTCTCCCCCAGACAGCTGTCTTCTAGGCCCCCACCTCTGAATCACCTTCCTAGGTGGGAAACAAACAAAGATAAATGCAAAGCCACCGTTCCAGCCCCAGTCCACACCTAACAAGACCTCCTGACGCCGCTCAAAAGGGGCACGATGGCTACTCAACTTTTTCTGCACAAATTTGCCATCGTGAAATGTTTGGAAAGGTCTTTAGCAGCTTTTAACATTGCTGAACTTGAAAAAAATGTCATCAAGAAGCAATTTACTCAAGTCTCTTCTGGGTCCTTTTAAATTCTTGCCAGAGGGTGCTGGTGGCAGGGGTGACGGGGTAATGGCGGTCTCAGGGGATGGGAGGGCTTCACAACTGTATCTGTGGAATAACTCTTTTCCAAATTGGCTTATTCAAAAAGCATGCTTAGCAGTGACCAAAAACGAGACAGCGGGCACGCTGGATTTCTTTCACAAGAAGAGAGAGCCTAGGAATTAATAGAGTTTTCTAACTGGAAGGTTTTTGTGGTTACTGTATTTTCCCACATGTAATTATAAGCTGGAACAAAGGCTGGAAAACTTGGAGGATCCTGACGACGAAGGGCCCACCATCCAGCCACCTGCTTCGGCGTGTGCTGAGTTTAAAAGGCCTCTAAGATGTAGACGGATTTACTCTCCACCTCACAATTCTATTTCCAGAAGGGGAGAGAAGTTGAGGAGACCCAAAATGAAAGATGGCAGAACTGTATTGGTTTGTAATTCCTCCCCACAGACAGACAGACAGACAAAACCACTCACTTGGGAAACTCAAAATAGATGCTCGCTTGTAAAGTTTATTGACAACTGTTTGGTCCCAACACACAAAACAGCACTTGAACCACAACAAAAGTGTTCAAACAAAGTAGACAACTAAGAAAAACATCTCTTTCCCCCAAACCCAATCCAAAACAAACAGTGCAAGATGGGAAAGGGGGTTTTGGTGATAACTTTTGTCATTTTTTTAAACAGATAAATTTAATCCGGTATATCTTTCCACCCAGAAATAAAGAATTACATTGTCTTAATGCTCAAACATCATTTTACCACATCATTTAATTAAGCCTCTGGATAAAAAAATAGATAGCAATTGGACTGGCCATTGTGGAGTACATTATGAACACAATGTGCTTCCGAAGTCTTCTCTCTCATTTTCAGACAGCAATTGTTAAGAGTCACACACACGTCCCAGACCTAAGCAGCAACTCCAGTGAATGGTACTCAGACACACTCACGGGACAGCACAGAACTTGATTCTTCTTTGTCTGTTGCCCAAAGAACCTGTTCTTTGAGTCTGTTCCAGGTGACTTGTAATGATACCTCTTACGGTTTTAAAGTCCACCACTCTTTACATGCTAGCAGAACTGAAGTCCAAGCGTGCAAACTCAGCCTTATGAAATCTTAGAATAAGGCAACTGATGTTCTCAACACCAATTATTATTACTTTGTTTAAAAGCTCCTTTAAAAAAAATTGCACATTTGCATTTCACTTCCTGTAACACTATGTCTGTAGAGGAAATGCCTTCAGGAGGATTCGGAGAGTGCCATAATACTTACAGGGTTTTTTCCATGGTGTTCTGTCTTGACTGGGGCCATGTGTTGAGAACTGGGAGTCACTGGCTTCATTTAAAAGATTTGGGGAACAAAAAATCTGACTTGTAAAAATCTCTCTATAGCCCTTATTTTGTGGCATTTTATCAAAATGCTATGAAATCAGAGTCCATTTTCTGGCTTTCTAGAAGTTACCAAATATAAACATTTCCCCAAAAGAAACCATCTAACTAGTGGAAGACCTTACGCCAACAGGTTCTTTCTGCTCTATGAATGAATCCGCCTTTTTTGCCGGACAAATACAATCCATTGTAAATGTCAGGTTTCTCTAGAGGGGGGTGAGAGGCCACCCGTCAGCGGACACCTCAGGCACCTAGAGAGGAAGGCCATTCCACACCAGACGCCACAAGAAACCCAGAGATGCTTCCAACAGCGAGAAGTAACGAGAGTAAAATCAGACACGATTAAAAGATGCTGAGCTGACATACACACACATAAAGCTTCCCAGCTACCGATACCAGCTTTAAAATTACAATAACAAGGTTAAGTGGATCAACCTTGGCCTTCCTATGTGTAGGTAGAATTCCTGTCTCTTCCCAGTGGAAATCGTATTGATCCCGCTGCTGCTGAAGCACCTCCCCACTCAGCTCTGATTTGTAATTTATGCACTTGATGCATATTTTAGAAAATCAGGCTCTTTCCAATGCTGCCTCTCGACACACAATAATGTGTGTTGTAATCCAAATGCTGACTTTAAATCCATGACATCGAGACCATCTCCTTTTCCTTAACCTAACCCATATCAAACTGGAACACAGAAGGGAAGCTTCAAACATCCTCAACTTTCTAGAAAGCTCCTAAATGGAACCCCAAAGTAGAAACGTTTAAAAAAATTTGTGATGAAGCCACTTTTGTCAACTACAGACATAGTTTAAATAAAAAACAAGGCACACTTACAAGTCACATGGAAGCCAGGAACCTTCACATTCCAACCTGAAAATACACTCCGAACCCCTCGCCTACCCTTCTCCTTTGGTGTGTGAACACACAGGCTAGCGGGACAGGCTTTGCTTCAAAGACATGCCACGCACTGGGTTAATACTGTCGGAAACACCAGTAAGCAAAGGCTGAGAGACTCTATTATGCTACATGTAGGATGACACCACCGACGTGGCTCAATGGAAGCAAAACCGCTTCCTGCTAGTTGAGTTTTTAGTGCTTTCTTCTTTTGGAACACCATTGTATTTCATAATAGTTACTAAAAATTTGGTAAAATATATTAAGGATTCTTTAACAAATGCCACAAGTTCTTCAAATAATTGAAAAAAGAAAGAAAAAGGAAGAAGAAAAGAAAGACTTCAGCTCAAAGCTGTGTTCAATGGAAAAGAAAAACATGATAGAACACAGGTAAGATGAAGTCAATGGCTTCGGGGGGTTTTCATGACACAGAAAAGGATGTATTTTTGAAACCCACTTTTGTGTGCAGAATCAGACAGTGTTTTCCCATCCTAATTCTATATTCCAAATGGGAGTTAAAGCTTGGTTATAGGTGCTAAGGAAAAGTTGGCTGCCAATTTGACTCTATTTTTGGGTTGCTTTTTGGCCGGGCTTTCCACGGGGTCCTTGCTGAGCAGTGACTCGGAGGTTTCCGAGGAGGGGCAGGGAGGCACGGGGACAGCTGCTGAGATGCAGGACGAGCTGGAGTCAGAGGTCAGAGTTTTGCTCTTTCCTGGTATTGGAATCTCCATTTTTTCTTCTTGGTTTAAAATCATAATTTCTGTAAACACAGAAAAGCAAACAGATTCAGATCCAGGAACTGTAAGAAGTGTGGGTTTTCTCTTCCTTGCTCATATTTTCTCAAAAGATAATAATAGTAATAAAAAGCTTCTAAATGCTACATCTATGCCACAGTTTACATATGAGTTGTGTGGCCAGTGAACTTGGCACAGAAATCAAGTATCTATAAACTGCATCCCACCTCTCCCACTGGATTACAAAGTTGGAAAGATCTCTATTTTGAGCTATAAATGAATGAGCAAAGGTTAAAACTTTTTGTTTTTCCATTTTGGATTCTCTGCCCATTCATTCTGCCTGCCAGATATTAAGGACCCATAAAGCTATCCACGACTTAGAGACTTCCTGAGGCGGGAGGCCGTGGGTGGTAGGGGGTGGGGTCGGAGCATCTGGGTGTCAGGGAGCTCCTGGCCTGCTCCATTTAGAGAGGACCTATGCTCCCCATGGGTCTATTACCGGGGATAAGGAAGGACTACGCAGAGTGAGAATTACCCTCAGAACCCAGGAAGTTGAGCACAGCCAGCTTTCCCACAGTGCTTCTGGACTGCCATTTCTGTGGCTGAGCCACATGTAATTCACCTGCTCTACACACAGGGCCACGCTGCTTGAAAGAGATGCATCATTATGCCTTAGACTCCCACTGCATAGGGCACAGGGCTCCTGCTCCCAAAGGCCCATGGAAGGTGAGAGTGGCAGAGGGGACAGCAGAGCCAGCTCCCTGCCTAGGCTGACCCTCAAGAGAAGAGCGGCTGACAGAACTGCCCACAGTGTTTTAATTATTTTCCTCTCTTGTCCGGTGCATGCAGTTGAACTTGCCCAGACTGAAGGCACAAAGGCCACAACCCCACAAACGAGCTAACATCAATGTGCCACCAACCCTAGGGGGGCACTGCACAGGAGCAGGGCATGGTCTAGGTCTGACTGCACAGGCTGGTTCTATCCGCAGGCAGTTACTTCCCCATCTCCTATTTTCCAAGTCAACAGCCTCAGTTCTTTTCCTGGGCAACAGTGCTGAACGCTGCCAAGAACAACCAAGATGGTAAAAGCCAAGCCAGGAGTCCACGGGTTGTTCCTGGTGACCTGGAAAGCAGCACCAGCAGTGGGGAGGAGTTGGGTTCCAACAGATGAAGAGCAGGGAGGGATCTGTACAGGGCAGATGGGCCATCCTCTCCAGAGGCCAGGAGACACCGCAGGACAAGAGGGCTTGGGTTCCAATGCCGGCTCTGCCCTTGCTAGCCCAGCAGCCCGGGGCCACTGCCTCTCTAGTGACGGCACCAGCTGTGCCTTAGTCACGCAGCCTGTGGAATAAAGCAGCTGCCTTTATTCCACGGCTCTCACCTGGAGCCGTGGTAAGAGTTAAATGTGATGGTGTCTGTCAGCCCTGAGCACAGGGTCAGTGCCAATGCCTGCACTAGGCTGGGACTCAGTGTGCTCAGCTTCCTGTCTGTTATATCACTGGGCAGAGTCCGGGGCTCCAGCCACAGACACCTCCCTCCATTCACCCCTTTATAAAGCCCTTGGGCCCTCTGGACCCCCACCATGGGTGACGTGTACATCTGGTGACAGGTGTGCCTGAGAGCAGCTGAACCTTCACAAAGTCTGGGAGAGCAGAAGCCCAGGAGGCCCCACCCACCCCTGTGGACTCGCCCACAGCCCCGAGCCACCAGCCCTCCAGAGCTGCCAAATCGCCCTTGCCTGATGCTCGCCAGGCAACCTCAGGCTGTGCATCCCATTCTGCAGGAACCCAGGTGGGGAAAGAAGGTCGAATAATCAGCACAGTGTTTTCCACCTGAAAAGGGGTAGTCCCTTCCCACCTCCGTCATTTACTATATCAGTATCTCATCGTGGTTTTGTTTTAAACCCCGAAGAAAATCCCCATGACAACATGGAGTCACCCACCAGAAGGCTCTTGAGGGCGCTCCTCAAACTGAATGAGATCAGCAGATTGGAGGATAACGGGGTCTGGTCTCAGCTGAGGGGACGGCAGGCACGAGGGGACAGGCGCACACAGGAGGTCGACGGGGGAGTCGTCGGTCAGGCGGAGAAGCTCCTGCTCTGTGTGACTGGGCCCTGGGCAAACAAGGAGGGCCGTGACACCACAGGACCTCCACGCCCACCCCCAGCACACACCCTGGGCTCACACCTGAAGTTTTCCTTCTAAGCCTTAAAGATAAGAGAGTCAAGAAGTATTTAAGGTATTAAAAAAAAAAAAAAAAAAAAACAAAAACCCAAAACCCACTAACAGGAAGATCCTGGTAATGGAACGCCTTAATAAGCTAGTTCTTCTGAAGATCCGTGTTCTTAGGAACACTGGCCCCTCAAAAGACCCAACCAGAGAAAAGGGTCCTGCAGTCAGCTTCCAAAGAGAAGGGACAGCCTGAGACGGGGTGTACGTAGTTAACAGCAAGTGGAAGCTCAGAATCCGAAGCCCTGGGCCTGGTTCCGTGGCTTCCTAGCTGCTGACTCTGGGTGAGCTGTAATACGTGACTGCCTGAGATTTCCGAGCCTCCGCTGCACAACGGAGGTCAGCACTGCTGAAGGCTGTGGGGCAGCTTCGGCAGATGATTCCCAGGAGGGCGCTTCATAAAACGTCAAATGCTGTGTAACTCAGTTATCCTAAGGGCACAGGGGACGGTAACGTGCTATCTCGCCGCATGTTATGAAGACAAAATTCTCACCTATAACGATGAATTCAAAAGTCCTTCAGAAAAGTTAGAACTGCTATAACATTCCAAGAATTGGCCTCTATCTACTACAGAGGTGGATCTATCTGAAATCTATGTGACTCAGTGTAATTTTGGGTAATATTAATGCATTAGTATATCAAATCCTGCCTAGGGCTGTCCTGTGACAAAGACGCCTTGACCAGCCATGAGTCAGGCACCCTGAGCCCTCTTCCGGATCAGGCCTGACCTTGGCCTTCCATGTCTGTTGCTGAACTTGCCGGCTCGCTCTAGAGTCTTAGCTTGAGTCAGTTTAGTGAGAATCCCCTCACCCTTCACAGCTGATCGAATTCCTTATTCCCAACCACTGATGTCTAGATCCTTGGCTGGCCTGCATGCCTATAGCAAGAATCCTCTTAGTAATTTTCCACCCACTGAGCCCTCACTCTGCTCCTAGGCTATGTATTGGGAGTTGGCTCTCTCTCCCCTGTTGCAAGTGTCATGAATATCCATTATAATAAGTGTCGGAATAATTTTTTTCTTCAACATCTGAACTGGGGTAAGATGATCATTATGGGGGTGCCAACATCCTTCAGGGACTTTAACCAGTCAACCATGCAATGCTAACAGATAAAGGTCAATTTTATCCTGTTACTAACTAAATACCAAAACTGCTTTGAAAAATGTGTGGCTATGTAACTTCAGCAGATTGGATGACTTGCTGGAGTCCTTTCCCTCGCTCTCCCCGACCCCAAAGCCGTTTCTCCTAGAATTTCACAAGCTCCTATGTCTCTGCTTTTCCTCTCTTACCACTGCCGTCAGCTCCAAGCTTGAGTTCCGAGGCTGTGTGCGATTCGGGCACCTCCAGGATGCGCTCGCCCTCCGAGGGCTGGTTTTCATGATTGGCAGGGGAGAGACTGAGTGAACTCAAACGACCTACAGGACAAAGAGCACCCGTCAGAGAGAAATGTCAGTGAGAGAACCGTGATTTTTTAAGGGGGGAGGGGATGGGTGCTTACTTACTTTTCATGTCATTTTTTAACACTACAATTCTCTTATGACCATGTCCTTTTATCCAGACCACCTGCACACAAGACATACTACTGGTTAAGCAGCGGAAAAGGAGGGGACAGAAGCCCTAACATTCAGGAAGAGTGTGACCTACGGAGCCTGCCTTAGGCTAGAATTTAGGAGCTGAGTTACTGCCAAGAAGCATGTTTCTCTACTCTCTCCTTAGCTTTTAAAGCAACAGAAGCTGACAGAAACATACCCCTATAAAAAGCAGAGTAGTTCAAAAATCATGAGACACAGTTTCAGAAATATCCTTTATAATTCTTAAAAAGACTGTCTTCCAAACACCAGCTTTGGCATATAAATTAAGGTAGTTCTCACATGAGAGCTCTTTGCCATTTTTTTGCAGAAACTGAACAACCACCTAAAAGAATTAAGAGCAATCTCTCAGACCCTTTAAACTAAGTTCATTATCAGCATCTTAAAGTCCTCTCCCTGATGGTGCCGCTCTCCATCTCAGCCAAGCAGAGTGGTAGTAGTGGAGCTAGGCTCCCAGGCCCCCTACATGTGCACACCGTCGCCAGGTCACTGATCTCAGCTCCCAGGCAAGCTTTGCCTGGGTCCTTCCTACTTCCTCTATTCTACTATTTTTACTCTGGCTCAATCCCTCCATCTAACACTGACCCAGACCTCTGCAGTGGCCAGGATCCTAGCCCAGTTCCCTTCTCCATGCCTGCTTCTCTCGGCTCTACCATGGACAGCACCACTGGGGTGCTTTTCAAATGCAAACCTGGGCTCCAGCTCTCTCCAACACAGTCCTCCCTCCTTACCTGGAGGAGCCACGCCCTCCCTAACCGAGCTCTCAGCTCCCTCTTAGCCTCTCGACACTCCATGCCACTTGTCACAACCCTGCATCTGCTCATGTCATCATCCCCTTTGCCCAGAATGCTCTCTCCCCTCCTTGTCACGTGCTTCCCTCAGGCACATCCTTGAAGGTTTTGCAACAGGCTCCCCAGGCTTGGGAAGTGGGCCCTGACACGGCCCTCCTCAGCGCGCCCACTGCCCTGACCGCCCTGACTAGTTGCCTGCTTGGGGGTCTTGACTCTCCCATTAACCAACACCTTTCTAGAGTTACAGCCTGAAACTTACTCACCTGGCATATAGGGATTTAATAAAGGTTTACAGAAAGAATCAAGGAGAAATGCTAAAATCATTTACTTTAGACCAACAGTATGTTTTGAAAGGATCAATTCAAAATGCCTGCCGTTCCATTATTCTGGCAGCATTTTATTTTTCTGTTCAGGACAGTTAGCCTGTGGCTGTTCAGAAGATGCTCTCCCGGAAGCTGAGAAAAATGCCCACCTGTGGAATTGCTCCCAAGAGCTCCTCCACGCTGCTGTGGCCGTAGGTCTTGGGCTGCAGAGTTTCTCCGACATACTTGGTATAGGCCATGGAAAACTCATGAAGGAAAATCTGCTGGTAGTGGTAAGTATGAAGTAAAGACCGCACATTCTTTGCAAACAAATACAGACTTGTGAGCTTCACACATTCTTCCATCTTATCATTAGTGAAAACCTGGTTAAAAAGAAAACGCAGCATTAGAAATATTAGTGACTGGCCCTGCCCCGTGGAAAGTGAAGGCCTCCCACTGAGGGAAAAGGCCCAGAGTTGAAGACGAAGACAAAGAAGAAAAAGAAGGCAACGAAGATGAGAAGATGAAGATGAAGAAGGAGACAGAGATGACGAAGAAGAAGGAGACGACAAAGATAAAGAAGACAACAACAAAGAAGATGAAGACAAAGACGACGAGACAAAAACGAAGATAAAGACGACAAAGATGAAGACAAAGAACAAGAAGACGAAGACAAGACGAAGACGACGATGAAGAAGACGAAGACGACGATAAAGAAGACGAAGACGACGAATTGGACAAAGACAAAGATGAAGAAGATGAAGATGACAAAAAAGACAAAGAAGAAGAAAGGAGGAGGAGGAAGGAAAGAAGGAGGGAGGCAGAGAGGAAAGAAGGAAGAGGAGAAAGAAAAGGAGGAGGGATATATTCAAGGATTTCCTCCAAGAGAAGGCTATAGCCTCCAGCAAACTTCAGTTCTATTTGCAAGTCGAAGGCTGCAGCGGTCTGAAGAGACAGTGTGTGAGTAGGGAAGAAATCGGGGGAGGCAAACTGTGTTGGCAAATCACGGTACACACAGTGAACACTGGGGCCATTAAACTGCACCTCCAAACCAGTTTTCCAAGAAACACTGTGATAAGAGGATGACACTAGCATTCTTTAAAAACACATCAAAAGCAACAAGAAACAAACACAAAACCCTTGTGTATGCAGGGTAAGGAAGCAGATTTCTTTACCACAAACCTTTTCAAAGTGTTTAACATGCTATGGAATCGCCAAGAGAAAGGATATTCCCAATCTTAGCTGGACAGGGAAAGTCCTTTGTCCTGAAATATGCATTAACACCTGTCCAGAACTGGTGTTCTTAGGATAGATATTAACAGAGTTTAGAAAATGCTGGATGTATATCCTTTCATTATTTAATGATGTGTCCCACAGTTAGATGATAATGGCATATCATTCTTTTAAATTGCTGGAGCTCATTTGTTAATATCTTATTTAGGATCATTTTAAGGGACTATCTTATGTTTTTGGTATTAAATTTATTTTGGCTTCGTAAAAATAAATGGTAAGCTTTCCTTTTTTCTTTTTCAGCAGCCTAGAACAGTATTTTTTTTCTTGGGGATGGGTTCTTGCTATGTTGCCCAGGCTGGCCTCAAACTCCTGGGCTCAAGTGATTCTCTAGCCTCAGCCTTCTTAGTAGCTGGGATTATAGACGTGTACCACCTTGCCGGGCCCCAGAATGGTTTTTTAAAAGGTAGATTTATCTGTTCTTTTAGGGTTGGTTGAAATTCAATTGTTATCTCACTTGGTCCTGATGCCTTTTTCACTGGTATATTTCAGTGATCTTTTATAGTCTCTTTTATGGTAATTGGTCTAATTTTTAACTTCTTGAGTGAATTTTGGTAACTTATTTTTTCCAGGATTTCATTTATTTACTCTAGGTTTTTATATCTGTCGCCCGAGAATTGCATGCAGTATTCTCTTAAGATTCTCTCAATCTTGGAGCGCCATTCTTGAAAGGCTGCCTGGGGGACTGGCTGGCCAACCTTCCTTTCTGCCCTCACCTTACTCATCTCTCTCTTCAAGCCACCACATAAACCATCTCATTCAGAAAGATAAAACAGTAGCGAAATCCATCCTGGAATGGGACAAACACACCCCAGAGCCAGGATCAGGAGACCAGGCTTTCATCCTAGAACGGGACAAACACACCCCAGTGCCAGGATGAGGAGACCAGGCTTTCACTGGCTTCTGCCACCCATTTAGGCAGGGCTGCTTCACTGCCTGAGGTCTCGGCGTGTTCATCCATGAAATGGTCTCTCGGGTCCCTTCCAGCTCTACACACTCTAATCTAGACCATCAGGTAATCCGGAAATGCCCAATCGATAGTTTTCAATGATAGTTCTAAAGAGCCATTAACGTGCCTACCTCAACCAAGTATGGCAGGCTCTTCAGCAGTTCGGTCAAGGTCATGAATCCATATTCACAGGGGTTAAGGGGAGTGTTGTGGGTACTTTCGTAATGTCTCTTGAGCTCCTCAACAGAAAGATGGGTGGTTCCTTCCCAAGACATCAACAATACCAGCAACTGGGCAGTGAGAGATCGCAGAGACTTTCGGTTGATCAGCTGAATCTGTCTGCCAGATTCTATATCGGCAACCTGGGGAAAACGAGAATTCACACTTTTCAGAGCTCAAGAGAGACACCCTAGGTTATACCCAACTCAGCTCACTTCATTTTGGTTAATGAGACCAACAGATGAAAAATCTCTAATTTTTTTCTCTTACACTGAAATAAAGCAAGTGGGTTTGTTTTTAGCGTCTTTGGGACACCAGACCAACATGGAAGCAGAAACTGTCCTCCCCCTGCCGGTCCATAACTGAAAACTCTCAACAAGATAATAATGGGGGAGGAAATTGCATCATTCTCTTTATTTTTCATTCATTCTTTCCAAACCCCACTATAAGAAGGACACAGACTGGCCAGCTGATGGCCAGTGGTCCAAGCTTGTGAAGTGTGGGTTGCTGTGCTCGAAGGGGGGTAGGGATGGGGAGGCTAGACTCTAAGCAACACTCACATGGCTTCTGTGCAGACCCGACTTGCCCATATGCGTCCCCAGGGCGGGCTGGGGAGGTGAGAGAGGGCCTACTCTGATTACAAGGCAAGCTGCATTTTTCTAGTCTGCTATTACTCACCACAAAGCTGGTATTTTCATCTGACTAGTAACTGTCCACTCCTCAATTATTTCAGATTCTCAAGGAGATAAAGGGTTTAAGCGGTTAAATGCGCTGAGAGGGAAACCTTACAAAAAAGACAGAGATTGTCACTTGGGGACCAAACACCATGTGAAGAAACACGCATCTGGTGACTGAGCCAGCAGGCTGTGGGTGGCGAGGGTGAGGCTGTGGCGTGAGCCTTTCCTGGCACAAAAACAGGCAGAGCTTTGGCACACACACGGCTCCGGCACTGCTCTCACAAACCAATGCTCATCCTGACAGCTTGTTTGCCCCCTTTATCTGGTTTTCCTGCCAGGGCCAAAGGTCTTGGCAGGGCTAAGTCACCACAAGTTGGCACTCTTTGGACCGTGGATTCTGAGAGGCAGAGAGAGGTGGGTGGCACTTGAGGAGCCATCCCAAGACCAGGGCATCTTTATCTGGTTCTGACATGTGCCCAGAGCCAAGGCAGGAGGGAGGCTGGCAGGGTCCCACCCTACTTATCATGATTATGGGACTGTATAGATTTCCTCCTCAGAAGCGGGTTTAATCAACCAACCGATACAAGTCCAGGGGATCCCAGTCATCTTAGCCACCCAGACCCCCACCATCACTACAGCTGCTTAGGAAAGAAACCAAACCAGAGCCTGCTCCTCTGGTGCGACTTGGATCCATCCCTTGATTCTCAATCCCGGCTATGCATTAGAATTGCCTGGGGAGCTTTTAAAAACACCAATGCTCAGAGTGTGCTGGGACTAATTCTATAAGAATCTGAAAGGTAAGGTTGGAGAAGCTCCCAGGAGACCCAGTGGGCAGCCAGGGAGGCACCACGGAGCCTCTCTCAGCTCTCCCCATTCTTGCTGCTCACACCCCAGCTGCCCACCCATCACACTCACCCAGCAAAGCCCTAGGTCATGGCGTGGGGTCTTCCTATCCACCTGAGTCCACCCCTTTCATCATCCTGGGCAACTGAACACCCAGGGACCTGTCCCACACCACAGCCGTATAGCCTTTCAATGCCTTGCCTCTGTCATCTCCGACGACATCCTCCTGTGTTCAATTTCACTGCAGACACCCATCTCCAGGGTCACAGTGCAAACCTGTCATTACCCCATCCAACATAAATCATTCAAACCTCCTGAGCATCCCACTTGCAAAAGCAAGTCTGGAGCTGCTGTTGGGGTGGGAGTGCAGAAAGAGACTCTACCCGCTCAACTCCGCCCCTTCTCAAACCTCAGCAGCATCACTGCCTCCTATCTGCTCCCAATTTGCCAGCCCACTCCCTTGCTTCACTCTCCTCTTTTGTCATGCTGGCACTGACATTCTTGTCAATATTTAAATTCGCTCATCCCATGCCTTTTCCTGACGCCCATCGGTAAACTCCCACCTTGAATCCAACCACCTGCTTTCCCTGAACCGACACCTGCATAGCCACACCCCAACTGCTGCTCTCCCAGAGTCTACGGTGCCAACTTGCAGTGAGCTCTCGATACCCCTGCACTCCACGTGACATCCTGATCAAGCCACTCTCCACTCACCATGACAACTGTGGACCTTCTCCCCACTCCTAAGTCCTGAGCCCTGCCTCTCCTCTCTCTCTCTAAGCAGAGATCAGTCCCTCTCTCTAGTGGAAAACCACTCTTGGAAGAGGACTCCCTTCTATTCCTGATGATAAACATCAGACCTGCCCATGCCTGCCCCCAGCCTATTGCCCTGTATACTTCCTCCTTCCTCTGTGTGCTGTTTCCTAGTCTCCCACACCTCAAGGCCCTCCTGTCTTACCCCTTCTCGCCCTTGTATGTTCATCTTCTCTCTCTAGACAGATCCACATCAATGGCTTTCAGACATGCTCAAGTTTTTCCAGGTAGGAAAACCAACAGCCCAAATCCTCCCTTGCTCCCTCAGCCCCACAGCCTCTAGCTGCTGCCACAGCCCTCCATCTTCACAAGCAGACAAACCAGGATGCTGTCCAGATGACCTGGGCCATTTTCTCACCTCTCCTCACTCCTCACCACACTCCAAGGTGGCTTCTGTCTACACAACCAACACTGCCACTGACCTGGCCAGCAGCACCGACTCTTCCCACTGAGCTAAACCTGGAAGTCAGGCAGTCCCTCTCTGACCAGCCCTCCTGCGATGCTGCTGGCCATTCCTCTGCCTTGGCTCAGGGATGTTCGGCTCTCCTGGTTGTGCTTCCTGCTCTCTCACCTCCTCCTCCAACCAATCAGTACCTAAGGAGAGCTCTGAGCGTTCCTACCTCTGCCAAGGTAAGAACGTCTTCTTAGCTGCAGTCCAATACATTAAAAAACAGTGGGGGCTGGGTGCAGTGGCTCATGCCTGTAATCCCAGCACTCTGGGAGGCTGAGGTGGGCGGATTACCTGAGGCCAGGAGTTCGAGATCAGCCTGGCCAACACGGTGAAGCCCTGTCTCTACTAAAAATACAAAAACTAGCTGGGCGTAGTGGCGGGCGCCTGTAATCCCAGCTACCCAGGAGGCTGAGGAAGAAGAATCTCTTGAACCTGGGAGGCGGAGGTTGCAGTGAGCCAAGATCGCACCACTGCACTCTAGCCTGGGCCACAGAGCAAGACTCCAACTCCAAAAAAACCCCACAGTGGGAAGGAAAGGGAGAGTGAACCCGTTCTGGCTGTTTACGGAATTAAATGACACAGAAATGTGTGCAGCTAGTAATGGGCCTGTAACTGAGGGTGCCGTCCTTCATGCTTCCCTTTCCATTCCTTCCTCCTGGCAGTGACTTCTTCTGGTCCTGTGGGGGAGGAGGCCGAAAACTGGCAGCTGCTCTGCCTAGGACAGGAAGGGTCAAGTGCAGTCCAGGACAGCAAACAGCACGAGCTGCCCTCTCTACTACAGCTCTGCCAGTGACAAAGGCCACTCTGCACCCTCGCTTGCTCCTAAGCCTACTCCTAAGTGGGTGAGAATGTGGAGGGAGAGGACACTGTGTGATTACGGGCTCCCAAGAACGTCACAGGCAAAACTCACACTGGAAGGAGTCAAGCTCAGGCCAGCAGTGCTGAGGCAGCTGCACCTCATGACCGAACCCTGGGGTGAAGAGTGACCTCATCAGTTCACAAAGGCATTGCTTTGGCAAGGCCATTCAGAAACACACAAGAGGAAGACCAAAACTCTCAACTTCCAAACCAAGGCTTCTATTACCTAATAAGCACTAATGACACAAAACGAGTCATAATGCTGTGACAGTTAAGTAGTTCAAGGTGTAAATAAAGAAACGCTACAGCACACGCAAACGTCCTAATGAGAATTAGGTCACTGTGAGTTTTATCCCATGAGGGAAAAAAAAAAAAAAAAAAAAAACATTTACCTTCACGACATGGCAGAGTTTCTGAGTTAAAGCCGAAATGGAACTGACATCATAGTCTTGGAGACGAAATGTATAACCAAAAGTTTTAGCATATTCTGTAAGGAGATCTGTCATCATAAGGCAGTTATCTTTTTGGGACCGAAGGAGTTTAACAAACTGGGCAGCTAGAGCTTTGAACCGCTCCACCTCTGTCAGAGTAAGGATCTTTTCTTCTCCACATTCCAATACCTTTGAAAACACACGGGGGGAGGAAAGGGAAAATAAACAAATCACGGGTGTTTACAGAATAGCAAAAAAAGTATGCAGCTAGTAATGAAAAAACAAGTCAGCGTTACTGAATGGGTATAAAGTTTCAGTTGTGTAAGATGAAAAAGTTCAGAAGATCGGTTGCATAACAATGTGAATGTGCTGACCACTACTGGACAGGAGATATAAAGATAGTTACGAAGGTAAGTTCTATGTTATGTGTATTGTGCCACAATAAAACAATTTTTAAAAAGCACTTCAGTAGTAAAAAAAGAAAATAAAATCAACAACAGAAATTTGGTTTAACTTAGCAACAGCGAACAGCTTAGCACTGATGTTACCTCATGTACTCAGACCTACCTTCAACACGAAGGATTTTAAAAGTATAAAAGTAATGAACAAATATTCAGTGTAAGAAATCAGCAGGTGTGGTGGCTCACGCCTGTAATCCCAGCACTCTGGGAGGCTGAGACAGGCGGATCAACTGAGGTCAGGAGCTCAAGACCAGCCTGGCCAACGTGGTGAAACACCATCTCTACTAAAAATAGAAAAATTAGCTGGGCATGGTGGCGGGCACCTGTAATCCCCAGCTACTCGGGAGGTTGAGGCAAGTGAACTGCTTGAACCCGCAGGCGGAGGTTGCAGTGAGCCAAGATTGCGCCATTGCACTCCAGCCTGGGCGACAAGAAAGAAACTCCGTCTCAAAAAACAAAAACAAACAAACAAAAAAAAGAAAACCTACTGAATCTTTTTTTCAATAATTACCCCCAAAACAAGTTTGAATAATCCTTTATTGAAGGAAAAAGCCATATTTATCTAAAAATACTAATGAGTCAGGAATATGGCTTCTCTGACTGGAATAGCTTAGATTTTCATCCTCTTTCGTAACTCCCTACTTCCCAGAAAAACAGGTCTGGAACGTGAAAAAGTATTTCCTATACGTTGTTCAGAAAAATACTTTATAAAATTAGAATTTCTTCACTCACTTGTAAAGTATCAGGTATGGCTTCAAAAAGTTCAAGTAGTTTGGTAAACCCATAGTACGCAAGTTTGCACTGCCGGCCAAAGTGGTGATGGTAAGAAGGGATAAATTTATTAAAGGGCATCCGGAAATGGGGTTGGTGACGCAGCAAATCAACGACATCCTTGGAGAACTGTTTTGTCCTTTCTATTTCATCCTGAGTGCGTTCTTTTAAAAAAACCAAAAAACATAAAATCACAGTTTTTTTCTACCCATTTGTGTTCAACATCCACACTAGAGTAAATCCTTTTGGGAATTTATAAACGATATCATCCTTGCCTTCCAAACACACACAACCTAAAACAAACACATATACTCTTCCCTCTTTGCAAGTGGTTCTCAAACATGTTCCAGGGCAGAACACCAGGAAGTTATGATATTATTATATTATGAAATTCATATATATTCATCTTATAAGCTAGAAACAATGTCATCTTATAAGCTAGAAACAATTTTCTAGCCCCTGCCCCATATCTATTAACATGACACACACCCAGGTCCCTGTACTTAAGCAAGTACTCTAGAAATTATTCCCATGAAATCACGCTTCTGAATATCCCCACTTTTTTTGTTTATTCATCTGATCTTCAGTTAAAACTTGCTAGCAGAAGAGAGAATCAGGCTTCAAAAGTTGAACAAAAATAAACAGGAGGGAAAGCTTAAGCTGAGATTGTTTCTATTAATTTTTAAGTGAGAATGGGCCCTGGAATTCTATGATTTCATGGACATCAATGTTCTGCAGGAGCACCGTTTAAGAACCAGATAATAGAAGGAGGATACGACCATACAGTCACCCCTTGGTGTTCTCAAGGGATCGGGTCCAGGACCCTGCCTGGATACCAAAATCCGCACCTACTCAAGTCTTGCGGTCTGCCCCGCGGAAACTGCAGACACGAAAAATTGGCCCCCAGTATCCATGAGTTTCGCATCCCTCAAATACTGTACTTTCTACCCGTAACTGGACCTGTGCAGTTCTGACTTCAACTATTAAAATTTGAAAGGCAAAAGAAAAAAAAACATTCGAGTTGTCTTCCCTTCTCAAGTGTGCACAGTAAATAAAGTAGCTCAGAGTTCAACAGAAGAGCAAAGCCAACAGGCACGGTGACAGATTCTCAACTGGATGACTAAGGCTCATGTAGCCACAGCCAGGCTGCAGAAGGCATTTGAGCAAAGTGCTGATGATGCCCCTTTTTCCCCTTAGAGTCAATTCTAAAAAGCCAGCCTGCTTTTGTTCTTGAGAACAGCTTCACCTACTTTGAAGAACACAGAATCCAAAGAGCAGCAGTTTTCACACTGTGCTTTCTGTGGAATCTTCAGGAAGCACGGACAGGGAGGGAAAACCACATCTTCCATGCCACACTATGTTAAAATAACAGGAGATAGACAATATCCTTCCAGCAAATGTTAAGTCACATACCTCTTTTGGGGATACAAATCACCATTTCATTATCTTGTTGGGACAAGCAGATGGTTGTGTCTGGAATCTCTGATACGATGTCAATCAACTCACAAACACCATATTCAGTGACATCCCAGTCCTTTGAGAAACACCTAGGTTTTAACAACGGAAGTGGATACGGAATGAGTAGTATCATCGGTAGAAGAACTACAAGTTTTCCGGCCGGGCGCTGGGGCTCACGCCTGTAATCCCAGCACTTTGGGAGGCCGAGGTGGACGGATCACGAGGTCAAGAGATCGCGACCATCCTGGCTAACATGGTGAAACCCCGTCTCTACTAAAAAATAGAAAAAATAAGCCGGGTGTGGTGGCGGGCGCCTGTAGTCCCAGCTACTCTGGAGGCTGAGGCAGGACAACGGCATAAACCCGGGAGGCGGAGCTTGCAGTGAGCCAAGATCGTGCCACTGGGCGACAGAGCGAGACTCCGTCTCAAAAAAAAAAAAAAAAAAACAAAAAACTACTACAAGTTTTCCAAAAGAATGCTTAATAGAAATACTAGATAACTATTTAGAGTTTGGCAGAAGATAAAATGTCCTAAAATATTTACTTTCATTTCTGTTCTTTTCATCAACTCACCAGTGATAAGCCTGTGAGAATTCTCTCACAATGACCTGTTTGCTGGCCTGGGATTTGAGAAGTTTTAGTAAATCCTGAGTAAAGCGCTTCACCTGGGCCCTGTGGGTAAGGGTCAGCAGACGTTTGGAGCCCATTCCAAGAATCTGCAAAGCAAATAGTTTATTTATACACATAAGACCTCAGCAGACAGCGACTTCCTTGCTGCTGGCTCACCCTCTCGTTACTAGCCTCAGAGCATGACTCCCTTTATGTAGAATGTGTGCAATTTGAAACACATGTCGATCAACAAAATGTAGTTGGTCAAAAGGAACAAATGTCCAAGGCCTTCTGAAACTCTTATCGTTTTTGGCCTGGCACACCTTCTCCCAAACAGTCGTTGAGTATAAAAATGAAAAGTGTAATCTTTTGAAAAGAAAAGTCGTGAGTACAGAAATGAAAACTGTATTGGTTGTCCAGACAAATTGGTCTACAAGTTTTTCAAGCCGTTTTTAGTGAGTGGGAAGCTGTTATAACACTGTGAGTTAACTGGTAAAAGTCTTCATAGGATCCAGTGCTACACTCTAGCCCAGTAACTTGTCTCCAACTAGTTAAATTTAGAAGAAAGGTTAAGCCCTTGACTCTCACATAGGCACCAACATACAAGTATGTGGCTATTCATGGGAGCTTCCTTGTAATCATGAACAGTTCTGGAGAAAGCTGTGCTGGGATGAAGAAGGTCTATAGAGCTTAGAGGGAAAATACTCCTCAGTCCTCCAAGGAGTTCCTCTAAAACTGGAAACTAGCAGCGTTCTGAAAAATTGAGAAGCCGCCTGTGTGTGTTATTCCTGCCCTCTGAAGAAAGTTTTTAGTGGATGTTCTGCCCAGAACTGACTTCTTAGGAATTAAACTGTTTCTTTGATGGAGGCAGCCAAAGCCATGGAGGAACATTCCTGCCTGTAAACAAGTAATCCCGTGACACGCCTTACCTGCAATACATGAGGCACTGCTTCTAATAACTCAATCAGCTTGGAGTATCCGTAGTCTGACACTCGGCACTGCTTTGCAAAATGATGGTGATAGGATGGGATGAAATGACTGATGGGTATGACACAAGATGGCTGGCTTTTCAGCAAGTCAATCACTTCTCTACTGAACTGGATCAGCTGGGGGTTACCTACAGGACTCTTCGAACGCAGAAGCCAAGGGTCTAGAAGAAAAAGAACGTGTATAAGACAGAAAGCACAGATTTCACCAGCTGAAAGAAGGGAAAATGGCCCTGCAGTCCCTGGCTTGAGTTCGATCATGGGGAAGCAAACAAAACCAAATACAGTAGCTGCTTTACGTCTCAGTTTCTATATTCAGGTCTCATAGTCCAATAACTAGCTAACTAACTTATTCACGGGCTGTCAAATGCTGTCCCACTAATCCTCAAAGTTAAGCGGCCAAGGTAAAGCAGAGTCTACTATAGTGTTATTTATAGCAGAAGTCAAAGTACACAAGAAGCTCCCAGTTTAGAAACTAGTTATATTTCCAAGATCCTTCTGAAACTTGGTCATGTGGAACGTACCTTTCCACAAAGTTATAAATGGTCATCAGGTAGGTGGCCCAGAAGAGCAAAATTAATCCATAGTGGAGCTGAAAACGTTACCCAGAAAACCACAGAAAGTGATAATGTTGTAAGATTAGCATGACATAAAAGGGTGTAAGGAACAGGTTTTTGCACCATCTTGACTGCTTATACCTATTAAAAAGGTATAAGTAATCAAACGGAAATCTTTATAGAAAGGTGGAGAGGCTTGCTGGTCGCGGCGGCTCATGCCTGTAATCCCAGCACTTTGGGAGGCTGAGGCGGGCGGATCACGAGGTCAGGAGATCGAGACCATCCTGGCTAACAAGGTGAAACCCCGTCTCTACTAAAAATACAAAAATAAATACAAAAAAATTAGCCGGGCGTGGTGGCAGGCACCTGTAGTCCCAGCTACTCAGGAGGCTGAGGAAGGAGAATGGCATGAACCCAGGAGGTGGAGCTTGCAGTGAGCCTAGATTGCACCACTGCACTCCAGCCTGGGACACAGAGCGAGATTCCGTCTCAATAAATAAATAAATAAATAAATAAATAAAATAAAATAAAATAAAATAAAAAGTGGAGGCTTGTGGGCTCATGGCTTAGGAGAAAGGAGGAGTGGCATAATCTATGGCCCCTGAGAAGTCTAAGACAGAGGGAAAAGAAAGGAGGTGTCCCGTAAGAAACCTGAGTACACACATTCCTAAGAGCAGGCTGACTCAGAAAGAATTCCTTGGTTATCCTCACCTTTTTTCCTGTAGGGTAAGGGAGGTGGGAGAAGCAAAAGTGTTGGGGACAAAGAGGAGGAAGTATGTGTGTATACACAGGAAGGCAACAAGTAAAGTGTCGTTCACGGGCAGCAGCCTTGGATATCTGCAACTCAGGACATGCCCGTAACTCAGACACTCACCCAAGTCTAGGTCCAAATACCTTGGTCTTTTAAATTTATTTTCACATTTATCAAAGTCCAAAACGTGGACCAAAATGACTTTCGAAGGTAAATCTGCATTAAGTGGTATTTCCTTCAAATACCTGAAAGTACTTTTTTTTTTAAAGACAGAGTTTCGGCCAGGTGCGGTGGCTCACGTCTGTAATCCCAGCATTTTGGGAGGCTGAGGCGGGCGGATCACGAGGTCAGGAGATCGAGACCATCCTTGCTAACACGGTGAAACCCTGTCTCTACTAAAAATACAAAAAAAATAGCCGGGCGTGGTGGCAGGCGTCTGTAGTCCCAGCTACTCGGGAGGCTGAGGCAGGAGAATGGTATGAACCGAGGAGGCGGAGCTTGCAGTGAGCTGAGATCCGGCCACTGCACTCCAGCCTGGTGACAGAGGGTGACTCCGTCTCAAAAAAAAAAAAAAAAAAAAAATCCTGGGCGCGGTGGCTCACACCTGTAATCCCAGCACTTTGGGAGGCTGAGGCGGGCGGATCATGAGGTCAGGAGATCAAGACCATCCTGGCTAACAAGGTGAAACCCGTCTCTACTAAAAATACAGAAAAAAAAAAAAATTAGCCGGGCGTGGTGGCGGGCGCCTGTAGTCCCAGCTCCTCAGGAGACTGAGGCAGGGGAATGGCGTGAACTCAGGAGGCGGAGCTTGCAGTGAGCCAAGATTGTGCCACTACACTCCAGCCTGGGCAACAGAGCAAGACTCCGTCTCAAAAAAAAAAAGACAGAGCTTCACTCTTGTCACCCAGGCTGGAGTGCAATGGCTTGATCTTAGCTCACCACAACCTCTACCTCCTGGGTTCAAGTGATTCTCTTGCCTCAGCCTCCCGAGTAGCTGGGATTACAGGTGCCCACCATCATGCCTGATTTTTCTATTTTTAGTAGAGATGGGGTTTCACCATGTTGGCCAGGCTGGTCTTGAACTCCTGACCTCAGGTGATTTACCCACCTCAGCTTCCCAGAGTGCTGGGATTACAGGTGTGAGCCAACAGGCCCAGCCCCTGAAACTATTTTTAAAAGGTCAGTCAACTGGCAAGCCAAAAGCTTCACAAAATTAGGTTGCTAAAAGGATCTGTAAATGTGAAATTTGAGTTTCAAATTTTTTACATAGCTTATGTTGGTACTTTCAAACTGGCCAGGTGTGGTGGCTCATGCCTGTAATCCCAGCATTTTGGGAGGCCATAGTGGGACGACATCTTCAGCTCAGGAGTTCAAGAGCAGCCTGGACAACACAGCAAGGCCCTATCTAAAAAACAAAGTCTAGGCCGGTTGCTGTGGCTCAGGCCTGTAATCCCAGCACTTTGGGAGGCGGAGGCAAGTGGATAATGAGGTCAAGAGATCAAGACCATCCTGGCCAATATGGTGAAACCCTGTCTCTACTAAAAATACAAAAAATTAGCTGGGCGTGGTGGCTGGTGCCTGTAGTCCCAGCTACTCGGGAGGCTGAGGCAGGAGAATCACTTGAACCCGGGAGGCAGAGGTTGCAGTGAGCCGAGATCGCACCACTGCACTCCAGCTAGGCGACAGAGCAAGACTCCGTCTCAAAAAAAATAAATAAATAAAAAATAAAACAAAGTCCAGTAACGCCAACCCCTCAAGCATTTTAGGAATTTTCAAAAGATCAAAGGACACATCCATGGTGTTTTCACACTTGGCAAATTGTGCTGCTGTTTAAAATAAAAGCCAATAGCCTCCTCTGGTCTCATAGTGGACAGGTGGTAGCTCCAGGACAAAATACCTGACACCTACCAGTGTTGGGAGGCGGGGGCTTGTTGTGAATCCATTTAACCACTTTGATGCCATTCTGAGCAGTGGCAATGTTTACACCTGGAACACAGGTAATGAAGTGTTCTAAGGGAACACCTCCTTGGTTTTCTTGCACTACTTCTAGATCGCCAAACTCTGCAATGTAACAATCTGGAAAGCTGAAATAGGAAAAAACAACAAAAAAAGGAAAGGTTAAATCAAAATAACAGAAAAGGAGGCGCTTGCTAAACAGAAGGCTTTGGTTTAATGTATGTGTTAATCATTTGTCTGAATGCCCACCACCAGGTTTGAAGGTTAAAATTAAGGACCCAGGGAGGCAAGCACTGAGGCACTGGCCTCTCTGATGCATTCTGATGGCATTTTCTGGGTAGTTTTCCAGGAGGGGGATTAAAAATAGGGCAACTGGGCTCCAAGTCAGTTACGCGTCTGCTTCCACATCAGCAGGGACGTGCAGGCCACTGAGTCCTGTGTTGGCCTTTGTGTTAAGTCTACTGTTGTGGCTCATGGAGTGATTAAATGAACTTCTGAAGAATACTTTTCTCTCACAAGTCTTGAAATGTATGCATATTTGAAGCTGTGTACTCTCAACACTTGTGGAGATTTCGACTGCAGCACTTATGATACATCTCCCCTCTGTGGAAGAATCTGCCCTCCTCACGTTTACGTTTCTAAAATGTAGCGCAAACACACATTTTCTTGTTGAAGTACTGAGTGAATGGATCCCATTTCAGATAAACAGTCACGTGCTGCTTCATGATGGGGATATGTACTCAATAATGTGTTGCTGGGTGATTCTGTCACCTGAGAACATCATCAGGTGCACTTATGCAAACCTAGATGCTGCGGCCCACTGCACACCTAGGCTGGTGCAGCCCATGGTTCCCGAGCTACACATCTGGACAGCCTGTTACTGTACTACACACTGTGAGCAACTATAACACAATGGTATTTGTGTATCTAATCATCGAAAGGTCTAGTGAAAATATGTGATTATAATCTTATGGGACCACTGTCCTATATACAGTCCATGGTTGGCCAAAATTTTGTTATGTGGTGCATGACTGTACTTTGACTGAAGGCTAAACACATGAGGATGAAGCATTGTAGAGTACTTATTTGTAAAGAGATGTGGGCAGAAAGGGCAGGCTTCCTATAAAAAGCAGAACTAGGGCATTATATCGACAAAGGCTTTGAGATGGTTCACCTCAATAAAGGCACGGTGCCCTCGTGGGTCTGGAGAAGACTGTGAACCTGGGGCGCAAATGTCTTCAAAGAAAGAATCACAAAAGGAATCTTGTAAGAGTCTGGATCAAATTCATGTTCGCTGAAGAAAAGAGAACACAATTGGAAGCTGACATTCCGCAGGGGTCTAAGATGTTCACAAGGTCATCCTAACATGTTCCACAATCTTATAGAAAAGAATTACTTCTAAAGGAAAACGAACGGCACACCTGAAATCCTTATTGGAACAATGCTGTCTGCAGACAGGCTCGTGATATTCTAACTCTTCAAATATAATTGGGCTGCAATTCGTGGAGGAGCCGTCGTGTGACTGGGAAGACCCCAAGGGGCTCTGGCGGGCCTGACTGCTGGGTAGGAGACACACCAGCCGTCCGTTTCCTTGTTCACGGATTGCGACCGTGTCTGTTAATTTATATAGATCTGACACATTCAACTTGTGTCCAAACCTAAAAGCAAGAGAAGAGAGACGCTGACTTAGAAGGTTTTTCTTTGATTATACAGAAACACGCATCCTGTTTAAATAAAGAACAATAACCAAGAATGGTTCCTCCATCTCTTCAAAGGTAAAACTGGAATAATTCTACTACAAATTCATTCACTAGCAAACCAGTGATGCTTGGTACTCCTGAGTCGTCTCTGGCTCCGACCATGACAATGCTCACTTCATTTGAAAGCCACCCCCAGCCCCTGCCCAGTTTCTTTAAGTGACCTCACCAAATTCTCTTGAGTTGGAAACCTCTCTCGATGCAGCTCCCCTCACTTCCAATTCTCTGTGTTACTTCTCACCATCCCCATTCTCCCCTCTCAGAAGTATATGTGCTTTCCGTGACCCTCTCAACTCTCCTATGCCTCAACTGCATGATCCACACACCCTCTGACACTGGACTCCCCAGTTCTCCTCCTGACCTGTATCTTTCTTACTTGGAACTTAAAGGCACTGGCCCTGGAGGCTGGCAGATTTGAGTTCACATCCTGACTCCACTTCAACCTGTGTGACCTTAGTCAAGTTCCACGACCAATCGGGGCCTCACTTTTTCCATCTGTAAAATGGGGTGATGATAGCGCCTATCTCACAGGGTCAATGTGAGGATTAAGTGTGGTTAGGCCTGGACAGAACTTGGCTCATAGTAAGTGCTCAGTAAGTGTTCCCTGGTCTTCTCACTGTCTGACCAGTGTTTTCTTCCCAGTGTCCTACATATGCTCAGATTCCCATCTACCAAACCAGCCCCTGGTCCTCTTCCACCTCCCGGAGAGACACACTCTCCCTTGTACTCTCATTCTCAGTCTCGTACTCTACCCTGTCCCTGTAATGGAAACATCCAGCTGCTCAGGAGCTGCTTCTGCTGTGTTACCCCCGAGTCTCTCAGCCCCTTCCCTACTGGATTTTAGCCACAGGACTCTGTAGTGATGACTCAAAAGTTATCAGCGGCCTCTGCCTCATCCCCACACCTCATGCATTTCCTCATGGCCTTGGATCCCCCCATTCCTGATGTGCTCTCTTGGCACACATCCTGGGTGCTCGCCCACATCCCTGGCCCTGGTGGCATTCCATCCATTCCTGCCCTCTATTTCTCCTTCCCCCTCCCAACCTTATCTGCTCTCTAGTCTGTCCCAATCGTCTTAAAGGCAAATGACTGCCCTATCTCCAGAGCCTACTTCTCTCCCAAAGAAGTCCCTCAATGTGCAGAAGACTATGTGACCTCTCCACCCAGCTACTCCAATGGCCCCTAAAACCTGAATGTCCAAAACCAAGACCAAAAACTTGCTGTACCTCCTTGCCATGCTTTATTTCCCTATTTCCAGTTTAACTGTGCAACCATCATCCCAGTCATGCAAGGCAAAACACTCAGAATCAAAATGACCTCTCCCTTTTACCTTGCTTGCTACATAAAACTAGTTACTCTGGCTGGACGTGGTGGCCCGTGCCTGTAATTCCAGCACTTTGGGAGGCCTAGGAGGGAGAATCACTTGAAGCCAGGAGTTCAAGACCACCCTGGGCAACATAGCAAAACCCCCTCATTACAAAAATTAAAAAATATTAACTGGGCAGGATGGCGGATGCCTGTGGTCCCAGCTACTCAAAAGGCTGAGATGGGAGGATCATCTGAGTCCAGGAGTCTGAGGCTGCAATGACCTAGGGTCGTGCCCCTGCACTACACCCTGGGTGACAGAGTGAGACCCTGGCTCAATAAAAATTGTTTTTAATAAAAAAAATTAGTTACCCACTCTAGTTTCAATGACATTTGACATTTTGACATTTCTGTAACATCGAGTTCTGTCCCAACAGTATCTGCTCTGAATTTGGACTGATGTAGCTACTTTCCCTCTCTGCCTCCTTCTCTCCCCTGTTCCTGCCCTCTCAGACACCACTGCTACGAGAAGAGTCTTCCTGCAGCATGATTCCCATCACCACACCTTTCCCCTCCCCTCCTTCCTCCAGCACTTCAGTGGCTCCCTATTACCTGTGGGATAATGGCCAAGTTCCTTGTTCTTCCCTTCCTCTGTGTTCTCAAAGCTTTTTCTCCTCCTTTCCAATCAGTTTTCTTCACTGTCCATAAGGATTCACGAGCATTTTCTCTTCCCGCTAGACATAAGCTCCTCAAGGACAAGACCTAAGTCTTGCCCAGTTCTGCCTTCTCTGCAGTGCCTTGGTCTTGTACTCACTAGTCCCTGCTAAGCATCTACTATGGGCTGGGTGCTTAGGATACAGTATTATGGCAGAGCTAGTCCCTGCTGTCCTGGAGCTTATAGTCTAGTGCTTAAAAATGTTCATCCAATAAATACTAAAACTTGGCCAGGCGCAGTGGCTCACACCTGTAATCCTAGCACTTTGGGAGGCTAAAGTGGGCAGATCACTTGAGGTCAGGAGTTTAAGACCAGCCTGGCTAATATGGCGAAACCCTGTCTCTACTAAAAATACGAAAACTTAGCAAGGCTTGGTGGCACATGCCTGTAGTCCCAGCTACTCGGGAGGCTGAGGCATGAGAATCACCTGAACTTGTGAGGCAGAGGTTGCAGTGAGTTGAGATTGTGCCACTGCACTCTAGCCTCGGCAACAGAGCGAGACTCTGTCTCCAAAAAAATTAAAAAACAAACAAACAAACAAAAAAAACAAACTAAAGCTAGTCAATTAGGGGAAAAATAAGCACAACACTGAGGACCAAAGGTCTAACTTTGTTAAAAATAAAAGACGTTTTAAAACTGTCTGCTAAACATTCATTGACATGTAAATCTGAATGCCAGTGTCTCTGTCTCCTCTCCTCTACCAGGCTGAAGTTCCTCAAGAGTCATTACCATGGTTTTGTGCATGTAAGCCACCAATCAGTACTGACTGGATAAAGAAAAAATATACCTAACTTACTTTTTTTCATAGATATCTGTAAATTTAAACAGAGGCAGGCAACAGGCAGGGGCATCCTGAAGAACAGACATTGTTTCTGCACTGTAAAACAGAAGTTTGATTAGGGAACAGACCATTTCCTCCATATTACAAGTTATATAAACAGAGTTCATAAAATTAACCCAGTGCATATGCAAAATAAATTTACGGATTTCTGGTATGTCAGAATGTATTTTCCAGAAAAATTTAAAGAAAGGATTTTAGGGACAAGGCAATGAAAGAAGATTACGTTACACAGTAGAATTAGTATCAATCATAGGGTTTTCCACACCAGTGGAGCAGAAAAGCATGATGAATTCAGAGCAAAAGGGAGAAGAGCTTAAATATCTCCTGCCACACTGCAGTTTGTTAGATATATGTGATTGGCGTTCCCATAGATAAGGATACACAACTGAATACAACATAATCTCAACTACAGTTTTAAAAAACCAGAGGCACCAAAAAACGCTCAAAGGGAAAAAATCCAAACAAAACTAAAAGAAGATGCCAAACTGTTAAGTGCAATTGGCTTTGGGCCATAGGCCTGTGGATGGTTTTTTTTCCCCTGCTTCTTTTATGTTTCTAAACTTTCCAAATTTTCTTCAATAAGCATCATTTTTATTCTGAGAACAACAACAAAAAAAAAACCCGTAACTCGTAATTTAAGTAATAGTGAAGTACAAGTTAGAAAAAAGATCTCTGATCATCCAAGGAAACACTCAGGAGTGGGTCCTGTTTTGCCAGTCTCCCCGAAACAGGGAGACCCAAAGAAGTATCACATTTTACTATGAATAAAACCATCACCAGACGCTTGAGACTGAGATAGTCTTAAGGTAGACTTATGGGGCTGAGTATCTATTTGACACTAAGGATATATCTGCAAATGGAGAGCTTGAAGATTTGTAGATCTAGTCTTTACACACAAATCTACCTTCTACCTAAGATCTCAAGGTAATATTTTAGACTTTTCAGGCTTATAAACTTTTATTGTAGGGGTCTACTATTTTTAGAACCTATTTGAACATGTTGCGTATTATTTTACTCCCAAGTGCCTGTCAAGTTTAAGCTGTATTCCAGCTTTGATTAATGACTTAGACAAGAGTCAAATGGCTTGTTTCTAACTGTATCAATCTAGAATAAGCATTATTCCACATGCAATCATCACAAGGGGGTGGGAATGTGATTGAATCTATTTTTATTATTTCTAAAATTGTTTCTGGGTCAAATGTTATTTCCTGAAATAAACAGCTTGCTTGTTTCTTACCTCAGTAAAGAGAGTGATTTGCTGGCAGCCCCGGTGGCAAGTGAGACCAGGATCTTTTTGCTGCCAATTTTGTATCTGTGGAGGCTATTCACTGCACCGATCGCATCTTGTAAGTTTTCCATTTGCACAACAGCCTTGAGTTGATAATCTGTATGGGGGCTGAGCTCAACACTCTTCACCTACAACAGGAAAAGCGAAAACTAAACGCTATGTCCGCCCAGAACCCTGTCGTCTTAAAACTGAAGGTGAACCATGAAGGAACACATTTGTCGACTGCAGCGCTTCCATGAAGGAGTATGTCTGAACTCTGCTCTTCTGCTGACCAGGACGTAAGAAAGTGAGGATAGGGTGACCTTTAGAGATGTGACACTGGCCCGGCCTGCCTGTGTGCTCTGGCACACACAGGTTTCCAAGGCAGGCTCAGAGGCCAACACATGGGAAGAGTGTTTGGGGTCTTTTCTAGACTCTACAAAACCCAGGACATGGCCATTTTTAAGAATCTACTAAAAAGGTGCATTTTTAGCAAAATTGCACCTAAAAAATGAGTCAAATATAATAAGGCATAAACAAGACCAGCCAACATTATTTTAGAATCCTACCTGTATTTCAGCAGGAAGAGCTAACTGAAATCCATCAATGTTTTACTTATCAAATTGCCTTTTTTTTTTTTTCTTTCTGAGATGGAGTCTCACTCTGTCTCCCAGGCCAGAGAGCAGTGGCGTCATCTCAGCTTACTGCAACCTCTGCCTCCCGTGTTTAAGCAATTCTCCTGCCTTAGCCTCCTAAGGAGCTGGGACTACAGGCGTGCACCACCACGCCCGGCTAATTTTTTTTTAGTAGAGACGGGGTTTCACTCGCCAGGCTGGTCTCAAACTCCTGACCTCAGGTGATCTGGCCGCCTTGGCCTCCCAAAGTGCTGGAATTACAGGCATGAGCCGCCATGCCTGGCCACAAATTGCCATTTCAATTTCTGCCTAAGACAAGAGCTTTTCACTGCTAGGCGTCTTGCTCTCTGGGGCTAACATTGTAAAAACTGGATTTATAGCACCACCCTGAGCAGACCAAAGGGAAAAGGAAGGAGTTCAAACTTGTTCAGTCACACTTCTATCCCGGCTGTGGTTATGTATATCAAATTAGGTCCTCTTGACTAGAGACTCCATCAGAGAGTATAACAAAGCAAGCACAAGAGGGAAAAAGTTACCTTGCCATGCCTGGCAAATGCTTCCTGCAGGAGCTGCTGCAGCTCCTTCCGGGATAATCTGTAGTCTATGTTGCTGACTTGGACATCAGCACCATTTGCAAATGGGTCTGGGCAGTCGGCTTCGCTGCTCGAATTTGCAATGTTGAAAGCAAGCGGGGATGCTCTGTTTAAAAGGTTTGGAGACATACTCCTGCTTAAAACACACATATTGACATTATTTTAAAAAACTGTTCTGTATATTTAGATTTTATCATTTAGGCTTTGTTTGAAACTATATACAGAAGCAGATTTTCCACAACACAACCAAACCAAACATTTGGTTTTCAAATGTGTTTTTAATCTTTTTTTTTTTTTTTTTTTTTTTGAGACAGAGTCTCGCTCTGTCACCCAGGCTGGAGTGCAATGGCACGATCTCGGCTTACTGCAACCTCCACCTCCTGGATTCAAGCAATTCTCCTGTCTCAGCCTCCCCAGTAGCTGGGACTACAGGCATGCACCACTACACCCAGCTAATTTTTTTTATTTTTGGTAGAGATGGGGTTTTACCATGTTGGCCAGGCTGGTCTTAAACTCCTGACCTCAAGTGATCCACCTGCCTCAGCCTCCCAAAGGGCTGGGATTACAGGCGTGAGCCACTGTGCCCAGCTGTGTTTTTAATCTTAAATACACATTGATTTCAGACATTGTCAAAAGTACTATCTACTGACCCCTAATTACCGCCAACCAATTAATATATATTCTTCCTTTGGGTTAAAGCTAAAGGCAGGAATTAGAGGCAGTCCTGATGAATTAACCTTCTGCTTTGTGCATTATCCTTAGGAAATCAGCCTGTGATACCAATTTAAGGCGTCTAACCTCCTCTGTGTCTCTGAAAGAGTTAAACGTTCTTGCCTACATGTTACAGTTCTTTCTGCACATAAGGAAAACTTTTATGTGGCTTTTTAGATGTAATTTTATAGATCCATAGTCACTTTCTCTTTTTTTTTTTTTTTTTTTGAGACGGAGTCTCGCTCTGTCACCCAGGCTGGAGTGCAGTCATGCGATCTGAGCTCACTGCAACCTCCACCTCCCAGGTTCATGCCATTCTCCTGCCTCAGCCTCCCAAGTAACTGGGACTGCAGGCACTCACTACCACGCCCGGCTAATTTTTTGTATTTTTAGTAGAGATGGGGTTTCACCGTGTTAGCCGGTTAGCCAGGATGGTCTTGATCTCCTAACCTCATGATCCTCCCGCCTCGGCCTCCCAAAGTGCTGGGATTACAGGCGTGAGCCACCACGCCCGGCTGATCCATAGTCACTTTCTACAGTGATCTGCCACCAACTCAGCAGAACAAACACAATGCTAAAAGGAGCTCATGGGAATGCAACACGGCCTTACGGCTTCTCTGTCTCCCAAGCATCAAGAATTCCTTGGTGTGAGAGACAGTGATAAATAATTACCATGGTTTACAGAAAACTTTACTTCCAAATAGCTTCCTATACAGAACCATATGAATCAGAACCACCAATGCACGGCTCGTTTGGGCTTTTTCCTCAACACAGCGAACATAGGGACATCTTTACATGCCCCCCTGCACTGGCCAGGGACTCTCCAACAGGCTTCTCTTTCTGACCTCTGCTTACCACAATTTCCAGATGGAGGAAGAAGAAATGGTGAAAGCATTGCCCCTAAATGTTAACGATGATTACCTGAGGAGAGGGGGACTGGCAGAAGAGTGATGGGAGACTTACTTTGTGCATTTCAGTACTATCTGAATTCTTTTCAACAAACATACTATTTCATAATCCTTCCTATTACATGTAACCACCCCCATGGGTCAAGAAGCTGGACTCACCTAGAAGACCAAGACTGAGATGCGAGCAGAGGACTGACTTGCCTGGATGCAACTAACTTGCTAAAAGCAGACGGGTAACTCACTTGGAATACAGTCTCCTCTTTATCTTTTTTCTCTACAGGAGAACTGGTAACACTTCGGGCACTGAGGTTCTCCTTTCTAACAGAAGGGGAAAATTGAAGGCAAAAGGTCATATGTCTTCCTTCACATTCAAGAAGCAGCTATGAGAAAGAGTAGTTTCACATACTTCTGACTGGTTTTGTAAACGGGTTCTGCCACCCCCGAGTTTTTCGGCGTCGACACTGCAGCACTTGAGTTACCGTGAGTGGGTACGACCAGCCTCAGGTGACCTTGCTGGTGCTCACTGTTTCTATGACCAGTTTTTGACTCCATGCGGCACAGCTCCTTCAAAGACACAAGCACAGTGGGGTTTAAATTTTAAGTACCCAAGATGTGTTAGATCCTTTACAGAAAACGATTGACTTTGAGTATCATCAAACACTGAAATCAAAAAGGGACACGCCAAAAGCAAGCGGGCACGTAAAACACAGAAACAAACCAAACCTACCATAAACTTCAGAAAGCAAGAGGTATCAAAATTACCTGTAAACTTTTAACATTTGTATTTTTTGTAGCAGATCCAGAATTTGCCTGTGACCCTTTTCCAGGCGTGGCTTTGGCACTGGAAGATTGTTCACTTGCATCTTTGATGAGGCACAATTTTGGATTCTTAAGTTTTTTGGGAGACTTCACTTTATCAGCAATTGCATTTGAACTCTTTGTTTCACAGAGTTCTCTATTTTTTGGAGTAAATGACACAATGATCCTATTACCAAAGACATCTTCGTTTTCCATTCGCTTCTGAGCGCGCTCTGCACTATCTTGGTTTATGAAGCGGAGAATTGCACTGCAGCCTGTGATACTCAGCACTTTCCCACCACAATTATCGGACAGGCGTCTGAGCCTGTTGCTGACGCTCTTGCCATCCTTATTTGCTGGTAGGTTATAAACATAGAGCAGAGTGTGGCACTGCTAATACAGAGGAAAGAAGTGTTACGTCAGGTTAATTCAAGGGCACACATTCAATTTCAAAATAAGAACAATGGGTGACCTCCAAACTTCAGTTAACAACTTTGAAGAGAAGATGACAGTGATTTAGATGGGAGAGGGTAAATTATTTAGTGTTGACAAAGTAACTGAATATTGTTTTAAAGAATATGCTTTAGCTGGGCATGGTGGTGCATGCCTACAGTCCCAGCTACTCAGGTGGGAGGATTACCTGAGCCCAGGAAGATTGAGGCTGGAGTGACTGTGCCACTGCACTCCACTCTGAGTGACAGAGTGAGACACTGTCTCAAAAAATAAAAATAAAAAAGAATATGCTAGGCACAGAGGTCTGTATACTATATGATTCCATTTCTATAAAGCATCCAGAAAATACAAATCTACAGAGACAGAAAGATTAGTAGTGCCTGGGAGTGGGGAAGGGGATTAATTATAAATTAGCATAATAGATTTACTGAGGTGACAAAAATATTCTAAAATTGTACAACTCAATTTACTAAAAATTATTGTACACTTAAAAGAGCTGAATTTTGTAATATGTAAATCATATCTCAACGAAGTTGTTTTTTAAAAGTCTATTTATTCTGCAGGTCTGCTGAATAATAACTTATAGAGCCAGAAGGTGAGCAGGGTCAGTCCTGGTTGGTTTTTGCATAGGAGAATGCCTGGGAATACTAGGAGCTATAGGCTTAAGTAAACAAAAATTTTTTTAAAACCCAACAATTTAGAGCCTGTTCAGCTTCAACAGCAGATTGCCAGTAGTTAGGCTGGAAGTTTTATTTGGCAGTGGGTAGTCATAATTCTTCCAGATAAGTTGAAATTTATGTATTAAGAAGTAGAACTTGGCCTGGCACAGTGGCTCACGCCTGTCATCGCAACACTCTGGGAGGCCAAGGCAGGTGGATCACCTGAGGTCAAGAGTTGGCGACCAGCCTGACCAACATGGTGAAACCCCATCTCTACTAAAAATACAAAAAAAGTTAGCTGAGCAAAGTGGCAGACGCCTGTAATCCCAGCTACTCCAGAGGCTGAGGCAGAATAATTTGCCTGAACCCAGGAGGCGGAGGTTGCAGTGAGCTGAGATGGCACCACTGTACTCCAGCCTGGGCGACAGAGCGAGATTCTGTGAAAAAAAAAAAAAAAAGAAAGAAAGAAAGAAGGAAGTAGAACTGGAGAAAAAGAAAGAAAAGAGAGAGAGAGAGAGAAAGAACGAACAAACGAACGAACGAACGAACTGGCCAGGCATGGTGGCTCATGCCTGTAATCCCAGCACTTTGGGAGGCCGAGGCGGGGGGATCACTTGAGCCCAGGAGTTCAAAACCAGCCTGAGCAACACAGTGAGACCCCATCTCTATTAAAAATTTTTAAAAATTGCCAGGCATTGTGGCTCACTCCTCTAATCCCAGTACTTAGGGATGCTGGGGCAGGTGGATCACTTGAGGTCAGGAGTTCAAGACCAGCCTGGCCAACATGGTGAAACCTCGTCTACAAAAAACTAGCCAGAGGCTGGGCACGGTGGCTCACGCCTGTAATCCCAGCACTTTGCGAGGCCAAAGCGGGTGATCACCTGAGGTCAGAAGTTCGAGGCAAGCCTGGCCAACACAGTGAAACCCCCTCTCTACTAAAAATACAAAATTAGCCAGGCGTGGTGGCGGGCGCCTGTAATCCCAGCTACTCGGGAGGCTGAGGAAGGAGAATCAATTGAACCCGGCAGGTGGAGTCTGCAGTAAGCGGAGATCACGCCACTGCACTCTAGCCTGGGTGACAGAGTCTCAAAAAAATTTTTTTTAAATAAGAATAATATTTTAAAAAGCAGAACCATTAAAGCACCAGGAGAAAACTTAAGATAATTATATAAAGGGTTAAATCCAGAAACCATAAGAGAAATCACTAACAACAGGCAAAGGATGTGAACAATTTACAGAAGAAATAAAAAGCAAACAACGATAATCATAAAAGGATATTTTGCACTGTGTTAAAGATTAAAAGTCAATTATAAGATGATGCTGTTTTTCACTTACTGGCCTGGCAAACATTTAAAACAGACACTCTTATGAGTGTAAATTAGTACCACCTTCCTGGAGGAAGACATGGATCTTGCTAGTAAAGTTCTAACCCAGAACTCTTATGCCTTGGAAATTACCCTATGGTATGTCAGCCCAGGAGCCTAAAGATATAAATTACCTTGCTGGAAATGGTAAAAAACAAAACAAAACACAAAACTGGGTATAAACAAAATGTCCACTAACAGGTAGACTGGTTAAATAAAGACCAGCCATACAAGTACTTTTCAAACCAAAGTTCTGGTTTTTAAAATGTGGCAGATTTATATTAATATATATTAACATGAAAAGACATCCAAGCTCTGACATAGTTTTTTTCCAAAAGCCACAGAACACTGTATATGTGACACATTTTTTTTTAAACGTACATTTTTTAAATCTGGAGGGCAATACCAAAATATTAACAGTGGTTACTTCTGGAGGGTAGAATTGTGGGGTTTTCACTTTCCACATTTCTAAATATTGTGTTTTGTTTGTTTTTACAATGATCATACCATACTATTCTTTTCTTTCTTTTTTTTTTAGATTTTTTGAGACACAGTCTACTCTGTCACCCAGGCTGGAGTGCAGTGGTGTGATCTCGGCTTACTGCAACCTCCACTTTCAGGTTCAAGTGATTCTCCTGTCTCAGCCTCCCAAGCAGCTAGGACTACCAGTGCCCGCCACCACACCTGGCTAATTTTTGTATTTTTAGTAGAGATGGGGTTTCGCCACATCGGCCAGGCTGGTCTCGAACTCCTGACCTTAGGTGATTGGTGATCTGCCCACCTCAGCTTCCCAAAGTACTGGGATTGCAGGCGTGAGCCACATCACTCGGCCCACACCATACTTTTCTAATCAGAGGCTTTTCTTTTTATTTGAGGGGTACTGACCAATTATCAACAAAATCTACACTTTTCCTATTACACCTGGGACTCAAAACCCAGGCAGTACCAATGTATGTTTAATTTATTAAAATTAAAGGAACAGACTAAAGAACATAAAAAGAAATGTATCTTAAATTATCACTCTAGTGGATGGGAAAAAACATCCAGCAAAACTAAATGGTTTGAATTATCAAAACATTGTTTTGGTTTTTTTAACCATAAGGAATAAGAATCTCCAAAGTGGGCAAGTTCTTACCTAAAACACTACATTTACTTTTTTTTTTTTTTTTGAAACAGAGTCTCGCTCTGTCGACCAGGCTGGAGTGCAGTGGCGCGATCTCAGCTCACTGCAACCTTCACCTCCCAGGAAAAAACACCGTATTTACATAAGGCCTTCAAAGTTAGAAAAGTGACCGTCAAACAGAAGCAGAAGGGAAGAAATGTAACTACAGCCAAGTGACTAAAAACAAATAATGACAAAGGTGAGTTAGGAAAGAGCCTCAAAAGATTAAGGTAAGGCCTGTATATGCTTACTCCCTGGGTAAGCCTCTGGTATCCACAACTCTCAACTGTCCATAGCATGAGTTTCAACTTAAGCCAGACCGCAGGGGGCTTGTTGGGTATCGGGGACACAGGTGACTAGCAGGCAAGTGCCGGAATCAGGATACCCGGGGCCCACTCTCTTAACTGCTGCAATCACCAATGACACGTTTACTTTTTCTAAGAGCTGATTTCTTTCTCCCTTAAATGAAGACTTTGCATGAGATCATGTCTAACGTACTTCTGTAACTCTCAGTTATTAAATTATATGTGAAGACTTTCATTTAACGTATGGGATTGCCCACTCTCCTGGATCACCCACACCATGGCTCCTTCTCCATTATCATTAATTCTTTCAGAGTTACACACATATTCGCCAGCGGCTTAAACACAGCCCAGCACTGCAATAAACATTCTTATCCCAAGTCAAGTCTATCAGAAATGCTAGTCCTGGAAATGTGCTCACACCCTCCTCCCAGTATATGGCATAAACAGGCTACACACAGGTGGAGCAATAACCACTCCTGCTAATTGTGTCCATGCACCACAGGGAATGCACAATAGAAAGCACAGACTCAGAGGCCCGCTGAAGCTTAAGGATTAAATACCGAAAAAAATGCACAATTGACTCCACTTATTTGGTGCCAACCACACAAGTATGTGAGAACCCTCGCCATATTCTCTACCCATAATACTTGGAAGCAAAAAGAATCATGACTTTTAATCCGTTATTTCTATCCACCTGACACAAAACACTGCTAGCTTTGAAGACACTGGCAAGTTGGGAAGGTAAATCTACAAGTCAATTTCATATGATATTTTGAAATAAATAAAAGCAAACTTCATACATACCAATTATCTGTATATTTGTGAGAAGAACCGAAGGTTTCTAAGCCTTACTTCAAAATCTAACCCACCTCTTACAAAGAACAGCCCCATCTGGGCCTGGCAACCCCCTTATTATGGGCTGTCTTTCAGCCTCCACAATGTAATATTGGAAAATGGCAAAAATAACGCAAACCCACTTACTGGCATTTTTAGTGGTAACCTGGGGGGCAAGTCGGAAATGAACTCTTCAAATCTGATCAGCTCGTTAGCATGATGCAGCAGTGCTTCTGAGGCCTGGTTTTTATGGACCAAAATAATGTGGAAACCATGCCTGTGTCTCAGGTCACTAAGTTCCAATGCAAAATTGACATCAGCTGAAAGAAAAGGTACAGACCAACCCCATCCCCAAACATTAGAAACACTTGACAAAGACAGACAACTCTATTGACACCCACTGAGAAGAAAGGAAAGGCTGGACTATATTCAAAATTGCTTCCCCCGTTTCTTAGGAAAGAAACACGTTTCACATCAGAAGAATGTAAGACAATCTTACCAAAAGAATTCCAAGACACATATGTTACTTTCAGTATTAAAAAGGAGCAAATATGTTGGGGAGACTCAAATTTGAAAATTAACTTAAACTTTAAAAATTATTAATACTGAGCACAAGGTAAAAAAAAAAAAAAAAATCACATTTTTCTTTAATAAACCTGGTCCCGGCCGGGCGTGGTGGTTCACGCCTGTAATCCCAGCACTTTGGGAGGCCGAGGAGGGTGGATCACCTGAGGTCAGGAGTTTGAGACCAGCCTGACCAACTGGAGAAACCCCCATCTCTACTAAAAATACAAAATTAGCTGGGCGTGGTGGAACATGCCTGTAATCCTAGCTACTTGGGAGGCTGAGGCAGAAGAATCACTTCAACCTGGGAGGCGGAGGTTGCAGTGAGCCGAGATTGCGCCATCGCACTCCAGCCTGGGCAACAAAAGCGAAACTCCATCTCAAAATAAATAAACAAAAAAATAAAATAAAAAATAAACCTGGTCCCACAATAACTCAAGTTCCAAGGAGGAAATACAGAAATCCACCTAGACCCAATTTTTTTTCTAAACAGTTCTCAACAATAACCATAAACATGTCTCATGTACTTCAGCCTCTTTGGGGATACATTTTACTTTCACATGTTGCTGGCTTCTATGATAATTTCCCACACAGTGAGTTTAGCTGAAATTAGCAGATGTTTCTGTACTTACTTGACACAAGAACCACTGTGGCTGGAGCAGTGTGTGTATTTGCAAATCTGCGGAGACTCTGCCGCAGTTTATCATCAGCGGCATTCTTTGCAGTAGCATTGATGTGGGCAACGGTTACCTGCATTAATTTATAATAAGGGTGAATAAGCAGGAGCTGAGGCTAGAAAATTGCTACACATTCTGCCCATATTTTTTATTTTTTAAATTTTATTATACTTTAAGTTCTGGGGTACATGTGCAGAACGTGCAGGTTTGTTACATAGGTATACATGTGCCGTGGTGGTTTGCTGCACCTATCAACCCATCATCTAGGTTTTATGCCCCCACATGTATTAGGTATTTGTTCTAATGCTCTTCCTCCCCTTCCCCCAACCCCGACAGACAGACCCCAGTGTGTGTTTTTCCCCTCCCTGTGTCCATGTGTTCTCACTGTTCAACTCCCACTTATAAGGCAAGAACATGCACTGTTTGGTTTTCTGTTCCTACATTAGTTTGCTGAGAATAATGACTTCCAGCTTCATCCATGTCCCTGCAAAGGACATTATCTCATTCTTTTTTATGGCTGCATAGTATTCCATCGTGTATTATGTGCCACATTTTCTTTATCCAGTCTATCACTGATGTCTGCCCATATTTTAATAAGTAATTCTTGAGAAAAAAATTCTTATTACTATTGGGAATGGTAAAAAATTACAACAGATCTCAGTAATCTCAACATTGGTTCTTGATATGAACTGGGTTTGTGACTAACCCTGCTCTCATCTCCAATCTTCTGTTTTTGCATTTCTTTCATCCTCCTTTCAGAAAATAAGTAGAATATAGGAAGTGAAATTTGAACTCAGTTAAATTTGCTCTAATAGCTTCTGCCAACAATTTGGAGGTGGTAAAGATCAGACAAATGACTAAAATAAGATTTAAGGCTGTGTTTTATGTCAACTGTCCATGCTACCCATGCAAGCTTGTGCAATCTGCCTTTTGTTGTTGTTTTCTGTTTTGTTTTGTTTTGGGCTTTTAGCAGCTGGAAGCCATAGTTTTTAGTTTCCGTCCCTACTAATAAGCAGAAAAGAGAGATAAGGAAGGTGCTTTACTAGCCCAACCAGAAACAGAAACTGAGAATCCATGATTGTATTCTCTCCCTTGGACACCCCTGGATGGCTTTCAGGATCTGGGGTGAGGTGGTAGAGAGAGGAGGGAGGATATCCCCTAAGGGAGCTAAAATGCATTTATTTCTGTTAAAACTATCAGGCTCGCATATAAGTCCCCAAAGGAAGGAAAGGTTTATTTTGAGAAAGTTGCCTCAGGCACCTGCAATACACAATAATAACTTGCTGGTTTTTGTAAAGAACATGGGTATATCATTTTAGACAAGCAATATGGACTATCAATATAATTAATTATCTAAGAGTCAAAAGACCCAAATTCTAGTTTCAGCTTAAAAGCAGACTCTGGGGGTCAGACAAATCTAGATTTGGATCTTTGCTCTTCCTGGCCAAGTGATCTTAAACAAGTTTCTTCACCTCTCAGGGCCTTAGTTTAATTTGTAAATTGTGAATTATATATTCTACGTGCCTGGTTCAAAGAGCAGTAATGAAAATCAAAGGAAATAATACATATATAACCATTATACCAGTATAGAACTAAAATATAAATTAGGGAGCATAACTGAAAGAATGATTAAATTATTTCTAGTACTTTGGAAGTGATCTTTTGCTAATTTATTTTATTTGAAAACTTGGCACAAATGCAATATCATTAAACAAATTTTCAATCAGAATTCTAAAAAAAAAAAAAACACCACACACACACACACACACACACACACACGTACAGCACTTTTAGAGGCCAAGGCAAGAGGACTGCTTGATCCCAGGAGTTTGAGACAAGCCTCCACCACCTAACCCTGGATCCTGAAAGCCATCCAGGGGTGTCCAAGGGACAGAATACAGTCATGGGTTCTTAGTTTCTGTTTCTGGTTGGAACATAGGGAGACCTCGTCTCTACAAAAAATAAAAAATGAGCCGAGCATGATGGCGTGCATCTGTGATCCTGGCTAGTTGGGAGGCTGAGGTGGGAGGATCACTGGGGTCCCAGGGTTCGAGGCTGCAGGGAGCCATGAATGCGTCACTGCACTCCAGCCTGGGTGACACTTAGACTCTGTCTCAAAACAAACAAACAAACAAATATCTGCTTATTCCTCTACTGTAGATTAAAATTATTAAATTTTTTTTTTTTACCTGGCAATTATTCAGCTCTTGAATAACTTCCTTGTTTTCTTTACTGATGTCACATACACAGATGAATTCTGCTTCTCTGTGGCCTTTAAAAAACTTCTCACGGATTCTTTGCACAACAGCAGTTGCTGACCGGCCAGAGGGAACGGAGCAGTTTTCAATATCCCAAAAAACTCCAATGGGGGGTAAGTTTTCTAGCACCTGTCCAGCTACTGCAACTTCTGGTGACCCTTAAGAAATGTTAACATTTTCAATTACTTGTAGTGGAAAATAAATGGCAAGTTACAATAAGATAATAAACTACCTATCATTCTCAGTGGTAGAAAAACTAAATTATTAATGAATGCCAAGTTTTAAGGCTACCAACCTCACTGGTTGACCTAATAAGCAATCAAGCTGTCAAAAAGTATCACTCTAAGAGATTATTTCTGTTTTTCAGGAGAAGACAAATCTAAAAGTCAAGTAACTTTAAGCCCACAATAAATCCACCTCCAAGCATGAGCCACTCTGACATTAAGCAGTGATGCTTCTCTGAACACAAGCACACTAACTGACCGGATACTGCAGCTCCAGGACCCGACTTTCAAGCTTAGCCCACACTTATCTACCTACTTGGTAGTAACCAACACTGAGGAGCTGACAAAGGGTGAAGCTGTTACTGTCGTTGATTTTGAGTTAACGCTGCATTAACATCTGATTTAATATTTTAAAAATGTTTTCAAAACGTCGCATTAACTACTTTTTAGGGAAATTATTTTAACTGAGAACTCTTTGGTTTTCAAATACTGTTTTTAATCAGCCATTAGTAAATTGTTCTAAGCACTTCTAGGGAGTATACCATCAACAAGTGTGATTTCCAACCTAAGGTGACACCAAGTCTTTTCCAGCACTTTTATTTCTCCTGATATACTACCAATTTTTCTATACACAGCTTCTGTGTATAGCCTCGGCCCAACATAAAGGGCAAATGACTTCCTGGTCCATAATAATAAAAAGATTTCTACCAAGATATGGAATTGGAGACTCACATACACAGTAGCTTTAGAACCATAAGGAATCCTTCAAAGGTGATTAAATGCAATGTTAGTATGAGATATTGAAAGCTATTTAAATATGCACATTTTATGCCATACTGTCATTTACCAAATTTTGAAGCAGCTTTGCCTAGACTGGTCGCCAATAACAACGTGGTCTCCTTCCCTGTTCCTTTGGTTCCACAGCCATTACACAGAGGGACAGCAAGAGGTGCAGGTTGAGTATTTGGAGGTGGTATATTTGGCCAGACTTTAGCCGCATCGATTATGCTATTTCTTGCTGGCTGTTTTAAATTTTTTTTAAAAAGGAGGAGGTGTCAGATACATCATTTCAGAAGCTGGAGTTATATACAACAACTGAAAATACACTCTAAGTGTTTTACCTTTCCACTTGCTAGCCTCTAATAAAAAGGACTTTCAAATAATCTTTCCAAGAACCATTAGCTATCAGTTCATAAATTCATTTCCAGAAGTGACTTGACATGATCAAGAAAGATATTCACGTGGTCAGATCTTTACATTCTGGGGCATGAGTCTGCTGCAACGAAGACCTCACACATATTTTACATAAAGGGTAGCAAAGTCTCACTTGAACACCAATGTGACTGAGGCCAAGCTTCAGGTTTCCCACATTATTGCAAAAAGACAACATGCAGTTATCTACCTTACATGAATGGGCCCATGTGTAAGCTGAATGTAAGTTATAAAAAATCCATCGTGCTTTAGCCTTTAAACATAGAACACGAAGGCTTTGCCAACCTCTTGTTTGCAACAAGAGGCTCTAAAAGTATAAACTACAAAAATAATGACTCTCTACTTTTTTGAATGATCTCCCATCTTACCCTTTGTTTCTTTCAGAACCAGCAAAAATTATGCTGATGGGGAGATTCCCCTATACCATGGGAGAATCTTCAACCCCATGTATAATACTTTTCAAGATAAATCCACTTCAAAAGTCATTCCTCAATCCTCAGCTGCACCCAACTTAAGAAATAAAAAGATACGAACCTTGTTTAGACAGTCTTCGCAGTAAAGTGAGCCCTTTAAACAAACCGGAGGTACCACATTAAGGTGCAAAGAGTTGGTGCACAAGTGAGGCGTTAGCTCCGACTGTGAAATGTGCTCTTCCAAATGCCCTGGAGCCCCGCTTGTGAAATCAGAACAGGGGAAATAGCCAGCGGAGGTGCAGCCCTGCAGACTCGGAAACTGATGCAGCTTGTGCACATTACCATGACATGACTGGAAGTGGAGTTTTCCACAACAGGGCAGGTGTTTGCAGGAAGACAGGTTACTCTCTAGACACATGCTGGGAAAGTCACTTGCAATGCCTGCCAAATTGTTCCTAGCTGAGGCATTCTGGAGTGAAGATGCAGACTGGAAAGCAAACCCTGACCCTACCTGACACGTGATTGTCCTGGTGCTTTGCGAGTCTAACAGTGCGCCCGGGTGAATCAAGCTACTGGTACCTCCGCTACCGCCACCACCACCACCAAAACGCATTGGCGAAGTGGAGGGTTCATTAGGGCAATGAGCACAGCAGCTTACTTTGGGGACAGAAGAAAGCTGTATTTTAGGCTGCTGAAGAGAACGAATATCAGGAAGTGGGACTGCTGGAAAAAGCTTAGAGCCAGCATGAAGGGGTGATGGTACATCCTTTAGTTCCACAGCAACTTTCTTGTTCTCCATGTACTCTTTCTGAGAAAAGAAAATCAGAACATAAATTAATTTTATGAGGTCCGTGGTTTTTTGGTTACTCATATCTTACTGCATGCACAAACAGAAATAGTGTTCAATTCTGTTACATCACTAAATCATAACTGAACAAAATGGAATCACAGCTAGTTAAAACCAGGAACATTCTTCAGAGAGGTCTGCAGGACATGAACACTGGAACACACAACTAAAATTAAGACTACATTCTTCCTGAATTGAAACAGACTGGGGTGGGAGGGCCTGTTTACATCTTTAGCAGCCACCATGCCTCAGTAACTTCCTTTTGGTAATTTCCCCTTGCCTCACAGAATCTTCTGAAGACAAAATAGGTGGTATGAAAACAACCCCTCACAAACAGCATTCAATAAAGATGGCTAACACACACAGTGGTTTGAGGACAATACTTAATAGTTCTGTGGTCAGGCCATAAGGGGTTTTAGTAAGATCCCCCAAAGGAAAAGAGTAAAGTTTCAAACACAGATGAGATCAGCCATCTACCCAGATGGCCCATCCGTGTTGCTGATGACATTTCATAAACCCTAAGATATCATGACCTAAAGCCATAATGACAATTATATTGCAGCCAGTGAAAAGATTTAGAGAATTAGAAAACTATCCAAGAAAAAGATCCAAGACAAATAGTTTGCCACATGACTCCAACACAGACACAGGAAGCCAGTATATTACAAAGGTTCTGAGCAGAGCATCAGTGGCAGAGACCTGGGTTAGAATCTGATACTCAATAGTTGTATGACCTTGGGTAAGTTACTTAACCTACACTTTGGTTTCCTCATCCATAAACTGGGAATACAATATACCTCCTAGAGTTGCTAGGAGGATAAAATAAGATAGAGCACATAGACCACCTGGCACAGTACCTAGCCACTGAAAGGGGACTGAATTCATCAGCCTTCACAGGCTGACTGCAAGAGACATTAAGATGAAGAGGGGGCCCTGCTACAGTGACTGAGACGTGCTCACCGTTCACAGCATATGAGGGTCCATCTGACGCCTAAAATTCCACTCCCTTTGCTGTGATTCTACACTCACCTGGGAGCATAGGCTCATCTGGAAGAAATGTGAATTTTCAGCTAAACTTTCCCTAAAAGGGAGATAACAGCAACGGGCTGACCAGCCAATGAACTGCCCTCTTGGTAATTATAGTTCAGACTGAAATTAACACACTGGTATTCTGATTTATACAGATCAGGCTCATACAGGCAGGCTTACTATGAGTTGATCCCCTGAACCTACTCCATTCTGCATGCCACTGACAAAATTGAGTTTCAAGATCTGTAAAGTTGACCGTGTAATTCTGAATTGTGTGACTCCATGAGGACCAGATCTACCACCCCATCCCAGGAAGCCTTGCTTTTGATGCCAACCCTCACTGTCAACTGTCTCTAAAATAAAACACTCCTAAAATGACCCAAATTACTTGATGTCTTGCAACAAAGACAACTATATAGTGAAAACCTAGAGAAAATAGAGAATTAAACTGGTTTTTAAAAAGTTATTAATACCCGGCCAGGCGCGGTGGCTCACGCCTGTAATCCTAGCACTTGGGAGGCCGAGGCGGGTGGATCACCTAAGGTCAGAAGTTCAAGACCAGCCTGGCCAACACGGTGAAACCCCATCTCTACTAAAATACAAAAATTAGCCAGGCATAATGGCGAGTGCCTGTAAACCCAGCTACTAGGGAGGCTGAGACGGGAGAATCCCTTGAACTAGGGACAGTGGTTGCAGTGAACCCGGATCGTGCCACTGCACTCCAGCCTAGGGGGCTGAGCCGAGACTCTGTCTCAAAAAATAAAATCAAATAAAAGTTGTTAATACCCTTATATAAAATTATATTACAGTCTCACTTGAATCCCACATACAATAGAAAATAAGAAATAGAAAGGTGGTAACATGAGTGCATGAAGTCAGGAAATGTCAAAATTGGCTGGACGCGGTGGCTCACGCCTGTAATCCCAGCACTTTGGGAGGCTGAGGCGGGAGGATCACTTGAGGTCAGGAGGTCAAGACCAGCCTGGCCAACATGGCGAAACCTCGTCTCCACTAAAAATACAAAAATTAGCCAGGCATGGCAGCACAGGCCTGTAATCCCAGCTACTGAGGAGGCTGAGGCAGGAGAACTGCTTAAACCTGGGAGGCAGAGGTTGCAATGAGCCGAGATCGCACCACTGCACTCCAGCCTGGGCCACAGAGCAAGACTGCACCTCAAAAAAAAAAAAGAAAATGTCAAAATCACAATGAGTAAGCAAGAAGTTAGAGACATAAATGTATACTGAGAAGTAAATATTCAAGAGAAATCTCGAAATAAAAAACAGGCAGTGGATAAGCTCTTCCCAACCCTTCCTAGATTATAGACTCAAAACTCAAGAGGGCTACAGTAAAATACAACATATTTTGTATTTTCCTCTGATTTTACTCCACAATGTGGATTTTTAATCTTTGTTACCTGTGACTTTAATGAGGAAGAAATCTTTCCCAAATTTTAACATTAAATATTCAAGGCATCTACTGTTACTCAAAGTGAAATAGAAGAGTTAAAAAATTGTGCTGTGCTCTCACATTATAATGTGGTATAAGAGGCAATACAGGCAAGATCTACAGAAAAATGTGGCACAGACTCTAGGATGAGAGACTGTATCCCAGACCAAATGGACCTCTCTCATCTATTTGGATGAGGAATCTGCTACATCCTTAGTCTTGCATATAGTTACCGTTTGGGGACTATGTGGCAGCGTCTGCTCAGGACGAGAAAAGCAATTAGAGAATTTCCAAAGCCATGGCTTAGCATCATTATCTTGTTGAAGCCATCCACGTGTTCTACTGCAGGAGTTCTCAGTTCCGTTTCCTTCCATCATACAGCCATGCAAAGTGATTCAACATCCTTTCATCTTTCTTTTCTTTCATTCTTCCACCCTGTTAAGAATGAGTAAGATTTCAGTGTTATTTCCTTGCATAAGTACAAATTTTACAACATACTAAAATGTGAAACCACAGCTATATTTACAGTCCTATGGCTCTCAACAATTCAAATCTTTGTTTCAAGAGGAAGTCTCGCTCTGTCGCCCAGGCTGGCATGCAGTGGTACGATCTCAGCTCACTGCAACCTCCGTCTCCCGGGTTCAAGCGATTTTTCTGCCTCAGCCTCCAGAGTAGCTGGGACTACAGGAGCCTGTCACTATGCCTGGCTAATTTTTATATTTTTAGTAGAGATGGGGTTTCACCAAGTTGGCCAGGCTGGTCTTGAACTCCTGACCTCAAGTGATCCACCCTCCTCGGCCTCCCAAAGTGCTGGGATTACAGGCATTAGCCACTGCGCCCGGCCAACAATTCAAATCTTAACAAACAAAATAATAATAATAAAATAAAGAAAGAAAAAAACACAAAATATCAGAGCATATTACGGGTTAATAAAATTTGGTAAACTTGGTTGACTGTTTATGCTTAAAATCTAACTGCAACAACCTGATTTCTTAAAAAATCTATAATCTGCCATTCTTCATGTTTCATAGCTCTTCAAATAAAAAATGAACTCTCCATGAGTCTTGTTTCCTTTCCACATGTAACCATGTTTGAGAGAGGTAGCCATATCTTGGAAACTTGCATATTCCAGAGTGAGACTTCACCTCCTCACTTGGCTGGAATCAATTTTTTCTACAGTTTTTCTGAATTCTTTTCGGCTCTCTCTCCCTAAAGATGCTGCTCAGGAAAGTCAAAAGTTAACAGAAGAGAGCATCTAATCTGAGTAAAAGAGCCACCACCACATCCTCATTGACAACTATATGTAAGATTTTAAAATTGACTTAAGAGCAACTTCTTGCACTGGTTTCTTGATCTGAGCATGAAAAGTCCAAACTAAGTGGCCTCTGTGGACTTTGAATTTGATTTGCTACAGAACAAATTGAACCAATTTCTTAGTTTACTAATGATGAAAGTGCAATCTGATATACCACCAAAAATCTAACTGATAGAAAAATCTCAAGTCGCAGATGTGTTATATCTACGCCAGAGCAACAACACTCTTACAGGTCTTAACAATAAATGCAAGCGAGGCACCGTGGCTCAGGCCTGCAATCCCAGCACTTTGGGAGGCCAAGGTGGGTGGATTGCTTGAGCCCAGGAGTTCCCAACCAGCCTGGGCAACATGGCAAAACCCCATGGCTACAAAAAATTAGCTGAGCGTGGTGGTGCATGCCTGTAGCCCCATCTACTCAGGAGGCTATGGTGGAAGAATCACCTAAGACTGCGTAGTCAAGGCTGCAGTGAGCTGTGATTGCACCACTGCACTGCAGCCTGGGCGACGGAGTGAGACCCTGTCTCAAAAACCAACAAACAAAATTACATGAAATTAAAATGTCAGTGTCCATAAATAAAGTTTAATTGGGACACAGACACACTCATTCACTTAAATACTGCCTATGACTGCTTTTGCATTCCAATTGCAGAGTTGCAAAGAGAGTCTCTGCAAAGAGACTGTATGGCCCACAAAGCCTATATTTACTACGTGGCTCTTTTGTCAGCCTGGGCAATATAGCAAGATCACAGCTCTAAAATAAAATAAAGTTCAAAAAATTAGCATAGTGTGGCAGCATGCGCCTAGTCCCAGCTACTAGAGAGACTGAGGTAGGAGGATCTCTTGAGCCCAAGAATTTGAGGCTACAGTGAACTATATTGTGCCACTGGCCCTTCAGCGTGGGCAACAGAGTGAGATTCCATCTCTAAAAAAATTTTTGTTTTCAAGTTTCTGTTTCCTCCTATGCAAAATGTGGCTAATTTCTCCCCGCCACTGCATTACAGAGAAAAAAAAAATTAGATAAATGAACCCCACTGTCTATTTTCACCACTGTATCTCTTGTGCCAACCAAAATGCTCCCTACTCTGTAAATACAAAGTAAACATTACCTACTACACACTATTGGGAGTGGTTAATTTGGAGATGGATTTAACTGCTACCACTGATAGTAAATTACGATTCTTGTCTTTCCTATTAGATACAGGTTTTATGTCCCCCAAAAAACTCCTCTCAAAATCGTAAGAATCTGTGATATTCACAGTGTTCATAACTTAAACATTCTCTCAAACTTCTTCAAAGCCAAATCCTGAAAGTGAGCTAACATTCACAGTATAATCTAGTTTATAAAGTATTTTCACTTAACATTACTTATGTCTTCATTCAGCAAATATTTACTTAGTATCTACTATGCAGCAGGCCTGTGCTTGGCACAAGGAATATAATGATGAAAAAAACCCAGACGGTGGGATCCTCTTATATAATTTTTGCAATAATCCTGTGAAATAGACAGGGGAGAAATTAGCTACATTTTTGCAGAGAGAGAAAAAGAAACTTAATGAAGTTTTGTAGCGAGCCTGACACAAGATTAGGCTTGTTCACCCCTTTCCACTACATCAAGGTGCCTTCAATACTGCTCAATACAAGCGATTAAAAGTAAAAACTTTCAGGTGCCTGCACCCTGAAAACTTCCCAAATACCATCCACGAAGCAACTTAGGTAGCCAAAAGCAGGTTCTGTTTGACTTGAGCGACAGTCTCCTTTCTGTCACTCTCTTCAAGTCTTTTGACCAATTCAATGAGGAGAGCATAGGCTCTGTCGACTGTCTGCATTTTGGTCTCCAATTTGACTGCGGTGCAGCTTTGGACAACTCACAACCTCTCTGAACCTCAGATCCCATCTCTAAAATGGGTGTGATAATAATAGAAACCACCTTACAAGGCCGTTGTTTGGATTACATGAGGTAATCCACGGGGAACATTTAGCAAATGTTGTTTCCTTAGCACCCAATCTAGTCTTTGACCCCACACCACCCCATCCCATTACCGTTTTCTCCCCCATAGCTCTTCTGTCCAAAACGGCCTTTTTAGCTTATTTTATTATCTTTCTCCCCCATTAGGCTATAAACTCCATGACAGCAGAGACTATGTTTTCTTATCCACTATTCCAACTCCTGTCCTTAGTACAATGCCTGGCATATTTTAATAAATAACTGTTGAACGAATAAAGCTTAATAAATAGGAAAACAGTTTAGGTTTCAATACACCGATATGCAAAAGAGAAGAATATTTACCGCTCAGAGAAGTCCAAAAGACACAAATGCAATTGGACAGCTCTTGGTAATACCGGAAAGGTGCTTGAGAAACTCTAAAAGGTGTATCACGAGGTCGCGTTACAACTACTAGTGAGAGTGGCTGAAGCCCTAGACATTGTCAACCCTGAGACTACACCCTATGTGTTGCTAAAAGGCCGAGGAGAATGCAAAACGGCCGGGGAGGGGGGAGTGTGTTGCAAAAACACCCGCCCCTTTCCTTCTCTCTTAACCTTCCAGCTGTGCACTTCACTCCTGGAGGGCCCCACCAGGGGTCAGACAGGGGCGGGCGGGGAGCCAAATGCCCTCGAAGGGGAACAGCGGCGCCAACAGTGACAGTAGTGAATGGACCCGAAAGGGAGACAAGCCAACTCTTTCGTGGGGGGCCCAACTGGCGCGTCCCAGTTAGCTAACCTCCCCTCTCCACCACCATCCCACCAGCAATAGGCGGGGAAAGAGGGGACACTGTCCTCCGTCCCGCCCCGCTGGCCTCGGAGCAGAGCCTGCCGGGGTCTGGTCGCAGGACTGTCTGCAAACTCACCTCTGCCGCCGGCTCCACCTCCGCTCACATTCCGGCCCCGCCGCCTTCCCCCCGCCCCCCCCAGGCCCTTTGTTTTGATTCCCGACTCCGCAGCTCCCGCCGCCGCCGCCAAGCGCACCCTTCACTTCCGCTTCCGCACCGCACCGCCCCTGTCGCAAAACCGACGCCCTTCTCTCCTCTTCGCCCCGCCCCTTCCTCGCCCCGCCTCCGCCGCCGCGTCCTGTCCGCGCGGGGCATGCTGGGAACCCCGGGGGGGGCGGGGCCTCGCGGCCCTGCAGCCTCGTCAGGCTCAGTCCCCTCCCGATAAACCCCTAAATAGGGACTTTCCCGGGGGGTGACCCTGGCTTTTTTGGCGAAAACCCCCAGTTTAAGGAGGCCTTCCCCCTGGCTTCACGTTGTGGAGTCGAAAGGAACCTTGAAGCGGAGAATGAGCTCGTGACGTGGACCCGAGGAAAAAACCTGCCAACCAGGATTTAATAGAATTCAGCTCTTTCAGGCTTTGGAGGGAAGGCGATTTGAACGGGATTTCAATGAAAAACCCTGTCCCTTCGGCTTTTTTTTTTTCCTCTCTCGGGTCTCGTCACGTGATGGTCCTACTTTATTTTTAAAAATTAAATGGCGCATATTCCCCAGCATCCTAAATCTAGTGCAACCTAGTGGCAAGTGGAGAAAAAAATAACTGCCAACCTGGCTTCCTACGAGGTCCCCCGGAGTTCTCGCAAAGTTGCGACCCAGTTGGCAAAAATACAGTGTGTGCAAAGACTCAACTGGACATTGCCACCAAGAATCAAGAGATTTTTGGGGACTTTAGCAAGAAAACGTTATTTTTAAAAGCCCTGCTCCAAAGCTGGTTACAAATGAATACTGCGTTTCCAGTGACAGGTTGGGCGAGCAGAAAGGAAATCTTACGGTTAGTTTCAAACACTTTGTGTTTTAGGTGGCCAGATATGCTGTGTGGTTTGCTTTAAAAAAAAAAATAGCGCCCCACAATCTTCACGTTTCCCTGGAATAAAAAAAAATTTAAGACTCAGCAAAAGGGTGATTTCTGAAACTACCAGCTGATTACTATTTTCTGTTGCAAATTAGGAAAAAAGCAAAGCACATATTGTGTAAGTTAAATCTAGACACGATTTAGGATGTGCTAGCTGCTAGCTAAATGCTACCTTAGGAGTTTATTTTTAAAGTTTGCCCAGAAACAAGTTGACTTTGCAAAAGAATCAGTAAGTCGAAATTGCCAAACGAGAATATTTTGCCCAAAAAAATCCTTACTGGGAGGTTATTTCAATAGGCAATCCCCATTACGTGGGGATTAACACATCCCTGTAAACATCCCTGTAGACGGGTATTGTGGAGGGCAGGATCAGACATGTAGCTGAAGAATCCTTTGTGCCTGTATTTAATTTTCCAGAAGGCAGATGACAAGCACACATCCTCTCCCTGCGTAGGTATTTATTACTGCTGACTAAATCTTGACTGTGGGCTGGGCGCAGTGGCTCAGGCCTGTATTCCCAATACTTTGAGAGGCTACGGAGGGAGGATCTCTTGAGCCTACAAATTTGAGACTAGACTGGGAAACGGTGAAACCCTATCACTATTTAGAAAAGAAAGAAAAAGAAAAAAATCTTCATTATGTCTGTGTATAGGTAGTATTTTCCAAGTGGAGATTAGAATAGATGAAAAACCCGTTTCTAGCGTTTTGGCTTTTTTCAAAGTACCAAACAAATACGCTACTCTTCAGAGGTGTTTTTTCCCCATTTTATTTCAGTTGAGTATGTTTCAACACAAGCCATATTAACTAAAAATCTTAAGAAACAAGGTAATTGTAGGTTTCTAATTGCTTTTTTTAAAAAATAGTTTTTAGCCAGAAAACATCAAAGAATGCAGACACATTTCCTTTTTACTTTTTTTTTTTTTTTTTTTGAGACAAAGTCTTGCTTCATTGCCCAGGCTGGAGTGCAGTGGCAGGATCTTGGCTCACTGCAGCCTCCACCTCCCGGGTTCAACCGATTCTCATGCCTCAGCCTCCTGAGTAGCTAGGATTACAGGCGCCCACCACCATGCCTGGCTAATTTTTGTGTTTTTAGTAGAGACGGGATATTGCCATGTTGGCCAGGCTGGTCTCGAACTCCTAGCCTCAAGTGATCCTCCCGCCTCGGCCTCTTTAGGATTACAGGGCTGAGCCAACGAGCTTGACCACATTTTCTTTATATGTATATTTTTCTTTTAGATTCCTTTTTACCAAGCAGACACATTTTGTTTGACTTAGCTTGGCATTCTTTCAAGTCCAAAGCTGTAACTAGTCACAACAAGTAAATGTAGTGATTGAAAATGGGCGGGGCATGGTGACTCATGTCGTAATCCCAGCACTTTGGGAGGCTGAGACAGGAGGACCCCTTGAGGCTTGGTGTTTAAAACCAGCCTGAGCAACATGGTGTGACACTTGTCTCTATTAAAAAAATTTTTAAAAACAAAACAGTCGTATTAAGTGGAAGGCTAATAAAAGTCTGAATTACAAATACTTTTAAAAGAAATGTAATTTTATTGCTGCTTTCTAAAGACTAGGAGCCTAAGCAAAGTATACCAGGCCTTAGGAGACAATTATGAATCAAAATACATAAATTTTCTCTTAAGATATATTTTAAGTATGTATCCTCTATTAATTGTATTCCTGTTTCTTTGCTGGGAAAACTTTAGAGAGTACAAGTAACTTTCAGTTTTTCCCTTGTCCAAATTATAGTCTTCACATGTATGAAAACCGAAAGACTTTTTTGTGTGCTATTTAAGTAGCTACTTTACATGCAATTCAGCTTTTCAACTAACCAAGCTGTTATTAAAGGAGTTTCTCCCCAGAAACCAATCTTCTACCTGTATTAGGTTCAGTGGTTTGAATTAATAAATGATCATGGAAGGACCTAAGGAAGTTAAATTGAGTTATCTGCTCAGCCATAGTCCAAAGCTACAAGGAAAACAAATTGAATTTAAAAAGAACAAGAAAAACATTTTAAATGTTTTTAAGGTTTTACCCAATGACAAACCTATTTCCCTAAATGTTGTTCCCAAATAGGACTTTAAGGATTATTATTTCAATGCCCTCTCTTTTTTCTTTATGGAAAATTTGGGAAATTGAGAACCAACTAGTTTAAATACCTTGATCAAAGCCATTTAGGCAACACCAGTACCTCATCAGTTTGTGCTTCGGTTTCTCTGTAAGCTGAGGTGATTAGTTCCTGTCCAGAAACGTCACAGAGTGGTTAGGGCCAAATAAAATTCCGAGGGGGGCCAGGCGCAGTGGCTCACGCCTGTAATCCCAGCACTTTGGGAGGCCGAGGCAGGTGGATCACTTGAGGTCAGGAGTTCGAGACCAGCCTGGCCAAACCAACATGGTGAAACCCTGTGTCTACTAAAACTACAAAATTAGCTGGACGTGGTGGTGCACACCTGAAATCCCAGCTACTCAGGAATCTGAGGCAGGAGAATCGCTTGAACCCAGGAGGAAGAGGTTGCGGTGAGCCAAGATCGTGCCACTGCACTCCAGCCTGGGCAACAGAACGAGACTCCGTCAAAAAAAAGAAAAAAAAAATCCAAGGGGGGTTAATACCAGCTACTTGGTAGGCTGAGGCAGGAGAATCGCTTGAACTGGAAGGTGGAGGTTACAATGAGCCGAGATCGCACCACTGCACTCTAGCCTGGGCGACAGAGTGAGATTCCATCTTAATGAATAAGTAAATAAGTAATAAAATTCCTAAGGGGAGGCTTGGTGTGGTGGCTCATGCCTGTAATCCCAGCACTTTTGGAGGCTGAGGCGGGTGGAGCACTTGAGGTCAGGAGTTCAAAACCAGCCTGGCCAACATGGTGAAACCCTGCCTCTACTAAAATAGAAAAATTAGGTGGGCATGGTGGTGAACACCTGTAATCCCAGCTAGTCGAAAGGCTGAGGCAGGAGAATCGCTTGAACCCGGGAGGTGGAGGTTGCAGTGAGCCGAGATTGCAGCACTGCACTCTAGCCTGGGCAACAGAGTGAAACTCTGTCTCGAAATAAAATAAAATTCCAAGGGGGAAGGCATCAGACGTAGTAAAGTGTGAAGCAGCATGTAAATGATTCATTAATGTTTGGGAAGTTTCCTGAAAGACATTTGGTACTTTCCTTAAACCTGTTGATAGGTGGTGGGGTTCCCCTTTGTGCCTCTAAGCAGTTTTTAGGAATTAGCAAGGAGTTCAAAGTAGAATTTGAGAAAGGCTGTTGTAGGATAGCAGGAAGGCAAGATGGGGTGGGAGATCCTGTAATAGCTAAGATCTCTTTGCCTCTAGCATAGTGCTGAAGAAGGAGGGTTTAGGAGTCAGAGCCAGCTCTGAAGCCTGATTTGTTAATTACTAGTTGTAAGACCTCGGACAACTCAATTAACTTCCTGCACCTTTATTTTCTTATCTTTAACATGGATACAATTTAATGCTTTCCTGTGGTTCATCACCTGTGGTTCAGTTGCATGGTCTCCTCTCTACAGTGGCCTTCCCTGACTATAGCATCTGAAGTGACCCCTCCCAGCCCGTTGTATCAAATGGGCTTGCCTTAGTCATAGCACTTATCAGTATCTGAAATGACGTTACTTTTTCTGCTTATAGATTTAGTATGTTTCTCTCTTAACAATATAAGCCCTTTGAGGACAGGTACTTTGTCTGACTGTATTCACTGTGCTGTAAGGGTGCATTGTACAGAAGAATGCTCATAATGCCGGGTGCTGTGGTTCATGCCTATAATCCCAGCACTTTGGGAGGGAGGCTGAGGCAGGAGGATCACTTGAGCCCAGGAGTTCAAGACCAGCCTGGGCAACATAGTGAGATCCACGTCTCTACAAAAAAATGTAAAAATTAGCTGGGCGTGTTGGTGCACACCTGTGGTCCTAGCTACTCCGGAGGATGAGGTGGGAGGATCACTTGAGCCTGGGAGGTCCAGGATGCAGTGAGCTTTGATTATGCCACTGCACTCCAGCCTATGTCACAGGGTGAGACTCTGTCTCACAAAAAAAAAAAAAAGCTGGATAATAATATATATATTTTTAGTTTTTATGGGTACACTGTAGGTGTTTATATTTATGGGGTACATGAGATATTTTGATAACAGGCATGCAATGCATCATAATCACATCAGGGTAAATGGGTGTCCATGACCTCAAGCATTTATCCTTTCTTTGTGTTACAAGCACTCCAATTATACTCCTTTAGTTATTTTAAAATGTACAATACATTGTTGTGGACTGTAGTCACCCTGCTGTGCTCCCAAATACTAGATCTTATTCATTCTAACTCTATTTTTGTACCCACTAACCAGAATGTTCGGTATTTGTTAATGAACATGTTATGACAGGATGTTTTAGAAGAAAATAAAGAAAAAAAGAAATTCCAGCCAAGCATGGTGGCTTGATTTTATTTATTTATTTATTTTGAGATGAAGTCTCCCTCTGTCTCCCAGGCTGGAATGCAGTGGCGTGATCTCCACTCACCGCAACCTCTGCCTTCTGAGTTACATGGCTCACGCCTGTAATCCCAGCACTTTGGGAGACTGAGGTGTATTGCTTGAGGTCAGGAGTTCGAGACCAGCCTGGCCAACACAGTGAAACCGTGTCTCTACTAAAAATACAAAAAATTAGCTGGGCGTAATGGTGGGCGCCTGTAATCCCAGCTACTAGGGAGACTAAGACAAGAAAATCGCTTGAATCTGGGAGGCAGAGGTTGCAGTGAGCCGAGATCGCACCATTGCACGCCAGCCTGGGCAACAAGAGGGAAACTCTGTCTCGAAAAGAAAAAAATTATTTTTTAATTTTAATTTGTTAGTGAACAATTAGGGTTGCTGTGAGAATTGTGCCTGGCACACACAGCCATTTAAAAATCACGATCTTCAGGCAGTGTGTGGTGGCTCACGCCTGTAATCCCAGGACTTTGGGAGGCCGAGGTGGGTGGATCACCTGAGGACAGGGATTCGAGAGCAGCCTGGCCAACATGGTGAAACCCCGTCTCTACTAAAAATATAAAAATTAGCCGGGTGTGGTGATGCGGGCCTGTGATCCCAGCTACTCGGGAGGCTGAAGCAGGAGAATTGCTTGAACTCAGAAGGCAGAGGTTGCAGTGAGTGGAGATCACGCCACTGCATTCCAGCCTGGGAGACAGAGGGAGATTTCATCTCAAAATAAATAAATAAACAAAATCAAGATCATTTAACAAATACATATATTGTACTTACTAAGTTCAAATTTCTGTTCTAAACGTTTTTACAAATGCTGTTAAGTCATTTAGTCCTCTGCATAATGTCGTTTGTTTGTTTGTCTGTTCTTTAAGACGGAGTCTTGCCCTGTCGCCTAGGCTAGAGTGCAGTGGTGTGATCTCGGCTCACTGCAACCGCCACCTCCCGGTTTCCCGTGATTCTCCTGCCTCAGCCTCCTGAGTAGCTGGGATTACAGGTGCGTGCCACCACATCCGGCTAATTTTTTGTATCTTTAGTAGAGACGGGGTTTCACCATGTGCCAGGCTGGTCTTGAACTCCTGACCTCGTGATCCACCCGCCTTGGCCTCCCAAAGTGCTGGGATTACAGGCGTGACCACCGCGCCAGACCCATAATGGCGTTTTATAGATGGGGAAACGGAGTCATAGAGGCTAAACAACTTTCCCAAGACCACACAGTTAGTAAGGGGCAGGACTAGGACTCAAAGCCAAGTTTATGACCAAATTCTGGTGCACTACGTTCTCCTGCTTCTGGAGAAGATAATGATGCTGAAGATTCTACTTTTGGTGTAAAGGAGTAGGAAGGGCACGGGGCACTGCTAGCTTCAGTGGGCCTGAATCTTTGTCTTTCCTTCTGATTTGGAGAAAGTGCAAGAATGGGAAAATGCAATCGAAGTGAAGGAGAGGCCGGCGTATTTTCCTGAAATGCGCGGCCCGCAAGCCCAAACCCGTTTCCCGGGTGTCCAGGCAGCGTTCTGCAGCATCTCCAATGCCCGCCAGCCCGCCGCAGCCCAGCGCCCGGCAGCCGGCGCCTCTCAAACCCCCTCCGGCCAGGAGCCTTCGCCGCTTGGCCGCGCCGCGCCCGGCCTGGGAAAAAAGTTTCCAAACGACGCTGCTCTGCGCTGATTGGCCGAGGCGGACGCGGTACCGTAGAGCAGCAGCCAATGGGAGGCGCCGACCGCAGGCTCCGGGGCGGGGGCGGGGTCCGGAGGGCCGGGGCCGCACCGCCCTTCGCAGCCGCCTCTGCCGCCGCCGCCGCGTTGGCCTCGCCGCCCCTGCTCGGGTAAGTGAGGCGCTGCGCGGGGCTGGGGTCGGGGTGGCTGTCCGGGGACCTCCACCGCGGCTGAAAAGCTCCTCTGCCCCGCCCCAGGATCCCGGGACCCCGGGCCACCGCCTGGCAGGGACCCCTACGCCCCTCGCTTGCGCGTCGCTTCCCGGCCGCCTGGACTCCCCCGGTCCCTGGGCTCCAAAATCCCGCCTCCCTGGAGCCTCCCGTCCTAAAAAGTTAGGCACTGAGTGCCTTGCCACCGGTGCGTTCCTCGCGCTGGCCCCTCGCCCTTGGCAACTTTGTTTCTCTTTCTGCGTTGGTCTCTCTCCCACCCCGTTGCCCTCTTCTCCTTCCGGGACTTCCTGGGTGGTTAAGCCTTGCCGGTCCCCAAACCCCGCTGCCAGGCTCCATCCTCTTTCTCCTCTTCCTTCCTCCCCATACTCCTCTCCTAGATGACCCTCGTTTCTTTTCTCTCTCTCTCCTATTCCTCCATCCTGCCACCCGCTTCTCTGCGACCCCAGACCCCTCGATTGCAGCGTTGCCCCTGCCCTCACACCCACTGTCCCGCCCCTGCAGGCCTCTTTCCAAAAACCCACCCTGCTCCCTCCCTCCGGGAACACGTTTGGGGCAGTCTGCTCTCCGCTTTGCTCCCGTCTCTGCCGCAGGACGGTTCAGGTTTCTTCTGACAGCACTTTGGGGAGGGATTGGGTAAAGGACGAAAATGCTTATTCCGCAGCTTGAGTGATGGCTGGGCTCACTGAGGACCTGAGTCTCTGAGGTCCTGGGAAACCCCGCTGTCACCTTGACACCGCTTTTGGGGAGGCGACTTTATCTTCTCCGAGCCATCTCAGGCTTTCTGCCTCCTGAGGGCCTGAGCTTCCTTGATTGCTTTGTCCGTGGTTACTACCAGGTTGTGCCTCTTAATTTCTACTTTGAGCCTCAGGCCCCTTTTAACTTTCTAAAGAAAAGGCCTTTGCAGCACGACCTAGGCAGGTTCATCATTTTTAGTTTTGTTATAGTGTATTCTAGCATAGGATGGCATTTTAGGACATGGGTCGGGTGTTTTGAAGATTAATTAGATCCCAGCTACTCCTAAAGCCTCTTGTTACCCGACCACCCCAGCCTCCATCACCTCGTTGGTATACAACCCGTTTTTTTTTTTTTTTTTTTGTTTTTGTTTTTGAGACAGAGTCTCACTCTCGCCCAGGTTGGAGTGCAGTGGTGCGATTTTGGCTCACTGCAACCTCCGCTTCCCGGGTTCAAGCGATTCTCCTGCCTCAGCCTCCGGAGTAGCTGGGACTACAGGTGCGTGCCACCACGCCTGGCTAATTTTTTGTATTTTTAGTAGAGATGGGGTTTCACCGTGTTAGCCAGGATGGTCTCGATTTCCTGACCTCGTGATCTGCCCCCTCGGCCTCCCAAAGTGCTGGGATTACAGGCGTGAGCCACCGTGCCGGCCTACAACCCATTTTGAGCCTTTCCTCTTAGTGTGTGTTTTGTGTAGGATTAAATGCAGATGATCTGTGCCGCTGAAGTCTCAGGGGCCTGTGATTCATATATTTTATCCCATGTTGGATAACAGTTTATTAACTTGACTTATTTTTGTTTCCAAAGTGTGTTATTTATTATTTATTTATTTATTTATTTTGAGACGGAGTCTTGTTCTTGTCCAGGCTGGAGTGCAGTGGCATGATCTCGACTCACTGCAACCTCAGTCCTCCGGGTTCAAGTGATTCTTCTGCCTCACCCTCCTGAGTAGCTGGGATTACAGGTGCGTGCCACCATGCCCGGCTAATTCTTAGTAGAGATGGGGTTTCACCATATTGGCCAGGCTGGTCTCAAACTTCTGACCTCGTGATCTGCCCACCTCAGCCTCCCAAAGTGTTGGGATTACAGGCATGAGCCACTGCACCCGACTCTATCATTATTATTATTTTTTATGTAGAGGCAGAATCTTGCTTTGTTGCCCAGGCTGGTCTCAAATTCCTGGGCTCAAGCAGTCCTCCTGCCTTGGCCTCCCACAGTGCTGAGATTACTTGCAGGCATGAGCCACTGCATGCAGCCCAAAGTGTGTTCTTTTGCCTTAGAATGTGAGCCGAGAATTGACACTCCTTTTCCTCACAAGGTAATTTCCTAACATGAGCATTCCTGTGTACAGAAAGTTTGTGCCTGCAGTTAGTACTACACGTGCACCTCGTGCAATGGATGTGGGTGCTTTTTGTCTGCCTCCTTCAGCAGTGCCCAGCACTTAGTAGGTATTCAAGAAATGTTTGAAAAGGGTTGGAGGAGGCAAAACCACAGTAGGAAAAATTCTTTCCCTGTCACTTGGTTCAGTAGAATAAAATTATCCTGGAACAATAGCTATTTTACTTTTTGTCCAAGTTTTTGTTTGTTTGTTTTTTGAGACGGGATCTCACTCTGTCGCCCAAGCTGGAACACAGTGATGCAATCACAGCTCACTGCAGTCTCGACCTCTCAGGCTCAAGCAATCCTCTTGCCTGAGCCTCCCAAGTAGCTGGGACTAAAAGCACATGCCACCATGCTTGGCTAATTTTTAAAATTTTTTGTAGAGATTGGGGTCTCACTATGTTGCCCAGGCTGGTCTCGAACTCCTGGGTTCAAGCGATCCTTCCGCCTCAGCCTCCCAACGTGCCGGGGTGGGAGAGAGCCACCGCGCCTGGCCTAAGCTTTTTAAAATCTCTAAAGCGATCTATGCTTACTGTATATATGTGTATGTAGTTTACCTTAAAGCAAGGTGTCAGGTACAAATCCACAGGGCTTGCTTTACCCCCATTCTGGTGCATCCTCCAGACCCTTTTCTATTCTGTGTACAGAGAGAGGGAAATAAACAAAAATGGGCACCCATTTTTAACATATCCTGAGCTTTCTTCCATATTAGTACTTACAGTTCTTAACAACTGCATCGTTTTCCATTCAGTCCTCTGTTGACATTGAGGTTTCCAGTTTTCCACATTCGTGAATGATGGTGTGCATCTTTGAACATGGGTCCTTGCCTGCCTAAGTATTTTTGTAGGTTGATCATTGTAAACTTGGAAAGCACAAAGACAGAAGCCAGGCTTGCTGACTCTTGACTGATGTTGCCCCAGTGATGTCACTCCTGCAAAATGCAAAGCCTGCGTCCTGGCTGTCGGAGCATGTGTGGACATTTGGCAGCTTCTTTCTCTTCCCTCCTGCTCTTCTGTTTGTTTTGATTGGGAAGGATATGGAGTGGGGATGGAGAAGGGTGTTGAGTAATTATCGATGGTTTCTGTATGTTTATTGCTCCTGACTAGCAGTGCTGGGTTTCTTCTCTCAGAGGAAAGCTGAAAGAGATTGCTTTGCTTTTTTCCAGAGTTTTAAAATCAGAGGTGTGTGTCTCGAGTGTATTTTCAGACTTTTTTGTTAGCTTTAATCATGTAAAACATGCAAAAAAAAAAAAAGCATGTGGAAACAATTTTTTTTTTTTGAGACGGGTTCTCGCTCTGTCACACAGGCTGGAGTGCTGTGGGGCGATCTCGGCTCACTGCAACCACCGCCTCCCATGCTCAAGTGATCCTCCCACCTCAGCCTCCTGAGTAGCTGGGACCACAGGTGTGCATCACCACACCTGGCTAATTTTTTTGTGTTTTTGGTAGAGATGGGGTTTCACCATGTTGCCCAGGCTGGTCTCTTATCTGCTGACCTCAGGTGATCTGCCTGCCTCACCCTCCCAAAGTGCTGGGATTACAGGCATGAGCCACCACACCCGGCCGGAAACAAATTTTTGAAGGAGGCATAGATCTCTGTTGTGCAAAATAGATACTTTTTGTACCACTGGGTCCTAGTTTGTCATTGTTCCTTGCATGATCCCATCAGATTTGTCTACAGAGCTGCTGGGGCATGATGGTGTGGTGGCGTATTAAGAACGCAGGTTAGTGGCACACAGATGAAATAAATGCATGTGGGGTGCATTTTTAAGATAGCAGGTGCAAAGTTGTATATACTGAGACCAGGCATTAACACTTGCCTATTACAGTGCCTTTTAAAACACTATGTGAGGGCCGGGTGCAATGGCTCACACCTGTAATCCCAGCACTTTGGGAGGCCTAGGTGGGCAGATCACCTGAGGTCAGGAGATCGAGACCAGCCTGGCCAACGTGGCGAAACCCCGTCTCTCCTAAAAATACAAAAAATTAGCCAGTCGTGGTGGCATGCACCTGTAATCCGAGGTACTAGGGACGCTGAGGTAGGAGAATCGCTTGAAGCTGCGAGGCAGAGGTTGCAGTGAGCTGAGATCACACCACTGCACTCCAGCCTGGGCAACAGAGAAAGAGATTCCGACTCAAAAAAAAAAAAAACAAAAAAAAAAAAAACAAAACTGGACCAAATGAAACAAGTGAATCTGATCTGCAGTCAGTCAGTTTGCAACCCCTGGGAAGCCTTGGACTTGAATGCAAAGATCCCTTGAACTTGGATCTAGTTTGCCTCTGCTGCTCACATGCACATTTAGAGATGGCCAAGGCATACGGTGTTTCTGCTTCCAAGAAACAGAGTGGTTGTCCTGTTTAGCCATCTCTTACAGTCACACAGCTTAAAGAAGATAATGTTTGCAAACAATTTTTGAAATGTCTAGCACACAGCAAACAGAAGGTCAAATTCAGTACTTAATGCTGATAAAATAAGAGAACCCTTGCAAGTCATGTTGCCTGCTTTCTGCCACAGAGAGTACTGCAATAGAACTTTCTGACGTTTTCATGTTGTTTATTTATTTATTTTTTGAGACAGAGTCTTGCTCTTGTGCCCAGGCTGGAGTGCAGTGGTACAATTTCTGCTCACTGCAACCTCTGCCTCTGGGTTCAAGCAATTCTTGGGCCTCAGCCACCCAAGTAGCTGGAATTATAGGTGCGCTCTACCACACCTGGCTAATTTTTGTGTTTCTAGTAGAGACAGGGTTTCACCATGTTGCCCAGGCTGGTCTTGAACCCCTGGGCTCAAGCAATCCACCCACCTCAGCCTCCCAAAGTGCTGGGACTACAGGCGTGCATCGTGACGCCCTGCTGATTTGTGTATTTTTAGTAGAGACGGGGTTCACCTTGTGCTGGTCTCAAACTCCTGGGCTCAAGCAATCTGCCCACCTCAGTCTGCCAAAGTGCTGGGATTACAGGCGTGAGCCATCGTGCCCGGCCTCTCTCTGACATTTTTGAATGGCAAAGGCAAAAATCTTATACTTTTAAGGATGTGGAGAAATAGGAACACTTTTACACTGTTGGTGGGACTGTAAACTAGTTCAACCATTGTAGAAGTCAGTGTGGTGATTCCTCAGGGATCTAGAACTGGAAATACCATTTGACCCAGCCATCGCATTACTGGGTATATACCCAAAGGACTATAAATCATGCTTCTATAAAGACACATGCACACGTATGTTTATTGCGGCATTATTCACAATAGCAAAGACTTGGAACCAACCCAAATGTCCAGCAATGATAGACTGGATTAAGAAAACGTGGCACATATACACCATGGAATACTATGCAGCCATAAAAAATGATGAGTTCATGTCCTTTGTAGGGACATGGATGAAATTGGAAATCATCATTCTCAGTAAACTATTGCAAGAACAAAAAACCAAACACCGCATATTCTCACTCATAGGTGGGAATTGAACAACGAGAACACATGGACACAGGAAGGGGAACATCACACTCTGGGGACTGTTGTGGGGTGGGGGGAGGGGGGAGGGATAGCATTGGGAGATATACCTAATGCTAGATGACGAGTTAGTGGGTGCAGCACACCAGCATGGCACATGTATACATATGTAACTAACCTGCACATTGTGCACATGTACCCTAAAACTTAAAGTATAATAATAATAAAGAAAAAGAAAAAAAAAGATTGCTGTTTTATGATAAAGTGAAGTGCAGCTGTTACTTCTTCCTTCTTTGCTTCCAGCATCTCTCTTCCCTAAGGATTGCTTTTAAAATGTAAGAGTTTTTGGTTGAAATGCTGTTCCTGTGGTTTTTGTCTCTTGGTTGGAGTGAAAGATTTTGCAGGCTGTGATACAAATCCAGTTCTCTGCTTATTTTCTCCTCAGTCCTTGAAATCCAAAACCAGATCCCTCCCATTGGCCCGTTGTAATTAGAACCTGCCCCACAATAGACGCACCTCCTAAAGCATCTCAGATTCATTTCTTTCCTGAGGATTAAGTTTTTAAACCTTCCTGGCCAAGATAACAGTGTTTTAAGAGGCTCTTTTCTTTTATTATTATTATTATTATTATTACTCTTTTCTTTTTTTGAGATGGAGTCTTGCTCTGTCACCCAGGCTGGAGTGCAGTGGCAGGATCTCTGCTCACTGGAACCTCCACCTCCCGGGTTCAAGAGTTTCTTCTGTTTCAGCCTCCTGAGTAGATGGGATTACAGGCATGTGCCACCATGCCCAGCTAATTTTTGTATTTTTAGCAGAGATGGGGTTTTACCATGTTGGCCAGGCTGGTCTCGAACTCCTGGCTTCAAGTGATCTACCCGCTGTGGCCTCCCAAAGTATCAGGATTACAGGCATGAGCCACAGCACCCTGCCAGGCTTGGGTGTTCAAGGAAGAGAAAGAAGGCAGTGTGGCTGGGACATAAGTGAATGAGAGGTGGTAGGGTAAGAAATGTGTAGAAAACTATGCAGGGGCCTGATCACATTGGATCTTGCACATCTTTTTCCAAACCTCAGGAGGAGTCATTCTGCTTTTGTTGTTACTGGTTCCTCACTTCCGCACTTTATTGTATGCTGACAACCTTCCATACCATGGGACTGAGACTGCCCTCAATAGTATCACCAATGTCTTTTTTTGTTTTTTTTTTTTGAGGCAGAGTTTCACTCTTGTCGTCCAGGTTGGAGTGCAATGGCGTGATCTTGGCTCACTGCAACCTCCGCCTCCTGGGTTCAAGCGATTTTCCTGCCTCAGTCTTCCGAGTAGCTGGGGTTACAGGAGCCTGCCACCACACCTGGCTAATTTCTTGTATTTTTAGTGGAAATGGAGTTTCACCATGTTGGCCAGGCTGGTCTTGAACTCCTGACCTCAGGTGAACCACCCGCCTTGGCTTCCCAAAGTGTTGGGATTACAGGCATGAGCCAACGCACCCAGCCACCAATATCTTAATGGCCACACAGTGCTCATTGATAGATGCCTTGGCCCTGGGCTATTGTTGCTATAGAATTGGTTTGATGAGTACATATTACATGAGATCTGGGCTCATTAGAGCTTATGGCTTGAGCAGGGACTCCTTGGCCTAGGTTTATGCTGCTCCTGGCCTTGTTAATGACTGCTATTAACACTCTACCCCCTTTTTATTTTTTTGAGATGGGGTCTTGTTCTGTCGCCCAGGCTGGGAGGCTGGAATGCAGTGATCTTGGCTCACTGCAGCCTCCGCTTCTCAGGCTTAAGTGATTTTTCCTGCTTCATCCTTCTGAGTAGCTGGGACTACAGGCACGCACCGCCGTGCCCGTTTGATTTTTGTTTTTGTTTTTTTAGTAGACACGGGGTTTCACCATGTTGCCCAGGCTGGTCTCAAACTCCTGACCTCAAGTGATCTGTCTGCCTCGGCCTCACAAAGGGCTGGGATTACAGGCATGAGCCATTGCGCCAGGCACCACTCTACCCTTTTGACTTTGAGCAAGTAAGGTCGTTGATTCCATACATTCATTAAGATTCCTGCGTGGCAGAAATCTAACCCCAACTGGTATAACCAAGACAAGGAATTGATTATCTCATAACCTTAAATCAGGTGTGGCTGCATCTAGGTGTTCAAATGATATTGTCAGGACCCAGGCTCTCCATCCCTTGGCCCAGCTTTCCTCTGTTTTGGCTTCACTCTGAGGCAGGCTCTCCCTTGTGATAGCAAGATGACCACCGGCAGTTTCAGGCTTACCTCCGGCTTCAGGCTTACCTCCAGCTTCAGGCTTACCTTACCAACCCTAGTGGAAAGAGAGTTTCATTTTTGACAGCTATGCAAAAGGTCTGGACCTGGGCCCTCACTGGCTTAGTATGGGTTAGGCCCATCCTTAAGCCAATCATTGGCTCAGCATGGGTTAGATCCGTGACTGTCACTGGCTGAGCATGGGGGTTAGGCTCACCCTATCATTGGCTCTGCGTGAATTAGGCCCACCTCTGTCACTGGCTCATCGTGGGTTAGGCCCACCCATGAGCTGATCACTAAGGTCGTGAATAGGCATATGCCTCTTCCCAGGTGTGGAGGATGATGTCAGATCCCTCTGAACTCATGAAATGAGTAGGGTATTCTCCCAAGGGAATATTGTGCTGTCACAGAAGATGGAAAAATGAATGCATGTCTGGAAAAAACAAGCAAAACTACAAATCATTAGCTTTATATGACATTTATTTATTTTTTGTTTATATGTTTTTGAAATGGAGTCTTGCTCTGTTGCCCAGGCTGGAGTGCAGTGGTGTGATCGTGGTTCACTGCAACCTCTGGCTCCCGGGTTCAAACGATTCTCATGCCTTAGCCTCCCGAGTAGTTGGGATCATAGGTGCCTGCCACCACACCCAGCTAATTTTTGTGCTTTTAGTGTAGACAGGATTTTACCATGTTGGCCAAGCTTGTCTTGAACTCTTGACCTCAAGTCATCTGCCTGCCTCAGCTTCCCAAAGTGTTGAGATTACAGGCATGAGCCACCACGTCTGGCCAGCTTTGTATGACATTTCGCCTTTCTGCCTTGATCAAACTTTCAGAGAATCTGCTTTCCAGAGGGATGAGTGGGTCGGGAAATAGCATGTTTTCTCTGAATGAGGGAAAGGATTGAAAAAGTAGGAGGGAGAAAGGATGTGAATATGAGTCCCAACAAATGCAGAGTTATCGGTAAGTTTTGTGCTTGAATCTAGGTACAATTGTGCATTTCCTGGTTCTGCATGAATTAGGCCCACCTCTGTCATTGGCTCAACATGGGTGAGGCTCACTAACTTCCACCAGAAGTTAGTGGTGGTGTCTGTGTTGACACTTACATGTTTAGCCTAATGATTTCATGTTTTAACCAAAACTATATAGCTTGTTGGTTATATCTTAGAAAGTGATGGTTTTTGCTCATTCTTTTGTCCCCAGGGATACACACCAGCCTCTAAGTTCTCTTGAGGGAAGGAAGGGACCTTGCACACAATCTTTTTTTTTTTTTTTTTTTTTTTTTTTTTGAGAGGAAGTCTCACTCTGTCACCCAGGCTGGAGTGCAGTGGTGCGATCTCGGCTCACTACAACCTCTGCCTTCTGGGTTCAAGTGATTCTCCCGCCTCAGCCTCCCGAGTAGTGGGGATTACAGGCGCACACCACCATGCCCGGCTAATTTTTATATTTTTAGTAGAGATGGGGTTTCAGTGTGTTGGCCAGGCTGGTTTCAGACTCCTGAGCTCAGGTGATTCACCTGCCCTGGCCTCCCAAAGTACTGGGATTACAGGTGTGAGCCACTGCGCCCGGCCTTGGACACAATCTTTTTTTTTTTTTTTTTTGAGACGGAGTCTCGCTCTGTCACTCAGGCTGGAGTGCAGTGGCACGATCTCAGCTCATTGCAACCTCCACCTCCTGGGTTCAAGCAATTCTCCTGCCTTAGCCGCCTGAGTAGCTGGGACTACAGGTACCTGCCACTGCGCCCGCCTAATTTTTGTATTTTTAGTAGAGATGGGGTTTCACCATATTGGCCAGGCTGGTCTCAAACTCCTGACCTTGTGATCTGCCCGCCTCGGCCTCCCAAAGTGCTGGGATTACAGATGCGAGCCACTGAGTCTGGCCTGGACACAATCTTACTTGGATTCCTCATGCCCTTTTGACAAGCTCAGAGCCTCAAATAAATTCAGAAAATAGGTGATTACATCAAACAGCCTCTATCAACAGGGAGTATACAAACCGTTAGCCCAACTGTTAATAGAAGTCTGCTTTCTTGCTGGGTGTGGTGGCTCACACCTAGAATCCTAGTGCTTTGGGAGTACAAGGCAGGAGGATCGCTTGAGCCCAGGAATTTGAGACCAGCCTAGGCAACATAGTAAGACCCCATCTCTTAAAAAAAAAATTAGCTTGGCGTAGTGGCCTATACCTGTAGTCCCAGCTAGTCAGGAGGCTGAGGCAGGAGGATCAGTGCCGCCTAGGAGTTCAAAGATGCAGTGAGCTATGATTGTGTCACTGCACTCCAGCTGGGTTGACAGATTGAGACCCTATCTCTTAAAAAAAAAATTGCTTCCCTCACCTCTGCTGTGAAACAGCTCAAAGTCCTGAGAGCCAAGGCCCCTACCGCCCACATCCTCTAGCTGTTGGCTAATTTATTTCATCGTCTTTTAGGTAATTCTCCAGAATTCCATCGCTTTCCTCTTTTTCACCTCCCAGTTACTCCTGCACTCAGTTCTTCGTCTTTCCTCCTCCACTGTGTAGAAACTGTTCTTGCTCACACCGCCAGTGACCGACTTTCGCTCAGCCTTGTGGATATTTTCCAGCCCTTATCTTCCCTGCTTCTCTGTTGCATCCTTGTGACACTGGAATGTTTCCCTTTTTTCCCTTGAAACCGCCCACTCCCAGGACAGCACAGTCTTCCTGATTCTCATCTCTCTCACTCTGTTTCTTCTCTGCCTCCTTCGGTTACCATTTCTTAAACTGCCCACCTTTCCAATATTGGCATTCTTCACTGTTCCATACACAGTCCCTAGGCGATTCTTCCATGGTCACGAGGAAAAGAGAAAAACCAGCTATAGACGCATGACTTTCAAATGGATATTGTTGACCCAATTTCAACCCTGAGTTTCAGCTGCGATATTGCATCTTGGTGTGTCATGGACATGTCAAGCTGTGAATGTCTGAGACTGGGTTTGTTATCTCTCCTTAACCCACCCACCTACCCAAGAGTTTTACTTGTTTTTTTTTTTTTTTTGAGTCTCGCTCTGTCACCCAGGCTGGAGTGCAGTGGCGCCATCTCGGCTCACTGCAAGCTCCGCCTCCCGGGTTCAAGCCATTCTCCTGCCTCAGCCTCCTGACTAGCTGGGACTACAGGCACCCGCTGCCAGGCCTGGATAATTTTTTGTATTTTTAATAGAGACAGTGTTTCACCATGTTAGCCAGAATGGTCTTGATCTCCTAACCTCGTGATCCACCTGCCTCGGCCTCCCAAAGTGCTGGGATTACAGGTGTGAGCCACCGCGCCCGGCCGAGTTTTCCTTTTGATTGTCCTTTTTTTTTGAGACGGGATCTTGCTGTGTTGCCCAGGCTGGAGTACAGTGGCATGGTCATGGGTCACTGCAGCCTCGACCTCTCCTTGCCCCTCATCCTCTCGAGTAGCTGGAACTACAGACACACCACCATGACCAGCTAGTTTTTGTATTTTTTGTAGAGATAGGGTCTCACCAGGTTGCCCAGGCTGGTCTGGAACTCCTGGGCTCAAGCATTCCACCTGCTTTGGCCTACCAATGTGCTGGGATTACAGGTGCGAGGCACTGCACCCAGCCACCTTCTGGAAGTCTTTATCTCTGGTGATGGGGATGGTGGCGGCACCCAATTGCCTAAGGTAGAGCCCCAGAAGATGTCCTCACCTCCTTTTTCTCTCTCCCCTGCCCCGAAAAGTCATAATTCATCAAGTTCTGGTAAGTTTGCCTTCTAAATATTTTTGGAGTCCATTTCTGTTCCCTCCATCTTCATTCCTACTTTCTTTTTTTTTAGACAAGGTCTCACTCTCTTGCCCAGGCTGGAGTGCAGTACCGTGATCATAGCTTACTGCAGCCTCAAATTCCTGGACTCATGTGATCCTCCTTCCTCAGCCTCCAGAGTAGCTAGGACTACAGATGTGTTGCACCACACCAGTCTAATTTTTTAAAAAGTTTTTTTGTCAAGGTAGGGTCTTGCTGTGTTTCCCAGGCTGGTCTTGAACTCCTGGTCCCAAGTGGTCCTCTTGCCTTGGCCTCCCATAGTGCTGGGATTATACGTGTGAGCCACTGTACCTGGCCTATTCTCACTTTCTAATTCAGGCCACGTTCCTTTCTCTTTTCTTTTTTTTTTTTTTTTTTTTGAGATGGAGTCTTGATCTGTCGCCCAGGCTTGAGTGCAGTGGCGTGATCTCGGCTCACTGCAAGCTCTGCTTCCCAGGTTCACGCTATTCTCCTGCCTCAGCCTCCCGAGTAGCTGGGACTACAGGCACCTGCCACCACGCCCAGCTAATTTTTTTGTATTTTTAGTAGGGACAGGGTTTCACCGTGTTAGACAGGATGGTCTCAATCTCCTGACCTCATGATCCGCCTGCCTCGGCCTCCCAAAGTGCTGGGATTACAGGCATGAGCCACCGTGCCTGGTCTCTTTTCTTTTTTAAATAGGATCTCACTTCATCACCCAGGCTTTAGTGCAGTGGCACTATCTTGGCTCACCGCAACCTCTGCCTCCTGTGCTCAGGTGATCCTCCCATCTCAGCCTCCTGAGTAGCTGGGAACACAGGCATGTGCCACCACAGCTGGCTGATATTTTTCTATTTTTAGTAGAGACGGAGTTTCTCCATGTTACCCAGGCTGGTCTCAAACTCCCAGGCTCAAGCGATCTGCCTACCTTGGCCTGTCAAAGTGCTGGGATTATAGGCGTGAGCCACTGCACCTGGCCTCCACCTTCCTTTCTTTCTTGCATTGCTGCAGGAGCTCCCCATCTTAGGCCTTGTCCTTCCTCTGCCTGTCCATGGCCACCAGGACCAGCTTTTTAAGCAGGAGAGCCCATCATATCACATCACTCTCTTCCCTAACTTTCTCCAATGGTTTCCCATTGCCACTAAGTTTCTTAACATCTTGCAAAAGCCGTCTGTGACTTAGCCCCTTTATTTCAGTCTGTCCAGGTAGGTTCCCTTCCACTCGTCACCTTTCAACCCAGGCTTACCAGACTCCCTCTAGCTCCCCTACAAGTGCCTGGCTGTTTCTCCTCATTCCTTCTTCCCCTGCTCAATTACCATTGCCTTCCAGTTCTTTCATATTCTTTTTTTTTTTTTTTTGAGACGGAGTCTCATTCTGTCGCCCAGTCTGGAGTGCAGCGGCACGATCTCAGCTCACTGCAACTTCCACCTCCCAGGTTCAAGTGATTCTACCGCCTCAGTCTCCTGAGTAGCTGGGAGTATGGGTGCCCGCCACCACGCCCAGCTAATTTTTGTATTTTTTTTTAGTAGAGACGGAGTTTCACCATATTGGCCAGGCTGGTCTCGAACTCCTGCCCTCGTGATCTGCCTGCCTCAGCCTCCCAGTGTGCTGGGATTACAGGCGTGAGCCACTGCACCTGGCTTTTTCATATTCTTTCACATGCTCCTCATGTGTCGCCTCTTCTAGGAAGCCTTCCTTGACTTTCGGGTTGAGTTTTGAACTTCTTAAATATCCTGGGCACTGATAGAAATGTATTTTCAGGTGCATACATATTTCAGAACACACCAATGTGTATACTCAAATATATGCAATTTATTGCATGTCAAAATCCTGTGCACATTTCTGTGGCTATACTAGGCACATAGTTTTATCATAATTTACATGGGGTTGGGTGCGGTGGTTCACGCCTGTAATACCAGCACTTTGGGAGGCTGAGGTGGGTGGTTCACTTGAGGTCAGGAGTTTGAGACCAGCCTGGCCAACATGGTGAAACCCTGTCTCTACTAAAAATAGAAAAATTAGCCAGGCGTGGTGGCGCATGCCTGTAAAATCGCAGTTGCTCGGGAGGCTGAGGCACAAGAATCATTTGAACCCAGGAGGCAGAGGTTGCAGTGAGCTGAGATCACGCCACTGCACTCCAGCCTGGGTGATAGAGCAAGAGTCTGTCTCAAATAATAATTATAATTATTATTTTATGCGTAATTTCCATTCCAGCCCCCACTCCCCCACTCCCTCCACCAGACTGTGAGGCCCCTTTAGGGAAGGCAGGCATCTTGGAGACGTTTTATGTGGCTCCCTAGGTCCTTTAGTAGGTGCTCAATAAATATTTGCATAGGGATATCCATGAGCCTTGATGTTAACCCAGGGAATATAACAGGTGAGTGGATTGTGTTTTGTTTGGGTTTAGCTTCAGATTTTTGGCAGTATTTAATCATTTAACCCAGCATAAAGTTTATTTATTTATTTATTTATTTTGACACAGAGTCTCGGTCTGTCACTCAAGCTGGAGTGCAGTGGCGCCATCTCGGCTCACTGCAAGCTCCACCTCCTGAGTTCACACCATTCTCCTGCCTCAGCCTCCTGAGTAGCTGGGACTACAGGCACCCGCCACCACACCCAGCTAATTTTTCGTATTTTAGTAGAGACGGGGTTTCACCATGTTAGCTAGGGTGGTCTCGATCTCCTGACCTCGTGATCCGCCCGCCTCAGCCTCCCAAAGTGCTGGGATTATAGGCGTGAGCCACCGCGCCTGGCCAAGTTTTTTTTTTTTTTTCTGTTAAAGGGGATCAGCTGTTTAACCAGATGTGGGTAATCATTTTGAAACCTTCTCTCCTAGACACCATGCCACAAGGAGAGTGATCTCTTCCCCTGTTTTCACAATGGAGGACTCCGGAAAGACTTTCAGCTCCGAGGAGGAAGAAGCTAACTATTGGAAAGATCTGGCGATGACCTACAAACAGAGGTCAGTCCGAGTTCACCTGCTTTTCCTTTTTTTTTTTTTTTTGAGATGGGGTCCTGCTATGTTACCTAGGCTGAGTGCGGTGGCTGTTCCTAGGCGTGATCATAGTGCACAGCCGCCTTAAACTCCTGGGCTTAAGCGATCATCCTGGCTCAGCCTCCCAAGTAGATGGGACTATAGGTGTGCTTCATCAGGCCAGGCTTTTTTTTTTTTGGCGGAAACAGGGGTCTCGCTATGTTGCCCAGGCTGGTCTTGAACTCCTGGACTCAAGTGATGCACCTCTGCCTCCCACAGTGTTGGGACTACAGGTGTGAGCTCTCTTTTTTCTATAAAAAGAACAGCAACCATTTATTGCAGGCCTATATGTGCCAGGCAGTGTGAAAGGCTTAACTTACACTATCTCAAAACTGCCTGTGAAAAAACTATTAGCACCCCATTATATAGATGAAGAAACTGAGCCTCAGTGAAGGCAGATAACTTGCTCACAGTCACACAGCCAATAAGTAGCAGAGCTGGAATTTGAACTCCAGACCTATGGTCCTGATTATCCTACTATGCTACTTTACATTTTGTTTTCTTATTTTCTTTTTCTTCTTTTTTTTTTGAGACAGAGTCTCACTCTGTTGCCCAGGCTGGAGTGCAGTGGTGCCATCTTGGCTCACTGCAGCCTCCACCTCTGGGTTGAAGCAATTCTCGTGCCTCAGCTTCTCGAGTAGCTGGAATTACAGGCACCCACCACCACGCCTGGCTAATTTTTTGTGTTTTTAGCAGAGACGGGGTTTTGCCATGCTGGTCAGGCTGGTCTTGAACTCCTGGCTTCACGTGATCTGCCCGTCTCACCCTCCCAAAGTTCTGGAATTACAGGCATGAGCCACCATGCCTGGCCTTCCATCTTATTTTCTTTTTTTTTTTTTTGAGATGGAGTTTCGCTCTTCTTGCCCAGGCTGTAGTGCAATGGCATGATCTCGGCTCACCACAAGCTCCACCTCCTGGGTTCAATCGATTCTCTTGCCTCAGCCTCCCGAGTAGCTAGGATTACAGGCATGCACCACCATGCCCAGCTAATTTTGTATTTTTAGTAGAGACGGGGTTTCTCCATGTTGGTCAGGCAGCTCTCGAACTCCCAACCTCAGGTGATCCACTTGCCTCGGCTTCCCTAAGTGCTGGGATTACAGGCGTGAGCCACCACGCCCGGTGTCCATCTTATTTTCTAGAAGGGTTTTTATCAGTTCCTAGATGCCATATCTGGTAAGTTCTTTGTGCACAGGGAAAGAGCTTTTCCCTATGCCTAGCAAAATATATTGCTAAAGATTTTAAGATTTGAAACTCGTGTTTTGGTCAGGGCTCATATCTGGGAGGTGTGTGTGTGTGCGTTTGGTTTGGCACTGTTTTTATTTATAATGGGTCTTTATAATTTGTACATAGAGGCCTTATTCCAGTCCCCTTAGTTTCTTTCATTTATTGAAAAATTATTTTAGGTCCAGGCACAGTGGCTCACATCTGTAATCCCAGCACTTTGGGTAGGCAGATCACTTGAGCTCAGGAGTTTGAGACCAGCTCTAGCAACATGGCAAAACCCTGTCTGTACAAAAAATACAGAAATTAGCAGGCATGGTGGCATGTTCTTATAGTCTCAGCTACTTGGGAGCCTGAGGTGGGAGAATTGCTTGAGCCTGGGAGGTCGAGGCTGCAGTGACGCATGATCACACCTCTGCATTCCAGTCTGGGTGACAGAGCAAGACTCTATCTCAAATAAATAAATAAAAATTATTTTAGAGTCAGGGTCTCACTCTGTCACCCAGGCTGAATTGCACTGGCTCTTCACAAGTGTGACCTATCTCACTGCAACCCCTGGGACCCCAGGTGATCCTTCTGCCTCAGCCTCCCAGGTAGCTGGGACTACAGGCGTGTGCCACCATGTCTGGCTGATTTTTAAACACATTTCTGTAGAGATGAGGTCTTACTATGTTGCCCTGGCTGGTCTGGAACTCCTGGCCTCAAGTAATTCTTAATGAGCCACTGTACCCAGCCCTTCCTACTTTCTTTATTCTAGTTTGACTTAAAGGTAATTCAGGCTTGATATTTTTAAAATATTCCTTGAATTTGGCCAGGTACAATGGCTAACGCCTGTAATCCCAGCACTTTGAGAGGCCGAGGCAGGCAGATCACCTCCAGTCAGGAGATCGAGACCAGCCTGGCCAACATGGTGAAACCCCGTCACTACTAAAAATACAAAAATTAGCTGGGTGTGGTGCCGCATGCCTGTAGTCCCAGCTACTCGGGAGACTGAGGCAGGAGAATCGCTTGAACCTGGAAAGCAGAGGTTGCAGTGAGACGAGATTGCAGCACTGCATTGCAGCCTGGGTGATAGAGCGAGACTCTGTCTTCAAAAATATTACTACGTGATGATTAACAATTTTGCTGTAGGGCAGAAAATACGCAAGAGGAACTCCGAGAATTCCAGGAGGGAAGCCGAGAATATGAAGCTGAATTGGAGACGCAGCTGCAACAAATTGAAACCAGGAACAGAGACCTCCTGTCCGAAAATAACCGCCTTCGCATGGAGCTGGAAACCATCAAGGTGAGGGGCTGAGAGGAAGTGTGCTCAGGTGTAGACAGGCGTCCAACACAGGCATGGCATGCTTGGCTGGAAGAAGGAACCCTGCAATGAGGGACTCCAGACCCCAGGCCCATGCTCATCTCTGGAAGGGCCTGTGCGGCAGACGTGATCTTTGAACTCTTTGTGCCTCTAGTGGGTGGTGCTTTTTGTTTTGTTTTTTTTTTTTTTTTGAGATGGAGTTTCACTCTTGTTGCCCAGGCTGGAGGGCAGTGGCGCGATCTTGGCTCACTGCAACCTCCACCTCCCAGGTTCAAGTAATTCTCCTGCCTCAGCCTCCTGAGTAGCTGGGATTATAGGCGCCTGCTACCACGCCTGGCTAATTTTTTTTGTATTTGTAGTAGAGACGGGGTTTTATGTTGGCCAGGCTGGTCTCGAACTCCTGACCTCGGGATCCATGATGGGTGGAGCTTTGAGAAGCAAGTCACACACATGTTCCCGTGGACTTTCTTGGTTGTGTACACTGATTTTATAGGGCACATGGCAGGGAGACTTTTTTTTTTTTTTGAAACAGGGTCTTGCTCTGTTGCCCAGACTGGAGTACAGTGGCTGGATTACAGCTCACTGCACCCTGGACGTCTCAGGTTTAAGCAGTCCTCTCACCTGGGCCGGGCGAGGTGGTGCATACCTGTAATCCCAGCACTTTGGGAGGCTGAGGTGGGCAGATCACGAGGTCAAGAGATTGAGACCATCCTGGCCAACATGATGAAACCCTGTCTCTACTAAAATTACAAATATTAGCTGGGCGTGGTGGTACACGCCTATAGTCCCAGCTTACTTGGGAGGCTGAGGCAGGAGAATCACTTGATGGTTGGAGGCTGTAGTGAGCTGAGATTGTGCCACTGCACTCCAGCCTGGCAACAGAGCGAGACTCCGTCTCAAAAAAAACCAAAGTCCTTCCACCTGAACCTCGGGAGTAGCTGAGACTACAGGCATGCGGCACCATGCCTGGTTAGTTTTTGTATTTTTTATAGAGACAGGGTTTCGCTGTGTTGCCCAGGCTGGTCTTGAACTCCTGGACGCGAGCAGTCCTCCTGCCTTGGCCTCCCAAATTGCTGGGATTATAGGCATGAGCCACCACCTGGCCAGGGAGACATTTTTAGGGTATGGAGGTGTTGCTAGAGTAATATCATCAGGTCCAATATTGTAGCCCTTAGCTACATTTGGCTGTTGAAATTTAATGAATTAAAATAAAAACTTAATTCCTCAGTCACAGTAGCCACATTTCAAGTGCTTAGGAGCCACGTGTGGCCAGTGAGTTTCCTTAGTGGACAGAGGGGCTGCAGACCATTTCCTTCATTACCAAAAGGTGTGTTGCACTCTGCCAGTTCAGAGCAGGTTTCTCGACCTGGCTGCTGTTGACATTGGAGCCCGGATCATCCTCCGTTGGGAGGGACTGAGGTTTGCTTTGTGGGTTTTTTGTTTGTTTGTTTTGTATTTTTGAGATGGAGTCTTGCTCTGTTGCCCAGGCTGGAGTGCAGTAGCGCGATCTCGGCTCACTGCAAGCTCCGCCTCCCAGGTTCACACCATTCTCCTGCCTCAGCCTCCCGAGTAGCTAGGACTACAGGCGCCTGCCACCACGCCTGGCTAAATTTTTTGTATTTTTAGTAGAAACGGGGTTTCACCGTGTTAGCTAGGATGGTCTTGATCTCCTGACCTCAGGATCCGCCTGCCTCAGCCTCCCAAAGTGCTGGGAATACAGGCGTGAGCCACTGTGCCCAGCCTGTTTTTTTTTTGAGATGGAGTCTTGCTCTGTTGCCCAGGCTGGAGTGCAGTGGCACAATCTCACCTCACTGCAACCTCCGCCTCCCAGGTTCAAGTGATTGTCCCGCCTCAGCCTCTTGAGTAGCTGGGATTACAGGCACCCTCCACCACGCCTGGCTAATTTTTTTTTTTTTTTTTTTTGAGACGCAGTCTCACTCTGTTGCCAGGCTGGAGTGCAGTGGCGTAATCCCGGCTCACTGCAACCTCCACCTCCTGGGTTCAAGTGATTCTCCTGCCTCAGCCTCCTGAGTAGCTGAGATTACAGGCACACACCGCCATGCCTGGCTAATTTTTGTATTTTTAGTAGAGATGGGGTTTCACCATGTTTTCCAGGATGGTCTTGATCTCTTGACAGTGTGATCTACCCGCCTTAGCCTCCCAAAGTGCTGGGATTACAGGTGTGAGCCACCACGCCCGGCTAATTTTTGTATTTTTAGCAAGGACGAGGTTTCACCATGTTGGCCAGGCTGGTCTCGAACTCCTGAGCTCAGGTGATCCGCCCGCCTCAGCCTCCCAAAGTGCTGGGATTACAAGCATGAGTCACCCCGCCTGACCACACTGTGGGATGTTTGGCAGCATCCCTGGCCTCCACCCTCTAGATGCCAGTAGCATTCCCCGCACCTCCAAGGTGGTGAAAACCAAAAGCACCTCTAGACATAGCCAGGTATCTGGAGACCCAGTGCTCTGCAAGGTAAAAACCATCCCTTCTGTACATGCTGTAGGGCTCAGCAAGGGATCACTAAGTCAACACCGTGCCCCAGAGACTGGCTCTCAGCCTTAGCTGCCAGCCAGCATCACTAGGCCAGCTTCATAAACATCCGACAGGCCTGAACCCTCTCTCCCCATCCCCATCTCCCCGCCTTGCTCTGAGATTCCATTTCTCAGTAAGTCTGGGTGGGGCCCTGGCATGTCTGTGTGGTTTTCTTTTTCTCATTAAACTCCCAATGTACATTTTGATGAGCTGCTTCATGGAAGAGTCAAAACTGTGTGTGCCCAGGGCTAGGTATGATGGACGGTGAAAGGGGAAGTGCTGGTTGCCTTCTTTGGGAAGACAAACCTAATGCCATGAAGCAGTTGGGGACGTGAAGCTCAGTCACAGAACTCTGATGTGGGGGCCTTTCAAGAGAAAAAGGACTGGCTGGGTGCGGTGGCTCATGCCTGTTATCCCAGCACTTCAGGAGGCCGAGGTGGGCAGATCACCTGAGGTTGGGAGTTTGAGACCAGCCTCACCAACATGACAAAACCCTGTCTCTACTAAAACTACAAAATTAGCTGGGTGTTGTTGTATGTGCCTGTAATCCCAGCTACTTGGGAGGCTGAGGCAGGAGAATCACTTGAACCCGGGAGGCGGAGGTTGCAGTGAGCCGAGATTGCACCATTGCACTCTAGCTTGGGCAACAAGAGCGAAACTCTGTCTCAAAAAAAAAAAAAAAGAAAGAAAAAGAAAGGACTGCATGGGTTGAGGGAGGCTGTGTGGAGGGTGTTTGTAGGTGTATGTGTTGCTGACACTTGGTGCTTGGGGAGATGGGGCTGAAGGAGAGTTGATCTGTACCCATCACAGACGTGGACAAGAATGGGTGTCGGGTGGACCTTGGCAAGCCCAGCTTTACTAATGTATAGGAAAGGGTGTGGGACCAACAAATGGATTGGGGGTTTGGGGCAGGGCGGAGGAGAGGTCCCAGACACGTTGAAGGTGGTCATTGAAGCTGAAGCTTTCTGTTGGAGACCACAGAGTGCAGCTGGCCGTCTGCAGATCCATCTGCCCCATAGGTGTTGTTTGATCGCCTTCAGGGGTTTTTGTTCAGCATTTCCCCATGAACGTTTTCCAGCATATAAGGCTGAAAGAATTTCCAGTGAATACCTGTGTATCCACCACCACCTAGGCTCTACCAATAATATTTCCCCTACTTACTTGCCTTTTATTATATATATTCCCCCATCCATCAAAATTTGTAAAGCTTCCTGTAAAAAGATGGATTTCTGGCCAGGCATGGTGGTTCATACTTGTAATCCCAGCCCTTTGAGAGGCTGAGGAGGGAGAATTGCTTGAGACCAGGAGTTCAAGGCCAGCCTGGGCAACATAGCGAGACTCTGTCTCTACAAAAAAATAAAAATAAAAAATTCATTGGACATGGTAGTGCACACCTGTAGTCTAAGCTACTCAAGAGGCTGAGGCAGGAGCATTGCTTGAGCCCAGGAGGTTGAGGCTGCAGTGAGCTATGATTGTACCATTGCACTCCATCCTGGGTGACAGAGCAAAAGTTAAAAAATAAAAAACCTGAGTAGTGGTTGTTTAGAACACACATTGTTGAGTTTCCCCCAATCCCCATATCCGTGACACGGAGACCTTAGTGTCATCTGCCTCTCCCTGTACTTGGCCCACTTCACCCATTTGTTAACAGCTGAACACCTGCTACACACAATGAGCAATGATTATCGTTCTTTTTGTTGTTGTTGTTTTTGCTGTTGGAGACAGAGTCTCCCCCTGTCACCCAGGCTGGAGTGCAGTGGTGTGATCTCAGCTCACTGCAACCTCTGACTTCCAGGCTTAAGTGATCCTCCCACCTCAGCCTCCCAAGTAGCTGAGATTACAGGCACCT